>NC_000023.11:22137488-23387488 GCF_000001405.40 Homo sapiens
TTCTTGCAGAGGGCGAAACAGAGGTGTAGCCCACTTCTTTGGCTTTGTCTCTAAGCTCTACCAGGCCTAGGTACTGGACTTCTCCCAGGTATGCGGTCAGGGCTCTGCTTATATCCGGAGCCTGGTGGTTCTCAAGGTGTGGTTCCAGACCAGTAGCAGCAGTGGTCCCTGGGAACTCATTAGAGATGCAAATTTTCACATCCCCACCTGCTGAGCTCTGGGAGTAGGGCTCAGTGCCTTGTGTTTTACCTGGTGATTCTGCTGCGTGAAAAGGGTTGGGAACCCCTGTCTTGTCCTTACCACTTCACAGCACACCTGCCTGACTTCCAACTGCAGCCTCCTGCATTTTGGCCAAGAGCATTCTCTCCCTGCTACAGCCTGCTTTGCTACTCATAAAGAGGGCCCAAAGGACGGGGAATGACCACACCTTCCTCAGAAGTCCTCACCCAACAGTTGATGGGAGTTGCTGTGTGTGGCCCCCGCTCCCTCATCCCTCTAGTGCGTGTTCCACATGGGCTCTGGGAGCTTTTCCAATGGGCTAGAGCTATTATACTAGCTAAGATACTCGTTGCTGACTGCCTTTCTTTCTCTACATATTTCCTCTTTCTCCTACCAGTGTTTCTTTTGCTGCCCAAATGAACTGCTCGCACTTGAATCCTTGTCTTAGAGTCTGTTTCTGGGGGATTCCCAACTAGGACACAGCCCCTGGGGGTATACGCTTTCCCAGTGCTTCCTTGCCTGTAAGGCAACAGCACATTTCACCGAGTCTGGTTGCTAGCACTGCTTCAGCAGACTCAATGCCACAAACATTTCTAGCACACCAACAGCATGCCAGGTGCTGAGCCGGGATTCGGACTCAGAGATGAGCAGCCACAGTCCCTTTTCTGCGGGGGCCTTCAGGCTCCTAGGAGAGAACAGGAGGCCATGGATGCAGGGCAGACCAGGAGAAGTGTTAGGTAACGTGATGGAGACGAAAGGGGTCCTGGGAGTCTAGGGGAGCTCAAACATGACATGTGAGGGTGCCTTACTTGGGAAGTGCCTACTCTGCCCCTTTCTCTCTTCCTCTGTGGTGTTCCCACACCCTGTCTTGCAGCCTTGTGGCAAGTCTTCCTCTTCCTTCCTTACTAATCCCAACTCTGCATCTGGCTGTCACTTCCCCTTGATACCTTCACTCCTGCTTCACCTCACTGTGCATTTTAAATTGTTTCGTAGGAGAAAAGAAACAGAAGGGCTTTCATCAAACTGTCTCCTGCCCTTTCCAGTTACAGATTCTAGCACATTTGCATAACCGCTCAAGAATGCAGTCACCCTGCGTCTGGCATCCACTCCAGGGCTCACCAGGGACAGTGACTGGTAGACCAGCATGGAAACCGCGGGCTGTGGCTCCCTCCCATGTGCCACCTTCCCGAGCTTGTCCCTTCTCTTTGGCTCTATGTCTCTCTCACACACATGCAGGCCAAGATGGCGGCCTTCATACTTGTATCTCTTTCCTCTCACTGGCCTCAACAGGAAGTATGGTATAGAGGTCAGGAGTATAGACAGGTGAGAGACTGCCTAGTTTCCAAGCCAACTTCTACACCTTATTGACTGTATGACCCTTTGGAAATTACTTAACTTCTTCCACCCTCAGTTTTCACATCCATAAACTGGGGAGATTGGTCCCTGTCTCAGAAGATTTGTTATGAGGATTAAAAGAGCCACTGTGCCTAAAGTACTTATAAGAATGCCTGGAGCATGAGAAAGGCTCCCCAAGTTGTCAGCCGTTTGGTCCAAACTGCTGTGCCTCTGGGAGGGGAGGCTTTGGCTGGACCAGACGGTGAGAGGAGGGATATTTGTGAGCAGCCCCTGCTGAGAGGGTGTTGGAGGGGATGCATTTCTTTTCTCTGGATTTTGGATTTTGTGGTTTTGAACAAATTCAGTATTGTCGTTGTGATATATATTTTAAACACAAAAGTAAATATCTGGTATAAGTGGGAGTTTGATGCATATATCTATTTATTTTTTCGAGTTAAAGTCTCGCTCTGTTGCCCAGGCTGGAGTGCAGTGTTACAATCATAGCTCACTGCAGCCTGAAACTCCTGGGCTCAAGCGATCCACCCACCTTAGCCTCCTGAGTATCTGGAACTATAGGTGTGTGCCCCCACCCACCTTAGCCTTCTGAGTACCTGGAACTATAGGTGTGTGCCCCCACATCCAGCTAAGTGGTTTTCTTAATTTTTTTTTTTTTTTTTGGTAGAGATGGGATCTCACTGTGTTGCCCAGGCTGGTCTCAAACTCTTGGCCTCAACCGATCCGCCAGCTACAGCCTCCCAAAATGCTGGGATTACAGTGTGAGCCACTGCCACACCCAGCCAACATATATTTATTAAAGGCATAGTACATGTGATATCTTACCGGAGTGATTTTCCATGCTCTAGAGCCTCATGTAAATGTCATTTAGGGGGATGCTTTAGGTCATTCATTCTCACACTTGAGCATGCATCAGTGCCATCTGAAGGGCTTGTTAAAACACCAATTGCCAGCCCCACCCCTAGAATTTCTGATTCAGTAGTGCTAAGGTGGAGCCTGGATATTTGCATTTCTGACAAGTTCTCAGGCAATTCTGATGCTGCTGGTCTGGGGCCTGTGCTTTGAGAGCTCTAGGTGATTACAAGTGAAAATGTCCTTATGCCAAGCCTGTGTTAATAGAAGGGTATAATGTTCATTAAGTGATTGTCTTACCTCTTACTGGAGTCCCCTTTTCACCATTTCTCGCAGGTGGGTCCCCTGAGTGAGTACTAGGACACCCAGAACCCAGCCAGGCCACCTACTCTACTGTTGCTGTCTCTGCTAAAGAGCCCTGCTTGAGAGAGATCCAAAGGCTCTTTCTTGGTCATTTCTGCTCCTTGACTCCACATCTGTCCCCAGGAACTACCCAGGTTAAGTCTTCCACATAAAAGCCCTTCCAACGTTTGAAGATGTTTAAATGTTTTTCTTTTTTCTTTATTTTATTTTATTTATTTATTTTTTTCGAGACAGAGTCTTGCTCTGTGGCCCAGACTAGAGTGCAGTGGTGCAATCTTGGCTCACTGCAACCCCTGCCTCCCGGGTTCAAGTGATTCTCCTGTCTCAGCCTCCCGAGTAGCTGGGACCACAGGCATGCGCCACCATGCCCGGCTAATTTTTGTATTTTTAGTAGAGATGGGGTTTTGCTATGTTGGCCGGGCTGGTCTTGAGTTCCTGACCTCAAGTGATCCGCCTGCCTCAGCCTCCCAAAGTGCTGGGATTACAGGCATGAGCCACCGTGCCTGGCTGTTTTTTCTATTTCAAATAAAACACCTTTAGTGTTTCTCACATTAAATTAACCAACATTACAGTCAGACTGGATGTTCTAAATGCTTCACAAATATTAGCTCTCTCAATGCCATAATATCCGTATGAGGTAGGTACTTTTTTTTTTTTTTTAATACAGATGAGGAAACTGAAGCACAGAGAGTGTGAGCACACTTACCCAAGGTCACACAGCTAGTAGGTAGAAGAGCTGGGATTCCCTCCCTAGAGGTCTGGTTTCACAGTCTGTGCTTTTATCCGCAATGCCAGTGGGTCTCAAAGTGTGGTCCCCAGTCCAGAAGCATCGCCATCACTCAGGACTAGCTAAAAATGCAGATTCTTGGCTCTATCCCACATCTATAGAATCAGCAACTCTGGGAGAGGCCCTAGGCATCTGTACTTTAATCAGTCCTGCTGGTGATTCTGATGCAGCCCAAGTATGAGAACCATTGCTCTAAGGTGTGGTTCTGATGCCTCATCCTGCTGGCTGCTCTCCAGTTTTCAATATCTTTTTTAGAAGCTTAAGTTCAAGGCTGTGCACAATATTCTAGGTATAGTGTAACTCACACAGCACAATGGGAATATTATTACTGCCTTTGTCTTGCATACAAATTATATTAAGAAATCCAAAGTTTACATTATGGCTATCTTTTCCCCTCAGCCATTCACTGTTGGCTCATAACGAATTTCTAGTCAGTTAATTTCTAGGTCTTTTTTTCCCCGCTCACAGGAACTGTTGTTAAGCCCTGTTGCTCCAGTCCTAAACTTGGCATTAAAAAACAAACAAAAAAAAAAACCCTCATCCCAGAACTTCACATTTATTCTTATTAAAATCCATTTAGTTGTTTTGGTTCATGGCTCTGGCTTTCAAAAAGTATATTTCTGGACCTCCTACATGTTTATTATTGTTTTAAAAATCTATGCTCATTTAAAAAATCTGGAAAATAAAGCACAACAGTAGAAAGACAAAAAAAAGTTCTAGTTCCATCATCTAAACATAACTGCTGCTAACATTTTGATGTATCACTTTGACTTTTTTCCCATACATAGGCTTTGAAAGGCATTCTTGAACAATGATGTTTATAAAAATTTGAGTTCTTTTTTCTCTTAACATTTATTATAAGCATTTCTTGTATTATTGCATATTCTTTATGCAAGAATATTCACTGTTGGCTGGGCACAGTGGCCCACACTTGTAATCCCAGCACTTTGGGAGGCCGAGGCGGGTGGATCGCTAGAGGTCAGGAGTTTGAGACCAGCCTGGCCAACATGGTGAAACCCTGTCTCTACTAAAAATACAAAAAATTAGCCGGGTGTGGTGGCAGGCGCCTGTAATCCCAGCTACTTGGGAGGCTGAAGCAGGAGAATCGCTTGAACCCGGAAGGCGGAGGTTGCAGTGAGCCAAGATTACGCCGCTGCACTCCAGCCTGGGCGACAGAGTGAGATTCTATCTCTCACACACACAAAAAGAATATTCACTACTATGACATATTCTTCTAGTGGTGGCACAGGAGGTACTACTTAAACATTTCTCTATAGTTGCATGTTTAGGTTGTGCTGTTATAGTTATTACTATGATACACATCTTTTGCATAATGCCTTCTCCCTAAATGTAGGACTAATTCCTTAGAATGGCATCTCAGACAACCTTTGAAAAGGTCAACTCTTTCCTTCAGTATATCAACTACTGTTTCTATGTCGTTCATAACTTGATAAGTTTGTTTTTTAGTTTTATTATTTTGGGGTTATTATGAATGGACATGCTCAAAAAAAGGGAATTGGAATCAGCCAATTTGTTCATCCTTTGGCAATGCCCTTCCAGATTTATCTATTGAACAAAAATATTCAGGGAGAAACTTCTAAGTGGTGAGTCTTTTGTTAGGTGCCAGTCAATTCACTAACTAATAGATTTTTGGTCTAGTTGTTCTACTTTGGACAAACTCCATGGAACTATGATTTAAATTCTCCCTTTTGCCTGCAAGGAGACCTTGAGATATTTAGCAATGCGTTGATATCATCCAGTTATACTGTATTTAGGGCATTCTTTAATTTACCAATGTATTGTTCTGTTTAAAATGTGGAAACCTGAGGAAATGAACAAAGCTTCACTGGGTTCTCATTTTTCTGAAGTTCCATGTTACCTAAGTGCAGATTATATCATTCTGTGAAAACAGCCAGCTGTTCAGGCAACCAAATCAGAAATCTCAGTCTTTCCTCTTAGCCAACTTGTAAGCACAAATCGTGTTGCTTCTTTCTGCCAGCTCTCAAATTTATACCATTTCTGTTTTAGTTATTCCCCTCCCTTAGCTTCTCATCCTTAAACATTTTTTTTAATTGAGGTAAAATTCACCTAACATAAAACTAACCATTTTAAAGTGAACAATTCTCAATTAGATAGAAGAAATAAGCTCTCATGCTCAATAGCAGATTATAGTGACTACAGTTAGCAACAGTATATTGTATATTCCAAAGCGGCTAGAAGAAAGGACTTGAAATGTTACCAACACATAGAAATAATGAATATTCACAGTGATGGGCACTCCAAATACCCTGACTTGATCATTACACATTCTATGCAGGTAAAAACTACTCACATGTACCCATAAATATGTACAAATATTATGCATCAATAAAAGAAAAGAAATGAAGTGAGCAATTCAGTGGCACTTAGAACATTCACAGTGTTGTGTGATCACCACCTCTATCCAGTTCCAAAACATTTTTGTAACTCCCAAAGGACACTTTGTACCCATTAAGCAGTCACTCTCCATTCCCCACTCCCCCAGCTCCTGACAACTACCAATCTGCTTTTTGTTTCTATGGATTCATGTATTTTGGATATTTCCTGTGAATGAGATCACGCACCAATGCGATTTTTGTGACTGGCTTCTTTCACTTAGCCTTATGTTTTCGAGACTCATCCACTTTGTAGCATGTATCTTCTCATTCTGTTTAATTGGCGTCCCCATTGATAGTCTTGGAAAAGGAATAGCAAAATAAACCCCTGTAGCATTTCTGATAGTGAGATCTTTCCTGTCTTCTCTGAACTTTTTGCAATAGCATCGTAGTGTTTATTCATAGCTGAAATACTATCCCCCAGCTATATATTACTGAATTGAAGCAACTCCTGTAGGGAAAGAAGTATGTCTGACTACTTTATTTTTGTATTTTCAGAACCTAATGTGGATCTGACACTCCATTCTTTGACCACTGGGCAGAACTTAGTAAGAACCATGGCTTTACCAAACACTAGCTATGGGACCTCAGGCAAGATGGGCAGTTTTGGGGGTCTCAGTTTCCTCACTCATGAAATGGGGACAAATACTTTTGTCCCTATTTTTACTGAGTGGAACAATTAATATATGTGCAGTGGCTAGCACAGAGTAAGTGCTCAGTATTAGTAAGATGACATGTTCATTTTTTTTTCCCAAGTTTCCTCTAACTGCCTCCCTCACTAAATAACATGCTCCATTATAGTGTCTTAAAATTGGGAATGAAAAAGTGATGCCAGTTACATAATTACATTGTTTTCTTTGGGGCAGAGGTACAAAATAGAATTTTATTAAACTTTGCCTCTAATATTTAAAAATATTTTTATGGAAATTTAAAAATGTACGCAAAAATGTACATAACTAATCTCCGTATACTTATCACCCAGACTCAACAGTTAGTAATATTTTATCATGCTGATTTCATCTACTCCCCTACTTGTTTTTATGCTTGAGAATTTTAAAGCTAATTCCATCTATGAAATCATTTTACTATGATTCCATCTCTGACACCATTTTACTATAAATATTTCATTATGTATCTCCAACATATAAGGAATTTTAAAAACCTAACTATAATACCATTAACATACTTGACAATATTAACATTAATTCCTTATTAGTATCCTGTCTGTGTGCAGTTTCCTATAATTATCTCAAAATTGTTTGCTTTCTTTTTTTTGAAAAAAAAAAAATGGTTGATTTGAATCAGTATCCAGATGAGGTCTGCATATTGCAGTCAATAGGTACATCTTTTAAAGCTTTTTAAATTTTAAGAGTACCGCCTCTCCATCCATGAAATTTATTTATGAAATAAATTGAGTCATTTGTCTGGTAGAATTTTTAACAATCTTGTTTTGCTAGTTATTTCTTAATGTTGTCTTTTAACATGTTGTTCTGTCTCTTACATTTTCTGTAATTGGTTCTATCTAGAGGTTTGATTAGATTCAGGTTCAATTTTCTTTGGATAAGAAGACTTCATAGGCAGTGCTGTGAGCTTCCTGTTGCATCTATCAAGAGGCTCACAATGCCACGTTGTCCCACTTGCAAAGCGAAGGGCGATCCGTGTGTTCAGGTGTTGTCAGCCTGATCCTTTCATTTGAACTTTCTTACCATTCCTCATGCAGCAGTCCTGTTTCTTGGCTGTACATTAGAATCACCTGGGAAGCTTTTTAAAAATCCTGAGGCTCAGGCCACACCCCATATGAAGATCAGACTCTCTGGGAGTGGGACACAGGCATTTTCTAAAGTTACCCAGGAGGGGCCCGGCGCAGAGGCTTACGCCTGTAAACGCATCACTTTGGGAGGCCGAGGTGGGTAGATCACTTGAGGTCAGGAGTTTGAGACCAGACCAGCCTGGCCGACATGGTGAAACCCCATCTTTACTAAAAGTACAAAAATTAGCCAGGCATGGTGTCATGCACGTGTAATCCCAGCTACTTGGGAGGCTAAGACAGGAGAATTGCTCGAATCCAGGAGGTGGAGGTTGCAGTGAGCCAAGATCATGCCACTGCACTCCAGCCTGGGTGATAGAGCAAGACTCTGTCTCAAAAAAAAAAAAAAAAAGTTACCCAGGAGATACAAATGTGCAGCCAGGCTTGAAACCACTGACTTAATTGTTTCAGTGGCCATTGATAATATTTCATTGATTCGTGATTCCATTCGGTGTTGCAATGTTTGATTTTCAAATTCTATCATTCTTTTTGCATTTATTAGCTAGGCTGTTTTTATAAAAAAGGATTTTCCCTCATCAACCACTTGATTACTCTGACATATAGTTTATACAGGAAAGACAGCATAAATGGCTATCTTTCTCTTGATTAATTTTCACAAGTTGGTGCCCTAAGCACTTCCAGAGGTGCCAAAATAGTTTTCTTTTTAGTATCACCAACTTAGGGAATCTTATGTATTTGATGTGTTTAAATTTGTTATGATCATCATTCACTGAAGCTCAGATTGTCCCATCTTGGCCAATGTGGGGCTCTTCCTTTAGTGAATTTTGACATGACCCTAGTTGTTTTTGAAAGCATCTTTGCCTCCTGGCACAAGATATTCTCTTTAATGTTTAACCTCTATTTAATCATAAGCTGTTTTGAACAATTTGTAAATCAGTGCCTAAATTAGTTCTCCCACCAATGAACAGTATATTGATTTTTTTCTGATGGGGAAAGGGTAGCACCTTACTAACTTGAAATACAGCATTTTATTAATGAGCAAATTTGCAGAAATATCTGTTAGAGACTGATGTAAATTATCTTTTGTAAGGGGCAGTAGCTTATATCAATAGAAACACACGTAATATGTACTCCATGGTTTTTGAAAACCTCTGCAGTGTTGCATTTTCAGTGTTGATCATCAAGAATACAAATATATAACCATGTCATACATTTTAAAAACAAATAATGCTAGTGTTGAGGAATATAACTAATTTCAAATTTGTGGAACAGTGGGACTATATTAAAAGATGAGTCTGGGTGTGGTGGCTCACATCTGTAATCTCAGCACTTTAGGAGGCTGAGGCAGGCGGATCACTTGAGGCCAGAAGTTTGAGACCAGCCTGGCCAACGTGGCGAAATCCCATCTCTACTAAAAATACAAAAATTAGCTGGACGTGTTGGCACGCACCTGTAATCCCAGCTATTTGGGAGGCTGAGGCAGGAGAATCGCTTGAACCCAGGAGGCAGAGGTTGCAGTGAGCCAAGATTGTGCCACTGCACTCCAGCCTGGGCAAGAGAGTGAGACTCTGTCTCCAAAAAATAAATAAATAAAATAAAATTAATTAATTAATTAATTAAAAAAATAAAAGACGAAACTTGGAATAGTAAATACTTAAAAATTCTAACAATATCAACAGGTAGTGATAGTTTAAACATGTACTGTAAAAGTGTTTGGTTTTTAAGGGTATGTAAGAGACTGGTTGTCTGTGGGACTTTGAAAGCAGTTGGGAAATGCCACAATAGCCTCAGTATAAAATTCTAGAGACCCAAAGCGGAGAGAGATGCCTCTTAAGAATTATGGAGGATATTTATTACTTTTATTCATGGGATGGGTGGTGGTGATTTAATGCCTGTCTCTTGTTTCTTTTGTTTTTTTTTGTTATCCAAATCCAAATCCAAATTATATGAGGAATTCACTTAAAAATATACGTTTAGTTTGGTTTAATAAAAATAATCAGTTTTGATGTATTGACTTTTAATTTCATGGGGGAAAGAGTCCATTAGGAATGTTCAGGCTTTCTGTGTATATTTTGTGTTGCTCATTCTCTTTGGCCCAAGATGAAACTAATAGCCACAATGTGTCTGCTTTGGTGCTGTCTCTAGGGTTGTGTCTGCTGCTGTCAGCTGCACCCTTGTTATCTGGCTGCTGGTCCTGCTCAGTCAGTTGTACAGGAATGTCATTTCCATTAATAACCCCAGGGCCGGACAGGCAGATAGTGGAAAATGGGTGAAGAGAGAGAAATTGTATTTAACCCAGTGTTCTGAGTTGTCATTTTTGAGACCCTAGCATAGCTGGGTAAAGGCAAGCAGAGGGCATGACAGCAAATCTATTTCTGGCAGAATCTCATATACAAACTGGAGAAACAGCCTGATACCAAGAGAAGAAAGGGTGAAATATACTGGGAAAAGAGGGAAAGATTTGGGGTTGGAAAAGTCAGAGGAAACAATGTTAGGAAGAAATAACATGATCAAGTATTCTGATAGAGGTGCTGACAACTTTGCAAAATAAATTTAATTTTGATTGTAAATGCCATCATTTGTGGTGGTTCAAATGAACAAAATTCCTTTTTAAAAAATGAAATTTATGTAAGGATTGCTCATAGAAGATTTTGGAGTTTTGTGCTATGTTTTTTTTTTTTTGGTTCTGGATCAGTGAAAGGCCCGAGGAACAGAGTAGGTTTTATTTTTTTTTCCATCTAGGTAGAATGACTCAGTTACTGTAGTTGTCTGTGTTTTGGTTATTTATTGCTGCATAACAAATTACCCCAAAACTTGCTGGCTTAAAACAAGTATTTTATTATTTCCTATGATTCTGTGGGTTGGCTGGGCTCAGCTGGGTGGCTCCTCTGCTGGTTTCACCTGGAGTCCCTTAGGCAGTTGCAGTCAGATGGTGGCTGTGGCTGGACGTCCAAGGTGGCTTCTTCACACATGTGTCTGGCACCTCAGTGTTCCTCATGTGGCTTTCTCAACAGGGTGCTGTGGTACTCCTACAGGGTAGCTAAGAGTGCCAAGAAGAGAAAGCAGAAGCTGCCGGTCCTCTTAATGTCTGTTCTCAGAAGTCTCAGAATATAATTGACAAATAATAATTGTATATATATTTTTGGGGTACAGTGTGATGTTTTGATGTATGTATACATTATAGAAAGATTCAATCAAACTACTTAACATATCCATCACTTCACAAACTTATTTTTTTGGTAAGAACATTAAAAATCTATTATTTTAGCAATTTTGAAATATATAATAAATTATTATTAACTGTGGCCACCATGCAGTACAATTGGTTACTAAAACTTATTCTTCCAGTCTAATTGAAATTTTGTGCCCTTTAATCAAAATCTCCCCTTTCCCTATCTCTCCCCCTCCCTCCAGCCTTTGGTAACTACTTTCTACTCTCTGTTTCTATGAGAACAACTTTTTAAGATTCCACATATAAGTGAGATTATACAGTATTTTTCTTTCTGTGTTTTGCTTACTTAGCATTTTTTTTCTATTTTTCTGTTTGGTTGATTAGGCTATTTTTCATTATTGACTGAATTATTTTTTTCTGTTTAGCTCAAGACCATTGTATACATCGACTCACAGAAGTATTTGAGTAAGCCTAATCATTGTTGAACTGTGATGGGGAAAGGATTCAGCCTTGGGACACGTGACCTTTGTGTACAGGTGTAAGAAATTCCTACTAGGTTTTAGGGCCCAGAACTGGACTAGGCCATGAGGGACCCAACCCATCCTAGTAGGCAAATCATTTTCCAGTTTTATATTTGAGTTCATTAGTAAATAAGTTTACTTTCCATTATAGACACCCCCTCCACTGACTTATGGGGTCCTGTACGCCATAACCAAAGACTCAGTGTTGGAAAGGTGATGCTCCACTCTGTGTCTTTGTTTAGCTAAGGTGAAGGGGACAGGTCTGCCACCCTGGTATATTCTGGTATTCTCTCATTGGCAGTCTTAGTGAAGGCTCATGAGAGCTTCCTCACAGAGGTTTGTAAGGATTAGAACTGAGTGGAATAGACCTGTTCCAGGGCAGAGTGAAGCCGAGGACAACAGTGAGATTGTGTCCTTCAGGGCCACAGACCAGAACCTTTACTCAACTCTGATGTTAAGCTATAAAGCTAGTTTACAAGTTTATGGAACAATTCAGCTTGTTCTTCCAGGCTCTTGAAAATGAAGGTTAAGGCTGGGCCCGTGGCTCATGCCTGTAATCCTGTAATCCCAGCACTTTGGGAGGCCAAGGCGGGTGGATCACTTGAGGTCAGGAGTTCGAGACCAGCCTGGCCAACATGGCAAAACCCTGTCTCTACTAAAAATACAAAAATTAGCCAGGCGTGGTGGTGCCTGCCTGTAATTCCAGCTACTCGGGAGGCTGAGGCAGGAGAATCGCTTGAACCTGGGAGGCGGAGGTTGCAGTGAGCCGAGATCATGCCATTGCACTCCAGCCTGGGCGACAAGAGCGAGACTCCGTCTCAAAAAAGAAAATGAAGGTTAAGTTTTGGCAAAGTGATTTGTATAGATCTGTAATACATCATGTTCTAATGAGGTCCAATGAGTTCTAAGTAATTTCTGATTTCCATTAAAAATGATTCATGAAAAAATAAGAATCTCATCAGAGAGAGAGAGAGACCACTTTTGAAATGAGGAAAAATGACAGAATAGAAAAGGAGAAAGTCTCTTTTCTCTCTTCTTCCCCAAGCCCCCCTCATCACTGGTTACTTATTTGAGCATCCTTTATCAGCATCTAATGAGAATGAGAACATAGTGGGATGCCATGTGACCTTTTGAGTAGGAATTGGAAGCTCTTATGAAGTTTCCAGCCTGATGTCACTTCAGATCCAGGTCATTAATATTTAAAAAAATAAAAAAAATAAAAACTCTTAGGTGATTCGAATGAGCAGCCAAGTTTGAGAAGCAGAGCCCTACTGGAGCAATGCTTCTGCAACTTGAATGTACATGCAAATCTCCTGGGGACTTGGTTAAAAATGCAGATTCTTAATAAGTTTGGAGGGGAGCCTGAGAGTCTGCATTTCTAACAAGCTCCCAATGGAGGCCGATGCTGCTGGACAATGGCCTATGGACCATACTTTGAGAATATAGAGCAGGGGGCAGCAAACTTTTCACATATGAAGGCCTGAGAGTAAATATATTGGGCTTTGCAGGTCATGTGGTCTCTGTTGCAGCAACCCAAATATACCTGTAGTACAGAGCAGCAATAGGCAATAGGCAAACAAATGGGTGTGGCTGCGTGCCAATAAAACTTTATTTACAACACCAGGCAGTATCCTGAATTTGTCTTACAGGCCGTGAGCCAATAAAACTTTATTTATAACACCAGGCAGTATCCTGAATTTATTTTACAGGCTGTGACTTGCCAACTTGGTCTAGAGCTTTCCCTGTCTCAAGTTTTTGAGCCGTATCTTGCTTCTTCCCTGTTTTGTTGGGCTGAATCTTAGGTAAGAATTAAATGGTTTTGAAAGAGGTTACTCAATGGCTTTGTTGAACTGATGAATAATTGATGATGACATTTAGGCTCTGTTTACAAACAGCCCCAATTGTCCCTTGGTTGTGGCTCATTGCTTTGCCTTGAATATAGGTGGCCTTTCTGATTTCTCTCCCTAGACTGCCTCTTCAGCAATGGATCGAAACAGAGCTAGGGTTTATTCTAAAATGTGGCCCACGGGCATCTCAGAATAAATAACCAGGTCTGAACTGTAGAGGCAGAGGGTGGCTTCAGGTCACTTTTCCTTGACCTGCATTTTACAACTCATCTCTGGTGTTTTGTCTAAGGCGACAGAGGCTGGTATTTTGGCTATCTGAGAGGTAGAGAGCAGAGAGGTTCCTGGACATGTACATTTTGTGTTGAGATAGGTCATGCCCCAGATATGGCTATTAATGGTAGCAGAGAGTTAAATGTTGCTGATAATATATTCTAATAAGTAGATAATACAGAACCAAGTTGTCAGAGTTTTGGGGGGACCCAAATTTGGAACCAAGGACTCAAAGCTCAGAAGGGTTCCATCTTGTGGGCTTCAGGAGTAAGGTGCAAGATTCCTGGTCTGCTGCTCATGGTAAATTTCCTGCATTTCAAACCCCAAAGTCAGTTAGGCCTAAGCTTCAGGAAAGTTTTCAGTTTAATTGGTTCAAAACTGAAACAGACTCTCATCTATCTTTATGACAGTGCTAGGATTCCTAAGGGAGAGGTGTTACTCCTCTTCTGAAATGGGAGGATGTGGGCCAGGAATCCTTGGGCCAGGGATGCTTATGGCAGACTCCATTTCTCAGCATGGTTTTGGCTGGGAATTTCCTCTATGAGATTGACCCTTCTCTCCCCGAGGTGCCATTTTCTGGAATACCACCTTCTCTCTGCTGGTAAAATCTAATTTACCTTAGTGCCTTGACTGGTCTGCAAAATAAATGTTCTGACGTTTCCTGACAGGAGAGCCTGTCCTCTCTGCTTTCTGCTTCTTTATCATTCTTGTACTTTCTTGCCTTGCCTTTTCCATTTTGATCTTCTCTCTTGGCCAAGTCTTGTCTTCCGGGGGCTCTCAGTCAAAGTTTAGTCCCACCGATGTCCAGAACAGAAAGCTCAGTGGTATTATTTTTAGAGAGGGAGGGAGAACCTCTTAAAAGCATACTTAAAATTCTATCTGTGTGTGTCTTTTCATCCTTACATCTGAGAATATTATTTGTCTTGGCATGTTGAATATGGTTACTAATGCAGATGTGGTCTGTGCCTTACATGTTATTCAGTTTGATTTATAAAAAATGAATAATTATATAATAGAATATTTAATCACTCAGAAGATAATATATGTTGGGAAAACATGAAATTTGAAGTCAGATTAAGGCTAAATTAATCTAGGTGAGAAGTTGGTTTTGGCCCTCATTGCCTGTGTAGACTTGGGGTGAGTTGCGCTCATTTTCTGAGTCTTAGCTTATGAGCTGTGAAATGGGGATGATCTGTACCTACCTTGTACAGTTAGGGTAGGATTTGGATCTGATGATGAAGTAAAGTACTTAGCACAGTACCTGGTTTATAGTAAGGGTTTAATGGAGAGCATTACTTTTGTTATTTAAAAAATTATGTCTATTGTTTCTGTTTCTGTTTAGCTCTGAGATCTCCTCCTCTTTGAAAATGTCCTTTCCACAAGGCCCTTCCCTTCCCATCCATTCCATCTGACCCTCTACCTTCTTCTGTTGTTTTTTCTCTTACATCGCATTCTCTCCCTATGACCAACTATGAACTCCTGAAGGAAAGAAATCCAGTTTATTAAACTGTGTGTCTTCACTCCGTCTAAACACAACAACATGGACAAATTTCACAGATGTGTTGTTGAGTGGAAGAAGCCAGATACAAAAGAGTACACACTTTTTTTGAAGTTCAAGAACAGGAAAAAGTAATTTATGGAGACAGAGATCAGGATAGCGGTTCTTTTGAAGGTGGAAGGGTTATTCACTGGGGAGGTACCCAGGGGAGTCTTCAGGATGCTATAAATGTTTTAAATCTTGTCTCAGGCCTACTAACACAGATGTGTGTATGTTTTAAAAAATATTTGATTGGTATACTTAGTATTTGTGCACTTTGTACGATATAGTGCAGTAAAAATTTTAAAAGATGTTTCCCAGTATGCAGGGCTTATTTGCCTTTTAGTGATCATTCAGTAAAAGGTTGAATATTTAATGGATGTCATGATGAAGTAAATGATCAACTTTTTTTTTTTTTTTTGAGACAGGGTCTTGCTCTGTCACCTAGGCTGGAGTGCAGTGGCACCATCATAGCTCACTGCAGCCTCAATCTCCTGGGCTCAAGAGATAGTCCTGCCTCAGCTTCCTGAGTAATTGGGACTATAGGCATGCACCACAATGCCAAACTAATTTATTTTTTTGTAAAGATGGTGTCTCCCTATGTTGCCCAGGCTGGTCTCGAACTCCTGGGCTCAAGCCCCCACCTTGGCCTCCCAAAATGCTGAGATTACAGCTGTGAGCCACCGTACCTGGCCCTAAGTGGTTAATCTTAATCACCATGTGACCAAGACCAAATTTTAAGGAAGATGTAGCATACATTTTGGAAAACATGGTAGACATAATTCATAATTTATAGCCAGAATTCACGCTGTTGTTCATGGCGCTACTTGGATCTTCACATAGCTGTTTCAGAAAATATAGTAAATGCGAACGGCAGGACTTGCAATTTCAGACAGTTTGTGCAGTTGGCAGGACAGAGAACACAGAGTGGGGATACGGTCCTGTCAGATTGGTGGAAAACCTCATTTTTAATTGATTGTCTATTGCATCTATGCCCCTCTTTTCCCACCCTCCCTTTGTCCTTTTATCAATTCTACTTGGAAATAAAATCTGCAACTCTAATAGATGCTACTGACACTCGTGCAGCAATTCTACCAGATGGCATTCGAATCTCGGGTGTTCTATGAAAAATGAAAAGACCAAACACATGCACAAATAAATGAAGGTTGAATTAATCTTTATAATTAAACGGAATATTACCCTGCTATGACTGATTTTTGCTTTCAAACTGGATTGCGTGCTAATTTTTCAGTGAACTGTAATTGTATTAACATGGCTTTTTTGATGCCTGAAAGTACTTAAAAATAGATTTTGCGAAGTTACTGAGAGAAAAGTTATTAGAACTTTTAATCTAAACATCTCTAAGATCCTGAGGTATATTTATATCACGACTTACAGCTGCAAAGCATTTTCCAATAGTTTTTTATTCTTTGTCCCTTATCATCCTGGGATTTAGGTGGCACTGGCCAGAAATTGGGTTGAATTGCAAGTACCTGAGGCACGTTAGAAAATTGATGTCCTACTGTGTACCCACAAAAATTAAAAATAAAAATTAGAAAACAAATATGTACAACTGCTATGTACCCACAAAAATTAAAAATTAAAAAAATGAGTGGGAGGGAAGGTGGTAGAGTTTTCTACATAAAGTGCACCTACTAGCTTAGTAGTGGTGACTATTAGTGAAATCCCTAAGGATTATTGAAGCAGAGGATGAGTCCCCTACTTATGAACTGATAACACAGTGTTGGGGGTTCTCAGAAGTGGGTCCAGAAGCCTTGGTACCATGGCAAGTACCATGATCTACAGCAGAGAGTATCTCAAATTTCAGCAGGCATGAGACTCCCCTATAGTAGTGGTTTTCAACCCAGAGTGATGTTACACACCTGGAGACATTTGGCAATGTCTGGAGATATTTTTGATCACAACTGGGGGGACAGAGGGTGTTACTGGCATTTAGTGGGTAGCAGCCAGGAATGCTGCTAAATATCCTACAATCCACAGAACAGTCCCCAGAGATAAGAATGATTCTTTCCCAAATGTCAATAGTGCCAAGGTTGAGAAACCCTGCCTTATGGTAAGGCTCATTATAATGCAGATTCCTGGGTCCCAGTTCAGAAGCATTCTAACTCAAGAGATGTAGCATTGTCCCACAAATTTGTGTTTTCAACAAGCTCCCACGTGACACAGATGCTGCCAGTCCAAAGACAAAGCTTTGGGAAGCCCTAAGCTAGACGATGCCAGTGTCAAAGGAACAAGCCATATATGTGGGCACTGGCCCTATGACATTCCCTTCTTTTAGAAAAATGATATGAAAATTCCCACTTGCATTGATTGATTGATTGAGACGGGGTCTCGCTCCGTTGCCCAGGCTCGAGTGCAGTGGCATGATATCGGCTCACTGCAACCTCCGCCTCCCGCATTTAAGCAATTCGCCTGCCTCAGCCTCCCACGTAGCTGGGATTACAGGCACACGCCACCATGCCTAGCTAATTTTTGTATTTTTAGTAGAGACGAGGTTTCACCATATTGGTCGGGCTAGTTTCAAACTTCTGACCGCAGGCAATCCACCCGCCTCGACCTCCCAAAGTGCTGGGATTACAGGCGTGAGCCATCGTGCCCAGCCCACACTTGTCTAATTTAATAATTCACCAAAGTTATCTCATTTGATCTCTCCCCACCAGTTTATGAGGGAGGTACTTCACAAGGTTTTTAGGTGGTAAAGAATTGTTCATATAAGAGCTAACCTTAAAGGAAAGAATGACAACAATTCCCACTTAAACTGTTGATGAGACAAGGGGATATGTTTATCTAGGTTAATCTCCAACTTGCCTCCTGTTTAAATAAGTAATTTAACAACTGGAGGAGGATTAAGTAGCTGATTAAATTTCTCTGAGAAACGTTAGGTGTTAGGGCCTTGGTATTTATTGCAGGTGTGTTTCTAAGCCCTTTCAACCTTGATATTTGAAAATGTTTTTAAATAATTTGTAAGTATTTTTTCCCATTCCCCAAAAAATGCATTGATTTATTTCATAGTATTTATTCCCATTTTGGTTAATATTTCTATACTGGCTGTGTTTTAAATGTAGATATTTACCTCAACAAAATATGAATATTACAGCTAATTATAGAATTATTTAAATAGTTATTATTTAATTATATATTTCTATCTTGATGAAACTTTCCGAAAAGATTAACCTTTGTGCCTTATTTTTCCCTTGCTATCTTTACTATTGGTTTTGAAAAATGGGGAAACCTCTTGTGTAGAAGAGGGGTTGGCAAACCATTTCTGTAAAGAGACAAATGGTAAACATCTTAGGCATTGTGTGGGCTATATGGCTTCTGTTGCAACTACTCAAACTCCACTGCTGTAGCATGAAAGTGGCAGTAAACAATACTTAAATGAACGTGGCTGTCGTCAGAGAGAAAAAAGCAACTTTTCCTTTACCACTTTAGGTTTAATGTCAGGGCCTGTGAATTAAACTATAAAAGATGGATTAACAAGAGAAAAGCAAAGTTTATTCACTAACCTGCATGAGAGCTTACAGAAAACACAGCCCAGAGAAACAGAATTGGGGGGTTACATATTGTCTTAAGAAGGGGTAGGGTTAGGATTTTAAGGGACAATAAATGGTGGGAAATGACTGAGAAATATATGAGGGGACCTAACAGAAAGTCAGGCTTGCTTTAGTAAGGTCTGTTTATGTAAGTTCTCATCCTGGCGCCAACTTTTTATCCCCGGTGAGAGGAGTTATTTTCCCCCGGTGCAAGAAGTGTCTCTTAAAAGGGGGATTTACGACAGTTGAATTCTTTTGGAAGTCTCTGCTTGTAGGCCGATAAGGGAAGCATGGAGAAAGCCTCTTTCTGCTTGTCTTGATTCTCAGATACCTTCAGCTCAAAATAGTCCTTTGCTACAGTAGCATATTCCGGACCAATAAAACTTTCTTTACAAAAAAACATGTGGTAGGCTGGCTTGGGCTGTAGTTTGCTGACCTCTGATACAGAGCCCTGTGAGTGAGACAGAGACAAACATAATTTATTTTGGCTCATATAAAAGCCTAAGTGTGATATAGGATTGTTCCCACTCTTGGGCTGTTATCATTTTGGTTATGTCTGGATAAATGGGCTTAGCTAATTGAGGCTTAGGGTATTCATTTGACTAGGTCTAGCAGCTGTTCTATTTGCAAACTTTGTGAGCAGTTTAACCACATATAATCGAAACCAATAAAAACATTGATTTAAAAATTTATGATTTGGCCACTCTTCTGCCCAGTTTCTTTTCATCTTTTTTTTTTTAATTTAATTTTTATCATTTGGGACAGGGTCTCACTCTGTTGCCCAGGCTGGAGTGCAGTGGCACAATCTTGGCTCACTGCAACCTCTGCCTCCCAAGTTCAAGTGATCCTTCTGCCTCGGCCTCCCAGGTAGCTGGGATTTCAGGTGCAAGCCACCACGCCCAGCTAATTTTTGTATTTTTAGTAGAGACAGGGTTTTACCATGTTGGCCAGGCTGGTCTGGAACTCCTGACCTCAAGTGATACACCTGCCTGAGCCTCCCAAAGTGCTGGAATAACAGGTGTGAGCCACGGTGCCCAGCTCCTGCCCAGTTTTAAAGGAAATAAATGAGCCGGGTGTGGTGGCTCACACCTGCCATCCCAGCACTTTGAGAGGCAGAGGTGAGCGGATTGCTTGAGTCCAGGAGTTTGAGACAAGCCTGGACAACACGGTGAAACCCTGTCTATATTAAACAAACAAACAAATAAGGGAAATAAATGAGAGTTGCCTCTATTTTTAAGGTAATATTGCTACCACTCTAAGGACGATGGGTGTGTTGTTTTATTAATTAATCATAAGGTGGCTTTGGCTTCTAAAATCTATTGCTACTACCTGCTCCATCTGTTTACCAAGAAAACTCAAATATTACTTTCTTTCTTTAACTCTGTTCAGTACAGGGCTCACCCAAGTAAGAGGAGCATCACAAAGACACCAGGGAAATGTTTAGTGCCAGTATGGCAAAATTAAGATTTACTTCTGCCAGAGTAGTTTCCTTTTGCAGACAGAAGAAACTGCCCACCTCCAAAATATATTGAGTTGGTGTTTTAGGAGAGAGCATGGATGGTGCTTGTTTATAATTTGGAACATGCCTTCCTAGAATGTTGTCTATCTTAGAGAGTAATGAGGGTTTTCTGCTATACTGGGGCATTATTCACATGGGGTTGAGGGTGGATGACCTGAAATCTGATCTTTCCTGTCTTTTACTTCTTGTACAATTAGAACTGTGATTTGCACTTAGAGAGCCTTCTGATTCATGGAAGTGCTTATCTATCTTCTACCCCTGTATGATGCATCTGCTTGTGGACCGCACCCAAAAGCAATTTGCAGAATTAAAGTTTTTGAAGACTCATAATAAATCAGTTCAATTTTATCAAGAGAATAAAATTTGATTCATCAGATAACTGCATTGTTATTATTTGTGGGATCCTGATAGACCCAGAGGATATTAAAGCCTGTTCCCCTGACTAATTTTCATCAATACCATTAGCTCCGCTTAGGGTAATATCTTCAGCTAAGGCATCTATACTAGTCAATCATTTGTTTGGCATTATGGAAACTGCCATTGTTTTGAATGATAGTGTAATTCATGTACAGTCTCCTGAACTTCTGGGTGCTTAAAGCTCAGAATTTTGATTGATGTTTAATAGTTATTACAGAACTCATCAGAGAAAATGAGGCCTTGGCATGATTGAGCCTGACTGAAGCTTTCAAAGCCACTGCAAGCTTAGGAAAGTTGCCCTATAAATTTTTTATGAAAGGGCAGTGATCAGTTGTTCCATTTTTTTCTTAAGTTGGTTAAATTAATAAAAAAGAAAAAATATGCTGAGACTTAACCACGTATACTAAACATACAGCTATTTAATTAAGTGATTAAAGTGGTCTCTTTGATGTGATACATGCAAGACATTTGAGAATTTATCTGACTCTCCTAAATAGCCAAGTCAGTGGGGATTAAAATAAATGAGCTTTCTGTCTTCCTTTCTGTAGATCAGCTTAATAGTAAGTGGCTTTGAAAATTCAGGAGTAAAGCAGTCAACCTAGCCAATCTTTAAATCAGTTCAGTCACATATATAAAAAGTAGATGCCATTTCAGAGCTCACAGCTAAATAAAGCAGAATTATGCCTGATTCTGTTCTTCCCACCAGCATTATCAAGTTGTAGTATACAGTATTGAAAATTCTGGGAAGGTGGGGGTGATTTGAGAGTTTAAATCATGTTGTATATTAGGTTTTCAATGTTCCTCATTTTTCTGAGTTCATTTGTGATAGCTGTTGTTTCTCTCTTCAAATAATAATCTTTACAAACTCTCTGTTGTCTCCATGGAAATTAATTGTGATTTTTAAAGCTCTAGCACTAAGACTTTAGGGCAGGGAGTCAACTCCCAAGCAACTGAGATCTGTCGCATGTAAATGGTAGTAATAGCAAAGAGCAAAGCAAAAACAAATAAAAATCTTGATAGCTAAGCCGTGCGTGCACGTGCACACACATGCACACAGATGATGCTGTTGAGCATGGATCAGTTTGGAAGCATTGTTAAGCACTTACTGTGTACTAGCCCCTGTGTCATGAATTGAGGCAACTCAGCGAATAACCTAGCTTTATTTAATTATCTGTGTTGGCTTAGTAAGTTATGGCCCTTGGGCCATATTTGGCATTCTGCCTGTTTTTGTGTGAACCACAAGTTATGAATGGATTTCACATTTTTTAAATAGTTTTAAAAAATCAGCTTGGCACAATGGCTCATGCCTGGAACCCCAGTACTTAGGGAGGGAGATGTGGGAGGATTGCTTGAGCCCAGGAGTTTGAGACCTGTCTGGGCAACGTAGTGAGACCTCGTTCTCCACAAAAAGGAAAACAACAACAACAACAACAACAACACAAAAGGACAAAAAAACACACCAAGTGTAAACAACCAAAAGAAGAATATATTATGATACATGAAAGTTGTATGAGATTCAAATTTCAGTGTCTATAAAGTTTTATTGGAACAGAGTCACAGCCATTCATTTATGTGTTGTTCTAGCTTGTTTCTGCTTTCTCAGGTACAATCACAGAGCTGAGTAGTTGTGCAGAGGCCATATGGATTGCAAAGCCTAAAATATTTACTATTTGGCACTTTACAGAAAAAGTTTGGTTATTCCTGATATGGGTAAGGCAAACTTCATAATTCCTTTATTATCTGAATACTTCTCCCAACTCTCTATTTTACTTTATTGGTATTAGAACTAAATGTATCCATATTCTACAGACGAGGAACCTGAGGAACAGAGAGATTCAGAAAATTCAGCTATTGCTAATACCTTATGTGATGATGATAACTTGTTATAGAATGGTTTTCCTCAGCTTTTTAAATAAAAATGCAGTTAAGTAATCGATAATATTACGTTTGTATGTTCTTTCAGCATTAAGGAGAGTCCTGAGCCTTGATTTTATGTTCAGTATGTGTATTAGTCTGTTCTCATGCTGCTAATAAAGACATACCTGGGACTGGGTAATTTATAAAGAAAGAGGTTTAGTTGACTCACAGTTCCACATGGCTGGGGAGGCCTCACAATCATGGCGGAAGGCAAAGGAAGAGCAAAGTCATATCTTGCATAGCGGCAGGCAAGCAAGAGAAAGCATGTGCAGGCTGGGCACAGTGTCTCACGCCTGTAATCCCAGCACTTTGGGAGGCTGAGGCAGGTGGATCACCTGAGGTCAGGAGTTCGAGACCAGCCTGGCCAATATGGTAAAACCCCATCTCCACTAAAAATACAAAAAATTAGCTGGACATGGTGTGGGCACCTGACATCCCAGCTACTTGGGACGCTGAGGCAGGAGAATCACTTGAACCCAGGAGGTGGAGGTTGCAGTGAGCTGAGATTGTGGCATTGCACTTCAGCCTGGGCAACAAGAGTGAAACTCCGTCTCAAAAAAAAAAAAAAAAGAAAAGAAAAAAGAAAGCAAGCATGTGCAGAGGAACTCCCCTTCATAAAACCATCAGATCTCCTGAGACTTACTCACTATCAAGAGAACAGCACAGGAAAGACCCACCCTCATGAATCAATTACCTCCCACTGGGTCTCTCCCATGACGTGGGAATTATGGGAGCTACAATTTGAGATTTGGGTGGGGATACAGCCAAAACATATCAGTAAGTATTTGCTGATTGATTGAAATAGCTTACATAAAATATATAGTTTTGTTTGCCACCAAGAATTAATTGCATTGGAAGCTGAGTGTGGTGGCTCACACCTGTAATCCCAGCACTTTGGGAGGCTGAGGTGGACATATCATTTGAGGTCAGGAGTTCGAGACCAGCCTGGCCAACATGATGAAACTCCGTCTCTACTAAAAAATACAAAAATTAGCCGGGAATGGTGGTGCATGCCTGTAATCCCAGCTACTCGGTGGGAGGCTGAAGCAGAAGATGCTTGAACCCGAGAGGTGGAGGTTGCAGTGGGCTGAGATTGTGCCACTACACTCCAACCTGGTTGACAGAGCGAGGCTCCACCTCAAAAAAAAAAATTAATTGCAATGGATTTTATATCTTGCTTAATTTTCCAGAATGTTTTATATGTTCTCACAAAATATCTCATTTTCTCCCCTTTTTTCTCTCCTGTGGTAAGATCAGTTAATATTGAAATATACCTTAATGTTAGCTGGGCATGGTGGCACACGCCTGTGATCCCAGCTACTTGGTAGGCTGAGGCACAAGAATTACTTGAACCTGGGACATGGAGGTTGCAATGAGCCGAGATCGTGCTACTGCACTCCAGCCTGGATGACACCGTGAGACTGTCTCAAGACAACAACAACAAAACCCAGGGAAACGTACCTTGGTGTGAACAGCACTGAATGATGTTTATGATTGTATGTTAATCCTCTTATATTTAAAGGTTAAATGTAAAATATAGCCTTTTATATTTTCTGATACTCTTGATGACATTGATCATAGTGGGTTTATCAAATTATTCATTATATGAATTAATATTTATTGAGTATTGGTCACTTGCTATGTTACCTGTGGTAACATGGTGATTAGGTGGAATAGGCTATTGGTTTAATTTGAATAGTATTAGAAGATTCTCTCAGCTACAAAACCTCTCATTTAATTGTATTTATTCCTTTGGCTAATAAACTACTCTTTTAAATAAAAGTATTTCTCCAGAGTAAATATATTAGATTGCTATTAGTGACTTACATTCTATTATAAACTAGTTTGAGGCCCCAGTGGCAGCTAGTGGATTAGCAACCTTGAAGAATTAATAATTTTGATGGATGAGAAGGGAAGGGGGAGATATCTTTGGAGCACAGAGTATTGCTAAGGAAAGGCCAACTAGGGTACGATGGTATTGCAAGTGGTATGAACACATAGGACCTGCTAGGTGTTGAAAGGAACAGATAAGAGAAAGAGAAAGAGGAGGAAGGCAGAAACCAAGATGGCAAGTGCTAAAAGCAACCTGTATCTTTGATCTTTTCTAGGGTTAGATTTGGTAGTGTTTCTTGTGTCTGTTTTCAGAGGTGTGCCAATAGTGGCTCTCAAAAGAGTCCTCCAACTTTTGGGGGGCTGCAAATAGCCTGGATTCTTTTGACTCATATGCAGAGTCTGGCTTTGCTAGGAAAATCTCCTACCATGCTCCAAGAAGCTTGTACATTTGTCTTCCATTGATAAGAGGGTTGCCTCAATAGCTTTTCTCCCTAAGCATTTCTTTTCTCGATATTTTTCCTCTCACCACAAGTGTGGCCTTCTGAAACTGGACCTATGACTAAAAGAGTGACATTATTTCTCAGGGGTTTCAGGTGTTTGGTTAGGGGTATAAGATGACCTGGACTCTTCTGGAAGACCTCCAAACACTACACATCACAGTTACTCCAAATCCTTGGAAAAAGTCACGTTTCTACTTTCTTGGTGTAGTCTACAACTAACATTTGCTCATCATGTACTCTGGACCAAGGGAAAAAAGTGTTTTACATGCAATGTCATCCTGAACTCTTGCAGACAATGCTATGAAATAGGTACTAATTTTTAGTAATTTTTTTCTCAACATCTGATGTAAAGGAGAGTGTGTTAGGATTACATTAGCTAATGGAAAACATGACACATAATGCCTCAAACAAATAAGGGCTTTATTTTCTGTATGTCATGAAGGGAAAAGAGGGAGGCAGTCCAGGTCTAATATGCTGGCCTTCGAATGCCATCAGCTTTTCATCCCACCATCTTCAGCATGTAGATTTTTTCCTCATATGTGTTGCCTTGTGATTACTAGATGGCTGCTCGGCTTCTGGCATTGCATCAGCATTCCAGAAAGGAAGAAGAGGAAAGGCTAAAGCAGTAGTTCTCAGCTGGAGGTGATTTTGCCACCAGGGGCACATTTGGCAATATATGGAGATATTTTTGGTTGTCACAACTTGCGGAGGGGGGCATGGGTTGCTCCTGGTATCTAATTTGTAGAAGCCAAAGATGCTGCTAAACATCCTACAATTTATAGGACAAACCCCAGAGCAAGAATTATCTGGCCCAAAGTGTTGAGAAACCCTGGACTCGAGGCAGAAAGCATATGCTGATGAATCTGTCCCCTTTTAAAATGGATCATTGGAAGTGCAACAAGAAGTTTTTCTTAAATGTCATTGGCCCGAATCTCATCCTGTAGCTGACTCCAGTTGGAAAGGAAGCTGGGCAACACAGCTATTTTGTTGTTGTTGTTGTTGTTGTTGTTGAGTCCATTGTCATCCTGAGCAGAATTGGAGTCCTGACAGTAAGAGAAGAAAGGGAGAATAGTTATTAGGTAGACAGTAGGCGGTGTTTATTTCAAAAAGTTAAGTACTCTGCCTAAGGTCACAGAGGTAGTGAAGATCAGCAGCTGCGTAAACCTCCTCTATTGAGGAACGGATGTCCAGCTGTCAAGTGCAGCTTCTCTCTACATGTCTGTATGAATAAAGCATGAAAATGCATGCACTGGGTATGGAAAGCCCTGGAGTTTTTGATCAGCCACAAACAGCCTAGGAAATATTTCTTGCAGGATATAATATGCAATCTGTTAAATATTTATATCACTGCTCTCTCAGCATTTACAGTGGGACTTGCCTTTCCTTTTTGTCCATGTAACCAATAGGGTAATTAATCTCAGACCTGACTCACTAATACTTTGCCCTTCAAGCCATCAAACTATTGGTGCTTCACTTCTCCCATTTTGAAAAATTAAAAAGTGATGTGATTACTATTTGCCTTACTTAGGGTTCATTCAGGAAACCAGACACTCTTCTAAGTATATCAACCAGCAAGACATTTAATACAGGGAATTGGAGGCTTAGGTAACCTTTCAGAGGGCTGGGGAGTGAAGGGCAGAGTCTGTCAATGATCTCTGCTGCTTGTACACCAAAGAGGTCTTTCTCAGGAGAATGCCTGGAAGTTGCTGGAAAAGGGCTGTATCTGCTGTCTGCAGATGCCCACATATCTGTATAAGGCTACCAACAGCAAATGAATGGCATCTCCTCTTCTACCTTTGGAATTGCCTATGAGTGCTTCTCATTGGCAGTCTAACCTGGAGCCATGGGATATTGCAAGATGTATTTCTGAAGCTTCTCAGGGAAAAATGTAGAATGGGGTGGGGTAGGATGAGGAGGAATTGACAACGAAGTCTGTGGCAGAAAAAAACATTTGAATCTGAATAGAGGAATACATATATAGCATATTTTAGGAAGAAGAACACTCTCTTCAGATGTTGGCAATGTTGCTACTAGTATTATTACCTTATTCTAGGTATGTATCTTTGGGAGGTAAATAGGGATTCTTTGTATGTGTTCTGATTATCTTCAAGTCATGATGATGCTCAATAAATAATAAAAAAGGATTCAATAACCTGCATAGATGGTGCAGAAGGTAATATATTCTGTGAGGCTCTGTAGTGCAGTGGGGGTCCCAGAGATGAGGTTTAAAAAACAATGCATAATTCACCAGCATGCTCTGGAAAGACCAGTCTTCAGAAAACAATTGTGGATGACTCAGCTTGTCCGTTCGTTCGTTCTTTTCTTTTCTTCTTTTCTTTTCTCTCTCTCTCTTTTTCTCACTTTCTCTCCAAAACTATCTGGAATTCTTTACTTGCTATAGTTATGCATATGACTTATAGCGAGCTGATAAAATATAGTGCAAAATTAAATACAATGCCGGAAATAATAGAATAATCTCAGAATGAGGTAACCTATAGATGTATGACATAGTTTGGTGTTGGGGGTAGAGTTGTAACCTCTAGTTATCTGCTATCTGGGTCACATCAAGCTTTTAGTGTGTGTAACTCACAGAGTTTTGAAGGTGTAATTTGATCTGTGCTATACTTGAGTCTGTGAAACAGCAAAACCCATTATGACTATGTCCTACAGCCCTTGTAAAATCCTAAGTCTTGAGCTTCAGGATTCTGCTGATATTTAATATCTGAATTATTTCAAGGAAGGTAAGGAAAGTGTACTATCTTACTATGTTTATTTCTTGAGTGAGGAAAATTGAAAGGGACTAAAGGAAAGAACTCGTTGCCAAGAGCAGTGTCCAGAGGTCACTGGTTTTGCTTTGTGGCTTTGCTGGAATAAAACCAACGTGTTTGGGGTTGCCTAGGTCTTATGTTGGGTCATCTGGAGGCAGATCTGGAGATGAGAATTCCTGTGTAAGTGATTCATTAAACAAATACTCCCAAGAGAAATCAGTAAGGGAATGGGAGAAGCAAGACAGGGAGGGATGAGAGTCCAATTTCAGGAGACATCTCAGAACTAGTCTGATCCTGCAGGGAACTTTGGAAGTACAAATTATACCTCAGAGTTTGTCCTGAATTGAGGCAAGGGGGCTGGGCTTTCATATTGCCGCTTAGGGCTGCTTGGGTGGAGGCAGAGGCGGAGGCGGAGGTGCAGGTGCAGGAAAAGTGGGTAGAAGGCAAATAAACCCCCAGGAACTAGCTATTTTTGATTGCAGGCAAGGAGCTCTAGTAGTTCCTAGGGCAGGCCTTCAGAAAGTCTCAGGTGTTGGCCATTAGAAAAGAAAAAACATAGATGCTGGAGGGATGTACAGAAGTTATAAAAGGGATCCCAGGGAATCTGGTCAGAGCCCTGACAGTGTACTTGTAAGCTTCTCTTTTGCTTTTATGAAACCCAGAATCTGGAGAAGGGAGAGAGAAATTTTCACATGGAACTGTAAAGTTTCTCTAAAGCAAGGGTTGACGAACTTTTTCTAGAAAGGGCCAGATAAAATATTTGAGGCTTTGTGGGCCACAGGGTGTCTGACCCAATTATTCAACTCTACAACTGTACTGCAGAAGCAGCCATAGTTGACAGGTAAACAAATGAGTGTGGCTATGTTCCAATAAAACTTTATTTATAAAAACAGGGGTAGGGTGGCTGGATTTGGCCCAGGGACCATATTTTGCCAATCGCTGCTCTTGAGGTTCTTTATATGTGCCTAAGTTTGTTTTTCCTTTATTTATTCCCTATCTGTTATAAAACACAGAGGATAATTAGTACCTTTGTCTATCTAAATGATGGTTATGACATTATGATGTATCTTAAATTATTCTAGATCACTGCCTCCAATCTTTCTGGCATCCTGGCCATCTTTCACAATGTTGCAAAGATAATCTTCCTGAAGCATGACTCATCTCCTTTTATTCCCATGCTAAACATATTTAGCTCTCTCTTAGCTGTAAAATAAAATATAGGCTTGTTAACATGGCATTCAGGAATCCCTGTGATCTGACCCCAGGCCAATTTTCCTGCATTATTTTCTGTTCTCCATCCTCATGTACTTATAGTCCAGCTACATTAAATTACTCGCCCTCTCTCCAATATGCCATATCGTGTGTGTTTGCTATCTCCTTGTAGTTTTTTTCATTTTTATGTATTTAAACTGACTATATACTGTCAAAATTTTATATATATATATATGATGTACAACATGATGTTTTGATACATGTATACATTAGAAAATGGGTAAATTAACATATCCATCACCTCATATATTTATCATTTTTGTGGTAAGAACATTTAAAATCTACTCCCTTAGCCATTTTCTAGTGTACAATACATTGATATTAACTATAGTCACTATGTTGTACAATACATCTCCTAAACTTATTCCTCTTATCTAACTGAAATTTTGTATCTTTTGACCAACTCCCTAACCCCATTCCCCCACCCCTGGTAACCACCATCCTACTGTACTCTGTTATGAGTTTGACTGCTTTAAATTTCGCATGAATGAGATCATGCAGTATTTGCCTTTTGGTGCCTGGCTTATTTCACTTAGCATGAAGTCCTACAGATTCATCCACGTTGTCACAAATGACAGGATTTTCTTCTTTTTTAAAGCTGAATAGTATTCCATTGTGTATATATACTACATTTTATATTCCATTGTGTACATATACTACATTTTTAATCCATTCCTCTGTTAATAGACATTTAGGTTAATTCCATATCTTGGCTATTTTGAATAGTGCTTCAATGAACATGGAGGCACTCTCTTTAGCGTACTGATTTCATTTCCTTTGGATATATCCCCAGAAGTAGGATTACTGCTTTGTATGGTAGTTACATTTTTAATTTTTAGAGGAACCTCCATAGTGTTTTTCATAGTGACTGTACCAAATTATATTGCCACCAACAGTGCTCAAGAGTTCCCTTTTCTCCACACCCTTACCAACACTTGTTATCTCTTGTCTTGTTGATAGTCGCCATTCTAACTGGTGATAGGTAATATCTCATTGTGTTTTTAATTTTTATTTCCCTGATGAGTAATGATGTGGATCATTAAAAAAATCTGTTGACAATTTGCATGTCTTCTTTTGAGAAATGTATTTTCACGTTATTTTCCCTTTTTAATTTTTTAATTTCTTTTTTTTTTTTTTTTTGGAGACAGGGTCTTGTTCTGTCACCCAGGCTGGAGTGCAGTAGTGTGATCATAGTTCACTGCAGCCTCTACCTCCCAGGCTCAAGTGATCCTCCTGCCTCAACCTCCCAAGTAATTGGAACTATAGGCAGGTGCCACCATGCCCGGCTTTTTTTAAAATTTATTTTTGTAGAGACAGGGTCCCGCTGTGTTGCCCAGGCTGGTCTTGAATTCCTGGCCTCAAGCAATCCTCCTGCCTCAGCCTCCCAAAGCTCTGGGATTACAGGCATGAACAACTGTGCCCGACCTCCTTTCCCCATTTTTTAACCAGGTGATTTGCTTTCTTGATATTGAGTTGAGTTTTAAATATATTTTGGATATTAACCCTTTATCAGATGTATGGTTTGCACATATTTTTGCCTCTGTCTTTGCCCCTGTTTCTTCTCCTGGAATGTTCTTCTAGCTCTACATTTTGAAATCCTAACCATTCTCTTAAGACTCGATTCAGTCACCTTCTCCATTAAGCATTTTCTCCATGCAGAAACAGTCTCTCCTCTGGACTTTGATAACAATATTGTCTATTTCTATTAAATTTTTTATTTTGTTTACATTGTACTAGACAGTTATTTGCTACATTCACTGCATTTTTAGTATACTGAGGTCTCTCAATATATATCTATATATTTTTGCCCTTCACAGTGGCTTGCATATAGTAGATATTCAGTAAATGGAGTTTTCAGATGAAGGGCGCATTTCTACATCTTGTGATTATTAATGATTTAAGTGCTGAAACTCTGACATTATTTTTCTTTTTCCTTTTTGTAGGCGAGAGCTGTTTTGGCAAAAGTTGGCTATCCAGAGTTTATAATGAATGATACTCATGTTAATGAAGACCTCAAAGCTGTAAGTGCTAAATTTACTGTACTTTTTTTTTTCTGGCAAGTTTTACTGGCCTTGTGCCTTTCAACTAACCCAAGTCCTAGCAATTAAAACTGGTGATGCCAGAAAACACCAACTTTTGATTAATTCCTTGGCTAGATATGAGCCTGAATATGCCAGGCAGATCACAAGATTTAGGGCAGATTCAAAATAAAGAAGTGTCAGAAACGATGCGTAGCTGAGTGGGTACCAAAAAACAAATGGACTTGGGTTTGGCCTAATTTGATCATAAAAGAAAGAATTAAGCAAATTGAGTATGTTACAATTAGTGGGCATGTTCTAATGGCAAATGCATCATGTTTGTTGTTAAATACTTTTTATTTGCTTCATTCGTATTAAATGAATAGTAATAAATCTGCCTGCTGGGAGTTAACTTCATTAAACTTTATGAGTGTTTTGGCAAATTAAATGCATATACATACGACTCTATAATTTATTGTGAATTGGATTGTGTATTTGCAGTAAGTTACTGATGAAAAATGGTCATAATTCTTTTTTATTTCAATATTTTTGGACATGTATTTTCCAGTAGGTGTATTAATTACAGGCCTTTCTATTCACAAGCACTGTTATTTCCTCTCCTACAAATAGTTCTGATAAGTGATTTTTCTTCCTCATTTAAAAAAACCTGTTTTTACTATTCACTAGATTTTCTTGAAAATGTAGTCTTTTGAAATTCTTTAAGTAACTATAGTTCTGAGGTATAGCTCTTTCCTGAAATTGTGGTTCAACAAGTGGCATATCTGAAAACGATCCCAGCTTTGTAGATGAGCATCAAAATTTTACAAGACTATTCAAAAGTGAGAGAAAGCATTAATTAGAATCTTCCTCCATTGGGCTCTAAGATATAGCCTCCCAAAATATTGATACAGTTGCTCTGGAAGAAAATAATGATGCCTCATAGCATCCTAAAACTCAGTCTATCTTATTATACACTGTTTTGATGATGCTGAAAATCCCATTATTATTATCGTAACTAAAAATATTGAAGCACTTGACATATTCATGTACATTATCTTTTAATTCCTTCAGTGATTCTGTGAAATAGATGATGTTCATTCCCATTTTGCAGAAAAGGACATAGAGACTCAATAATTTAAGTGAGCTCCTCAGTTCCACACAGACTTTCAGAGCCAGGACTGATATCTGGGCTCAGGAAGCTCTGCCTGTAATCAGACAAGGGATTCTTGAGGGTCCTTTTTAGGCAGCTATGCTGGAGGAACAGAGGCATCAGGGTGGAGACTTGGTGGGGGCAGTGTGACCAGGGCTGTTGGAAGAAGAGCAGAGGGAAGGCCATGTTATCAAATGGTTAAGAGCACAGGCTCCAGTATCATGGGCCTGGGTTTGAATTCTGCTTCTTGTACTTACTAGTTATTTCATCCTGTGTAGGTTACTTAACTTCGGTTAGCCTCCCTTTGGTTATCTGGCTACTGGAAATATAATAACCAAGTCTTAGTATTGTTGGGAAGATTAGATGAGACTGTATAAATGTAAAAGCACTTGGCATAATACTCTGGCTCAGAGTATAGCCTACTTCCTATAAAGGGTAGCTTTGCGGATCAATATGGACCATTTGTGGTCCATTTTCAAATCAGCCATATAAAATATTCCATTTCATTGATCCTTAATAGAAATAGACTCAAGCGTGAATTTCTACCAATTTTGGAAATATATCTGTATCAGCCAGGAAAGCAAAAAGCACAGTAGGTATTTTAAACAGGGAATTTAATACAGGAAATGGGTTGGAAGGCAAGAAAAGGGAAAATAGATAAACCACAGGTTAAACTGCTGTTGCTACTAAGAAGAGTATCATCAGGGCACAAAGTACCTTAGCAGGAGAACCTGGGTAACTCCATACTATTGGTATATATTCTGAGTCAGCATGTGGATGAGAAGGTTTGAGAGACAGTTTGATGTAGAGGTTATAAATAGGGACCGTGGAGTCAAAGTGCCTGGAGTAAAACCCCCAGTCTACCATGTACCACCTTGTTACCTAGGGTAGGTTATGTATCCTCTCTGTGCCTTTCTTCATCTGAAGAATGAAGGTCATACCAATCCCTCCCATATAGGATTTCTGGGAGGATCAAATAAGTTAACATATTTGAAGTGTTTAGAATGAACCCTAACATACAATCAGCACAATACATGTGTTAGCTATGACATCCTCAATTCACACTTGTGGTAGTGAACTATTTTGGTTTGAAAAAGTCCTCATGAATTAACTCATGCACTGTCCAGGTCCCTCAAATTGATTTAAAAGGGTATACAGATGGAGCAGTCTCAAGCTTTAATCGAATAAGGTAGAACTTAAGGCTTACTCACAATATTTAGTTGATCAAGTTTTGTTGGCATTCTGTTGCTAAGTTCAGAGCCCCAAATTTAAGGACCCATTGAATGCAATATCTTTTGTGAAAAGAAACCAGATGCCAAACAGGATGCCATGTTGGCTGTGCTTCTTTGTTTCTCTGGGGCCTGAACTGAAGACATTACACACCAAGATTTTTAATCACTTCTTTGAAGAAATGGCTTTCATCTGACTCATTGCCAAAGCAGACACAATTACGCCCAAGAGTTTTAACAGTTTAAAAACCTGACAGTGAAAAAAATTCCAGGTACATGAAGTAAAAAGACATTTGTATTCAGAAACCGATTGTTTTAGTCAATTTACACGGTGCTATAAAGAAATACCCGAGACTGGATAATTTATAGAGGAAAGAGGTTTAATTGACTCACAGTTCCACACGGCTGGGGAGGCCTCAGGAAACCTACAATCATGGCGGAAAGTGAAGGGGAAACAGGCACCTTCTTCACAAGGCGGCAGGAGGGAAGAGTGAGAGTTCAGGAAAAAACTGCCACTTTTAAAACCATCAGATCTCATGAGAACTCACTATCACAAGAACAGCATGGGGGAAACTGCCCCCATGATTCAATCACCTCCCTCCCTTGACATATGGGGATTACAAGTCCCTCCCTTGACACGTGGGGATTACAATTCGAGATGAGATTTGTGCTCTCTCACTTTCTCTCCCCCTCAAGCCCCGCCCTTTTCTTTTTCTGACAGTGACTTCAGTCCCTCCTCCAAACCTCAGCTCTGGAGTGGCAGGCAGTTCTCCTCTACTCTCCTAAGTGATGGTACCATCACCTCCTCCCTTCTGTGACCCTAGACACAGGAGTCGCAGCTGTGTACTCCTGTGACTCTCACAGAGCCAAATCATATCACTGATAGAGAAAATGAATAAAACCCACCCTAAAAATAGGTAAAGGATGATATGATAGATTGTAATATTGTCACTGAGGGCAATAGCAAAAAGACTGAAGTATTCCTGGTACACAATGAGACTGTTTTCAGTTTTAAGAAACATGTAGATAAGGACTGCTATAGGACCTATGAGAAATTTCTGGTAATACGAGCTCTGAGCATGAGAGGCTGTTACAAATGAAAAACAGCATGCTGCATTTGAGACAGGTGGAGATATGATTCATCAGGCACAAATGCAAAAGGAAAGAGGAGCGAGATTACCTGATGGATCAGACGAAGGTCAAGGAGAAATGTTGAAAATTGAAGTTGGGCTCATGTGGAAATAAAAGCAAATGAGATAGAATTAAGAGGTAAATATGCAAAGGAATCAGAAATTTTTTAAGGATGACAAGGTAAACTGAGGTACTCAGCAAAGCATTTCCGAACAACAATCTTGTAGTTTTTGAAAAGAACAGGAAGAAATAAAATGCCCTTTATTTGAACCCCCATCAACATGCAGGAAAGCCTGTTAGCCTAAAAAGGTAGGCATGAGCCCATTTTCAAATCAGCCTAATAAAGTATTCCATTTCATTGATTCTTAATAGAAATAGATTCAAAAGTGAGTCTCTCCCAATTTTGGAAATATTTCAGTATTAGCCAGGAAAGCAAAAAGCACACTAGGTATTTTAAACAAGGAATTTAATACATGAAATATGTTGGAAGGCAAGAAGAGGGAAAAATGAGATAAACCACAGATTAGTAACTTTAGAAAGCAGCTGCGACTCCTGTGTCTAGGGTCACAGAAGGGAGGAGGTGATGGTACCGTCACTTAGGAGAGTAGAGGAGAACTGCCACTCCAGAGCTGAGCTTTGCAGGAGGAACTAAAGATTCTTCCAGAGTTATTGTCAGAAAAAGAAAAGGGAGGGAGTAGAGGGGGAGAGAGAGTGAGAGACAGCAACACAGCACCCTTTTCCCTTCTGCAACCCACTAATTTCCTGTAGTGCCTCCTATTTGCAGGAAGCTAATTGGCAAAGGAGCTTGAGAAACAGTTTTCAGATTCCCAGTCCCCAGCATTACGGAACAGAGTGAAAGGGTAGGCATGTAGCTGAAAAACTACAGGTAAATAACTGGCACTATTAAGGACGTTACTAAGGACCAAAGTCAGAATCATGGCTGGCCTCCATTTACTTAGGAGAATTGGAAATGAGAAAATTTTCAGAGGCCAAAGTTTCTGGTGAGTGATACACACATATATAGACATAAATGTGCATATAGGGATATGCAGATATGTGAACCTATGTAAGATTCTCTGTGGTGGGTCTGGTCTACTTTGGCCAGTGAAACACTAGTGTGTGTGTGTAGTGTGTGTGTGTGTGTGTGTGTACATGACAGAGAGTGCCACTCTGCAAGAGTGAGGTGATATTCAGATGGAATGCTAGAATGCTGCAGAAAAAGAGGTTGTTAAAATATTAAAATAATTCTTTACTATTTGTTAAAAAACACAAAACATTGCGCTCAGCTCTTTCAAGGGACCCCTGGCCATCATGGCACTGGAGAGCTAAGGGTGGGCATTGGAGGTGGGACACCCTGGTGCCCCCCAACCTTCCAGCCAGGCCTCTGTAACTCTCTCACATTGGCCTTCATCCAGACTGTTCCACTGGTCAGAGCAGACCAAGACCAGCCCCAGTGTGGAGATGGGACATCTGGTTCCAGTGCTAGTGTGCTGGCTGGAACTCCCTCAGACCCACCTTCACATAGCTGTTTGTAGGAATTGCATCCTCCATGGTACACTGTATATGTGGATTATTAAACATTTTGAGCATCACCTCAGTATATATTAGGTTGGTGCAAAAGTAATTGTGGTTTTTGCCATTACTATTAATGCCAAAAACTGCAATTACTTTTGCACCAACATAATAAGTATGTCTACATGTATAGACACACATTACTTTTGGGCAAAGCCATCTAAACACACCAATCTTGCATGTTGCTTTGTTGTTTGAATAAGGGGACATGTAGATATAAAATACGGATTCCATTAAGTATTCAGAAAATCCTTTGGGTGCCTAACATAAAGTCTTTCTAATAGATATTTGGATATATCTCTGAGTATCTTTAAATGGATTTAAATTAAATGAAAGGTATCCTAGAATTTACACTTCCTACTGGCACAGTAAGGAAAGTACCACAATTAGTGCTTCAGTATTTTTCATCTGCCTATTCCTACATGTAGGCCGAAGACTATACTACAGATCATTTGCATTCCTATGTACTGCCTTATAAACATGTACTTATCCTACAGAGAAGCTGAACACATTTCCTTGTTCTGCGCTTATTACAGGTTCTCCATCTTTGGGGTGGTGGTGGTGGTAATAACTTTATTCTTCCATTTAGTCTGTGGATCTGGGATAGGATATTCAAGAAGAGAAATGTAGGCTCTCCTGAATTTTATGATCGGGACAGCTGTTCCTGGGAAATGACACAAGAATCCCAATTAATTCCCCAAAGGTCACGCAATTGAAAAGTCAAGAGATGGAATTGATTGAAAGTGATCATCAACTTGACCTAGACTTTTTCCAGTAACTGAAAGGACAAGAGGCTTTTGAGCCAAGTATTGTCTCTTGCCAAATTTAATTTTTTCATTTTGGAGATTACAAGCGGCTTTAAAATATTCATGCGAATTCATTCTTGTTTCTACTTCTAGAAAAAATAGAACTTTCTCAATAGTTGCTGGGTTTCAATTCTTTTTCTCATCCAAGGGCCTTTTGAAATATTTAAAATTATCAAAATATTATTACAATTAGCAAGTCTTCTAAAAGTAAAAACTGATCCCACTGATATTATTTTTTAAAAGTTAATATTTTTGAAGGAAATTCTTCTGAGAAAATTTCCCAGAAAGTGTTCTGAGCCCAAGAACATATCTGAATTTTCTATCAGTTATAATCATATTCTGAAGGTTTTGGCAGAAAATTTGGGAACTAGAGAAAACGCACTCATAATATTGCTACATAATATATACTTCTGTTACAGTTTATTAATTTGTTTTTCTCTATTTCTGTACTGCCGTAATTGATGTTTACATATAATTTGGTACACCAACCTTTACAGTAACATATTGTTTTGCTACTGTCTTTATAGCCTTTGTTACCATGATTTTAACTGCTGTATAGTATTTCAAGTAAGTTGTATCATGATTGATTTAATCACTGCTTCTACTCCCTTCCTCAATCTCACTTTGTCCTTGAATCACTGGTTCTCTTATTAAGACCAACGAAAATAACATTGGAGTCAGAGCCAAATGACTTGGACGGTGTAGCTTTGCCAAATTCCGTAATCTCCTTAGCCCTGTTTCCCATCTATCATATGTGAATAACAGTGACTGGCCCCTGCCTACCCCCAAACACTTAACCTGTCTCAAGGAAAAACGTAAGACCTGTCCTCTATTACTTGTGATTTCCATTAAATAAATGGAATAGATCAATTAAACCAGGCTAAGAAAGAAGAAATATTCTCAACTTAATAATGAAAACAATTTTTAAATTATCTTTCTAAACATAAATAAGCTATGGCAAATTGTAATTAATTACCTCTGAGTTTTGTTTCCCCCAATTATTTTCAGGGTTCTGGTAGGTCCTTACTTATCTAATGTATTTTTAGACTTGGGACCCTTTTCTTCTTTACAACGTTTTTTTTTTTTTTAATTTTTAGGCAGAGTCTCCCTCTGTTGCCCAGGCTGGAGTGCAGTGGCACAATCTCGGCTCACTGCAACCTCCACCTCCCAAGTTCAAGTGATTCTCCTGCCTCAGCCTCCCGAGTAGCTGGGATTACAGGCATGTGCCACCACACCTGGTTAATTTTCATATTTTTAGAAGAGACGGGATTTCACCATGTTGGCCAGGCTGGCCTCGAACTCCTGACCTCAAGTTATCTGCCAGCCTCGGCCTCCCAAAGTGTTGGGATTACAGGCATGAGTCACTGTGCCCAGCCCTTTAGAAAGTTTTGAGATGGCTTTCTGTTTAATGTCTGTAGACCAACCTGAATATCAAGGGATTTTTTTTTTTCAGATGGAACAGTAATGAAAGTATCACAATTAGCAAGTTTTCTAAAAGTAAAAACTGACCCCACTGATATTATTTTTAAAAAGTTAATATTTTTGAAGGAAATTCCTCTGAGAGAATTTCCCAGAATGTGTTCTGAACCCAAGAACATACCTGAATTTTCTATCAGTTATAATCATATTCTGAAGGTTTTGGCAGAGCTGTCTTGGAAACAAAAGCTGAAAAAGGCAAAGGGTTGAACAGTGGACACATCTTTTAACCATATGATCTGGGAATGCCTTAGGATTGCTAGTAAGGTTGCTTTCTATAACAAGGTGCTTACTCTGTTTCTTCTGAGGCTAAAAGAAAACCTTTATCTTAAAATATAATCAATTATAAGATTTTGGCCAGCGCGGTGGCCCACACCTGTAATCCCAGCACTTTGGGAGGCCAAGGTGGGCGGATCACTTGAGTCCAGGAATTCAAGGCCAGCCTGGCCAACATGGCAAGACCGCATCTCTACTAAAAATATAAAAATTAGCTGGGCATGGTGGTGCATGTCTGTAATCCCAGCTACTCGGGAGGCTGAGGCACAAGAATCGCATGAACCTGGGAGGTAGAGGTTGCAGTGAGCTGAGATTGCACTGCTGCACTCTAGCCTGGGTGACAGAGCGAGACTGTCTCAAAAAAAAAAAAAAAAAAATATATATATATATATATATATATGTATGTATATATGATTTCTTTTTATTATGAAGCATTTCAAATGTTGGAACATGAGTAAAATAATTTGAACACATCTATTTTAACACATAGTAAACATATTGCCATATTAGCTTTGTACATGCACACACACATTTTAAATGAACAGATGCATTTGAAATTTTGTCTGTAATCTTCCTTGATCTAATCTCCTTCCTCTGCGTCTATCTCCATCTCTGCATATAAACACTACCTTGAGTTCAGTCTTATTATTGTTATTCCCATGCCTTTCTTTATGCTTTTGCTACATAGGTACGCATCCATCAACAGCATACAGTGTTGTTTTGCATGTTTAAAAACTTTAAATTTCCTCATAGATACAACTTACCTTATTCACTCTGCATAATTTTTAAGATTATTTCATGTTCATGCATACAGAACAATCATGTAAACTGTTGTATTGCCTTCCATTATGTGAATATACCACAATTTGTTTATCAGCCCCTCTTCCCTGAGCAAGCAGTTTGAGGGACAATTTAAAGTCATAGTGTTATAATTTGTTGGCCAAGCAGAACACAGAGGGTGCCAGGAATCAATACTTTTATTTCTGCCTTTCTCCATGTGCCTTCAGTTATTTTACTCCTTCCTTTATATTTTGGCTTGGTCTCCTGGAAAGATTGTTAAGATGACTCCTTAACAAAAACTTCTCCACGGACATGAGAACCCACTCTGTGTTAGGGAGGAGCTAAATGTGAGCCAGACATTGGTCAACAAGTAGGTGACTGTCGAGCCTATTACCATCAAATTGCATATATACATTCGTATCTATAATGTAATGCCTTGTGGGTTTCATATACACGAGTATTTTACTTTTTGCTTTTAAAAGACTATTAAAGTTATAAAAATTACAGTTTATAAGAATTTGGTTACCCTTGGTTATCTCCTTATTCAAATGTGTATTTTTCTTAATTTCCATAGTAATATATTTAAAAACCCAAGCATTGGAGGTCACTACAAACGATTGCATGAACAGCTCCACAGATCTTATTTACAATAAATAGCTAGGTTAGGTATTGCTAGTTTTGTAGATGGAGTGCCTATAGAATGGAAACCGTCTGCCATTCTCCTTCCAAAACAAGGAAAGGAACTAAAAAAGCAATTATGTCTGTTTCCTTGTCTTAATAGACAACATTGTTGTGAGCTGCTACCAGCTTTCTGTGTTCCCATGCAAGCTATAATCTATGATTTGCCTCTGTAATTTCATTAATATTTAGTGACCAGAGACTTTTTGAGTGTTAACAGATACATTCTGTTAATAATTATTCTGGTGACTTCATTGTGCTTATGGTGGAAAATAGGTCTCTGAATCACATTTATTGTTTTCCTTTACGAACAACTACCAATTATTTGACTAAATCATTGTCTATAAGCTAAATGAGTTTTCAGCCAACTAAACTGCATGTTACTGAAAAAACTTACGTGACAAATTAACAAAGTACACATTTTAAAAAAGATCAAGGACTCGTGAGCCAAGAAATTTCAAACCAAAGATAATATGTTTTATAAAGGTTGAAGTAGATTTTTCAATTAGAAAGTAAATGGAACGCATTGTAAATGACTGCAGCTTCTCTTGTTGTGTTTTTACTGTGATCCAGAAATGACTATATTGATTTTTGAAGTTTTTACGTTAACAAAATCACTGAGACTAAATTTCATGGCTTTGTGACTTCTGGGTCAACTGATAACAGCTGAGAGAGGCTGTGACTGATGCAGCTTCTCTGCTAGTTGCTCCTTCCTATGCTGAAGTATTTTTTTAGAGCCATCTTTTATCTTTACTTAGAACAATGATGTTGTGGTTTGTTTTATTCAGATCAAGTTTTCAGAAGCCGACTACTTTGGCAACGTCCTACAAACTCGCAAGTATTTAGCACAGTCTGATTTCTTCTGGCTAAGAAAAGCCGTTCCAAAAACAGAGTGAGTATTAAACAAAAAAAGTTAAATAGATAAATACATTGGTGAGAAGCGGAGTCTCTTTAGATTAAACTTTGTAATTCCCCTCAAGTCAGAGTAGCTGGCTTGCCAGTTAACTTGTTTTAGCAAAATCTGTGTCATGTTTTGCCAACTCTTATTTTTTATATTACGTGATTCAGATCTTAAGTCTAATTACAGGTCCCCCATTTCTAGCATCAACACATATCAAGAGAAGGCTTATTAGAATGCAAACATTAAAGTTATGTCTAGATCTAGTTATGAATATATAGAGAGGGAATAATTTCTCTGGATTTTTACATTCATGTAATAACTTTTGAAGACCTTAAAAAAGAATAAATACTTAAACTATGATTAGAAATGTCAAAGTAAATGTATAGAAGCAACTAGAAAATATTTGTTGAGGTAATGCCTATCAAAGAACTGATAGCTATATTGTTTTTATCTAATAGCAGTTATGATTTATTTGCCTTCCTCTCAGCTGCCTATAGGAGTTTTTCCTACAGATAGGAGAGTTTCCTTAGGAACTTTTAGGCCCAGAGCCCACCAGCTACGATTTCATCCCTTAGCAAAATGTCAGTGATGAATGTAGCAGCTAACAATTATTATTTGTTTACATTGTACCAGAAAGTGCTTTACAATTTTTAATTCATTTTATCCTCATACGAATTCTGTGTGGTATAGGTACTGTTATCCCCATTTTACAGGAAAATAAAAGGCTTACAACTGAGAAATTCTTCAGCTTAGGTTTGGATCACATTTTGTTCTGTCTGCTGGTGCTTTTGATTCCTGGGACTGGATTCTGTTCTGCTAAGGCCCACTTCTCCAATGCTTTTTTTTCTCTCTGTTCTCCAGATTGGATAATTTCTATTGGTCTGGATTTCAACTCCAGAATTTCTTTTTTTAATTTAATTGTATTATTATTTTTTTAACTTATTTTTTATTTCAATAGATTTTGGGGGAACAGATGGTGGTTGGTTACATGAATAAGTTCTTTAGTGGTGATTTCTGAGATTTCAGTGCACCCATCACACGAGCAGTGTACATGTATACTGTATCAGTGTGTAGTCTTTTATTCCTCACCCCCCTCCCACTCTTTCCCCCTAAGTCTCTAAAGTCCACTGTATCATTCTTATGCCTTTGTGTCCTCATAGCTTAGCTCCCTCTTATGAGTAAGAACATACAATGTGTGGTTTTCCATTCCTAAGTTACATAGGATAATGGTCTCCAATTCCATCCAGGTTGCTGTGAATGCCATTATTTCATTCCTTTTTATGGCTGACAACTTCGGAATTTCCGTTTGTTTTTTGTAGTTTCTATTTCTCTGTTGTGATTCTTTGTTAAGTCATTGTCATCATATTTTCTATTAATTCTTCAAATAAAGTTTATTTTAATTCTTTGAAGTCATCTATAATAGTCACTTTCAAGTCTTTGCTAAATCTAATATGTGGGCTCAAACTAACTAGAGTTAGTTTCTATTGATTGCCTTTTTATTAAATTAATTAATTTTTTTTTACAGTTTTTCCTTTGCTTAACATTTTTTGTTGTTGTTGCTAATGACAGTTTAGATAGCATGTTGTAGCAACTCTGGATTCTGATTTATTTTTCTGAGGCTTTTTTTTTTTAAAATCAAAAGTAACTGTCCTAACTTATACTGCCGAATAGATCTTCTCTGTGGTATGTAGCTGTCGATGTCTCCACTCAGTTTTTTAACTCTTATTTGTAGTTATTAGCCTCACTTCCTGCTGGTTGTCCCTGTGTCTACATAGCTTAGTGCTCAATCAGTGATTAGGTCAGAGCTTGTGCTTAAACACCTTGAGTCCATAGGGCTTCTACCCTCTGCCAGTTGCTCTGTGTGTGGGTTGGGAGCACCTTCAAAGTTATAGCCAGTTCTCAGTCCACCTTCAATTTCACCTTCCACCAGGCCCTCACTGGTCTTCCCTGCACATGTGCCTAGTTTCCCAGTCAGCCAGGGATGTGTGGAGTGCTTATTTGGCCCTTCTATTACTATTTCAGTTATAGGATCTCTCTTTTAAATTTCTGACTGGGTTTTCCTCGTTAGTTTTCTACTAAGTTGGCCATTCAAAAATTAAAAAAAAAATGTTGTGGGTATGTAGTAGGTGTACGTATTTATGAGGTACATGAGATATTTCAATACAGGCATAAAATGTGTAATAATCACATCAGAGTAAATGGGGTATCCATAGCCTCAAGCATTTATCCTTTCTTTATGTTACAGACAATCCAATTATACAGTTTTAGTTATTTTTAAATCTATAAAAAGTTGTTGACTGCAGTCACCCTGTTATGCTATCAAATAGATCTTATTCATTCTATCTAAGTATATTTTTGTACCCATTAACCATCCCCTCGACCCAGTACCCTTCTCAGCCTCATTCTACTCTCTATCTCCATGGGTTCAATTGTTTTCATTTTTAGCTCCCACAAATAAGTGAGAACATGTGAAGTTTTCTTTCTGGGGCTGGCTTATTTCACTTAGTATTGTCTAGTTTCATCCATGTAGTTGTAAATGACAGGATTTCATTCTTTTTTATGGCTTAATTGTACTCCATTGTATATATATACCACATTTTCTTTATCCATTTGTCTGTTGATGAACACATAGGTTGCTTCCAAATCTTGGCTATTGTGAACAGTTCTACAATAAACACGGGAGTGCAGATGTTCCTTCGATGTACTGATTTTCTTTCTTTTAGGTATATACCCAGCAGTGGGATTGGTGGACTGTAAGGTAGCTCTATTTTTAGTTGTTCGAGGATCCTCCAAACTGTTCTCCATAGTGGTTGTACTAATTTACATTCCCAGTAACAAAGTACAAGGGTTCTCTTTTCTCAACAACCTCACCAGAATTTGTTTTTGCCTGTCTTTTGAATAAAAGCCATTTTAACTGGGGTAAGATGATATCTCATTGTAATTTTTGATTTGCATTTCTCTGATAATCATTCATGTTGTGCACCTTTTCATATACCTGTTTGCCTTTTGTATGCCTTCATTTGAGAAATGTCTATTCAGATCTTTGTGTCTATGTGTCTGTTTTTATGCCAATATCATGCCATTTTGGTTACTATAGCTCTGTAGTATAATTTGAAGTTAAGTAATGTGATTCTTCCAGTTTTGTTGTTTTTGCTCAGGATAACATTGGCTATTCTGGATCTTTTGTGGTTCCATATAAATTTTAGGAATTTTTTTCTATTTCTTTGAAGAATGTCATTGATATTTTGATGGGGATTACAGTGAATCTGTAGATTGCTTTTGGTAGTATGGGCGTTTTCACAGTATTGATTCTTCTAATCCATTAACATGGAGTATCTACTTTTTTGTGTCCTCTTCAATTTCTCGCATCAATGTTTTTATAGTTTTCATTGTGGAGACCTTTCACTTCTTTAGTTAAGTTTATTCCTAGGTATTTTATTTTATTCGTAGCTATTGTAAATGAGATTATCTTCTTGACTTCTTTTACAGATCGCTTTCTCTTAGAATATAGAAATGCTACTGATATTTGTATGTTGATTTTGTATCCTGTAACTTTACTCAGTTTATCATTTTAATAGTTTTTTTGGTAGAACCTTTAGGTTTTTCCAAATATAAGATCATATTGTCTACAAACAAGGGTAATTTGACTTCTTTCTTTCTAATTTGGATGCCCCTTATTTCCTTCTGTTGTCTGATTGCTCTAGCTAGGACTTCTAGTACTATGTTGAATAATAGTGGTAAAAGTGGACATCCTTGTCTTGTCTAGATCTTAGAGGAAAGGCTTTCAGTTTTTCCCCATTCAGTGTGATACTAACTGTGGCTCTGTCATATATGACTATTACTGTGTTTAGGTATATTCCTTCTATATCCGGTTTTTCGAGAGTTTTTATCCTGAAACGATGTTGAATTTTATTAAATGCTTCTTTAGCATCAGTTTACATGATCATATGCCCCGTGTTTCTTTCCACTGTGATAGGACAGCACTGAGTTCCAGTGCAAAGTCCCACAATCACCGTACTCTCCTTCCCCCAAGCGCAGAGGTTTTTCTCTCTGTGCCCATGTGGCTGCTGCTGGGGAATGAGGGAAGGACGGTATAGGCAATTCAAGACTGGCTTTCCTACCCTCTTCAGTGCCTCTTTCCTTGATGTGATGTTAAAACCAGGTATTGTGATTGTTCACCTGGATTTTGGTTCTTATGAAGATGCTTTGTGTGTGTGTGTGTGTGTGTGTGTGTGTGGCTAGTTGTTCAATTTGGTGTTCCTGCAGGGAGGACACTTGCTGGAGGTTTCTACAGCCTTCTTGCTCTGCTTCATCCTCTATGTTGGCCATTTTTATCTGACAAAGCTGTGGCTTTTCACTGCCACCCCCAGTTGAGTCTACCCACTGGGGCAGCAAAGCTGCTGATTTCCCAGCCAGCCTTTTTCTGACAAAACTAAGGTCTCACTGAGCTAGGAGGGACAGGAGTAGTCTCAGGCAAAAAGGCCATAGTGCCTGCTCTACTTAATGCCAAGTTCTAGCAGTTTTTAAATATTAAATTTTGTTTAATTTATTGCTCCCCCTTGATGAATTCCCAGATTCCTAAAATGGTTATTTGTTGACAATGTTGTCCAGTTTTGTACTTGGTTTTTGTAGAAATGATTTGTCAACCTTCTCATGCCATTATACCTGCAAGCCTGGCTTCCATGGATTACAATTTTTTTTTTCATGGCCCACTTTTTAACCTTGGCTAATATTCTGATTTCTAGATCTTTGACTGGCTGTTTTTATGCTGCCTAGTCTTTTGCTACTCTCCCTTTCAAGTCCCTGTTCTGTCCTGGCTTCTAGAAACTCTGAGCCCCTGTGCTTTCCCTTGGCTTAAGTGGTGATTACCACTTCTCCCTCTTATGTTTCCATCCGGCCATCCCTGCTCTCTGCCCTTCAAACCTTCCTATAATATGCACCTGAAAAATTCATTGGAGGTTACTGACTTTAAGAGGTAGGCCTAAAGCTGAATCTCTCCCCTACCTAACCCTGACTCCAGTCAAAAGCACAAAGGAAAACAGCTTTAGAACTGCTTTGAAAAATGATAGATAATGGTTTAAAGCCATTTGCTCCACTGTCTTTGGTTCTTTCCTCTCATCACGTTATTTCTCAGTCCACCTATCCTGTTTCATTCCCAGTCTAAATTATTCAATAGTTTTAGATTTAGGCTTCTTAAATCCAATACTCAAATCTGATGACTTTGGCAAATGATTTCCAGTATCCCTATGACCATCTACATGTAATACGGTAGTCACAGATCTATATAATCTTGCCCTTCAATATTTGCTTCAGATCAGTTCCAACTCTTTTTTAAAAAAAAAAATCTGTGGAAAATTGAAGGGTTTCACCAATTTTTTGGTGAATTTTCAGGGTCTTCTCAGGGGCTCCTGCATATTGGCAATACAGTCAGTCTAATTGTTTGATTTCAAAATGTCATTATTCATTTAGTTGTGTAGAAAGGCCTGGATTAGTAATTGAAAAACTCCTAAATGTGTTATCTTTAACATCGTCCTAGGATACTGATGAACTTTCAGATTCTAATGGTCTTAACTATTTCTAATATTTTATTCATGCCTTAGAAATATACTGGCTTTGCAGGCTTAGGCAAACTGAGATTTGTGTGGTTTTCTTTTCTGTCATTGAAAAACAAATAGCTCTTTCACAAGGGTATTAAATTGGTTAACTTTTGGGAAAAGTTCTCCAGAAATGGAAATCAGTGCAATGCTTGTAATTCTTGTTTCCTCAGACTATATGTCTATTTCAGGGAAATAACATTTAGAAATTTAAGGTCTTCTTTGCATAGTAAAGGGATATGAGTAAATTCCTTTTCCTTCTTGTTTTTTTTTTTTAAAGGAAACATCTGGCTGGACCTTTTCAGGCATTGTAGAGACTTTTAGCCTCATGATACTCATTGGCTTGAATGGACATCTTTCAGGTCTGAAAATTCATGAGTTAATCGAGTGGGGATCATTCTGGAGTAGCTCTACTACACTAGTTTACTTTGAACAGCATCATGATTATATTTTCACAAAGCCCTGAAATAACGTTTTGCTTCTTTGTGGGTGTAGGAGATAAAGACCCTTTATCTTTTATTCTCATGGAATCCATTTTAGCTGCACTAATGTGCATTAAGAAGTTTCTAAGGCGATGGGAAATGTCAGCAAGAATGAAATTAATTGGGTGGTCATCCCTGAAGGTACATATTTAGGGGTTGGTTCACAGAATTGTCACTTCATCAGCTTGCTTAAAAATAGAGGATTTACTTACTGCTCGGCTTGAGTTGAAAGTAATTTCTTTCCCTCAGGATCACCTTCTTTGACAGAAATTATTTTAGCCCGCCTCACTTTTAACTCACTCTCATTCTACTGAGACCAAACACGTCTGAATTCTCTATCTTTTGAAAAATATGTAAAAATGCATTAAATGTCTTTATAAATTATGTTCCTGCCCAGAACTTTTGTTTGCAAAAGCATTATCTATAGCATGGAATGTGAGTGATATAATCTGCAGGATATTAATAAGAAAGCAATAAATACACTATTGCTTTTCCATTCCATATTCCCTAGACTATCTGTAGGAGTTGATAAGAAAAATGTAAAACTTTAGCCTGATGTATATCTATTTTATATGGTCCAAAGAAATAGGTGTACCAATGTCTTTTTCTTCAGATTCTTGTATTTTGGTATTATATTCCTTTTATGTATCTCATTCTCCAGTATAATTTCATCCCCATTATTGTGGGATTTGAAATTTCTATGAGACCTCTCCTTACCTTATCCACCAAATCCTTTCTCAAACACAGACTGCAGAAGCACCCTAAAGACATAGTAAGAAGAATTTAAAGCACTTGAATGATATTCTCTGTTTATTGAAGTGGATGTATACATGCAATAAATTCATTTTAATGGATTTAGTGATCTTCTGTTCAGCACTTACCATTTGGACAACAGTCAAAGCCCATAAGCAACTTAAAATCTTGTTGGGACATAAGCTGTGCAAACTCAGATGCCTTCAGGGGCCAGTCAGTTAACAAATGGTTGACCTACATGGGTGTAAACAACAGGGAGTGGTAGGGACTGTAGAAAACTAGTAATTACACACACCACTTGAAGGAATTCCAATTCAATAGTTTGTTAAGCCATTGTGTTGGGCAAGCAAAACAGTTTTCTGGGAAGATTCAGCCCATTGGGTTGGACTTAGTCTGTGGATAGCCAACTTTTCAGCATTCCATTTATCTATTGCTGTGTGATAAACCTCCCCCAAATTTAGAGTACTGAAACAACAGTCATTATTTTTCTCTCTCATGGTTCTGGGGGTCACTAGGCTCAGCTGCATGGTTCTCGTTTGTGGTTTTTTTTTTTTTTTTTGGACACAGAGTCTCACTCTGTCACCAGGCTGGAGTACATTGGCGTGATCTCGGCTCACTGCAACCTCCGTCTCCCAGGTTCAAGCGATTCTCCTGCCTCAGCCTCCTGAGTAGCTGAGATTACAGGTGCCCGCCACCACGCTGAGCTAATTTTTGTAGTTTTAGTACAGACAGCATTTCACCATGTTGGCCAGGCTGGTTTCGAACTCCTGACTTCAGGTGATCTGCCCACCTCAGCCTCCCAAAGTGCTGGGATTACAGGCATGAGCCACTGCACCTGACCATTTGTGGTCTTTCATGTAGTTACAGTCAGATAGTGGCTGGGGCTAGAGTCATATGGAAGGCTACCTCTCTCACATGTCTAATGGTTGATGCTGACTGTTGACTAGAACATCTACATATGGCCTCTTCATGTATGTTGGGTTTCCTTACAGCATGTTGATTGATATAGAAAGTTCAAAGAGCAGCTTTTCTGAGAAAGAAGAAGGGAGGGAGGGTGTGTTTGTATGCATCAGGGGGAAGTTGTATCACCTTTAATTACCTAGCCTTGGAAGTCACACTGTCATTTCTGCTGCGTATTATTCTTTAGAAGTGAGTCACTAAGGCTAACCCATAATCAAGGGGAGAGGAATTTAGATTCCATCTCTTAATGGGAGGAGTGTAAAAAAGTTCACAAACACATATTAAAACTAGCACATGTAGCCTTACATTAGAGAATAGTAAAACTAAATATATAATAAACTTGGATGTAATACGGGAGATATACAAAATGTTTAACAGCTGGTTTGGCATGGGCCCTGAACAAATAGAAGAAATAACAGCATCAACAACTGGTAGGATCTACTGGTGCAGCTGCTTAATATCAGCTCTGGGTATTATCAAGTCTCCATACGTGCCCTAGAGTCAATAAGAGCCCTGGGAGGTCAGGAATGGTAAGATCATGTGTCTGAAATAAGATGTTTTCGTTATTCTTGTTGAAGCTTCAGAAGCCCCATTAAGGTCTAGTTTCAGAGACTGGTTGTTTGGTTTGCTTTGTCTACCTTTGTCTACCAGCAGTTAGGAACATTTTCCCTGCATGGCCCTTACCTGAATATTTTAAAAGTTTGTTATTTTAAAGAGAGGGGAGTTGGGAAGAACAAAAAGAGAAGGGACAAGCTCTAGGAATACACGTTATCTTTTGTATGTATTATGATTCATTCCAGTGTTATTTAGAAGCCAAGGCACCCACCTGGATTTTCCCCTCTTGACCTACAAATGTTGGGTTCTTTGGATAGTGCATTAGTTTCCTATTGCTACTGTAACAAACTCCTACAACCTAAGCAGCTTAAAACAGCACAGATTTATTATCTCACAGTTCTCTAGCTCAGAAGTCTAGGGTAGCTTGGTTGTTTTCTCTGCTTTGGATTTCATAAGGCTGAAATCAGAGTGTCAGCCGGCTGGGCTCTTATGGGGAGGTTCTGGGAATAATCCCCTTCCAAGGGGATTCAAGTTGTTGGCAGAATCCAGTTCTTTCTGATTGTAGGGGTAAGGTCTTTACTTCCTTGCTGGCTATCGCCTGGAAGCCACTCTTTGTTCTCAGAGGGATTTATGCAGTCCTTGCCCATTGCCCCTACATCTTAGAGCCAGCAGCGTGTCAAATCCTTCTTACCCTTCCTCCTCTCCGACTTCCTCCTCTGTTGCATCTCTCTGATTCCAGCCAAACAAGGTTGTCTGCTTTTAAGGGCTTGTGATTAGATTGAGCCTACCTGAATAATCCAGGATAATCTCTCTATTTTAAGGTCCTTAAGCTTAATTACACCTGCAAAGTCCTTCTTACTATGTAATGTAACATGTTCATAGGATCCAGGGATTAGGACTTGGCCATAATTTTACCTACTACAGGTAGCCAAGTTAGGTCAATAGAGGTGCTTTCCCCTTCACTTGTTTCCTCAGGAAAGTAGGCCAACCAGCAAGTTTATGTTAAACACTAGGGCTTAATTGAAATACCCTAAATTTGAAGGAAAAGAATATGCATTTTATGGAAATATGTCTAGGTTTCGGTTTTGAAGAGAGAAGAGGTGCTCTTTCTTGATTTCCAGTAATGTCTACAGTATAATATAATGCTTAGGCGAACTGGTTTGAAGTCAGACAGACCAGGCCTCGTACAAGCACATAATGCTCATAAATCTCATTATCCTCGTCTGTGAAATGGGCTAATAATTCCTATGTTGCCATGGGGAAAAACTGATGAATAGAAGGTGCTTAGGACATAGTAAGTGCTCAATGAATGTTAGCTAAATATAATGATAATGATAACAGAATGACATATTCATAGACTTCTTTGTAGCTGGGGAGAAGGTATGAGTTTACCAACTAGTATCAATAATTGGGTTTCCTATTAGTTTCATATTAACCTGATATAAATTAATTTGTTAGTCTGACATAATTATCCTATTAGACGTAAATGAGTAATACAATTATTCTAGAAAGGGATTTATACAAGTTTTTTTTTTCTTTTTAATTTTTTTAGAGACTGGAACTTCTGGGCTCAGGCAGTCCTCCTGCCTCAGCCTCCCAAGTAGCTGGAACTATATTTGCATGCCACTGCTGGGCCTAGGAGTTTATTTTTAGCAATTTTGCTTAAGATGAATTGCTTGGTTTTAATCATAACAAGCAGTCACTGAAACTCACAACCATCTAAGTCAGGGTTTGGCCACTATGGCCTGTGGGCCAAATCTCACCTGCTGCCTGTTTTTGTGTGGCCCATGAGCTAAGAATAATTTTTAGAGATAAATGTTTGCAGGTGGTTTGATGATGGGGAAGCCCTAACTTTGTTCTGTTTTTTGTTTTTGTTTTTTAATTAAAATAACTTTTGTTGGTACGTAGTAGTTGTAAATATTTATGGGGTACATGAGATATTTTGATACAGGCCTGCAATGCATAATCATCACATCATGGAAAATGGGAGTATCCATCCCCTCAAGCATTTATCCTTTGTGTTACAAACAATCCGCTTATATTATTATAGTTATCTTAAAATGTACAATTACTATTGACTATAGTCACCCTGTTGTGCTATCAAATACTAGGTCTTATTCATTCTTTCTAACTATACATTTTTTGTACCCATTACCCATCCCCACTTCTCCCCCATTCCCCTACCGCCCTTCCCAACCTCTGGTAACCATCCTTCTACTCTCTATCTCCACGAGTTCAATCGTTTTGGTTTTTAGATCCCACAAATACGTGAGATCTCACAAATACGTGAGAACATGCAATGTTTGTCTTTCTGTGCCTGGCTTATTTCACTTAACATAATGACCTCCAGTTCCATCCATGTGTTGCAAATGACAGGATATCATTCTTTTTATGGCTGAATAGTACTCCATTGTGTATATGTACCACATTTTCTTTATCCATTCACCTGTTGGTGGACACTTAGGCTGCTTCCAAATCTTGGCTATTGTGAACAGTGCTGCAACAAACATGGGAGTGCAGATATCTCTTTGATTATTTTCTTTCCTTTGAGTATATACCCAGCAGTGGGGCTGCTGGATCATATGGTAGCTCCATTTTTAGTTCTTTGAGGAACCTCCAAATTGGAGAAGCATAACTTTGAACCCCAATTAAGCAAAAGGTTATCTCATCCCAAAATAATTCCGTTATTCTCATTAATAGGCATATATTAGAAATAATTGTACTCAGCTGGGCATGGTGGCTCACGCCTGTAGTCCCAGAACTTTGGGAGGCTGAAGTGGGTGGATCACTTGAGGTCAGGAGTTTGAGACCAGCCTGGCCAACATGCCGAAACCCTGTCTCTGAAAAAAAAAAGAGAAATAATTGTACTTGATTACTATTGTTATTTTTTGGATTTCATCAATAAAATTTGTGGACAGTTTGCTCTTAAGTACCTACGTAATATCCTTGATTTTGCCTCTTTGCCTGTAAAGCCTAAAATATTTATGATCTCACTCTTTACAGAAAAAAATTTGCTGACTGCTGATCCCAGTAACCTATTGTGCATTTAAGGTTTGGGTGTAGACTCCTTTTAGATAGAAGGGATCCTTTAGATGTCCTAATGCAATGCCTTAATTTTATAGCTAAAACCAAACCCCAGGAAGGTAGGTGACTCTTCCCACACAATTCAGCTAGTTAGTGATAGAGGCAGTACACTTTCCACTGGAGCAGGCAGACCCTCTGGGTGGCATAGTTGGACTTTATTCATCTTTCTTTAAATGGACCTCTGTGTTGTCACCAATCCAGAACTTTTAAATGGACAGGCCAGAGGTAATGCAGCATAGAAACCCAATTGTCCATTCAACCCATTGAATAGGGCCTGGCAAATATATAGTTGCTGTGTTTCCATTTGCAGGGACAGCCCTTTAGATTCTAGAATTTCTCTTTAAAACTTTTTCAAAAGCACTGGTGTGCTGACTTTTTTTCTGTTAAGTTAGTAACAATAAATAACTGGGCATGTTAATATATTTTCATTGAGCCATGTTCAGTTTAGGATGAGATTGTTCATTGAGCAGTACAGTAGCCCCAAACTGAGGGAATAATTTCCCCTCATGTCCAACATCCCCATTGTTCCATGTTATCTGCTAATAAACCCAGCCATGCTGTGTTTGTCTTTGCTTCCCTCCTGCCTGTATAATGATGATTGCTCTCTGGCATTTGTTTCTTTTTCTACAGGTGGTTTACAAATCCGACGACTGTCAATGCCTTCTACAGTGCATCCACCAACCAGATCCGTGAGTACGGGTTCCTTGTCTCCTTGGTAACCTGGTATAAAATGCAAAGAACTTTTCCATGACTATGATGGAGGGTAAGACATTTCTTATTTCCCCCAAAAGTGGCAGGGTATGCTGGTGAAGGAAGGTTGTTCTCCTACCTATATGCCAAATTTTCCTCACTCTCTTCACCTTACCAGTTTTTTTTAAAGCTTTATGTCACCACTGATTGAAAAAAAGTCAACTACAGTAAACCAAATTAAACCATAATGAAGTTTGCCATGAAAAGGAGCAAGTTTCCACTTTCCTTTCATAATGGCCTTACTGATTTTGTCCATGCCATTTTATTCATTCCTAGGATTGGTGGGGAAAACAGCAGGTAACTGAGCAGATTGTAGAACCTGAGCGGACCATCTGTATGTAAGAAAGAAGCTTGGAAATATTCTTATTAACGCTAGGAAGTTATGTCTTGAGGTTTTCTACTTACATGTATCAGGTATATGTAATTAAAAATACCATGATAAATTTAAAAAATTATTATTTTTATTATTTTTTAAAGACAGAGTCTCCCTCTGTCACCTAGGCTGGAGTTCAGTGGTACGATCCTGGCTCACTGCAACCTCTGCCTCCCAGGTTCAAATTATTCTTGTGCCTCAGCCTCCTGAGTAGCTAGGAGTACAGGTGTGCACCACCACGCCCAGCTAAATTTTTTTTATTTGTATTTTTAGCAGAGATGGGGTTTTGACATGTTGACTAGGCTGGTCTCAAACTCCTGGCCTCAAGTGATCTGCCCACCTTGGCCTTCCAAAGTGCTGGGATTACAGGCGTGAGCCACTGCACCTGGCCTTAAAAAATTATTAAGATCTGAATGGCACAAATAAAAAGTCTGACAGCTTCCAGCCTTGGCAATAAGGACACATACTCACTGCTGGTGGAAAGATAGATGGGCTCATCCACTTTGCAGGGCAATTTGACAATATCTCAAAAAGCTGAAGTTGTGCATGCATACCTATGACCATGATGTGTGCTCCTGGAATGTGCTCTAATGTTGTGAGTCTTGAAATGTGGTCCTTGGACCTGCAGTAATAGCATCATGGGGGATCTTGTTAGAAATGCAAATTCCCAGGCCCCACCTTAGGTCTATTGATCAAACTTTGGATGTGGAGCTCAGAAATCTGGTGCAATAAAACCTGCAGGTGATTGTAATGTATGCTAAAGTTTGGGAACAGCTGCCCTAGAGAACTCTTGCACAAGGCATAAAGAAGCCCATGCAAAAATGCTCATAACAGTATTATTTATAATAGTAGAAAAAGCAAAATAACCTACATATTCCTCTGCAGGAAGATGAGTCACATGTGGCATATTCACACAAAGGAATACCATACAGCAGTGAAAAATGAGCAACATATATTAACATGGATGAATTTCACAAGTAAAACAACTTGGGAAAATATATCAAGTATGATACTATATAAATAAAGTTGAAAATCATGCAGAACAATTCTACACATGGTTTGGAGGTCCATCCATTTGTAGTGTAAGTGTAAAGACATTCATGAGAATGACAAACACCAAATTCCGGTTGGTGGTGGCTTGTCTTGGGGAGGGTGGGCCACTGTTGCTCAAATCCTTGCTGGTTTCTCCTCATCTCCCATATCTCTTAATGATGGCATGCCCCAAGGCTCAGTCTGCACCTTTTCTGTTCTCTTCTCTCCATCTTTGCTCACTTGCTTGGTGATAACATCTAATCTCATGGTTTTAATCACATTTCTACAGTGTTGAATGCAGGGGATGGAATTTATCACCCTTGTTCATACCACTACTATCTCCCACCTGGATTATGGTAATAGCCTCCTCATTGGCCTCCCTGCTTTTGTTCTTACCCCCCTTCAGTCTATTCTAAATATAATATTGTAGCGATTTTAAGACGTTTTACAATCACATCGTGTCACTTCTTTGCTCAAAAGCTTTTATCAGCATCCCATCTCACTCAGAGAAAGAGCCAAATTATTTATAATGGCCTTAAGGTCTGTTATCTTTCTGCCTGTACCTCCTGCTACTCTCCCCCTTCCTCCCTCCTTCTGTTCCGGCCACACTGGCCTCCTTCGTGTTTATAGAGCACACCTGACACGCTCTGCTCTGGGAGCATTTATACCTGGGGTTGGCTTTCTCTTGGAAAACTTCCCCAAGTGACCTGCCTGGTTTATGCTCCCATTTCCTTCAAATCTTTATTCAAAGGCCAGGCCACCTCCTTAGGGAGGCATCCTGCCTTCCCTCTGGCCAGTTGGCCAGTCTGCCGTGGGTCCTCCATACTGGCCGTTGTTCCTACAGGACTCTGGTCAGAGGACAGCCGGAAGGCTGTGGCTGCTCACTACCAGCTGGCACATCTTCTTAGAGCCGCCCTCGTGTGGCCACTGTTAGGAATGGCAGTTTCTGCCCGACTTCGGTCTGAGAGAGAAATGAACAGAAAGACGAAAGACAAGCAGATGGCGGGATTTTTTTATTTATACATTAATTTACATAACCAAGTAAGTTGTTAAATATTTTGAATGTCACTTCTTACTGTATAAATATTCATTATCACGAAACTACCATTGCTTTCTTAAGGCCCTAAATGCCAACTTGAGAACTAAGTTGCATATGTTATATGGGAACTTATGATATTTGAGTTATTAATTATAACTAATACTTATAATAATTTATTATTAATTATAATCACATTTAGGACATTCTATTGGGAAATAGAAATTGTTTAGATTATTCACTTAAAAACGTTTTATTGTCTAATATTTGGTACATGCAAAAGAACATGTAACATTTTGGCACATATAAGTTATAAAGAATATATGAAAACATGACGAAATTAATATGTGCCTACGACGCCCTCACCCCATCAGGAACCATCCCTCCCTCTCACCACAGAAGTAACACTCTTCTGATTTGAGGGTTTATCATTTTTGTTTTGTTTTTTTAAAATAAAACTTTATTTATATAGGTATCCCTAAAGAATATGTTGTTTATTTTTACTTGTTTCTTAGTATAATAAAAATGGTATCTTACTGTATGCAATCTTAAACAACTGCGATTTTTCAGTCAACATGTTTTTAGGATTTGTTCGTGTAGCATGTGGTGGTAGGTTGTTTTCATGTTCACTGCTGTATAATATTTCATGACTGTACCCCCAGATTGTTTATTCTTCTGTTGTCCAGCCTATGAGTCCCCACACCCAGGTTTTTGCTTATGAACAGTGCTGCTCTGCATATTCTTGTGAATGTCTCTTGGAACAAGTGTCTGAGGGTATACATCCAGGAGTGGAATTATTGGCTGATAGGAAGAAGTTATCTACCAGATAATATCAAATGTTTTCCAAAGCTGGTGTTCCAAAGTACAGAAGTGTTTCTGTTGTTCCTCATTTTCATCAACTCTTGGCATTGGTAGATTTAATTTTCACCAGTCTAGCGAGTGTAAGAGATCAGCTCTGATGCAAGAAAAGCCGACGTTTCCGCATTCACTTTAAAATGTCACTGAAGGCTTACTGCTCCTTGGGGTACTTAAGTGTGTCTAATAATAGTTCCATCTCCAGGGTTCACCCCTGCTCAGCCTTTTTCTTGCCTGGGAAGGGCTAATCCTATCAGAGGTTTACTGAGGAAGAAACCATTTCAGGGTAACCCAATGGTTTCATGAAAGCTCATGGGCAGAGGGTTTTTTTTAAAATGAACAATTTGAAACAGTATTTTAATTAAGAGATTCAAGCTGTTTCTGTTTTCCTAATGACCAGTGCTTGCTCTCATTGTAAATTACATTCCCAGGCAAGATGACAAGGAATCCTTTGGGTGACTTTTTTTTCCCCTCTCTCCTTTCTGATTTTCTGGACTACAAATTAAGACAGGTGGAGTTTCTTCTTACACACTTCCCCACCGGGTTTCCTGGGACTTCCCCCACCCTACAACTGCCTTCTTTTTGCTTCGCTGAAGAAGTGAAAAATTGAGGTGATTCTCTAAAATGAACATCTTTATTGATTAGGGGCTGATTCTGACAGCATGTGGCCATCTGTTTAATTGGGTTTTACATCTAAGATGTAACTATACTTAGTAACGTGATTTATGACAATTTCATTCAGTTCCCATTATCATTTTCTGATTTATGCTACTTAAATCTTCTTCTGCACGCAATAGAGACTTGAATAGAAAACAGAAAAACCTGTAGTTGTTTTTTCTTTTTCAAATCCATGCCTTTGTGTGGAACCCTATGATTTGTGGCCATCTTTCAATGTTAGATTTTTACAGGGTGGTTACAACTTCTTATTTTTCTTCCCTTGTCAAGCTGGGTAGCAACGTCTCTAGACATGGCATGTAGTGTGAAATTATAATGATTTAAATCTGCTGTATGAGGAGTTAAACTCAGTAGCTGTCATAAAATTTAATTATATTTGAATAAGGTGGTTAAAGAGGAAAACACAAATCTGAAATGATTGGTGCTTAACCCTAACTTTGTGATAACTGCGACACTGATCTTGCTGCTTTTCAGAGTGGCAAGGTGAGAACATGAATCAGAGATCTAGTTTGTATGGCCTTAGTCGAGGTTTTTATCCTTCCAGACCCCTATTGTCCTGTCTGCCACATGTTGAGGCTATCTAGCCCATAGGGTTTTAGGGGAAGATTTAATGAGACGAATTTGTAAAGTGCCAGCACATTGCCAAGCTCAGGGCTTGTATATCTAAACCTGGCATGCCAGGAATCCCTGCGATAACCATTGTGTCACAAGACAAACAGCAAAATATAAAGATCGGCAGGGGGGATTATTTCAAACTTTTGCCCTCAAGAGATCTTAGGCCGGGCATGGTGGCTCACGCCTGTAATCCCAGCACTTTGGGAGGCTGAGGCAGGCGGATCACCTGAGGTTGGGAGTTCGAGACCAGCCTGGCCGACGTGGTGAAACCTCATCTCTACCAAAAATATAAAAAATTAGCCAGGCTTGGTGGCAGGCGCCTGTAATCCTAGCTGCTCGGGAGGCTGAGGCAGGAGAATCACTTGAACCCAAAAGGCGGAGGTTGCAGTGAGCCGAGATTGTGCCAGTGCACTACAGCCTGGGCGACAGAGTGAGACTCTGTCTCAAAAAAAAAAAAAGAGATTTTATTATAATGTTCCACATTATAATATGTATGCATGCAACTGACTAAATGCTGAGTAAAAGAAGCCAGGTGTAAGACTAAATACTGTTCTGTTTCATGTGTATAAAGTTCAGGAACAGGCAAATACATCTATATGATAGAAGTTAAAATAATGACTACCTTTGTTGGGGGTATTGACTGAGAGGAGGCATGTGACACATTCTTTATCTTGATCTCAGATGTGGTTACACAGGTGATACAAGAGTAAAAACTCACCGTGTTCTATCATTAAAATTTGTGTCTGGCTGGGTGTGGTGGCTCACGCTTGTAATCCCAGCACTTTGGGAGGCCAGGGTGGGAGGATTGCTTTAACCCAGGAGTTCGAGACTAGCCTGGGCCATATAGCAAGACCCTGTGTCTACAAAAAACAACAAAAAATTAGCCAGGTGTGGTGGCATGCACTTGTAGTCCCAGCTACTCTGGAGGCTAAGGTGGGAGGATTGCTTGAGCCCAGGGGTTTGAGACAGCAGTGAGCTATGATTATGCCACTGTACTCCAGCCTGGGTGACAGAGCAAGATCCTGTCTTTAACAACAACAAAAATGTATGCTTTTACTGTATGTTAAGTGACACCTCAAAATAAATAGGAACACTGCTCCTTTTCTCCATAAAAATGTTTGGAACAGCGTATAGTATGCATGGACATCTGGAGCTAATAATAGGTTGCCTCAGGCTAAGTCTCTAGATGTGTAGACCAGGGATTGGCAAACTATTTCTGTAAATTGCCAGATAGTAATATTTTTGGCTTTGCAAGTCATAGTGTCTTTGTTGCAATTTCTCAACTCTGCCATGGCAGCCATAGACAGTTCATAAACCAATGAACCTGGCTGTGTTCCAGTAAAACTTTATTTACAAAACAGGTGGCAATATTCAGGTAGTGGTAGTGGTGGGAAGAGTGAACAGCTCATATTTGGTTTTCATTTCTACTAACATGGATTGGTCTTTAGAAGAAAATTCATTTTAAGTATTCACTATCAATGAATATTTGAAAAGCGCCTCATTTAAGTATTTGGTTTTTATTTTCATACATCTCAAATCAAATTAAAGAAGTATCTTAAACAGATAAGATCTTGGCTTGAAAACAAGCATGGCCTAAGGGCTAAAACCAATGATTTTATTATCTTTGCTGTTATACACAAGGGATTTTTTTCCCCTCAGTTTAATCACAGATATTCTGCTAAAGAAGATAAGCCTTTGTCCAGAGGCTGGGCTTATGGGGGCATCGAATTATGGAATTAACCTGGAAATCAAACATAGATTTGTTTTGCTGTTAAGGAAATAACTGTGTTTCAAACTGGGAGAATTTCTCATACTTCACTGGCTCTGCCTGAAACCATAAAGTAAAAGCTAAGTTAGCAAATACTCACCTGTGGCTTCTCTTGGAATTTAATGAAATTAAATCTTTGAATCCACTTGATGTTCCATCTGGGGACATGAGAATATAAGACTAATATATAGAATTTGGGAATAGTCTTCCATTGTTTTTAGAGCTAGAAAGAAACTTAAGTGGTCACCTCATCCAAATTTCTCACTACCTAAAAGAGATCCTGACACTCAGAGCAATTCTTAGTAATTTTTTTTCCACTTATTCACTTGATTTTCAAGTGAATTTTCAAGGCCCCAATGATTTTCACTTCCCGGTATTCATTCCCCTGTCTAGTCCCCTGCCACACTGAGTAAGGCTTACCACTGTAACTAATAGGATGCTATGGAAATTCTAGATTATGACTTCTGAGGCTGGGTCATAAAAAACATTGTGGCTTTTGTTTTTTGGATAATGTTCACTCTGGGGGAAGCCAACCACCACACTGTGAGGGCATTCAGGGAGCTCACACAGAGATCCACATGTGAAGGAACTGGGGCCCCCTGCTCATTAGGAGTACCATGTGAGTGCGCCATCTTGGAAGTAGATCCCCAGTGCAGCCAAGCTTTCAGATGACCGTGGCCCAGGCTGACATCTTGGCTGCAACCTCACGAGACACTGATACAGAACCACCCAAATAAGCTGTTTCCAAACTCCTGACCCAGAGAAATGGGGAGATAGCAACTATGTCTGGGGATGATTTGTTACACAGCAAGAGGTAACTAATATAGCTATTAGAGCATGCCCAGGTACTAACTGAGTTTGGTAGGAGGGTATATAACTTTGTGTGGTTTAGTGGTTAAGGGTGTGAGCTCTGAAGTATGACAGTTTGATTTTGAATCCTGGCTTGGCCACTAATAACTTGCAACCTTGGGCAAGTTACTTAACATCTTTAAGCCTCAGTTTAATTATCTGTAAAATGGAGCTAATAGTAGTAACCATCCTATAGGGTTTTTGTGAAGATTAAATGATACTATATATTTAATATCTAATGTTATCTAGTACATTTTATAATCTAATATTAGATACATAATATTAATATGTAATATTAAATATTAATTATATCTAATATTAATATACATTTATAGTTATATATTATAAATTATACATATAATATATTATATAATATTTATATAATATATATCAATATGTAATATATAAGTATATATTAAATTATATATACTTATATATATGTTAATATTGTATATATAATATCATTTAATCTTAACCCTATAGGATGGTTACTACTATTATATATATATATAAAATGCTTGGTATAGAGTGTGGTTCATAGTAGGCACCCAATAAACATTAGCTATTAGTCCTTGCTTTTGAGGAGCTGGGAGAGAGAGACTTGTTACCAGGTCATTTAGAAGACATCATGGTGAGTGTGCAACAGAAGGGTGTGCAGTGCATTCTGGGAGCCACAGTGGAGGGGCAATTAAGCCTGGGGGAGTCAAGATTGGATTCCCTATGAAACTGATGTTTGAGTGGACTTTGGAAAGAAAAAGAAATTTCTCTGGGCACAGAAGTGAGATTAGGGCATTTAGGAAGAAGCACTGTTGTTTGGTGCAAAGGCGCAGATATGGCAGAACATAGCACAGGAACAGACTGTGAGATGGCCACAAATGCTGGGGCACAGCTTGCACTGGTGGAAGAGACAGCAAAGGGAGTGATGGGAGATGATAAGTGGAAGGAAGGCTTTGTGGGTCATGTCAAAGAACAGGCCAGAGGGAGCTAGTATAGTTTTTTTGCGGGGAGGCAAATAACTTAAGTTTTACTTCTGTATTGGTCTGTTTTCACACTGCTAGTAAAGACGTACCCAAGACTGGGTAATTTATAAAGGAAAGAGGTTTAATGGACTCACAGTTCCACATGGCTGGGAGGCCTCACAATTATGGCGGACGGCGAAGGAGCAGCAAAGGCATGTCTTACATGGTGGCAGGCAAGAGAGTGTATGCAGGGGAACTCCCATTTATAAAACCATCAGATCTCATGAGACTTATTCACTATCATGAGAACAGCATGGGAACAACCTGCCCCTATGATTTAATTACCTCCCACTGGGTCCCTCCTACAACATGTGGGAATTATGGGAGCTACAATTCAAGATGAGCTTTGGGTGGGAACACAGCCTAACCATATCAACTTCCTTAATCCTAGTATTAAAGATCATGGTCTGGAGAGGGACAGATTGCAGCCACTAAGACCAGTTAGGAGTTTTGCAAATGGCTCAAGAGAAGGACGGGGAGGGCCTAAACTTAGGCAATGACAGGGGTGAGGAGGAGTAGGAAGTTTATAAATCATATCCCAGGAGATAATTGTCAAATAACTGCATAATGATAATACAGATAGCACAGTGATCCTCCCTTATCCATGGTTTTGCTTTTCATTGTTTCAGTTACCTATGGGCAACCAAGTTCTGAAAATATTCAGTGGAAAATGCCAGAAGTAAACAGTTCCTAAGTTTTAAGTCGTGTGCCATTCTGAGTAGCATGATGAAATCTCTTGCTGTCCAGCTCTGTGCCACCTGGGACGTGAATCATCTCTTTGTCCAGTGTATCCATGTTGTATATGCTACTTGCCTGTTAGTCACTTAGTAGCTGTCTCAGTTACCAGATCAACTGTCACAGTGCTTGTGCCCAAGTAACCCTTATGTTACTTAATAATGGCCCCAAAGCATAAGAGTAGTGATGCTGGCAATTCAGGTATGCCAAAGAGAAGCTTCCTTTCAGTGCTAAGGTGAAAGTTCTCCACTTAAGGAAATTTAAAAAGAAATCATATACTGAGGTTGCTAAGATCTACAGTAAGAACGAATCTTCTATACATGAAGTTGTGGAGGAAAAAGAAATTTGTGCATTGTGTGCGTGTGTGTATTAGTTTGGTACTATCTGAGGTTTCAGGTGTCCACCAGGGGTCTTGGAACATATCTCCCAAGGACAAGAGCGGGGACTACTGTACTTTTCTAACTTTTCCACTAGGGCTTTACAGGACTTCCATCAAATGGAGATTATAACTGTTCTGTGCAGCTAGGCTTTGCTGAGGAACCATTAATATGCCAACCATTATGCCAGGTACTTTAATGTATGTTATCTCTAATCTTCACAACAGTTCTATAAACTTGGTATTATGGGCTCATTTTACAGAAGAAGAAACTGAAGCTCAGAGAGGTGATGCAACTTGCAAAAGACTGCAAAACTAGCAAATTGCAGAGCTGGGAGTATAACCCAGCTTATCTGATTGCATCCTGTTTATCGTCACACTACACTGTTCAAAACTGGATAGGAAATGTGAGAATTACAGTCACGTGATAGGCTGGGTGCAGTGGCTCACGCCTGTAATCCCAGCACTTTGGGAGGCTGAGGTGGGTGGATCACTTGAGGCCAGGAGTTTAAGACCAGCCTGGCCAACGTGGTGAAACCCTGTCTCTACTGAAACTACAAAAATTAGCTGAGCATGGTGGCTGGTGCCTGTAATCCCAGCTACTCGGGAGGCTGAGGCACGAGAATCACTTGAACCCGGGAGGCGGAGGTTGCAGTGAGCTGAGATCGTGCCACTGTACTCCAGTCTGGGTGACAGAGTGAGACTCTGTCTCAAAAATAAAAATAAAAAATAAAATAAAAAATAGCCATGAGATGATATACAGGAACACACTCTGAAAAGGTTAAGGGTATGATATAAATGTGTTAGAGTAATCATTATTATATCACCCCCTCACCCATGCTGCTCGTTCACTGGTTGGGGGATTGTTTCTCTTCTGGTATGGAAACAAGATATTATAGAATGTAAGGCAGCCAGGAGGTGAGAGTGAGAAGTTTAGATGGTCCCCAAGTCCTACTGATTTCATGTCCAAAAGGGTTGTGGCATCAAGCAGTTCATTATTGCCTCTTCTAACGATGCTGTTCTCTGCAAGCTTTTTGGCCAAGCCTGTGATCTCCTTGGGTCTTTAGCTTATGGGAAGAGTGGAGGAGGGGTTATTCTGTAAGCTAGCTTAAAAGGAGTATTTAGATATACTCCCCCAAAAGGCTTTACTTTCCAAAGTTTACACTGAGATTTTAAAAGTTTTGTTAAGTGAGCTGAAGTTAAGTCATGAACAAACTTTGAATAGTTTGTGAAATTGACAGATGATGCACTTAGCAAGTCTGTGGAACACCTGCTACAACTTTTTTGTTTTTGTTGTTGTGACAGAGTCTCACTCTGTCACCCAGGCTGGAGTGCAGTGGCCCGATCTTGGCTTACTGCAACCTTCACCTCCTGGGTTCAAGCGATTCCCCTGCCTCAGCCTCCTGAGCAGCTGGGACTACAGGCGCTCACCACCACGCCTGGCTATTTTTTTAAAATATATATTTTTATTAGAGACAGGAGTTTGCCATGTTGGCCAGGCTGGTCTCGAACTCTTGACCTCAAGTGATCCACCTGCCTCGGCCTCCCAAAGTTCTGCGATTACAGGTGTGAGCCACCATGCCCAGACCTGCTACACCGATTTTAAGGCATTCTTGTCCTGGTCTAGTTGAGGAATTTGGAGGTCCTGATACAGACCCCCAGTTTCTGAAGCCTAACCAAGGAGGCACCTGAGAATGGTGTTCTGGGTAGTATCCTGGGAGGACAAAACTAGCTTCATCTGGAATGCTCTGCAGTCTCATGGGATTCCTGTTACCATGGTAAGTCCCAGAACCAATGCCTGTAAGGATGCAATTTGCCGCTTGCAGGGTATTTCTAAATGCTGTTTTCAGACATAGTGCACTGGTCAGGTTGGCTGCAGGGCTGGTAGTAGGAAAGCATGAAATGATTATCAGAGTCAACCTGATTAAAGACAGGATGTAAGCAAGCCAGGGTGAGGTGAGCATAGGGACCTAAAAACCAGCCATGGGAACAGGAGACAGGATGTCAGGGAGAAATCTCATTAATTGACCTTGATGGTCACAGTCTCATTTGTCTTCTCTTTAAAAAATCAATTGTTTTTTACCCTTATTTACAAAAGGAGTTCATATTTATTGTAGAAAATCTAGAAAAATTTTAAGTGAACTAAAAATTTAAAAAGTTAATATCATTTAAAGATAGTCATGGTTAATACCTTTGTTGAATACCACTGAGATGTATGTTTATCTACAAATATTTTACAGTTTAAATTAACTAGACTCATCCAACAGTACTACTTTTTCCCCACTGAACATTGTAACATGAATATTTTTTCCATTTATTACATATTCTTCCAAGTCATCGAGTGTAGTGTTCAATTGAGAAAACACCTTAATTTATTTAATTACTTCCCAATGGACATTTAGGCTGTTTCCCTATTGTTAAAGAACCCTCTGTATTAATAAGTTTTGTGGCTTTCTGTCTAAATCTGAGACCATTTCTTTAGAGTAAATTCCTAGAAGTGGAGGAGTTGCTGTATCAAATGGTATGCCCCATTTGAGGGTTTTGAAATGCATCTTACCCAACTTCTCTCAAGAAAGCAGTACAAATTTGTATTTCCAGTAACAACAAATGAGATGGTTTAACCTTTAATGAGTTGCATCTTAAAGATACTGTTGGAGGAAATGAATAGAGAGACTCAGTTTTTTGTCTAACTGATATAGGGAAAATATCAGTCACATTTCATTCTTGAGACCATTATTGCATAACCAGATATGGTTCAGTGAACCCACATAAGCATTTGTTGAGTACCTACCATGCTCCCAGGCCTGGGCTGAATATCCCTGCTGCTAGTGTCAGTTTCAAATACTTAGTACAGCAATCAATAAATGAGAGGACCTGTTGGAATATGAGTAGAATATGAGACACCGAGCTTTATAGTGGAAGGAAATTAGTGTTTTCTTTGCCAGATGTTAAACTATAGCAGTGGTTCTCAAAGTGCGGTCCCTGGATCATCAGCATCGCTTGTGATAGATGGGGATTATCTGGCCCTACCTCCTGAATCAGAGACTCTGGGATTTGGGCCCAGCAATTTATGTTTTAACAAGGTCTTAACCACCAAACTTCTGCAAGATGCCAAAGATTGAGGACCGCTGAGCTATAAAAAGGCAGCAAATGCAGAAGAGGTCAGACTTGTTGGGTAAAGGTGGGGTGACTAACTTCTCCTGGTTTGCCTGGGACCATCCCAGTTTTAGCACAGAAAGTCTCGCATCCCAGGAGCCCCTTCTGTCCCAGCTAGACAGGGATGGTTGGTCACCCTGGTAAAGGGTGGCAGGGGTGAAGGGAGGTTCTCTTTGTTGCAGCCTAAAGGTAATTATGGCAGAAAAAGAATAGAAGGGCCAGCAGAGAAGGTTTCAAGATGGAGGGCAGATTTCAGAAGCTGCTTTCTGCTTGTCAGCTCTAGGCTGATAGATGTGGTGGCAGGAGGTTACCTGCAGGAAGCCAGCAGATGGCTAAGGCATCTTGCTGAATCCCTTGACAGGAGTCACAGCTGTTAGAACTTGATACTTTCTGGAAAGGGGAAGGTTGGCATTCACCAAACTACTGCAAGATGCCAACTTGAAAAAAAAGCCATGATTAATCTTAGCAGTGATGACAATGAAATCATTTTACAGCAAAAACCATAACCAAAAGTGCTTTGTAATTGCAGCAATTTCCATGTCCTGACTGATGGCCCCCTAGATTCTAGAATGGTGTCGGGCTTATCTGATTACAAGAACTAATCCTGAATAAGATGTAACATTCATTCTTAGAGTAAGCATTCATCCCGGATTTTCTAAAGCAGGTGCAATTTAAACTCTTTTTGTTCTTTACTACAGTCAATAATGTATAAGGCATGTAAAGTTTCAGTTTTGAAAGTATAGTGTGCAAAATTTTAATAAAAGTAATCATACGTTACATTGTTACATGCATGGTGTTGATGACAGAAAGACAGGAGGGCTGATTTATAGATCAGTTAAACATAAGAAATTCCTTATTTTTCCTAAACCAACAATTCTGAACCTGTTTTCATAGTCGAATCACCTGGGGAGCTTTTAAAAAATGCTTATGTTCAGGGTTCCATCCCAGAGATGGTGACTTAATAGGTTTGAGGCAGGGGCTTGGACATAGATATTAAACAAGCAAAATTCCCCAGGTGATGTGCATTTGGGGTTGAGAATACTGTACTTACCCTGATATAAACCAATGGGTCCCAACTTTAGCATGTACCAGAATAGCCTGAAGTGCTATTCAGTAGGTCTAGGGAGGTGGGGGTGCAAACATTTGCACCTCTAAGGAGTGCCCTGGTGATGCTGATGCTGCTGGTTTGCAGACCAAGATTTGATCACCAGTTTCCTAAACCATTCCTACTCCAAACCCCAGATAATCGTACAAACCACATCTGTCACCCATTAGCTAGACATGTGAATAAATAACTCCCTCTCAAAACACTTCTGCACATCTACTCCCACGTATCCAGTATTTCTTTTCTCTACTGAGTTTAAAACATATTTCAATTAAAAAGCATACTTTAGAAAGCTTGGTATAGGTTTACCTTCCTCTTTAGGTCTTGCAAAATAGGATTATTTGTCGAGTGGTATCCTTTCTCCCTCACTAGATTGTAGGTTCTCTGAGGACATTTGTTTGTTCGAAGGTTGCCCATGTGGCTTAGGACATCATAGGTGCTCAGTAAATGTTAGTAGTCAGTGGTTATGCATAGAAATTGCATCATCATAACCAAACCCACCTATTCCCAGTAGTTTTTATAATGGGATCTAAATAGACTGACACTCCAAAATTAGGATCATAAAACGTATTCACTTAGAGAAGTCGAAGCTATTGCACAGGACAAGTAAAATAATCAAAGAAGTTAGCAGAAGGTAACTACAAGGGAATTTCACCAAGAAGGACAATAATGTAGATAAGATGATATATCAGCAATAGCCCTGAAATGTGGACTGATACATAGAGTAGTTTAGTAATATAAGCACACACTTAAGGCTTTTGAAAAAAAAATAACTGTCACAACTTGTACTGGAGCCACATTAATACATCAAAAAATCCATGCAAATGACCAAATATCCCATTGTTTGACAAAACTAATAATGCAACAGAATGTATTGACATAGTCCACCCCTTAACAAAACTATCACAAACATCCACACTGAAAGAAAACAGACACAGGTACACACTTAATGAAAAAACCCAAGTATATTTCTGGAGAAAGCAGCTACAGCAAATATGGAAACAGATTTAGTTCAATAAACAGCTGAATGTGTATGCTGGTCCACACATCCTCAAGCCCATTGAATTTTCCTTTGGAATTTTCCCTTGGTCACCTTTTTTTGGATTGAATTTACTTTGTCATTTGCCCCTGGCTCTGTCACTTCTGTCCAGAGGCTGCTGCAGGGATCCTAAATGAACAAATTCAATGATGCTTATTCCTTCAGAGGAGTCAAAAGAGATGTTGAATTTAAGAATGAAATGCTCCTGAAGGTAGATGAGTTCAAGTTGTCTTGCATTGTGTTACTACACTTACAAAAGTTTGCTATAGAGAAAGGAGAAAAGCACATGGTCTGGGTTTCTGAAGACTGGCAGTGAAAGTTGGAGGCTTCCTATTTTGTAAAATCTGACCAAACATGGAAATAACAGGAAAAGATGTCTGAGTCTGGTTCATAGTTGTCTAAAATCATCAGCATTTATAAGTTATTAACACATCAATATTAAAAATTAATATTAAATTATTAATTTATTAATACTTTATTAATATTAAATTATTATTATTAATATTTAAAAAACTTCCAAATAACATACAATTTTGGAAGGTAATGTTTTAAAAATATTTTCTGTATGATAACTTTTCTGAACCATACACTTATGAATATGGAACTTAAAATTAATGCTGCAGTAAAGTGAACGCAACAATGAATGTAGGGAAAATGGATTAAATTAGTTCAATATTCTGCAGGCCGAAGGCCTTTGATCAATATTTTGTCTAATTTTCTCTTTCCAGCATATATCACAAACATAAAAAGGAAGAATATTCCACTTTTATTGGGGGTCAGCAGGGAGGGCTAAGAGGATACAGGAGTGATGGTATTTGCATAAAACTGGCTGGACTATTTAGCTTGTTAATATCTGTATTGTGATTGAAAGTTTATTGGAAAAATGTGCTGATCTCAAAACTACACTAGTTCGGCAATGATAGCAAGAGAATGGAACCAACAAATTCTTTCATCTAGAAGGAAAATGAAAACCAGAACTTGAATAATGGGATGTATCTTAGATCTGGTACTGAATGTGGAAAATTCAAGAAGTAATACATTGGTACTACTAATAGTATCATGTAAGGTTTTAAACTTTGTCTAACAAGATGTACTCATAATGATAGGTAATGCTTCAACCCCAGTCATCCCTCTGAGTTTCACAAGATACAGAATCAGTTAATTCAACAAGTATTTATTGAGTGCTTACCATGAACCAGGTATTGTTCTAGCTCTGAAGACATCACCATTAAAGAATAGTAAAAAATAAAAATCCCTTTTGTCATGGAACTTGCATTCTAGTTGGGGAAAGACAGAAAACGCATACAAAATAAGTCAAATGTAAACTGTCTTAGATGGTGGTAAGTGTTACGATGAGTTACAAAGCAAGAAAGTGGGTAGAATAACATCCTGCCCCTTAAAAAAGCACTAGGGAAGGGGTTAATGAAAAGATGATCTTAGCCTACATACCTGAAGCGAGCCATACAGATAGTGGCGGAAAGTAGGTTCTAGGTTAGGAGAAGAGAGGCGTAGGGCAAAAGGAAAATTATTCCCTTTTTGCATGTCCTTCTATACAGTGTGAATTTGCTAGGCCTGAATATATTTATTTATTTGTTTTCTTGAGGTCTGAGCTGTGGAATAATGTGCTAAATTTGTTTTCTTCTCTATACTTGTTTGTACTAAAAAAAACTCTAATTAATGCAGCTTACAATAATGTGTACTGAAACCCAGACACATTGAGGCATTTAACTTTTCTGGGAAAGCTGTAGCTACCGTCAGGGTATGATTTATGACTATAAAAGTCAAATAGTTGAGCCTGGGGTAATCACCCACTGAATGTGATTGGTTCTTTGGCAATTGTGTCCTAAACAAAAGCACTCTGTCTTTTATGGTCAGCATTTTGCTAAGCTCCAACTAGGTTACTCCATATTTACTGATAGGAGAATTGTAATGAGAAACACCAGTAAAAAGGAGAGGTTGACCCCAGTAGAAAACCAAAAGCAGGTTCTTGTGGCTTTCCCAGGTGCAGATTTGAAAAAGACAGTATTACTGATAAATAATTAGGTTATTACAAAGACCAATATTTTCTTTTGTCAGAATTTTAATCATTGAAGTGGTATAACCACAATTTGTATTTTTGCCTGAAATAGGAGTGGAATTTGCTGGTGTTAACAAATGCAAGAACAAAATAATACTATATAAGCTTAGTTAACTGTTTTTCAATAGCCTTTAGAAGAATTTTCTGTAATACACACACACTTCTTTTTTTTTGAGATGCTAAAAGAAATTTTAATAATTGTTACATAACATACTGTGTAGCTATTTGATGAAATCTACCTCTGTGTAATAATTATTAAAGTAAGTCTTGAAATGTATGATAAGAATATATTAGTTTTTTGGGTACAATTTCCATGAAAAAAATAAGAAAACAAATAAATAACTAAAATAAGAAATAGGAGGTTTTTTATACATACTGTTGTCATCATACAAAATTACTCTATTAACTAAATTTACCTGACATTGTCACCGTTAAAAGCAAAATCAAGACAAAACTAATTCTCAAATTTATTTAATTTTAGTAATATATTTTATTTAACCCTATATACCCAAAATATTTTCATTCTAATATGTAATCAATATACAAAAATTATTAAAGAGATGTTTTATGTTCTTTTTTCATACTAAGGCTTGAAAATCCAGGGGGTATTTTATTTATTTTTATTTAGTGTACTTTAAGTTCTAGGGTACATGTGCACAATGTGCAGGTTTGTTACATAGGTATACATGTGCCGTGTTGGTTTGCTGCACCCATCAACTCGTCATTTACATTTGGTATTTCTCCTAATGCTATCCCTCCCCTAGCCCCCCACCCCCCGACAGGCCCCTGTGTACACACACACTTATTTCTAAAAGAATTAATTTTAATTACACAAGTTTATTATCTTTGGATAATCAAAAGGTAAAACATTACGTTTATGTGTAGAGCCCTTTTTACGAGCCACCACCCCAAATCCTGATTTTCTTCAAAAGGTAACCACTGTGATCACTTTGATAGGTATTTTACAGACTTTTAAGGAATTTACATATGTATACACATATACACACAATACATGTATATGCTCACACTGGTAGGATAGTTATGTAAGAAGATAAATGGTATTTATATGTCTATATCTGTACCTTGCTTTATGCCAACAACATGTCTTGGGGATTATTTCCCATGCTGGAATTTTAAGACCTACCTCTTTCTTTTCACTTACTGCATAGCAGTCCACAATATGGTTATACCATAATTAATTGGCCTCTTATTTGGACATTTAGCTTGTTGCACACTTCTCAACTACAAGCCATGCAGCAATGAATTCTGTAGTGCACTTGTGCAAGTGATCAGGCAGTGGTTCTCACGGTGGCACCCAGACCAGCCGCATCTGCATCGCCTGAGAACTTGCTAGATGCAAATTCTTAGCCCTACCCTAGACTTATTGACTCATAAACTGAGGATGGGGCCCAGCAATCTGTAGTTTAACAAGCCCTCTGGTGAATCTGATGCATTATACAATTTGAAAACCACTGGCAGGTATGTCTGTTTCTACAGACACACATGTACGGATACAGTCAGTTCTATAATGTAACATATGTGTTCTTAAACACCACTGTGCTATGCAAAAGTATGTAATAAAAGGCCTCGGGGCTTTTGAGAAAAATGAGGTTGGGGCACAACAGTTAAAAACTTCATCAGTGACACGTTAAAAACAAAAGCTGGGAGACCAATAAAAATGATAGTGCGGTTTTATACATGTTAAATGGGTAAATACACAAACGCTACAGTAAATATGGCACCTTCCCTTGAAAAGACCAGAAGTTTGCTTGTGTAAGTTGGTATTGGAGGGGTTGACCCTTGTGAGTTTTTGGGTAGTGGCGGAAGGAGGGTTACATGAAATTGGAAGGTAAGTTTTAACAGCAGATGTGGTGAGTGTGGCTCCTGCCGCACGTGGTGAACTGAGGCAGTTGGTCATGTTGAGGTGTGTGTGTGTGTGCATTTTGGGTATTCCTATATGGCTCAGTCCATTTGGGTGCATTTTTCTGCTTTTCCCTAGCATTTCTTGTGGATAAGCAAATGCGAAATTGGAGTTATGTCCAAATTTTCCCCCAGTGTATCAATTTCCTTGGAATAAATTTGCCTTTTCGATACAGGTGTCACAGCTGTATGTATGGATGCTTATTCTTTTGCGTACATTACACAAAATAACTCCATACACTGTACTGAATGCTGTTTTTCACTTAATATTTCTTAGAGCTTTTTCCATATCGCCACATAGTTACTCGTTTTTTTTTTTAATGGCATTTAAAGCATTAAGAGATGACTAAATTGATCTCCAAAATGCTTGCAACAACCTACACTCCCATCAACATGCTTCCTACACCTTGGCCAATATTACCTATTATCACATTTATTAACTTTTGCCAACCACTAGTTAAACGTCTCTCTCCTTCCTCTCCCTCCCTCTCCTCCCTCTCCTCCCTCTCCCTCTCTTCCCTCTGCTCCCTCTGCTCCCTCTGCTCCCTCTGCTCCCTCTCCTCCCTCTCCTCCCTCTCCTCCCTCTCCTCCCTCTCTCTCTCCCTCTCCCTCTCCCTCTCCTCCCTCTGTCTCCTCCCCCACCTCCACAGAGACATTTACACTGTGAGGAATGCCTCCCGTAAGTACACTGATAGAAAAAGGAACTTTAAAAGTGTGAAACAGGTGGCGAGGTGGTGTTGAAATGGTAAAAAAAAAAAAAAATAAATAAATAAAAATAAAAAGGAAATAAAATGGATATGAAAGAATACATAAAAACCTATTAAAAAGGCAGAAAAAAGGAATTCCCTTTCTGCTTATTTTTCACTTCTACCTTTGCTAAATACAACTTATCCACTTTATGAGATAAGATATTGAGTTGACCCTGTAGGATTCCATCTATCACTCTAGCTGGTTGACATCTCCAAAAATGCAGCTTACACTATTAATCCATTCACTTCAGCAAAACATGCCTAAGGGCATCAGATTCTTCTGTTTATCAGTATTGGGTTCCTTGGCCCCAACAAGCTCAGCAGATACAGCTGAACAGAGTGATGTGTGGTGGCTTCAACTCTTGAGTCTGGGGCTTCTAACGGCAAAAGTGACAGACATAGAGGCTCATGCAGGTGTCAGATGTTTTCCTGTAAAGAGGTTGGCAATGGACGTAAATGCTTCCAGCTGGGCACATTACCAGGCAGGATAAGCCATAATGATTTAATAATGAAATCACATTGGTTTATGATCATTGTTCTTATTAGGAAATATCATTGCTTTTTGATGATTTATTATGTGAAACTGAGTTTTCATATAAACACTGTGATTTGCATTTATTTGTAATATATATTTGCATATGTATATATATCTGAGTGAGAATGACTTACTAAAAGTAATCACCAAAAAAAGAGGATGGAATATTGATGTAAATATGCCACAAATATTTAAGGAAATGTAGAAATTATGAAGATTATTATGATGTTGCCACTTCAAAATAATATTAGATGCATTTTCCTTTATGTGAAACTGACAGAGAACTAGTAGCTGGATCCATCTCTGTTTTGCAATTAGGCTTTTGCACCTAATCACAAACTACGATATTATTAATAAAATATAAAGAATATATATAAGGGTTATATAGAACCACCATTTCCCTTCTAAATTAAGGACTTGCTTTCCTGTCCTCATTTCTCCTCATGTGTTCTGACATGGAGGAGAGAGAGAAAAAAAAAAGTTAAGAAGAGGGAGGAAGAACATTTTGACTTATGAAAGAGCTTTCAGTCTCATGGGGCCTGGAACAGTTGCTCTGGAGCAGTGAAGGACACTACAGAAGGCTTCTCTCTCTCTTTTTGGTTATGATTCTTTGCTCTATCAGCTGTGATGACTTGTAAGTACAGTTCCTAGGATCAACCCAGGGTGCAAAATTTAGTGGTGAGTTGCAAGGGCAAAGCAAAGCATGTCTCCCACTCATCTGCACTCAATGTCAGGTACATAATTTGGGAAGCCCAGTGCAAAATAAAAATGTGGGGTCTCTTGTTCCAAAAGCAGGAAAAAATGCCATTGAGGGGGCTAAAATATAAAGCCTTGCCCTATCTTTCATGGGCTTTCTCTTTCAACTTGTCATGGTATTGTTTTATTTGCTATTCAGTGCTACTATAAGAAAAATTAAAGACGTAAGTCATTAGCCTGAGTGTTACTTTTCATCTCAATATTGTGCAATGTCAGTTTTAAATGCAAACATAAGAGCATTTAACTTGGATGTGGAATCACCAAAATTACATAGTTTGTATTTTGTAGCTTGTATGTGCGTATGTATTTTGTTCTTACCAGCATGGAGGAAATGCTGAACAAAACTCAACTGTTTTTATTTTACTTCTTAATACATGTACATTCTACCAATACTCTCTACCTTTGGTTTACTGATGAATAAAGAAGGACTAAAAGGAAAAGAATCTATAGGTTATTGTATAAGTCTGTTCTCACACTGCTAATAAAGACATACCTGAGACTGGGTAATTTATAAAGGTAAGAGGTTTAATGGACTTACAGTTCCACATGGCTGAGGAGGCCTCACAATTATCGTGGAAGATAAAAGAGGAGCAAAGTCATGTTTTACATGGCGGCAGGCAAGAGAGCTTGTACAGGGGAACTCCCCTTTATAAAACCATTGGATCTCATGAGACTTATTCACTACCATGAGAACAGTATGGGGGAAACCGCGCCCATGATTCAATTATCTCCACCTGGCCCCACCCTTGACACATGGGGACTATTACAATTCAAGGTGAGATTTGAGTGGGGACACAGCCAAACCATATAATTCACCCTTTCTCTGTCCTTTTCTGTCATCGTTTTCAGTGTAGGTGTTTGGCCAATACAGGGAAGTAACAGGTATAAGAAAGGTTATGACAGGATTCCTTGGTCATTCATGTTTCTTAGAATGCCACTACCTTCTTTTGGTGGTTGAAGCAAATTCTGGTTTGAATGGAAAGTATGGCCTCTTAGGGCTATCAGAGCTTACTCAGTTCTAGATGTATCGTATTTACCTTGTATTTGTTTGGCATCTCGCTGAACTCCCATGCACTATGGGCCTGATGGAGTCCTGTGCTCCTGGGGCATTGTGAATGCTGTGTGTAAATGGGGCTCCTAGGAACAACAGACACATATTGTGCACATTTTCTCTGCTCACACACACATGTTCCATTGTCCCCTCATGCTCCACTCAAAAAATACAAGTTCAAAGATAAAAATCATTAAGAATTTCAAGATAGTGGCAGGAGAAGATTAAACTAAGTGCAGGACCCTTCTCTCTGTGGGGCCTGTGTGACTACACAGGTTGCACACCCACGAAGCCGGCCCTTTCTATATCAGGCAAAGCTGCTGGACAGCCTGAAGCCTCATGAGCATGCCATGTATGAAGGAGCCCAGCTTACAGCAGGCTGGATATTGCCAATAGTGTACCAGTGCAAAATGGTTTCCCTGAAACCTTTAATACACTTACTTATTTCAAACTCAGTTGAATTGATATCATTGAGACAGCTAGATCTCTTAGAGGGCTCCCAGTGCCAGGAGGAGTGCCTTTCAGATGGGTCTTTGAAACCTCAGTGTTATAGCTAGAACCAGGTACTCATCATTGAATCAATCTCTCTATATCTCTTAACATTTTTTCCTTCTCATAGGATTTCCAGCAGGAGAGCTCCAGAAGCCTTTCTTTTGGGGAACAGAATATCCTCGGTGAGTAAATGAGTACAGAAACCAGTTACTGACCAATTAGGAAGAACATGTTGCTTTGGTAGAGGACAGAAGAAACAAAGTCAAAGGTTATTCAGCAGAAAGAAGCCATGGAATCTGGCGTGGGTCGCCTGTACTCTTATCATTTTAGGTATTTGTTTTCTGATCCTTGTTACCAGGGTGTATGGCTGGACAGGAAAGCCATCTTACACATAGGTGGCTTTCATTTTTATGCATTTATTCTCTTACCCATTAACTCATACTACCAGTATTTGGACATTGAAGGATTGTTGGGATTTGAATTGATGGGATGAGTCTAAAACCATTCCAGGTAGAAGAAACAGTGTGAGATAAGGAGGGAAAAGTGCTTCTATAATGGCAGAGTGTAGTTTGGCTAGCCCAAATGGTATATGAAAGGAAGTAGTGGAAAAGAAGATTGAGGTTTGATATTGGAGGGCTCTGCATGGCAAATAAGGAGCTTGGATACTAATAGGCAATAGAAAATATTGAACTTTTTGAGCAAGTTAGTAAGATAATCGAATTTATCTTTAGAAATATAACCTGTGTAGCTACAGAATAAGTCAAAATTGGTAGTGTATGGACTTAGGGATACCAGTTTAAAGGTCATTTTAATACCAACAGATTGTAGACTCATGTAATTCAGAATTTCCATACATAGTAGAGATTCTGATAATATTTGATGTCAATAATATCACCATTTCTATTATATACTTTTTACTTTTGTGTTTTAATGCTTGGAAAATTTTAGTCTTGATTCTATACATTGAGTCTCTTGTGTTTTGGTTTGGATATATGACAATTTAAAAATATGTAGGTTTAAAAGATACAGATTCCCATAAATATATCAATAAGAGAAATATGTTGGCAATGTTTTCATTTGGCCTTTGGGCTTTCCCGGTAGCAGACCTTGTGGTAAGTATTCAAGTGCAATTAGTTCTTTCGGGAGGTGGTACAAGGAAACACCAGTAGGGGAGTGGAGAATTGAGACAGTGAGGGAAATAAGCCAAATGAATTATGTCCTGTGAGTCTTTTATGGCTGCCAAAATGAATTACTACAAACTTAGTGGCTTAAAATGACATAAACTTATAAGCTTATAGTTCTGTAGGTCAGAAGTCCAAACTGGTTCTCACTGGGCTAAAATCAAGTTGTCAGCAGGGCTACTTTCCTTTCTGGAAGCTCTAGAGATGAATCTGTTTTCTTGCCTTTTCTAGTTTCTAGAGGGGGCCCACATTCCTTGGCTTATGACCTCTTCCTCCATCTTTAAAGTTCCATAGTCACATCTCCTTCTGACTCTCATCTTCTGTCTCTCCCTTCTACTTATAAGGACCCTTGTGATTACACTGGTACCATTCAGATAATTCAGGATAATCTTCCTGTTTTAAGTTCAACTGATTAGCAACCTTAATTCCGTCTGCAGCCCCTTTACTGTGTAACATAACATATTCACAGGTTCCAAAGATTAGCAATATGGACATCTTTTGTAGGCCATTATTCCACCTACCACATGTGTGTTACAAAGCCAGTTATCACCATGGGCAACTGGAGCTCAGTCTTGCTGGGGAACTGTAAAACATGCTTCAGAGTGATCCCATCTCAGGGACATGGGAGCTGGGGTATTTATCTGTCCTCCAACTCACCTTCCATCATTGATTGAGGGCTCCTACCAGGGGTACCTGGCAGTGCCCATCCTAGGCCAAGAGGGCTCTAGTGGCTGGAGAAAGTCTTCAGGCAACTAGTTTCAGGTGCTGACATTTGAAGGCTGTCAGATTGGTGTGCTCAAAAATAGTGAGGGCTACGAGGACGTGGGCAGCCATCGATAAAGCTTACTACAGGGAAGCACCATCGTTAGAGTAAATAAAAATTGCAGGTTCTTATTTAACCAAATCCATTAATAATATCCCAGGCCTCAGCTCCATAGTTTTCTTTGGTGTTCAGATGTTTGGACTCAATTTGCCCTGCTTTTAAGTTTAGAAATATATATATATCTAAAAAATTAAAGGTTTAGGATAAATATTCTTTAAGCTCCCTTCAAACTAAAAAAGTCCTATAATTCTTTGATTCTGCTTACTGTTAACAATTTAACTGAGCTTCTATTATTGTGGTTATATAGCTGGAGACTAGGAAATAGTCTGGTTGGATTTCTGAAGTTATTGATGAAGTAATTTGTTTATTGGGTCTGTGAGCATGTTAGTGTCTATTTGTTTGTACCTTAGGCTAGGTCATAGTTAATACTTGAGTGTGAAAGAGAGTTTTTTTTTCCTAAAGACTTGTTTGTCCTCATCCACTTAATGAATAGCTACTACATATCATTTGGGTACTCAGCATTGGGAATATGAAGATGCTAAAGACATGGGAGTCATGGTCCAGTGAGATGGCTTCCCATATGTTCATCTAGTCTGTATTAATAAATGGATAGCCTCCAGAATCAAGGGAGTGGGTATCCTTTCTGCTCACAGTGGTCAGCTTAGTCCTCACCTGAGTGTTGAGTCTAATTATGGGGCATGAACAAGCTGAATTGTTTCCAGAAGAGAGAATCAGGACTGTAAATGGTTGAAGACAACGTTTCCCAAAGTGTGTGTTCCATGAAATAGTAATAGAGGTAAGACATCCTCCCCTCCCTTCAGTTTTGGGGAATCATAATAATTATCACCATAAAAATTTCCTAGAAGCTCTCCAAGAAAGAAACCTATTTAGATGTGTTTAACACAACTACCTTTTTTGTACCCATTAACCATCCCCACTTCTGACCCCAGCCCCCCACCACCCTTCCCAGGCTCTGGTAACCATCCTTCGAAATGCAGAGGTTCCCAAACTCCCCGGTGTTTTGGGAAATGCTGATCTAGAATTCATGACTGAAGAATAAGAGTTGAAAGAACTTAATAACACTTGAAGTGGAACCTCATAACTGTCTGCATATTTTTGAAGGAAAGTTAAGGTGGTAGAACGACTTATTATATTCAGGAGATTCAGCAAGTGTTCAGTTAGAGGCTACACTAGACCAATAGATGGGAGCCATAGAAAAGACATTTCAGATCAGCATTATGGAGAGCTATTACGTTTAGACCCGCCCAAAGAGGAAATGGGTTACCTTAGAAGGGGATGAGCTCTTGGTCATTGGAAATACCCAAGCAGGGTATTATAACCATTTGAATGGGTTTTTCTAGAGGGGGCCCATTCCTCTAGTAGGAAGTTGGAGTAGATGACCTCTAAGCCATTTCCAACTCAGAAATTTTTATGAATTTATGATTCAGGCATAGGACAGCCCTTACTTGATAACAGTGTGAGATCATGATTAAGCTAGACAGCAGTATAGTTGTTTTGTTGTTGACAGCAAATCCGGTGCATATGTTAAACCCACTGAGTAATTAGAACAAAAGAGAAACTGAGTAGGTAGTAAAAGTGGTGTCTTCTCCATTTTATTTTTGGAAGACTAGATCTTCAGTGCAAGAAATCTTCCAGTTTCTGGCCAGCCAGTCAAGGTTGCATTTTAAAAGGGCGAGTTTATTTTTTTATGCTTATTTATTTATTTATTTATTTATTTATTTATTTATTTATTTATGAGACAGAGTTTTGCTCTTGTTGCCCAGGCTGGAGTGCAAAGGCATGATCTCAGCTCACTGCAACCTCCGCCTCCCGGGTTCAAGTGATTTTCCTCCCTCAGTCTCCCAAGTAGCTGGGATTACAGGCATGCGCCACCATGCCTGGCTAATTTTGTATTTTTTAATAGACATGGGGTTTCTCCATGTTGGTCAGGCTGGTCTCGAACTCCCGACCCCAGGTAATCCACCCGCCTCGGCCTCCCAAAGTGCTGGGATTACAGGCGTGAGCCACCACGCCTGGCCAATGACATGCTAATTTAAATACTCTTCATTGATAAAATAGAGGACATGAATCTAATATTATGAAATATTATTATTGTCAGGCTTAGTCATATAAAATTACTTTTTCTTTGTCTCTTGTCCAAAGGATTGTGATTAAGTAACTGAGAATTGAAACTTAAAATGATTCAATCATTTTCTGAATTCTCTATTGCCTTTTGCAAATAGGAAGCTTGTTGGAGCAGCCCTGCTTAAAGGACATTTATTGCACAGCAATTTCTATAAGCTCCCATTGTTCATGCCTTCAATTCATCCAGTCAACAGCATTGACTGAGGGATGTAGAGGACCAAGTACTTATTCTCAGAGCTGAGAGACCTGGAAAAACTAAATGTTGCAATCTGCACACTGATAGCTACTGCCGCAAAAATTAACACTATGTAAAATTACAAATTTGTCCCACACTGCTATGATAGCTCTATGATTGAAATGAATAATTTCACTCTTACTTCTTTAATGAAGGTTTGCAATGATGGAAAAACAGTAGGAAGCATTTTTTCAAATGCAAATTACCTTACAGGAAAGAAATAACAAAGGAAAGCATTGCCACCAAGGGGAAAAATTAAATCTTACACCACTTCCTTGGGTGTAGTTGAGACAAACAGTTAGCATGGTAAGGATCATTTATGTCCTGTAATAACATATTACTTTAAAAATTTCCATTCCTTCCAGTTATGGGTCCTATCTATTTGCTGGGTGACTTTGATGTTGCATGTCAGGAACTAACTGTGAGATATTTTTAGCATAATTGCAAATCTCATGAAGAATCTTCACAATAAGGATTCTAAGTGGTGTGTAATTCTCATCCACAGGTTGAATGACTAAATTAAGATACATACAGATCTGTCACTTGCATGAGATGGTAAAGTTAACTAATCAGTTAAATCATTGTTACTTTCTTACGCTGTACAAGGCATAGAGGATGTAGCAATGAACAAGTAGATAAGAGAGTGGCCTCAATAGAACTTACATTTGAGAGAGAAAATCCCAGACATACATATGGAAACCCCATTATTGATTTCTTCATATATTCTTAATATGCTTTGCTATGTAACAAAGCACCACCAAGCAACCATTTATTAGCTCATGATTCTGTAATTTGGGCAGGACTGAGCTGAGACAGCTGCTCTGTATGGTGCTGGCCGGGGTCGCTCAACTAGGGCTGGACTCACAGACAGGTGAGTGAAGGCGACCTCACTCACCTGTCTGTGCCCCAGTTGGGCTGGCTCTCGTGGCTGGGGCATGGCAGGGCCTCTCTCTCTTCCTTTGGAGTCTCTCAACTTCTGGGGTTTCTCGCTTCTTCATTTGGCCTCATTCCCTCTAGCTGTGTAGTTGAACTTCTTTGCAAGTGACTTCCAAGAAGGTGGAAAATGGAAGCTACTAAGTTTCTTAAGGCCTAGACCCAGAAGTCATACCTGACCCCTTCCACTGCATTCTGTTGGTCATAGCAAGTCCCAAGGCCAGTCCAAATTTAAGAAGAGGGAAATAGATTGTCTCTTGATGGGAGGAGGGGCTATGTGCATTCAGGGGTAGGGAGAATTGTTGGTGTCCCCTTTTATAGATAATCTACCACATGCTTCTTCAGAGGTGAAGAGAAATAATGTGGCACCTTTTTCAAATCTTTGCTATTCAGTTGCTATCTTGTCTACAACAGAAAGAGGAACGTGACTACCTTTGAAAATAGAGTGATCCCTTTTAATCTCTACTCTATTCCTTTTTTTATGACTACATTTGGAAAACAATTTAACTTCTAAGACTATAGTGACTTTTCAACAAGTTTCCAGATAAAATATACATGATATATTTACTGACAGGATCTTTTCAAGCCCTGTTCTAGGTGTTCATAAATATATAGCTATAGCAGATAAAAAAATCATAGCAATCTTAAGGCTGAAAGGGACTTTAGAAATCATCTCTTTCACATCCCTAATTTCAGAGAGTAGGGCACTAAGGTTCATATGTGGTAATAATGACAATGTTTGTTAGAATTTATATTTTCTTTGTCTATTTCAATTGGAAGGTATGTTTAGATTTTTTACAGCTTTATGGGTATGGTTATTCGATTGTTATTACCATGGTTACTAGAAAGCAGTTTATCTTGGCTTTCCATTGAAAAAATTAAAGGATTATGCTCTGAGATTCATGCTTGTAATTGTCTCCAAATTATGTATTAATGCCATAGATCTCTGAGTTATGGTGCTATAGGAGTAATTGTCGGACATGAATTTACACATGGATTTGATAATAATGGTAAGTACCGGTTCATTTTATAAGCTGCTGCTTTTATAATAATGTTGACTATATGGATGTTAATTGTTATGATTATCTTTGCATAGCAGCAGCATCATAGCTTGAAGATTATCCAAAGCAATATGATTGCTGATTGAAAACTTTTCACCGTGTCTTGCTGTGATGGCTTGCAATAAGTAAACAATTGTTCCCATTGGTGATCGGGGTAGACTTTAAAAGGCAGCCTTGTAATTTCAATAAAATTAGCTTTGCATTTAGATCAGGATTGCTGTAGCTGCCACAATAGTTACAGAGATTGATTTATAGCTTCTCCCTTTGTCATTTATTCATTGTCTTGAGATATTCTCCCTGGAGGAGCAAGCTCTGCTCCAACGATGATTATACATGCTGCCAAGTTAGGACTCGTTGAGTTAGGACTCTGGAGCTTGGCTGACTGGTTCCCTTTTACGATTTCGAAGATTATGCAATGCTTAATCTATATTTTTCTCTATACTGGCTTATATTCTGATTATTATTATTATTATTATCATTATTGAGACGGAGTCTAGCTCTGTCGCCAGGCTGGAGTGCAGTGGCACGATCTCGGCTCACTGCAACCTCGGCCTCCCGTGTTCAAGTGATTCTCCTGCCTCAGCCTCCCGAGTAGCTGGGATTACGGGCACGTGCCACTATGCCCAGCTAATTTTTGTATTTTTAATAGAGACGGGGTTTCACCACATTAGCCAGGATGGTCTCGATCTCCTGACCTCGTGATCTGCCCACCTCAGCTTCCCAAAGTGCTGGGATTACAGGCATGAGCTACCGCGCCTGGCCTATTCTGATTATTTTAAAGTCTATACTTTCCTGATAATTTATATAATAGGATATGCTTTGTATCCCGATGACATTTAAGCAAAAAGAAAAAGCAGAATATGACATAAACTAAAGAAATGGCTTCCTTTGAGAGTCCTCATCATCATTAATCAGCACTCTTTTCTCCTTTAACTTTGGAGTATTATCGGAAGGCCACATGAAATCTCTGAAACTTACGGATTAGTAGCAAATTACTATCACATCCATACCCACACAGTGATTTACAGGCAGTCTCAGGAACCAGCTGCCCTAAGGCAACGTTATATAGAAGGGGACCTCTTTCTTCCATCCCTGTAGTATCTCCAACATCCTTCCTGGATGCCTACCCCAGGGCCAGAGACACTTAGGCTCTTCTAGAAAAGTCTTCCTGTACTCCCACCAGCCCTTCCTTAATCACCTAGATTTTTTGCTCCCCTGGTCTTCCCTTCTCTGTTAAAATGTGGCTGACTTGTAGTTATAAATGTGGCTGACTTGTAGTTATCTGACTCTGCAGAGCTAGACTTTCTGCCTTTGGGTGTTTGGTTTATCTGAGATGAGAGTCTTAGCTAAGAAAAAAAAAAGCTAATAGTCCTTTCTTCGTTCTGGACCTCTCTTGATAGGAAATTTAAGTACAGTTCCTCCCCAGAACCTTCTGGAGTCTTTCTCAAAGGACTGAATCTAATGGTGGCAATTTCACTCTGTAACCAATGCTTAGAACAGTGCATTGCACATATAAGTACATGCCCGGTACCTATTTAATGATTGGTTGGTTAGTGGGTAGAGGACAGTGACTCCATACTATCCCAGGGGGTGGTGTTAGTAGTATGTAGCCTTGCTGAAGAGTTTTGGATTGTTCCAATTAACAACTTTACTTACGGGACTTTTTTGTAAGCTCTCTGTATAATTAAATTTAAACGATGCCTCTGATTCTCATAGTAACCCTGAATATAGAAGACAGTCTAGCAGCATCCAAATTTTGTTTCAAAGGCTGTAGAGAAAATGAAGAGTGAGCACATAGCAAGAAAGCATGTGTAATCTTTCTTCCCATTGTGTTTTGGAGATTTTCATTCTTATTCCAAGTTTTCTTTTTAGAGCAATCTTCCCTGTCTAAGCAGGACAGATGGGCCTTCCGTCCACACTAGTGGCTGTGGAATGAATCATAACAGAGGTTTTATGTGTCTTTCAGCTCCTGGCAACTTGGAGGAAACAGGTTCCTATAGGGCTGAGTCAGGGTCTATGATCGCACAGTATGGATGACTCACTGGGGCTATTCCTATGGATCATTTGGAATTTCACTGGTAGTAATGCTCTGATTGCCTCCATGGGCTTTCTGAATGAAGCCATTTTATTTCATAATCCAGTGAACACTTTGGGTCAAATCAGGTGAAGACACAGAATCCAAGATTGAATAAGACTAGTATATGTAATAAATTGATGAATCTCATTTTTAAGGTGCTCTTTGTTCCTTAGAAGGAAAGAACTTCCTCAATTGTCTTTATCCTTTTTGCCCTTTTTACAATTAACCTGTGACATTGGAGAGAATGCAGGAGCTGATCTCAGGAAGAGTGTTCCCTGCTGTTATGACTGCTTTTTGAAGGCTTGTCGAGGTGAGGGAAAGGAAAGATGAATTTAGTTTCCATAAATAACACAAATGTCTTCGAACTTTTCCTTTTGCTAGGTAGAAAATATGATAAAAATGGAAACCTGGATCCTTGGTGGTCTACTGAATCAGAAGAAAAGTTTAAGGAAAAAACAAAATGCATGATTAACCAGTATAGCAACTATTATTGGAAGAAAGCTGGCTTAAATGTGAGTACAACTGTGGCTAAGGGGGGCACCTTGTGGTTCATTTTTCCTCATTTGGACATTAGCTTGCTTTAAACCATTGGTTCTCAAAGCGTGTTTACAAGATCAACAGCATCTGTCTTCCTTGGGAACATTCTTGAGTCCTACCCCATACCTGCTGAATCAGAATCTTTGGGGTTGGGGCCTGGTCATCCCTTAACCAGGCATGAACTTTTTCCTGATATATTACTAGGGCTGGAAAAATACCTAAATCCTTGCTATGCCTCAAATCTATTATACTTGTAGATGAATTTAGGTAAAAATCCATGTGCTTCTTTTAAAGGGAATGTTTATAAACACTGACTTGGTTCTCCTGGTTCTTAAACCATGCTCAGCCCAAGTGAGACCACTGCTCATTCAGGCAGAGAAACCAGAGTCTGTATCCTTGAATGGTGTCTAGCTCTTTTATCAGTGTCCTGGACAGCCATTTCTCTGCCTATATATTTTTAAATATCTACAACTGTGACATGAGAAGACCTAAAATGGGTGCTTCTATGTATCTCTATATAGTGCAGGGGTTTTCACACTGTGAAAATTCATCTGGAGTATATGTTGCTTCAAGAAAAGCATAGCAGAAAGGGGTTCTAGAGTCAGACATGGGTCCAAATCTAGGTTCAACTAGTTTTATGAACTTGGGCAAGTTACTTAATGTTCCTGAGTCTCAGCATCTTCATCTGTGAAACGGGTCAATGTTTCTGAACTCATGGATTTGTTGTAAGAATTAAGTGAGCAAAGCAATGTGGAGCACTAGCACAAGGCCTGACATAAAGCAAGTGCTCAATAAAAGATCGTTAGTTAATATTCCTGATCCTTCGTGACATACTCATTAGTACCCTATCCCAGGAAAAAACAAAGCCAAAGATTTTTGGGTTAAAAACCCCCCAAAAAACAATAGAACAGCTTTCTTGGAGGAAGGGAATTTATATTTCCTGATGATTAGTATATACAGGCATGAAGATGAAACTTTTCACTTAATTGAAACAAATGTATCCCCATACTAGTCCTGAGAGGTATAGATTATTACTAAGTGTACAGGTTTTACGTATGAGGTTCAAAGGAATTAAACTGAGGTTCAAAGAGATTAAAATCCACGGTAGAGTCTAGATTAGAGTTTAAGTAAGTCTGTACGACTCCAAAGTCCATACTGCTTCCCCTATATCATGCTGAGGTTCTTATTTTAAGTTCATTTTATATCTGGGTGATGTGTGGGTGGACTGCTCTTCACCATTCATTTTGGCCAAAGTGTCAGAGATTGAAACTTAATTCTGACAAATGTGTACCTTTGTCACAAGGACGATAGAAAGGGCATGCCTGTCTTAGCACCAATCCACTTAACCATCAGAAAACAGCTTCAGTTTCATTCCCACAGGAGAGTGGGTGGCTTCCTTTGTGGATATAAGGGCCATGCTTTATTATTTTTCTGGCTTCATTTATAGGAGCCGTTCCTTTGTGCCTGAATCTTGCTTTGTAGTGACTTCGGGGGAGCTCAGATGGGGCACTACAGATGCAGACTGTCAGCAGCTGTTGAGTCTTTTTTTGTTGTTGTTCCTTTTCGTAGCTGTTGAGTCTTGGGAGTCCAAACCTAGGGCCACGTGGTCTACTGAGGCAGACCAGAGTTCAAGGAGCCAGAGGGGTGAGGCTGCTCCAAAAGGCTCTAAATTAGATATAAAGCTTAGAGTGAATGGCTGGGCATGGTGACTCATGCCTGTATTCTAAACACTTTGGAAGGCCAAGGTGGGAGGATCACTTGAACCTAGGATTTTGATACCAGCCTGGGAAACATACGGAGACCCTGTCTCTACAGAAAATTTTTTAAAAAATTAGCCGGGTGTAGTGGTGCATGCCTGTAGTCCCAGCTACTCAGGAGGCTGAGGTGGAAGAATTGTTGGAACCCTATAGTGAGATATGATCACACCACTGCACTCCAGTGTGGGTGAAAGAGAGAGACCCTGTCTCAAAACACACAAACACACACGAAACCCTCAGAGTAAAAAGGAAGGAGATTAAATTTTTTAAGCAGGAGTGGATATAATCATAATCTTCAAGAGCCAAGAGGAGTTGGGACTTGAGAAAGTAGCATATTAGGAAGCAAAGGCTCTGGAGACAGAAGACTGCTTGGGTTCGAATCCCAGTGACATGCGAGCAGTTTACTTCATCACTCTGTCTTAGGTTCACTAGAAGCAGAGCCCAAGAAGGGGTTCCTTAGGTCATTGACTTTTTTGAGACAGCGTCTCGCTGAGTCACCCAGGCTGGAGTGCGGTGGTGTGATCTCGGCTCACTACAACCTCTGCCTCCCTGGTTCAAGTGATTCTCCTGCCTCAGCCTCCCCAGTAGCTGCGATTACAGGTGCCAGCCACCACGCCTGGCTGATTTTTGTATTTTTAATAGATACGGGGTTTCTTCATGTTGGCCAGTCTGGTCTCAAACCCCTGACCTCAGGCAATCTGCCCGCCCCAGCCTCCCGAAGTGCTGGGATTACAGGTGTGAGCCACCGCACCCAGCCCAGGTCAGTGATTTATTCAGAAAGTCGTTTCAGGAAAAACCTATAATGGAATGAGGGAAACCTATTGGTTTCAGGAAATGTTTAGCCTCACCCTGATTCCACAGAGGATTCTGGAGCACGAACTGCACCACAGAAATTGTTCAGCCCAGGTACTGGGTTGTTCAAACTGCACATCAGTCAATTACTGGAAGGTGGGTTATAACCTCCCAGCGGTCTCCAGATGAGGTGACTCCCATAAGCTAAGGTTGATCTGAGCTGTTAGCAGTTGTGGGAATGGGTGCACAGTTTAGGCAGAAAAGGGGATCTGGTGGGATATCGACATCTGCTACACTCTCGGAGCTTTAGATCCTCATTTGTTGAGCAAGGGTGGTGGTAATTAGCACTTACTTACCTCATACGACTGTGGATAACAAAGAATATACGTAAAGCAGGAATGGTAGCTTTTGTGTACTGAAGCTAGGAGGGTCCTGAGTGATTACAGTGAATAATATTTTCCAAAGATTTGTTTTTATTCATTGATATTGCTTGATACCTGGGTGACTGGGCTAGCTTAAAAGTAAAGTGTTGGTAAGATCCATGGCTTGAAAGTTAAAAGCAAGGTATATTAGTTTTCTGTTGCTTGCTATAACAAGTTACTATAAACTTAGTAGCTTCAAATAACATAAATTATCATACAGCGCTGTATGATTTATTATCATACAGCTCTGTATGTCAGAAGTCTGACATGGATCTCAGTGGACTAAAATCAAAGTGTCAGCAGGGCCACATTCCTTTGTAGAGGTTCTAGGGGAGTATCTGTTTCCTCGCCTTTTCTAGCTTTTAGAGGCTGCCCACATTCCTTAGCTCATGGCCCCTTCGTTTTTCAAAGCCAGCACTGGCCGGTGGAGTCTTCTCATGTTGCATCACTCTGACACTCGCTCTCCTGCCTCCCTTTTCCTCTTGTAAGAACTTTTGTAATTACACTGGGTCCACCTGGACAATCCAGGATAAAGTCTGCATCTCAGGATCCTTAATCACATCATAAAAGTCTCCTTTGCCATGCTTTATTTTTCCAGCTTCATTTTGTGGGGACCATTCCTCTGTGCCTGAATCTTTCTTTCTTCGCAGTGAATAAGGTAACATATTCACAGATTCCAGGGATCAGGACGCAGACATCTTTGGGAGGCCGTTATCCTGCGTGTTATACAAGAGTTGAATGACTTTTCTGTAAAGGGCCAGATAGTAAAGAATTGAGGCTTTGTGGGGCGTATGGTCTCTGTTACAATATTTAATTCTGCCACTGTAGCAAGAGAGCAAATACAGACTATATGCATGGGCATGGCTGTGTCCCAATAAAACTTGATTTATGAACACCAAAATTTGAATTTCATATAAGTAATTTTCATGTGCCACCACAATATTATTCTTCTTTTGATTTTTCCCCAGTTGTTGAAGTATGTAACATCCAGTCTTACCTTGAAGCCTGTACAAAAACAAGCAGCAGGTTGGATTTGGCGTGTGGGCTGTATTAGTTTAGAATATTTGTGTCCTAGCTCATTTAAAGTTTTGAGAAACAATCTTGAATATTGGGAATAATTTTTTTTACCATGCTGGCTGGTTGTCATACATATCGCAGACCTCGACCTTGTGATCTGCACTACTTCTGTTTGATTTTTCTTCCCTAGGAGAACCACTTTCCTTTTAATTTTCCATGGAAATTGCTGAAGGTAAAATGATGATAGTTGGTCTTGAAATCTTGTTCCTGTGTGGATGGTAAATTTTTGGAAACACAGGCACAATGAGAAGAATACTCAAATTATGTGAGTTAATCAGAGAAAGTAACCTGTGTATTGACATTCCTGTTTTTTCCCATTAAACCAGAGTCACTCAGAATATTGTTAACATTTTATTGGAGCTGGCTAGATTGGTTAGAATGAAGAGGTAGGTGAAAAAGAAGTGTGTAGCATAATGAAATAGAAAGTATTACATTCCAGAGCACCTTGCTGAGGATAGTTTGCCATCTTTCTTACAATATATTATGCCTACCTCTGATTTATTGAATGTGATTTTCTCTTTAAAATATGATACTTTTCTTGCTATAATATTGATGCCTCTTGCTGAATGATAGTTGACCGTGAAACACGCATTCATTTTTTTTTTTTCCTTTTTTCTTTCTGTTAGGTCAAGGGGAAGAGGACCCTGGGAGAAAATATTGCTGATAATGGAGGCCTGCGGGAAGCTTTTAGGGTATGCGCTGCTACATTTACCGTGGTTCTAAAAATCAAGCCATAAAACACCATATGGGGGTACCTCAATTCATACCATAGCCATGTTCTTGAGGAGTTAGTTAGTTAGATATTATGGAATTTCTGTAAATAGAAGTGTGTCTCCCCATTGACCCTATTACATAAAGAGAACTATATTTCTTTTTTCTTTTTGGGGTGTGAAGTCACCCTAAAGAATAATATTTGTTATTAAGAATCATGTATTTAAAGAATAGCTTTTAGAAAATACATTCACCATCAGATCGAAGCATGCTACAGCAATCTCCTTGGGGCTAGGTTCATTTGTTTTCCTTGAGTACAGGTCTTTCTGTAGTCCTCCTATAAATTTCTCTTAAAATATCAAACTTCTAAATTATGACCAGAGGGTAGTGGTTCTCATATACTGGGCCAAGTGATAGTTCATAATAACGTTTTCATCATCCACTAGTTTGTGGTCAAATAAGAAGCATAAAGATAATACAGAAAGATTTCATAAAGCTAAATGCATTAAATTTAATGACTAGACTGTTATTCCTGGTTATATCCTTCCTATATTCTAGTTGAAATATACTTTATTTTATAAAATGAGGGCACTAGAAGATGATAGGTTTTCTCTTACGTGTCAAAATGAAAAAAGGTAATATGCGGACCCCAAAATGTATTGCCATAGGGGCCTTGCCATTGTGTTAGATTTGTTTGTCCCCTGCTAGGAATGGAAAGAACAGCTTTTTTTCTCCAAGAGTTATTTAACATCTGAATGCTTTGGTCCAGCTGCTTTGGTATACATTGAGCATAAGGCCTTTTTGCAGGTGTACCTGCCTCACTGGTAAGCAACAGGACATGGACTTGTGTTTCTTAAGAAAATTTTGACATGATGCATTTTGCACGTGGCAGGAGTATATATTTGCTATTCCTGTGCTAGCTGAGCAAAGAGAAAAACCCACCGTTGCAGAGACTCATCTCTTCTTCTTCTCTCACCAGGCTTACAGGAAATGGATAAATGACAGAAGGCAGGGACTTGAGGAGCCTCTTCTACCAGGCATCACATTCACCAACAACCAGCTCTTCTTCCTGAGTTATGCTCATGTGAGTAGACTGAGGAAGGGGCATCAGGGATGAGATGCAGGACTTGAGTTTGCTCCCTTGATCAAAGAAAGATTTCAAACAAAAGTTTAATGGCATGACTTTGATTTTCAGCAAAAATGTTATCTTGATTATTTTCAGGGTAAATCTCATCTTCTTAATGTTCTGTAGTACATAATTAATTAACTGATTGAATCAAGGTTTATTAGTATTTTTTAAATCAAATGGGTTAGCAGCCCTGTGGTAATTCATTTGATAGTTCCTCAATGTATCTTGACTTCTTAATGTGTTTGATACTATTTATTTGTAACCATTTCTAGTAACTTGCTCTTTGGCTTTCATGGGCCTGCTCTTTCCTATATTGCTCCTCCTTTGCCTCATTTGCTGACTTTATGCCACCACTCTCAGCCTGTGGGGGACCCTCAGGGTCATGTTCCCAACTGTCTAATGCATATGCAGAGACCCCTAGAGCTGAAAAAGAACAAAGGCAAGGAGAGTCATGTCACTCTTTTGTGAGTTTAATAGGCTCTTGGAGCAGAAATTGAAAGGAAGATGTACACGAAATAAAGCACAGTTCCGAGCCTGAGTCTCTGTCTAATGAGGCAAGTGCCAAATCTTTATTAGCTATTATACTGGTTTATGTCATAAACATACGGGCAGCCTTTTCAAAGAAGTCAGGGATAGGTCAATAAAGGTTCTAGTGAATGGCCTCACCGTGGGCAAATGTGTATGAATATGCTCAAAGCTAGACAAAAATTTTCATCAGTACAACCTTTTGTTCCTAAGTCTGTCTTTGCTTTCACTGCTAAGTAAGCTCATTCTCACACGAGTCTTCTATAATTCACTCTGGTCACAGGATTCTTGCTTGCCTGCGGTCTTTTATTTCTTAAAGCTAATAAAAAACACTAAATAAATTATTATTTAGCAACCTAATGTCAACAAAACTCAACTCTAGTCATCCACAACATGACTTTCCTTTTACTTTTCCTGTTTCTATCATCACATCCCATCTTTAGATTTTCCTGGTTAGAAAGCCTGGATTCTTAGGTCTTATTTGATGCATCTGTCCTCAATTTTACAACATGTATTCCAGAAGCCAGATGTTTCATACTTTACTTTACTTTAAAAAAAAATTATACTTTAAGTTCTGGGGTACACGTGCAGAACGTGCAGTTTTGTTACATAGGTATACATGTGCCATGGTAGTTTGCTGCACCCATCAACCCGTCACCTACATTAGGTATTTTTCCTAATGCTATAGCTCTTCTAGCCCCCAACCAACCCTCTGACAGGCCCTGGTGTGTGATGTTCCCCTCTCTGTGTCTATGTGTTTTCATTGTTCGACTCCCACTCATGAGTGAGAACATGCGGGGTTTGGTTTTCTGTTCTTGTGATAGTTTGCTGAGAATGACGGTTTCCAGATTCATCCATGTCCCTGCAAAGAACATGAGCTCATCCTTTTTTATGGCTACACAGTATGCCATGGTGTATATGTGCCACATTTTCTTTATCCAGTCTAGTCTATCACTGATGGACATTTGGGTTGGTGCCAAGTCTTTGCCATTGTGAATAGTGCCACAATAAACATAAGTGTGCATGGCATCTTTCTTTATAGTAGCATGGTTTATAATCCTTTGGGTATATACCCAGTAATGGGATGGCTGGGTCAAATGGCATTTCTGGTTCTAGATCCTTGAGGAATCGCCACACTGTCTTCCACAATGGTTGAACTAATTTACACTCCCACCAACAGTGTAAAAGTGCTCCTATTTCTCTACATCCTCTACAGCATCTGTTGTTTCCTGACTTTTTAATGATCACCATTCTAACAGGCATGAGATGGTATCTCATAGTGGTTTTGATTTGCATTTCTCTAATGACCAGTGATGATAATGAGCATTTTTCATATGTTTGTTGGCTGCATAAATGTCTTCTTTTGAGAAATGTCTGTTCGTAGCCTTTGCCCACTTTTTGATGAGGTTGTTTTTTTCTTGTAAATTTGTATAAGTTCTTTGTAGATTCTCGATACTAGCCCTTTGTCAAATGGATAGATTGCAAAAATTTTCTCCCATTCTTTAGGATGCCTCTTCACTCTGGTGGTAGTTTCTTTGGCTGTGCAGAAGCTCTTTAGTTTAATTAGATTCCATTTGTCAATTTTGGCTTTTGTTGCCATTGCTTTTGGTGTTTTGGACATGAAGTCTTTGCCCATGCCTATGTTCTGAATGGTATTGCCCAGGTTTTCTTCTAGGATTTTTATGGCTTTAGGTCTTAAGTTTGTTTAAGTCTTTAATCTATCTTGAGTTAATTTTTGTATAAGGTGTAAGGAAGGGATCCAGTTTGTTTTCTGCATATGGCTAGCCAGTTTTCCCAACATCATTTATTAAATAGGGAATCCTTTCCCCATTGCTTGTTTTTGGCAGGTTTGTCAAAGATCAGATGGTTGTAGATGTGTGGTGTTATTTCTGAGGGCTCTGTTCTGTTCCATTGGTCTATATATCTGTTTTGGTACCAGCACCATGCTGTTTTGGATACTGCAGTCTTGTAGTAAAGTTTAAAGTCAGGTAGTGTGATGCCTCCAGCTTTGTTCTTTTTGCTTAGGATTGTTTTGGCTATATGGGCTCTTTTTTTTTTTTTTTTTTTTTTTTTTTTTTTTTGGTTCCATATGAAGTTTAAAGTAGTTTTTTCCATTCTGTGAAGAAAGAAAGTCAATGGTAGCTTGATGGGGATAGCAATGAATCTCTCTCTAAATTACTTTGGGCAGTATGGCCATTTTCACGATATTGATTCTTCCTATCCATGAGCATGGAATGTTTTTCCATTGGTTTGTGTTCTCTCTTATTTCCTTGAGCAGTGGTTTGTAGTTATCCTTGAAGAGGTCCTTTACATCCCTTGTAAGTTGTATTCCTAGGTGGTTTATTCTCTTAGTGGCAATTGTGAATGGGAGTTGACTCATGATTTGGCTCTCTGTTTGTCTGTGATTGGTGTATAGGAATGCTTGTGATTTTTGCCCATCGATTTTGTATCCTGAGACTTTGCCGAAGCTGCTTATCAGCTTAAGGAGATTTTGGGCTGAGACGATGGGGTTTTCTTAATATACAATCATGTCATCTGCAAACAGAGACAGTTTGACTTCCTCTTTTCCTATTTCAATACCCTTTATTTCTTTCTCTTGCCTGACTGCCCTGGCCAGAACTTCCAATACTATGTTGAATAGGAGTGGTGAGAGAGGGCATCCTTGTCTGGTGCTGGTTTCCAAAGGGAATGCTTCCAGTTTTTGCCCATTCAGTATGATATTAGCTGTGGGTTTGTCATAAATAGCTCTTCCAATTTTGAGATACGTGCCATCAATACCTAGTTTACTGAGAGTTTTTAGCATCAAGGGGTGTTGAATTTTGTCAAAGGCCTTTTCTGCATCTATTGAGATAATCATGTGGTTTTTGTCATTGGTTCTGTTTATGTTTATTGATTTGCATATGTTAAAACAGCCTTGCATCCCATGTATGAAGCCGACTTGATCATGTGATGGATAAGCTTTTTGATGTGCTGCTGGATTTGGTTTGCAAGTATTTTATCGGGTATTTTCGCATAGATGTTCATCAGGGATATTGGCCTGAAAGTTTTCTTTTTTTTTGTTGTGTCTCTGCCAGGTTTTGGTATCAGGATCATGCTGGCCTCATAAAATGAGTTAGGGAGGATTCCCTCTTCTTCTGTGGTTTGGAATAGCTTCAGAAGGAATGGTACCAGCTCCTCTTTGTACCTCTGGTAGAATTCGGCTGTGAATCTGTCTGGTCCTCAACTTTTTTTGGTTGGTAGGCTATCAATTGCTGCCTCAATTTCAGAACTTGTTATTGGTCTATTCAGGGATTCAACTTCTACCTGGTTTAGTCTTGGGAGGGTGTATGCGTCCAGGAATTTATCCATTTCTTCTAGATTTTCTAGTTTATTTGCATAGAGGTGTTTATAGTATTCTCTGATGGTAGTTTGAATTTCTGTGGGATTCTTGGTGATATCCCCTTTATCATTTTTTATTGCGACTATTTGATTCTTCTCTCCCTTATTAGTCTTTCTTGCTAGTGGTCTATCTGTGTTGTTGATCTTTTCAAAAAACCAGCTCCTGGATTCATTGATTTTTTGAAGGGTTTTTTGTGTCTCTATCTCCTTCAGTTCTGCTCTGATGTTAGTTATTTCCTGTTTTCTGCTAGCTTTTGAATTTGTTTGCTCTTGCTTCTCTGGTTCTTTTCATTGTGATGTTAGGGTGTCAATTTTAGATCTTTCCTGCTTTCTCTTGTGTGCATTTAGTGCTATAAATTTCTCTCTACACACTGATTTAAATGTGTCCCAGAGATTCTGGTACATTGTGTCTTTGTTCTCACTGGTTTCAAAGAACATCTTTATTTCTGCCTTCATTTTGTTATGTACCCAGTAGTCATTCAGGAGCAGGTTGTTCAGTTTCCATGTAGCTGTGTGGTTTTGAGTGAGTTTCTTAATCCTGAGTTCTAATTTGATTGCACTGAGGTCTGAGAGACTGTTTGTTATGATTTTCTTTCTTTCTTTTGCATTTGCTGAGAAGTGTTTTACTTCCAATTATGTGATCAATTTTACAATAAGAGCGATGAGGTGCTGAGAATATATATTCTATTGATTTGGGGTGGAGAGTTCTGTAGATGCCTATTAGGTCCACTTGGTCCAGAGCTGAGTTCAAGTTCTGGATATCCTTGTTAATTAATTTTCTGTCCATTTATCTAATATTGACAGTGGGGCGTAAAGTCTCCCACGATTATTGTGTCGGAGTCTAAGTCTCTTTGTAGGTCTCTAAGGACTTGCTTGATGAATCTGGGTGTTCCTGTATAGGGTGCATATATATTTAGGATAGTTAGCTCTTCTTGTTGCATTGACCCCTTTACGATTATGTAATGCTCTTCTTTGTCTCTTTTGATCTTTGTTCATTTAAAGTCTGTTTTATCAGAGATTAGGATTGCCACTTCTGCTTTTTTTTTTTTTTTTTTTTTTTTTTTTTTGCTTTCCATTTGCTTGGTAAATATTCCTCCATCCCTTTATTTATTTTGAGCCTATGTGTGTCTTTCTTTGCATGTGAGATGGGTTTCCTGAATACAGCACATTGATAGTTCTTGACTCTATCCAATTTGCCAGTCTGTGTCTTTTAATTGGGGCATTTAGCCCATTTACATTTAAGGTTAATATTGTTACGTGTGAATTTGATCCCGTCATTATGCTGCTACCTGGATATTTTACCCATTAGTTGATGCAGTTTCTTCATAGTGTTGATGGTCTTTCTTTACAATTTGGTGTTTTTCAGTGGCTGGTGCCAGTTGTTCCTTTCTGTGTTCAGTGCTTCTTTGAGGAGCTCTTGTAAGGAAGGCCTGGTGGTGACAAAATCTCTCAGCCTTTGCTTGTCTGTAAAGGATTTTATTTCTCCTTTGCTTATGAAGCTTAGTTTGGCTGGATATGAAATTGTGGGTTGAAAATTCTTTTCTTTTCTTTGAGATTGTTGAATATTGGCCCTCACTCTCTCCTGGCTTGTAGAGTTTGTGCTGAGAGAGATCCACTGTTTGTTAGCCTGATGGGCATCCCTTTGTGGGTAACCCGACCTTTCTCTCTGGCTCCCCTTAACTTTTTTTCCTCCATTTCAACCTTGGTGAATCTGACGATTATGTGTCTTGGGGTTGCTCTTCTCGAGGAGTATCTTAGTGGTGTTTTCTGTATTTCCTGAATTTGACTGTGGGCCTGTCTTGCTAGGGAGGGGAAGTTCTCCTGGATAATATCCTGAAGAGTGTTTTCCAACTTGGTTCCATTCTCCCCGTCACTTTCAGGTACACCAATCAAACGTAGATTTGGTCTTTTCACATAGTCCCATATTTCTTGGAGGCTTTGTTCATTTCATTTCACTCCTTCTTCTCTAATCTTGTCTTCTCGCTTTATTTCACTGAGTTGATCTTCAATCTCTGATATCCTTTCTTCCGCTTGATCAATTCGGCTATTGATACTTGTGTATGCTTCACAAAGTTCTCATGCTGTGTTTTTTAGCTCCATCAGGTCATTTGTGTTCTCCTCTAAACTGGTTATTCTAGCTAGCAATTCATCTAACCTGTTTTCAAGGTTCTTAGCTTCCTTGCATTGGGTTAGAACAATGCTCCTTTAGCTCGGAGAAGTTTGTTATCACCCACCTTCTGAAGCCTACTTCTGTCAATTCGTCAAAATCATTCTCCGTCCAGTTTTGTTCCCTTGCTGGCGAGGTGTTGTGATCCTTTGGAGGAGAGGAGGTATTTTGGTTTTTGTAACTTTTAGCCTCTTTGTGCTGGTTTCTCCCCATCTTTGTGGATTTATCTACCTTTGGTCTTTGATGTTGGTGACCTTCGGATGGGGTATTTTAGTAGACGTGCTGTTCCTTTCTGTTTGTTTGTTAGTTTTCCTTCTTACAAACAGGCTCCTCTGCTGCAGGTCTGCTGGAGGTGCACTCCAGACTCTGTTTACCTGGGTATCACCAGCAGAGGCTGCAGAACAGCAAAAATTGCTGCCTGTTCTTCCCTCCGGAAGCTTTGCCCCAGAGGGGCACCTGCCAGATGCCAGCCAGAGCTCTCCTGTATGAGATGTTTGTCGGCCCCTACCGGGAGGTGTCTCCCAGTCAGGATACACGGGGGTCAGGTACCCACTTGAGGAGGCAGTCTGACCCTTAGCAGAGCTCGACCACTGCGCTGGCTGTCAGGCAGGGACGTTTAAGTCTGCTGAAGCTGTGCCCACAGCTGCCCCTTCCCCCAAGTGCTCTGTCCTAGGGAGATGGGAGTTTTATCTATAATTCCCTGACTGGGGCTGTTGCCTTTTTTTTTTAGAGATGCCCTGCCCAGAGAGGTGACATCTGGCAGTCTGGCCACAGTGGCCGTGCTGAGCTGTGGTGGGCTCCTCCCAGTTCAAACTTCCTGGTGGCTTTGTTTACACTGTGAGGGTAAAACCACCTACTGAAGCCTCAGCATTGGGGAACGCCCCTTCCCCCCCCAAGCTCAAGTGTCCCAGGTCAATCTCAGACTGCTGCTGTACTGGCAGCGAGAATTTCAAGCCAGTGGATCTTAGCTTGCTGGGCTCTGTGGGGGTAGGACCCGCCAAGCCAGACCACTTGGCTCCCTGGCTTTAGAACCCCTTCTGACGGGAGTGAACGGTTCTGTCTTGCTGGCGTTCCCAGCACCAGTGGGGTATCAAAAAAAAAAAAAACCACACACACACACACAGAAAAACAACAACAATGAAACAACAAAAAACTCTTGCAGCTAGTTGGGTGTCTGCCCAAATGGCCACCCAGTTTTGTGCTGGAAACCCAGAGCCCTGGTGGGGTAGGCACTGGAGGGAATCTGGAATCTCCTCCTGTTCTGCAGGTTGCGAAGACCGTGGGGAAAGTGCAGTATCTGGACTGGAGTGCACGGTTCCTCAGGCTCAGTCCCTCATGGCTTCCCTTGGGTAGGGGAGAAAATTCCCCGACCCCTTGCACTTCCTGGGTGAGGTGACACCAGACCCTGCTTCGGCTTGCCCTCTGTGGCCTGCACCCACTGTCCAACCAGTCCCAATGAGATGAACTGGGTACCTCAGTTGGAAATGCAGAAATCACCCACTTACTTTCTGCATTGATTTGGCATTGATTTCGCTGGGAGCTGCAGTCCAGTGCTGTTCCTATTTGGCCATCTTCTAGTTCTTCTCGATGTTTCATACTTTTAAGTGCTTTTCAGATTTGACATCTTCTCTCCTGTTTTAGACAGTTTGGGCTGCTATAACAAAGTGTCATAGACTAGGTGGCTTATGAACAACAGAAATTTATCACAGTTCTGGAGGCTGGAAGTCTGCGATCAGAGTGCTAGTGGGATCGAGTTTTGGTGAGGGCTTTCTTCTGGGTTGCACACTGCCAATTTCTCTCTGTGTCCTCACATGGTGGAAAGAGCTAGCTAGCTCTCTGGCCTCTTCTTATAAGGGTACTAATCCCATTCCTGAGGGCTCCACCCTCATGATTTAATTGCCTCCCAAAGGCCCAACTCCTAATGCCATCACATTGATCAGGGCTTCAACATAAGAATTTTGGGGGATAGAAACATTTAGTCCATAGCATCCCCATTACCCTATCTTATCATATATAGTTAGTTATCATATATAGGCATAATCTTAATAAATATCCTCTACTCTGGATTATCCCAACAGCCTTATGGAATGTTAATCTGACTTCAGCATTTTTTTTTTTAACCACTGTTATACATACCATTGGAATACCACTTTTATTTCATTACCAACCTGCTGAAAGAACTACAGTGGCTCCCAAATGCCTACCACATTGAAGCCAAATACCTCCATCTGGCTTCCCAAATTTTCAGTATGATCCAACTCCACTCAATCCAATTCAATTTCCCATAACTAACTCCACTGGGTGAGAAAAAACTCAGCCTTAGTGGGGCAAGTATCCTCACTTCTACCCTACAATGTCATGCCCATTACTGTCTCTTTGGCTTTGCTTCTGATTCTCCTTCTATAATGCAACCCTTCCTACTCTTCCCCTTCAGATGATTATTCAATCTAAGCTTCATCCTTCAGGATCCATGTTGAGTTCCACTCCCTCCACATCTTCCATAAACTCTTCCCCAAGGACCCCAGTCCTTATTATTTTCTTTTATCTTCAACTCCTTTTATCTTTCTTACTTTCATTACCATGCAGTTGAGTACTTAACTGCTCTCCAAATGTTCAAGAATTTTAGTTTTATCTCCACAGCTAATCTTCTGGATCCTTACACTTCCTATCTCCATAGCACCCAGCAAAGATGCTGGGTATATTGAAGACAGTTGATATTTTTAGATCAATTGCTTGAAATGACTAAAACTAACAGTTCAACTAAGGAGACTCCCTTTTACTGGGTCAGATATATAAAATAAGTATACAAAAATAGAACTTTCTAGAGTTGGGATTGGCAAACTAGGGCCAAATATGGCCTGCTGCCTGTTTTTGTAAATAATGTTTTATTGGAAAGCAGCCACATTCCTTCATTTATTCATGATCTGTAGCTGGTTTTGTACTACAGTGGCAGAGTTGAATAATTGAAACAGGGACCTTATAGTCTTCAAAGCCTAAAATCTTTACCATCTGTCTCTTTTCAGAAAAAGTTTGCTAACCCCTGCTCTAGAGGACAAAGTATAGTGATCTATCAATCAGTTCTTACTATTTACATCCTAGCCCACAATATCTCTTTGTAGATAAAATAAACTAATTGATTGATAGTGAAGTTACTTATAATTCTGAAATGTTTCCAGATATAATACCAAACTAAACTATAGCTGACTGATTTATTGTAAACTAAAGAGATAGATAGATAGATTTAGGGGGGAAAAGTGGAAAGCTATTTTATATCTTATATCACTAGTGAGAAATTTATCTTGGAGCTTTTCCCACTGACAGAATGAAGAGATTTTTCAGTCTTTTGCACTTTAAAGTAAGTCTGCTTATAAGGAGTAAAATTACTTTCCCTCCTGGGAAGGTACTAAGAAAACAGTAGCAGGCATAATGTGTTTTCAGAAGTCTCTTAAGTGATATATTAAGCAAAGACAATACTATATTAGAGTATAAGAATATAGGAAGAAATAAGAAATGAGGTAAAATCAAATGCCAGAAACAACTTCATATTAGCCAGCTTCTGAGGAAATCAAGGGATCGCATTACAAAACATCATCTTCAAAGTCAAATTCAGAACCACTGTGACTGGTGGTTTATCTTCATCAAAAGCAACAACATCATATCACCTTTCCTGCTTTCTATGTCCCTGTAGTTGCTGTGACCTCTCATTTTTCTCAGATATTCTTCTAATCCTTCTACTTCTTTCCATTCTATTTTCTACTTATTTAGTGGACATCCATTGAGAACCTTCCTGGTATCTATAAATAATCTAACTAGCCTCTAATTTCTTCCTTCCACTATACACCCCTGCCAGATAAATCTTTTTCAAAATCTGGGTTTTATTATTTTCCTACTCAAGAATGACTTTTAAATATAGTTTAAACGCTCTGACCAACTGCTCAGGACTTCAGAAATCTGACACTGTCCTTCCTCTCCCACTGCTGCCCGTTAGGCATCATATACTCCAGCCTAGCTGAATGTCTGGTTCTCTTTCCCCTCAAACATGTCTTTGTTCCCATTTCCCCCTCCACTTAGAATATTTTTTTCCATATTTATGTGTCCTAGTTCAATTCACACTTGAAGACCATATCATACCTCAAGTCATATGGCAAGTCAGGATTAAAGTAAGTAAGTTATGCTGCAGAAACAACACGACAAAGTTTATTTCTTGTTCACTCTCCATGTCCAACATGAGTCAGCAGTGGGGCTCTTGTAGTTTTTCATCAAGAAGTTGGGTTTTGGGCCGGGCATGGCCTGTAATCCCAGCACTTTGGGAGGCCGAGGCGGGTGGATTGCCTGAGGTGAGGAGTTAGTTAGTTTGAGACCAGCCTGGCCAACATGGCAAAACCCCATCTCTACTAAAAAAATACAAAAATTAGGCAAGATGGCTTAATAGGAACAGCTCTGGTCTGCAGCTCCCAGCAGGATTGACACAGAAGGCGGGTGATTTCTGCATTTCCAACTGAGGTACCCGGTTCATCTCACTGGGACTGGTTGGACAGTGGGTGCAGCCCACGGAGGGTGAGCCAAAGCAGGGTGGGACGTCACTTCACCCGGGAAGCACAAGGGGTTGGGGGATTTCCTGTTCCTAGCCAAGGGAAGCCATGAGAGACTTTACCAGGAGGAACAGTGCACTCCAGCCCAGCTACTGCGCATTTCCCACAGTCTTCGCAACTGGCAGACCAGGAGATTCCTTACAGTACCGGGCTCGGTGCATCCCACCCCCATGGAGCCCAGCAAGCTGAGATCCACTGGCTTGAAATTGTCACTGCTAGCACAGCAGTCTGAAGTTGACCTGGGATGCTTAAGCTTGGAGTTGGGAGGGGCATCCGCCATTGCTGAGGCTTGAGTAGGCTGTTTTACCCTCACAGTGTAAACAAAGCCACTGGGAAGTTTGAACTAGGTAGAGCCCACAGCAGTTCAGCAAGGCCACTGTGACCAGACTGCCTCTCTAGGCAGAGCATCTCTGAAAAGCAGCAGCCCCAGTCAGGGAATTATAGGTAAAACCCCCATCTCCCTGGGACAGAGCATCTAGGGGAAGGGGCAGCTGTGGGCACAGCTTCAGCAGACTTAAACGTCCCTGCCTGACAGCCAGCACAGCGGTCGAGCTCTGCTAAGGGTCAGACTGCCTCCTCAAGTGGGTCCCGGACCCCCGTGTATCCTGGCTGGGAGATACCTCCCAGTAAGGGCTGACAAACATCTCATACAGGAGAGCTCTCACTAGCATCTGGCAGGTGCCCCTCTGTGGACAAAGCTTCCAGAGGAAGGAACAGGCAGCAATCTTTGCTCTTCTGTGTAGACTTCACTGGTGATACCTAGCCAAACAGGGTCTGGAGAGGACCTCCAGCAAACTCCAGCAGACCTACAGCAGAGGAGCCCTGAGTTAGAAGGAAAACTGACAAACAAACAGAAAGGAATAGTAGCAACATCAACAAAAAGGATGTCCGATCAGAGACCATATCCGAAGGTCACCAGCATCAAAGACCAAAGGTAGATAAATCCACGAGGATGGGGAGAAACCAGTGCAAAAAGGCTGAAAACTCCAAAACCCAGAACGCCTCTTCTCCTTCAAAGGATCACAACTCCTCGCCAGCAAGGGAACAAAACTGGACGGAGAAAGAATGATTTTGATGAATTGACAGAAGTAGGCTTCAGAAGGCGGGTGACAACAGACTCCTCCGAGGTAAAGGAGCATGTTCTAACCCATTGCAAGGAAGCTAAGAACCTTGAAAACAGGTTAGAGGAACTGCTAACTAGAATAACCAGTTTAGAGGAGAACATAAATGACTTGATGGAGCTGAAAAACACAGCACGAGAACTTTGTGAAGCATACACAAGTATCAATAGCCGAACTGATCAAGCGGAAGAAAGGATATCAGAGATTGAAGATCAACTCAATGAAATAAAGTGAGAAGACAAGATTAGAGAAAAAAGAGTTAAAAGAAATGAACAAAGCCTCCAAGAAATATGGGACTCTGTGAAAAGACCAAATCTACATTTGATGGGTGTACCTGAAAGTGACGGGGAGAATGGAACCAAGTTGGAAAACACTCTTCAGGATATTATCCAGGAGAACGTCCCCAACCTAACAAGGCAGGCCAACATTCAAATTCAGGAAATACAGAGAACACCGCAAAAATATTCCTCGAAAAGAGCAACCCAAGACATATAATCATCAGATTTACCAAGGTTGAAATGAAGGAAAAAAGGTTAAGGGGAGCCAGAGAGAAAGGTCGGGTTACCCACAAAGGGATGCCCATCAGACTAACAAAGGATATTTCGGCAGAAACCCTACAAGCCAGAAGAGAGAGGGGGCAAGTATTCAACAATTTCAAAGAAAAGAATTTTCAACCCACAATTTCATATCCAGCCAAACTAAGCTTCATAAGCAAAGGAGAAATAAAATCCTTTACAGACAAGCAAAGGCTGAGAGATTTTGTCACCACCAGGCCTGCCTTACAAGAGCTCCGCAAAGAAGCACTGAACACAGAAAGGAACAACTGGTACCAGCCACTGAAAAACACCAAATTGTAAAGACCATCAACACTATGAAGAAACTGCATCAACTAATGGGCAAAATATCCAGGTAGCAGCATAATGACAGGATCAAATTCACACATAACAATATTGACCTTAAATGTAAAGGGGCTAAATGCCCCAATTAAAAGACACAGACTGGCAAATTGGATAAAGAGTCAAGACCCATCAGTGTGCTGTATTCAGGAAACCCATCTCACTTGCAGAGACACACATAGACTCAAAATAAAGGGATGGAGGAAGATCTACCAAGCAAATGGAAAGCAAAAAACAAAAACAAACAAAAAAAAAACAGAGGTTGCAATCCTAGTCTCTGATAAAACAGACTTTAATCCAACAAAGATCAAAAGAGACAAAGAAAGAAGAGCATTACATAATGGTAAAGGGGTCAATGCAGCATGAAGAGCTAACTATCCTAAATATATATGCACCCAATACAGGAGTACCCAGATTCATAAAGCAAGTTCTCAGAGACCTACAAAGAGACTTAGATTCCCAAACAGTAACAGTGGGAGACTTTAACACCCCACTGTCAACACTACTGCCAACACTAGACAGATTGAGACAAAATTAATTAACAAGGATATCCAGGGCTTGAACTCAGCTCTGGACCAAGTGGACCTAACAGGCATCTACAGAACTGTCCATCCCAAATCAAATCAACAGAATATACATTCTTCTCAGCACCACATCACACTTATTCCAAAATTGACCACATAGTTGGAGGTAAAACACTTCTCAGCAAATGCAAAAGAATGAAAATCATAACAAACAGTCTCTCAGACCACAGTGCAAACAAATTAGAACTCAGGATTAAGAAACTCACTCAAAACTCCCCAACTACATGGAAACTGAACAACCTGCACCTGAATGACTATTAGGTAAATAACAAAATGAAGGCAGAAATAAAGATGTTCTTTGAAACTAACGAGAACAAAGACACAACGTACCTGAATCTCTGGGACACATTTAAAGCAGTGTGTAGAAAGAAATTTATAACACTAAATGCCCACAAGAGAAAGCAGGAAAGATCTAAAATTGACACCCTAACATCACAATTAAAAGTACTAGAGAAGCAAGAGCAAACAAATTCAAAAGCCAGCAGAAAACAAGAAATAACTAAGATCAGAGCAGAACGGAAGGAGATAGAGACATGAAAAACCCTTCAAAACATCAATGGATCCAGGAGCTGGCTTTTCAAAAAGATCAACAAAATAGACCACTAGCCAGACTAATAAAGAATAAAAGAGGGAAGAATGAAATAGACGCAATAAAAAATGATAAAGGCGACATCACCACCGATCCCACAGAAATACAGTCTACCATCAGAGAATACTATAAACACCTCTATGCAAATAAACTAGAAAATCTAGAAGAAATGGATAAATTCCTGGGCACATACACCCTCCCAAGACTAAACCAGGCAGAAGTTGAATCCCTGAATAGACCAATAACAAGTTCTGAAATTGAGGTAGCAATTAATAGCCTACTAACCAAAAAAAAGTTGTTGAGGACCAGACAGGTTCACAGCCGAATTCGACCAGAGGTACAAAGAGGAGCTGGCACCATTCCTTCTGAAACTATTCCAAACAATAGAAAGAGAGGGAACCCTTCCTAACTCATTTTATGAGGCCAGCGTGATCCTGATACCAAAACCTGGCAGAGACACAACAAAAAAAGAGAATTTTAGACCAATATCCCTGATGAACATCAAGGCAAAAATCCTCAGTAAGATATTGGCAAACTGAATCCAGTGGCACATCAAAAAGCTTATCCACCACAACCAAGTTGGCTTCATACCTGGGATGCAAGGCTGGTTCAACATATGCAAATCAATAAACATAATCCATCACATACACAGAACCAATGACAAAAACCACACGATTATTTCAATAGATGCAGAAAAGGCATTTGACAAAATTCAACACCCCTTGATGCTAAAAACTCTCAATAAACTAGGTATCGATGGAACGTATCTCAAAATAATAAGAGCTATTTATGACAAACCCACAGCCAATATCATACTGATTGGGCAAAAACTGGAAGCATTCCCTTTGAAAACCAGCACAAGACAAGGATGCCCTCTCTCACCACTCCTATTCAACATAGTGTTGGAAGTTCTGGCCAGGGCAATCAGGCAAGAGAAATAAAGGGTATTCAAATAGGAAGAAAGGAAGTCAGATTGTCTCTGTTTGCAGATGACATGATGGATTGTATATTAAGAAAACCCCATCGTCTCAGCCCAAAATCTCCTTAAGCTGATAAGCAACTTCAGCAAAGTCTCAGGATACAAAATCAATGTGCAAAAATCCCAAGCATTCCTATACACCAATAACAGACAAACAGAGAGCCAAATCATGAGTCAACTCCCATTCACAATTGCCACTAAGAGAATAAAATACCTAGGAATACAACTTACAAGGGATGTGAAGGACCTCTTCAAGGAGAACTACAAACCACTGCTCAACAAAATAAAAAGAGGACACAAACAAATGGAAGAACATTCCATGCTCATGGATAGGAAGAATCAATATCGTGAAAATGGCCATACTGCTCAAGGTAATCTATAGATTCAATGCCAACCCCATCAAGCTACCAATGACTTTCTTCACAGAATTGGAAAAAACTTACTTTAAACTTCATATGGAACCAAAAAGGAGCCCATATAACCAAGACAGTCCTGGGCAAGAAGAACAAAGCTGGAGGCATCACACTACCTGACTTTAAACTTTACTGCAAGGCTGCGGTAACCAAAACAGCATGGTACTGGTACCAAAACAGATATGTAGACCAGTGGAATAGAACAGAGCCCTCAGAAATAACACCACACATCTACCACCATCTGATCTTTGACAAACCTGACAAAAACAAGAAATGGGGAAAAGATTCTGTATTTAATAAATGGTGTTGGGAAAACTGGCTCGCCATATGCAGAAAACTGAACCTGGACCCCTTCCTTACACCTTAAACAAAAAATCAACTCAAGATGGACCAAAGACTTAAATGTAAGACCTAGGACCATAAAAATCCTAGAAGAAAACCTGGGCAATACCATTCAGGACATAGGCATGGGCAAGGACTTTATGTCTAAAACACCAAAATCGATGGCAACAAAAGCCAAAATTGACAAATGGAATCTAATTAAGCTAAAGAGCTTCTGCACAGCAAAAGAAACTATCATCAGAGTGAACAGGCAACCTAGAGGATGGGAGAAACTTTTTGCAATCTACCCATCTGACAAAGGGCTAATATCCAGAATCTACAAAGGACTTACACAAATTTACAAGAAAAAAACAACCCCATGAAAAAGTGAGTGAAGGGTATGAACAGACACTTCTTAAAAGAAGACATTTATGCAGCCAACAAACATATGAAAAATGCTCATTTTCACTGGTCATTAGAGAAATGCAAATCAATCAAAACCACTATGAGATACCATCTCATGCCAGTGAGAATGGCGATCATTGGAAAGCCAGGAAACAACAGATGCTGGAGAGAATGTGGAGAAATAGGAACGCTTTTACATTGTTGGTGGGAGCGTAAACTAGTTCAACCATTGTGGAAGACAGTGTGGCGATTCCTCAAGGATCTAGAACCAGAAATACCATTTGACCCAGCAATCCCATTACTGGGTATATACCGAAATAATTTTAAATCACTCTACTATAAAGACACCATGCATACGTATGTTTATTGCGGCACTGTTCACAATAGCAAAGACTGGGAACCAACCCAAATGCCCATCAGTGATGGACTGGATAAAGAAAATGTGGCACATATACACCATGGAATACTATGCAGCCATAAAAAAGAATGAGCTCATGTTCTTTGCAGGGACATGGATGAAGCTGGAAGCTATCATTCTCAGCAAACTAACACAGGAACAGAAAACCAAACACCACATGTTCTCACTCATAAATGGGAGTTGAACAATGAGAACACATGGACACAGGGAGGGGAACATCACACACCAGGGCCTGTCCAGGGGGTCGGGGGCTAAGGGAGGGATAGCATTAGGAGAAATGCCTAATGTAGATGACGGGTTGACGGGTCCAGTAAACCATCATGGCACATGTATACCTATGTAAGAAGCTTCCACGTTCTGCACATGTACCCCAGAATTTAAAGTATAATAAAAAAAAAAATACAAAAATTAGCTGGGCGTGGCGGTGTGCACCTGTAATCCCAGGTACTTGGGAGGCTGAGGCAGGAGAATCGCTTGAACCCAGGAGGTGGAGGTTGCAGTGAGCCAAGATTGCGCCATTGCACTCCAGCCTGGGTGACGGAGCGAGACTCCATGTCAAACCAAACAAACAAACAAAAAACTTGGGTTTTAGAGTCTATATCTTGGCATGTGCTTCTGTGGATACCACAGGAGTAGAAAAGACATACGAGGATATGTGCACTGGCCGTTAGTGTAGCATCTTAAATTGTTCTTAAGGCTCTTAAAACTTCTGTCAGGTTTTAAAGCTTCTGCCAGGAAGTAACATATATTACTTCTGCTTCTGCTCACACTTCATTGGCCAGAACAAGCCATATCGCCATGCCCAACTTCAAAGGAGATGGAGAAGTGTACTTCAGTCCTAGGCCCAGACTAGGGTGAAGCGAGCAAGGCACTCAGGGGCAGACTACTAACTTCTCATCACCATCCTCAATAATGGGTGGCTGACTCATTTTATTGATTTGAATGAGTATGGTTAAATTTGAGAAGGACTATTTCAAACATTAAATTCATTGAATGAATACACTGGTCGATTCCTGGGCACATATACGATTCTCTTGATTTAAAGCACTTGTCTGGAAACCTTTCTCACTTACTCAAATTGTGAAATTATTCACATTGATAAAACCTTCTACTCTGGGGATCAGAATAATAGATGTTATTACAGATGACGGTTTTATTTGATCTTCTAAAACTGTTTGTCATCCATTGGTTCTAAAATTGTTCCTCAGTATAATTTGGAGCAGTTAAAACAGCAGAAAATACATAATTGGAATGAAAGCTCATTTGTTGGGATGCTTTTCTCTTCTAGGTGAGGTGCAATTCCTACAGACCAGAAGCTGCCCGAGAACAAGTCCAAATTGGTGCTCACAGTCCCCCTCAGTTTAGGTAAATGGGCAAATGGGTGACGGCAGTTTTTAACTGTACATCTCCCCCCTTCCTCCCCCACCCAGCCATCCAAGGGCTCTACCAGATAGGTGATCTGAAAAAAATCCCACATTGTGGACGTGTGATTTCCATTTTGCAGCCAAAAAATATCTGGCCACACGGAAACTAAATATCTTCTTTCATTAGTAGTAAGCTGGTTTAGTCAGCACTCTCTCACCTGAATTTCTGCTGATGGTACCTGTACATATCTAGTCTAGTGCTACATCAAGTGCCAGTGAGACTATACAAGACTCCAGAGGTAATTCGGAATCCGAATCATAGCTTTAGTATTACATCCCATTATCTTCTAGTTTTTGAAAGAGTCTCAGTAAACTGCATTATTGGACTTACTCAACTGCTTACTTTTTTGTCCAAAAAAATAGCCTTTATTGTCTTAGGAAAGGATGAGATTTGATGTACTCTGCCTTAAAACACCTAGCGCTCTGGTTTATTTTGTTTTAAAGAATATCCCCTTTAATACCTCTTGTTCTTTCACACAGTCAACCAGCAAACATGAATGAATGGCCACTTTCTAAATAGCTCTGAACACAAAGGAGGATACAAAGTATTATTCAGCAATTATAATTTATATCTAGAGTTAGAGAGTCTACATTTTGGCTTTCAGGTGGGATCATATTTTGAAACGGTAGCTTATACAAAAAAGGAAAAGGATTATGAATTGCAGTCTTATTTGTCAGAATGTATAAAACATTAAGTACAAATAAAATTAAAAGTTAATATTACTCACCCTGTACTCGGTCGTACAGGTTGACAGAAATTTTCTATAGTACCGGAAAGATAAGTATGATGAGAAACCCAAAAACCATAATAATTTATATGTATTCATTCTTTGTTTAGGGCATTATATCTGGATATCTTTATATTTAATGTTTAAACAGATCCATTAGCATATTGCAAGAAAGCCATCTAAAATTTCTTCTATATGTTAAAATCTTATTCTTAAGATCTTGCCTTAGAAATGCTTCAGAAATTGACTATAAATTACCCACTAGCATAAAAATCTAATCACTATGTTGGAAATTTCTCCCCCACTGGGCTAAACTGTCATGAAGGCTGACGGTCTCGAACGTACTAAAATGTGTTCCCACTGACCAATGGTGCAGATGAACTCACACAGTAGATTAATTACTCAACAGATAAGTTTTCAGAAACTTATTTCCTTTAACTAGTTGCCTGTAATGTTGAATTTTACAGTGCATGCTTACTAATTATCAACTGTATTCTATCTTTAACACTTGCCTAGGGTGAATCACACTATGAAATATGCATCCCTACCCATATATTCAGCTAAAACAACAAGAGGTTATGAGGATTTTTTGGATACAGTCCATTACATTTATGCAAATGCCCGTAGGTAACAAAGTCATTAGGGAAGAAATAGTCAGGGACTGAGAATGCTGAGTCTCTAGTCAACCCTTTGAACACGGAGTTGAGTAAGAAATAGAAGGGGGGAAGTTTTTTGTGTGTGTGTGTGCTGGCTTGTTACTGAGGTCTGCAGTAACTATAGATTTTGAGTGCAGCAGAAATCACACAATGGCAATACCACTTCCAAAAGGCAGCTACAATCAAAGTGCTGAGTAGGAATCCAGTCTTTGCTGTAGTTGGAAGCCTGTAAGAATGTGACATATTGGAGCTAACTCCAGTGAAGAATTATCAGTAATAACTAGATACCATTCATTAATTGACTGATTGTTGCATTAATCAAATTCTGGGCAACTGTGAGCTTCCCATACCTAACACTAATTCAGAGAAAATGTTTTGCAGATTGAATGAATTCTTTAAAAATAGCTGGAAATGCAACAACATGGATGACTCTTATAGACATTATATTCAGTGAAAGAAATCAAAGACCAAACAGTACATACCATGGATTCCATTCACATGAAGTTCAAAATCAGGCAAAGCTATGGCAATAGAAGTCAGAATAGTAGGTTATCTTGGGAGATGCTGTTGGTATGGAACAGGCAGGAGCCTTCTGGGTGCTGGAATGTCTTGATCTGGCAGATAGTAATATGGGCATATACACACAAAAACTGGCAAGTCCTACGTTTAATATTTTGCATACTTTATGTCAGTTATACTTTCCATAAAGTTTTTAAAAAGTTAGAAAAACTAATATTGGTGATGATACAGTTTTAAAAGAATTTTGAAGACTGTTCGAAGAGTAATAGGGGCATGTGCTTGGCATTCAGGAGATGCTGGATCTAGTCTGTTAATTTTTTCTGGAAATTTACTTAATCATTTTGGGCTTTAGTTGTCTCCCTGTAAACAGATTAAAAGAATGCCAACCTTCTTTCTAGCAATATTCTGCTACAGTTTTATACAGAACCTGTTGATGTGCAAGAATTATATGACATATGCTTTGACATATCGTTTTTCAGGGTCAATGGTGCAATTAGTAACTTTGAAGAATTCCAGAAAGCTTTTAACTGTCCACCCAATTCCACGATGAACAGAGGCATGGACTCCTGCCGACTCTGGTAGCTGGGACGCTGGTTTATGGCATCCTGAGACAGTTGCACAGTGCCAGCGGAGGCTGCACTGAGCCTTCATCGCCCATTGCTTTAGGCCTGGAGACTTTCATTTTTAGTGCATTTTCATTATTTGGGTAGGTGACCTGCTTGGATCTAGACAGCATCTGTTCAAAGTTGTAGGGCTTATAAAGTGGAATATAAGAATGAACTAAGTATGTTTCTTTAGAAAATCAAACCAACAAAAATAAATCCCTAGGCTACTTTTGTTAAAATGCTATCTGCTAAATTGTTGCTATTGTCCATTTTAGGGTGTTGGCCACAGTTATGTGGTACATAGCATTTCAATCTATAGCTTTGTGGGAAGCCTAAATTGATGTATCCTTTAAAAGTTCAATCTATTAAACTTGTAGCCTCTCAATGATGAAGACATGTGCATGAATACCTGGGAGGGCTTGCTGCTCTGTGGAATGCAGTGCACGTTTTTATGGACAGTAATTACACAGCATTCCTCAACTGTAAGGTAGTTAAATTAGAAATATGTTTGATCTCCATTTTACACTTTTTGATGAAGTTCTTGCCTTCAGCTTTGGAGTCTGTTGGAATGAAACTGTGTCTCACAGCTTGCATCTGATGTAGCAGATTGCCCTGTTCAAGTCAGCATGAACAAAGCTCGCAGAAAGGCTACTAGGTAACGGATTTGAGTTTATTCAGTAGAAAAAAAGGGAATGAGGACATATCTTTAGGTCCCAGAAGCAGCAAAACCTCCTAGTTACATAACAGCAGGGAAACTAGGAGATGAAATCTCCAAAATTTTGTCCAGTCTGTATGAACTGCAGTGATTGTCTGTCTGCTAGACACTTTTTTTTAGCCTAATTCTTGTTCGTTTCATTACCTTCATATGTGTGCATTGTACTGGTTTTGAAATGAGCAGACATTGAGAAAACAATTTTCTGATTCCCCATTAGGAACATATGATTTTCATTTCCCTTTAGTGCAAAGGAACAAACATCACATTGAGGAGGGAGAAGTGTACCCTTCTTTTTCAGCTTAATGTTACCTCTCTTTAAAAAAAAAACATTTTTGAAAAATTTCTTGACTGATGACATTCTAGAATTTATTGATTCAATTTAAAATTCCCTGCATAGTCCAAATAAACATAATTTTTACTCTTCAAGTCATCTAAAGAGTTGTGAGAAAGAGCAGTACTATGTGTTTTATCCTTAGAGCATTATCCTTCTAAGTGAACTCCTTTCTTATTACTGAGCGTGTGTGTGTGTGTGTGTGTGTGTGTGTGTGTAGGATAAAATTGTAATGGCCTTAAAGTTGTTACCTGGCATTTTTGGTTTCTTAAAATAGGCATCCCCCTACTCCCTTTACATTATTCATTAGACATGAGGTGCTGGGTTAAGTGGGCCAATAGGAAAATCTCAAAAGCAAAATGACAAATTCAGATTAACCACAGGAAGCCATTGTGTGTCCCTGTGATTTGTGATTCTTTTAAAAAAAAAAAAAATATATATATATATATATATATATATATATATGTATATCTACCTAAGTGTGTGCCATGTCCTTTTGTAGCCATGGGAACGTTTGAATGGAGAAAAATGGAGGGGCACCATCATGAGGAAACAATTATACTGCATTAGTCAGAGGAGAGCGATTTTCCCTTTGACTTCTTCCTCTCTGAATGGATAAACTTGTGAAGGGCAGCTACCTTGTCCTCCTCTTAACCTGGCTTAATGTGACCTTAGTTTGTATTTCCAAAAACAAGCAGTATTAGGTTGGAATTGTATGTGTCTTTTCTCTGGAGGAAGCATTCTGACTTGGTTTAGACATATAAGATACTCTGTTTTATTCCTGGACTTGGGTGTTTAAAATCAGCTGAGGTTTATCATGCTTATATGAATAGTGTTTCCCTTCTAGATTTCCTTTATAAACTCCAAATAAACACATTCCTGCAGGTCAGAGAAAGTGTTTGATAAAAGCATAGAATTATGGCTTTGGAAAGACAAACTAAGTCACTTGTTGGTTTAGCAAAACTGGTTGGTGATTAGTTGGGGCCCTCACAGTTTCTAGATGAGAAGCTTACCTTATCCTGATTAACTTTACTTGCTGTAACTGTTATACCGAAAATTGTAGGTAGGATGTCCATTACTCAAACAAAGCAGAACAAAACAACAAACCAAAAGCAGCAATACCAAATCATCACTACTAGCTAGAACAATGAGAAGGATTGAATTTCCAAATACATGCTTATGTTTAACTCAACTCTTCCAATTACATTCTCATTGTCCTTTCTCTTGGATACCGATTGCTAAGATAAACAGACACTGATTAAGTGGTAGAAAGAGAAAGGTAAAATGCAACTGGAAGGGAAAGAAAAAAGTAGGGAGAAGCTGGCCTATGGATGTGGCTTTGAAGAGAAGACAGGATTTTGGCATTCCTTGCTAAGCACGTTCAATGGAGGAGAGCCATGAAGTTTTACAAAAATAATTATGGTAAATTAAAAGGATATTAGATATTGGATCTCAGACTAGGGCTGCTATAATACAGTTCTCTGATTCGCACACCAGATGTTCTGCCAGCGAACTGTTGTCTGGGCATTGGAAGGAGTTAGGTTTTTTGTGTTTGTGAAAATCTCCTGGATTAGTAAAAAAATTTTCTAGATATAAAGTGGTTTTATTTGGGCTCATGACCATTGCCCAAAGTGTACTGAGCTTTTCACTAAGTGCTCAGCATTGGCCTCCTGTTCTCATTTATTCATTTTATGAGATGGACTTGGACATCACTAATGCAAACACAGGATTCATAAATTATTCTGAAGTTTATTTAGTGCCTTGCCTCAATGGAGCTTAAAGCATAGCACATAAATTTTATCTTATTTAGCCCTGGAGCATCACTAAGAAGCAGCTAGGAACTATGGCTTGCCAGACAGATTATGCTTGTGCCAGAGAAGTGGAGAAGCCTGAAATCCCTTGTCAAGTATTCCACAGGAAGGAAAGGTAGTCTTTGGGCTTTGGTCTACTGACCTGTGGATTAAACTCTATCCCTTAGATTATCCCATTTCTAAATACATTTATTCAATCAGTATTTCTATAATCACTTAGCATTTGATAGGCTTCTTCCTTGATACATTTAACATAACGCCTCAGTTGCATATTACATTATGGAAGAATATACGATTGCTTCATATAACAACATTCTCATCACCAGTGACAGTGTCCTACTGGTTTGAAGAAAGATATTCTTGGATTATGTGTTTTATATCTAAATGGTTATTCTGAGACTGGTTGTATTTTCTTCTCCTACTCGTGAAACGATGTGAACAAGCATTTTAAGGACAATAAAAAGTTAGCTGGTTGAAGGCTTTCTGTGTCTTTCTTTTTTAAAAATATTAAAATCTATTAGATCTGTTAACATATTCCGTCCTGTTTTACACAACATTTGCCAAAAAATAGTGTACAATAACTATACTTACTAGCTTTCTTGGCTTAGAAAAGTGAGATTTGAATGCAGTAACTTTCTCCATAGACAAGAAGGTATTTAAGAGGTTGTCATTATATTTTCTTCCAGAATGTAAGTCAGCAGATACGGTTTATTGCCTTTGTAATAATATTTCTATAGAGAAAGTGATGCCTCTGAGGAAATTATCAGCGATGACAGGGGATAGGGCTGATCTCACAAAAGTGACAATGAACATCACAGTTACTATCAAATCAAACAATCTCTGTGTTATCATCATTCTTTAACAATCCAGTCAATTTATAGTTATTCATTCAGCACACAGTAACTGAGCACCCATTATATTTAAATCACCAAACTAGCTATATTTAGGTGGATAATATACAGTGTCTGGGCTTCAGTGAACAGTCTGGTCTAACATGGGAGATGGATATATAAACTGTTTCAATTACCCTACTGAGTGATTATGATATATAAGTAAATCAGGTTGTGGTTTGGAACACAGAGAAAGAATTCTTCAACTTTTGTCTGGTGGATACTATTGGTGTTTCCTCTGCGCAGATCCCAGCAAATTCCTTTTACTGGGTGGCCTTATCTCATCTTCGGTCTGCTTTTGTTTCTAATTGGCTGTGGCTCTCTAGGATGGCTGCCCTCATGCTACTGGAGCCTCTTTGCCCAATGCACTTTCAGAGAACTGGAAGTGCCTCGTGACCCTTAGACAGTGACTGAGTGGTATGGGACTCCGCATGCCTGACTACCTCCCGGAGTTCAGACAAATCCAGAGGCATACAATAGAATTTATACTGATTTCTCTGTGGTGTCTTTCTTTTAGCATTATGCTGACAGTGCAAATTGAGTCCCCTGTTGATTAAACACCTTTCTGGCACTGATATGTTCTAAGATCTGGAAAAGGCCGGGTGCAGTGGCTTACGCCTGTAATCCCAGCACTTTGGGAGGCCGAGGTGGGTGGATCACGAGGTCAGGAGATCGAGACCATCTTGGCTAACACAGTGAAACCCCGTCTCTACTAAAAATACAAAAAATTAGCCGGGCGTGGTGGCGGATGCCTGTAGTCCCAGCTACTTGGGAGGCTGAGGCAGGAGAATGGCGTGAACCCGGGAGGCGGAGCTTGCAGTGAGTCAAGATCACGCCACTGCACTCCAGCCTGGGCGACAGAGCGAGACTCCGTCTCAAAAAAAAAAAAAAAAAAAGATCTGGAAAAGTAATGGTTTGTAGGATCCTAGGTCAGCCCTTCTGTGTAGTAGGTCATATCATCATCATGTACAGGAAATGGACATCAGATGGCACAGACTGTGGGTAATAAGTAGCTGAGTATGGCCTGTTTGTGCCCTTCTTGGAGAGTTTATCCTAGTTTCTGAGCTGATCCATGAAATGGGAATTTTTGTGTATAGGGAAGTGGCACAAGGAAAGATGCATATAAATGACAGTGTTACATATGTATCTAAGTGGACCTGATCAAAATTTGCAAGAGGCTGTTTCCAATTAGGTTTAAGATATTTGCATGTGCCTCAAGTTCACTCGCTTTTTTTTATTAAGATCACACTAGCTGTAGAAACAGATAATGGCTTAACCCAATTTATTTCTTGTTTTCATTACATACATAATGGATATTAATTATCAGTGAGTTTCTCTCCTCTAACTGGTGACTCAGGGACCCAGCCTCCTTCCATATTATGGTTCTGCCATTTTCAACACATGATTTAATGTATGCTCATCTATAAGAAGCCAGTGGAGGGAAAAAGGCCATGGAAGATACTGAGTGGAAGATTTGCAATTGTCCTTGAAGTTGTCTACATTACTTCTGTTCATATTCCATTGGCCAAATCTAACTGCAGGGGAGGCTGGGACATGTAGTCTAGCTGTGTGCCCAGAATGAAGAGCAAATGGGTTTAGTTCTCAGGGAGCATTCCCAGGCACACCTTATAAAGTGACGTATGGGGCAGTAACTTTGAGTTCTTCTGAATTTAGAAAATTGCTTTTGAGCACGGCACAATGAAAACTGAAAATGCCATTGGTAGCCTGCAGTTTATTCTGTAGGAGTCTTTTTAATTAACAGCTTAATTGGATAATTTAATCCCCGTTAGAATTGGAGATATGCAAATGAAAATGAGATACTCCCTATGATCTGACAATACTGTGCTTTAATAAACACACCAAAGTGAGCCTGGAAATGAGCACCACAAAAGCATTACCATGATTTGTGATCAGTGAAAGAAAACCTGATCTATAATTTTAATCATTCCTAAATGGTTTAGATACATGTTTCATTTGAATGTGTATTTTGTTTTGTTAATTGGTTCAATTAGAAAGGTAACTGAACATAAGAATCTGTGGCAAAGCCATGAATTTATAATATGTTCTAAGCTTTTAAAATATATACCATTGAGAAAGTAACTAAAATACCCTACAAAATACTGTTGAAAGTGCAGTATTTTCCAGTATTTTCAGATAATTTATATACAATAGTTTTTACTTCTCCATTGATTATGAGATGAAAAATACTACTTACCATATTCTTGTTATATGCTTTCTCCACTTGAATGAGAAATTGAGGCTCAGAGTCCAAGAAATGAAGATGAGTGTCCATGTACAAGCCACAAAAGTGCTGTTCTAATTAATTCTGGCCGGAGACTCCACTTTACAGAGAAAGAAAAACTGAGTAAGTTAAAATCCCAGTGTAAAAAGCTACCTAAAATATTGAGTATCATTTTCCCTGCCAGTTTGGCTGAAATGTCTGCAAATGTCCTAGACAAAAAAAGTGGTATAGTTTACCATTTGGAAGTACACTGTGTTAATTTCCAAATTGATTTAGAAGTCAGTGGAATCCCAGTACTTGGATAACAGTCAGACAGCCCTCCCACCCCAGTGACATTTGATGAATGTCAAAAATAGCCCAAAGCATATTTATTCCAAAGTTGACCAGATTTTCAATTGGCATTTGTATTTTTTTTTTTTTGGCCTAATAATAATCGTAGTGAAAATGGCTTCTGTTTGTTGACACCCACTATGTCCTAGGCACTCTGCTGGGGCATGCCTGCTTTATGGCCAGTCCTCACAACAATCTTGCACATAGTTGTTGCTATTCCAACTTCACAGGTGAGAAACACGTGACTTGTCAAGATCACATTAGTAACTGCAAGAGCCAGAAACAGTCAGTTTTGTCTAACTTCAGAGCCCATTCTCGAATGTTCTCCTGGGATATAGAACAATGTTAACATGATTGTAACCTGTGACTTACTGAAGACTTCAGGTTATACTTCTATAGTAATCTGTTAGAAAATAATGTAAAGATAGGAGTCAGTTTACAATAATTTATACTTACTGGTAGTTTCAAGTCCTTCAGAAAGGATTCTAGATACTGCTCTTTACTGATAATGCTTGTTACCATTTATTATCTATAACGTGCCAAACATGTACTAAATACCTTATTTATATTATCTAATTTAATTATCACAACAACTGGGATACATATTATTATCTCTACTTCACAGGTAAGAGACCTGAGGCTTGGAGAGGTTAATGACTTCATTCATGATCATTTAGCTAGCAGCTGGCAGCATGGATTTGAATCCAGTTTGGTCTAAGTGCTTTCTTAGGCAAACATTAACTATGGTAACTCTTAAGTCCTGGATGTCCAGGCTGGGGCATCCCCTCAGTTCAGCTGGCAGACCTCCCTGAAATCTACCTGTGATCAGCCCCATGATTACCCTCACCCTGTCTGTTCAGTCCCTGAAACCGAAAAGTTTGCAGGTTACTTTCTCCAGACAACAAAATCTTTGTGGCCCTGCCTATGGGTAGTTGAGAGACTTTCAAGCAGTCACCTTGGTTTTGACCCTATGATGCATTCTTTTTAAAATTTTTTTAAGATTTGACAACACTGTGTGTATTTATCATGTACAACACGATGTTCTGAAGTATATGTACACATTATGGAATGGTTAAATCTCACTAATTAACAATTGCATTACCGCATGCAGTTATTTTTTGTGGGGAAAGCACTTAACATTCACTCTCTCTGCATTTTTCAAGAACATAATAAATCATCATTAACTACAGTCACCTTGCTGCACAATAGATCTTTTGAATTAATTCCTTCCATCTAACTGTAATTATGTATCCTTTGAACAACCTCTCCCTATCTTCCCCACCCCTCAGTCTCTGGCAGCCACCATTCTACTCTCTACGTCTATGAGAACAACTTTTGAGATTTCACAGGAGTGACATCATGCAGTATTTATCTTTTTGTTGTCTGGCTTATTTCACTTAACATAATGTGCTCCAGGTTCATCCATGTTGTCACATGTAACAGAATTTCATTATTATTATTATTATTATTATTTTGAGACGGAGTCTCGCTCTGTCGCCCAGGCTGGAGTGCAGTGGCGCGATCTCGGCTCACTGCAAGCTCCGCCTCCCGGGTTCAGGCCATTCTCCTGCCTCAGCCTCCCGAGTAGCTGGGACTACAGGCGCCCACAGCCACGCCCGGCTAATTTTTTGTATTTTTAGTAGAGACGGGGTTTCACCGTGTTAGCCAGGATGGTCTCGATCTTCTGACCTCGTGATCCGCCCGCCTCGGCCTCCCGAAGTGCTGGGATTACAGGCGTGAGCCACCGCGCCCGGCCCAGAATTTCATTATTTTTTATGGCTAAATAATTTGCCCTTGTGTATATATACCACATTCTTCCTCCCTTGATGGACGCTAAGGTTGATTCTACCTCTTGGCTATTGTGAACACTACTGCAATAAACATGGGAGTGCAGATATCTCTTCAACATACTCATCTCATTTCCTTTGGGTATATACTCAGTAGTGGGATTTCTGGATCATATGGTAGTTCTAGTTTTAATATTTTAAGGAACTTCCATACTGTTTTCCATAATGGCTGTACTAATTTACATTCCCACCAACAGTGTGTAAGGGTTCCCTTTTCTCCATATCCTTGCCAGCACTTGTAGCTTTATCATGCATTCTGACATTTGCTGTTACCTAGAGCTTCCAAATCCTGAGGCATTCTGGTATTCTACAGAGTATTTCAGTTTGCTTCTAGTAGGGGGGTCTAATATTTTTGTCTATGTAGGTTTATACCTTTCAAAAGATATATTTTTAGCTTTTTGAAGTGAGAGGGTGAGCAGATCTGCATCCGAGTCTCCTACATTCAACTGGAAGTCTACATTTAATTTTTTAAATGGGGATATTTAATAAAAATTTATTTGGAAAGAAATGCTGCTATAGATACAGTTCTATATGGAATTATTGCCTTTCCCCGGTAATGTCTGTAACTAAAGAGTCTAAAGTTTCCTTTAAACTGTTGAATACTAGGAGGTTTTATTTTACACAGAAACCCATCCTATTTTTTCTTAGTTAATTTAATAAAATAAACACACACGAACATTTGGTATTTTTCATTTCTCCTAAAGACATAGAACTTAGCCTTTGGAGAATTCATCAGAGATTGAAGGAACCTATCTCTGTGTACCTTCCGAAGTTGCCTAGAGTGGATTTGTCACAAATGCTGTGGAGGAAATTTTTACATATCAACAAGGGCTAAGCTCGCTCCTTGGAGATTCACATTTCAACTCTCATTTGCACACACATAGAGTCTCTGGTGCAGATTGAGTTTGAGTTAATGCACATAGCTTGTTGGGAAGAAATCAATCAAAAACCTTTTTAAGGATAAATGGTTCTTTAGGAACAGAAAGTTCAGTATCTCAATTTTATTATAAGCATTGAATAAAAACCATTTTAAAACATGCAGCATATTAAAACTACAAAAGGCGCTAATAATAAAGGTATTCCCTCACCTAGGTCAGTTGGTGATATGTACTAAGTGATATTTAGAATAAGGAAAAAAATCAACTGTCATTTAATGTCTGCCTACAACACATGAGGCAGAGTGCTAGTTGTCATATTGCAATTTGAGTAATCCAGGACTCTGGTGACTTTAGCCCAAAACTTCACGAACAGTATTATAACAGCCTTGTCATTCCTACGCTTAAGAAACCTTTAGCGATGTTTTTCATGGTGTTTACAATAACATCGAAACAACTTTCCCTGACTTAAAGGGCCTACAGGACCTGGCTCTCTGTTTCTGCTGTCACTTCTTCATAGCCTTTTTCTAGCTCCATTGGTGGTCTTTCTGTTTCTGTAAATTTACTAAACTTTCTCCTACCTTCTCAGTCTCAGGGCCTTTGCTGCTTTGCCTGAAATGCTTTTTGTATGTCTTTCACATAACTTCATTGAAATTAGGCCCCTTAACTATGTAGTCTATCACCTCACCTGCCTCACACCTTCATAGATCTTACCACTGTTGCTAGTTTTCTCCTTCCTTCCTCCCTCCCTCCTTCCCTCTCTCTCTTCTTTCCTATTGTTTGTCTTCCTCCACTGTCTTGTAAGTCCCATGATATTAAAACTTTCTCCGGGGCTAGGCATGTTGACCCGTACCTGTAATCCCAGCACTTTGGGAGGCCGAGGTGGGAGAATTGCTTGAGGCCAGGAGTTTGAGACCAGACTGGGCAATATACTGAGACCCAGCTTCTAAAAAAAAAAAAAAAAAAAAAAATTAGCTTGGCATTGTGGAGCATACCTGTAGTCCTAGCTACTCAGGAAGCTGAAGCTGGAGGATAGCTTGAGATCAGGAGGTTGAAGCTGCAGTGAGGTATGATTGTGCCACTGCACTCCAGCCTGGATGACACAGTGAGACCCCGTCTCTAAACCAAAACAAAACAAAAAAAATAAGCCTTTCTTTTGTTTATTACTATATTTCTAGCATCACCACTATATTTCCAGCACTCAGAACAGGGTCTGAAAAATAATAGGCCCTTGAATACACATTTAGTAAATGTGTTCTTTCATTTCACCCATAAATATTGATCATTTACTACGTGCTTGGCACTCTTTAGGGGCTGCTGAGGATATTGCAGTAAACCAAACAGATAGAAGGTCTTGCTTCCATAGAGCTTATACTCTAGGAGACAGACAATAAAATAAATAAGTGAAACATGATATAGTAGATGGTAATACTTGTTATGGAGGAGAGAAGAGGATATAATATGTGGATGTCAGAGTGTTGCAAATTTAAATAGCACGGTCATGAAGATGTTTGAGCAAGAACCTATCTTGGAGAAGAGCCTTCTTGGCAGAGGCAGGAGTGAGTCCAAAGACTTAGTGGTAGGAGCATCCCAGGACATTTGTAGAAGAGCAAGGAAACTAGTGTGGCTGGAGCAGAGCGAGCAAGGAAGAGTGCAGAATGAGATGATGTCAGGATGAAAACAACAACATTCAGCTTGTCTATGGTCATATAGGCTGCTGCAAGAACTCTTCTTCTCACTCTGTGTGAGATGGGAAGCCACTGGAGAATTTTGAGCAGAAAAGTGACAAGATCCAACCTATGATTTCCATGATGACTCTGGCTGTGTTGAGAATAGACCGTGGCTGAACAGGGGAAGAAGCATGAAGACCAGTTAGGAAGTGGTTGCCATCATCCCAGCAAGAAATGATGGTGGCCGTGTCGAGGAGAGGAGCAGGGGAGGAAATGAGTGAATGAACGATAATAAAATTTAAGAAAGAAACGCTCCATCATCCTGTTACTTTGAAATTTCCGCCTATTTCTTTTGTATTTGTGTTTTTCCATAGCCCCATGTATAAATATATGGCATAATTTTTATTCAGAGGATAATATGATTTTGAATCTTTTTCATCTAATAGCATCGGCCTGCGTCCATAGGTGCTTCAAAATCTTTTTTTTTTTTTTTTTGAGATGGAGTCTCACTCTGTTGCCCAGGCTGGATACAGTGGTGCGATCTCGTCTCACTGCAACCTTCGCCTTCCGGGTTCAAGTGATTCTCTTGCCTCACCCTCCTGAGTAGCTGGGATTATGGGCGCAAGCCACCACGCCCGGCTAATTTTTGTATTTTTAGTAGAGATGGGGTTTCACCATGTTGGCCAGGCTGGTCTGGAACTCCTGACCTCAAGTGATCCACCCACCTGGGCCTCCCAAGGTGCTGGGATTACAGGCATGAGCCACCACACCTGGCAAAATCTTCCATTTTTAATGGCAGAATGATATTCTTTAGAGTTTCTGTGACATAATTTGTTCAATTATTTCTATTTAGAAATTTATTATTGATTTCATTTATCACTATTGTAAATAATAGAGATTAAAATCTTGATATGTAGATTTATTTTCTTTCCTATAGGTTGTTTCCTTAAAATAAATACTTAAGAGTAAATTTACTTCATCAAAGGATGCAGGTATATGCTGTTGTGGCTTTTGAAATGCACTAACAAATTGCGTTCTAACAAGGTTGTATGCATGCGGGTACCTACCGGTTTTACAATAGAACTGGATCAGAAGTAGGTCCTGCTCGTAAGAAAGTTACAATATAATGTGGGAAGAAGATGTGTAAACCATCAGCTGTAATAAAAAGCACAATGAAGAACAGTGTAAGAAGGTACCACATTTAGAAAAACCTTATCAGCTTTAGGTGTTATTAATTTCATTTTTAGTAACTTTTGCATTCATTAAATAAGTAAGGCTGAATGCAATGGCTCACGCCTGTAATCCCAGCACTTTGAGAGGCCGAGGCAGGTGGATTGCTTGATCCCAGGAGTTCAAGACCAGCCTGGGCAACATGGTGAAACCCCATCTCTACCAAAAAACATACAAATTAGCAGGGCATAGAATGTGCACCTGTAGTCCCAGCTACTGGAGAGGCTGAGGAGGGAGGATTACTTGAGCCCGGGGGGTTGAGACTGCAGTGAGCCATGATTGCGCAACTGCACTCCATCCTGAGTGACAGTGAGAACCTGAAGTAAGTAAGTAAATAAGTAAATAAATAAAGCGTGACTGGTTGTTTAATTTTACCAATTTGCTTTTTTGTTTTTACCTCTCTTGATATAAATTACCCACATATCAAGGCCCTTCACCCATTAGGCTATTAAGATTTTGATTTTTTCTCATTCTCCTAAAAAGACACATGCACACGTATGTTTATTGCAGCACTACTCGCAACAGCAAAGACTTGGAAGCAACCCAAATGTCCATCAGTGATAGACTGGATAAAGAAAATGTGGCACATATACACCATGGAACACTATGCAGCCATAAAAAGGATGAATTAATGTCCTTTGCAGGGACATGGATGAAACTGGAAACCATCATTCTCAGCAAACTAACACAAGAACAGAAAATCAAACGCCACATGTTCTCACTCATAGGTGGGAGGTGAACGATGAGAACACAGGGGCACAGGCACAGGCAGGGAAACATCGTGCACCAGGGCCTGTCGGGGGTGGGGGGCTAGGGGAGGGATAACATTAGGAGAAAGAGCTAATGTAGATGACGGGTTGATGGGTGTAGCAAACCACCATGGCACGTGTATACCTATGTAACAAACCTGCAAGTTCTGCACATGTATCCCAGAACTTAAAGTATAATAATAAAAAAGATTTTGATTTTTTTCTTATCAATTAGGTAAGTTTTTGTTGCTTATTATTCATAGACACTTACTTAGCTAGAAAACAATTCTGCTACTCTCTGATCCTCATCTTTGTACATTTGTAAGTAGTGGCGTTCCTTTGTAAGGTAATGTAGATGGGCAAAATAGTTCACATAATTTGTCTTACTGAAATAAACTTTATACAGAGAAGTACAAAAGAGTTAACACAAATTTAGGAGGTATACAATGTTAAGTGTACATCAGTTAACCGAACAAATATTTATTGAAGCACTTAATAGATATTATTCTAGGGTTGGGAATATGATGAATAAGGTTGTAGTTTCCAATTGTTTAACAATTTGAAAATTACTCATAAGGAATAGTAGATATATAAATAAATTTCAGCAGTGTAATATATAATTGAATAGAGGTGAACACAGAGTTCTTTGGAAATAAAACTGGATAAAAGTATTTATAGAGCTAAGCAATGAAAAAATTCTAATGGCCTCAGCTGTGAAATAAAAATAATACAAAATGAATAAGGCAGACAACTCAATAGAAAATTGGGCAGACGACTTGAACTAACCACAAAAGAGGATATTCCAAATTGCCAACAAATAGATGGAAAGGTGCTTAACTTCACTAGTCATGAAGGAAATGCAAATTTAAGCCACAACATGATTCAACTATTTACCCCCTCCCCTCTAGAATGGCTAAAATCAAAAAGCATTTAGACAAGCAGAACTCTCATAGACTGCTGGAGGGAGTATACATTTGTATGGCCACCTTGGAAAACTATTTAACAGTATCTTCTAAAGCTGAATATACTTGTATCCAATGACCCAGCAATCCACTCCTAGGTATTAAGTTGTCATCTTAGTAGGTAAACAATGGTTGAATATTGGCAATTTTATATTGCTTAACCTAACGTATACCCAGCAGAAATGCACACCTATGTTCACCAAAAGATGTGGAAGAATTTCATAGAAGCACTATAAGAGTCCCAAAATAGAAAGTATCCAAATGCCCATCAACAACAGAGAAGGTAAATAATCGAATACTGATCTACAATAACAAGAACAAACAAACTGCAACTACATGCAACAAGATGAGTGTTTCTCACAAACATAAGTTGGATGAAAAAAGCCAAACACAAGAGAGAACATACTTCATGATTCTACTTACATAAAATATAAAAATATGCAAAACGAATCTGTTAGAAGTCAGAGGAGTGGTTACTCCTTGGGGGTTAGGAACTGGAAGGGTTCACAAGGTGGGGCTTTTGAAGTTCTGGTAATGTTGGGTTTCTTGATCTGGATGCTTTTTACATTAATGATTTGTGCACTTTTGTATATGTATGTGTATTGCATCAAAAAGTTTTAAAAAAATAACATTAAAATAAATATAAGAAAGTCCAAGTAAGTCCTCATTTTTTCCCCACAACAATCACTTTGATGCTTTTCTAGGGAAATACTGAATATCAAATTCTTTTAAAAAGCTTTTCTCCCCTCATTTTTGGAGCCCTTTTTTTGCTGGCAATGGTAGGTAATCCTGTACTTGTTGTAGGAACACAGGTAAGAGACTAAACTGGGTGTGGGGTCCTGGCTGGGAAGCTTTCCTGGAAGAGATGAAGCTGGACCTGAGTTTTGTAGCATCCATCAGAGACAGCCAGGGAAGCAAGTGGATGGCAGACAGTTCCAGGGAGAGAGGCCAGGCTACTCGAAAGCGAAAAGGTATGGTAGGGAAAGAAAGAGAACCCACTGAGAGGGAGTGGACAGAGCTTGCTGGAGCTAGAGCTTGAAGAGTAGCTGAGGAGGGGTTAATGATTGATAAGCAAGAGAGTTTGGCAAAGGTCAGACAGAGAAAGATCTTAAAGGGTCATGATACTGAGCTTGGACTTAATCTTGTAGGCATCTGGGAACCACTGACCAATTTAAATCAAACAGGTGACACAATTAAGTTTCTACTTAATAAAGAGTAAGATGGTGATGGTGTGAGAAATACTTGAAGAGGGTTAAGAAGACTGGAGCCTGGGGGACCAGTTAGGAGGCCATTGCAGTAATCCATGGGAGATACGGCAGGCTGGTGGTATGGGATGGAGAAGTAGGGATAGACATGAGAGCTATTGAGGAGACAGTTGTTCTGACAGGACTCAGTAATTGATGGGTTTGAAATTGACATGTAGGCATGGTACTTTTTTTTCTAGTAAAAAAAAATTGGTAGAACCTTAATTATGATAAATGATAAAACACATGTGCCTTTGTCCTTATTCCCCCCTTTAACACCTTTTTACAGGTGTATACATCAAAGGATGTTGCCATGACGAACGAGAGAACGCTTACCAATGATTTCCCATTGCTGCTTGGAATGAAAACCCAATGACACATTTCAAAATTTTGCAGTGGTAAATCATGTAGGTCATCTTATTGCACTACCATGCAAACTTCTTGATTTTGCCAAATCAGTCAGTTGAGAGGAAAAAGGAAAAAAGTGTTACCTATATATACTGTCATATACTATTGTAAACAAAAAACAATCCGTATATAGGTTTATATGATTATACAGTACAAAACTATGTACACACATGAACAAACATACATATATGTATATACACACTAGAAGCTTAAACAGCTATGTGACACTTGAGATTTTTATATACAGACTTTACCAGGGTATACAAAAAATAACATAAATTTTTACTTAATTTTCCCTGTCTTTTTAATGGTTCCATTTGGGTGGGGGAGGATCCAGAGGATTTTTTCCTCACTTTAATTACCTCATTGCATTTCCTTCTTTTCGATTTTGGTTTTTATAAGCGGGAACACTGTGTTAATCCATTCTAATTAAAACCCAGCCATGCAACCCTTCAGTTAAATAAACAATTTTTGAGTCTGCCTAGGATATCATTTAGTCAGAAATTGTCTCTATGGCTTTGGAAATGATCACCACTACAGTGCTCTGGTAGCCACAGGGGCAATGTCTTCACAGGCTGATTTTCTAAAAATACCAGGAATTGGCCAAGAGCCCTTGTTCTGGGGAAGGGTTCAGAGTTCTTCCACAGGGGCCTAACAGAGTGCAGAAATGTATATTCCTATAGAAAAAGAAGAGGGTAGGAGTTATGGAAGGGGCAAAAGAAATGACCCAAGTGCACCTCCTGCTTGTCCACAGAACACCTCTTTGCCTTCCGGCTGCTGGAGGAGCTATGCTATTCTTAGCCATCTCCCGTGAAGGCAATTACACAAACCCCCTCTGAAACCCATTTCCACATTTGTTCAAGAAATTCTTTTATCTTATGTAAATCCCCCATGCTGTAACTAAGCCCTTGGTCTGCCCTTGGCCAGATGGGAGGGCAGCCAGGCTTCCTCTCTCCAGCAGAGCCCTTTCTGTACCCAAAGATGATTATCTTATCATCGTGCCATCCTCCCTCCCATTCTCCAGACTGAAAATTTTCATCTTTAGCTTTTTCCTTTCCTTCTCCTTCTTATCATTTCTATGATCCCCTTTAACTGTTGCCAAACACTTTTCAGAACTGAACCTAGTACTATGCAAAAAGTCTATCTGATCTTGTTCTCCAACTGATGGGGACAAGGCAGGTTAAAAAAATGTCTGAGAAAGCAACAGGGAGAGTAGAGGTAGGTGCTGCTTGCGCACAGCTGTGGAATAAAGCTGATTACAACTGAGTCCAAAACCAAGGCCCCAATCCAAGGCCGCGTCGTAAAAAAAAAAAAAAAAAAAAAAAGAGAGAAAAGTAAAAAGAAAGCCAAGCCCGAAGTCCTTGCTGGTTCAAAGGCCCAGGGAGAATCCAGAGGAATTGTTCTGTAAGGGGAGCAGGCCTGGATGTGGGCTGAGTAGTGAGTGGACAGCTGCAGCCTTCTTTGAAGCAAATCTAGATCTTACAGTCCTGGGCTGGGAAGGGGCAGGCATCTCACAAACAGCTGAAGAACCGACCAGCAGTAAGTTCAGGAGACTGTTCGGATTACCTTGTGAGACTAAGTCAAAACTCCTCCATGTCACTAAACATGTGCCTCAGACCTTCTAGTGGACCAGGACCAAACTTAAGAGGGTGTAGAGCAAGCAGATGGGCCCCAACCCAAATGGTCCCTCCCTAGTTGGACCATGTGATAGTCTCTTGGGCTTGAAAACTTCAGTCCTCTCTTTCCCTCCTCTCCATTGCCTTAATCACCAAACTGTGACTCTTCAATGTTTCTCATGCTCATTCCTTTTTGCTTCTATTTTCCCCAGTCAAACCTGAACAATCTCGGTCCTGAACAGTAAATTGCTTCCTAATAGGACTTTCGATTCCTATTCCTGTTTGCCAATCTATGCCACATTCTGCTGTCTTTCTTTTATACTTTTACTTGAGGATTTTGAATTACCTATAGGGATAAGTTTATATTGCTCCTTAGTGCATCCAGACCCTCCAACATTTGGCCCTAAACTAGCTTTCCCGACCATATCTCCCATTGCTTCTTTATGAGTCCTCTATTGAGTCAAGCATATTGCCCTTTCTATGCCTGTCTTTGTCCATGTTGTTCCCTGACTTGGAAGGCGAGTGGCTCTGCTCTGTGTGCATGTAAATCCTATCTTGAAAGATGAAGATCTGATTTTAGTTTATCCAAGATCATCTTGACCAAAATTTCTTTATGTCCCCAGATTTCTTACAGCACTTTCTGTCAGTTTCCCTCATCTAATCTTATACTATACCGGGCTGTTAGTTGGCTTTAATATGTGTCTGTTGTCTTCCCTGGCTAGTGTCTTAAATACTTTGATGGCAAAGGTGGACTTTTGGAGTTAAGGAAATCATTCCAAAGAGCTTAGCATTGTTCTGGAGGTACTGAGTTTGCTGTGGCTTCAGCGTAGTTCACAATGCTACAGTGCGGTGATTCTCAATATTCTTCAAGATGAAGATCTCTTTGTTCCCTTTCCATTGTCAATAAACGAGTGTGTTGTGGTTCACTGATTAACATTTTTAAAAGTACCTTAATGATGAGATGCTTTCATGAATTTGCTAATGCTTTACAATGAAGTTTTATTTAGGTATAGCATCACCACCATGTACTCGAAAATTAGTAGTGCTGTAACTGTATTTAAGATGTCTTTATTTATTTGGTCTAATACTTAGCCAGCATGTGGCTTTGCTCACCCTTACAATGATGTTGGCTCTTTATGTGTCCTGCTGCCCCACTATTTGGGCATATTATTATTATTATTACCTCACAGGGCTGTTGTGAGGGTTAAATGAGATATATATTAGGTACATGGCACAGTGCTTGGCTGAAAGTGATTTTGATCTTTCTTTCCCTTCCTCATGCCACCATCAGCTAATTTAGAAGATGGGAATGTTCTGGGACCTCTGGGACAGAGCTTAGGGCAGTGGATGTGGGAAGGCATGGTGCTGTCTCTGGAAGAGAAGGGCATTAAAGATCACCTAGAGCAGCAGTTCTCAAACGTTTTACTTGCAGGACTCCTCTACCCTACCCTCTTAAATATTATTGAGGACCCCAAAGAGCTTTTGTTTATGTGGAGTATGTCTATCAAGAAACTTTAAAAAATATGTTTAAATTTAAAAGTAACAATAACAAACCCATTATACATTAATGTATATAACACATTTTTATGAAAAATAACTATATCTTTCAAAACATTAGTGAGAAGAGTGGGATTGTTTTAAATTTTTGCAAATCTCCTTAATGTCTGGTTTAATAGAAGACAGCTGATTCTTGATTCTGTTTCTGCATTCAATCTCCTTTAACACAGATGGACCCCAACTTAAAATGGTACAACTTAGGATTTTTGATTTTACAACGGTGTGAAAGCGATACATATTCACTAGAAACCATACTTCAAGGGCCCATACAACCATTCTGTTTTTCACTTTCAGTACAGTAAAGTCCATGAGATATTCAACCCTTTATAATAAAATACACTTTGTATTAGATGATTTCGCCCAACTGTAAGCTAATGTAAGTGTTCTGAACATGTTTAAGGTGGGCTAAGCTATGACGTCCAGTAGGTTAGGTGTAGTAAATGCATTTTTGACTTATGATATTTTCAACTTATGATAGGTTTATCAGGACATAACCCCATCGTAAGTCAAGGAGCATCTGTATTTGGTTTTGGTGAAATATAGGAAGAAAATATAGGTTCATACAGATATATTGTTGAAAAAGGGAAAGGGCATAAGAGTATTTGAATAGGTTTTCAGATAATTGTGGATATTCTTCTTTGAAATGAAACCAAAACTCAACAAGTGGTAGTTTAAGAAATGTTTTCAATTGTAACTTGATAAATTATAGTTGTATATATTTATGGGGTACAATGTGATGTCATGATTTATGAATAAAATGGGGAATAATGAAGTCAAAATAATTAACAGTTTCTGTAGTGAGAACACTTGAAATTTACTCAGCGATATTAAAAGGTGCAATACACTATTAACAGTTAAAGATTACTTGCAATGCAGAATCTAAAACATATCAATGAAGTTTTCATGCTCTGTTACAACAAAATCCATTGCTATCTTTATTTCAATGTGTCTTTTAATCATTTATGATTTTGTAACACCAAACCTTGGGCACTTGGAAAATATTGAGTGCACCAAATTATGCAGATCTTCCAAATATAAGCACATTTCATTATACAATTTTAAAACATTGTCTTGATTATTAATCACCACTGATCTTATCAGATAAGTTTTTAGTGCTGGGAAGCTGTTAGGCTCACGGTGGCAAATACAAGATTTTCCAAATTCCAATTTTCATTCAAAAGCTTGAATGTTATCATTGGCAATAAATACTGCCAGTTATTTTCTTTGAAGTTACTGGCCAATTTAGTTCATTTTTTTGAGAAAGTATCTGCCAAATACCCAATTTCGAATAACCACAGTCTGTCAGTTGTTCTTCCAAATAAAAATAGTGTTCCTCAAAAAAAAGCAGATAGGCCAGGTGCGGTGGCTCACGCCTATAATCACAGCACTTTGGGAGGCCAAGGCGGGTGGATTGCCTGAGGTCAGGAGTTCAAGACCAGTCTGGCCAACATGGTGAAACCCCATCTCTACTGGGAAAAAAAAAAAAAAAAAAAATTAGCCGGGCGTGGTGGTGTGCACCTGTAATCCCAGCTACTCAGGAGGCTGAGGCAGGGAAATTGCTTGAGCTAGGGAGGTGGAGGGTGCAGTGAGCCGAGATCGTGCCACCACACTCCAGCCTGGGTGACAGAGAGAGTCTCCATCTCAAAAAAAAAAAAAAAAAACAGATAGTTCACCTTCCAACTCAAATGATGGCATTAGTGCTTTTCCTTGAGACAGCCATTGTACTTCAGTGTGCAGCGAAAGTGCTTTATGTGTACTTTCCATTTTGTCACACAAGATATGAAAAAGATCTATACTCATGAGTTGACATTTAATAACAATAATTGTTAGCACTTCACCAAGGACATTTTAAAATGAAACTGACATTTTCTTTTTACTATGTAGCAGTAAGAAAATACACCGACTACTAGTATAGTTTGGTCCCATTACCTTGATTCATGCTAAGGTGCCAGCAGTTTTACCCATCATTGCTTTTGCACCATCGTCACAAATGTCAAATGGTGAAAAAGGCAAATAACATCTTTCTATTATTATGGAAATAGTTTTGACCTCAATGACCCTCAGAAAAGTCCCTGAGAATCCCCAAGGGTCTGTGGACCATGTTTTGAGGACCACTGCTCTTAAACTTTTGCAAAGGGCCAGCCCTCCCAGGACGCAGAATGTAGCTACTCCCACATTTGGGAGGAGAGGTGAGGTCTCCTTCAAACAGGGCAATTTGCCTTCCTTTTTGGAACCCGAGATGGACTTTTTATTTCCTTGCAGAACTGAAGGCATCTGGCTTGGGAGCACGATTATTCTCCACTCACCTTTAAACTGCCTCAGCTATTACTAAGTCTCTGGCAGTGATATGTTGATTATGTGAATTTAAAGCCCACAGGAGCCAGAGGAATGACAGATCAGTTTCTCTTAAATGAGAAATAAAATCCAGGAGCCTGGCAGCGGGACATACGGCTCTCACTCCTGCTGACCTTTGATGTCACTCGGGTAGAATGACTGCTTCTAGGCCAGATGGCATGTAGCTTAAACGGAGATGTCTCAACCTGTTTCCTTGTATTAATTGTGCACATTGATACTCCTCCATTGTGTAGTCCATAATTCTTCATCGTCAACCTCATTTGGATTTTTTTTTGAGGGGAAGCTGAGCTCAAGCAGGCCTCCACGAATTCAAGCTATTTCAAAAGCTCCAAACCCAAACCTTTTTCTATCCAATCACTGTTATAGGCTGACAGACACTGAATCTCCCTTCTGTCAATTGAATGTAAGTCTAGCAACTTTTAAGAGCAATGAGATTGAAGGAAAGGGCCTTCTTTCACCTCTTTGCCCTAAAGGAGGTGGCTGAATGGAAGCCCATTTAATTTTTTGTTTAAAGGTACTAAATAAGGATCAATTTGTAAAGACGGCTCTCTGAGTGTAGCAAGATAGTTTCTTAAATCTGATAGGGATAAATGGGAGGTCAATATCCTTTTTCTTATCAACAATTTCACCAAATAATATTTACTAAGAACTTTCACATCGGGTTTCTCAGCTATAAACAAGCAAACACTCCAAGCAGAGATATTGGAAGTGCTGAACCAGGACAGTTGCTGGGTATGGAGCTAGAAGCTAACATCGCTTGTCTATGGAAAAGCATGCTTTCATTACTCAAAAGCTGAACTTTTAATTTATTTCTAAATCAATTTGAAGCAGACCCAATGAGCGAGAAATGCAAATGTAGTCAACTGGGAAAAGAAGCTGACTTTTTTCACTCAGGGTCATGGGTAAGGATAGAATTCTGCCACGTGAAAAATGTCTCAGTTTTGACAAAAAAAAATTAACACTGCTTCAAGGAAAGAGAAAATAAGTTATGGACGTTATATCTGACAGATTTTTCCCTTTGTATTCATGGCATTTGAATTATATGCACATCACTAAAAAAATATTGAACCCTCATAAAGAGCCTGGCAAGTGAGTAACTGTAATTTTAAAACAGGAACATTCGCATATGTTTTAAAGCTGTTTTAGTTTTTGCTCAGAATTCTGGTTCACTATTTATAATAGGGCAGAACATCCATGCTTTTGTAAGAACCACTTTGGCTTATAGAAAATACAGTACCGGCCAGGCATGCTAGCTCACGTCTGTAATCCCAGCACTTTGGGAGGCCGAGGCTGGCAGATCGCCTGAGGTCGGGAGTTCGAGACCAGCCTGACCAACCAACAAGGAGAAACTCTGTCTCTACTAAAAATACAAAATTAGCCGGGAGTGGTGGCACATGCCCGTAATCCCAGCTAATCGGGAGGCTGAGGCAGAAGAATCGCTTGAACCCGGGAAGTGGAGGTTGCGGTGAGCTGAGATCGCGCCATTGCACTCCAGCCTGGGCAACAAGAGCAAAACTTCATCTCCAAAAAAAAAAAAAAAAAATACAGTACCGCTTTAAAAGTTTCTAAGCCAACAGAAATTCAAATGATCTAAAACTTAAATCAACATATAATGGTTTGAGAGAAAAACATGCATTGGCCTTAGTGTTTAGGTAGGTTAGGTATGTTTGGAGACTCCATGAGAGGAGCCCATAAGGAATTTGTTTGCACGAGGGATGAAGTTGCTTCCTGTGAATGAACGAACCCTAAGACAGAGTAGCATTGATGGGATATTGAGAAGGTCAAGAACTAGGGGACAGTATCAGAGGCAAGGGGCACTGTTCATTTAAATTTAAACTAGCCACCATGAGCTTATAACCCGAGTCCTTGGTAGAGGAGCAATAACTAAGAGCAAGCGAAGGAATGATTTCAGAATAATCTCTTTAAGACACTGGGGAGAATAAACCTGAAATGTTTTGTAGGCCATGTAATAGAGTGAAATGAAAGGGAGCACAGAAGTCCATTTACCTTCTTGGACTCAGTGGCCCCTTCAGTGAGTATTGTGTCTTTGCTGGGGCAATTGTGACTTTGCATATTGATGGACACTGGTGCCTTTGGTGGTTATTGGGGCATTGTTGCGTTTTCACCATTAGTGAAGTCAAGAGTCAACAACTTGGCCAGGCGCGGTGGCTCACGCCTGTAATCTCACCACTTTGGAAGGCCGAGGTGGGTGGATCACCTGAAGTCAGGAGTTTGAGACCAGCCCGGCCAACGTGGTGAAACCCCGTCTCTACTAAAAATACAAAAATTAGCCAGGTGTGGTGGCACATGCCTATAGTCCCATCTACTTGGAAGGAAAAAAAAAAAAAAAAAAAAAAAAAAAAGAGTCAACAACCCAACAAGCCAGAGCCAGGGAAAAGGAAAATGATCACTGCTATGTGGTAACTGAGTACTGAAACCAACATAATTCTCTGTCGCTGTGTAAAACAATAACAGACGTGGGAATAGTTTTCTGTTCCCATATTAATCCATGTTGAGAATAAGCAAACTTAGCTACTTGCTCCAGGAAATACTTTTTCCTGAAAATTAAAATTGTAAACCAACTAAAAGAGTTTACTTAACAAGAATACCACCTTCCCCATCAAAACTTGCTTCAATATTCTCCTCCTGCTATGCCCACCAATCTACAGCTATTACGTCACAAAATCTACCCAATCCCAATTAGAGGCCTGCCTTGCAAGACCCGCCCTGAAACCACCCAACTTAGTCCCTAATAACCTATCCTGTCATTTCCCCTCTGAGACACTGCCTAGACACCATTAAGGCAGAGTTCTCTCATACTGCAGTAAGTCTCATAAGATACTTCACTTTGATGGATCAGTGATGTTTTTCTAGTATTTTAGGGGAGGGCACGGAGTAGGGGTTGACAGCCAACGAAGCTAAAAGGGTGAATGTCTGCACATTCAGGAGAATAGAGGTGCCACAATTATGGGTGGAGTGGAGGCAGAAAAATATGGTGTGTTGCTGTTTTTACGATCCAGTTTGTACTTAGAGGCAAGGTAAGATGTGAGGAAATGTGGGCTAAATACCCATAACCCTTTTTAAAATTAAGCAAGAACAGCAAATGTCTAAAAAATGTCTAGCCCAGTGAAGTTACCATCTATTCACTCCTGTTTTTTTTTTTTTTTTTTTTTTTTTTTTTTTTTTTTTTTTGAGACAGAGTCTCACTCTGTCGCCCAGGCTGGAGTGCAGTGACGCGATCTCAGCTCACTGCAACCTCTGCCTCCCACGCTCAAGCGATTCTCCTGCCTCCTGAGTAGCTGAGATTACAGGCGCGTGCCACCATGCCTAGCTAATTCTTGTATTTTTAGTGGAGATGGGTTTTCACCATGTTGGCCAGGCTGGTCTGGAACTCCTGGCCTCAAACGATCTGCCTGCCTCGGCCTTCCAAAGTGCTGGGATTACAGGAGTGAGCCAAGGCGCCTGACACTATTCACTGCCTTTTACATGATTTTTCCTTGACGAGATAAATGTAATGCTCCCTTCTTCCAGACAAAGGTGATTTTAAACTTACTGTATCGTGAAATCACAAAATCTTAAAAGGTATGTGTATTTTGTGTGTATGTATATATACATGCACACACACAGACATATCATCCTATCTTATTCCAATGAGTGATTTAAGGTAGTTCACAAAAATGCAATAGGATAAAAATAAGTCAGTCCTAGAAGGCAAAGCTCTGCAGGGCCTGCTGGGAATTTATTCCCCACGCCCATCAGTTTCTGTTTCCATGAAGACCCCTTTCTCTTTGAGTACTGAAGAGCAGCATCAGCAACCTCAACACTGAAGCTTTTTCTTTCTCTGCCCAAATTCCCTCACTAGAGTGGTGGGACAGGGTAGGTGAGGAGAGAAGGAAGCCCTTAAACGTCAAAGCAGTGGAGGGTTGGGGAGGCATCGGATCGCACTTTCGCCTCCTAGGCTGGGGAAGATGGTGCACATGCGTTGTAATGCGCACGTGTTACTGGCACATGACTCCCGGTCCCTTGTGAGCCGAAACTTGGATCCTAATGACGTTGATAATGGGTTACTAGGCACTCATAGTTCTGGATCGTTGGGTGGCCTTCACGTTAGCAGAAGAATTCCTTTAAACGTCATTTTTGAGGAAGTAGACAAACCTAAATATGTGTCTGAACTCCAAGGAATATGAACAAGATGCCTGCTGGTGAACAAGAATGTGAATATAACAAAGAAGGGAAGTACTACTCTAAAGGAGTTAAACTGGTGAGAAAAAAGAAAAAAATTCCTGGTTACCGTTGGGGGGACATTAAGATAAACATCATAGGTGAAAAGGATGATTTACCAATTCATTTCTGTGACAAATGTGATTTGCCTATTAAAATCTATGGGCGAATAATTCCGTGCAAGCATGCTTTTTGCTATCACTGTGCTAATTTATATGACAAAGTCGGATATAAAGTATGTCCGCGCTGTCGTTATCCTGTGCTGAGAATTGAGGCGCATAAACGAGGTTCTGTCTTCATGTGTAGTATTGTTCAGCAGTGCAAGAGAACATACTTGTCTCAGAAAAGCTTACAGGCTCATATCAAACGCCGCCATAAGAGAGCTCGAAAACAAGTTACCAGCGCTTCGCTTGAAAAAGTTCGTCCTCATATTGCTCCGCCACAAACTGAAATCTCTGACATCCCTAAAAGACTGCAAGACAGGGACCATCTAAGCTATATTCCACCAGAACAGCACACCATGGTGTCACTACCGTCTGTGCAACATATGCTACAAGAGCAACATAATCAGCCACATAAGGATATCCAGGCTCCTCCCCCAGAACTATCTCTAAGTCTGCCTTTTCCCATCCAGTGGGAAACCGTTAGTATTTTTACGAGAAAACATGGCAATTTAACAGTTGATCATATTCAGAATAACTCAGATTCTGGTGCTAAGAAGCCAACACCTCCCGACTATTATCCTGAGTGTCAAAGTCAACCAGCGGTATCGTCCCCTCATCATATTATACCTCAGAAACAGCATTATGCGCCACCTCCATCTCCATCATCACCAGTAAACCATCAAATGCCATATCCTCCTCAGGATGTAGTTACTCCTAACTCGGTTCGTAGCCAAGTGCCAGCTCTAACCACGACCTACGATCCATCATCTGGATATATTATTGTAAAGGTGCCACCTGATATGAATTCTCCTCCACTACGTGCTCCCCAGTCTCAAAATGGTAATCCATCTGCAAGTGAATTTGCTTCTCACCATTATAACCTTAACATTTTACCTCAGTTCACCGAAAATCAAGAAACCTTGAGCCCTCAGTTTACACAAACAGATGCAATGGATCATAGAAGGTGGCCTGCATGGAAACGACTGTCACCTTGTCCACCAACGCGGAGTCCACCTCCTTCAACCCTACATGGTCGATCACATCATTCACACCAGAGAAGACATAGACGGTATTAAGGATGATAACAGTATTTGGAACTGAAGACCTGATGGGAAAAAAACCTTCAAGTTCTATACTGTACTGTGGATAAGCGGCTCAGTTCAGCAGAGCTGGAGTTGAACAACTTTGTTCCTCTGGTGTGGTAAATTGACCTAAAGGTGACCTCTGACGATTTCCTGAAATAAATATGCAATGTTACATTTTCAAAAGTATTGTGGTTTTTATTTTTTTATTTTTTGGTGATATGTTAACCTGTGTAAAAGGGTTAAATTTCAATACAGCTGTAAAAATGCTATTTTATGTGAACTCAAGCATAGTCACATGCTGTTTCTTAAACATATTTTACCACTGATTTCCCAAAGTACAATACAAATCCTAGAGGTAAAAATCTACTACAATGTACAGTTAAAGCAGACAGCTAAATGGTAGATAATTATTTCACATTTTAGGAACTGAAATTTTAAGGTACAATAAGTGTATAGTGCATTTCGTTTGGATGCCTTTTCATTTTTAGGCAGCCGCAGAAGCACCAAAATATATCAGAATTCCAGTACTATGATAGATTTAAGTTTGCAATGTTAAAAAGCATTACTAAATCATTTGGAAAGATATGGCCAAAGTAATTGTATCTGTAGGCTCCAAGCTAGTGGGGACAATGTTACTTGTTAATGCTTTTTTTTTTTTTTTTACAGAATCGTTCAAATCACATAATGTACCACACTACTCTTAAGTAGCATTATTTTATAGCACTGTTTAAATGGCGTCATTTACATGAAGTGTGTTCTACTTTGCTCATGCTCCTAAATTAAATATTCAGGACTGAATAAACTTTATTATAATTCTTCATTTCATGGTAGAGTTTGATCCTGTTCTTATGTGGTTTTTTTTGTTTATTAGGTTTTAAACTACAGTTTGAATGCCATGGAGGAATTTGGATAATCTATTAATGAGAGGCATTGTTACAGTTACAGACTTGGACTTGCTTGGGTTGCATTATTGTGTGATAAGGGTTTTTCCTCTAACTTGAAATTAAAAACTACTAATTCTTTCCTATTTCTTTTCTTGGTAAACAGTCTAAACTTGGGACATTTTAGCACGAAGTTAACAGTAAAGACTACTAGATGACTTTGTATTGGAGAAAAGTAATGACATATGAATTTCACTGCTTTATTAAGTGTCTTTAGAATGAGCTTTTGCATTTTAGGGGCTTATTGCAGTCCAGCTATGATGACCACTTACACTTATACTTCTGTACTTTGTATAGAATTCATATGGATGAGCTGAGGTTCTTAGGGTATTTTATATCGTTTGAATAAACCCTCATGAAGATTTTTCTCCCCTTTCAGTAGTGCATAATATAAATATGAAATGTATAGTATGCAGATATTATTTACTAGATGGTTTATAGTACATAAATTTGGGAGATATTTCTTTTTAGCAAAGGATGAACTGACGGCTAACTTATCATTTTACTCTGTTGGGTACAGGCAAAATAAATTCTTGTCTTGGCTGATCAGATGCTCTCTGAGCTTAGAGCTGAAGTTAGAAATATATAAATGGCCATTTTAACCTTGACCAGCCTAAAATAAGTAATAGACTCTTTTTTAAGTGAGTGATTTTTCATACCTAGCAATTTGAGAGTCTAATGTTAATGCACTATTTCTAGTGAAAAAGCCTTGTTATTAGGAGCATGGCATGTGATTATGCGAAATGTTGGTTGGTAAATGCTTCTATTATATTATTATAGGTACTTGGACTGGTACACACTTGATTTCCTTTCTTACCTCTACTTAGAAGCTGTTAAAATATTACTGTTAAAATCCAATATAATTTTTTGTTTCATGTAATAAAAGCCAAATTCAATTTAAGTCTTCTCAACTATCTATGAAGAGCTCTTCTATGTTTATTGACATTCTCCAGGATTGAAGGCAGTATGAAACCACTTAAATGATGCATTAGACAAAAAAAAGTATCCTTATGAAATTTTACATGTTAAAAGAAGCCTTTAAAAATTATTTATTTTCAGTTAGGTTTAGGCAATATGTTATTCAGCAAAGCAGAACAGATGAATGTGTTGTAGGAGATAAAATTTTTAAATGATATTGGTTATGAACTCATCCAGTTATGTTTGAATGATAGTGATGGGTAAAAGAATCACAAAATTACCATTAGTGTTTCTTTAAGGGAAAAATAATATGAATCCTTTCCTTTTACTCAGAGAAGGCTTTGAAGCTATAATGAGTATAAGTCTAAATTAAATTTATGTATGCTACATTACATTGCTCTGAAGACTACTGAGGTGGCAGTTTAAGTCTGAAAAACAATATGGATCCATAAATACTAAAAAATAAACAGAAATACCAGGGAAAGGGAAAATGAAGGTCGGATAAATAGTAAAATTGAGTCCAAGTTAAAGTTGGAAGCAAAAAATTTGCACAATTGCTTCCTGCACTGTTGTTAATGATGGATGAAAAGTGTCTAAAGCAAACAGGCAAGATAAAAGCACGCACATTTCACGGGAAGCATAAGTGTGATACTGAGCAAAAGTTCTCTTGTGGTGCTCATAAAATGGTCATTAATATAGGGTTGTGATTCCTGATTCTGACAGCATGCATCTCCTGGAGCATCACCACAAATTAGCATCCTTTGCTTTACTTATTTTCAAAAGATTCTGAATCAGTAGGTTTTGGCAATGGATAGGGTTTAGTAATCTGTTCTTTCAGTAAGTATCCTAGGTGATTCAGAAACAGCTGACTCAAAAATTTCGTCACTGGACACCCAGTCTCTAGTCTCAGTGGTCTACCATCCATTCTGTACCCAGCAACCAAGGTAATCGTTTAAGAATGGAACTCGGCCAGGCACGGTGGCTCACACCTGTAATCCCAGCACTTTGGCAGGCCGAGGCAGGTGGATCACGAGGTCAGGAGTTTGAGACCAGCCTGGCCAACATGGTCTCTACTAAAGATACAAAAAATTAGCTAGGCGCCTGTAATCTCAGCTACTCGGGAGGCTGAGGCAGGAGAATTGCTTGAACCCGGGAGGTGGAGGTTGCAATGAGCTGAGATCGCGCCACGGCACTCCAACCTGGGCAACAGAGCGAGACTCTGTCTCAGAAAAAAAAAAAAAAAAAAAAAAAAAAAAGAATGGAACTCAGCCCTCAAATAGTTTTGTGTTGCACTTCAAGTCCAATTCCTTTTTCATGACTGTATATGGTTAAACTCCTAGTGAATTTTCAAAACTCATAACCTACCCTTCTCTCTCCGTTCCCCCTGTTCCAGCCATACAAACTTAAAAAAAAAAATCCTTGGACCACCAAATTCCTTCCTGCCTCACGTTTTACAGTTATTGCTTTTTTTTTTTCTTTTTTTTTTTTTTTCCCCCTGCCTGGACCATCTTCCTACAAATCTTCTTAAGGCTGGCTCTCTCACTTCATGTTTCTGTTCAAATGCCTTCCCTGGCTACCCTGTGGAAAATAGCACTGCCCTCCACACACCCATCTCCTAACCCTGCTTTATTTTCCTTCATTCTCTATCACTACCTGTTATTACATAACTAATTACTAATTGCTTTTTTTTTGTTTCCTCCAAAAAAATGTTATCTCCAGGAGAGGTGGGTCTTTGTACTAGTCCATTGAAGAAGGATGAAGAGTGATATATAACAAAGCAGTTTTATTTTTCGTTCTTGCTGTTTTCTTCTTTTTACATTTTATTCTTTCCGAGGTGAAAATTGGGGCCATCTCATAACTTTCCTCTACAGTCTTAAATGGAAAGCTCTCTGATCAGTTATTAAAATGTCCAGTCTGATGGGACAGTCAAACTTTAGAACTGATTTAAGGGTGAGTCCTTTCCTTACTTCCCTAGCTGTGGCTGGTGGAAGACCAGCAGTTAGGAAGAATGTTGTGGTCAACTTCTTGCCTTAACCACCTTTGCTTTGATTTCTTCTCCCCTATTTCATCAGGTGGAGGTCTTGGTCCTTCAGAGTTGGAATGCAAAGGATTGGGGCAGGAGAGGTGAGGGAAGTAGGAAAAGTCTTAACTTGGTTGGTACTATATGAAACTGGGTTAGTAGTTTCTGGGCCCAACTTCAGGTTTTAAGAATTAATTTTTTCTTTCATTGACACTTTCATGGTTGGTAAGAAAGAATTGCTCTCATTGATCCAGATCTCTACTTGTAGTTCCCGTGATGAATATGAATGCTTCTCTCTTCCAGTTAGTTCCCTAGTTCTTCCTCAGCCCCTGAGAATCTGGCAATACCTACAACTTCTCTTAGCTGAGTTGTGTTTATCCCTCCAGCTCCCTCTAGTGAGGGGCCATACCTGGCCCATGAGAAACACATCTCCTTTTCCCGGATAAACTCTGCGTGTGCTGGCCAATCTCAGTGTTGCCAGCTTCCTTTCCCTCAGCTGTCAAAGAAATTAGCCTGTCTCCTGCACCTTTGATTTTCCAGACACCAGTCCACAGTGTCCCTAATGTTCCAGAGAACAAATATTTAGCCCTTGGAGTGGGTCTCATTAAAGCACCTCTCTCCTGGGAGGTGATGTGGGAGGCATCCTTCATCCCTTTTCTAAGAGGAATGGTGGTGGTAGAACTCACAGCATAGCAAAATTTAGAGTCAGACTGTGTTCTTATTGGCCGGTGCTCATGACCTACTGTTTGTTAAATAATTTTATTATTACTCTAGATCCAACTATGCTTTATTTTCACATGGCTCAGAAACCCCAGATGGGAAAATGCAATCTGTTTGAATTGCGTCTACAAAAACAAAGGAAGGAGAAGTGCACAATTAAATGGATAATTCAGAAAAAAATGCCTCAGGTATTGAAATGTTCTTGGCAAAATTTTAGTATCTGAATCATTCTAAAAAGTGTCAGAATTTGGCACATCTCCTAACGGTTCCAGTAACATTATGCTGAGTAAAATTATACATTTTTTTCTTTGACAAAATAGTCAATAGATATATTTCATTTCCAATAGAAAGAACTAAGTCATTTTTTTAAGTATCTTTCAAGGTCAGCCCTAGGTAAAAATGTGGTATAGATGGAGTTCTATTTGGATGGGATAAAGTAGAGGTATAAAACTTTTTCCCTCTACTGAATAAAACTAGCATTTCTCATCACATATCATCACACAATAAGAAACAGATGGTCTGCTTATTTTGCTGACCATCGCTCATTTGTGTTTAAACTTTTCCCCTAATAATTGACTTGGGTATTCTGTTTGGTTTATGCATATGGCAGACTGATTGCAAAATTGGCCGCAATTCTTTACCCCTTCCCATGTGTCTTCACAGTTCCTCCTATCAAGAGGTAGTGTCTATTTTCTCACCTCTTTGAATATGATTTACTTTGGCCAATAGAATGTGGTAGAAGTGTCAGCGTACCAGGTCTGAGCATAGAGGGCTTCTGTCCTCCCACCTCCTTTTAGAGCACTGCCTCCATGAGAGCAAACTTGGCCCACCTTGCTGAAAGATGACAAAACACACTGAAAACTCATTTTCCCCCCATTCAAAGCCATCCTAGACCAACTTGCAGTCAGCTAACTCCAAAACATGTGAGAATGCCCAACCAAGATTAGCATAGCTACCAACCCAACCCAACCCAAAGATGACTGCAGACCCATGCAGGAGCCCAGCTGAGACCAGAAGAACTACCCAGATTATCTGTAGTTTTATGAGCAATAATATAAATGCTTATTGTTTTAAGTAACTGAGTTTTGGGATGATGGGTTACACAGCAGTAGCTAACTGATACAAGCCATTTTTACTCCCATTTCCCCCCGTAGTTAGAGAATTACACACTGTCCAGTTTTACAATAAAATTAGCACTAATGTGAGATGTTTTCAAGATATGAATTATAAATATTTGATGTTTAGACATGAAAAGAATTCACCTTTGAAAGGGTTTTTAAGTAGTAAACATTTTCTTCAGGTTTTGTCATCTTCACCTATTTTTCAATTTTCTCATTAATAGTCAAGTTATAAGGAGGATTAATCTTCAGTAAACTGCACAGTAACCTTGAGCAAATTGCAGAGGATTTAGCTTAAGCAGGCATTGCATATGTAGCTGGTGTTACCTACAGTCTTGGTATACATGTGAAGTACCATGCTTATAAGCATAAATTCTTATTCCTAATTTTATCTTCTGAATAGGTGTCTTTGGATCTCCTGTATTTGTGGGAGCCCTTTATATAATAGCCAAGCTCTGGTGGCCTGATCTTACTTTGAAGATTTAGCCCTAAGTTTTGTGACAGGGCTGCATTCACGTAGTACATACAGCCATAGTCACTGTGGAGCACAGTCTTTATCTTTGCATTTAAGGAGGTTCAAGTCAGCATGGGCTACCTTAGAGGAAAAACCTTTTAACCTCATCCTTTCATGGTTCCCAACAATTTGAAACAGCTTTCCAAATTGATGTCCTCAAACTTTCTCTTCCCTGTTTAGTCCAGCCTTTCCACCTCTCTCTGTTATATTTTAACACATATGAGAAAGCTATTAGTCCCCTAGTTGTGCATAAGCCTAGATGTCTGACACCAAGGCTGACATCACTTTGGATGCCACTTGACTCCATATTAGACAGTGAGGAGGCAGTTGGGCAAACATCTGTTTTAGGAACCAATATCAGCATAATCTCAGGTTTCCATTAGAATATACTTAAAAATACTTGTATTTTTAATTAAGAAAATTAGCTTTAAAATATTTTTCATGTTTTAGTTTATAAGAGCACTACATGCACATTATTAAATACAAACACAATATAGGAAAGGATAAATGCAAATTAAAGCAATCTGTGATTCTATAGGTGATTTTTTTCTGTATATATTTTTACATGCATTTATATGGTGCTCTGCAAAAGTTCCCAGAATGCACCTTTTCTGTAATCTATTATTAATTATTATTTAAATTAAATTACAGGGTCAACTTTTGAGTTTCAACTTCTGAAAGCAAATGACTTATTTGCATTTTAGTACATAATGCCATTTGATATGCTTTAGTTGGGGCTCAATATACACAAATTATTTAATTTCTTACTGCTATGTCTATATGGTCTCTCTTTTTTTTTTTTTTTTTTTTTTTTTTTTTGAGACGGAGTCTCCCTCTGTCGCCCAGGCCGGACTGCGGACTGCAGTGGCGCAATCTCGGCTCACTGCAAGCTCCGCTTCCCGGGTTCACGCCATTCTCCTGCCTCAGCCTCCCGAGTAGCTGGGACTACAGGCGCCCGCCACCGCGCCTGGCTAATTTTTTGTATTTTTAGTAGAGACGGGGTTTCACCATGTTAGCCAGGATGGTCTCGATCTCCTGACCTCATGATCCACCCGCCTCGGCCTCCCAAAGTGCTGGGATTACAGGCGTGAGCCACCGCGCCCGGCCTATATGGTCTCTTAAAATTAAAAACATTGACTCTAATTTAGTCCATACCTTGCCCTATGTTGTACTGCAATCAGTATGCCTGGTTCTGTCTTCAGTGTAAAGACAGAACATATCCACAATCCCCGGGAATGGAACAAAATGGTAGCCAACTCTAAAACGTGCTTTGAGAAGGAGCATCCATCTCAGTCACTATGATTACTAGTAGGTGCATTCTATCACAAATGAGTCATCACTAAATCCTTACTTACTCTGCTTTCCCTTTCCCATGCTTTTGACTCTGAAAGAGACCGGCCACACATTAGGCATGGGGAAGAATGAGAGGACATTGCACACTGTTTTACAAAAAGCATCTGACAAAACAAAACCATTTTTTATTTTTAAGAAGTCTTTAAGTAAACATTTTTATTTGATTTGAACACTATTTTATTTTGTGCTTTGATATCCTGGTAACTTATAGCTAATTAAAACCCTCATCTGGCCATATTCCCTTGGGTATAATGTAGGCACTTTATGCCCTGTGAATCCTAACTCAATCATCACCTCTCCCAGACAGTAGGCTCCTCCTCTAGGCATTCCTCTCTTGGTGAATGGTTCCAATAGCCAACCAAATGTATAAGCCCGAACCTTGGCAGTCATTCTCTTTTCTTCCACACTCCATTTTCACTTCCCATATTTAACTGGTAACCATGGTCTACAGACTCTATCTTTATGCTTCTCTCATGGCCATGCCATCCAAACCATTGCCTTTACCATGGTGCTGGCACTCGTTGCTCCTCAGGTGGACTCCTGGAAGAGCCTTCTTATTGCTTTCTCTGCTTCTGGTCTTATCACCAGCCCCACTCATCCAACACAGCTGCCAAGTATGCCTTCTAATGTGGAAGTCTGTTTTTAGACATCAGTGGATCGCTGTAGCATTTGGGATAATGTCAGACTCCTTTGCTTAGCACAGAAAGGCCCTCATATCCGGCCTGTTTCCCTCTCTGGCTTCATTTCCCACCACCTGCCCTTGGGCATTCTTTTCTCCGGTTATACCTTTTCACTGTCCTAAAAACAAAAGCAGTTTCTCCTTTATGTCTTCTTATATGGGGTTGCCCTCTGCCAGACATATTCTTTTCCTTTGTTTCCCCCTCTCACTTTTCCGTGTCTTGTCTTTTTTCTTATTCACTTCTTTTAAAAATCTTTCTCCAGACAAGCACATGATTTTGATGCCTCTTCACTGTGATTGCTGGACTATTCGTGTGCTTACATCGTGCCAGTTAGCACACTGTATTTTAGTTGTTTACACGCCTTTCTCTTCCACTAGACCAGTGGGCCTCAAAATGACCAGCAATATCAGCAGCATCATCGGGGAATTTGTTAGAAATGCAAATTCCCAGGCCACACCCCAGATCATAAGCTCTGAGGGTGAGACCCAGCAATTTGTGTCAAGAATACAGCATTCAATATTTTGTGATAGGAAAAGACTGGCAGGCCATGGTGGCATGCCTGGGAATGATTTGGAAGAAGATGCATGAATGCTACATGAACACTGTCCTCTGTGCCAGCTTTTCTTAAATAGACCAACAACACTAAAGAAGTCCAGAATGCCCAGAAGCATTTCAACACTTGTATTCATTTGCTGCTATAGCAAATTACCACAAATTTAGTGGCTTAAAACAATAAAAGTTCATTATCCTACAACTTTGGAGGTCAGAAGTCTGAAGTAGGTCTCACTGGGCTAACATCAAGGTGTTAGCAAGGCTGAGTTCCTCCTGGAGACTTGAGGGGAGGACCCGTTTCTGAGCTTTTTCCAGCTTCTAGAGGCTGCCTACATTCCTTGGCTCATGGCCTCTTCCTCTATCTTCAAAGCCGGCAATGGCTGGTTGAATCTTTTTCATGGTGCCATCTCTCTGTTTCTGACTTTTCTGCTTCCTCTTCTCTATTTTTAAGGACCTGTGTGATTCCATTGGATCCACCTGGATAATCCAAGCTAATCTCCTTATTTTAAGTCAGCTGACTAGCAAACTTAATTTCGTCTTGCTGTGTAAATCATATATACACAGATTCCAGAGATCAGGATGTGGACTTTTATGGAGGGTAGAAAGGGATATTATTCTGCCAACCACAAAATTTATTCTTGACTTTTGGAGATTTGATTAAAATTGATATTGCCTTTTGCCTTAACTCTCAAGCTCTTTGGAGAAATCTAGGATTCCCTTTTTTCATTGTCTTTCCTTGTGAAGAAAATGGTTTGAAAACTTTGTGGTGATTTAGTACGTTTTATTGAAAAGGGGATCCCTGCCCCCAGAACTTACAGTAGTGGCTAATAGGAGAGAAGGACCAGTCCAACATGGACAAGTTTGGACCTACACTGGTCAGTACCGAAATGTATTTGTGGATGGTGTACCAGTGACACGATGAGAGAAAGTAAATTGCAACCGAACAAGCTTGCTATCATTTATTATCCTTAAGCAACGGTTTCATCAATTTTCTGGTGAGAAAGGAAGAGTAGTTAAACTAGAATCCCTCTAAATCTGTTTGTGACTATGCATGCCTAATATTTACAGTTGCCCTGTTTGTAGAATATGCTTAAGTTTACTCTGCGCTGTGAATTCAATACATAATTTTCAAATTAAGTGCAAGACTACTTACCTCAAGCTGAGTTTATTCTGTACTGTGAATTCAATAGTTAATTTTTAAAAACATATTTACTAATCCTGAATTGAAAGCTCCCTTCGGGTATTGTTAAGGAGAACAATGTGTACTAGGTAGAATATATCTGACATTTTTACTTACTATCTTACATCAAAATAGAAAGCCCTGGCAAACAGTACCTTTAGCCACTGAAGCAGAGGCCAGAACAAAATTTCTTTCAGTTTAAGTGTGTTGAAGGTAATAAAGACTGTGGTTTTAGTTGAAGGAAGAGAAGTTGTGAGAAAATTACCTGGCAATCTAAGCACACAATGTCAAATTATTTACCTTATATGGCTTTTATTTTAGGGCAATACATTGTTATGTTCTGATCTTGAGGGTAACTTTTTGGCTTCATTTTGCATGTGTTATTAGAGCCAAACATGATCACCCAGATTGTTATAACTGCAGAAGTTTAGGGGCCATTGGGGTTGTGGATTCACTCTGGAAGGATAATGCATCTGTAATAACACAATGCAACAGTGACATATGAAGCTAAGAAATGTTACCTTGGGTTCAACGCATGGACCACTTGGCTAAACCGGAACATAGATGAGGAGAGGGGTGTAAGAGGACATTGATTTTTTTTTACATTCCTATAGTCCTTTCACAAAGGGAATGTGTAGGACATGTTTTCTTTTGACAGACCAGCTTTCATTCCCTTTGTTCACGAATCTGTCTCAGAGAAGAAGTTCACGCTTCTAAGAAATGACTTTGTTCCCCTCACCAGGCTCCAAATGGAAACTTTTCAAGGCCATATTTGCTGTGAGAGATATTTATCATGGAAGTTAAGTAACTTATGATTTAATTCAAGTGTCCTTTCAGCATTGAGAACAGGTTATTTTCTCCAGGAGGCCCCAGCAGGTTCCTGTTTTAAAGAAATTGAAAAGAAATATATTGCTTTCAACAGCCCCCAAATCAATACCCCTTCAAATATAGATGGGACCAAGTTTCTTACACTTCTTATGTGGACTGAAGAATGCTGCTGACCTGAAGTCCTGTGCGATCATAATACTTAGACTTCAGCCATTGTACTCTGTGGTATGAATGACTGTGACTCTTCCCTTGCCATTCCAGATTAAAGTGACCAACCCTTGTGCACACCACACAGTAATGATGGTCTCTCATCCACCCATATTTAGAAACTCCCCTATAGAATAAATTTAGGATCAGACCATTTAAACATCAAAATGTATTTTGTTTCCTTCACCTTTTAAAAAAGCAACATAGGGAGAATCTCAGTCAGTGCTTGACTAAATAATATGTGTAATAAATATGGTAATTAGCTGCAAAGTCCTTTATAACAGAGTACCAATGTTTTATTTATCTTCCCATCTTCCTCAGAATCTAACTGTGGCTTTCACAGAAAAGCTCAATATATGCCTATTAAATAAATGAATCAATCACTTCACACACCAATGCTATAAAAATGTCCACTTGTTTTTGGACTTGACGTGTAGATTTTTGGTGCTGGGAGAAGGATCTTGATTCTTTTGTACAGTTTCCATTTTTCTACTGAGATTCTGAAAACTGATTTTTATCTCTTTGAATTTGGTGAGCATGTTTATTTTAAAGTGTTTGTCTGATATCTCCAGTATCCTTCCTTGTTATTCTATTTCTATTGTTTTTCCCCCTACTGGTCTTAATTCATGTTATCTTATCTCTGGCCTGTCTGCTTCTGTTGGCATGTTGGACCTGGGATTTGAAAAACTGTTAGTACAAATAATCTGAGCCCAAGGTGATGCTATTTTCCTCCTAAGAGGATTCTCATTTGCTTCTGCCAGATGCCCAAAGGCACTAGCAATCTTGATCACCTCTGTTCAATTTCAGGGATTGAGAGGATTAGACCTACAATCCCTGAAACAGCTCATGTACTTCCAGTTCACACTAATCTTATTAGGATGCAGACTTTTTGAGATCCAAGTCAAAATGAGGAAGGTTAACCAGCGCCCCTCCACCACCCACGTCTTGGTAGCTTCCAATGCCACTGGCCACTGTCTGTTCCTTTAGCTTCACCAGGTTGACTGAATTACTGCTTAGCCTCTCAGATGCCCCCTCCAGGACCATTAAACACCCCTAGAAGTAGAGTGTAAACACAGGGTTCATTTCTCAGGGCATCCATTCTCCCCTGTGTTTTGTCCAGGTAATACTTCTCTATCTTATTATAAGGCCCTTAAGCAAATTTAAAAATATTTTGTAATACTTTTCTAGTTGTTCTGAGTGAGAAGGTGTAACCAAATTACCTAATCTGTTATTAGAAGTCCACTCATCTTAATTTTTATTATAGTTCTTATATATATAGATCTTGAAAACATTCTTCATTGTCCATTGGTCCATTTTATTTCCTGTTTGTGAGTCTATTCTGCTAATTAGAAATGTTCATGTATTTGTTTTTGTGGCTAGCTTTATAATTATAATTTCATATAATGCTTTTAATCTTCTATTTCTTCAGAAAGTATCTATTAATCTCTTATTTTGAGAAATGATACAATCAGTATGCTTCTTTCTTACCCCCACTCTACCACTTGATTCAACCTGACTGTATTTAATTTCTTAATATTTATAGTGACACTGTTAAATGTATTTCTATTATTTCTTTTGTCGGTTTAAAACAGTATTTGACATACAGCTATTGAAAACGACAGATTGGGCTCGGCACGGTGGCTGATACCTGTAATCCCAACACTTTAGGAGGCCAAGGCAGGCGGATCACTTGAGGTCAGGAGTTCGAGAACAGCCTGGCCAACATGCCGAAACTCTGTCTCTACTAAAAATACAAAAATCAGCCAGGCATGGTGGTGAGCACCTGTAATCCCAGCTACTCAGGAGACTGAGGCAGGAGAACCACTTGAACGTGGGAGGCGGAGGTAGCAGTGAGACAAGATCATCCCATTGCAATCCAGCCTGGGTGACAGAGTGAGACTCTGTCTCAAAAAAAAAAAAAAAAAAAAAAAAAAAAAAAGAGAAAAGAAAAGGACAGAATGTAAGTAATACATATATGGAGTAAAAGAAAATATATTGGGAAAAATGCCTCTTTGCAGACAGCCCCTTCTCTACTGTGCTGCCTGTTGCAACCTTGCAACGTATTTTCATACCTTCTCTAATAAATCTGCCTTTTTTTATGTACGACGGTCTTGGTAAATTCCTTTACTGCCTACGACACCAGCCTATATAGTCACACCCGTGACATTTTCTATAAGAGAAACATGAATTTAAGGACACAAAAAGTTAAAATTAAAATTATGCAAAAAAGATATACCATGCAAACAATAACCAAAAGAAAGCCCCTTCTCTTATTCTAATATCAAACAAAGTAGATATTAAGGCAAAAGCAATATTTCAAACCAAGAAAGATATTTTATAACAATAAAAGAGCTAATATATCAGGAAAGTATTAAAAAAAAAGCCAATAACGTTGCTTCAAAATATTTAAAGTAAAAATTGGCAGAACTGAGGGCAGAAATAGACACACCCATAGTTATAGTAAAAGGATTACATTTAATTGGCCACTTATAAAAATTAGACCTTCAAAAGTATTATTTTACTTTAAAGCATTTTCCCAATATATTGCTTTTCCAAAAACTAAGTTTTGAATTAATCAGTTCTGTTGTTAATGCTGTTTTCAAGATTGTTCTCTATACATTTATTTTTACGTTTCCAATCTTTGGATTTCATTGGAGTTATTTTTGCCTTTTTCTTATGATGCAACCAATCTGGCTAGTTTGATTGATTTGTCTCAGTGTGGGCTTCCTATATTACAGTCACTCTCATTTCTAATAAATGGTAACAACCAGTACCCATGGTGATAATAGCTAACACTTACAAACTACCCACTGTGAACTATTCTAGGTGCTTTACATACATTAACTCAATTAATTACCATAGCACAATTTTTTATGTAAGTATAATTATCAACTCCATTTTAGAGATAAGGGAACTGAGGCATAGAAAGTAACTAACTTACTCAAAGTTACATAGCTAATAAGTAGCAGGGTTGGGATTCAACCTCTGACAGTCTGGCTTCAGAGGGTGAGGCATTAACTGCTCTGATATCACCTTACCCCTTCCAATGATTCAGATTCTCAAATTTTCCTCTCTGAGCACAATGTCTTCACTTATACATCCCCTGATATGGTTTGGCTCTGTGTCCCCCACCCAAATCTCATTTCAAACTGTAATCCCCACCTGTCGAAGGAGGTAGATGATTGGATTATGGGGGTTTCCCCCCTGGTGTTCTCATGATAGTGAGTGAGCTCTCATGAGATCTGATGGTTTTATAAGGGGCCCCTCTCCCTCTGCCTCTCCCCCTCCCCGTCCCCCTCCCCCTCTGTCTCTCTCTCACACACCTGCCACCATGTAAGAAGTGCCTGCTTCTCCTTCTGCCATGATTGTAAATTTCCTGAGGCCTCCCCAGTGATGTGTAACTGTGCGTCAATTAAACCTCTTTCCTTTATAAATTACTCAGTCTCAGGTATGTCTTTATAAAGTAAAGACAGTAAATTGGTACTGAGGTAGTGAGGTACTGCTATAAAGGTACCCGAAACGTAGAAGCAACTTTGGAACTGGGTAACAGGCAGAGGTTGCAACACTTTGGAAGCCTCAGAAGAACACAGGAAGATGTGGGAAAGTTTGGAATTTCCTACATACTTGTTGAATGGTTTTAACTAAAATGTTCATAGCGATGCGGACAATGAAGTCCAGGCTGAGGTGGTCTCAGATGGAGATGAGGAACTTATTGAGAACTGGGGCAAAGGTCACTCTTGCTATGCTTTAGTGAAGAGACTGGAGGCATTTTGCCCCTGCCCTAGAGATCTGTGGAACTTTGAACTTGAGAGAGATGATTTAGGGTATCTGGTGGAAGAAATTTCTAAGTGGCAAAGCATTCAGGAGGATGCAGAGCATTAAAGTTTGGAAAATTTGCAGCCTGACCATGAGGTAGAAAAGAAAAGCCCATTTTCTGGGGAGGAATTCAAGCTGGCTGCAGAAATTTGCATAAGTAATAAGGAACCAAATGTTAATAGCCAAGACAATGGGGAAAATGTCTCCAGGGCATGTCAGAGACCTTCAGAGCAGCTCCTCCCATCACAGGCCCAGAGGCCTAGGACAGAAAAATGATTTTGTGGGCCCGGCCCAGGGACACCCTTGCTCTGTGCAGCCTTGGGACTTGCTGCCCTGTGTCCTAGCTGCTCCAGCTCCAGCCATGGCTAAAAGGGGCCAAAGTACATCGCAGGCCATTGCTTCAGACGGTGCACACCCCAAGCTTTCCACATGGTGTTGGGTCTGTGGGTGCACAGACAAGAAATGAGGTTTGGGAACCTCCACCTCGATTTCAGAGGATGTATGGAAACACCTGGATGTCCAGGCAGAAGTCTGCTGCAGGGGTTGAGCTCTCATGGAGAACTTCTGCTAGGGCAGCGTGGTAGGGAAATGTGGGGTTGGAGCCCCCACACAGAGTTCCCACTGGGGCACTGCCAAGTGGATCTGTGAGAAGAAGGCCCCCATCCTCCAGACCCCAGGATGGTAGATCCACCAACAGCTTGCACCCTGTGCCTGGAAAAGCTGCAGGCATTCAATGCCAGGCCGTGAAGGAGCTGCCCAAGGCTGTGGGAGCCTACTCCTTGCATCAGTGTGCCGCAGATATAAGACATGGAGTCAAAGGAGAACATTTTGGAGCTTTAAGATTTAATGACTGCCTTGCTGGATTTTGGACTTACATGGGGCCTGTAGTCCCTTTGTTTTGGCCAATTTCTCCCATTTGGAATGAGTGTATTTACCCAATGCTTGTACCCCCATTGTATCTAGGAAGTAACTAACTTGCTTTTGATTTTACAGGCTCATAGGCAGAAGGCACTTGCCTTGTCTCAGATGAGACTTTGGACTGTGGACTTCTGAATTAATTCTGAAATGGGTTAAGACTTTGGGGGACTGTTGGGAAAGCATGATTGGCTTTTAACTGTGAAAAGACGTGAGATTTAGGAGGAGCCAGGGGCAGAACAATATGGTTTGGCTCTGTGTCCCCACCCAAATCTCATCTAGAATTGTAATCCCCGCGTGTCAAGGGAGGGACCTGTAACCCCCACATGTCAAGGGAGGAAAGTGATTGAATCATGGGGGAAGTTTTCCCTATGGTGCCGTCATGGTAGTAAGTGAGCTTTCACAAGATATGATGGTTTTACAAGGGGCTCTTGCCCCTTCACATGATCTCTCTCTCTCTCCCTCCTACCTGCTGCCATGTCAGGCATGCCTGCTTCTCCTTCTGCCATAAGTTTCCTGAGACCTCCCCAGCCATGTGGAACTGTGAGTCAATTAAATCTCTTCCCTTTATAAATTGCCCAGTCTCAGGGATGTCTTCATAGCAGTGTGAGAATCGACTGGTACACCCCACTGCACCAAAATTGGGTTTTCAGCCCCTTCCTCAGGTATAAGTCTAGTAACTTCCTTCAAGATCTTCTCACCTCCTAACCTAGCCTGAATCTGAGGCTATCTTAAGTTCAAAATTAATTTTCTGGGTTTCTTGATCATTTGGCCCTCTCAAACCTCAGCTCTTTGTCCAAACCGCCTTTATGTGTATTAATCCTAGCCAGCTAAGCCCCACTGGAGACAATCACAAGCCTACCAAGATGAGCCTCCTTACAGATGATACCTGTCAACCTCATGTAGATCCTCCTTACTCTGACAATTATTTGTTTTCCACTGTTTACTCACTTTCCCATTTCCCCTCTGTTGACCTTTCTAAACATTCGTCTCTCTCATTAAAATTTCTGCCTAATCCTGCCTCCTACAGACTTAGCAGATAACCCCAATTCCTATACCCTAAGGAAAAGAACGTCTGAATTGAGCTTTCTAAATTCCCATTTCTCCTCCAGAAAACCTATCTGTTGTGTCATTTTTTCCTTCTTTTCTCCCACATTTTTCAATTTCCTCCCTTCCTCCCATGCTTGCTCTCTTTTCCCTCTCTTCCTTCCTTCCCTCCATGAATATTTGTTGAGTATATGCAAAGCATAGGTCTAGGTTCTGTGGACACCACAGTGAATATAACAGAACTCCTGCTCTCCTGTAGCTCACAGTCTAGCAGGGCAGACAACTGAGAAACAAATCAATGTATATCATCTCAGGCAGAGATCAGAGCTTTGAAAATAAATGAAGTAGGATAAAGGAGATAGAGAATCCTGGGGGAGAGTGCTTTATTTCTATATTTGATAGTCAGGGAAAGCCTCCTATGAGTAAGCCTTGAAGGTTAGGCAGCCAGATTTAGCAAATAAAAAGATGGGATCCAGTTAAAATAAAAAATAAATATAAAAAGTCCAGTTAAATTTGAATACCAGGTAACCAATAATTTTTAGTATAAATATGTCTCATGCAATACTGAAAAATTACTCATTGTTTATCTGCAATTTGAATTTCACTGGATGTCCTGAATTTTATCTGGCAATCCTCTGAAGGAACTATGGTGATAAACCATTCATAGATCCAGAGGATGAGGTTTCAGGCAGAGGGAACGTTTTGGGGATATTAATTTTATGTCTGCAATTGTGTTAGGCACTGTGGATACAGAAAATCAATACAATGGTGTTTTGTCTCCTAACTGGTCTTGCTGGGTCACTCCTCTCTCTCCTCTAGTCCGTTTCTACATACAGCAGTTAGAGTGAGCCTTTGAAAATACAAATCATGTACCTTCTCTGCTCAAAACCCACAATGGCTTCCTGTCTCAGAGTAAAAGCTGGAGTCCTTAAAATGGACTTCAAAGACCTAGGTCAGTGGCACTCATATACATCCACTATCTGGAGTTCTTTAAAACATTCCACGCCTGGATCCCACTTCCAGATTCTGATTAAACTTGCTTGTGCTGCAGGATGGAATTCAGGCTTTTTCAGTTTCCCAGGTGATTCCATACTGTACTGGAGTTTGAGACCCTCTGCCTCACATGACCTCATACTCCTTCTCCCTCCCCAGCCCCAGCTCTGGGAGCTCCCCACCGGCTCTCTCCACTGCAGCCCCGCTGGCCCCACACTCTTCCCCAACACTCTTCAGTGGTGCTGTTGCCTGGAATGCTACTTTCAGAATAGCTACAGGGCCCCTCCCTCCACATTCATGGGGTCTCTGCTCAAACGTTACTTTACCAGCAAAGCCTTTCCAGATCTTCCTTGCCCTTCACGCTGGTGCCCCATTCTCTCTCTTTCTGCTTAATTATTACCCATAGTTCTCAAGATGACTTTTCCTGTTGTATATTTGTGTCTTTATTTATGTCTGTCTCCCCACACTCTAGTGTAAGCCCTATGGAAGCAGAGTACTTTGTTTAGTTCACTAATTTAGTGCCTATGTACAGTGCCTGGTATATAGGTTGAGCTCAGCAAGTATAGGTTCATGAAGGAGTTCAGAGTCTAGGGGGAAATTTAGACCCATAAACAGTTAATTGTAATACAACAAGGTATATCATAATTACAAAGTTTTAAACAGAATTCCCTAGAGACTAGAAAGCTTTTGATTCCTGATTCCACCCCTTCCCCTCCCTCTAGGATGTTGTTTCCCAACTATACCTTTAAACATTTTGCTCTCCACAGCCTCCATCTGCAAACCCAATCAAGCCCTTCTCTCTCCGACGCCCCTCAAAAGCTACCATTTAGTGAGTATGCTAGGCATTGTATTAAGTACATTATGGACATCATCTCATTTAACTCACAACAATTCTGGGGTAGATATCAGTATTATCCCCTGATACAGTATGAATGTCTGTACCCACCCAAATGTCATATTGAAATGTAATTCCCAATGTTGGAGGTAGGGCCTAGTGGGAGGTAATTGGATCACGGGGGCAGATTTCTCACGAATGGTTTAGCACTATCCCCTTGATACTGTCCCCATGGTAGTGAGTGAGCTCTGCTGAGATCTGGTTGTTTAAAAGTGAGTGTCACCTCCCTGCTTTCTGGCCCCCTGTTCTGGACATGTGAAGTGAATGCACCCCCTTTGACTTCTGCTATGACTATAGGTTTCCTGAGGCCTCCCCGAAGCCAAGCAGATGCCAGCACCACGCTTCCTGTATAACCTGCAGAACCATACGCCACTTAAACCTCTTTTCTTTATAAATTACCCAGTCTCAGGTATTTACTTATAGCAATGTAAGAGCTGACTAATATATCCTCATTTTACAGATGAAGAAACTGAGGCCCAGAGAAGTTAGGAAACTTGGTGAAAGCAAGATGTGTCTCACTTCAAATCCTGCGCTCGCAATCACTGTGTTCTTTATGGTTTCTACACCTGGCCTCTCCTTTGTCAGTCCCAGCTTCATTTGACCTGCAGGCTGCTCTCCAGGACTCCTTCTGGCTAGATATATGGCTGTTCTTCTCCCTTCCCTTCACCTCATTGTCCAAGGGCCCTTCAGTGTCTAGACCAATCATGCAAGGGGGTAAGGTGGGTGAGGGGAGAGTTGTTAACTAATCTGGTAGGTCAGACATGGCTCCTAGACTCTTTCATTACTCCTTGAGATGCTTTGCTGCCACCATGTCCTCTGGTTTGAGGCAACACCCCACAATGCCTTGGTCTTCATGTCTTCCCAACCCATGACTTGTTGGCTTTCTCCTTGACGTTCTGGGCAACCACCAAACATCCAAACGTCAGAGCTGATCCCAAGGGAGCAGAGTGGAGGCTTCTGGCTTTCTTACATATGCATTTGATAAGGGGCAGCTTTTTTTGACTTTCTCCTTAGTGTGGATTCCTTTTCAACATACCAGTTCCTTTCTGTGTGGTGTGAGGACCTCAGATGCGCATATGCCCTTATCACAACACCACCTTCTGAGGCCACCTTCTTTCTGAGGTGTGTTGGCAGAAAAATCGTGACGGTGTAATTAATACTGATCCTGATTAATATTTGGACTTTTCATTTTTTGCCTCATTTCAAATCATGGTATTTTGGCTACATATTTGAAACTCTTGCAAATTTTATTGATCAGCTTTTGAAATTGGTTTGGAATTTAATTTTGTTTCCAGTTGCTTTCAGTACTGCAGTAGAGGCTGTGGAGGTCACTGCAGACGGTTCTGGTATCTACCACCAGGTTTCCGTGTCTCTGTTGGAGGCGGAGGTATTCTCTGGCAGTAGGTGTCTCCTAGGCCTCTGTGCAGGGCAGGCTGCAAGTGCCTGGGGGTTAATGCATGGGAACCATTCTCAACCTACCAGGGAAAGGAATAGGTAGATAAGTGCCCCAGCTTCCTTGCTGTCAGACAATTCTGAGATGTGTTCCACATTATTTTTAGATCGTCTCCAGTGACCAATCGCCCACAGCACTAACCAGCTTATTAATGTATTGCTGGCTTTTCCGCCTTTTCTGTTTCACTCCCCTCTACCTCCTCAGAATGCTTCCAGGGATCACTTCTCAAATAAACTATTGGTACCCAAATCCTTGACTCAGAGTCTGCTTCTGGAAGATCCCAGACTGACACAATATACATTTTGATTTTTCCTCTAAGGAGCAGAAAACAAAATTCCCCAATCCACCATCAGCACCTTCTCAGTTGCTACTTAAATCAGGCAAACTAATCTGGCCTGCAGACACCTTCTCCTTCTGCTTTGACTACCAACTAAACACCTCCCTGCACACACCAACCTTCCTTTTGACCACTGAGGTTCTAGCTGTTTTTACAAATTTCCTTTTATAACGCTTTTGAAAGTAAATTTGGGTCTATTTGATTATATTAGCCACCCATTTGATTCATAAAGATGGATAAAATTTTTGGTTTGACCAGTGCAATCTGGGGATACTGTTGCCTAGGTAACGGCCTGGGTGGGTGAGGAATTAAGGATAATAGGCCTAATGCTACATATGAAAAGAGAACAGATTGCCTGGTAGAAGGAGGTGCATTAGATTTCTCAAGTAACTTGAGATGCCATTTAGTTCACTGGAAGAGGCCATTTTCTAGGCAGTTAGAGGAGTAAATGACTCAGTAAGAGATGCTGTTTGACAGTTGGGATTTCTGTAAGGGAATTTTCTGTCACCTTATTCCAACTTCTTCCAGTTCAATGTAGTCGTAGGGGAAGCAATCATGTACATACACGCACATATATAGGGAAAATACTGAGAAAGAAAGAAAAACATACCAGTGCCTGCCCATGTAGGTCGTTCCTCCATGTCCCATTGGATAGAAAAGATTTCTATACAAAGGCACATAGATGAAACCTTAATTCTGTCTTTCTGCCCAGGAATAGCAGTTGAATCAACAGTCTGCACTTCTAGGAGGAAATAAAGAGCATTTATGCTGTGAATTCAGCTAAATGTGTATATATATCAGGATTTGTTGAGCTTCCTGGCCCTGGTGGCACAAAAGAAGCACCATATTACTTAGTGCTTCATGGCTAGCTTGAAATGCAACGAAGATTTGTCCAGCCAGGCTCCACACCCCCAAAAAGCTCCTGGCTGTGTCATTTGCTCGTTTGCCTTTAAAGGTACTAATATAACAGCAAGTACCTTACATGGGATTCCATGGCACTGAAACACAGTGGAACCGGATTTTGTAGAATATTGCTGTTTCCCAGAGCCTTAAAAGCATCCCTCGAAATCTGAGGTGTTGGTGCTGCAATCTGAAGATATCATAAGCAAACAGGATCGGGGATTAAAATTTCAAAGATAGCATCTCTTAACATCTGATAAGAATGTTGATGATCAGAGCTTGGATAATGTTAGCATCACTTCAGGGTTTTTGTATCTAAAATGATAATGTCATTCCAACCGTAAATGCTCTTCCCTCTCCCGTCTCATCATTGGTGACCTTCTTCATCACATTCAGCCTCTCCATTAACCTTGCCTGGAGAGTAAACCCTAAACCCTATTTTGGTATTTTCTCCTAATGTCTTAATTTGCATGCCATTGCTTCAAGGTTTTAGTATGGTGCATTGCAAGGATTATTCAGGATGATCACCAACAAACATGCTGGCATTATAAGAAAACGGTTTGGTTCAAATAAAAAAAAAATTCCGTTGAGAGAAAGAAATCTACGCATGTCAGCATTTTATTTTAACCACTTGATGGAAATCTTTAATAATGTATTTCCATCTTCTTCTATTCCTTCACCCCAGAATTCTGAATGTGGTCTAAATGTTTTGGATGATTTAGGATCATCATGCATCACGCAACGATGGTTGTGCTAAGTTTTCAGGCCCTACTGATGTAATCAAGGGGCTTTGATTCTCTAAATGGCCCTGCCACTACCGTATCTTTTGAATACTATTATACTTGGGTTTCTCTTTTGAAGTTTCTGTGTCTTTTCTCTCTATTCCCCTAGTCAGTGTGCCTGTTTCTGCCAATTATCTCCACCCCCACGCCATTTCAAACTTACAGCTGTTAATCTTTTTTTTAATATGGCAATGAGACAACTAAGTTTGTTGGAGCAGCAGGTAAAGTTACAACACATATACTCTTAAGGACCTGAGGCCCCTTTCTATGAGTAAAGTGTATTAGCTTTGTGCATGAACTTGACACATTTTGTTTGCTCAGAAATTTGTATTGTTGTAATTTAGTGACTAGGTTCTGTGTATAAATTACCTAAATAGGTAATTATACACCAGAGGACTGTGACCATATTCTTTGTGTGTGCTTTTTTTCCCAGGATATCCCTCATAGATTATTTACTATGAATTTAGAGACCATGATACCATTTCCTTCCAGTGCTTCAGTAATTGGCTCTCCTTTGCATTTCTTTCTCTCTCAAGCATTAATGCTCACCAAGTCCTCCACATCCGGTTCACTAAATGGGAGGCTTCTATGGTTCTGATTGGATGTTTAGAGGGTGTGGCTGACAGAGTATTGTATACCAAGGCAGGCTAATACTTTGCAGATGTTTTGGTTGCATTGGCAGATACACTTGAAAGTGGGAATGTTATGAACTTTCTGGTCAGGTTTTAGAACCTCATTTGCCTTGAGGGCCCAAGACTTCTTTGGGATTTCTTGGGCAAGGATTAGGCTTATTATTTTGTCGAACAAAGAAAAAGCCAAACTCCATACTCGTTCTTATGTCTATATTTCTACTTCTAAGTGTCTTTGTTCATTTAAGTCAAGTCTATCTTTAGATCTGTAGAATTTTATGTAAAAGGCTTTGGAGTTCTTCTTCCCCAGTGAGCATGGTTTGTAGATGATGACACAGGAGTTCTGAGGTTAAATGATCCAATCAAGTTCCATCCCCTAGTTAATTAGTGACAGTGACAAGACAGAACTGGGACCCCTGATTAGTTTTGTTATCTAGTTTATTTTAATTTACTTAGCATTTTAGTCACACTGACCCTTCCTTGTGAATTTTAAACGTCTTGGAGGTAGAAACATACTTGCAAAGTGCATACTGGCTTTATTGTGATGAGTGTTCTTCATTAGCTATGGAATGGTGAGAGTGCCCACACTCACTACACTGCAAATTCCAGATTGATTTAATCGAGGATTGGGAACTTCACAGAAGAGAGGGGGCTGCAGCTATAGAAAGAAGAGCAGGTGCAGGGGACCACAGCAGAGCAGCCTTTGATACCCCTGATCCCGAGACACGTTTGGTCCTGCTAGCCTTGGAGTGCTTCCTTTTGTGCTGTCCCTGAGTCTTTTATAACTGGCTAATGTGACCATCCAGGAAGAATTTCCAAAAACAACGCATATCCTTAACAGGAAACAGTGACAAGTATCTGAGCCCTTCCTGGATCTTGAATCAAACTCAAGGTCAGCAGGCTGCATCCTCAACATGAAGAGAAAGCAGATTCAGGGTCCAGGCCATATAGCATTGTGGTAAAGCACATAGAGTTGGAGGCTAGACTCTCTGAGTTTGTTTCTCATCTGCCACTCAGACACTGAGAAACCTGGAGAAAGTTATTTTTAACCTTTCAGCACCTCAGTTTCCCCATCTACAAAATGAAGATAATAATAGTATCTACTAAGAAGGTTGTTAGGAGAACTAAACAGGTCAATATTGTAAAGTACTTCAAACAGTACAGAATGACGCTTAGCATAACGTAAGGGCCATATAAATGTTAGCTATTATTATCATATTTCCATCTTGTCCAGCATCTCATTTCCTTAACAGGCTCTACTCAGGGAAGATGCTCATATTTGAATAAATAATTAGCTTTGGGAATGGATATGTAAATAAAAGTGCAAGTTATGAAGTTGATTAATGTTTTCTTCCATTGTGGATATATCTCCAATTTTGTTTCCGAACAAATACATAAATCAAGTACAATAAATATATTTCTCGATTCCACTTACGTGAGGTTTCTAAAATAGTCCAACTCATAGAAGCAGAGAGTAGAATGCTTAATACCAGGGATGGGGGAAGGGAAAATGGGGAGTTGCTGTTCAACGTCTATAAAGTCTCAGTAATACAAGATGAGTAAGTTCTGGAGATCTGCTGTACAACATTGTGCCTATAGTTAACAATATGCTATCATGCACTTAAAAATGTTGTTAAGAGGCTGTATCTCATGTAAAATGCTCTTAACACACACACATACAAAGAAAGAAATAGCAAAGATGTAGGAGATAGTGTTGGAAAGTCTGTCTCCTTGATGGCATTCAGATAAATGAAAAATAAATCTGGGCAGTCCAATGTGGTTGCAAATATATATTTTAGTACACACCATCTAATAATTTACTCTTTTTCTTTTATCAGAGTATATTTGAATGAGTCAGCCATTGAATATCTACAAAGTGTTATCATTGGTTAACATGCCTTTTAAACTAAAAAGTATCACATGTGAATGAACATTTGATAGCAATAAGTCGGACTATTTGAAACTGGGACTTCCTTTTCTAAAAAAATAAAAAAAGATTATTATACTTATTCCTATGGTGTACCGATCACTTTTATTTATAATATACAGGAAATAATTTTAGAAGGAGAAAACGGAATTACCTAGTCCAGAATTTCTCAGTATTGAATCCATAGTGGTTTATATGTATGCTAAAGATATTGGAACAGTCTTAAAAAACAAGCAGACTTTTAAAAATTGCAGGACTGCTCAGAGTCTTTGTTATGATAACATTTTGCCTAATATATTTGACTACTTGAAAAAAAGTGTTACGGTGATAAATTTCCTATCCTACCTAGCTTTTAGAGATTAAAAACAAAACTAATCAAGGTTATAGGATTTATAATTTCCAGAGTACTCTTGCATATAATATTTCATTGTATGCTTACAGCACTTTACTAAGATATTGTCATTAGCCCCATTTTACAGGTAAGGATTTTGAGGTTCAGAATGTTGAAATGAATTGTCCTGAAATAAACTGCCAATGAATCTGGACTGAAATCCAGGTTTTCAGTCCCTGAAGCCCATGGAAAGTTCCTCTTCTCCAACCACAGGTAAACAATTTTCAAAGAACCCTAACATATTTCCTTCATACCAGAAAACTATCTATCATGATTCAAAGGATACCTCAGGATACTGAAAACTGTTGTGAGCATTTATTATTGTGGAACATTACTGCAAAACGGTTCTGGCCATTAGAATTTTCTGGTAGTGTACATGCTGGATAAAGGGAAACTTTACCAAGGTAAATAATAATTTGTGATTAGAGACTAGAAACAATGCTGATTTTATTATTTAACCATCCTAGTAAGTTATGAGGGAGAAATGATTGTGTAATGTATATGTGCATGTGTGTGTGGAGTTCTGCTTGTAAACTTGATGTTAGAACTGATACAGGAGATGTACAGCAGAATGGGTCCCAGAAGGAAATCACATGTCTGTTTAAGGGAAAACTTCAAAGTCAGTAAATCTTGTTTTTGCTTCGGAAATTGTCACCGTGTACCCAGTTTCTGACCCACACTTAGAAATGGTCTGTAAGCTGTGGCTGTGTAGATGCTTTCAAAATTCCTCCTCATAAGATTACCAGATAAACATAATATGATTTTTGTTTCTATTACAAGGTAATTGGAGTCCTAATGGTCCCCTTTCATCCTCTCCTTCCCTGACTGCAATAACAAAGCTTAACTTTATCTCATTTGAGGCTCTTAAAAATGCTTGCTATACCTGTATCCCTTCATATATTCCAGAGAGAGAGAAATTTAATTTTTATTAGCTGAGCCCTATGAGTCATTCTGCTAACTGGCACCACAAACCACCTCCCCACCAGACTGGCCTTTGCTGAGGGCTCTAAATTTAGAAACTGAATGAGATTGCCTCTGGGTTACATAAGGAAGCGAGGAAGTTATTTTTAGCACGCCATTATACCTAGAGAGCCCTGTGCTTCTATCTGATTTGTTAAGCACAGGCTGAAAGAAAACGTGATTACTGATTCTCTCCCTGTTCGGGTGCAGCATCCCTCAGTACCAAATGACATTTCCAGTTTTGTTTACCTGCAGTCCTTCATGTTTATTTTGTCTGTGCTATAAACACACTGAAAATCAATTGTGTTGAAACACGAGGTGATATTTTTTACTACCTCCTTCATTTGGGGAAAATCTCCCCAATATGTACTGTAATTTTATCCTTTCTCTCTCGCTCTCTCTTTCTTTTAGGAGTGGAAGGAAAACGTTTTGGCTGCTCCTATTCTAAGGCTGCTGTCAGAGCTGATGATGGCATATGTCTATCTAGACCAGTGAAGCTTTGTTTGTGTTTTCTTTGCCAGGCATTTGTTTTTACTTTCTTTTGCAAGGGGACTGCTGCAGCTGATTGGGAAAAATAAAAGTGGCAAGGCAAACATTAGGAGGCATGCTGTCATCTAGGCAGAACATTAATGAATGCAGTGGTGGCCAGAGAGAGAATCTGGATAGAGGCAATGTTTTGCTTGTCAGTGTATTCCTCTTGTTTCCCAGCCCAACATCAAAAGTCCGCATTAGCCCCTTCTGATTCTTCTAGGTTGTATTTTAGCAATCAAGCACATCTACCTTGTTGGAATTTTGATACAGTGATGGCAAATGTCACTTATTTTGATTTATAATTACTTTTTAAGAGACTGGATGGTCATATGGCTAGTTGCCTAGTAAATCTGTCTACTTAGAGTTACGTTTTTTTTTTTTTTTTTTCTGTAATCAGTGTAGGTAGCTGAGGGTTTTAGCTAGTGTATATGTGCCGAGCAAGGAGAAAGTTGTAAGAAGTGAATGGTGCACATGAGCATCAGGGCATTCCTAGCAGAAAAATTAAAAGTGCTCACTGAAATAGTCCACCAAGATATTGCTAAAACATTAGTATTTTGCAGTGGTTCTGGGAGGCAAGGATCTAGATTGTACAACAGTGATCCAGGCAGCTCACTGTGGGTGTCCTGGTTAATGAGCTGGCTGGAGTGGGGCCCCCACTTTCTCCCAGCAGGAGTGACTGGGTACCCAATCTTAACTTGCTAATCAAATCTCTATTCTTGTTCATAAAATTATTTTTAGAGACATAAATCTAATCATGTCATCTCATTTGTTAAAAAGCAAATTAGCTATAACAGTCCTTAAATAATGATAACTAAATGGCAACTAAATAAAAAGCAACTTATCTGTTTCTCAATAGCACAATTTACATAAATATGGAAATATGTGGTATAATATATAAGTCATTATATTTCTCAGAAATGGTGGGGGGGTGTGGAGAGAGAGAGAGAGAGAGAAATCTTCAACGGAATATTACATTACTAAACATAATACTTGATTCAGCCAAGTCAGTGCAATTTCTTCCAGTGCGAGTATTTCTGTACCTAAGCTTAGCTTCTCATAGACCCCATGGGCCCCAGGTGCTGGTGAGTTGGTGGTCCCAGGCAACTCCTGCAAACAGATGGGACCCAAATCCAGATAGCTTGGTGCCTAGGAGTATGTTTGTGGACATTTTCTGTCATATTTGCTGTAAAATTTAGAGTGAACAGGGGAGTTTTTTCTAGATGCAAATCCATGCCTTGGCCCTGGGATGCCTCTCTGTGTGTCTAATGGGAAGGTGAGGCATTTATGCCCTTGCTTGTTTTATGACCATGGCCTTGTAAGTTTCTACTTTCTCTATATGGCGTGACATTGTGGGATTTAAGTCCTTTAACAAAGGAGGTGATAACCACAAACTGACCCACCTGGCACATCAGGTGAGGAGAATCCCAATTGTCCAGCCAGCAAGGGTCCAGTAGGCCACCCTGGAAGTAGGAGACATCCCTCCTGAGAGCGAATACAAGGTATCTGGAGAGGTGGTGAGCAGGATCATTTGGGATGAAGGAGGTCCACTGGATGACCATGGTGATGTCGATCACCACAGCCCCTGAGAGGGCAGGCCAGGCCACTCAGCCCTGGAATGGCCAGTAGTCCAGTGAGTGGCTTCATTCTCTATCAAAAGACTACTAGCATATGATCCAGCAATCCCACTGCTGGGTATGTACCCCAAACAAAGGAAATCAGGATATCAAAGAGATATCTGCACTTCCATGTTTATTGCAGTACTGTTCACAATAGCCAGGATTTGGAAGCAACCCAAGTGTCCGTCGATGGGTGAATAGTTAAAGAAAATGTGGTACATCCGCACAATGGAATATTATTCAGCCATAAAAAAGAACGAGCTCCTGTCATTTGCAACAACATGGATGGAACTGGACGTCATTATGTTAAGTGAAATAAGCCAGGCACAGAAAGACAAACTCCATGTTCTCACTTATCTGTGGGTACTAAAATGAAAAACAATTGAACTCATGGAGATAGAGAGTAGAATGATGGTTACCAAAGGCTGGGAAGGGCAGTGTGAAGAGGGGTGGGGAGGAAGTAGGGATGGTTAATGGGTACAAAAAATAATTATAATGAACAAATAAGATCTCGTATTTGATAACACAACAGGGTGACTATAGTCAATAATAATGTAATTGTACATTTAAAAATAACTAAAGGAGTATAACTGCGTTGTTTGTAACACAAAGGACAAATACTTGAGCTGATGGATGCCCCATTTACTTTAATGTGATTATTACATATTGTATGCCTGTATCAAAATATCCCATATAACCCATAAATATATACACCTAGTATGTACAAACAAAAATTAAACATTAAAAAAAAAGACTACTAGGACTTGGGGTAGCTGGTCATTTGGAAGTCCTTGAGTGGTGGCTCACTGTGACAGCAGAATCCTGGGTGCTGAAGGGTGGCAGCAGGTGACTGAAGCAGCCCACCCTCTTCCTCAAGAGTCGGGAATCCCTGAATCCTAAAGACAGAGGATGGAAAGGCCCCATCCCAGGATACTATCTGGGCAGCTAGGGCACCTTGAATGTATCACCTAGCAGCTGTTTGGGAAAAACTTCAGTACAGATAGAAATGGAACATTACCAAGAGAGAGAAGCAGGCTCCCTCCAGGCTAGCACCTCACTCTTGGCCAGAAAAATTCCCAAAAGCTTGACTGCTTGTTTTCATCTGTAAATCTGAATGGTGGTCGGTAGGGAGGGTGTAACGCGGGACCCTCTACTACAAAATAAAATGCTAGACTGAGTGTGTTGGATATATCTAATACCTTGCCTCATATCCTCTTGGCCCACCTAACTTTCTGTGGTGGCAGCCAGCCATATGCAGGTGGCAAGTAACACCATCCTACCCTGGCTACACTAGTTATCTGATCCAAGACTTCCTGTAGCCTCTGTGTTCTGAGGGTATGCACAAACCCGAAGGGAGTTAACCCCCATGGGAAAATCCTTGACCACTAGGAGATGGCAGTCAGAAGATAAGTATTCGTCCCTAGGGCAGAGAACTCTGAGGAACATGCTACATGGCGCTCAGGGGGATCTCCAGAAGGATTGAGCTCCAATCGTCTGCAGTATGGACAGCTTACTAACGTGCCCTTTAGACTGGCTTTTCATCCTCCCTGTTTCACTCTTCCTAGTACCCCCTTTTCTGTTCCTTGGGATCACTTTCCAAATTAAACAACCTATATGCACGCCGTGTCATGACAGCCTTGTCTCAGGCTCTGCTTTTGAGGGGAATAAAACCAGAACAAGGCAATATGCCTACACTACTGTAGAATTGGATACAAGGGAACAGAGCAGAACTTCGGAAATTCTGAACCCAGTTGGAGAGAGACTGCCATGTTGGGAAGTCCCTCTAGTGCAAGATTTCTTAACCTAAAGCACTGACGTTTTGGATGTGATAATTCTTTGTTGTGGGGCAATGATCTGACCATTGTAGAACGTTTAGTTGCATCTCCAGCCTCTACTGACCAGATGCTAATGGCACTCCACCCCTAAGCTGTAATAATCAAGACCATTTCCAAACACTGCTAAATGTCTTTGAGGGGCAATTCACTCCTGGTTGAGAACCACTGCTTTAAGGGAACACAAACTCATGCTGCATGTTCAACAGATTGTTCAAATCTCAGCATGTCTTTCTATGGGATAATGGGAGGATGGGAGTCTTATGGCTTCCTTTTATCCTGATGCCGGCTTGTAAATTTCCCGTTCCCAATAAAGCCTATCCTTCATACCATGGCACATTGTGGAATATATACTGAACTCTGGCACGTGACTGACAGTGGTTCGGACAGTGGTTTCAACAGCTGATACGAAAGTGGTGACCATGAAGGGATGTGTACGTGTACTTTTGCACCAACCTAATATATATATATATATATACACACATGTGCACACACACACACCTTATATGCATATATATACACACATAGGCACACACACATATATATACATACACACATATACACACATACACACACACACATGCACACACACACACACACACACGCACGCACATTTGCATACAGCCTCAGGAGATGCACAGACCCCCTGAAGACCATGCATGGACCTAGTAGAGTCCACAAATCCCAGGTTAATAATGCACGCGTAGGTAGAGTTTTTTTTTTCCCCTAAGAATACTTAATAATAGACTTGGATCACAAAAATAGTCTGTTTGTTCCACTTATTCAAATAAGTATAAACATCTGGATTTTGAATCCCTGGATAGTGTTCCACTCAAGGAGGAGGTGCTAATCTCCTTTGACAGTTTTAATTTTAATGCCGCTTGGGAAAACATCTTTCTCCCAAAAGAAAACACCTGGCCTGCCCTGAATCACCTGTCATCAAAAGCCTGTCTCAGTGTTAAATCATTCTCCTGCCCTTCCTTCCTATTATCACCATAGGCTTCTATTATCACCATTTCTGGCCTTGCCAAGGAAGATAACTGATTTATTCTGAAGTGGCTTAAAAGAATTTACTTTATTAAACTTTTAACAAACTATTGAGAATTAAGTTAAATATTTGAAATTTGGGGTCCAAAGATCGTGATGCGTGGAGGTGTAGGGCCATGGGAGGATGGACACCCAACAACAATCTGACATAGTGTAAATGTCTTCATGAGATGGTTATTTTTTAGTTTCTGGCTCAAGGGAAAAAAAAGTCACAGTTTTAGCCATTGTGGTAATAAGTTATAAAAGCTAACACTTATTGAGCACCATGGTAGATATGCTAGTTGTCCACCAACTATTTGTGCTTTTCTTTCCATAGAGTAGTAGTGTTGCCGGATAGCAGCTGCCCAGACAGCCAGTACATTTCTCAGATCCCTTTGCATCTAGAAAGGACCACTGGCCAGTGGAGTGGAAATTGAATTGATTTATACTACATCTGAGACTAATCCTTAGAAGCCTCTCACCAGATCCTACACTCTCTTTCTTCTTCCATCTGACAGCTAGATGTCGACATCCAAGGTGGCCTTGGAAGCCAGTTTTTGAAGAAGGCAGAAGAATATCCTTTATCTTTGAACCTTTAATGACTACATGGAGCAGAGCATCATCCTTTCCCACCTTCAACCTCTGATCAGCCTTCTCATGAATGAGAAATAAATTTCTCTTGTGTAAAGCTTCTGAGACTTTGGGACTTTGCTCTGTAAGAGCAACTAGTATTATTTCAACTAAATGAAGCACTTAACATATGCTACACACTCAGTTTTTTTTTTTTTCTGGTTCTCTGGCTGAAAACACACAAAGTTTTTTGTACGCTTATCTGTTTTAATTCTTATAACATCCTTATGAGGTAAATATATATATTGTTCTCAATTTATAGATAGGACCCAAGACATAGAGAAATGTTGCAGTTTTCCTAATGTCACTCAGTAAATAAATGGCTGAACTTAAATTCAAACCCAAGGGGTAAATCTCTAGAACTTCTGCTTCTTGGCATTCTATACTACTGTCCCAGTAGAAGTCCAGCTGCCACTCAGGTTTCTTAACATCATAAGGTGAGTTCACGTGTCATTCTGTTTTATATTCCATATGGTTATAATTTTTCCCCTCTCTGGGATGTTGGAACACTAAGTGAGGATTTTATTTTGAGACAATGAAGGGTCTCAAAGCAGATGATACAAATTACAAAAACCATCTCACAATTCAAATGAATGTGATGAAGACTTTAATTTCTGAGTGAAACTTTAAAAGGCGACAAATTTTTAGGAGATGAAATGGATTATATCATCTCTATTGTGACAACTTAAATATGGTTATAAATTATTTGATGTTTTCCCCATTAAGAGGCAAGCTCTATGTTCCATCTCCTTGAATATGAGCATGCTATGTGACTATTTTGACCAAAAGAATATCATGGAAGTGACACTATGACAGTTTCTGGGCTTAGGCCAGAAAAGAATGGCAAGTTCCACATCCTGTCCCTTGGAATACCCACTCTTAGAGCCCTGAGCTGCCAGGTAAGAAGTCTGGTCACCTGTAGACTGCCATACTTTGAGAAACACAGCCACACAGGAAAACTTGGATAATAATACACTATGTGGAAAGAGAGAAAGGGAGATTGACAAAGAGGCAGAGACCACACAGCTTCAGACATGTGAGTAAAAAGTTATCTTGGAAGCCCATCCTCTGGCCCTCCTCTCTTGATAATACATGGATCAGAGACGAACTGCTCTGCTGAGCCTTTCTGGAATTCTTGACCTATAAAATTGTGAGGAAAATAAAATCTTTGTTTCGAGCTGCTATGTTTTGGGAAAGAGTGTTATGTAGCAATTGATAACTAAAACATCCATTATGATGGCTATAATTTATTTAAGACCAAACTAAGCTTAGGAGTTGATCAGCAAAAGGTAGAAGAGCTTTATCTGTACAAGATTTAACCCCAGAGAAACTGAAAAGCAAGAAATTTGATCTTACAAAAGTGAGAGATTGAATAGTCATTAATCCAATGCCAGATGGTATCCTGGGAGAGCATAGAAACAAGAGAAAACATAGCCCCCCAAAACCTGTGGAAACAGAAGCTATATTCCTAGATTTCTAACACAAAAAGGGGCTGGACTATGTTTTGCCCAATTTAGTTTGCTCTCCAGGAAAAGACTTAACATATGGAAACATAAGGACGGGATGTCATTGTTACACGTTTTGTGGGTATTTCGTTAATATAGGTCCACTCTACTTCTGTTTTGTAGTGATGGTTCCCCCAGAGGAGTTTCTTACTCCTAAATTCACATTTTCTGCCAAGAGGACTTTGGGATTCTTGATTTTTTTTTTAAATTTGAGATTCCCGACATCTCAGAAATTGTCTTCAGACACCATAAAACTCATCCTGTAATTACCACATTTTCACTTTGAATCTTTATTATCCCATTTATAATAAATGTGCTAATAAACCATTTATCTGTAAGAAATGTAAGAAATATAAAACTTGAATCATTCACACAATAATACAGCCTCACTGGCAGTTTAAAAGGCCACAATAACAACATAAAAGGGAATATTATGCCGCTATTAAGAATATAAGTTCTCTGTGACATGAAATGGAAAGATCTCTACACTTTTCTTTTTTAAAGCTTCACGATATATACCGAATGGGTATAGTATGCTATCTTTTGTGTTAAAATGAGAAAATTATGGTGCCATATTTCTATCCACACAAAAATATTCTGGAATTATATTCAAGAAACTAATAAAAGTAATTACCTATGGATCTGGGGGGATGAGGAAGCAGACTGACTTGGGACAGGGTGGGAGTGAGACCTTTTACTTTACATGTATATGTAAATACATATTACCTATAGGCATATGTGAATACATATTACATATAGGCATATGTAAATGTTCAATCATAGGAATGCATTATCTTTTTAAAAATAATCTGAAGTCCATAGTTTACATTAGGATTCACTCTAAGTGTTGTACATTTTATGGTTTGGAACAAATGTATAATAACATGTATCTATCATCAGAGTATCATATAGAATATTTTTCACTGCTGTAAAAATCCTCTGTGCTCGCCAGTTTATCTCTTCTCACCCCACCCCAACCCTGGCAACCATGAGTTTTTTTTACTGTCTCCACAGTTTTGCCATTTCCAGAATGTCATATAGTTGGAATCATACAGTATGTAGCATTTTCAGATTGATTTCACTTATTAATATGCATTTAAAGTTCCTCCATGTATTTTCTTGGCTTGATAGCTCTTTTTTTAGTGATGAATAATATTGCATTGTCTGGATGTACCAGTTTATGTATCTACCTACTGAAGGACTTCTTGGTTGCTTTCAAGTTTTGACAATTATGAATAAAGCTGTTATAAATATCTGTGGGCAGGTGTTTGTGTGAACATAAGTTTTCAGCTCCTTTGGGTAAATACCAAGGAGTGCAATTGCTGGATTGTATGGTAAGAGTATATCTAGTTTTGGAGGAAACTGCCAAGCTGTCTTAAAAAGTGGCTGTACCGTTTGGCATTCCCACTGGCAATGAATGAGAATTTCTGTTGCTCCGTATCCTCGTCAGTATATGATGTCAGTTTTCTGGATTTTGTCCATTCTAATGGGTAGGTAGTGGTATCTCACTGTTGTTGTGCTTTTTTCCCTGATGATATGTGATGTGGAACATCTTTTCATATGCTTACTTGCCACTTGTATATCTTTGGTGAGGTGTCTGCTGAGATCTTTGGCCCCTTTTTTCAGGTTGTTTTCTTATTGTTGAGTTTTAAGAGGTTCTTTGTATATTTTGGATAACAGTCCTTTATCAAGTATGTCTTTTGCAAATATTTTTCCTAATCTGTGGTTTTTCTTCTAATTCTCTTGATGTTGTCTTTTACAGGACGTAAGTTTTTAATTTTAATGAAGTGCAGTGTATCGATTCTTTCATGGATTGTGCCTTTGGTGTTGTATCTAAAAAGTCACTATCATACCCAAGGTCATCTAGATTTTGTCCTATATTATCTTCTAGGATTTGTATAGTTTTGCATGTTACATTCAGGTCTATGACTCATTTTGATTTAATTTTCGTGAAAGCCGTATGGTCTATACCTAGATTCAGTTTTTTGCATGTGGATATCCAGTTGTTCCAGCACCGTTTGTTGAAAAAGATGATCTTTGCTCCATTGTATTGACTTTGCTTCTTTGTCAAAGATGAGTTGACTACATTTACGTGGCTCTATTCTGTTCCATTGATCTATTTGCCTATTCTTTCACCAATACTACACTGTCTTAATTACTATAGCTCTGTAGTAAGTTTTGAAGTTAGGTAGTATCAATCCTCCACTTTGTTCTTCTTCAATACTGTGAGCCCTTTGCCTCTCCATATAAACTTTAGAGTCAGATTGTTGATATTCACAAAATAACTTGCTGGAATTTCCATTGGAATTGCATTACATATTGACAAAATTGGGTCTTCCTACTCATGGACATGGACTATCCATTTAGTTCTTTGATTTCTTTTATCAGAGTTTGATAGTTTTTCTCAGATAGATCTTGTACATACTCTGCTAGATTTATACCTAAGTACTTTATTTTGGGGTGCTAATGTAAGTGGTATTATGTTTTAATTTCAAATCCCACTTGTTCATTGCTGTTATACAGAAAAGCGATTGACTTTTGTGTATTAACCTTATGTCCTGCAACCTTGCTTTAATTGCTTATTAGTTCCAGGATTTTTTTTTTTTTTTTGGTGTGGATTCTTTTGGATTTTTTACAAAGACTATCATGTCATTTACAAACAGAGATCATTTCATTTCTTCCTTCCCAATCTGTATAACTTTTATTCCTTTTCTTGTCTTATTGTGTTAACTAGGACTTTCAGTACAATGTTAAAAAGAGTGGTCAGAGGGGACATCTTTGCCATATTCCTGATCTTAGCAAGAAAGCTTCTAGTTTCTCACCATTGAGTACGATGTTAGCTGTAGATTTTTTTGTAGTTTTTTTTTTTAATCAGATTGAGGAAGTTCTCCTTCATTCCTAGTTTACTAAGAGGTTTTCTTTTTTTTTTTTAAATGATGAATGGGTATTGAATTTTGTTAAATTCTTTTTCTGCATCATTTATATGATCATGCAATTTTTTTTTCTTTTTTAGCCTATTAATGTAACGGATTACATTAATTGCTCACTTTCCCTCCCTTCATGGATTCATATGGATGAAAAAAGGCATGACACCAAGAGGCAACATAAGGGCTTTTTTGGATCCCCTCCTAATTTTCACTGGCCATCTCCCATTGTTGACATGGAAGACAGCTGACATTTCTCAATTAAGTGTTGTACAAATAGAAATTTAAACTCTCCGTAGCTCAGCACCCTCCTCTCCTGTGCTTATTGTCTTCCTAAAGCTCTTTTTATGCAGGAGTTCTAGAGTCTGGAGCTACCATTGAAGAAAATACTGTCACAGGCAGGGGGATATTTTCTCCCTCATAGAACGTTTCTTTCCAGTTGGCACTAGTTTAGAGGACCATGAGTCACATAAGCTATAAGACCAGCTGTGTGAGACTCAGATAATGAATTTATCTGGGTGATTACTTTTCAACACATTCAACCCAATGTTCCCCTTCAGACTACGTAGGGTGTATTAATCAGCTGTTTCCTCAGTAAGTGATTGCCCAATAATGCTGCATAAGAAACAACCCCTAACCTCAGTGGCTTACAATAACAAGCATCTATCCCGCTCACAGGTCTGTACACTGATTGGGGTTCAGCTGGATACAGCTGAGTGACTGTTCTTCAAGCTGTTGGTTGGCTAGACCTGGCTTCAGGTTGTGGTTTGGGTTCAGGTGTACTCCACATTTCTCATCATGGGGACCAGGCCGAGGTGGCAGTGGCTACTGGGGCATGGTCTTCTCATGGATGAATTTTGGAATGAAAGAGCCAAGCCCAATTACACAACCACATTTAAGACTTTGCTTGCATCACGTCTTCTAACATGCCATTGTTCAAAACAAGTCACACGGTGAAGTGCAACATCAAAGGGGCAAGGAAATATAGTGTGCCCACAGTGAGGGGGGAAGAGAATAAATATTTGCTGAACAATAATCCAAACTATCACATCAACTTTCCCTCTGGACTTCAAATGGAGTAAACAACTTTCTCTACCCTCCTTTGTACATTTTCTGTGTGAATTGAGAACTAGGTGTTTAAAGGAACATCTTCTATTGCTTGACCCCGGGAGGCCCACTTTTGCTCTCTGGAATAGAGGTTTTAGTTCTTTACATGCTGGTAAGTCCCTCCTCAATCTATTCTTATAATGTTTGTCTACTCATTAAGTTTTTTTTAATTCCTAGCTTGTCTGAATATTTTTTCCTTCACTATTCCACCCATTACCTCCCCTTTAAGTAAGAAATAAACCATAAACCAACTAGAGTTGTTTATCAAGAATCTGATACATGCTTAGCCATATTCGGTATATTAGATACAGAAAAGTGTTCCTGTGAGTTCTTATCCTTGGGAACTCATAACTGAGTATCTAAATTGGATTACATATTGAACTCTGTGATATGGACTTGGTGTGACAGTTCACAGGTAAGAGCAATTTTTCAAGGTAGAGATAGTTAAGACAAAGGTGGACCTTGATGAATGGGTAGAATTTTGCATAGAGGGAAAGGAGGAGGAGAAGGAAGGGTGTTACTGGAGGGTGAAGCAGCATAATCAAAGACCTGGGGGCAGAAGTAGGCCTGGAGTGGGCTAAGACTGCTCTATTATAGAATCCATGTTGTTTAAGGTTTCAGATTTCATACTTCGAAATCCCCAATCCAGAGGGAAGACAAATGGAAGAAGGCAAAGGCATGGCTTAGATCATGAACGGGCTCTAGTAAATATGACTTTATCGTCCACTTCTTAACTGCCAGGGTGCTGACCACCAGGCAGTGAAGCCTGCACCAGGGCAGCTCTCAGTCACATGTGCCTCTGGAGACAACATTAAAGTCACTTGATAATAATAGTACTCATTCCCATAGGTTCCCAGTGCCACTGCCGTGTTTCACTCTCCAGAAACCCTTTCACTGTCTAGGACCCAGAAATCATCTTTGACTCCTAGATCCCTGATCCATGCTGTCTCCTGGGGGCTACTGATCACTACAGGACCGGGCAACCTCTTTCCAAAGTCCCCTTCTAGGTGAAAAATATTAATACACACTTTAGAAAATAAGTAATGTCTTGTCAGGTAGAACTTTACTGAGGAGACACTTTAGGGTTATAAGCTGAAGACGAGAGTACTCTATTGGGGTTGGAGTTGAATCTTAGACATACAAGATAGCCATATGACCTTGAGGAGGTTAATTCAGCTTTCTTGGGCTCACTATCCTCATATGTAAAACGAGGGAGTTGTGATATATCTGTGGTTTTTATGCCTGGCTGCTCATCAGGGTCATTGGGCAAGCTTAAAAAAGATCTCAACGCCCAAGCCCCATCCAGATCAATTCAATCACAATGTCTGGGGGTGGGACTTGGAGAATCAGTACTCAAAACAGAACAAAACAAAATAATAACAGGGGATTCAAATAGGGAGCCATTGTTTTTAGTGCTCTTTAAAACTTCTGCTACCTTTAAGGTTTGATAATTCCATAGGATAGCTATAATTATAATAATATATAGCTGTTATTATTATTGGTGGACATTCAGTGAGTATTATATGCTACCTTACTAAACATTTTACATGAATTATCCCATTTCTCACAACCACCCCGTGACAAAAGTACCAGTCTTATTCCATTTTTCAGGTGCAGAAACTGAGTCACAGAGAGGTTGAAGTTATTTCTCCAAAGATTACATTGCCAGAAAGGGAAGGTTTTAGGTTCAAACTTGGAAGTCATCTATCTGACTCAAGATCTTTGATAGTTTGACAAACTATATATAAAAATTATAAAAATAACCCCATAGGAGATAAAGATGAGGCCAGATATTTCGTAGTGGTGGGGACATGTGTAGTGAGGGAAGTGCTAAGTCAAGTTGGAAGGGTATGGTAAGACCAACCTCACTTGTTCCCCTGATTCATATCCAATATTTTGAGTACTTTTATATTGAGCCATTAAATTACGCCCGAGGACATGTGCTTCGTGTGGTAAGTTCCTGCTTTGCTATATTTTCTAACCTAAAAGAACTGGTAAAAGACTCAACATGGAATGTGACACAGATGGTCTCTACTAAGGGATATTTCTACCAATGAAACAGGCTTGCCAGTTAGTTTCCAAGGCTCTGATTTGCTGATAATTCACACTCTCCCCTTTTGGCTTGGTTCCCTAGCCCATCTCTCAGTGCCTGCATATTTAAAGCTGTCCCTGTCAGAAGGGAAATTGTAGGTAGAAGAACTCCACTTCCTGGTAATCTGATGGTCATTAAAACATGGTCATTGACCAAAACCCTTAAGGCACAGAGCTCTTCAGTTGGCTTATGAACACACTTTTGAGAGGATTAACTGCAAAGCGTGTTTAATGGAGGGCAAATCAGTCAGTCACAGGCAACACAAATGGATGCAAGTTTTACATTCTGGAAAGCTTTCTTGGGAGGAAATGCCTGTCATACTATGCAACAGAGGTTGTTCATTGTCATTCAACATGGGAAATGCCACAATGCCTACATTTGGGCATTTAGCTCTTGTGGAGCAGATTTCTGAAGACACAAAGTGGTGAGAAGAAAACACTGTAAATTAAGCTGTCAAGTCCATGTGCTTAGCTTAACGTAAATACGCATATACTCTGTCATTAAAAGCTCAGTGATGCTCTTGACCACCAGAGGAGGAGGAGGAGGGAGGAGGAGAGGAGGGAGGAGGAGGAGGAGGAGGAGGAGGAGGAGGAGGAGGAGGCATTTTTCTGTGAGTTTCTAACTTAGGTTTCGTCTTTTCCAGAGTTTGCTTTTTCAATCGTAACATACTTTTCCTGCAATTTTCAGGATTCTGTAGCCAGCTTACTTGCATGCATCCATTCATTTATGCCTCCGTGCATGCATCCATTCATTTCTGTATTGGTTCTTTCAGCAAGTATTTGTTGTAATGCCAACTAAGTGCCAAATCTCTTAGTCATGTTTCCGTGTGACTGGGCCAACAGTTTTCCTGAAGCTTGGATAGTATTTTCCACCTAAATTTTCTTCCAAAGATGAATAACTGTATATTTGTTACACGATAATTATCAAATGTGTGTCTCTTTATTAAGCTTGTGGTATACAACAGACACAACATTTAAAAAGGCTATTTAATTTGCAACTTGTAAGGTAAACCAGCCTAAGTTAAAAGGCTCCCTTTGTTCCCCATTTGATAACTATGGTAATGCCTGGTCTTCCTCTCTCTTAACTTTTACATCTTTAGAGAAGGAAACCTTTGGCTCCTTTTTCTCATCTGCTTGCCTTGGTGCTGAACTCCCTGAGTTCATCCTGGCTTTACTGTTCTGTGACTTTGCTTTGATTTAAAGTGCTCATAGCTTCTTCATTCACAACAAGACTGCAGCTTCTCTCTCAGTTTCTGCCTCCATCAGCTGCCAGAGGAGGAGTCCTGTGCGGGATGGGGAGGGGAGAGAATGACACAGCATCTCCTCCTCATTTCCTTTCCTTGCATCCACTTCTCCCTCTCCCTCTCCTCCCACCTCTCCTCCCTCTTCTTTCTCCCTCCCTCTCGCACCTTTCCTCCCCCTCCTTCTTCCTCCTCTGTCTTTCTTCTTTCTTGCTTATTTTTCTACTAGGCAGAAAAATAAGAAGAGGAGGAAAAGTATCTCACACAAGGTGTTTTAGATGGATAGAGTAATTTTCTCATTCCTTCCCACACCCTTCTCTCTTTCTCTTCTAAAAGAATAAATGACTTTATTTCTTTTAGCTCACCCACCTCAATCCCTTTCATCTTGATTTACCTGTTGGGGTGGAAGAAGCAGAGCTGGATATAGCTTCACTAACGGGTAATACTTTTCTTGGTAGTTCTAGCAAGAGGTTACCAACACAAAAATTTATAACCTCAATAATAGAGTTATTCAGAAGCAGTTTTTTTTACAGACCCTGTATGAGTCACACAGAGCAAAAACACTTCGCTGACATTTAAACGATATTTTAAAGCAAGATTTAAACTGTTTTCCTTACACTCATTATCAATGTTAGGATATTTTCTCAGTACTATTGCAGAATTTGTGCTGATCTATCCACACAGTTGCAACTGCGTTCCCCTTGAGACCAAGGATACATTCTGACAAGGTGGTAAAGATAGAAGCTAAGAGGACCACTTAAAAATCACTTAAAACTTGTAGATTTTTAACTGATTCAGTCAAACAGCTATATTGATACTATTTGGTCACTTGCTTACCATGAAAATATCCCTGAACAACTTGGATTTATAATGCATGATTTAATAGGTCAGCGCTCAAAAGAAAATAATCCAGGGTTGTAAACAATATTTTGACTGTCAACTAAATTTAAATATATCCATTACTGGAATCTTATTCAATGGTTTTAAACACAGATATATATTTTAATTTAAAGTAGTACATTTTAAAATATGAAATTTCCTTTATGGTCAAATATTTAAATCCTTGTAAAATTTAAAATATTACCACTGAATTTGAATAATCATCTTAAACCTTTGGGCCTTTTGATTTTCCCTGAGAGAATTAAAAACGTGTTTTAAAGAAATAGGTAGAAATGCTATGATTAAGGTACTACATTCATTTGGGTCACGATTCTTGGTACAGAGTGGTTGTTTATTAACATTATTTTTATTTTAAAAAAACCCAGTAAAATTATTGATTTGTTTTGGGGAAAAGTATTTCTAAGAAATCTTTAGCTTTCTGTTCAACTTGATAACTCTGTCCATGAAAATGGTGTGTGCTGTGGAGGGGAAGTCTTTCAACACCAAAAGCCACAAATTCCCCAGAATTTGCAGTGCTCTAGCACAAAGGAGGGAGTAAAAAAGGAGCATTTGAAACTGTCAAAATGTAAATGACACATTTAAGGTACATTCATCTGGCACAGTAACACCTTACAATTTTTTTTTATCACACCTCACATATTCAGTTTCCATCATTTTCAAAACGTGACATTTTAATATAGGATTTTATGACTTTGAGATTTTGCCCATTTATAGACACCTATCTTGATACTGTACAATAAACTTCTGTCTTCTTTTCCTGGACTAGATTTGAAGCCTGGGTTAAGTTTGTGTTAAGGTTGCCCCTTCCCTGGCTGCCAAGACGACCAAAGAGAGGCCCTTGGGATTCTCTTCTTGGCCTGCACACTAGAGGTGCTCCATCCACCTTCCATCTCGCCCTCCTCACCACAACGCGCCAAAGAGACCAGTCCAAAGAAGAAAGCTGTGAATAAAACTGCTCTTCCATTTCCTCCTCAGGACCAAACCCGTGATATCTGATATCCTTAAGTTACCACCAAATAGGTAATCTGCCGAGGTCCCCCTTACTGCTTTTTACCCATAAAGCGTTTGTTTGTCTCCTATGTTGACGCAGCTCCCAAAAACTTCTTTATTCCGCAAGCCCCTTCACTCTGCCCACTGGAAAAAAACCTCTTCCTATGAACATCTCCTTTACCTTCCTGATCTAACTTAGGATTTACTCAACCTTGGCACTACTGACATTCTGGGTCGGATCATTTGTTGTGGGCTGACCTGTGTGTTGTGGGATATTTAGCAGTATCCCTGGTCTCTACCTACTAGAATCCACTAGAGCACCCCCAGACTCCCACCAGCTGTGACAGCCCAAACTGCTTCCAGACATTGCCAAATGTCTTCTGACCCAGGGGGAAGGGGGTATCACCCCCAGCTGAGAACCACTGATTTAACCACTGTTGGGATTGTGTCCTTCTTGCTCTGCCCCTTCCCCCTCAAAAAACTAAAGCTCCTTTAAACATATGCCACCATCCTACTAACCTTTTGTTCTACTAGTGGCCTTTTGTTATATCTACTGAGCTCCTGGTCACCTCTTTTCTTTTGATGGAGATTTTAGCCCATGGCTCTGTCTCTCCGTCCCTCCCTCTCAAATATTACTCTGCTGATTGCTGTCCTGTAACTTTCATATCCAAAAAGATCTACTAAAACCTCTGGCCTCTAAGTTACTTGATCCTCCTGATCCAAGTTAAACCCAAATATCGGCCCATTTTACATATGAGGAGCAGAACGTCATTGGAAAAAAAAAAAAAAACATGCAACCCTTCTATTGGCCTCACCTCAAATTGACGACTGGAAATTTCACCTTACTTGACTATCCTATAATATTCCTGGAGTCAGTTTGCTCTCCCCCTCTCTCTGAGACTATTTCATACCTCTTTTTTTCTCAAAAACTCCAGTACTGCCTCTTCTCTTGCTCTTCTTAACGACTTTGTTTCTTAATTCATTGAGAAAAATAGAAGTACTGAGAAGAGGGCTATTGTATTCTACTACCACTAACTTGACTAACTTACTTGTAGGCATCCGCAACTTTGTATTTTTTCCCTTCCTTCCTGTCACAATGATTCTGTTCCCACTCCTCTCTAGGGTCACCCTGTGCCCTTGCATATCTCCCTTCATCTGTTTTCAATGACCCAACGACCTTGTCCCTTTACTTTTCCCCTTTGCTTGCGCATCATTCATACACCCCTCTCTACCATCAACATATACACACGCTGTACTATCTTCCATCGAAACAACCACAACCTGATCTCTACATATTGGCATGACTCAATCCTATGCTTTTTTTCCCCTCTCCTCTCCTCTTCTCCCTTCCCCTCTCGTCCTCTTTTTGCCTTCTCTATCAATATTTACTCTCTAAATGGTCTAAATGAGTTCTGCAGCCTTTAATAAAATTTATATGCTAATGATTGCAATTGATACCTCTACTTTTTATTTTTAGCTCCAAGTTTATATATCCAGCTGCCATTTAATTGGATGCCTCACCAGCACTTTCAACTTCACATGTCCAAATGTGAACTTCTGATTACCCCCTAAAACCTTTACTTTTCTAGTGTTAACACTTCCTGTAACTTGAAAAAGATGCTCTGGCTGAAAATCCAGAAGTCATGTTGATTGTGTCTTCTCTTCTTCCCACCCCATATCCCTCATCAAGTCTTGTCAGCTCTACCTTCAAAACAAGTCACAAATTTGAACTCCATCCACTATTATTTCCTAGTCTAAGCCACCATTATCTCCCGGGCTACCACAGTAAGTCTCCTAACTGGTTTCTCTGCTTCCACTTTTACTCCCCTAGAGAATCTTCTTCACACATCTGATACAGTACTCTTTTAAAACTTGTAAATCAGATTTTGTCACTTCTCTGCTCAAAATTGTTCACCAGAGTTCTATCACATTTGGTATAAAAGTCCATGTCCTACTGTGTCCTGGGCAGATCTGGACTCTACCTGTGATGGTTAATTTTATGTGTCAACTCAGCTGATACACACACACACCACACACACACGCACACAAGAATCATGTGTCATTTAATAAGAAGGTTACATTCTGAGAAATGTATTGTTAGACAATTTCATCATTGTCCATACATCTTAGGGCGTACTTACGCTAACCTAGATGGTACAGCCTACTATACAACTAGGCTATATGGTCTAACTTGTTGCTCCTAGGCTACAAACCTGTACAGCATGCGACTGTACTGAACACTATCATAGCACACTGGCAAGTATTTGCATACCAAAACCTATCTAAACACGGAAACATATCTAAACATACCTGCACAGTAGAAATACAGTATTGTAATCTTATGGGACCACTTTCATATATTTAGTCCGTCATTGACTGAAACGTTGTTATGCAGCACGTGACTCTATCTATCTATCTGTCTGTCTGTCTGTCTGTCTGTCTGTCTATCTACCTACCTACCTACCTACCTATCTATCTCCCATTGGTTCTGTTTCTGTGCAAACCCTGACTAATTCACTACCAAGTCTCATTTTTGCTTATTGCTCTCCTCCCCCCTCACTTTGCCCTGGCCACACTGGCCTTCTTGCTGTTTATCAAGCACACATGGCTCCTTTCAGCTCCTTGGTCTTTGCTCTTGCTGATACCCCATCGCCTGTGCTTTGGACATGTTTGGCCCCCTCACCAGCCACTGTGCACGTGACATGAATGGAAGCAAGCACGGCATCAGTTATCATGCCAGTCAAAGAAATGTTTGTGTCCATTGAACTTGCTTTACTGATAATTAGATCACGAGGGCACCTTGAAAAATACAACTTATAAGTCACCAGCCATTGCTAGAGATTTTATAATTCAAGTGGCTGCTACAGGACCCTGCACCTGACAGAATCTCAATGCAACACCTCTTGGGACATTTTGAGAACTCTGCCTGTGCTTTTGTGGCACAAATCAATGACTAATCTCAAAAGAGACTTTGTAATCCCGTCCGTCACCAATTAAATAATGCCTTTCAGAATCCTACCTCATTTGACAACACTTCTTTTTTGACTCTGTCTGGGTCTTCTGCTTGGGAAGACTTGGGGAGACTTACTGAACTCACTTTGGCATGACACGATTTTCCTTTGTCTGGTGAGCAATACATTCAGCTTTGGTTTTTCAGCTCTGCTGCTCCGGTTATTTCAATATGACAGTACCTTAATGATTTCATTTTCTTCCCCTTTACTGTTTTAGGCCTTCAAAACATTTTTTTAGGAGTTTCAGTATTTACTGGTTGGTCTCTTTGTTTTCCTGAGTCCCTTTGTGGAAACATGGTAAATTCTCTTCTGAGAAAGGAAGGATTTTACTGACCTGGATTTAGGGACAATCCCCCAACTGTTTTAGGTAGTTTGCTCTGAAATATTATTATATAAAATTTCATTCCTGAAACCCCATCAAATCTGAACCCTTTTCGGGCATTCCTGAACTCTCCCCTCCCCCACCAAAAAACCCCAAATCCCCTAAACTTTAATTACTATAGCTATTTATTTTGGTCCCTCTCTGTGGGTGAGATTTACATTAATTAGAGTATAATGAAGCCTGCCCTTTCAAACAAATGGATTCCTTTGTTTGCGCTCATTTGGGCAAACCAACTGCACTGTGTGTGATTTCGCAAAAGGAAGGCACTGAAAACAGCTCATACGAAACCAGACCCCCAGACCTAACCTTCCCCATCCTTCCCAAGATACCTGCAGCGTTACACACTTGAGATTTGTGAAGAGACCTGTATAAATATGTTTTTGGTCTTGTTGTTTTCCTACCTGCAGAAGAGACACATTTTCTCAGAAAACATTTCCTTCTCTGCGGCTTTCTGGTTAGTATTCAGGCCAGCACCTCTGTTATCAGACGGTGGCAACAAAGCTTTTCCGCCTGAATCTTCTGCGAGGTGGCGGGGGAATGGATTGCACAGTAATGAGCTGTTTTTGCAGGCTTCCTTCGGGAGCCTTTTCTTATATCCCTTGGCAAGAGGAGCTAATTCAAAACAGCTAACCCAACCCTTGGGCATCTAAAATTCACAGAAATTCAGCCGACTTGACAGGAAGAGGGTCTCCCTGAAAATCGGTACTGTAAATCAGAGCTTTGTTCTCTGAGGGAAGGGGTGGCTAGAGGTTTTCTGGCACCTCTCGTATAACCTTATATAAGACTTTTATCCCTATTGCTGTTTTAAAGCCAACTGAAGATGGTAGGGTGCGTGCTGGGAGCTGCTTTTCTTTCCTGATTATGCTGTTTCATCCTCTACGCAACATGAACTGAGAGTCTCAAAGCGTTTCTTCCTGGAGAGGCAATCACAGACTTTTACTTTTCATGAACTTGACCAGATAGACTTAATCTTCTTGAGGGCAGGGCCAGCGATTTTTATTTTTATATCTCCAGTAGCTAACACAGAGGCCGGCACTTAGTAGACCCTCAGTGTATACTCGGCGGATGTCGGATGGCTGATGGGGCTAGCAGTGGCTGTGCTGATTCTGTTTACGTAGCAAGCATTGCTGCTGCCTTGCTGATGTTGGTGCTCAGGTGTTACCTCGGCATGTGCTCCCATTTCTTTTGGCTCCAGCCTGCAATTGCTTTTCTCTCCTGTCTCCAGTTGTTAGTTCTCCTTCTTTCCATCAAAATATGATGACTTCCCATCCTTATAGACTTCTCTGTCTCCAACCTAAGTAATCTGCTACACACACACACACACACACATACACACACAGACACACATCTCCTCATTCTTTTGTAGGTTACTTTTTTGTAGGTTCTAATTTCCTTCTCCTCCACCCTCACACCACATCTTCCCCTTCACCCTCAAGGGTTTCCCCATTCTTTCAACCCAAAATGATCCTCATTCATCCCAGGTTCTGCTTTGATTTCCACCTTTTCTTAGTCCCCATCCTATGCTTTTGATGGGTTTTACCCCTTCATCCTCTGGCAACTTCCTTTTATTTACATATTTCTTAACTTGCTGAAGGTTGGAATCGAAAAGGGGTGGTCTTTACCTTTTAGATTTATATTGCTAACCAGTGAAATACGCCAACAATGGTGCTTTAATGGGTACAATGGTAGAAATTGCATATGTTCCCTTTGAATATGTGGGATAATTATTAAGAGGGCTAGCTGAAAAACATCATAGTATTTTGTTTGATTTAAACTACTGGTCTCAACTAGGGACAATTTTGCTGCCAAGGGGACATTTGGCAATGTGTAGAGACATTTTTAGTTGTCACAACTGGGGGCTAGGAGCAGGGATACAGAAGGATGCTACTGGCATCTAGTGGGTAGAGGCCAGGGATGCTACTAAACATCCTAAGGTACACAGGACAGCCTCCACTACAAAGGCTTTTTGGGGCCAATATGTCAATAGTGTCCGGGTTGATAAACCTTGGCTTATACCTTCTCTTCCTTTCTCGGGACCTTTCTGCCCTGTCTCTTGATGCCCTGGGTCCTCGCAACCTAATCGTGTCACTGTGTCTCGTGGCCCTAATTGCTGTGTTTGCCCACTGCCTAGAGAGCACCCCATGCCTGGTTTTAACCTCCACAGTGAAAGCTAACCATGAACATTCTTCAGTTTGTGGAATCCTGGCTAGTGGGAGCAGGAAGGGCCTTTACAAGCTTTTATAATCTGCCTTCTGACTCTTCAGAGTAAAGAGAAGTGACTTTGCTAAGATCACACAGCTACCCCCAGGCTGGTCTGGGGGCTATGGCCCTGGTGGCCCTTTTCCCAGCCCTCTTCTGTTTATACTCACTGCTTTTGGTCAAAAAGGGAAATACAAGCTAACAGCTTGGACAAGGGCAAGAATCAGATTGACTGGTCTCGTCCAAACAGGGATGTAATTGTGCACTTCTCAGTTTGCTGGGTTGCTATGAAAACACGTTTTTCAGAATTTCATCCTTTGGGGCTTTCTCAAGGGTCACTGCTGGCTGCAAGTTATGGCCGATGTACCTTACTGTCCTCTTAGAGGGGATGCGGTGACTTGACCAGGTAAAACACAATTCTAAGCAGGTCATTAGAAATGAAAATTTGGGGAAGGCAGAACTGCCACTTCTCTTTATCTCAGGCCATGTAGTCAGCTGTGCACTAGGTCGAGAAGTACCTGAATCTGGGGTGGAAAGGAGCGTAAACCCAAATCTTCTGCAATAAAGAGCCACAATTTGAGACGATTACAAGGCAAACTGGGGCAACTTCCGTGTATTCTCTCCTTCACCTCTCCCCAAACAACCACATTTTATCAGTGAGCCAAAGTGTTTTTGGAGGAGAGGGAGAAGGGCTGGACTAATGTTTTTCCAAGTAAGGTCCTTTGACCTAGAGGCCTCAGAATGGCTTGGGATAGGTGTAAAAATGCATATTCCCAGCCCTTCCTAGATCGACATTTACTAGTTCTGAGCGGGGGGAGGCAAACACTGAAAGTATTATTAAGCTGCCAGGGCATCCTTCTGTAGTTGTAAGTTTAAGAACCACTGACCCAGACTCTTGAATAATAAAGCTTTTTCTCCCTGAAACAATTCCACAAAGTCAGAAGCTTTTGGACAATGCGTGAATCTCAGAGAGAAAACCTGCTACTAAAAAAGAAAAACAAAAAAACCTGGCTCTTTTGGTCAGATATTATGGTCATAAGGTGGCTGAGTTGGCTTGGAGCTTTGAAGATGTAAAGGCCACAAAGCATCAGGCTTTGCTCCTTTTAAAGTTTTGAAAGAGTTGGAACTGACCTTCTTTTGCTCTCTTGGCACCTTTGGACACCCTTTGAGGAGACCTGTGAGTAAAGAGAAAGTTTTCCTTGGGGGCTGCTTATTACCTACCTCTCCAAGGGCCCTGAAGGTGCCTGCTCACTGATCTACCTTGAATAGATATCTACATGTTTTAATTAAGAATACTCACAGGCGTTGACCACGTTCCTCATTTCAACAGTAATGCTCCTTGGTTTTTTTACTTTCCCCTAAGCATGAATCACTTTCCAGGGGCGATGACTCTTCATCTATGCAGCTAGCCACATTTCCTGGGTTGGCGCTTCTGTTTATTTACTTGTATTTTGTTGGACCAAGTTTTAAACACAGCCCTCCTCCTTTTCCTCTTTCCAAAACCCTTAGCCACTTGCAGAATGGAAGCTGTCATGCTCTTTTGTTACCCCACTATCCAATAAGCACAACGCTTCCCTAAGCATAGACCATGTTCCCTTTTCCTTTCAGAAAGAGATGCAGAACACAAATTCTGCTGCTTTGTGCATATAAGCTGTGTAATTATCTGACCTTAGGTGATCGTTGCTTTATTTTTTAAATTTTGGAGCGGAGAGAAAAGTGAAGGGTGACAGTACCCAACTGAGTCCTACAAACTCCTCTAAAACAAATTTCCAAATTTTGAGATCAATCAGATCCACTAGCTAGTCCCTTATTCTCTGCTGTTTGTCTGCTTCCTTACCCCAGGACCTTTGCACTTGCTCTTCCCAGCTTCCTATGCTCTTCATCAGATATTCACTGGGCTAGCCCTGCTCATTTGCTTCCTGCAGCTCTCTGCCCAAATGTTCCTTCTTCATGGAGGCCTTCTCTAACCATCCATCCCATGGTGCTCCCTCTTCTCCTTTCCCTGCTTTAGTTCTCCCCACACATGACAAATTCCGTACAGTTCTCTGTGTGCATTTCCCCCACCATAAGGCAAATTCCCTGAGGGCAGGGTCTTGTCTGTTCAATGCTGTAGTCTCAGCACCGACACCAGTGCCTGGCATATAGTAGACACTCAAGCAGTACTGGATGTGTGAATGAATGAATAAACGGATGTAGAAATGAGGCCCAAACGACTCTCTTCTTTGTATATAAATTCTTCCCAGAACGAACATGCATGTAAGGAGAGAAGTCATGAGCTACAGGAGTCTGATAAAGATGGGCCTTCCACCTACCTCTAAGCCTGTGCTGATGGTTTCTCTTCACTAGCAACTGCTGTGACCAGAAACCATGGGAGGCTTCAAACAAATAATAACAGAGAAGAATCCTTTCACTTTCATTGGTAGAAAACTTCAGATCAAGCAGGCATAGCAGACGCTGTCTGTTTCTGCCTACTGAACCAATATTTGAATCTCAGGATTCACTATCAAACAAGGAAGATTGGGCAAGATATAAAACTAAACACATGTATTCTTGGCCTCCATTATTAACATTATTTCCTGCAGAATATGCCACACTCAAATGCATGCATCTTTTTGATAACGCCACTTTTCCACACACGGCAACTAAAGAACAGGATTACATGTGCGTGTATTTATAATATATGAAAATATATATACGGTACAGGGACAAATCATTCCTTATTGTGGGTGTTATTGTACATTTGGAATGTTCAGCAGCACCCCTGGCATCTACCCACTAGAAGCCACTAATATCTTCCTCTTAGTTATGACAACCCAAACTGTCTCCAGACACTGCCAAATATCCTTCGGGGGATGGGTCAAAATCACCCCCAGCTGAAAATCACTGAGTTAAACGAAGAAGACAGACTCTCAGGACTTCTGAGTCAGTAGGCCTGGGATGGGGCCTGGGAATATGTGCTTTAAAACAGTTCCCCCAGTTAAATGTGATAATCTGCTTGAGTTGAGAACAACTGCCCAATTTATTCTCCTTGGTGATGACAGCATGTTCCTCATTCTAAGGTCCTGGCAAGGATCCAGTTTTCAACTAACTGAAAGTGGAATGTCAGAAAAATATACATCCAAGAAAAAAATAGAGGAAAGGAAGGTATTGCTATTTCCCTTCCACTTTTCCCTCTCCGTGAAGTGAGAGACACTGACTCTGACACAAACTAAATTGTCAAGTGACAAAATCGGAAGCAGTGTTGTCTCACACATGAAACGAAGAAATAAATAGAAATGGAAGTGTGTGCTTTTAACAGTCCGTAGACACCCGGGCACTCTGACTGATACCATGAGGAGACCCGGGACTTTTGCTCAGTGTCATAGTGATGGAGTTTAGAGCAGTCCCTGACAAAGCAGATAATCAACAGTCCATGGAGTTAAGAATCTAAAAGGAAAACGGCAACTCAGAAGACGTGGCTCTAACATTTGACCTCTTAGCCATTAATTTTGATGTGGCTGTTTTTAAGGCCTTCTTTCCATTCCTGCAGCTCTCTAAATCGTGACCTGGCACGCAGTGCCACTTATTTTTTGCCTCCAAAGTGGATAATCAGAGATAGCATTATGGAGATGGAGAGACCACATACATCTACAGCATCCTTGTGTATAACGCATCTCTTTTTTTCTCTCTCTGTCTTTTCTTTTCTTGTACACATGTGGATACTATTTACATTTAGGTTGAACCATAGGAAACTGCCATTTTTGGACATTTAAAAAAATGATAGAATATTGACATTTTATGTAGATAATCTTAATCTTTCCTATGTCTCCTTCTTCCCCTGACCCCCTTTCTCTCTCTGTCTCTCTCTCTCTATGTCTCTTCATGGCTCTATCCTCTATTTTCCTGCCTTTGCAAGCACATGTGTACTACCCAGAATACCAGCTGTGAAGGTCAATAGATGTTACTGGGAAAAATTAAGAAAAAGAAGAGGTTTCCAAATTTCAATAACTGTTAATTTGAAAACCCACTGATGCACTTCATATATCTGGAGGGGAGGTCCTCTGGTCCAGCATAGCCAAAGACGTGTGAAATTCTTGATCCTACCAAATGGAACGGTCCTGAAGAGAACGTTAATGTGTTTGTGTCACCATTCCCGCCTTTGCATAGTATTGCTTTTTTCTTTCTTATTGAGCTCTCAGATTCCAAGGAATTTCTCCAGGTGTGGGGATGTAGTACTAGAGGAATTAAGACTCTGTGGGGCAAAAATCTCTATATATGTACTGACCAATAAACAAAGCCAGACAAACAAGCTATGTTGTACTGCCTGGTATACAGTTTCCTGTCAAAGCTTACTTTCCGGGTTAGAGCTCAGGCTTTTGCAGCATCTTTGTGAGCTTCTATAAGTGGACCTTGTTGACTGTCCTCACTCTGCTTGCCAACCCCACTTCTGTCTCCTGGATCACAAATGGGATCTGTCACCTTCTCATGGATGTTACACTTCAAGTCACAATTCCTTTGTTCCTCTGTGCATCACATGCTTACTTTCTCTTCATCCCTTATACACATGCATGTGTGCATTCACACATGGTTCACATAGCCACATTCTTAGTAATTTACATGTCAAATATTATGTTTTCCTGTTGTGATTTGGACAATACAGGAAAGCATAGAGAAGAAAATAATAATTGCTCCTACTCCAAAATAAACACTGGTAACATTTTAGTTCATGTTCTCAGGTTTTAATGCATATATGTTACATTGGGGTCATACCGTATGCAATATTACAACATCTATTCACTTAATCTTCAGAGCATTTTCTCATTTACTATTATTTCAAAGGATGCTTTTTAATATATGCATAGTATTACTTTTATATGGTGTGTCTGCTCTTGTGTTATTAATCATTTATTTTTAATAGTTTGTAATTTATTAAATATGATGCATTAGTGGACTTTGTTGTATATACCATTTATTATACCCTTCACTATTTTATTAAAATAAATTTATGGAAATTGTATTACTGGGTTAGAAGTTATGACCTTTGTCAAAGCTCTTGATATATATTTCCAATTTACATCCCAAAAAGTTTGTATCAATTTACATTTTTACCATCAGCATAAAGAGGCCCTTGTTTCTCTGTATTTTTCCCACTTTGATTGGGAGAATATATGTTATTTAAATTTGCACATTGTTGATTTCTACGACTGGACTCTCATATTACTTGCCCTTTGTATTTCTTTGTGAATTGTCCATGTCTGGACTTTATCTTAAAGGCAAAGGGAAGACACTAAACATTTTTAACTCGGGGAGTAACTAGATTAGTATTTTCAAAAGCTCATTTTGATAATAGTAAAGAGAATCGATCAGATTACAAACAGGGAAATAAGTCAGGAGACTGGTAGTGATCTTGGTAAGAGATGATGGCGACCTGCCCTAGAGTGATAGTAATGGGACTGGAGGAAACTGAATGGTTCAAAAGATATCCAGGAGGTAGAATATATGGGATTTTTTAGACATAGGTCATCAGGGTGAGGTACTGGACCACAGTTTCTCAACGCTGGCACTATTGATATTTGAGGCTGGATCATTCTTTGTTGTAAGGGAACGTCCTGTGCCGTGTAGGATGTTTAGCAACATCCCTAGCTTCCGCCTGCTAGATGCAAATATCACCTCTTTCCCCAGGGTGACAACCAAAACTTTCTCTAGACATCGACAAATGTTTCTGGATGCCAAAATGGGCTCTGGCTGAGAACTACTGGACCAGTCAATGATGATTTCCAAGATGTGGGCTTGGGTAACCCAGAAAGGGAACATGGAGAGGGGAGCAGATTTCAGTGGAGAGGAAAGCGGTGATTCACATACAGTTTTGGACATGTTGATTTTGAATTAATTGTAGGAAAGACAGTAGTAGGCAATTATAATAGTATGGGCTCTGAAGATCTGGCCTGGTGATAGCTTCTGAGCCTTTGGCATACAGATGATGATCAATGGGAATGAGTAAAGTGAGAAGGGAACTGGGCTTAGGGTAGAAAGAACATGGAAGGTTCTCAACATTTAAGAAAGAAGAAAAATATATCAAGGGAACTCATAAGGGGTTATCAGAGAGGCAGGTGGAAAACTAGAAGAGTGAGGTGTCATGGAGAGCAAGGTAAGAGACGTAGAAGTAGCAGAAGCCTCTTATTGTGTCACGTGCTGCGAGAAGTCAATTACAATAAGGAATTCACTGGAGCTAGTGGGCAGGAAACTCTTAATCATCTTGGCAACAGCCATTTCAATTGAGTATTGGGGTAGGAAGCCAGACTGAAGTTGGTCAAGTGGTCTCTGGGAGGTCAAGAAGTAAAAGCAGAGAGATGAACTATTCTTTAGGAAGATTTGTTGACAAAATTTTCTATTCAGTAGCTAGAGAACTAAGTGGGGCTGAGGGAAGATTTGTTAATTTTTTTTTTTTTTTTTTTTTTTTTTTTTTTTTTTTTTGAGATGGAGTCTTGCTCTGTCGCCCAGGCTGGAGTGCAGTGGTGCGATCTCGGCTCACTGCAAGCTCCACCTCCCGAGTTCATGCCATTCTCCTGCCTCAGCCTCCCTAGTAGCTGGGACTACAGGCACCCACCACCACGCCCGGCTAATTTTTTATATTTTTAGTAGAGACGGGGTTTCACTGTGTTAGCCAGGATGGTGTTAATTTTAATTTTTAAAATTAAACTTGTAATTTTGACATAATGGTGGTAGATTCACATGTAGTTTTAAGAAATAATACTGAGAGATCCATGTACCCTGTACTCAATTTCTCCCAATGATAACAGCTTTCAAAACTATAGTAGAAATATCAGAACCAGGATATTGACATTGATATAATCCACCAAACTTATTCAAAACTTCCCAAATTAACCTGTACTTGTGTGTGTGTGTGTGTGTGTGTGTGTGTGTGTGTGTATACTCTATTTAGTTCTATGTAGTTTTATCATGTGTAGAGTTGGGTATCCACCACCAGTCAAGATACAAAGGCCAGGCGCGGTGGCTCAAGCCTGTAATCCCAGCACTTTGGGAGGCTGAGGCGGGCGGATCACAAGATCAAGACATTGAGACCATCCTGGCCAACATGGTGAAACCCCATCTCTACTGAAAATATGAAAATTAGCTGGGTGTGGTGGCACATGCCTGTAGTCCCAGCTACTCAGGAGGCTGAGGCAGGAGAATCGCTTGAACCCGGGAGGCGGAGGTTGCAGTAAGCCGAGATCGTGCCACTGCACTCCAGCCAGGGCGACAGAGTGAGACTCTGTCTCAAAAAACAACAAAGAACAACAACAACAAAAAACATTTACCTCATATTGCCCCTTATAACCACATGTGCCTCCCTCCCACACTCCCACTCCAACCTTAACCCCTAGCAAACACTGCTGTTCTCTATAATTCCATCATTTAAAATGTTATATAAATGGAATCATAGAATACATAGCCTCATGGAATGGGCTTTTTACACTCACCAAAGTTCCTGGAGATTCACCCAAGTTATTGTTTGTATCAATAGTTCATTCCTTTTTATTACTGAATAGTAGTCCATGGTATAGATGTATTATAGTTTGTTAAAACATTCACCCCATTGAAGAACATCCAGGTTGTTTCCAGTTGCTATAAACACTAGCTCACAGGGTTTTGTGTTTGCACACGTTTTCCTTTATCTGGGGTAAATGCCCAAGAGTGCAATTGCTGGGCCATATAGTATTTGCACTTTCAGTTTTATGAGAAACTGCCAAAATGTTTTCTAGAGTGGCTGTACCATTTTACGTTCTCACTAGCAGTGTAGGAGTGATTCAGTTTCTCTGCATCTTCATCAGGATTTGATGTAGTCTCTTTTTTTTTTTTTTTTAGTCATTCTGAGAGATACATAGTAATATTACATTGCGGTTTTTATTTGCATTTTTCTAATGACTAACGATGTTGAACATCTTTCCTATGATTACCTGCCATCTTCAGTGAAACAGCTGTGTATGTCTTTTGCCCATTTTCTTTTTTTTTCTGTTGACTTTTGAGAGTTCTGGATTCTATATACTTGCCCTCGAGAGTTCTGTATTCTATATACTTCTTGGATATGTTATTTGCAAGTATTTTACCTCAGCAGCCTATAGCTTTTCTTTTCACAGGTTCTTCGACGAGTGAAAGTTTTAATTTCAATGAGGTTCAGGTTATCACTTTTTTTCTTTTATGACTCATCATTTTGTTTTTGTTATCATTGTGTTTTTCAGACAGAGACTTGCTCTGTCTCCAGGCTGGAGTGCAGTGGCATGATCAGAGCTCACCGCACTCCAGCCAAAATGCACTCAAATTCCAAAATCATGGGCTCAAGTGATCCTCCTGCCTCAGCCTCCTGAGTAGCTAGTTCCACAGGTGGGTGCCATCACACCTGGCTAATTTTTTGTTTGTTGGTTTTTTGTAGAGACAGGGTCTCACTATGTTGCCCAGGCTGTTCTCGAACTCCTGGGCTCAAGTGATCCTCATGCCTTGGCCTCCCAAAGTGCTAGGATTATAGGCGTGAGCCACCGTGCCCAGCCTGGATCATGCTTTTGGCATCAATTATAATAATTCTTCACTCTAGCCCTAGGTCTATTTTATCCTATATACTTTGTAAAAGTTTTTATAGTTTTATGTTTTATACTTAACTCCATGAGCCATTTAGTTAATTTTTGTATAATATATAAAGTTTAGGTAAAAGCTTTTTAGAAAAACCTATAAATGTCCAATTGCTTCAGTACAGTTTATTAAAAAGTATCTTTAATTTTTTTTAAGATGTAAAAGATTTGAGGATATATAAAGGCTGATGGAAAGTAGCTATTGGAAAAGCATGAGGTCAAGGGCAGACAAATCCAGGAGTAATAGTGGCACAGGTCCTTGAGAAGGTGAGAGGGAATGAGGTCCAGTTTCATCACTTTAGGTATAATGTGTGACAAGTGCAAAGAAGAGGAAGAGTTTCATTGTCATATTTTCGTCTTGTCAGAATCATTTGGGATTATGGGGATTATAGTCGGAATTGCAATTTTGAGAAACTCACAATATATTTGATTCATCTTTCCTTCTCGAATCTCATACTATAGAATCATGTCAATCTTTTACTCAAATCTCATAGGGGTCAATAAATTCAATCCCATGGTTATTAATTTAGTATATACTTCATGTTCAATATGTAGTAAGTGACATGGGGAGTTGCCACATAGTACATGATTCTGCTCTTGAGGTGTTTATAATCAAGTTGAGAAAGCTGAAAGCAGTTAAAGAAATCAAAGAAAATGTATAAATATGTTGAAGTGCTAAAAACAGGTCCCCAGTTTCTTATCCAAAACATTTAGAGCCAGATGACCTTCAGGATTGAGAATTTTTTCCATTTTAGAGAAGTAATATGGTTTGAAAACTGTGTAATATGAATCAATGCCAGTGGGACAAGGCCACAGCTCCCAATAATCAAACTCTATATATATTAAAATACATATAAAATAAAATCTAAATATAATAAACGAAGACTGTAAATACAATAGGTTTGCTGCCAAATTAATTTGAACTGAACTTAAGAGGAAAAACAAAAGTTCTGTTTTTATGAGATGTTTGGGTTTCAGGATTGTGGGAAGGCATCGTGGACTTTTTTCCTGGGTATTAACTGATACAGGGAAAGGAAATGAGTATTTATGGTATAGGTAGAAACTTCCCATTTGTTTTCAGCCATAGAATCTGAGACTCAAAACAAGTAGCAACTCAGCATCATCTGGAAACTTGTAGGAAATGCAAATATCAGGGTCTACCCCAGACCTACTTGAGTGAAAAATCTATGGGTTGGGTTCCAGTAACCTGTGTTTTAACAGTGAATTCTGATGCACACTAACAATTTTTTTATTGTGTATATATAAGGTATACAGTATGATGCTTCGTCATATATATGCATAGTGAGATAGTGACTATAGTAAAGCAAATTCATATATCCATCCTCTCGCGTAGCTACCCTTTTCTGCTGAGAACCATTTATATAACAAGTAGGGGACGGAGAACCAGGAGTCAAATTCAGGTATTTCTGACTCAAAACTGAATGGGTTTTTGATGCTGTTTCCCTTGCTCTCAAAGTAGAATGAAGCAAGAGATTGATGTAAGCTCAGATGATAATGGTGACTTTAAAGAAGGTATGTTGAAATATACTTCACTTTAATCTAATAGATAAGAACAAAATAATTTTGTAATAGACACTCCTAGAAAACTATTCTGTCTCTTAATTATATATACTTCACTTTAATCTAATAGATAAGAACAAAATAATTTTTATAATATACACCCCTAGAAAATTAGTCTGTCTTATTTATAGCAGGAAAAAATTTGCATTGTAAAGTCCCTGTTTTATTTCCTCCATGTTAACATCTAGAAGATGGTACAATTTATTTTGCTATTTCTCTAAGATGAAGGTAGTAATTTAGCTTAATTGTGAAAATTAAGAGTTAGAAGCTGTGGAAGGAAAAGAGGTTCTCAAATATTCCTAAGATGGTTATTGATCTATTATTTGGTATCTTTGATTTGTATCAAAGATATGTATTTTCCTGATAACTTCACATGCCTTGCTTTCTACTTTAGCATAATTCTTAGTGTACATGTTGACAAATTTAAGAAAAAAATCCAATTGAAAACCATTACAATATCCTTTTGCCAGTAAACAATGGTTATTTGTGTGGTTCCAGCTCTACTGGGAAGGCAAGAGTCCATATCAATTAGGAGACTACAGGTTTTTACTTAAAAGGTAAGTAAAGACCCAGAGGAAAGGGGGAAATTGAGGACACTGATCATTTTGCTTCTTATTCACTGTCAAACAGGATGATTTAGTTCTGAAAGTGAGCAGGTAGCCATCAATATGGATGTGCTTAGAATGAGACCTAGCAAAATACAAACCTAATAGTCCCTTAGGATATGTCCCAATAACTCAGTGTCATATTGATCTCCTTCAAAAAGGAATACTGTGTAGGAAAATAAATCACTGTAGAAACAAAATGGTAAGAAATGGTACAAGACTCACACTGCCTTTGAATTCTCTTTTTACCATGGTGAGTAAAACTTTGTTCTAAGGGATGAAATGAATATAATCCAGTAACTTCTAATAGCAATTAATCATATCAGTTTAGGGCAGCTGTTGCAGTTATCTTCTGCTGCATAACAAATCACCTCAACACTTAGTGCCTTAAAACAATAACAACAATAATTATGCTCACAAATCTGCAATTTGGGCAGGGCTCAGTGGGACAGCATGTCTTAACTCTACTCAGTGACTGTTGAGACTGCTTGAAGGCTGTGAGCCAGAATTATCTGAAGGCGTGAGCACTCACAGGTCTGGCTGTTGCATCAGATTTTTTTTTTTTTTTTTGACACAGGGTCTTGCTCTGTCACCCAGGCTGGAGGGCGGTGTTGCGATCATAGCTCACTGCAACCTCTGCCTCCCAGGCTCAAGCGATCCTGCAGTCTCAGCCTCCTGAGTAGCTGGGACCACAGGTGTGTGCCACCACACCTGGCTAATTTTCTGTATTTTTTGTAGAGACAGGGTTTCATCACGTTGCCCAGGCTGGTCTCGAACTCCTGAGCTCATGTGATCCACCCACCTCGGCCTCCCAAAGTGCTGGGATTACAGGTGTGAGCCACCACACCAGGCTTGGGTCAGATATTAGTTGGCGTTTTCAGTTGAAACATGTACATGTGATTTCTTCCTGTGACCTGTGATTCACAAAATCACGACTGGGTTCTAAGGGTAAGTATCCACAGAGAGGCAGAGAGAGCCAGGTAGAAGCTGGATCACCTTTTATAACCTAGATCTGGAAGTCATGCAGTGTCTGATCTATCCATTGAAGTTGTCATAAAGTCTTGCCCAGGTTTAAAGGGAGAGGAAATAGAGCACACTTCTTGATAGGGCAGTGACAAGGTTCTGAGAAGAGCAAATGGGGCTATTGTTGGAAAATGCAGTCAGCCACAGGAGCTTAAGAATTATACCTCTGATTGGCCGGGTACGGTGGCTCACGCCTGTAATCCCAGCACTTTGGGAGGCCGAGGCGGGCGGATCACCAGGTCAGGAGATCAAGACCATCCTGGCTAACACGGTGAAACCCCGTCTCTACTAAAAATACACAAAATTAGCCGGGTGTGGTGGCGGGCGCCTGTAGTCCCAGCTACACGGGAGGCTGAGGTAGGAGAATGGCCTGAACCCGGGAGGCAGAGCTTGCAGTGAGCCGAGATCGCACCACCACACTCCACTCCAGCCTGGGCGAGACTCTGTCTCAAAAAAAAAAAAAAAAAAAAAAAAGAATTATACCTCTGATTTTTAAATTGTTTTTAACTTTTTATTTTGATGTAGTTTATTTCAAAATATTTAGAATTTAATTCAAAATTCTTATTTTGAAATAATTTTACAGTTGAGTCGCAAAAATTGTATAGTTTTCATATATCTTCTATCCGGTTTTCCCTTATGTTACGTCACACATAACAACAGTATGACAGTTATAAAAAGTGAACAATTAACTTTGGTACAGTACTATTAACAAAGTTACAGAATTTATGTAGATTTCACCAATTTTCCCCTAATACTCTTATTCTGTTTCAAGGCTGAATCCAGGATCGCATATTACATTTAGTCATGTCACCTCAGTCTCCTCCAGTCTGTGACACTTCCTCAGTGTTTCCTTGCCTTTCATGTTCTTGACACTTTTGAAGACTACTGGTCAGTTGTTTTGTAGAATGTCCTTCCATTTGGTTGTCTGATGTTTTTTCCATGATTGGATAGGGGTTATGCACTTTTGGGAAGGACACCACAGAGGTGTGGTGTCCTTTTTAGTCCATCATATCAAGGGGTTCAGGATGTTGATATGTATTGCTGATGATATTCATCTCGATCGTTTGGTTAATCTGCCAAGTTGTGTCTACCATATTCTTGACTATGACTTTTCTATTTTTCTCCTTGTAATTGCTGAATAATTTGGAGTGATACTTTTGAGACTACACAAATACCTCAAACAGTTTCATTTAAACTTTTGCAAACAAATTTTAGCATCCATTGGTGGATCTTGCTTGCAGCAATTACTACTGTGGGGTTCTGGTGATCCTCTGTTTTCCTCATTCCTTCTATATTAGTTATTTAGAGTTTTTCTCTAAGGGAGAGCTGTCCCTCCTCCCCTGTTTGTTTATTCAGTTATTCATTTATATCAGCATAGACTCTTAAATATTTATTTATTCTTAGGTTTATAATCCAATACTATCATTTGAAAAATTTTTGTTGCTCAAGTTATTTCAACTTTGGCCATTGGAAGCTCTTCCAGACTGGCTCATATGCCCTTTAAACAGGCCCCATTCTTTCTTTGTTCAAAAAAAAATTTTTTTTTGACCACTTCTTTACTTTCCGGCACCAAAACGTGCTTTGGGTTTATCTTGTATTTTCCTTGGTTCCTTTTATTGAAAAATGGTACTTAGAAACCAAGATTTGAGTGCTTATATGTAAACATTGTTACTAAGATATCACATATAAACACACATCTATATTTCTACCTGTATCTATTTATCTGCATATACATGGATTTTAAAAATTGTGTGTCACTGTTGAGACCTCTGACTCTAATGCAGCACCAAAGGGTTTATTCTAGCTTTCTCACTTTCTGTATCTGTAACTTCCTTCTCTGAAGGTGAGAGCCCAGCTCTCATTATCTGCAATAAATTTACTTACTTTCCTCCTGGAACACAAATAATTTTAGAATTGTTAACCCACAACCCTGTGAGAAACAAATTTACCACTGTGCTTTTTTCTTTTAGTCTTACTAGTACCCAGTCAAAACAATGCTTTCCAAAGTGATTTAGGTCAGTTCTTTTTTTTCCTCACTACCTTCACGGTGGTTATATGATTCATTTATAATACGGTTAGATTTGTCCCAGGCTGCATTCCTTCCTTTCTCCCACATCCTTGCTGATTTAAAAAAATTACATATATTAAAATTCACTCTTTATGGTATACAGTTCTATTGATTTAGACAAATTCATAGAGTTGTGTATCCACCACCAAAGTCCCTTACAAAATAGCCTCATCATTAGAGAAATTCCCTTTTGCTGCCCCTTCATAGTCATCCCTACCTCATGCCTCAATCCTTGGTAACCACTGCTCCTGTTTTCCATCCCTATAGTTTTTGTCTTTTCCAGAGTATCAGACCAATGGAATCATGTAAAATGCAGCCTTTTGGGTCCGGCTTCTGTACTCGGCAAAACGCACTTAAGACTCATCCATGTTTTTACACAAATCAATAGTTCATTCATTTTTACTGCTGGGTAGTATTCCATTGTATGGATGTACCACAGTTTGTCTACCCCTTCAACAGCTGGAAGACATTTGTGCTGTTCCCAGTTTTGGCCGTTATGCTTAAATCTGCTATAAACATTCATGTACAGATTTTTGTGTGAACATCAGTTTTTGTTTCTCTCAAGTAGATATCAAGGAGTGTGATTACTGGTACATATGGTAGGTACGTGTTTAACTTCATTGGAAACTGTCAAACTCGTTTCCAAAGGGGCTGCACCAGTTTCCATTCCCACTAGCAATATATGAGAGTTCTGGTCTCTCTGTGTCCTTGCCACTGTCATTTGGTTACTCTGCAATTTCAGCTCTACAGGGGGTTCAGGAAAAGTCATAAATTTGAAGTGACTTTGATTATTTTTTCATCCTAAGAATGGGAGGAATGCTCTTTTAAACTCTACATCACAACTAGAAGCCAGAAGTGGAAAAACTTTGATTTTAAGTTTAAGGAGGTAACACAAGTTTAACTGGGAAATTAAGGTCAAAAGGATATACTTACATTATTCTGGAATAAACAGAGCTGCATTGTATAGAGACACAATGTACAGGGAGATTAATGGAGATAAACACATCACTTTCTTTGAGTAGTCTCCTTTAATTTTTTTCATGCCAAGTGACTAGCTCTCTTCCAGATGTTCCCAGACAACTTTGCCTATAATTTACGGTGCTGATATTACACTGCTTTATCATTATTAGTTAATCACAGGTTGTATATTTGAATTCTTATGAGATCATAGAGATTATGTAAATAGATCTTGCCAAACATAACACAACGGGAGGAGTGGAGTCAGTGCATGCTATGCCCTACTTTAAGGTAGTTAAAATTAAAACTCATATGTGTGTGTGAAATGGAGCTTATGGTCCCCAATTCAATCTGTGTGGTGTGTGGCTGTAGATTCTGTAAGCAGTGGTCAGCATAGTGCCAGCAGCAACACCTAGCAGGTGTTTGTTTGACATTTATTGAGTGAATGAGTGAATGTCACAGAATCTGGCAGGAGATCCAAAGCAATAACAATTAGATTAAAACAGATTGTTTTCTTTTCTTATAATCTTTGGGAACCCCAGTGGCTTTTTTTAATATCTTATGGAACTTCTTGTCCCATCACAGGTTTTGACAGTTTCTACATCTACATGTCATGAGGAACCAAAATTGAAATAAAATTAAAATAATTGAAATAATAAAGGATGAGGCTCAATTTCCTAAAGTAGCACATGGACTATTTTTACATCAGTTGTTGAGTCAAATGATGACATAGGAAGATTTACTTTTTTATTTTTATTTTTATTTTTTGAGATGGAGTCTCACTCTGTCGCCCAGGCTGGAGTGCACTGGTGCCAACTTGGCCCACTGCAAGCTCCGCCTCCCAGGTTCACACCATTCTCCTGCCTCAGCCTCCCAAGTAGCTGGGACTACAGGCGCCCACCACCACGCCTAGCTAATTTTTTTGTATTTTTAGTAGAGACGGGGTTTCACCACGTTAGCCAGGATGGTCTCGATCTCCTGACCTCGTGATCTGCCCACCTCAGCCTTCCAAAGTGCTGGGATTACAAGCATGAGCCACCACGCCTGGCCGAATATTTACTTTTTTGCCATGTAATATACCTAGTTTGGTTTGGTGAATGGCAGAGAGATATTTCCTTAAGATTAAAAATTACCTAAGCACCACTCATGTTCATCTGCATTATCTCACAAATTCTTGTAGGCTATGGGACTATTTAAAGGGAGATATTTCAGAGAATTGAAAGAGGTAGAATGGCTGTTTTAAGCTGCCATTCATTCCTAAAGGGTGATATGGAATTTTAGATTAAGATCAATACTTGGAGGTACATGCAGAGGTGACAAAGTAGAATCTAAGAACTGCCCTGGAGTCTAAACTGGGTGAGACTTCAGTTTTTAAGAAAAACTGAAGGAACAGCAAGATATTTTTTTTTTGTACTTCTCAGTTGTCATTTTTTCTCTAAAGGACTGAGGAACTTTTCTTGAGGTAGAGTGGGAGCAAAAGGAAAATTATAGGTTAGGAGATAAAAAGCCTTTTGGGCAGAGGAAAGACTGTGGTAATGGAGCCAGCAGATCTCAAGGTGGGAAGGATACATTTATATAGAAGGAAAAACCCAGCTCTAACAAAGAATTCCCCAGGGCAGGTAAGACAGAAGAATAAATTAGGTACAAAGTACAAGAATCCCTGAAAAATTGTAATGTGAATGTAACCACCTGTTTTCTCTGAGCTAGACATTCCACATCCACTTAGCTCATGATCACCCATAATTACCATGACACTGGCCAAGTTTACATTAGTCAGTCAACACCGTGTGTTTTCTATCTCTGTTACTGATACTTAAAAAAAATAAATAAAGGCTTCTTGTTCATGCTTCTGTTTACCCTACTGTCTGTAGTTCTTTTCTCTGGTTTGCTTCTTAGTATCCAAAAAAATCCAAAACAAAACAAAACAAAACAAACCTGGTCTGCAGTAAAATTTATCTGAGTCAGTTTCAACCCAGTGTTTCAAATACCACACATCCACACCACCAAAGCATTCCTTATTTCTTGATGTAATTAATATATCTTTATGCCAAGTTAATTTGAAATCTTGCTTCAATTTTCCCTTCATGTGATTAGGCACTTAAGAATTAGGTCTCACAGGCCGATTTACATAAATAATGAAGTTGATTTATGCTTTCCATGTTGGCTTTTCCCTCTATTGTGTAAATAAATGTTGTAATATACATGCAGCCTTCATTGCAAGTCCTTTACCTTTTCTAGCACTTACAAATATTAACACTGAAATACTAAAGAGTTCTGGCTTTCATGGGTACATTGCTGCCACATCTTATCAGTTCACAAAGGAAGAAATGTGAATTTCATGTGAAAAGGCAGGGTTTGGGAGGATGCTATTTATAAATGACAATGGCTGAAAAGCTAATGTGTTGATCAGACTTCTACAGCTTTGGAAAATAATGGAGGCAATCTCCCTCTGCATGGTTGTCACTGTCGAGCCCAGGACATAAATCCACAGCATTTAAGATGACAAGACCTTGTATTTACATAGAGACTTTCTCCAAGGAATTCACATCACTTCTTAGGAATGGCTCCATTAATTCTTATAGCTTAGGGAACTAGAGTGGAAAGATATATCTTTATGGGCAGTTGTCATAAATGAAGAAACCATGCCTGAGGTAGATTTGTAACTTTCTCAAGGTCACTAGCCAAACTGAATTACCAGAAGCGTGGAAATCCAGAGTAGTATCAATTTCCCATGTTGGGGGAGGAATGTGTGTGTCACATGGGGTTGGCGAGGAACATGGCTTTTCAGAAACTGTCTTCTATCATTTTTACTCCTCTATGTCATCTGTGACTGAGAGACATTGTCTTTGGTTAGCTTTTCCCAAACCACGATCCTCTGAACACTGGGATATGCAAGACACCAATAGACCTTCACAAAGAAGAAAAGCCTCCCGTGGCCAAATAAGTTTGAGAACTGCTTCATGCTGTAACCACTCCTTGGTGATTCATAATTCCTATTAGTGCAGTTAAAGCTCTGAGAAGCCCTGTAGTGAAGATTACCTAAGTTTGCTTAGTACACAGTCCCCCACACTTACTTGACCATGGAAGTGAAGCTTTCTTTATACAGCAACTTTTAATGATTTATAGAACTGCTTTTCAGTGGATCAACGGGGAAATATATTTCTTCGATAAAAGCTCTGGGGAGGAAATGCTGCTCTAAATTACCTTTTGTTCTTTGATATTGCTGGGCGCACCCTCTGTATTGAGGCCTCATTCACAGATGACTTGGGTGGTGTTTGAGCCTTTGAGATGCAGCAGATACTCTCAGTGCTGAAAGCTAAGGTTCTATGGGAGGAATGAAATGGTGTTGGAAAATGACCCAGGAGCAATGCCATAGCCTTGTGCTCCAATCTCCTTCCCATACCTGCCTAGCTCTGGTTTATTATACACTGTGATATGGGGACATTTACTTGGAATGATGGCACAGTGTGCTGTGTGCTGGGCACTGAGGCAATGAACAATCACAGATCAAATAGCAAATCTGGTACAGACCAAGCACCAAGGAGGAGCCAAGAACCAATGGGACAAGAACTAACAGGAGTTTAGCACTGTGGTGCAGAAGAGTATGGCTCTGGAAATTCAGGGGACTACAGAAAATGGGGAGACAAGAAATATGTCATTCAGACAGAGCAGTAAGAATTTTACGTAGACCAAACCTTAATAGACTGTCATGGGGCATCCCAGGTAAGGTTTCAGGGCAAGGGCAGGGTTCAAGATGAAATCCCACCAAGAGGTTTCATTCAGGTTGCTCTTGTACATTGGTTAGGCAAGTCAGCAATAGCATGTTTTAGTCATTGTCTTACAGGCTGTGATAAAAATGCTGCTTTGAAAGTTGCTAACTGAAAACTACTTGGAAAACAGGTGTCTGAGATAGAGACCAATAACCAGCAGAAACTTATTTTTTTATAGGAAAAAACACTACGTTGAAATGATCAGCTGTCTTAATAAAAAAGATAGGGTGAGAATGCATAGATGTTGGGTCACGTTCAGATGCTAATTCTCCTTCCCTCCTTTCTCCTAGCCAATCAATGATGTCCTCTCTCCAAACATACAGATCTCTACCTTGCTCGAGCGAAGCAGGAGCTCTTGTTCTCTAAATGCTATTTTAACTCTTTTGGAATTAGATAAGAAGGGAGGCACCTGGAGGATAGTATTGGAAAGTGACAGGAGGCCGAGTGGGGGGGACTAAGAGGGTAAATTGGGGCCAGTTATGAGGTAGGTTTGTAAGTTTCTCAAGGTTACTGTGGCCAAATTGAATTACCAGAAGTGTGGAATCCTAGAGCAATTATCAATTTCCCACGTGGGGAAGAACTAAGAGGAGGACTTTGGCTCTCATTAGAGAGTTATACCTCATGTCATGAGTTTTTTGTTGTCTGGAATTTTGTTTGGATGTTGTCTGTGGGGTTTCTGTTTGTTTGGATTTTGTTGTCTGGAAATGAGGGGCCGGCAAAGTTTTGAAGTTGGATTGTGGCATTATTGGTTAAATACCTGAACCTGCTCAGGTATTTAACCACTCTTGCATTGCCCTCACCCTATCATTCCCACCAAATGAAGGACCCTCTTCTCTGGGAAATAGCCTGGGCCATACGGAGAAAGAAGTAAATAAGATAGGTAATCATATTTAGTGAGTCTTAGGTCATGTTTAAACATGGTAAGTAAATGAGATTACTATATGTATTTTCTTTGATTATAGTAATAACCAAGAGGTAGGTTATTATTGTTATAATCAATTATAATGCACAATAAGCAAATGCAGAAAATTTAATATTAGGCCAGCCAGAAATTTTGTTGGGTTTACTTAAGAGTAGGTTTTCTTAAGAGCAGAGAGACCATTCTCTCCTGGGCTGGTGACCCTGAAGATAAATTGGGCTGTCTGATGGCCTTTAATTCCACACATATACTATGCATGGGTGTGTAAGTCCAATCCTCTAAGAAGCAGATGTCAAGACAGGATTAAATATACACGGCTTTTGGAGCTGAGAAAGGCTGAGAGAGCCATTAGGCCACAATGCAAGTGTGACCTGAGCGAAGGGGAGGACAAGAGATTTGGTGAAAAAATTTTAGACTGGCGTGCAGTCAAAAAAAAGGTTTGACAAGGTTGTCAGGATGTCCCCCAGCCAACCTTGGCCATCAGAGGTATTCTATGTCTCTTAGGAATGTGACTGCCTTACTTAGTACCCATACTAGGCTCAGTCATTGGTGAGGAGCAGCCTGTGGGAGGTGTGCCCTGCACAAATACAGTAATGAATTTCAAAGTCCAGCAGCTAGAGCCCAGGTCCCCAGTAGCTGGAAGTCAGAAAGGTGCATTCTATTGGCTGCAACAATCTATATGATTCAAGCTTCCCCTGAGACTGTACTTCTACTTGTTGCATTCAGAGGGAGAGTTTCACAAAGAAGGAGAGACTTGTGTTTAGAAATGGGAGGATGAGGGCAATTCAGAGATGGTCAGGTCGGTAACATATGAACATGCCACTTGACTGCTTAAGTAGACTAGGCTGATTTGCAGCTCATTTTAATATATTCTGAAAACTCCATGGCATCTAATGTCTTCTTGCTTAAAAAGAGAAGTGATTTTACAGAGAGGGAAAAGGTAAAATGTTATTTTCAATTTCTAGGAAAAGTTGTCAGATTCAGGAAGTTTTTGACACTTCATTATAGGTAGAAGCACTTTGTGTAGTCTCTTTACATTTTATACTCAAGATAACTTTTGGACTGATACAATTGTTCTAAAATAATGCTGCTGTCAAATAAGAGGCAAAAACAATTAGACAGAAGACACTTTTGTTTGAAATCAGTATGACTGCATAAAATATATTAATAAAACATAGTGAATAATCTCGATCTCTTGATAAATTGCCCGCTCTGCAGAGCATGGGCAGCTCTTGTAGCATCTATTGAGAAAACAAAGAAATCCTGTCAAGATGACATCTGCTTCTTCTGTGGAACATGTTAGGAGTCATGAGGTTTTGAATATGATGCAGTTAGCAGCATCATGTACTTAATAAGCTGGCATGGATGAATGCTTGCCTTCCTTTTGGGGCCTCCACAGATTCTAGAATGCCGCTCGCGTTTGGATTTACCTGAAAATCAGCATGGCACTTAGCTTAAAGAAGCCGATTGAAAGTGCTATCCCCAACCTGGCATGTCAGAGGGTGCTGCTGGCTGCGTGCCAATTAACTGTGGTAAGATGGGGCTGGGGTGGCGTAACAGTTAACTGTGGCCACAATAATGTGTATAACAAACAACCACAGCATCAAACAACAAAACGGCAAAAAACGTATCAGCAAACAACAAAAAGTGAGTATTTGGCTCACAAATCTGGGGGTTGCATGGGGTCAGCTGATCTGGGCTGGGTTCAGCTGGGGCAATTTGGTTTTGTTCTATGTGTTTTTCATCTTCCTCCTGGGATCAGTGGGATAGTCTAGGTACGTTCCTCTCATTTGCCATCTTGTGATAGCAAAGACACGAGAGAAAGCAGAAACACAAGTTCTTTTAAGGCCAAGGCTTGGAAATGACATACTGTCACTTCTGCCTCATTTACTTGGCCAAAGCAAGTCACATGGCCAAAATGACAGTCAAGAGTCAGAGCAGTATATTCTGCCCATCAAGCGGCCATGGCAAGGATGTGGATGCAGACAGTTGTGATGAATTGAAGCAAAATAGGCAGTTTACCAGAGGAACAAATTAGACCTGTCCACTTTGATCTTTTGTTTAATCCAAGTTACCTAGGAAAACTCTAGGTGACTCAGCCCCAAGCAGGGTACAAGTTCTTGACTCTCCTTCTGTGGTAGAAGCTGTTAGCCATTCACTAAAATTCATAGCCACTTCTTGGGAACACAGCTTTGCTGCCTTTCATGTGAGGTCATGTGACTGAGTTATAGCCAATGAAATGTGAGTGAAAATTTCATGTCTGGCCCAATAAACTTTCCTATTCATGTGTCTCTATGAGCTTTTTCTCTTCCATCTGACAAAGATGACGATACCTCAGGTTATCTCAGAGCCATATGTTGAAGGCGGCACAGATGTTGTCAACCTAGTTTCCCAGATGATTGTCTGGAAATAGAGCAACTCCACCTCATTCTGCCCTAAGCCTGTACTTACTTTGGACTATTATATGGTGAGAGAAATGAACTTTCATTGTGTTGAACCATTATAGTTTTGGATCATTTAACAGCTTGCTTAGACCGCCCTAACTAATACATCTGTCATATCTCCATCTTGCTCCTTACCTCCTGTACCTGTTTACTCCTGACCTCTGGCTCACTTATTCTCAGCTTTAGATTTGACTTTTCAACATGATAATAAAATAATGTCTTCCTTTCAGACTCTTATTCCTTCTTCCTGGACTTTTTTTTTTTTTTTTTTTTTTTTTTTTTTTTTTTTTTTAGAGCCTGTGGCTCTCTAGTTGCTCTGGGATGCTCTTAAAAACTACTATTCCATCCAGAACCATGCCAGCTCCCATGATTCTATCTCTGAATTATCTAGCATAGTTTATCCCTGCTGCTTGTCCTTCACAACAAGGGATCAGACATTTTGTCCCCAAACTAAACATCTGTCATGAGGACCATACTGGTGTGGAAAGAACATAACAGGATTTAAGGTAGAACATGCCTGAGTTTGAATCATGGCCCTGGTACTTACCAGTGGTGTGATTTTGAGCTCAATGTTTAGCTTCTCTGGGCCTCCATATCTTCTTTTGGAAATGGAGGTAATAATACCTACCTTATAAAGTTGGTCTTAAGGATCAAATGAGATAATGAATTTATTATTTTTAGCACATGGTACCCAACAAGTAACATTAATTTTAGTACCATCTTTATAATTATTATTACTATATGTGATAGACTGATTGTCCTGAATTTTCAGTCCTTTTTTTTTTTTTTTTTTTTTTTTTTTCTGAGATGGAGTCTTGCTCTGTTACCCAGACTGGAGTATAGTGGCATGAGCTCGGCTTACTCCAATCTCTGCCTCCTGGGTTCAAGCGATTCTCCAGCCTCAGCCTCCCGAGTAGCTGGGATAACAGGTGTGTGCCACCATGCCTGGCTAATTTTTGTATTTTTAGTAGAGATGGGATTTTGCCAGGTTGCCCAGGCTGGTCTTGAACTCCTGACCTCGAGTGATCCACCTGCCTCAGCCTCCCAAAGTGCCGGGATTACAGGTGTGAGCCACTGCACCTGGCCACTTCTTTTTGTAACTATGCTCTTTGCCATGTAACTTTAAAGTCCTTCTCTGATTACCTCATTTTGAGTGAAGTATTTTCTCTTGGCCCTTGACTTGGGCTTGGCCATGTAACTTCCTTTGGCCAAGCTGTGATGCATGTAGGGACTTTTAATCACTTCACGTGTATTAAAAAATTATAACACCACTTTGTACCCCATACATACATACAACTATAATTTGTCAATAATAAATAAATAAATACAATGTGCTAAGTAGGGTCTAATCTTTTATACCTCTGCTATTTCCATTAGAAACACAGATTATGGCTAGCCTTCCAACCCCATGAGGAGGATGAGAGACATGTGGAACAGAGCAGCTTCAGCCAATGCAGCCTGAAGCAGAGCCATCTCTTATAGCTCATAGATTTGTCAACATTTTTTGGAAGCTCCTAAGGCTTGGAGTGATTTTTTTATATAGTGTTATTGTGATCATATCTAACTGTTACATTCGGAATAGTTAGAAGCCCAATAGTTCAGATAACCCTGCAAGAACCCAAGGTAACCTCATGTGTCTTGTCTTGGGCCTCCAGAGATACCTGGGGTCATGTCTGAGCTCTGTGGCACAACTCCACAAGCAGAGTGCATATGCAGAAGATGAGTAATTGTGAAAACTGGAAATCATCCTTACATCCTCCCACTGTGCTAAGCAAACCACTGCAGTGTTTTGTAGGTACCTGATAAATGACCAATTGCTTTAAGTTGGTTATGTTTCAACCGCAACCATTCTTTTCTGTGTATACCAGCAATTCTCAAACATTATTACTAATTAGAATTACCACAAGAGTTTCTAAAAAATGTTGCTGCTTGGGTTCCACTCCTGACCTACTGGATGAGAATTTTAGGCAGTAGGTAGCACATAGGATGTGTTTAAAAAATTCTCCAAGTAAAAGCAATGTACAGGCAAGGTTGAGAAAAACTGATTTTTTTTTCAGAGCACAAATTTCTTTTTCAATTTAGGTGAAATTCAAAAACATATAATTAACCATGTTTAAAGTAAACAATTAAGTGCAGTTAGTAGATTCATAATGTTGTGCAATTATCACCTTTATTTAGTCCCCAGACATTTTCACCACCCACAAAGGAGACCCTGTATCCAGTAAGCAGCCGTCCTCCAATTCTCCCTATCCCCCTGTATCTGTTTACTCCTGACCTCTGGCTCACCTATTCTGAGGTTTAGATTTGACTTTTCAATGTGATAATAAAGTAGTGTCTTCCTTTTGGACTCTTATTGCTTTTTCCTGAACAATTTTTATTTAGAGCCTGTGGCTCTCCTTGCTCTGAGATGCTCTTACAAACTACCATTCCACCCAGAAGGATACCAGCTCTCAAGATTCTATCTCTGAATTCCCACTATAGGTTACCCCTGGGAACCATTAAATTGATTTCTGTCTCTATGGATTAGCCTACTCTGGACATTTCATATAAATGGAATCATACAAAATGTGAACTTTTGTGCCTGGCTTCTCTCATTAAGCATAATGTTCTCCACGTTCATCTACATTGTAGTATGGGCCAATGCTTCCTTTCTTTTTATGGATGAATAATATTCCATTTTACGGATACACAACATTTTGTTTATCCATTCATTCAATGATGGACATAGGTTGTTTCTACCTTTTGGCTAGTTGCTATGAATATTTGTGTATAAGTAGTTGTTTGAACACCTGTTTTCAGTTCTTTTGGGTATGTTCCTAGGGGTGGAATTGCTGGGTCATACGATAATTCTACGTTAAATTTTTTGAGGAATCACCAAACTATTTTTCACAGCAGATATACCATTTTACGTTTTCCCTAGCAAAGTATAAGGGTTCTAATTTCTCCACATCCTGGCCAACACTTGTTTCTTTAAAAAAAATTCTTATAGTCATATCATAATTGTGAGAGTAAAAAAAAATACTCTGGATACTAGACCCTTATCAGCTAAGTGATGTGCAAAATTTTTCCACCATTTTGTGGGTTGTCTTTTCACTTTCTTGATGGTATCCTTTGATTCACAAAAGTGTTTAATTTAGATGAGGTCAAATTTATCTACTTTTCATTGTTGTTGCTTGTGTTTTTGGTCATATCTAAGAATCCACTGTCAAATTCAAGGCCATGAATATTTACCCCTATGTGTTCTTTTAAGAGTTTTTATAGCTTTAAGTTTTATATTTAGGTCTTTGATCCATTTGAGTTGATTTTTGCAGATGGTATGAGATAAGGGTCCAACTTCATTCTTTTGCATATGGATATCCAGTTGGCCTAGCATCATTTGCTGAAGAGACTATTCTTTGAGAATCACTGATTTTGATAAGAAATTCTCACAGTTGTCACTCAGGGAGACTCGAGTGTAAGACTTTGAGTGTAAGACTCTTTGTACTGAGTCCTTCATTGGAAGGAGGAGAGGTTCTGTTACAAAAAGAGAGAGCAAAAACAGGGACAAGTGGGGAGAATTGAAGTAAAATTGACATGGAAGTTGGCCTCTTGGAGAGATTATAGCAGTCTAGGAATATTGCCAAAGGAATGTGATAATTTCTAACTTCTAGAATTTTCGTTATCAATGAATTAATAGGCATGTATCGATCCATTAGGAATCCAGATGGCTGTTGAAAACTTGGCAAACGGTTAGCTATTATCCAGTTAATTGGATAGCTACCATATGCAGCAGAACCGTACTTAATTGGCTAAGGGTCTGAAAATAGGGATCAGTCTTGGGGAAGAGGCGTACCCAGAGTGAGGCTAGGCTAGGCAAGGCAAGGTATGGTAGACTGATGATTAAAATGGCTACACTTCTTCACTCCTTCATGTATACAAGGCCTTTTGCAATGTGACTTCTGCAATGTGAGCTCCTTCCATCAAGAGGTAAAGCTAATTTCTCATACTTTAAATCTGGGCTGGCCTCATGATTCTCTTTGGCCAATAGAATGCAGCAGAAATGACTCTGTGCTACCTCCAAGCCTAGGCATCAAGACGCTTTGTTCACTTCTGCTTTCTTTGTCTTACAACCTTGACTACCTTCCACGAGAACAAGCCCCTGTTGGAGGCTAGGAGACTTTGTGGAAGTGATCTGAGGCACCCCAGTCAACAACCAGTCAACCTCCGCAAGCAGAGCCAACTAGTCCACCCACAGCTAACCAAGATTCCATGAGACAGCCCGGCTGAGACCAGAATAATTGTCCATCTGAGCCCAGCCCAAGTTGCCAATCCTCAGAATTATGATATAAATAGTTGTTATTTTAAGCCACTAGTTTTGGAGGTGATTTGTTAAACGGCAACAACTAACATTACACAGGGTATCAATCTCCTGCTAAATGGGCTGTGGATAAGGATGGAATTTCTCAAGTCCAAGGCTAGGGTAAGGTAAGGGGGTGCCCAGGGAACATTTAAGGTGGCACTCACTCTCGGGGTCATGCAAGAGCAGGTTGGCACTTTTGTGCACCTGAGAGTGAGTGCCTCTTTAAGAGTGAGGTGCTCAGGCACAGAAGTTAAAGAATCACCACTTTCAGGTGCTGATGCTATACTTTGTCCGGCCTTTTTCTTCTGTTCTAGATGGGCAGTGTTGAGAGTGAGAGCTAAGGAAGGCAAGTAAGGCAGACTGGACCACAGAGAATAAGAGTGATGGCAGGGAAGCTATGCATCAGGTTATAGGTGTTCTCACTTATTGTCTTGAGTTGGGGCTGTTGGGGAAGATACCAGATTTCAGATGAGCCTGGTGGGAAAGGAAATCCCAGGTGCAACACAGGAACCCAGCTATTGTGTTTGGAACAATATATTCCAAACTTGTGCATATGTCAGGAACTAGAAGAGGCCTCAACCTGGGCTGCTAGTTGACTCAGTTGAGCTATGGAGAGCAAGTAAGGACATGGGAAGGGAGCCAGGCTGTCATCAGCTCTGTATACACCCGCTCCTTGGCCTACTGCTCCTTTGACTTGTTAGTCAGAGGACTTGTTTGACTTGTTAGTTAGAACAAACGGTTAGAATTCAGGAAATAATGGGCCACTTTTAGAAAAGAGCTGCCTGGCAGAAGATGCTTCAGAACAAACAATTTTTCATGATCAGCAGCAATAGATTCTTTCCTCCAATTACAGCTGCCACAATTTACTCATTGCATTGAGTAGTGACAAGCAATTTCAGAAGTGACAAGGATAGACCATAGCCATGCTTGCAAAACCTGGGTCAGACTTAACAATGATAATTTCTAGACTCTCACATCATCACCATGTTTATTGTAATAAATAACAACGATGATGGCTTTTTAGACTTAGGGATGGGAATTGCCCAAACAGTGAAGTGGAAAAATAATAGGGGTATGTATTCCTTGGGCCAAGATGTGAACAGTTTTGAAGATACAATTTACATTGTAAACACTGAAGCTTCCTGGATAATAAAGGCATATTTGAGACAAGCTTTCAATTCTTAGCTTGTCAGTCTTTCTGGAATATCCTAACCTCTCTATAAATGGGAAAACACAAGCCTTTCCAGACCTGGGTAGTTAATGAAACCAGAGGAAAGGCCATTTGGTAGCCTCATGGTTCCATCTCCAGAAACCTTGCTTCTCACTAAGCAAAGGTGCACTCCCTACTCCTCCATCCTCTTTGGTATTATCTTTATCCAGTCTGAGACTGTCCCGGCCCTCAGTTACCATTCCCTCATTCCCTTGCTAGTTTACCTTTTAACATTTCCCAGACTTCCTTCTTGGACAGAGTTTCACTGTAAATGAATGCTTTTAATATAGTTACACAATTGCCCCCTCTCCTCCCCGCCTTGAAACTACAACCACGTGGATGCTGTTCATTACAACCACTCCTCAGAGACCTGGGACCTAGGGATGACTTCGCATTCTCCCAGAGAAGCCAGGCCATTGCTATTTTGCTCTTATTAGGAAACCACTCTTTCTATAGGGCTCACATAAACCAGTCATTCCTGAGACCTCTTTCTTTGCACTGTCATCTACAGCTTCTTGGAGAGTCACTGAGGACCTTGCCCTTGGCTCTTTCTCACCTTTTTCCATTCTATCCAAATGTGATTATTACACCAGATAATTTGAATGGTAGGTGGGATGGGAGAGCCTATTTCAAAGTCATCTCTCTTAGCTTGTGTGTCGTTGCTGAAGTTTGGTAATTTTGTCTAATATTTCAAATCTCCACAAATTTTAACTGGATATAATTTGACTCATAGAACTTAAGGAAGCTTGGGTGGCCATCTTCTTTATAACTAAGTCCCTACCTATGAAAATGCTTTCAGAACTCTGGAGAGAGGAATTTCACGCTTCCCCTCAATGTATTGCTACTGTATTTAAGTTAGTTTCTTTGATGGTAGTCTTCTGAACTTAGAGACCATGTCTTATCACTCTCTATCCTCCATTGTGCCTCACCTTCTGCCTGGTACAGAGTAAATCCCTGTGGGTGTGTTGGTGCAATTTTTAAACTTTGATGCAATGGGAGATGGACAGGTAATCAAACTATCTTTTCTTTTAAAAAAATAAAAATAAAAATTCTGAATGCCCAGGCTACTGTCATTGGCTTGGCCTACATTCTCCGTATAGGAGTATACAGAATATGGAAAGTAGACTTGATTTTTTTCTTAGCCAATTTTGAGCTCAAAAGAATCTGATGACTGCTAAGAAAGAAAAACCAATGGGAAACTAATGTATAATTTATTTGCTACCCGGTACCCAAAGGAAACATCTGTTGTGATTTTATAAGCCTGTACAAATTCAAAACAAGATAAGTAAAGAAAATGTGTCTATTTAAAAGACAGCATAGCAGTCTTCTCTAAGCACATTAAGGAGAGAGATGTCTGCAGCTTTATTTGGCAATTGTATATAATCTCACAGGCAACACAGCTATTTTATTCATTTAATTAAAAATGGAAACTGTATTACAATGAAAAAAGGAAGCTGTGGAAAATGATGAACCACACTCCCTGAGTTCCCAACCTATTTCTTTCATTTTGTGTGCTTAAGTTTTCCTGGCAATTAAGATGTTTAAAACAATGGAGCGCAAGTACAGAGTTATGGGACGGCTGGTTAACTTCCTCATAAAGTTATTTCTTTTAAATCCCTTGCCAGTTACTCGGTAAGCAAAAACACTTAAACATCAATGTTAATTACCTTTATTAGTGCTGACAACTGTAGTTTCCTGTAATGATCAGGTTTGTTCTCTGATCCATTTACTAAGTTGTAAATTATTATTGGGTATGAGTGCTACTTTACCACAGATGGAAATACTTTTTTTTTTTTTTTTTTTTTTTTTTTTGAGACAAGAGTCTAACTATGTCTCCCAGGCTGGAGTGCAGTGGCGCAATCTCGGCTCACTGCAACCTCTGCCTCCTGGGTTCAAGTGATTCTCCTGCCTCAGCCTTCCGAGTAGCTGGGATTACAGGCATGCACCACCATGCCTGGCTAATTTTTGTACTTTTAGTAAAGAGAGTGTTTCGCCAGGTTGGCCAGGCTAGTCTTGAACTCCTGACCTCAGGTGATCCATCCGTCTCGGCCTCCTAAAGTGCTGGGATTACCGGCATGAGCCACTGCACCCAGCCAGATGGAAATACTTTGCAAATTCTGGTTTTCACAAGATTTGTCAACAAAATCCTCAATGTTCATACCAGCTTCTTATACCCATCTGTAAATACTATGTAAGAAATCCATCTGTCTGTTTACCTATTTACTAATCATTGTGCCCATCGTCAGTGTGTTTCAGCTAAAAACAGTATGATTCTGAATATGCTGCTGCATCGAGACTGTGACAGAGTTCCTGCTTGGTGATGAGTCACTGTGAAACACTGGGCAAGTCACTTTATGTCTTTGGATTATATTTGGCCCATGTGTCAAATAAGAGAGTTGAATTAGATGCCTCTCACCTTGAAATGTGGGTATAATACGAGGCCAGCTAGGTCCAGCCCTTAAATAAAAAACTCCCCTGGTCTAGTCAGGTGGGTATCAGGCCGACATAATAAGACTCACCTCTGGTTTGATACTGTAAAGATCATAAAACAGTAATTACTTTTATGTCTCCATCTAACCCCCCAACTCCAAGCAGTACCAGAGTGAGGGTCCGATAAATTACTAATTACTGCTCTTGGATTGCTTGTAATAAGACTTAGCCCTTGAATCACTGTGGAAGAGAATCACATGTCCGAACAGCAGCCTGTGTCTGGATATAATAACAACCAACCATTATACCTGTATAGTGCTTTCAGCTTTTCTAAGTATTTCACATATGTTTTCTCATTTTACCCAGAATAGAACAGGGGTGATGATGAAGATGGTCTGGAAGCACATTTTCAAGGAACACGAGTTGAGGTTTTCAATCTTAGGCAAAATGAAGGGCTGCATTTTTCCTCAGGGATGAGATTGCACTTACGTTGTTCTTCCTGCATTTCATTAGCTTCTCACTTCCAACTTGAAAGAAGACTGTTCAAGTTGAAAGGCAATGAAGACACTGAGAATGTGGCAGCAAATGCTGAATGTAAAGTTGAAAAAAAATGGAAGGCTTCCCTTGGAATTGAAAAAAAAATAATGGTCTTGGCACTCTAATCATTGGGTTTGGGTATTGAAACAGCCTGCAGATTGTCAAAACCAGGGAAATTGCATGAATCTGAAACATAAGGCCAGAACTGCTTGAAAAAAAATAGATTCAAGGATGTGGCCAGGTTGCTAAGATGGATTGTACAAATTTAGCAGTGGTAACTTAATTGTTTTTTTCCTACTGTTCTTCAATAACGAAACCTCCAAAACACTAAAAGACTATCAGGGCTCAAAACAGATGGGAAAAGCAGATGCACCTTGAGTCTTCCTTCAGGCAGAGCTCCTGCACACCCTGGGAGATGGGTGAAGAGGGATGTATTTTGGGGATCACTGCCGATGTGAGATTTGTCCATCTCAAAAACAGGGATCTGGCTTGCCCAACCAATGGCAAGATTACTGATTGCACTTAAAAAACCCGGTTACGTGATTTCTGTTATAATCATTACAAACACAAAGTGTATATGTACATACTTATGCATGTGTATATATACACATATATATGTATATGTATATATTTTTATCCCCCTTAAAGTGGTGGTGATTTAGGTTTTGGATTTGCTTTGTCTTATTTTAATCTGTTTCTGTCAAGGCTGTTGGAACTTTGAAAAGCCTTATGGATTTCCTTTGGCTACAATAATATTTTAAAGGTCTTGAAAGTGAGCTCTGAGGCTCAGACTGTCTGGGGGATCTTAAAAAGCACCGACCCTATTTAAAAGTAGGCCTAAAACAAAGTAGAAGGAAGGAACCATTTCTTAATTGATTTGGTGTGTGTGCGCGGGGCGGGGGGGCACCTAAGAATGGAAACATCATCAAGCTGCTTGGTTTTTGTTCTTGTGTGTTTTAAATCCTAAAGCCTCCCTCTTTGAGAACCAAATGGGCTAACATACGCACATTTGCGTATTTGTTTTTCACAATTTGTTCGGGGGCAGGGGGCGGGGTGAGGGCACAGTGATTACTATCACTTGGGAATTTTTGTTAAAAATGCAAATTCTCAACCGCACCGCAGACCTGCTGAATCAGAAACTCTGAGAGTAGAGCCCAGTAAGCTGTTTTTATCAAGCGCTCCAGGTGATTCCGATGCATGGTCCAGTTTAGGCACTGTGGATGTTTGCTAATAGTTGTCTGAACAGGATAATCCTCTGGAGATGTTAAAAAATACTCATGTCTGATTCCCACCCTCGGGGATTCTAATTTGATTGGTTTGAGGTAAGAGCTGATCACTGAGAGTTTCACAACCTCTCTATGTGATTCCAATATTCAGACAAGTTTGGGACTCACTAACTTCAACCTACTCTCTTATTAAGGAGCAATTTTCAAAAAAAGAAAAACAGCAGACAGCATTGTCAGAAAAACAAAGCAAAAATAGGAGTTTGGGGGAAAGAGAGAAAGTGAGTTATACATACAGAATGTTTTCTGCTCTATCTGGAGGAATCGGAGTCAGTCTCCAGAACCTTTTCAAATGATGATCAGTTTGCCAGGTAAGAATATTCTTCTCTGTGTGAGGAATAGTCTTGCCTTTGTGGTTGTCACACTTCAAAGTTTATGTCAGAAAGAGTTTCCCATGGGATTTTGAAGGCAAATAATATAAAAAATAGCATAAAAAATTTGAAAAACGTTACTTTGGAACACAAGAATATTGGTCAAAAACCATCAGCATTGCCCTTTTCTTTGAGGCCTTAAAATGGCAAAGTTACATTTTAAGTTTCCATCTGTTTTATTTCATTGAATCTTATAGTCAGAAGGGACATTGGAGGCCACAGATACCACAGGAATACCCTCTTCTGTTTCTGTGGGTTGGCGGCCTCTACTGAAATTTCCTGGGAAACTTATTGCATTACACTTGCACCAACCAATTGTTAGAAAGTTCTTAGATATTAAAAAGTTCAAAGTGAAATATTTCTGCTTATAAGTTCCACCTATTCATCTCAGTTCTGCCTTGGAGAAGCATTTCTAAGAAGCAGTTTGTTTAACCTGCACATCCTGCACATGTATCCTGGAACTTAAAATAAAATACAAATGACAAAAAGAAGCAGGTTCTTTAAAATCCTTCTCAGACCGAGGAAAGATGTATAACTCAAAAGTCTGATGTAGGTTTTGAGGACTGTAATCATGTGGATAATTATTCATACCATTTTCCCCTTTGGTTCTGAACCAACTGGAAATACCCATAGAGCTTAGATATCACGGCAAGATCAATGTTACTGTGGATAAAGCTGGGGCTTCCACCTGAAACCATCATCTGACTTCAACTACTTCCTTCTGAACCGGACTCTGTTACAGGGCAGAGCCATCATCTCTATGAGTTTATCTATCATGTCCTACCATGGTAGACAGAACTCCTCACAAGCTCTAAAAGAAAGAGCCAGCAAAGTCAGGTCTACACAAGCCCAAGTCTCCTCATCCTCATCTCTTCTATTGCAGGGGATGCAGCGCTGGAGGAAGGCACTGGGTATGGATGTTGAAGAGAGAAACCCAAAGAGTTCCTTCCATACTGGAAGAAGACAGGAAACTGGAAGTGTGTGGTTAGAAATTCTCATTCCCCCAAACACTTTAATCCTTCTGAACTTTTTTGTATTTCAAATATTTGAAGGCAATTATCATGTGCCCTGTAAATCATCTTTTTCACCTTTTAAAAAATTTAAAATCCCGGCCGGGTGCAGGGGCTCACGCCTATAATCCCAGCACTTTTGGAGGCCGAGGCGGGTGGATCACGAGGTCAGGAGTTCGAGACCAGCCTGGCGAAGATGGTAAAACCCCATATCTACTAAAAAAAATACAAAAAATTAGCCGGGCGCGGCAGCAGGCGCCTGTAATCCCAGCTACTCAGGAGGCCGAGGCAGGAGAATCACTTGAAGTTGGAGGGCAGAGGTTGCAGTGAGCTGAGATCACGCCACTACAATCCAACCCGGGCGAGAGAGTGAGACTCCGTCTCAAAAAGAAAAAAAAAAAAAGTAAAACCCCAAGATATCCAGACCCTTCGCCATGCTGGTTATTCTTATCTGGTCATGAATCACTTTATTATTCCTCTTAAGGTATGATGTTCCGAAGGGGTGTGGGGAGAGGCATTTCCTTTGTTTTCTTTATATTTTTATTTTCAGACAACTTTGGTAACTTTTGATCTTGTTTAATGAGTCTTTTCTTACCCAAACGACCTAAAGATAATCTCTCATATTTAAAAAAATATTTTAACGTATTACCTCTCATATTTAAAAACATATTTTAAGGTATTACCTCTCATATTTAAATCCTACATTATGTGGAGTCGATTTTTACATCAAGGAAGGAATCCAATTTTATTTTCTTCTGTATGGATAACCAGTTGTTTCAGCATATTTGCTGAAAGCCTCCAACCTTTCTCCTAATTTTTAGTGACCCTTTGGTCATGTTCCAAGTTTCCAGTTAGTTGTGAGTCTGTTTTTAGGCTCTCTGTTCTGTTACTAGGGTCAATTGGGCTATCCCTATGCCAAAACTATAATATTTTCATTGCTAAAATTTGTAAAGAGTTTTGATAACTCATATGAGTTCCTGTATCTTGTTTTTCTTCAGAAGTGTCTTGACTATTCTTGGTCTGTTATTCTTTGATATAAACGTTAGAATCAGCTTGTTAAACATCTTAAAAATTTGTTAGATTTTTTTACTAAAATTGCATTGAATCTACAGATGAATTTGGTGAGGAAAGACAGCCTCATGAAGTCATATTCTTCTTATCCATCAATATACTTCTCCATTTATTTAGCTCTTTGTTAATGTCTTCAGATAGTTTTATTTTATAATTTTCTCTATTAGGATCTAATGCAACTTGATATGTTTGGGCTGTGTCCCCATCCAAATCTCATCTTGAATTGTAACTCCCACAATTACCATGTGTTGTGGGAGGAACCTGGTGGGAGGAAATTGAATTATGGGGGTGGGCCTTTCCCGTGCTATCATTCTCGTGATAGTGAATGAGTCTCATGAGACCTGATCTCATGGTTTTAAAAACGGGAGTTTCCCTGCACAAGCTCTCTTGTCTGCTGCCATGTGAGACATGCCTTTCACCTTCTGCCATCATCATGAGGCCTCCCCAGCCATGTGGAACTGTAAGTCCATTAAACCTCTTTCTTTAGTAAGTTGCACAGTCTCGGGTATGTCTTTATCAGCAGCGTGAAAACAGACTAATACATAACTTCTGTTTGATTTATTCCTATGTTCCTCATATTCTTTTGTTGCTATTTTAAATGGTGTCTTGAAAATCTACATGTGTTGTTCATTACTAGTATATTGTAGTGTGGCTATAATCTTGCCAAAATCTCTTATTAAGGCAAATTATTTGCTTGTAGATGATTTTAGTTTTTCTATACAGACAATCAAAGTATCTATCAGGTTTATTTCTTCCTTTTGAGTTATGATATCTTTTATTTTTCTTGTCTAATTGTCTGACTAGGACATCCAGGACAATATTAAATTGAAATGGTGACAGTGAGCATTCTTGTTCCCACTCTCAAAGGGTATTCTTTTAACTTTCACAGTGTGGTGTTTGCTGTCAGGTTTCTTTGTCTTTCGTGCCACTTAGGAGCCCAGCACTTTCTGCCAGCTTCTTGTAGCTGGAATCTCTAGGTGGCCATTTCCATGACAGGTTGCTTTAACTTTTTCAGGCATGAGAAACTCACAAATCTTCTGTGTCTTCCAGTTACAGAAAGTCTATTTAAGCGCTTTGGGTGAAACCATGGAAGTTCCTCTGATTACACTTAAAGTAGGAAGGTAGCACCACCTCATCATCCAACAGCTTTTTCATATGAAATATCTTCACTGAATCTGGTCGCATTTCTCCATTTTGACTTCTCTTTATATCCTTGATCTGGCTGGGGCTAGATGAGTCATGAGAATGGTTCTTAAACATTCAGCCAGAGACTCAATCTTGTACTCACTTTGTTATCTGATATCCCTTTATTTGTATCTCAATTAAAAACAAGATGGGAAGAGACCAACTGTACACTGGTTACAGGTCTGTATTCAGCTTTATGAAGCCTAAAGTTCAGCAACAGTCATCTTGTTCCTGAAGAATATGAGTACTTTATTTATTTTATTTATTTATTTTTTGAGATAGTCTTTCTCTGTTGCCCAGGCTGGAGTGCAGTGGCGTGACCTCCTTGACTCACTGCAACCTCCGCCTCCTGGGTTCAAGCAATTCTCGTTTCTCAGCCTCCCAAGAAGCTGGATAGGCGAGCACCACCATGCCCGGCTAATTTTTGTATTTTTGGTAGAGAAGGAGTTTCACCACCTTGGCCAGGCTGGTCTCGAACTCCTGACCTCAAGTGATCCACTCACCTCGGCCTCCCAAAGTGCTGAGATTACAGGCATGAGCCACTGCGCCCAGCCAATATGAGTACTTTAGAAAGCTTTAACTTTCCTTACCCAATCCTGACTATCCTATTGTTACCCACTATTTTAATGACATCCTCTTTTCTAATGTCACAAATTAGAAACCAGTTTGGGTTTATATAGTGTTTGTCTACATTTACCCATAGTTTACCTAGTCTTGACTCGCCATTCTTTCTTGCATCTCAGACATGCCTTCTGTAATCATCTTCCTTCTTCATGAAGTGTGTCCTTTAGAATTTCTTTACTGAAGGTCCATTGCTTGCATACTCTCAGTGTGTTTGTCCTGAGGGACTGTTTCCCATGAACCAAATTAACTGCCTCTCAAGAATGCCATTGGTGGGAATAAAGGAGACCGATTTATCACCTGGTTTCCGCTTCCCATTGGTCTCAGTTTAACCCGCAAGGTGTTCTCTCTCTCACACGACTAGGTTGTGTCCAATGGGGTCACTGAGTGATGTTACCAGGGAAGCTCAGGAGGGAGACAAGAGGTGTAGTGCTCGGGTATGAAGTAAGGTGCTATCAAGTTGCTCCTACTATCAGGAGCACAGACTTCAAATTTCTTGAAATCTATGTAGAGCTGGTCACCATACTAGTAGCTTGTACAAGAATCGGGTACAGCTGAGAAGATATGAAGTGGTGCAAATTAAGTGGCCTATTCATTGTGTGTTTTGTGATTTTCTCCCTTCTCTTTCTCTTTTGGTGAGTAGTATTTGCAGAAAATGTGTCTGTGAGAATCCTTTGAAACCTGGATTTAATGTGCTTTCCTCCAGAAAGCAATTGTGTTTACTTCTGTGAGATTTCTAGACCTCTTAAAGTTAATCTCTATGATTTTTTTTTCAATTCTCAGAAGTTTTGTGATTTCTAGATCTAATTTTGCATGACTACAAGCTTGCAGCTAGACATTTTCAGGAGAGACCCTGCCACTTCTACGAACCAAGACGAAAGACTGAGAAAGCCAAATGTCCTTATCATAACTCTCTGTGAATTGAGGTTTTCCCCCCTTTTCACAGTGAGTGAGTACAGCTTCTAAAAGACTAGGCACTATAAAGAAATCTCCTCGATACACCTAATGTAAATGACGAGTTAATGGGTGCAGCACACCAACACGGCGCATGTATACATATGTAAAACCTGCACGTTGTACACATGTATCCTAGAACTTAAAATAAAAAAAAAAAAAGAAAGAAAGAAAAGAAATCTCTCCACCTTTTCTCTTTGCTTAGGCCCAATCATTGTCCCTTTAAAACCCAAAACAAAACTCTAGGGCAGCCAAGGATCTGCAGATAACCTCAGCTGCAGCTGAGCAGTAGCATTTTGTTATCTCCCTGGACTTACGCTTTTGTTTCCTTTTGGCCACTGAGGACTTCTTCCATTTTCTTGCTAACTCATCTATCTGTCCGTCTTTCTATCTGTTGCATTTTTATGTACATTCCAACCTTTTTAGGTATTCTGTACTGGGAGTATTTTTCCACAATATTATCTGTTCTGTTAAACCAATATCATAGTGCTACTGAATTCTAAGCTAACCATTAAGGAGTTAGTTATTTCTAGTTTATGTTGTCTGAAAATTGCTAAGGATGTTATTTATATCTATCGCTAGGGTCTTAGCATTTCTAGTGTTAAGCTTTCTTGGAAGCCTCCACCGCAATTCTATTTCTTAGAGTTCTTTTTTCCTTAAGGGTGAGGTTGGTACTGCCTCATTCCCTACATTCTGTCCTGTTTCTAAAAACAAGTAGATAGGCCCTCGTTATTTTAAAAGGAAACAGATAGGGGATATATCCTGGTTATCTTTGCCATATAAAAAATCAATCCAAAACTTTATGGCTTCAAAAAACAATCACTTTATGATTACATTTTATTTTATATTATTTATTGTTATCTTTTGCGGTTCTAAGGGGTTGGCTGAGTTGAGCTGGGCAGTTTTTCACACAGTTGTAGTGACTGGGGTTGGAGTCATCTCAAAGGTTTCTTCACTCACATGCTTCAGGTTGACGCTGGATGTCTGTTGAAACCTCAGCTGGGCTATGGTTAGAACACATGCCTGGAACAAGTGGTCTCTCTATTTAGCCTGGGCTTCCTCTCAGCCTTGTGGCTGGGTTCCAAGAGAGCGCATCCCAAGAAAGAGAGTGAGTTAGAAGCTGCATTGCCTTTTATGTTCTAGCCTTGGAAATTGTCACTTCTGCTGCATTTTATTTGTTAGAAGAGAATTACCAAGACTGGTAAAATTTGTCGGGAGGGGAATTAGGCTCCGTCTTTTTAAAGGAGGATCAAAGAACTCAGGGACAACCACCACAGATTTAAATGGCCAAACATAGGAAAGTATCACATGTTTACAAATTCTAACAAACATTTTTATTTCCATGGTCATTGCTCTTCAATTCCTGATCCTTGTTGGTGGAAATATAAATACGTATTTGCCTTTGCTTTTATTACTCACAAGGCTTTGCTCCCTAAATAATTTTTTTCAGAATCTTTATGTACATTCAGAATGTGAAGATATATTCAACCTACAATAATCTTTAACATTTCTTTAAAGGACTATTTGAATAATCTTTACCTGGTCTCTTGGCCTCTGGTTTTATCCCCCTCCTCTACACCGACATACTTCCAAGCAGTACATCTGATCATGTCGCTCCCATGACTAAAAATCGTGGGTGGCACTTCACTTCCAGCTCCTCAACATGGCACAAAAGGTCTTCCATGATTGGCTCCTTCTCCTCTTTTATGCCTCATCTCTCGTGTTTCATTTGCCCTTTACACTCTAGCAGGGCTAAATACCATGCGTTTTCACATCTCTGTGCCTTTAAATATGTTGATCCCCTCCCTAGAATACCTGTCCCTAACTTATCTTGCCTGGAAATCGCATGCATTCTTAAGGTGCATCCATAGCGATACAGCTGTTCGTGTATCGGTAGCAACTCATTTTTCGATGCACCTGCTAGACCTAAAAATCTTTTTTTTGGAAACCTCTGAGTTGAAATCTGCTCATATTCTCTACTTCTTCTTCTTCTTGGCAGGATGCAACAAATATTTAAACCTTTTCCTTCTGACATTAGAAGCAGCACTTATCAAAGTCCTGGGTAAGAGCTCAGCAATTTTTGAGATCCACCAAATCTTCAAAGGATACTGGTCAATTTCCTTCAAGAATGGTCTCACATCATTTTGACTTGGTGACAGTACCCACAGTCATAATCCATGTGGTCTCCAATTGTGAGAATATAGCTTTAAAGATCTATCTAAAATATCAACCAGAACCAAAACTTCCCTATAAAGACACGACTTAAAGAAACAAGTAACTCAGCAATATAAAAGAAATGCAGCATTGTAAAAAAGTAAATAGCATTATAGAAGTAATATAGCATATAAAATTTTTAAAGCATGAAAACTGGAGAGAAGAAAATTATTAAAATGGCAATTGTTGATATACCATAATTTCAATTTTCCTATTGTTGGACATATAAATATTTCCTATTTTTCTTTATAAACAATATAGAAAAAAACCTTCATGGCTTTTAATTGTTTTCACTGAACTAGCTCTGTATCTATTTATGGGGAAGATACCACACAGGGTGTGTTAATAAAATAAATATTTGGCTTTCTTTGTTACTACTTCTTTTGAGACATTTGGGAAATACTCAGACTCTGGTCCCAGAAATTAAGTGAACATGCTCACTGAGGCACTTTTCATATTATCCCCTATCCCCAGACTTGCAAACGTTAATTTTTTAGGTCTCTTGGGAAGTGGTTCATTTAGAAGAAATCTTAGCCACCAATCTCAGCTAGCTGTTTCTTTTCCTAACGTGTTTTCCTTTCTTAATTCAGTATAATAGCTTGATATGAATTAGACAAATTCCTTGGTTTGAGGTATTCATGTCAGGTCATCTGCTTTACTGTCTCCTACAGAGATGGCAGTTTTGTTCCTTCTATTGGTCATTAAACCACTTTACTAAAGAAGATGCTATGACATTAGAAGGATCAGGATTTATAGACCAGGGGAATGATTTTATAAATGGTATCTGTCCATCTGCTATACAGAATGTTCATATCCTTACAAAACATGTTTTCCTGTACTCAGGTCTTCATTTACTGTTATTTTCTGCCCGCCTACTAATGTACGCATTTTGGATTTCTATCGTAGCTAAATATGCCTGTCTTTTTCTCTTCAGTACAAAACAACTTGTTCAAATCCAGAGGCCAACAGCTTCCACATAGTGTTAGAAAAAGAGTTTGCCCAACCGAAGAGCTATAAGCTATCTATTTATTTATTTGAGACGGAGTCTCACTCTGTCGCCCGGCTGGAATGCAGTGACGCGATCTCTGCTCACTGCAACCTCCGCCTCCCGGGTTCCAGTGATTCTCCTGCCTCAGCCTCCCGAGTAGCTGGGATTAGAGGCGCAGGCAACCACGCCCAGCTAATTTTTGTATTTTTAGTAGAGACAGCGTTTCACCATGTTGGCCGGGATGGTCTCTATCTCTTGACCTCGTGATCCACCCACCTCGGCCTCCCAAAGTGCTAGAATTATAGGCGTGAGCCACCGTGCTCGGCCTATAAGCTATTTATTGTGCTATGGCAAACTAGTTTAACAATTCTGGGTCTCAATGTTCTCATCACTAAGACAGAAGTTTGGAATAGATAATCTTAATGTTCAGTCCTGGTAGGGCATGCAGTTCACCCTTATCAAAGAGACAACTGATGACCAACCTCCCACAGACCTAGGACATGAACCTAAGGTGCTTGACTTCAGGTCCAGGGTTTCAAGTCTCATTTCTAATACTTCATTCTCACAAAAATGAGTGACTTTAAGTCGTGTTATTTAAAGGGGGTAGTAGAGGAGAGATGAGGATGATGAGGTGAGTGGTGGAGAAGAACTTTCTGGGTAGAGAGATTATCATGAAGAAATACCTAAATGCAGGACAGATGTTGGCTTATTTGATGAACTAACAGAGAGTCAGCATGACTGGAGTGTAGAGACTGAGAAGGATAGAGTAAGAGACGAGGGTGGAGAGGTGGCCAGGGGCCATGTCATATATGACCTTTTGGTAATGTTAATGAGTTTGGATTCTTTTCAAAGTGGAATGAGAAGCCACTAAAAGGTTCCAAGAAGAAAAGTGTCATGATCTGGTATTTGCTTCACCTAAGCTTCATCAGGGCTTTATGTCCAATATTTAATCTCCAATAGATGCCACACTGTCTGGTACATAGTAGGCCCTCAACACATTTGAGGACTAAATAAGTAAATAGAAGAATAAAACAATCAATGTAGCTGTAATGTGAAGAATAAGTCAGAAGCATGGGAGGGGTGCTATTAGGGAGATATTACAGTATTCCAGCCAGATGGGTCTTAGTCTGTGGTGGAAACATTAACAAAGGAAGGAAGTAGATATATTTCAGAAGTATCCTGTACAGAGAACCATCAGAACTTGGTCAGAGGATGGAAGGTATTGAGGATGACTTCTAGTTTTCTAGCTTGAAAAATTTGGTAGCTAGAAGTAGCATTTCTTGAAATGAGGACGGAAGGGGGAGCAGATTTGAGAAAAGACCAGGGCTTGAGTTTGAGCATGATGCAGTTGGGATACCTAGGAGAAGATAGCCAAGTGGAAATATCAAGTTATCAATTAGATGCATCAGGTTGGAGGTTAGAAAGGAGATTCCGGTTAGAGATGTAAATTTGGGCACTGTCCGCAAATAAACATTTTTAAAATAGCTATAGGCAAGTGCTTGGAAAAGAGAAGCAGAACACAGGCCTCAAGAATTCAACATTTAGAGTTTTGGTAGAGAAGAAAGGCCCAGCAAAGGAGGTAGAAGAACTATGTCCAATAAATGAGGGGGCAAAGTCAGAAAAGCAAGGCATCCTGGAAGCAATCAAGACCATTTCAGGAAGGAGGAGAAGCGGTTAACAGTGTAGAATTCTCCAGAGGGGAATACATGACAATAATCTGCATTAAGATTATATGTATTAGATTGAATCCTGTTAAACTGCTGTTTTTGTATTAAAAAGTGGTCAAATATTGGCAACTTTGTATGGGTCAACATAATACACAGTTTGCTTGAAAAGTATATATTTCAGGGGGCCATCTCTTCCATTAAGTGAGGAACACCTGTAATCACAATTGTAATGTCTTCTCTCCAACATCTCTCTGTCTATTTTGTTTTTGCCTACCTTCTTTTGGTAAATGTTTATTTACTTGGCTTTTGTTCTAAAGACTGGGGAAGCCATCGAAACATTTTAAGCAGAGAGTGACAAGATCTGAATAGGTTTTGTTTCATTTGACTGTAAACTAGTGAACCCATTTCTGTTTTCACCCACAGCCCTTTGCCTAGTGTGTAGTTCATAGCAGGAATTTGATATTTTTTATAGGCCAAAGAGGTTCTTTCCTCAATGTGCAGCACAAGCCCAGTCTGAAAGTATTTTCTCTAATATTTTAAAATATTATCGACATTTAACCTTCACCATATAAATTATATGACATCTTCAGCTTACCTATCATTGTTCTTATTATCTAAACCATGACTTTTGCCATTTGAGTATAGAAGTGTCCTGAGTTACAGAGTCAAGGCTGGTTTCACTATGATGTCAACACAGACATTGGACGAGGAGTTCAGAATCCTGGCATCTGTTCGCTGCATCATGAGCAAGTTCACATTACCTCTGGAAGCTTCAATTTCTTTACTTTTTTGGTTTTCATTCTTTTAAAAATAACTAGATTGAACTGAACGATTTCTTTTGGTTTTCTTTTAGCTCTAACATTTTATGCTTCTATTAATGATTTAACATTCAGATAGAATATTAGTTTCTTTGTTTTGGAGTTTTTTGCTCAGCCTAAAGAAAGCCCAGTGGCTAGTCAGTGTTCCTGGGCTGGCTTCATTCTCCCTAGACCCCCTCCTAGTGGCTTGGTTCCCCTGAAAGACTCCTTTGTTGCCTTCTCAGAGTGTCCAGCCAAGATAGATCATGATGCATCCCATTGATGTTTTGTCTTATAGAAGTTCTAAACTAGCTACCTTCTGACCAGGACCTGAGGCCAATGTCAACATGCTTTGTTTATCCCATCAAGTAGTTTTTAATGTGAACCAATGCTATAAAATTGGGAGATTTCACACAAAAATTTAGATTTTTAGTTTCTTTAAAAACTCAAGATCTTTGGCCACATGGGGTTGGCATTCTTTTAGGGCAAAAACTGGCTGGGTCTGAGTAGCAGTGGCCCCCCTTTTGGACTGGAAGTTCACTCTCTGGTTCATGACTCACCATTCTGTGCTGCTTTTTGTGCCCTGCACTTCTCCCACATTGACTCACTTTCCCAGTCATTGTAGATATTTGGATTTGATCCACACAGGATGACCCAAGTTGGAAAGGCACCTCAATGACGAAACATCAGTGCAATATGAACCCTGTCCAGGTATGCAGCTCAGTTTCTCATCTCTTTTTGCTGAGACCTCCAAGAGTCACGTACCATTGGTCAAAGTATTATCTAAAAATAGTAAGCAAATTAAGGGAACAGGACTTCGCTGTGTTTAGTCATGGTTTTCACAAATGCCTCAGATCAGTGTTTCTCAGCCCTGGCTATGTGCTGGAGTCATGTGAGGAAGTTTGAAAAAAAAAATACTCATGTTTGGCCGGGCGCGGTGGCTCACGCCTGTAATCCCAGCACCTTGGGAAGCCGAGGTGGGCAGATCATGAGGTCAAGAGATCGAGACCATCCTGGCCAACATGGTGAAACCCCGTCTCTACTAAAAATACAAAAAACTCAGCCGGGCGTGGTGGCGGGCGCCTGTAGTCCCAGCTATTTGGGAGGATGAGGCGGGAGAATGGCGTAAACCCGGGAGGCAGAGCTTGCAGTGAGCCAAGATTGCGCCACTGCACTCTAGCCTAGCAATAGAGTGAGACTCCGTTAAAAAAAAAAAAATGTGTATATATATATATGTTTAAGTTTTACCCCAGAACAACTAGATCAGAATCTCTGGGGGAGAGGCCCAAGCATGAGTATTTTTTTTTTTTTAATCAGATGTTCTAATGTGCAGCCAGGGTTGAGAAACACCACTATAGAAGCTCCAAATCCACAAGTACTGACATCATCAGCCTAGAGAAATCCTCAAAAAGTCTGGGGAGTTATTTGTGGCTGGTTTTGCAGCCTTTATGGTGTCAGTAGAAACTGTACCTAAGAATAGCCTCCTCCTCACAAACTGGAATGCCCATCTGGCTGGGGTTTCCATCACACCTGGCAGTGCTGGAGAGATGCACTTCCAGCATGGGCCATTTAACCAGCACTACCTCCTTTCATTTATGTGAAAAATGTAGGGTGGAGTAGGGGTGGGAAAAAGGCCTAAATCTAGTGTTGACAGGTGAAAAAGAGAAGGGGGAGATGGAGGGCTGGTGACTTACAATCCAAATGGCATTTCATCTATTATGAAAAAAAAAAATGGTTTCAAGATCTTAGCTTTTAAGATGATTGAGGAAAGAGTGAAAAATAAACTGGTGGTAAGACAGACAAAAATATAAGTTAAGAAGAAGTTGCTTCTATTTGAAGTGTTTGTTTTCTTCCAAGTGTCCCCATTTGGGTTACTTTGATCTAGAACATCTGAAAAATGACTTCCCTCTTGGAGTGTTGTTAAAAATTTAAAAGACCAGGGAAAAATCCAAAGTAATGCCAAATTAATCATTGTTTCCAAAGTTTCCATAGATAAATTATTTCTCCAAACGACCCAGAATAATAGGGTGAGAAGAAGGGCTTTAAACAAGAGTGATTCAATGACATTTTCCTCGTGTGCCTTCCCTGTAACATCAGAACAATAGGCTTTGAATCCAAGCCTAATATGGAATTGAAAAATTGCAGACTTAGGGTTTATGATGAATACAACCCAGCTGGAGCATTCAATGAACAATGGCAGGAGGGTTTGGTGAAGCCAATCTGGCCCGCTGTGGTTCTGCCACAAGGGAACGATGGGTTTTAAAGGACACAACCTAATTTCTCTCTGCAGCTGGGTGTCATTGACTAATGAAAATATATTGGCACACTGCTCATGGGTTATTGTTCCATGTAACTGCACCTCTTAGCTGGGGATTTGTAAGCAGGCCATGATTGAAAGCAATATGACTGTGCTTGGTTATTAAAATATTCCAAATACAGCCTGCCCTATTTATTGGAAACAAAGTTTGACAAGATTATGTTGATATGAGGAGCAGATAATGAAACATCTCCGTGCACAGGCACTGCCAATGTCAACTGGGCAGAATTACAGTCCTTAAATATTTATATAGGAAAATGAAATACAACTATTAATACTTCCAGGAAGTGATACAGTGTGAGAGGAGAAATAGACATGAGGAATAGGATTCTGGGCTACTTCTAACAGGCCAATTTATCATTTTTATAAAATGGCTGCATGTCTCATTTGTGGAAACTCTTCAAAGAATGAGAAAAAGCATAAACACCTCTAAAACCTCTAAAAATGAGGCATGTTTAAACAAATGTGTTACAAAACCTGATGACTAAATTAATGTGTTAGAAAGGCTTCATTTTTGTAAGGGCAACTTCTTCTAGGATAATTTAAGCTCTAGCCTATTTATTTATTTAGTAATTTGAAAGCACACTTTATTAACTTGGATAATGTAATTCTGTTTTCTTTTGCTTTGTATTGTCTTTGGGAGAAATGTCTAAAAGCAAAAAAGGTAAATGTCCAGACAGGCATTATTCACCTTAAAAAGCACATAAAACAATAGAAAAGGCAGTAGTCTAAGAATCAGAGGATCTGAGTTTTAATCCGATGTTTGCCTCTAGCCTGAATTGTAGAAAAGTTGCTTTCACATTTCATGCCTAATTTCCACACTTACTTGTCATATTTACCGTCTGTATTTTGGCATTTGACAATATCTTTATTTTTCTGTAAATATTTTAGGAATGCATGTCTCATATTCAGCAAATTTATGCATTTTCATTATCTGATTTCTTATGGTTTCCATCCATTTAAACACGGAGGGTTATGAACAGCCACAACTTTCCTGGTTCTGGGGCCTTTGGGTCCCCCGCCCTCCAGTTTTCCCTTTCTCTGACTTTTGCCCTTTCCTCACTCTGTCACTCATTCTAAAGTGACATGCTTTCTGCCCCTCATCCTTTCTCGATCCCCTTCTTTTGTCCCTTAGTCTCCTCACTCTTTGCCCTTTAGCAGCCTCCTCTCTGAGGTGGGCAGCCCAGGGGTGCTTTTTGCAGGCTTGACATCTCTCTCCTGCCCTTGATGGAGCAAAGTCAATTATACTTTGCTTAAAATGCTGTTTTAAAGGCAAAATGAAAACCACTCAACTAAAATTTAAAAGTCTTCAAAAGGCTGTTAAAATCATCACATTCAATATAAAATGGCCTGAGCTATACAGTCCTCTTAGAAATACATTTTTAAATAAACCAATAAGTTTAGCTAATTGGCAAACTGCTCATTTGCTGAATCAATTTTAAATGAATTGCACTAGAGCCAAAACTGGTCTTATTTTTGCTCTTCTCTTTCCTTCTTTCCGTCCTCCAACCACCTCCTCTTTTTTTTTCCCACCATCTTCAGTCAATGTTCAATTTGCTGATGATGACTTCGGTATTGAACTGAATAAAGCAGTTGGCAGGAATGTGTAGAAGATAGAAAAAAGGAACACGGCTTGATTGCAGCAGTTTCCAGACTATGTCCCAAGTAGCATTTCCCAAAGCCTCTTCCAGAGTTTGATTCAAGAGCAGAATTTGATTCAGGAGCATTCTGGGGTTGCGAGGAGAGGTCTTAAAATATGTTACCACTTGGAATTACTTTTCTGAGTGAATAAGGATTTTCTCATTACTGTGTAATAAAAAATGAAGAAAAATTGGATGTTGAAACTGATGTGTTGACATCCATAGCCACCAATTTCAAAAATTTCCAGAAATAATGCAGCTTTCATTAGTTATATATATTGAGGTTACATAAGATTGGATTCAGGGGAAAATGGTTTCATTGTTAATAAATGCTTAAGAACCACTGACAGTATAAAGAAGAGAACTGTGGACTTGGAAAATGAAGACCGTTTCATATCCATAAACTACTAGTAACTAGCTAGGTGACCCTGAGTAAATCATTTAAAAGTTTTGGGCTTCAGTTTACATGTATGACACAAGAGAGAACTGTGTTAGCATCCTTTTTAGAAAACAAATAAAAATAACGTATATGAGTAATATGGTTTGGATTTGTGTCCCTGCCCAAATCTCATGTCAAATTGTAATCCCCAATGTTGGAGGATGGGCCTGGTGAGAGGTGATTGGATCATGGGGGCAGATTTCCCCCTTGCTGTTCTGGTGATAGTGAGTTCTCATGAGACCTGGTTGTTTAAAAGTGTGTAGCACTTCCCACTTCGCTCTCTTCCTTCTTCAACCATGTAAAACATGCCTGCTTCTCCTTCGCTTTCCACAATGTTTGTAAGTTTCCCGATGCCTCCTCAGCCATGCTTCCTGTACAGCATGCAGAACTGTGAGCCAATTAAACCTCTTTTCTTTATAAATTACCCAGACTCAGGTATTTCTTTAGAGCCATAGAGCCATGTGAGAACAGACTAATACAATGAGGACTGAGAATCCCAGGAGATATATGAATGTTTAAAAAGAAGCTGGTTGGTGCAAAGAAATGTCTAGTAGGTGACAAACGTGGAGGAATGATCTTTGTCTCACATTAATCTCATCTCATTTGTCTAATCTCATCTCAGCTATGTAACACTCACTTGCTCTTTCTTTACCTTAGCAAGTGGTCCTACTTACCAGGTTGCTCAGAAAAATATAAAGGCCAATATGAGCCAGTATAGAGAATTCATGAATACCCAAGGGTACCACTGTAAGGACTATTCTATTCCTACTTATGAGGACCTTGAAGTTGACCTGCACTAGATGCTGAACATACATGATGAGATTGTCTCATATCCCACTTTTGCCAATACCACTCTTCTACAGCATGTACTTTCTTCCGTAAAATTCAGATTCCTCAAAAGAGTTATTGCCTGAGGAATCCTGAAAACAAAATAATAGCCTTGTAAGCGTTCAGGTACTTCCTCAGCCTGCCTTCCTTGCTCGCTAGGCAGCCTTGATTCAAATTCCTGTCTTATACAAATTATAAGTTACTAAGTATCCTGGATGTGCAGAAGCATTCTAGCAGTGTCAGAGCCTTAGATACTAAATCCTAGGTGGCTGAAGGTCTTTTGGGCAGTATGAAAGGCTCAGACTCTAAATTTAAATACCTGAATCTGAAAGGTGGCTCTGCACTTACTACCTAGGTATCCTTGGGCAAGCTAGTAAACTTCAGGTTCATCCACTATAAAGTGGGAATAAGAAAAAACTTCTAGGTTTAATATCATGTTCTAGTTAAATCACTAAAATCAATCGGCTGAACAGCTGATTTGTTGAATAACAGCATTTTTCAAGTGACCTATTAGCCTCATTTATGAAATTCATCAATTTGTCAAAAACTTGCTTCCTCATTATCTCTCAGACACACTGCATTTAATATTGAATGGGATGGTTCTAACAGCTTTAGAAGATTTCTGTGAAGTTTTACTTGACTAGTTTTCATCCTGTCTTTATAGCAGCATTTTTAAGGAATATTCAATTTGTTACAACTAAGATTGGTAGGGTGCTTTAATATTTGTACAAACACATTTAGTAACCAGAAAATGTATTTTTCTATTATACAACATTTTAGAAGTTCTACAACATTTTAGAAGTTCATGTGGGATTTTTTTTAGTTTATGTAGAATTCCTTTGGATCTTCTGGAGTGTCATTTTCTGTTTTACTCTGCTTTTACCATTTTTAGGATTTTTTTCATCACAGTCTCAAGTAGGAAATCAACTTCTATTTGGCCATTTGGAGAGCCAGATACTTGGCAAATCTATTTTCAACACATTGTGCTGCTTCTATTAAGTTCAACACATATTTCTTGAGTGCCTATAATGTGCCATCTTTGGTTCTGATCATAGTAAGAGGACTAGACAGACAGGGCCCTGTTTGTTCATTTCCCATTCCAGTGGAAGAGATCAGCAATACATAAAAGGTGATAACCCCTATGAAGAAAATAGAACTGGGTGTCAGAATAGACAGTGCTATAGTACTGGGGCAGCAGACTGCTATCTTAGATAAGGTGGTTAGACAAAGCTTCTGGAGGTGAAGACACTGAGCTCAGGAGATGGCCTTTGTTGGGAGGGGTAGTTCTAAGCCATGGGGCAGAAAAATATTGCTGGGGTGAGACAAGAACCAAAAGCAGTGGCCAAAGACAATATTCATTAGCTTTGCTATTGTGGTTGAGGGTTGCCTAGCCTAAATGTATTTCTTTTCATTGTGGTATGTTTGGTTTATGTGTGATCATTCATATAAAGACTGGATGTTTATGTGCTATTTTTCCCTCTTCTGCTATATAAATATTAAGTATTGGCTATATTCAGAAACACAGCAGCGCCATGGGAAGATATATATATATATATATATATATATATACAAAACAATCAATCAAGTTGGACATTTTTGGCAAAACGTTTCCAGAGTACACTTTCATTGATATAGTTTTAAAATGCTGTAGCAGCATTTTAGTGCCTGATTAATGGGTTTATTTACTCCAAAGCCTGCTTGAAACTATAATGTCTTTGAAAAAAATATTGAAAAGATGCTTCAGAAAAGCTCATCAGCATTATTTCATTTACCATACTTTCTTGTGCTAATCTTCACTCTAACAAAAATATCAGTGGATACTAATTCTATAGTGGTTTATGTAGGTAAAAGCCTTTTATTTCAGTACAAAATATATATGCATTGCCTACAGAGTAAAACGAAAAATAAGATATGAAAAACACATTGTAGAGCCATTTTGAGAACACGGATGGGGTATAACTGGGAATCATGTCTGCTCCTTACAGAGTGTGTAACTTGGCATCCAAGTAAATCACAACAAGAAGGTTGAAGAGCCACTTGGGAATCTATCAGATAAAGCAATGTATCATACAGAGGGTCAGTGAAGTATTGGTGCTGTTTGAGAGTCTATGAGGGGTTTGAACAGCACCACCCTGTAAGCTTTATTTCAGGGGACTGGAGACCTGCCTGTGCATCTGTGTTACCTGGGAAGATTTCTGGGCCTTATCTCAGACCTGTAAGTAACAATCTTGAGAGTAGGGCCAATAAAAAAAAATAAAGAAATGCTTTCCAGGTGATTGTGATGCATGCACAGGGAGCAGGTTTATTTTCAGAAACCATCTTTGTATGTTAAGAGACAAAACCAAATCCAGAAAAGAGAATTCTAGAATAGCTTGCAAGTTGTGTTTCCATAGAAGGATGATGGGGTCACCTGAGTTGGCAATGGAGATGGCAGTGGTAAGAGGGAGGCCAAACAGACAGGGCTTTGAAGCCCTGGCCCTACTTCACAAAGCAAATTCATTTTTATCTGTTTTAATGTTTTTATTTCATGTTGAAATATTCCGGTCTTGTACTTAGTAGCATTAAAGTAATATGCACCCAGACATGTTGTGTGGAGGACAGATGATAGCAGAGAAGCTGTAGGATATTGTAAAGCAGGGCCTGACACAGGGAGAGATCTCAGGCTGGATTTGTTTTAATTCTGTGCAAACAAACGGTTTGTGGGCCCTCATTTCCACATCAACATTTTCCTCCTTGTTGTCCAAAGCTCTGATCTCTGCTGGAAGGGCCTGATAATTAAACTAAGCTCTTGACAGGAGAGTTGTCCGTGGTTGGGTCCAAAAAAGTTATTGGGATATAGGCACCATGCCATTCTTGCTAGGCATCCATGAGTGATGTAGAGGCTGCTGTTAACAGGAGGTCCTTGCTGCTTGGTGACAAGCAGGCTAATTATTATAGCTCCTTGCTGCACGGATGAAGTGTGGGACTCACCAGCACCTGGCTGGATAGTTTTGGGAACTGGCTTAGCTTCCTTATGCCTCCCTGGTTCTGGCAATTGCTGGCTCTCACTTGAGCAAAGACCATGGTGTTTCTCGAGTGCTGACTCAGCTCCTCTCTTTGTGGTTACTTCATTTAGTCCTCTCATCTCTTCTCCCAACAGCCTCTCTTCTGGGTAATGTTTCTCTTTATTTCCCCCCCCTCTGCTTGGGAAGCCCTTGTCCGGACCTGTGATGAATGGTCTGCCCTTTCCTCCATTCTCCTTTGATTAAGGCATAAACTTTATGTCTTGTTCCTTCAAGGTTTGGCCTTTTGGATTCCAAAATTCCTAACTCTTGTTTATCAAACATCTTGGACTTCAAGTGGCCATGGTATATTTTCATTGGGGGTGAGTGAGGAATGGTAATTATGTAAACAAGAAAGGAGTTTCTAAATAACATATTGGTTAATTTCTCAAAATATTACCCTATTGTTGTGATAGGGGTCCAATATTTAAGACAGAAGAAATGTGCTGAAAATGCAGTAAATACCATTTTTTAAATCCAGTAATAAAATTACAGAAACAAAAGAGTGTGCCCTATTGTGGAGGAATTTGAAATGAAGAGTCATTTCATGAACAAAACTTTGGATGGGTTGAAGGGTAAGGCCAGAGTCATCATGGCAGGTTCGGGTGTCAAACTAATAAGGAAGGCCACATATGAAAAAAACAGTTCCATGTTTACTCAAGAACAGGAAAGAACTATTACTAATGTATCAACTATGTGTATATAGACAAATGTATTCATAATATGTATATACAACAGGTAGACAATATAATGGCTTTTCACAGACATTAGCCAGTGGCTACAGTAGGAGGAGAGAGAAACAAATCTATTTTATTGTCTTGTCTCTTTGTGGATAAATTTCCTTCCACAGGATATTTGTTATTTAAGTAAAGCCCTGCAATGAACAGAGCTATTAGCCTAAGAAATGTTGTGAGTAATTTGCCAAGGACTAAACTTATGAGTCTATGCCAGGCAATTCTTGTCAATAGCTTGTCTGAGAGAAACAGTATCTGCAGAAGCATTGTCTGAAGGACATGGAATCCATTCATTTCTCTCAGAAATTCTCAATGAAGCTGTGATGGTCGTTTGGGATATTAGACATCTTTATTGTGTAAGGTGTAAGGAAGGGGTCCAGTTTCAGTTTTCTGCATATGGGCACAGGGAAGGGAACGTCACACACCAGGGCCTGTCAGGGGGTTGGGGGAAAGGGGAGGGACAACATTAGGAGAAATACCTAATGTAGATGATGGGTTGATGGGCGCAGCAAACCACCATGGCACATGTATACCTATGTAGCAAACCTACACATTCTGCACATGTATCCCAGAACTTAAAGTATAATAAAAAAAAATAAGTACATGAAAAAACAAACAAACAAACAAAACCAACAAAAAAAGAAATCTTTATTGTGTGGGACTATCCTATGCATTTTAGTATCTTTAAAATTCCCAGAACTTTCCCACTAAACACCAGTGATGCTCACCTCGCATCACTGTGACGAGTAACAATTTCCCTCCTACAGTTCCAAAGCCAAAGCACCCCTGCTTAGGTACCACTGCTAGACAACATAAAATATATTAACTGATAAACCAGAGAACTGAGTACTTGAATCAATTATATAGGCAACCCAATAGACTCCTAGCTGGTATTATACTTTCTGAGTCACAACTCAGCCGGGCGTGGTGGCTCATGCCTGTAATCCCAGCACTTTGGGAGGCCGAGGTGGTGGATCATGAGGTCAAGAGATCGAGACCATCTTGGCCAACATGGTGAAACCCCATCTCTACTAAAAATACAAAAATTAGCCAGGCATGGTGGCGCGCGCCTGTGGTCCCAGCTACTCGGGAGGTTAAGGCAGGAGAATCGCTTGAATCCTGGAGGCAGAGGTTGCAGTGAGCCAAGATTGTGCCACTGCACTCCAGCTTGGTGACAGAGCAAGACTCCGTCTCAAAATAATAATAATAATAATAATAATAATAATAATAATAATAAATGTACAAAACTATAGCTAGTGATAGGTGGTCTTGGTAGTCTTGCTTGTGCCCTCGCTCTCTTTGATGATCATCTTGGCCTTCTTCAGTTCATGAAACTTTTTATGGGCATTTAAATAATTTTAATTACCAATTTTGAACTTTTCTATAATTGAGGAATGAATGGCTTACCCTCCTTAAGAGAGTTTCCATCCTAAGTAAATAGTGTGGGGATGCGACTGGGAAAGAGAGTTATATTTAAGAGCAGAAGGCCTTTGTGTGTGTGTGTGTGTGTGTGTGTGTGTGTGTGTGTGAGAGAGAGAGAGAGAGAACGAAAGAGAGAGAGAGAGAGTTTCACTCTTGTTGCCCAGGCTGGAGTGCAATCGTGTGATCTCGGCTCACTGCATCCTCAGCCTCCCGGGTTCAAGCAAAGCGGTTCTTCTGCCTCAGCCTCCCAGGTAGCTGGGATCACAGGCACACGTCATCACGCCCAGCTAATTTTTTGTATTTTTAGTAGAGACAGAGTTTCACCATGCTGGCCAGGCTGGTCGCAAGCTCCTGACCTCAGGTGATCCACCTGCCTCGGCCTCCCAAAGTGTTGAGATTACAGGCGTGAACCACCGTGCCTGGCCTTTTTTTCTTTTTGAGACGGAGTCTCACTTTGTCACCCAGACTAGAGTGCAGTGGCGCGATCTCAGCTCACTGCAACCTTCGCCTCCTGGGTTCAAGTGATTCTCCTGCCTCAGCCTCCTGAGTAAGTGAGATTACAGGCGCGTGCCACCACACTTGGCTAATTTTTTGTATTTTTAGTAAAGACGGCCTTTTGCCATGTTGGTTAGGCTGGTCTTGAATTCCTTACCTCAAGTGGTCCACCCGCCTCGGCCTCCCAAAGTGCTGGGATTACAGGCACGAGCCACCGCGCCCAGCCCAGAAGGCCTTTTCGGCATCCCTGAAATATAACCTGAGCACCGCTGTCTGCTCAGGGCCTGAAGTTGGAAGTGGTTACCTTTATCCCTTGTTTATCTGGATGTCATTACGATTTTTTTTTCAAGTGCAGTGAAGAATTAAAGATCTTGTCCACCAAACAAACAAATAATAAATAAATAAACTTTCTCAGTCATAACTCTAAGAAACTTTTCACTATGTTTACCATAAAGATACTTTTGTCAGCACAATTAAACTGACCTTTCTGAGACAGAATTGGGAGATACTTTGTACCCTGGTCTCAGTAGCAGTGGTGCTTTTCCTGAGTAACTAGTTTACTTTTCCCCATATAGATTTCGCATAGTTTGAAAGTGTCCACTTTCCTATGGGCATTTGGAAACCTGAGAGCCTAAAGTGTTGATCCACCTCTGGCATGAACACTATTGTGTTCCAACCTTACTTCTGGTTCCCTATTAGTTTACTGACATTATTTGTCCTTTGACTCACATTTTTCATATTTTAATGGGCTTTTATTTTGCTATGTTACAGGGATTTTGTAAACGGCTTGAAGTTCTTTATGAATCAAGGTAAGATAACAATGTGTGCACATATTCACATATATTCATAGAGTTCTTGGACTGTGAAATTTGGGGGATGTAAATGTAAGCGTATTTGTGACAGCCAAGTAATTTTACTTTCTCTACAGTAACAACAGTTGGAAATGAAAGTAAAACTTTATAGAAGAAGAGCTAAATTAGAGAATTTAATTATTATAACAGCACAATTGTTTAATTTGCTAATTGTGGTTTCTTGGTACATAATCCGCATACATTAAAGAGTATAACTCGATGCTTAGCAGGGAGCTTATCGATTACTTTGCCTCCTCTAATTATCTAAATTTTAGCAGACTCCCAGACTTAAGGGGATAAATCAGATAATTTATATTATGGTATGTGTGTGCTAATAATATTAGTTTCTTGTTTTTACAAATTATTATTTGTATGTAAAACGAAGTGTTGAACTGATTATTTTCAGACACTTATAGTCCTAAAATTCTCAACGGCTAAAAAGATAGACTAAATTTCCCCTGGAGGTGTTTGTAAACAGCATTTCTATCTAAAAGGTTAGTACATTTGTGGGAAGAAGTAACTGGGTGGAGAGATGGAAAAAAATATTCCTCTTATTCAAAGACCCTCTGACCACAGGAAGTTTTACTAATTTAATCACTACTGGCATGGACCATGGAACAGATGAATAAAGTTCAAAATATAAGTTCAGGCAACAATACAAGATGCCTGTGTACTTAAATTACATGTTCTTGAAGGTCAGAATACTTTTATTTACAAATATCTCCATATCTTAAGTAGGAAAATGTTTAATATTGATCTGAAAATATAATGGCTGAGACACTTAATATTTAGGTCACTGAAAAATAAAAATAACTCAAACCCCAAACTTCCTTTACAGTTCAGGAAACTAGATGCTCGAAAACAGAGGAAAGAGAAACAGAAAATATTTGAGCTAAAATTCAGATAAATCCCTGACTTGAAGCTGTTTGAGTGTGCGTGCGTGTGCATGTGTACCTGTGTACGCATGTGCGTCCACACGTGTGCCTCAATATGTTTTCTCTTATTGTCTCTCCTACTGACATTGAAACAGTGCCTTTGATTTGGACAGAAAGAACATGGTTGAAAAATACAGCTTTGAAAATCCAAATTACAAGGTATGGGCTGTTATTAGGATGTTAGATTAGACAGTGGCAGCGGGACAAGGCAAACAGGTCACAGTGAAGTTCAGAAATAAAAAGATACGCTGCCAAGAGACAACTCATTGAGCTGCTAGCCTTGTTTTCTCCCCCATAATAAAATGATTTTTGAGAGACTGCTCAGCCAGAAAGGTAAACCATTCTCACAATTTAAAAGTGCCAGTCATCTGTAAAGCCAGAAGCCAAGACAGAAGGATATTTATGAAGAAGAATAGGATTGCCACTTAAAAGTCAAAAGAAGATAAGAGAAACAAAATGGAGCCTCTATAGCCAAGTTAATTATTTAGGGGCTTGAGTTCAGCTTCTAGATTTTCCCTCTCCTGAAGCTTTTCTCTCTTCCTTCCTTTGGCCTGCCTTTTAACCATTAAACAGCCCATTTGAATGAGCCTGGGGAAAGGAAAAGGGGAACTATACTAAGTCTGTCTTACAACAGTGGTTCACCCAAAGCAATGCAATTCAAAGGCAGAGCAAATAATCAAGTTTTACTTTTTATCTTTGTATTTCATTTTTTTTTCAAAACCAGATAACGATCATTTAATGATTTGTCAATCTGGAATGCAACTGTGGCACGTGGGTGTGCAGGCGTGGGCAGGGAGCTAGTGTGAGAAGTCAGCAAAACTTAAATTGACCTATTTTCTCAGAAATAGGGACAGCTGGTAAAGCAGAACCTATCAATGTGGGCTGATACACAAATTGCTCAGTTGGACAAATGTATTTGTAGATGTGGACATCACGATGAAGGACTAGATGAATCATTCTGCCCATGTCACTTACCCTAAAAAAAACTTTTGGCATGCTATGTTAATTTTAAAATAATAATAATCACTTTAAAAGTAACCTTTTTCAACTTTAGAGCAGTGTTAGATTTACAGGACTATTGCAAACACAGTACAGAGAGTTCCCGTATGCCCCATATCCAGTTTCACCTATTATTAACATCTTTAGCATGGTACATTTGTCATCATTAGTAAACCAATACTGATACATGATTATTAACTGAAGTTCATACATTATTCAGATTTCCTCAAATCTTCCCTAATGTCTGCTTTCTGTTCCAGGATCCCTTCTAGGATGCCACATTACATTTAATAGAAGTGTCTCCTTAGGCACCTCTAGGTTGTGAAAGTTTCTCCAACTTTCCTTTTTTTTTTTTTTTTTTTTTTTTTTTAACTATCTTGACAGTTTTGAGGATTACTGGTCAGGTATTTTGTAGAATGTCCCTCAGTTGGGATTTGTCTGCTGTTTTCTCATGATTAAACTGGGGTTATGGGTTTGTGGAAGGAAGACACAGAAGTAAAAGGTTATTCTCAACACATTATCACATAAATACAGGCTATCGATACGACTTTCCACTGTCAATATTAATGATCATCTGACTGGTATGTTTGTCAAGTTTCTCCACTGTCAACTTACTCTTTTTTTTCCCCCGCCTCCCTTTCCATATTATACTCTTTGGAAGAAAGTTACTATGTGTATGTAACATACACTAAAGGAGTGAGGAGTGAGGAGCTGTGCTCCACCTCCTTAAGGGCAGAGTATCTCTGTAAATTATTTGGAACTCTTCTACTTGGAAGATGTGTTTATTATGCCCCATTTATTTAATTATTTAATCACTTATATCAGTTTGGATTCATGGATATTTATATTATAACTTGGGTTGGGTTATAATCCAATACTACTTTATTGCTCAAATTGTTCCAGCTCTTTTAATTGGCTCCTGTACCCCCTTGTCATACCTCCATCATTATCTGTTGTTTTCTTTTGCATTTTCTACTTTCTGGAACTATGACATGCTCCAGGCTCATCTTAATGTGGTAGATTACACTGATTGATTTTTTATATTGAACCACCCTTGCATACCTGGAATAAATCCCACTTGATTATAGTATATCGTTCTTATTTAACATTATTGGATCTGCTAATATCTTGTTGAAGATTTTTGTATGTATGTCAGTAGTTAACTAATTTTATTTTGTTTTATTTATTTTTTGAGACAGTCTTGCTCTGTTGCCCAGTCTGGAATGCAGTGGTGCGATCTCAGACCACTGCAACCTCTGCTTCCTGGGTTCAAATAATTCTCCTGCCTCAGTCTCCCAAGTAACTAAGATTACAGGCAGGTGCCACCACATCTGGTTAATGGGATTTCAGCATGTTGGCCAGGCTGGTCTCAAACTCCTGACCTCACGTGATTCACCCGCCTCAGCCTCCCAAAGTGCTAGGATTACAGGCGCCAGCCACCGCATCCAGCTGCCTAATTTTATTCTAATTAATTTAAGAACTTTTTTCAGCTTTGAGGTGTAATCAACAAATAAAAATTTCATATATTCAAGGCGTACAATGTCATGTTTTCACACACATATACGTTGTGAAAACATTATCACAATCAGGCTAATTAACATGTCCATTACCTCACACAGTTACTTTTTTTGTGGTAAAAATACTTAAGATTTACTCTCTTAACAGTTCAAGTATAGAATACATTATTATTACTTACAGTCCAGGCTGTACATTAGGTCTCCAGAACTTATTTATCTTAACTACAAGTTGGCATGTATGCTGATGAGAGATACTGGTCTGTAGTCTTCCTTTCTTGCAGTGTCATCTTGTTTTAGTATTAGGGTGAAGGTACCCTGATAGAATGAGTTAGGAAGTGTTCCTTTCTGCTCTTCCGCTTTCTGGGAGAGATTGTGGAGTATTGGTATCATTTTTTCCTTAAATGTTTGATAGAATTTACCAGTGAAACTATCTGGGCTTGATAATTTCCTTTTTTGTAAGGCTATTTTATTGATTTGTTTTTTTTTTAATTGATAATCTTAAGAGTTCTATATCTATTTCTTTTTGTGTAAGTTTTAGTAGTTTGCATCTTTCAAGAAATTAGTCCATTTCATCTAAATCATCAAATTTGTGGACATAGAGTTGTTCAGAATACCATATTCCTATAGTATCTTTTCATATTCATGGAACAGTAGAGATGACCCTTCTTTCATTTTTAATATTGATAATTTCTCTCTTTCTCTATTAGCTTGGTTAGGGTTTTGTTAATTTTACTGATTTTTTAAAAAATAAATCGCTTTTGGTCTGTTAATTTTCTCTATTGTTTACCTGTTTTCAATTTCATTGATTTAGGCTCTAATTTTTATTTCTTTTCTTCTGCTTGATTTAGGCTTAAATTGTTCTTATTTCTCTAGTTTCCTAAGGTGGAAACTTAGGTAACTGATTTTTCAACCTTTATTTTTTTCTATTATATGCATTTAATGCTATAAATTTCCCTCTAAGCATTGCTTTTGCTGCATTCGACAAATTTTGACAAGTTTTAGTTTCATTTTCTTTTAGTTCAAAATATTTTAAACTTTTTTGATACTTCTTTAAGTCGTGTGGTCTTTACAAGTGTGTTAATTTATAAATATTTGGGAATTTTCCAGCCATCTTTGTGTTATTAGTTTCTAGTTCAATTTCACTGCTGTCTGAGAACATATTTTTTATAATTTTTACTCTTTTAAATTTGTTAAGGTATGTTTTATGGTACAGGAGGTGGTCTGCCTTGGTGCATGTTCCATGCAAAATGGAGAAGAATGTGTATTCTGCTGCTGTTGGATGGAGTCCTTCATAAATGTCAATTACATTAAGTTGATTGATAGTGCCATTCAGGTCAACTGCATGCAGCCTTAACTGATTTTCTGCCTGCTTCATCTAACAATTACTGATAGGGGTGACAGGGGATGAAGTCTCCAACTATAATAGTGGATTCCTCATTTCATCCTTTTAGTTCTATCTGTTTTTGTTTCATGTATCTTTAGAGGCATTCATGTTTAGGGATGCTATGTCTTCTTAGAGAACTGACCCTTTTATTATTATGTAATGTCTCCTTTATCCCTGATAAATTTCCTTGCTCTGAAATCTGCTTTGTCTGAAATTAATAAAGCTACTTCAACTTTCTTTTGATTAGTGGTAGCATGGTATATTTTCTCTATCACTTTACTTTTAACCTATCAGTCCTCACATTTAAAGTGATGTTCTTGTAGACAATATATAATTAGGTCTTGTTTTGCAGCCACTATGACAATCACTGTCTTTTAATTGCTGTATTTAGACCATTCACATTTAAAGTAATTATTAATATATTTGGGTTAATATCAACCATGCTTGTAACTTTTTTCTTATATATTACCGGAAGCTTCCTTTTCTGTCTTTCCTGGTTTCAGTTGAGCATTTTATTTCATTCAGCTTTTATGTCTTCTTTTAGCATAGAAATTATACTTATTTAAAAAAGCTTTTTAGTGGTTGCCCTGAAGTTTACAAAATATATTTTAAACTAATGTAGGTCCACCTTCAGACAACATTACTGCATTTCATGTGTAGTGCAGGTACCTGATAACAGTGTATTCCCAACTTCTTCCTCCCTTCCCTTGGGACACTGTTTATCCATATGCTATAATCATATAATACATTGTTCCTATTGTTACTTGTTACATATAACAAGTATATAACTGTATATAATAATTAAGAAAAATAAAATATTTTATTTTACATTCATTCATTCCTTCTCTGACGTAGATCCTTTCTTTATGTAGGTCCAAGCGTCTGACTTTTACAGTTGTCTTTCTGCCTGAAGAAAATCTTTTAACATTTCTTGCAGGGCAGTTCTGCTAGCAATGAGTTATCTCACTTGTTTGTCTGAGAAACAGACATTTGACGAATAATTTTTATATAGAATACCAAGTTGGTGATTTTTGTCTTTCAGTACTTTAAATATTTCACTCTACTCTTTTTTTTTTTTTTTTTTTTTTTGAGACGGAGTCTTGCTCTGTCGCCCAGGCCGGAATGCAGTGGCACGATCTCGGCTCACTGCAAGCTCCGCCTCCCGGGTTCACGCCATTCTCCTGCCTCCGCCTCCCGAGGAGCTGGGACTACAAGCGCCCATCACCACGCCCGGCTAATTTTTTGTATTTTTAGTAGAGACGGGGTTTCACCATGTTAGCCAGGATGGTCTCGATCTCCTGACCTCGTGATCCGCCTGCCTCGGCCTCCCAAAGTGCTGGGATTACAGGCGTGAGACACTGCACCCGGCCTACTCTTTTTTTTGTCCGAGAAACATTCACGAATAATTTCTTTCTATATAGAATACCAGGTTGGTGATTTTTGTCTTTCAGCACTTTACATATTTCACTCTAGTCTCTTGCATGGTTTCTGATTAAAAGTCAGATGTAATTCATATTCTCATTCCTCTACAGGTAAGGTGTTTTTATTCTCTGGCTTCTTTTAAGATTTTTCTCTTTGTGATTTTCTGCAGTTTGAATATGACATGCCTAGGTATATTTTTTGGGATTTATTATGGTTGGCATTCTCTGAGCTTCCTGGATGTGGTTTGCTGTCTGTCATTCATTTTTGAAAGTTCTCAGTCATTATTACTTCAAAAATTTCTCCTGCTCTGTTCTCTCTTTTTTTTTTTTTTTCCTCTTTTTGGTATTCCAATTGCACATGTTATATCTTCTGAAATTGTCCCCCAGTTCTTAAATGTTAAGTTTTTTTCATTGCCTTTTTCCTCTTTACATTTTAGGGTTTTTTTTTTTTTTTTAATTAACTTACCTTTAGACTCATTGATTCTTTCCTTAACTATTGAATCTACTGATGAGTCCACTGAAGGCATTCTTCATTAGTGTTAAAGTGCTTCTGATTTCTAGTATTTCCTTTTGATTCTTTCTTAGAGTTTCCATATCTCTGCTTACTTTACTCATGTGTTCTTGTATGTTGTCTATTTTTTCCATTAGAGCCCTTATCATATTATTTATTGTAATTTTATATGCCCTGTCTGTTAAGTCCAACATCTGTGTCACACCTGAATCTGGTTCTGATGCTTGCTTTGTCTCTTGAGACTTTTTTTTTTTCTTTGCCTTCTGGCATGGCTTATATCTTTTAATTGAAAGTTAGACATGTACTGCGTAATAGGAACTAAGGTAAATATGCCTATGGTGTGAGGTTTATGTTAATCGGGCTAGGAGTTGGGCTTTGTTTTATGTTTGCTGTAGCTATAGGTACCAGAGGCTTCAAATTCCCAAAGTACTTCTTCTTAGAGAAGATCCATGTCTTTCAGTTCTTTCAGCTGTAATATCCTCTTGTTATACTGGAGCCCCGTTGGTATGATGAGAAACTGTGGAGGCGGTGAAGCATTCTACAACCTTCCAATTAAGTCTCAGCCTTTTACCTGACTTGCATCTTTGACCTGTGATCACCGAGAATCAAAAGGGAAGTGTTTCTTCTTGTATAGTTTCTCCCCTCCCAATTAGGTGAGGAACGCTAGAGGGGGCTATGGTGAGATCTCTGGGACAAGGCTCTGGTAAAGTACTTTCCTCTGAAGACAAGGCCTTTGCTATGGAGAAGGTTCTGGACATATTTTACCAAGATTATCCGTCTACTCTCCCTACCTAAGCCACAAGGGTACCTTTGTTGACTCTTCGCGGTGAGAACCTAGTGGGGATCCTGGAGATAAAGTCAATGAAAATATGGTGGCCCCAAGGAGTTTCTCAGTCTCAAGCCAGTCTACACTCAGCCTCCAGAAACTTGTCAAAATTACTAAGTGTTCCTACCAGTTTATGGCTCCAGTGACTTCTATTTTAGGTAAGCAGATTGTGTCCGTGACTCCGGATTTGCCTGTTACCAGATTTCAGCATGGTGATTTGACTTGCAAATTTAGTTCTCTGATAAGTCCAAAACAACTTGTTGAGTTTTAGCTTATCCAGCTTTTGCTTGCTATAAGAATGGGAGTGACAATTTCTAAGCTCTTTACATGTCTGAGCTGTAACCGGGAATCACAGTGATTTTTGAAGATAAGATTACACAACTTTTTATAACACCTCGGAATGGTAGTTATTATTCTCTTTATTTTACACATAAACCAGTGGGGCTTTAGTGAAATTGTGTGTCCAAGACCATTTGTCTGCAAGTCTAAATGGTTCTAAATCCTATGCACCTTAGTTTCTTTGAAAATAGCTAAAAACGGCCGGGCGCGGTGGCTCACGCCTGTAATCCCAGCACTTTGGGAGGCCGAGGCAGGCGGATCACGAGGTCAGGAGATCCAGACCATCCTGGCTAACACGGTGAAACCCCGTCTCTACTAAAAATACAAAAAACTTAGCCGGGCGTGGTGGCGGGCGCCCGTAGTCCCAGCTACTCGGGAGGCTGAGGCAGGAGAATGGCGTGAACCCGGGAGGCGGAGCTTACAGTGAGCCGAGATTGCGCCACTGCACTCCAGCCTGGGCGACAGAGCCAGACTCCGTCTCAAAAAAAAAAAAAAAAAGAAAGAAAATAGCTAAAAACACTATCAATATTTTCATGTGTACAGATGTTTATACACTGAAATATTTCTTGCTTTCAAGTTTGTGCCTACATTTTGAGACCCTCAGAGGCGGGGGGGCAGTGCGGTTGAGTAATAGTACAGGGCAATTTATTATCATTAGTTCAGGCAATTAATTTATCAGTTTATTCCTTTTTCCTCCACTCTGCTCTCCCATTGCCCCTTTCCTAGCCTCTACCAGGGACAATCATTGGAAAATCTTCAATAAGTATCTTATTTTATTTCATTTCGTTTTAAAGATCTTATTTTTAGAGCAGTTTTAGGTTCATAGCAAAATTGAGAGGAAGGTACAGAGAATTTCCATCTACCCCCAACATCCACACACACGCATACATAGAGTCCCGAATTATCAACATCCCCTACCACAGCGGTATATTTGTTACAACTGATGAACGTACTGGTTAATGTTTATTTTTTACTGCAATAGGCTCTTGCAAAATGTGTCTTGTATTATGTGCATGTGTTTTTAATGCGCATAATTGCTATTTTCTTTTCTTTCTTATTTTTTTTGTAAGACAGGGTCTCGCTTTGTCACCCAGGCTGGAGTGTAGTGGTGCAAACATGGTTCACTGCAGCCTCGACCTCTTTTCTTATTATCTATTTCATTCAGGTTATTTTTTATTCCTAGCACTGTGCTTTTAAAATACATCTATACTGCTCTGTGTATGCATCGTTGGTTCAAACTACTGCATAGTACTTCAGCTTTATTATTTCTACAGAAATATTACATATTCATTGTAGAACCACTAAGGGCCAAAAAGTGAGAACTAGAAAATAATGATCACTAGAAATTGTATCATGAGAGAACCATAGTTGTTATTTTGGTGAACCTCCTGTAAGATACCTCTTTGCACTTATGTATAAATGCATTAAATGTATTCAATTTTACTTACATAGGACTGCCCTGCACATGTTATTTTTTGACTGGCCCCTCTCATTCATCACTATTTCATGGATAACATCTCATGCAACAAATATAGATCCACAACATGGCTTTTAAAGATCGCTCAGTACTCTGTTGTATGGTTGCACCACACTTAAATAGTTCCATTTCTGGGCATTTTGCTTACATTTATTTTTATTTATTATTATAAACAGTGCCTGCCTCAGCAAACAGCCTTCTGCAGATACCTTCTCCCACTTGTGCAATTATCTCTTCAAAGTTGAATACTTTTTGCCCACCACATGAGTTGAGCTGGGTTTCGTGCCATCCACAAAATTCATGCTTTTTCTACTGCTTTATGTTGCCCAAAGACTCAAGGACTGAAGTGGCTTCAGCTATTAAATTCTGTGAGTTTATACGTGTATGAACATTGGCAGTGGGGGAAGAAGTCACAAAACAAAGAGGCCCTCTTTTCAGCTCTGCTCCAGTAAGCAGGACCTTTTTCACTTTGTGGCAGAATAAATGCAAATAAATCGGCTGTCAGAAATTAGTAGTTTATATAATTTGATTAAAATTAGAGTTCAACACTAACTTTGATGGAATCAGATTCTCTTCTAAGTATTGTTGATCTTGACATGAAATGTGCCAGAATTATTTACAGGAACATTATTCTCCCAGTATTTACAACTCAGAAAGATGTATGCCAAGAATCCTCTTTGGTGTATCTGTTTTCCCAAGATATTTTGGGCCGAGATTTGAAAACTCAAAAAATCTAGACACATATGTTTGGGTGCATGTTCTTAAATAAACCAAATGTTTCCTTGTTTCAATTTTTAACATGTTTGGTTTTCCTATATAGTTTATGGAAATCTAATTCAGAGTTCTGATAAATCAATGTTTTTTTTGGGACGGGTGGGAAACAACGCTTCTGTTTAATGCCTTAGCAAAGAGCCTTCTGACTGTTTAAACAAAAACTGCCTTGCTTCTATGTTGCCCAAAGACTCAAGGGCTAAAGTGGCCTCCACTATTAAATTCTGTGTGTTTATTATAGAGAATTTTTTTTGATCATGGTGGGGGTGAGCATGAGATGTTGAAATAAAAACAGCTCCTTACCTGTAACTAAGGTGTAAGTGAGAAAAGCATTTTGTTATGGCGATTTGCTGTAGGCTTTTATTAGCCAATTTGACTTCCAATATTACATGGAAATAATTAAGCTTCAATTTTTTAAAAGAGTCAATTAAATATTTTAGTGTTATTACTACTCTAGAATAAACTAATTAACAGTTGGAACACTACTGATTTTGCTATTTACTACAATAGTTTATTTTTCTCCTGGGTCCACGTGATGAAGTTATGTTTATGCTGTTATTATGGGACTCAAACTGGACCAGCATCATTTTTCCTCCTCTCCTCCCTCCCTCTTCTTAGGTGACTGCTCCACTTCCCCACTATGATCAGGCCTGCTTGGGGAGGTCTTCTGCTCCCATCGTAGACTGAGCTTCTGCTCAGCTCAGAGGTAACTTGGGGGAAGGAGATTTACCCTTCCAGTGGGAAGCTTCTTGAGTCAAAGTTGCATAATCTGCATAATGATCACTCTTCTTTTTGATCACAAACATTAGCCTTGCTCTTTCAGTTTGGTAGTTTTCCTCCATCAAGGGCCTTATACCACCTTCCTCTGGGACTGGGTTGCCATGGTTATGGGTGTGTCAGAACTCCATCACACCCTAATCCAAGTAAGGCAGGATATATGTTCTCTGCTGTTCCTGTATCAGGGCCAGTTTCCTACATCCCTGCTGGAGAGTTCCTCACCATGATATCCCTGGAACAGGCCAATAGTTCTCAAATCCTCTTCATGACTAGGGGGTTAAAATTCTCTAGGACCTTGGGCAGGTTACTTAGCCTCTGTGTGCCTCAGTTTCTTAGTTTGTATAACGGAGATAATGAAAGCAAACACCTCAAGGGGTTGCTGTGAGGATTAACTAAGTTCATATTTGTAAAGCACTTAGAGCAGTGCCTTGGTGGTAGGAAGGAGCATATGAAGGGTTAGAATTAGACATACCACTAAAATTCTGAGATCTCAGAATTATCAAAGCTGGAATTCTGTTCTATGGTCACACCCCACTGTGACCTTGATTGCTTAAGCATAACTAATACATTTTATTCTAAAATATCCCTATTTTGGAACACTAATTTGATCACCTATAAGGGTCTTTTAAATGGATATATAAAAGGGACTGTATATTAAAATTAGGAATACGTAAATACAATATATTCTGTACTTATACATTTGTACAATATATTCTGTAAAAATTTTGCCATTTGATTGTCAAGATAAATTTATTTAAAAGTTATTGGTCAGTGTGTTTCTAAGAGTCTTGAAGATCTCATGGGCTAGAATATAGTTTCATTCATGCACACATGTACCCACAAACATCAAATTGTTCCTATCTCTTAGAGAACATTTTCTGTAGATCCCCATGTACTATTTTGTATTTTCCTGTGTTTTCCAGTCATTAGTTCAACAAATAATCTGATGTGAAAAACATGCTGTGCCAATAAAATATTCTCAAACCCCCAACAAACCATTATGATAGTCTTATGTTATTTATTATCTTCCAGTTCTGGAGGCCATAGGGCTGTGTTCCTTTTTGGAGGCTTTTGAGGAGAATCTGTTTCCTTGCCTTTTCTAACTTCTAGAAGCCTCCTTCATTCCTTGCCCCACGACTTCCTTCCTCTGTCATCAAAGCCAGCAGCATAGCATCTTCAAATCTCTCTCTGACTCTTCTGCCTCCTTCTTTCCTTTATAAGGACCCTTGTGATTACATTGGCCCAAGCAGATAATCCAGGGTAATGTTTCCAGTTCAAGATGCTTAACTTAATCACACTTGCGAAGTCCCTTTTGTAATGTAAGGTTACATGTTCACAGCTTCAGGGGATTAAGACATGGACATCCTTGGAGGGGTACATTATTGTGCCTACCACAGATTTGCTCCTGAGTAAGACCTTGAATAGCATCCAGGCATTTGGCTCTCCCTACCTGACTTTTGTATGTGTTTGCAGACAGGAACTGTGATAAATTCCTACCAGTTATTACGGTCCCTTTCTTTCCCTCTCCTCACAAGTCTTTCCATACATTTAAAACAGGTCAGATAGCTGTTAGTGTTTATTTAAATGATGAATCTACTCTGGAGTGTTGTGGGAAAGTATTTAGTGAGGAAGACACCCCCACTCTTTGTGTCTGTCCTTGACAGCTGCATAAAGAGAATAAAACGTGACTCTTAAAGTACATCAGTAAAGAATTACATGATGCCAAACGATGACATGGGTCTTTGAAGCCATTTGAGAAAACGGATATGATTTGGTCCTTATGATTTTTCCTGGGGGAAATGTGAAAGTCTGAATTAGCAAATTCAAAGGGAGCCAGAGAGAGATCTTGAGGACAAGGCCAGTGGCTTCCCAGGTTCTGCATTTCCAGCCCTGAGCAGGGTGTTTGGCATGTCAGAGACGATTACTAAATGATTAGTGGATAAATGACTTACCAAAAGTATCCAAGGAACAGCTTAAGCCCTGGGAAAGATCTGGCCTTTGAAATGTGACCTGCAAAACAAAAATAATGGGTTTAATATCCTCAGGAAAGAGTACACCATCACATTCAGTTTTGTTTCTAACTGCTGACTCACACAGCCATTCCTCACTGATTACTGCTCCGTTGATGTAAAAGAAAACAAACCCCTGGTATCACTCTCCTCTGTCCTTATTTGAAAGATGAAATAGCACAACTGCTTCTCTGTTTATTTTGCTCACACATTACTATTGTTTAAATCACAATTTTCAAATTCATTTCTAGCTTAGTGGATTGATTTTTTATTACTCGTGCTGAGCAGTTGACAGTAATGATTTATTACATCTCTGGGATTTTGGCAGCTCCTTACCACTCATGGTTTAATTCACAGTTTTCCCTGATGGCTTTAGTGTCTGTGGTGTTTGCTCCTATAAAGTGATGCACCACTGGGAGATGTGTACTTCTGGCCCTGCACTCTGGCCCCGGTTTTCTTTTCTCCTTGCTCCGTGACTGTGTTGACTGGAAGGGGAGAGCACATTCATGAACGGGGGAAACCTGATGTTTTCTCCTGTCCTAAGACCTGCAGCTATTGTAGCTTTGTGCTACGTGCTGGAGGCTGGTCCGTTTGAAAGAGGCCAAGGGTGGAGCTGAGAGAGAAGGGTAAATGCACACATCTTAGGGAGATGGGCTACTTTTTAGGCTTCATAACAATGACAACAAATATAGCAACCCACTGTGCCAGCCACGAGGCATGTATTAGTACAGGCATTGGCAAATTATATCCTGTGGGCCAAATTTGGGCTACTACCTGTTTATGTAAATAAAGTTTTATTGGAACACAGCCACATCCGTTCATTTACCTAATGTCTATGGCTGCCTTCGTGCTGCAATGGCAGAGCTGAGTAGTTGCAGAGAGACTGTATGACCTATAAAGCCAAAATTATAAGCCCTTTTCAGAAAATATTTTCTGACCCTTAATCTTCATGAAATGACATAGGCTTTGGTAATATCAACACCAGTTTACAGAAGAGGAAATAGATACACTGAGATGATAAATAAAATGCCCAAAGTCTTACAGCTAGTATGAGGTGCAGAGACTGCGTCAGAAGCCAGCAGGTCTATGACATACTGCCTCGGATAGTTACTCAGAGAATGCAGTAATTGCTAAACCTGCCACATTACCGTGTCTGTCCTATTTCTTTAAATCCTCACAGGGTTTGGCTTTATGAAATCTTTCCAGACAATTGTCCATTGTCTAATGGCTTTGTGGGACTTTTAATTTTTTTAATTAAACATTTGTGGGATTTTTAACTTTTTAAAACTCAGAACTACCTAGTAATCGTTTGAATCATTTGTGTAGACTAGCAGTTCTTACCCTCAGCTACACAGTGGCGTCACTTGAGGAACTCTAAAGGTACTGCCACTAGGTCCCATTGCTTCCATGTCATGATTTCATTGGTTTGGGATACGGTCTGGGTATGATGCTTTTTCAAAAGCATCGAGAGATTCTGTTGTACAGCCAGAATTGAGAACTACTAGAACAGACAATCGTAAGTCTCACCCTAAAAGATATGAGAAGTCTTTCCTAGTGAGTCAACAATCAATACAAAACGAAGGAAGAGGCCGGGTGTGGTGGCTCACGCCTGTAATCCCAGCACTTTGGGAGGCTGAGGCAGGTGGATCACTTGAGGCCAGGAGTTCGAGACCAGCCTGGGCAACATGGTGAAACCCCACCTCTACTTAAAATACAAAAATTAGCCAGGCATGGTGGCACATGCCTGTACTCCCAACTACTCAGGAGGTTGAGGCATGAGAATCACTTGAGCCCGGGAGGCAGAGGTTGCAGTGAGCCAAAATTGCACCACTGCACTTCAGCCTGGGCACGACAGGGTAAGATTCCATCTGGGGGAAAAAAAAAAAAAAAGAAAGAAAGAAAAAAAAGGAAGGAAGAAAAAAGGGACAAATAACTCATTAGAAACAGGGGCCCATTGTAAACATGTTATGAGTTGGTGAGCCCAATGCAAGAAATATTCCCCAGTGCTAAGGATAAAAAGAAATAAACTGAATAAAATATATAATAAAAAGAGATGTTAAGGCTGCAGTGAACCATGTTTGCACCACTGCACTCCAGCCTAGGTGACAAAGCGAGACTCTGTCTCAAAAAAAAAAAAAAAAAAAAAAAGACCAAGAAAATAGCAATTATGCAAATTAAAAACACATGCACACAATACAAGACACATTTTGTGAGGATAAGGAAAATTGTGTTACTTTCTAGACTTAATCTTCTTATTTGGGCATAATTATACTGACTTTTTTTGCTTAGGGTGAGAGGAGACACTCATAATTGGAAAGAAAGAGTGGAAAAATTGAACATTTAAAAACTGCAGTCTATTTCTTCTACAAGATGTATACTTTGAATTTCTCTCTGTTTTAACCTTTACTGAAGGGCAAATTAAATCAGGGCTGATTTAGATTCAAAGAGTTTGTTAACTGACGCCTGCCTCAGGGAATGACATCATAATTATTACCAGCAAATATTGAGTAAGCCCTCACGGGGGACTCTGTGGCACTCTGCTAGTTCTTCGTCTCTCGGAAAGTGCACCTTCACTGCAGTGCCTAGAAAAACATAATCTCAGCTGAAATTCCAAATAAATACCTCACTCCTCAGATTCTTTCCACCGTTTCTATTTGCACTGATGATAGAGCCAATGTTGTTAAAACAGCGTGAGACTGAACATTTTACCCATGAGCCGAGTTCCACAAGCTGTCTGTACCGGCTGGTGCATCATTCCCGTAAGAAGAGTGAAATTATTAAACATCACAGAGAGGTTTACAAGATTTTTCTGAACTATCAAAGGTCATGTGTGTTTTCTTGGAGACTTCAAGAGAGAAGTGGGGTAGGTACATAAAATATCTGAGACATTGAGCAGGTTTATGTCTGTGCAAAAGTGGCTCCCTGTTTTCCTTTCTTAGGCATGACTGTCAAAGGAGCACAAGCATTTCTCTGTGCTGTGGCTAGGGGAAAGGAAATGTATGTTTAAGACTTGGAACATGGGAGATTTATGGGATGTTAATGTGTCAAGTCTTAGTAACCTCTCAAGAAGGCCACTTGTGAAGTCAGACTGTCATCAGTCACAGAAACCAATGCATCTGTCTTCGGAGAAATTCCTCAGAAATGTCTTCCAGAAAGATTATGAAAGATGAAGCATCTCAATACAGTGAAAAGGTATTCTATAAATGTGAATTTTTGCTGCTTCTGGCAAGTTCTGAGCATTCCCTCAACTGAGAAATGACAAAATGATACATGCATAGAATCTATTGAAGAAAATACTGAAACCGATTAAAGGCAGCTATACAAGGATCAATTGCATATTTGTGAAACTTACCCATCAAAATGTGGCTATACAAAGTGCATTTAAAACACACTCACACAATAGCATGATACAGACTTGCACTCAGCTAAAATTAGATAATGCTTCCTAACGTCAACGCAGAAAAGCAACCTGACTATTGTAGAATATGAAAGTGCTTTAATGATGACATCACAGGCAAGTCCATACATATGTGAATGCAAAAGGATATAACAAAATGTTCAGTCTAATGGTAACTGGGGATCTGGGACATTGGCATGTTTTGCATGTCAGGCATAATCAATATTTAAGGTTGGGACATGTTTTCTTCTTGTACGGACATAGTAAATGAAATAGATATCTCAGCTCATATGGGCTGCTTTCACTGAATCCAACAACCTATGACCAACAATTTTATAAACAACAGAATAAAAACCCAGAGAAAGTAGAGAGCAAATCTGCTGCTGCTGACCATCTGTTGCTTGATCAGATTCCTTTAACATCAGCAGGAAGTTGTCATTTTGACAGTCACTGACATTTCCCCATTAAGCCTAATGTGCATAATAGGCCTGAACAATATATATCTGCATGGCATATGAGAAAAATAGGCACATAGACCAATGGGACAGAATAGACAACCCAGAAATAAACCCAAATACCTACAGACAACTGTTCTTCCACAAAGCAAACAAAAACATAAAGTGGGTAAAGGACGCTCTATTCAACACATGGTGCTGGGATAATTGGCAAGACACATGTAGAAGAATGAAACTGGATCCTCATCTCTCACCTTATATAAAAATCAACTCAAGATGGGTCAAAGACTTAAATCTGAGACCTGAAACCATTAAGATTCTAGAAGATAACATTGGGAAAACCCTTCTAGACATTGGCTTAGGCAAAGACTTCGTGACCAAGAACCCAAAAGCAAATGCAACAAAAACAAAGATAAATAGATGAGACTTAATTAAACTCAAAAGCTTCTGTGCAGCAAAAGAAACAATCAGCAGGCTGGGCACAGTGGCTCACACCTGTAATCCCAGCACTTTGGGAGGCAAAGGCAGGCGGATCACCTCAAGTCAGGAGTTTGAGACCAGCCTGGCCAACATGGCAAAAACCCCTCTCTACTAAAAATACAAAAATTAGCCAGGCATGATGGTGGGCACCTGTAATCCCAGCTACTCGGGAAGCTGAGGCAGGAGAATCGCTTGAACCACGGAGGTAGAGGGGGCAGTGAGCCAAGATTGCACCATTGCAGTCCAGCCTGGGCGACAGAGCAAGACTCTGTCTCAAACAAACAAAAAATCAACAGAGTAAACAACCCACAGAGTCGGAGAAAATCTTCTCAATCTATATCTCCAACAAAGGACTAATATCTAGACTCTACAAGGAACTCAAACAAATCAGCAAGAAAAAACCAATCCCATCAAAAGGTGGGCTAAGGACATGAACAGACAAATCTCAAAACAAGATATACAAATGGCCAACAAACATATGAAAAAAATGTTCAACACAACTAATGATCAGGGAAATGCAAATCAAAACCACAATATGATACCACCTTACTCCCACAAGAATGGCCATAATCAAAAAAATCAAAAAGTGATAGACGTTGGCAGGGATATAGTGAAAAGGAAACACTTTTACACCGGTGGTGGGAATGTAAACTAGTACAACCACTGTGGAAAACCGTGTGGAGATTCCTTAAAGAACTAAAAGTAGATCTACCATTTGATCCAGCAATCCCACTACTGGGTATCTACCCAGAGGAAAAGAAGTCATTATACAAAAAAGATACTTGCACATGCATGTTTATAACAGCACAATTTGCAATTGCAAAAATATGGAACCAGCCCAAATGCCTATCAATCAATGAGTGGATAAAGAAATTGTGGTATGTATATATACCATGGGACACTACTCAGCTATAAGAAGGAAGAAAATAATGGCATTTGCAGCAACGTGAATGGAATTGGAGACTATCATTCTAAGTGAAGTCACTCAGGAATGCAAAACCAAACATCGTTATGTTCTCACTCAAGTGGGAGCTAAGCTATGAGGATGCAAAGGCATAGAATGATACAATGAAATTTGAGGATGTGTGGGAAAGTGTGGGAGGAGAGTGAGAGATAAAAGACTACACGTTGGGTACAGTGTACACTGCTCAGGTGATGGGTGCACCAAAATCTCAGAAATCACCACTAAAGAACTTATTCATGAGACCAAACACCACCTGTCACCCGTGCCCCCCCCCAAAAAAAATATATATATATAGAAAGAAAGAAGGAAAGAAGGGAGGGAGGGAGGGAGGGAAGGAGAAAGAAAGAAAGGAAAGAAAGAAAAGAAAGAAAGAAAAAGAAAGAAAGAAAGAAAGAAAGAGCAAGAAAGAAAGAAAAGAAAGAAAAGAAAAAGGCATTTATAAAGGGAGAATCAAGATTAGGAACTAAAATGACGACAAAAATTTGAACAGCCCTCGCACTGTGTGTCCTATTTTCCCTCCAATCTATATAGCAGTCCGTATTAGTCACCACTTGAGCTCTAGTGTTTAAGGTCCAGTTAATTCTCTCTGACTCACTTAGAGAAGGAAGTGTTAGTTCATGCAGCATATCATTACATGATAGAAAAAGGTAGTAATGTATGAACTAAAAGGACTATGATGGCGATATTTAATTTCCTTTGTCCATTCATTCTACAAAATGTTTAGTACCTACTGTGTGTTACATTGAGGTCTCATTGCTGAATACACAGTGTTAACAAACTACTATTCTCACAGGGAGTACAGTCCAGTAGGGAGACAGCTGTTAAAGGCATGGTCCCCCAAATATACTAAGAATTACAAATTGTGATGAGCTTTATGTAGGAAAAGAGCATGATGTGATGAGTGGGATCAACAAGAGGTCATAAGTCAGATTGCAAGGTCTGGGAAGGCCTCTTTCAGGAATATTTAAACTGAAACCTGAAGGAAAATTGAAAAATTTGCCAGGGAAAGAGTGCTTGTCAAAGCTGTGCTGAGGCTTGCTCAACTCTGTCACAGCTACCCTCTCGTGAATGGCTAAACTCTTTCTATTGGTGAGATCTACCACTGCAAGGTCAAGTTGTGACAACTGAGTCTCCTAGCATATATTTGTTTTTACTACTTGGTGCCTCTGTTTATTGAATCACACTGTGCTGCATGCTGCTGGGAGAATACTATGATGTCTTCCTGAAGATAAAAATGCTGACTTAGAGCAGTGGCTTCCAAATCTATTAGAGAGCAAGATGATACTGCAATATGTATGCATATTTAGTTTTAATCTAAAAGATAATTAATCTTTATTAATATTTATGAATTGGCATAGTATGTGTAGACAATTTGTAAATAAATCTACGTCATCTGGGGATATGTCGATATTTTTACTGATAGGTGTGCACAATCAAGTTTGGAGATCACTTGCTTAAAGTAAGCAAAGGATAGCCAGGGATCACTGCACAGAGTAAGCAGAGCCCAAACTCTCCAATCCCACTCTCACATTTTCATTAGGGCATCTCTTTCATAGCCTAGCTTAGATTCCTCTCTCGTAACCAGAGAAACTACCTTCTCTGATAACACTGATTCATCCTCAGATTTTTCATATCCCTGACAGCTTATAGCACTCCCTGTCTGATTCAAATATTTTGCTATGTTAGTAATACTGCCTTATATTGCTTTCTGGTGTTTTCATCTGCAGTGATCCTGTCTTTCAAAGAAGATCTAAGTTGTTCTGGTGCTAGATTGAAATCCAGCTCACTTTTATCTGTCCGTAGTGCTGAGAAAATAAAAGGTACTCGGTGAGCACTTCTGGACTACATCTCCTAGGACCGTGCCATTCAAAGTGTGACCAAAAGTCCAGCAGCATCAGCATCACTTGGAAGCTTGTTAAAGCACATCAAAATTTGCACTGTTCTCCCTCTCTTTCTTCCACAATTCTCCCATTTCTCCTAAAGGCCCATCATATTAAACCAGTGCCTCTTAAACTTTAATGTGCATGAATTATCTGGGGGGAATCCTGTTAAAATGAAGATTCTGATTCAGTAGGTCTAGACGAGACCCAAGATTCTGTATTTTAATAAGTTCCCAGGTTATTCTGGTGATTGTGAATGGTGCTTACACCTTTAGATTTCAGGCTCTAAAACTATGCTGCCTGATATGGTAGCCCTAGCCACATGGAGGGATTGAGCACATGACACACGGGATTTCAAAGACTAAGTGTGGAAGAAAGAATATAAAATATCTCATTAATAAGTTTAAATATTGATTATATGTTGCATGGATAATATTTTGAATACATTGGGTTAAATAAAACATAGTATCACATTTAATTTCATCTGTTTCTTTTTACATTGTTAATCGAAGCTACTAGAAAATCTAAAATTATATATGTGGTCACATTATATTTTTATTGGACAATGTGGCTGTAGACACTCCTCTGGTACTCTTAAATACGAATATATGAAGGTAGTGTTATCTATTGAGAATCTATTGAGAATTCTTTGAGCATGAATCTCAAATTCATGCTGCTAAAGTTGCACCAGTTTAGGGATAGCTGAAAAAAACTGTAATTATACATCACAAAAATATCCTTAGAAAGATTTTCTTTCTCATGGAAGTATATACACTATAAATACAACTTCTATTACTCAAAATATTGAGATTTTTGTCAACATTTCAGATTTCTGTGTGTATATGTGATTCATAATGTAGGCCTCCTCCTACATGGATGAATATACATATAAGCATTAGATTAGTCATCTGTAATTAACTTCTTGACAAATATGGATAATGGGTGAGAAAGAATGCTATTATATCCAAAGTGTAACGTAATTGTTCCATAGTTCTTGATATTATGCTCTATTTTTTCAGTCTTTTTTCTGCTTGCATTTCAGTTTTAGAAGTTTCTATTGACATATCATCAAACTCACTGATTTTTTTCTTGGCTGTGTCCAGTCTACTGATGAGCCCATCAAAGGCATTATTTATTTATATTACAGTGTTTTTGATTTCTAGTATTTTTAAATTTTTTCTTAGAATGTCCATCTCTGTTTATATTACTCAAGTGTTCTTGAATGTGGTCTACTTTTTCCATTGGAGTCCTTTCATGTTAATCATAGTTATTAAACCCTCGATTTTCCTTATGGGTAGGTGTAGGAACAGCAGTGGCTCCAGAGTTGCTAAAGAGAGGGTCATCTGATCAGAAGAGAATGGGTAGAGACTTATTTTAAAATTGTATTAGCATTGCAAGCCCATTGGTTTTTACTTGTATTGGAGCTGGATGAAATAGTGGGTAAAATAAGACATAAAATATGAATAGGAGGCAGCTAGGCAGGGAAGGGGGAAGAGTATTTGCTAAGTACATGTTTTGATTATCTATTACCATATAACAAACCTCACCTCCCCAATATTCCGTGGTACAAAACAACACTCTTCTATTTACAGTTATGGATTCTATGGGTCAGGAATTGGGGCAGGGCATTATAGGGAGAATGTTATATTTTTCTAAAATGTCTGGGTTTTCATCAGGAAAGACTCAACTGGCTTAAGAACTGGTGGCTGGAATCATCTGGTAGATTCTTGCCTTACATATCTGTGATGACTCAATGGCTGGGCTCAGCAGGACTGTTGAATAGAGATCTTACAAATGGCTTCTTCATGTGGCTTGTACTTCCCAGAGAAAAGTGACTGGGGTTCCAAGAGAGAACATCCAAGAGAGAGCATCCCAAGAAAGAGCATTCAGTGAGTGATCATTTCACAAATTTAAGGAAGAAACTGCAAGGCTTCCTCTGATCTACCCTTGGAAGTCACATAGCATTACTTCATCTACTTCTATTATTGGAAGAAAGTCACTAAAGACAGCCCATATTCAAGGTGGGAATTAGATTCCATCCCTCAATGGGGTAGTGGCAAGGTCATATATCAGAAGAATGTGTAGGATGGAAGATGTTGTAGCCATCTTTGGAAAATTCAGCCCATCACATCATACTAACAGAGTGTGGTGTGTTTGGGTAACAGAAAGTTAATTCTGACTGGAGCATAATGTCACCCTGAAAGACTTTATTTTACACTTACTTTTCCAGGGGCTATATTCTAGGGAACGACATTCCTTTGATTCTATAATAGGCAACCTGGTGTATTAGAGAGTTCATGGGCTGTGGAATTAAAAAAAAAAAAACCCCTGGGTTAACTTACTTTATTTTCTGTATTCATTGCACAACTATTTATTGTTCCTTCAAATGTTGTTTTTAACATATTTATGCAGAGAATAACAACGAGCTTATGGGTTGCATTCAATCCTTGGCTTGACTGGAGTCCATTATCCTTTAGTAAAAACACCTAGTGGAGAGAGGTACATTTGTGTCTACAGTTAGAAAAAAGGTAAAAGTGTTTTGAAAATCTTTGGTAACAATGGAGTAAAAAGCCCAAAGTTGATGACAGTGATCTAGGCAAGGCTGGGCCTCTTTAGGTATTCATCTTACTTGGTGTGTTCCTCTTACTTTTCTCTTGGTGTGTGTTTCTTCACATCTTTTTATGTCAGTTATATGTAAATGGTTGTGTTTGAGTCTTTACAAAGGTTTCTATGTATTTCTATGAGTCATTTTGTGGGTGTGTCCCTCATATGCTCTGTGGCAGATTGAATTTTCTAAGATGACCAAAAAATATCTCCCATCCTGCACACTTATCTACAATGTAATGTTTGCGTTTCTTCCACGGAGAGATGAGGTTTATGGTCCCTTTTTTCAAATCTTAATGGACTTGTTACTATGGTAAAAGTGATATTATATGACTTTTTAAGCTACGTTATTAAAGGTGATATGCCCATCTGGCCTTCTTGGGGCATGTGCTCTTGGGAGCCAGTCACAATGCTGTGAAGAATCCCAGCTCACGTGGAGAGGTCATGTGTAAGGGTTCCAGCTGATAGCCAGCATCAACAACCAGACATGTGAGTGAGCAAGACTTCAGATGATTCCAGCCCCCAGCTACTGAGTCATCATCATACTTTGAACTTTCCCAAGCAACAGTGAATAGAGGAGAGATGAGTTGTCCTTGCTGAGCCCTTCCCAAACTGCAAATTCATGAGTAAAATAAATGATTGCAGTTGATCTGTACCACTACATTTTGGCATGATTTGTTGTGCAGAAGTAGATGACATACATTTTCTGATTCTCTCTGTATGCCTTTCTCCATCTTGATCCCTGTATTTTATTGTCTAACTCTTTTCCATCTATATCTCTGATCCTTTTTTCTTCTTCTTCCTGCCTGTCTTTAGTTCTCTAATTTCTCTTATAATTTCTTGCCTTTTATTTCTTAACCTGCTGTAATATACAAGAGAGATAGAATTTTATATTTGGATAGTATTTTGTGCTCCCTTTTGCTAATTTTTAAAGCACAGGAGTGGAATATGTAATCTTCATTTCATTCTAAAACACAATAAAAATAAAGTTACTGCTTCTAACGAAAGCTTTTATTTTTTTGCCTTCTGAGTGTCCATGGCCCTCACAGGAATATTCTCTATCCTGCCTCTGGTGCTTCAGAACGGATGAATGTGTGGATAATGATTTCCTGGTGAATATAGTTTTCATTTTTATAACTTTATTTTTCAGCCCTTGAAAAATGGTATTAATATACTATGGTGGTGTTGTATTTCTTAAAAATATGTTGCTGAACTCTTCCTTTCTAATTCTGATAGACTAAAAAACCTGCCCTTTGGAAAGTGAAGGAGATAAATATTTTCTTTCAATGGTTCTTGAGGTAAGTAAGTTCTCCTAGCCCTAGGATAAAGGCTGAAGGATACAACTTCAGAGAGCTTGTAATAAGGCAGCCTCTGACCTGAAATCTGGAGGGCTGAGTTGAGAATATTTCGAGTCCTTCCCATGTGTGATGTTTTGGAATTTCTTATTTTCATGTCTTTATATTACCATCAGTTTTGCAAAAACTATTCAAATGCAAAACTCAAATATGTCACCATATTCATTTTACTCCTTTATATGAAAAATCAATTACTTTCTACCTGATTCTTTACTTTTAATTCTATACCATGCAACCATGTACCTTTTTATAATAATCCATCCTCTAGAGTAGAAGCCAGTATCACTGCTGAATGGTCTCCACGACCCGGACACATCCCAGGCATTCATCACATTTGTGAATCCTACTTCCTAAATATCTCTCCCTCCTACTTTTGTTGGAGGTATCATGGTGTAGTAATGAAAATAACAAGGCTTTTGGGACCAGTTAGCCTTGGGCTTAGTCTTGGGTCTAACACTGTGACCTGGGGTGAGCTTGACCTGGGGTGAAATTGATTCTCAATTTCTATATCTATAAATTGGGGATTCATAGTGTCTTTGTGATGAATGAGATAAGAGTGTCAAAGTATTTAGAACATAATGAATCCTTGATAAATGTTGGTTTCCCTCTTCAGATCCTCATTCTCTGTCTCCAAGGCTATTTCATTAAACCCTTATCAGGATTGCTGCTTTGTTAATTTCTTTTGTTCATAATTAAGAGCTGACTTCTCATTATGGCTTTCAAGATCCTTTACATTTTGGCAACTGTTTTGGTTCTCTATTGTGGTATAGGAAGCAAATCCAAACCTTAGTGGCTTTAAATAACAACCTTTTAATTATTTCTCACAATTCTGTGGGTTGGATGATTCTACCGGTTTCTCCTGGGATCTCTCAAGTCATATGGCAACTGGGGCTGGAATAACCAATATGACTGAACTCATATATTTGGCATCTTGGCTTGGATGGTTACACTCAGCAGAGACCCTAGGACTTTAGGGTCTCTCCTTACTCAACCTCTCTATGTGGTATCTTCAGCAGGTTAACAAAACTCCTTATGTAGTATTTTAGGGCTGCCAAAAGTGTAAAACCCAAGAATCTAGGTCTTCTTAAAGCTGAAAGCCTGAGCTGCACAGGTCACTTCCATTGCATTTTACTGGCTACAAAGGAATAATTAAGCTAGCCTAGATTCACTGTGGGAGAGGACTACACAAAAGATGGGTTATGGGGAGGCAGGACTGACTGGAGGCCATCTTGGGAGACCAGTTACCAAGTGACAAATTCCTTTTATAGTTTCATCTTCCACATTTCTTTTCAGTGTATTCTTCACTCCAAGTATACAAAACCAAGGATTGTGTGTGTGTGTGTGTGTGTGTGTGTGTATGTGTGTGCGTGTGTGTGTGTTACGAGGTGAGGTGGGAGAGAAAAGTTGTAGGGGTACTGTGCTTTGCACATCCCATTGTCTGAAATGCTAATTCTCTTCTTATATAGATATAAAACTTCTCCTCATACTTTTTGACAGTGTATTAGTCCGTTTTCATGCTGCTGATAAAGACATACCTGTGACTGGGCAATTTATAAAAGAAAGAGGTTTTATGGACTTACAGTTCCATGTGGCTGGGGAAGCCTCATAATCATGGCAGAAGGAGGAGCAAGTCACGTCTTACATGGATGGCAACAGGCAAAAAGAGAGCTTGTGCAGGGAAATTCCCTCTTATAGAACCATCAGATCTCATGAGACTTATTCACTATCACAAGAACAGCAAGGGAAAGACCTGCCCCTATGATTCAGTTACCTCCCACCAGGTCCCTTCCACAACATGTAGAATTCAAGATGAGATTTGAGTGAGAACACAGCCAAGCCATATCAGACAGCTAAAATGTTTACCTCATTTGTGAGGCCCTCCTTAACTCCCACAAAGACTCATTCCTTCTACTTGTCTGGATATATTTTATATTAGCACACAGCCCTTATCAGTCCCTATATTGTTCGAATCTTTCTCTCAGACTTTATCTGAGCATCTTAAAGGCATGACTGACTTTTTTATTGTCCTATATTCAGTGTCTTAGTCTGGGTTCTCCCCATAGCAAACACAGAGGCAAGGCTTTGAATGCAAGTCTGTTATTTAGAAGGGGGTTCCAAGAAGCTCTATGAGGAAGTGGGAACTGAGACAAGGAAGGGAAGGAAGACAGTGCAAAATGTGTTAATAAGCATGTTACTGCTGTGGGCAACTGGGGTTCACTTCTCCTGGGGACTTCTGGGAAACTATAATTCTGGGAAACTAGAACTTTTCTCAGACTTGTTCTACCACAGGGTGAGGAAGCTGGAATGTTTACCTACCAACTCCCATCCTTCATTTATTGAAGGGATTGAGGGCTGCTCCCTGGAGCATTAGTTCCTGGCATGTGGGCCTGCCCTGTACTCCAGCGTAGCCTGAAAAAAACCCTAAGGTGGAAAGTCAAGTAGTTTCCGAAGAAAGCCAATATTGTGTAAGGAAGGCTGTGACAAGAACAAAGGAGGGGGCGGATGGGGACACTTAAAGCATCTGTAACAACCAGTGTCCACAGTTTTTTTTTTTTTTTTGAGATGGAGCCTTACTCTGTCATTCAGGCTGGAGTGCAGTGGCACGGTCTCGGCTCAGTGCAACCTCTGCCTCTCAGGCTCAAACGATCGTCCCACCTCAGGCTCCCAAGTAGCTGGGATCACAGATGCATGCCACCACACCCAGCTTATATATATATATTTGTATTTTTGGTAGAGATGGAGTGTCACCACGCTGCCTAGGCTGGTCTCAAACTCCTGAGCTCAAGCAATCTGCACACCTCTGCCGCCCCAAATGCCTGGATTACAGACATAAGCCACCATGCCCTGCCAATATTTAATCAATAAATGTTGGTTTAATGACACCAGTGAATGAGTGAAGCTTGTAGATATTTTGTTTTTGTATTTGTGGATAAGGCACAAATAATAAAAAATAGAAATGCCTTTTTTGAAATTAAAAAAAATTCATTAGAATGTATGTCTTTACGAATCAGAATTTATGATACCCAGGCCAGGTGCGCTGGCTCATGCCTGTAATCCCAGCGCTTTGGGAGGCTAAGGCGGGTGGGTTACTTGAAGCCAGGAGTTCGAGACCAGCCTGGCCAACATAGTGACACCCCATCTCTATTAAAAATACAAAAATACAAAAAAAAAAAAAAATAGCTGGGTGTGGTGGCGCGCATACCTGTAATCCCAGCTACTCAGGAGGCTGAGGCACAAGAATTGTTTGAACCCAGGAGGCAGAGGTTGCAGTGAGCTGAGATCGCCCACTCCAGCCTGGGCGACAGAGTGAGACTCTGTCTCAAGGAAAAAAAAAAAAAAGAATTTGTGATATCTACTAATATATTTAATATTCTTTTATTATTGTCCTCTTCTGAATACTTTCATTGTTCCTGGTAAAAATATCCCATACATTACGAGAACATTATGCAGTATCTAATTGCAATGCTTTGCTTTTGAACATACTGTGTATAAAATGGTGTCAGGCCTCTGAGTTGAAGCTCAGCCATTGTAACCCCTGTGACCTGCATGTATGTGTCCAGATGGCCTGCAGGAACCAAGAAGTCTGGGGCAGCCAAAAACCACAAAGAAGTAAAACAGCCAGTTTCTGCCTTAACTAATGAACCAACATTACACCATTCTACTATTGTGGCTTGACCCTGCCATACTTTGATCAGTGACTTGGTGACATCCTTCTTCTGGACAATGAGTCTTATGATCTCCCCACCGCGCACCTTGTGACCTCCTCCTCTGCCAACAATAGATAACCGCCTTTTACTGTAATTTTCCATTACCTACCCAACTCCTATAAAGCAACCCCTTCCCCATCTCCCTTCGCTGACTCTCTCTTTGGACTCAGCCCACTTGCACCCAAGTGAAATAAACAGCCTTGTTGCTCACACAAAGCCTGTTGGTGGTCTCTTCATAAGGACGCGCTTGACAAATGGGATCCATCTAACCTACAGGAAGAGGTTTCAGGAATTTGGGCAAGTTGCATTGGATGGGGAACTGTATGAAGATTTTGGCACAGTTTGCATTAATACATTTCCTGATGCATCATTGTTTATGTTAGTTGTAAATTATTCTTTCATTGATAAATTTAGTTCTGTCATTGAGAGCCTTCTGCAAAGATTCTATTATGTTTAATTTTACTTTATTTAGAATAATTTGCTTCAGATCCGTTGTCCAGAACCTGCAAAATTACTTTAAAATTTAAAACAAAAATTCAAAAGTTAATTCAGATACAGTGGAACCCTCAGAAAACAGTGATGCTGAGAAATGAGCATATTTATTAATGTTCAGACAAGTACGCCTCTCTGGACTTTTTAACACAGTTGTGATGCGACTTGACATGAATTAATTTGTGCAGTAATGAGGCATCTTTAAAAGAAGTGAGCCTCTCAAACCTGGGTGAATATTAGAATTACCTAGATGCTTGTCATAAATATAGGTTTCTGGAACCTATCCTTCTGAAATATATATTTAATATGCAAACCAGATCAGTCTGAAGATCTTCCAGGTTTGAGAAATGCTATCTAAAAGGCATGCCTGAATGACATTTAATCTGCCTAGATTATTAGCTCCTTCTGCTACAAGTAGGCCATGTTTTATATTGATTTGGTTTTCCCTGTAGCATCAGTACAATGTTGAGTAGATAGTGAACCATCAGTAAATACTTGGTAACAACTGTTTTAAGGCCCACCTATTTGCACTTGACTTGATTAGTGGGGATTGTTGTCTTGCGGGATTTGCAATTTGGCATCTCAGTGCGATGTTGAATCAGTTCCTTCGCTATTCAACAGAATTATTTAAATCATTTAGTCAAGGGTAATGAAAGGAAGCTACCTTATATTAAGTATGTTCCATTGACAGATACTTTCTGTAGGTTATCTCATTTAATTCTCACAACAATCCTACGAGGAGGTACTTATCCTCATTCTGTAAATAAGGATACAGTTTAGGGAAGGGTAAGTAACTTGCTTAAAGTTATATAGCAAGTAAGTGATACAGCTGGGATTAGAGTCCAAGTTTATCCAATCCCAACATTCATGCTTTTTTCAATTTGCAAAAAGACTCCTTTCAAGGCATCTTCCAAGCAAAAGTCATATACAAAACATGCTCAATTAGTGGTATGGGAAAGAGGGGGATCAAAGTTAGGTTCTTCGTTAGCCAGATTTGATTCTGAGCTACAGGGAGAAATACATACTGAATTTATGAAAAAAACCAACAACTGGGTTTTTAAAAAATGATCAGGATAACTGTAGTTGAGAGGAGGAGTGAGAGTTTTCGGTGGCTACAATAAATAGAATTCTATGTTCAAGAGGGATTTAGAAAGGTCTTAAGAGGGAGTACTGCAAGGGTTGACACAAGAAGAGGTCAAGATATATATGGGGATTTCATTTCTATTGCGGGTCAAGGTGAGAATATTTTCAAGTAGTATCAAAGGGAACATGAAAAGTAGTCTCAGTGATAAGAGAAATGTGAGAATTGCCAGGCATGGTCCATTCCAAGACTGCTGGCTTAGGAGCCTCTAGGGATAAAAGGAATTAGGACCGGTTATGCTTAAATTCCATCCTGCAAATTGTCCTGAAACAGAGAAGGCTGTCAAAGTCAGGCAGGTCATCCGATAAGAGACCAATGTACGTGCCAAGGGGTGTGCTTGAGTCATATATTATCACAGCCGGAGTCACATCCTTAGTTGCTGTTCATAGTGACAAATCTCAGTGTAAAGTTAGCAAAGAACCAAGTGAATTCTTGCTCAAAAGGGTGGGCAGAATGTCTAGAAGCTTTAAAGAATGTCAAAGGCATATTCCACTTCATATTCCTCTTACTATTTATAATGACTATCACTTACATTTTATAGCAACATTGGTCCCTTTCTTCCTCTCTCACCTCCTTCCCGCCCCATGATTTTTTTTTCTTTTTCTCTTATGTAAGAGAAAAATCCATGTCTAATGACAAATTTTCCTCTAAAGGCTCAAAAGAGTATGTGATCTGTTTTATAAATGAATTAAATCACTTTCATCACAATAATATGATTTCTAAGGGGAACTTTCAGGTACCTAAAAGTGATATTTTGAGTTATTTTTGGATCAGGCTTTTAGACATGATAAAAATTGGCCTTTCATGATTACCTCAGCTGATCCATGCTACTCTTCAGGAGAAATTGAAAATTCCAGCTTGATACCGACGATGACTAGTTCATTGGCATCTTACTTGAACAAATGTAGGTTAAATTTGGAAAGGATACACTCTAGTAATAAAACTGTCAGAAGACCAGCTTTTGATGGTCTAAAGCTTCCACAGTTGGTGAAATATTTGCAAGGGTACTGGAAATACATGACAATTAATTTTCTTAAGGAAAGAATTTAAGTCACATCTTTCCTTAGGGCAGACATAGACTGCCACTTCAGGAGGGGACATATTAGGACCTGTTGGGTACATGATGTTTTCTGCTTATTCCTAGCTTGTATAAACACATCTTGTAAATTATTTTACAAGATGAATGACACAAGCTGGGCTTGTGTCAAGCAACAGAAGTCAAAACATATGACAGATCAATATACCATTATCTTGCCTGACTTTATTAGAGGTCAAAGATTACAGATCACTAGTAATGAAAGGGACCTAGAGATTACTGCATTATGAGGAAGGCTGGTAGTGGTTTAGGGTCGCAGCTTTGGAACCAGACTACTTCAGTTCCTATCCTGGTTCTACCACTTACTACCTGTGTCACCTCATTCAAATTATCCAACCACCTTGTGCCTGAGTTTTCTTCTCTGTAAAATGGTAAGAGGAATAATAGTCCTCATCTCATTGAGTGTCATGAAGTTTATATGAGTTAATATCTGTAAAGCACTCAGAATGGTGCCTTATGTGTAATAAGGCCATATATGTCTTTTCTATTATCATTACCTCAAGACCTCAGTTTACATTGAAGAATCTGAGACTTCTGAATGACTGTATGTAAGGCCACAGAGTGTGGGCCAGAAGTCAGCTCTGCTCATTCCAAACTCAGGGCTTTTTGCTCTGTCATGATGCCTTGCTATGGAAATAAACAATTTCAGTAAGTCCCAAGGAATTGGAATTTCATTGAATGCAGTATTTTTTAGGGTAAAACCCAAAAATAATCAGTGATACTTATGACTATTGTCAAGAAGTATATATTAATTCTTCGGCCTTAGGCATTGTTGCAAATATATTGGTGCCCCTGTATTTCACTGCTCACTGGATCAGTGCTTGCTATGAGCATCCTTCTGTGGGCACTTGTGACTTTCTGCTCATGGTTTTTTTTTTTTTTCCCAGAGCGGGGGCTTTGTGTGCACAAAGCAGAAATATTCAGGAGTTAATGCTCCCTTTGGGACAGGCCCCCCCCCAAACAATGATGGAAGGGATTTGAAGAGTAAACACCCCGTCTTCTTGTCCCTCATATGATACAACACTGAGGATTATTCTATGCACTCTTTCCGAAGTCCCCAGCAGGATCAAGCTTCAAGAGCTCATGGCAGACACTTGCTTACTGATAACACGCCTTGGATTGGCAGCTGCTTCTTTTAGTTTCACTGCCCTTCTCTTCTACTGGTGTTTCCTGGGATCACCTCTCAAGTAAACTACATACACTCAAATCCTCATCTCAGGGTCTGCTTGACCTCAGTGAATGATGATTAGAACTAAGCAAAAGATCTAGGTACTCTCTGATTTGGGGATAGACACACCCAAATTATTGTTTAGTATTCTGGAAGACGCAAAAAATAAGCCAGCTGTGAGTCTCCTTAGAAAAAATGGACATGTTTTTAGGGTACCTTTTTTCCATACATAACAATCTGGGCCTACTTAGAAATATAAAGTTCTCTGAAACTTTTAAACCCTGAAGGAAACTGGAAATGTTTGAACAAATAAAAATACTTACATAGCTTATATAATTTTTAACACCCTTCACAGATCTAAAGTCACTTTGTTAATTTAGGAACATAAAAATGCATTATGTATAACTTGGTTGGCTCCTAAAAGTATCATGTTTGATATCTTGAGAGATGTGAAGGCCTGAAAAATTTGAGGGGCAAAAAGAATATTGTGTAAAGGAATCTTGAAATGCCATGATTAAATAAAATTCCAAGATTATTCTATAAGCTGGTCAGTTATAGTCTGTTGGTCTAAGTGAGAGCATTCCTCCTGCCCTGGAATTGCTATAAGTAGGAGTTTAATTTTCCGGGAAATTTGGGGGCTATATCTGTGGGGTTGAGTCACCAGAGTTCTGGGGTTTGGCAAATGACCTGCAATTTTGATTTGGGGTGCTTTGGGACTGAGTTGTCCAATAGTGATGCCCAAAGAGTGAGCCCTTGACATTCCCTATGCATCTCAGCACACTTTCTGGCACCCCTAGCATTCATAAATATGAATACAATGTTGAGTAAAGAAAAGACAACCATGTTGAGATGCAGGTGCTGAGTAGTCTGTTAGACCCAGACGCGAGCTAAAGGACTTGGGTCCTCACACCACAGATGGAAGTATACAACTATATTCCTTTGCAAAACCTAGGATGAAATCAGCTAACAAATGATACTCCCCTGGCCACAGGGATTAGTTTACATGTGATCTTTTTAGCTCAGTGGTCAAAGTTTTTGTGGAGTGGTTGAAGGTAGCTTTCTGTCAGATGTAAACAAAGAAACATGTGATTTTGATTGTTACTGGAAATCACCCTTTGACTCAGCCTGAAAAAGAGGACAGGCAGACCTGAAACATTTACCTTAAATTTAGGAGAGAAGTAGAGCCACAGGCGTGATCAAACTGTATCTGAAACTGACACTATCTATGGTCTTCTCAGTTACACAAGCCACCAAATTCTCCTTAGTGTTTTAGCCTGTTTAGGTAAGAATTTATTTCTCTTACCAGAAGGCATCCTTATGGATCCATTTAGATATTATAGGAATGTGAATACTAGAATTTATTCTTTAAAAATGATTTAATATAAATTTTGCTTTAACTATAATCTAGCTCAATAAACTGTGCTCTCAGGCTCCATTTTATAGATTTGTCTAGAGTTGATGTTAAGTATGGCTGAGAATTCTGAGCACCATTAGGAATTGAGCAGAGGATAAAATCCAGGGGTCTTCCTTTTTACAACAAATAAGTGTTAGTCTCGCTCTGTCACCCAAGATGGAGTGCAGTGGCGCGATCTTGGCTCACCGCCAGCTCCGCCTCACAGGTTCACACCATTCTCCTGCCCCGGTCTCCCAAGTAGCTGGGATTACAGGCACCCGCCACCACGCCCGGCTAATTTTTTGTATTTTTAGTAGAGACGGGGTTTCACCGTGTTAGCCAGGATGGTCTTGATCTCCTGACCTCGTAATCCGTCCACCTCGGCCTCCCAAAGTCCTGGGATTACAGGCGTGAGCCACCGCGTTTGGCCTATTGTGTATTTTTAATGTATGCAGCATGATGTTATGAGATATAGATAGTCAAATGATTACTATAGTAAAGCAAATTAACATACCCATCATCTCACGTTTACCCATTATTTTTGTCTGTGTGAGGCAAGACTGCTACAATCTACTCAGCAAAAATTCTGATTATAATACACTATCATTAGCTATAGTCCTCATGTTACAGGGGCCTTCTTAAAGTGGAGGTTCAGTATAAGTACCATAGAAGAGGATGTGGTCTTGCAATCACATTTCACAAAACTAATTGGCCACATTCCAATTTGAATAAACAAATTAGAATAAACAATTCCACCTGGCTTAGATACCTATTTTAGTTGGGCAACTGGCTGTTCTCTTGGCATGTAGCAGTGAGCATTCAACAGCTGGTGCTCCCTCACCCATGGGGCCTTTCTTTTCAGAAGATAATTATTTCAGAGACTGACAAAGAACTGAGATCTGAGCTGGGATCATTAAGTGCCAAGAATGTACCACAGTCTTAGCGTATCACTATTTTAAATAATGATGGGAGTTTATAAAATGAAAGTATTTTCTCTTCAAGATACACTGTATGCATTTTTCCCTAAAACTGAGGAACATAATATTAAAAGACTTCCCCTTTAAATATTGAGAAAGTACTTACATTTATTGAGTCTGACCCTGTGCTCATGATGGAGAATTTTCTCTTGGTGAGATATCAACAATTCATAGGATACAAAAGAAAGTGAAATGTGGTTTGGCCATATGCACCTGTTTTTTAACTTATGGAGTGTTTTTCATTTTCTCAGGCTCTCTGCCTGGAACACTCACCACACCCCAAAGCACACATGGCAAACTTGTACACATCTCATCTTATCGTTCTTCCTCCAGGAAATCTTTAACCACTATCACCCACCCACCCAGTAAAGGTTACGTACATAGCATTCAGTACTAGATCATCAAAGCATTTACCGTACCCTTTGGTAAGTGCCTCTTTACTTGTCTTTATCCCCAACTGTGTCAGACAGACTTTAATGCGCCCCCCCCCCCCCACGATCCCCATCTCCCGGTGTTGACACTCCTATATATTTTTTTCTTCTTGATCTTGGGATCTGTGACTTGGTTCCTACTGATGGAATATGAAAAACATGATGGGATGTCACTCCAATGACTGGGTTGCATAATGTAAAACACTGTCTTAATACTAGACTCACTCTAGGGACTCTCCTTGCTGGTTTTGAAGAACCCAGATGCCATGACTCCTAAAGCTGCAAGAAAATGAATCCTGGGCCGGGCGCAGCGGCTCACGCCTGTAATCCCAGCACTTTAGGAGGCTGAGGCGGGCGGATCACGAGGTCAGGAGATCAAGACCATCCTGGCTAACACGGTGAAACCCCATCTCTACTAAAAAAAATAAAAATAAAAATAAATACAAAAAATTAGCCAGGCGTGGTGGCGGGCGCCTGGAGTCCCAGCTACTCGGAAGGCTGAGGCAGGAGAATGGCGTGAACCCAGGAGGCAGAGCTTGCAGCATGCAGCAGTGAGCAAGATTGCGCCACTGCACTCCAGCCTGCGCGATGAAGCTCGACTCCGTCTCAAAAAAGAAAAAAAAAAAAGAAAAGAAAATGAATTCTGCCAATGGCCTGAGTGAGCTTGGATGTGGACTCTCAGTTGAGCCTACAGATGAGAATTCAGCTCTGGCTGACAGCTTGATTGCAGCCTTGTGAGACAATAAGGAAAAGACCAAGTTAAATTGTGCCTGCACTCCTGACCCACAGAAACTGTGAGATAGCAAATGAATCTTGTTTTAAGCCACTGAGTTTGTGGTAATTTGTTCTGCAGAATAGAAAACTAACACACCAATTAATGAACAAAGTCATTAAGAATAGGGAAAATATCTGGGTTTTTTGAGGTCATGACCTCCAAGGCCTAGCACAGTGACTGGTACCTTGTTGGTAAATATCTGTTGAATATATTATAAAAATTTGTTTAATATATAAATATATGTTAAAAATAATTATTGGGTTGGGCACAGCGGCTCACACCTGTAATTGTAGCACTTTGGGAAGCTGAGGCAGGAGGACTTCTTGAGCTCAGGAGTTTCAGACCAGCCTGGGAAACATGGTGAGACCTCATCTGTACTAAAAATACAAAAAATTAGCCAGGCATGTTGGCCCACATGTGTAGTCCCAGCTACTCAGGAGGCTGAGGTGGGAGAATCACTTGACTCTGGGAAATGGAGGCTGTGGTGGGAGGATCGCTTGACTCTGGGAAATGGAGGCTGCAGTGAGCTATCATCATGCCACTGCACTCCAGCCTGTGTGAACAAGACCCTGTTTCAAAAAACAGAAAAATGTACATATATATATACATATATATATATATACATATATATATACATATATATATATATACATATATATATACACACACACACATATATATATATATATATATATATATATATATATAAAATAATTTTTGTGTGCCAAAATAAAGTCTGTTCTTCGCATTAGAGAGTAGGAGTCTCTTCTGGGTGGGTTTGCCTCTGTGCTTTGGCATTAGACACTTCTCATTACTTTAGGGCTCACTTGATTTTTCTTCTTGCCAGCTCAGCTTCTGGGGCTTCTGGACATGTCATCCTATGATCTAGGACAATTTTAATTTCAATTTTTAACTTAATTTGCCCTTCTCCCTTCACTCCCTAGCACCTCAAATATCAAAGGAAGATATCTTAGAATAGGATATAGGATAGAGAACAGAATATTTCTCTTTGGGTGAAAAGAGATGGAGAAATAACTTCAGCAAAAGATGCTGATCAGCTACATTGGTGTGGTGAGGGTAAGTCTGTAATTGTTAAGTGACATCCTAAAAGTGCTGGATGCCTAAAAGTATTGGATGCCTTTATCTGGTACTATGCTTATTACCTGGGTAACAAATGGGGATGTGGAAGTTTGGGATGAGGAGAGGAAAAATAAAGCATATTCTGAAGACCAATACTACTTCTCCATGACCCTTTCTATCTGCAGATTTGCTGGTCTTCTAGTGATTCCAATTTCCTGTGGACAGATCTCTACCATGAATTTTCACATCATACATATTATTTATATGTCATTTTCTTCTACTAAATTGGAAACTCCAAGAGAGCAGGGTCTTGACTTTTTTTTTATAATTATGCAAACAAACATTCCTTGAGCATTGCCTTTTCCTCAGGCATAGTACTAGGTGCTTTACTTGTATCATTTCATCTTCTCTTTACAACACACCCATGAGGTAGGTCCTATTCTTGTTCTCATTTTACAGATGGGAATTTGAGGTTGAAAAAGCTAAGTTTCAAGTCACACTGTCAATAATTGGTAGAACCAGGATCTCTGTATCCCCAGCATGTAGTGCAATGACTAGCACTAGGTAGGTATCCAAAAGTGCCTCTGAAGTCACTGTGTAAAGCCCAGGCTGAGACCAACTAGGGGGAATGTCCTAACTTCAACATTTCGGAATCCACCAGTGTTTTCTAAAGCAAGCTTCTTTGTTTGGGGGATTACAATAGGAAGCCTAACTCTGGTTATGCAGCAGGAAGCGCCTTGCTTTGAGGTCTGGTGGCCTACTAATCCACTGATACCAAACATTTGGAAAACATGAGAGAGAATGGCCTTAGAACTTTCACCTGTAGGGCACTATTCACAAGCGCAAAGACATAGAATCAACCTAGATGTCCATCAACGGTGGATTGGATGAATAAAATGTGCACGTATACACCATGGAATACTATGCTGCCATAGAAAAGAACAAAACTATGTCCTTTGCAGCAACATGAATGTAGCTGGAGGCCATTATCCTAAGTGAATTAATGCAGGAACAGAAAACCAAATGCTGCATGTTCTCACTTATAAGTGGGAGCTAAACATTGAGTACTCACAGACGTAAAGATGGGAACAGTAAACACCAGGGCCTACTTGAGGGTGGAGGGTGGGAGGAGGATAAGGATTCAAAAACTACATATCTGGTACTAGGCTTATTTCCTGGGTAACAAAATAATGTGTACACCAAACCCCCATGACATGCAATTTACCCATGTAACAAACCTGCACATGTATCCCCTGAACCTAAAATAAAAGTTGGAAGGGAAAAAAATAATTTCCACCTATAGGAGTAATTTCTGTTCTCAGTATCCAGTTAAACATTTTCTTGTTAATGCTCATTTTTCTCGAGAAGATGATCTGCTCATCTAGTGCACTGTTCTCTGAGTGAGTGACCACACTGAGCTCTTCATGATTAGCTTGGTAATGTGAATGGAGACAAGAGTGGGGGAAAGATGGCTGGACAGCACACTTTGCAATTAGGCCTCTTAAGCTGGAAAACCGGTTATCAGCCATCATAATCTTTCACAATTGCCTCTGCCCTTTAAGATATGAGGATGACATTATTTTTTACGTTACTGGGTGTTGTGGAATGATTTCACCCTCTGGAAATGTCTATTGAGCTGCTGCTTGAAATCATTTTATGACAAATTTTTAAATGGAGTGCTTAAAAATATTAAATTCCTTTTTCCTTTTCTTCTTTCCTCCTTTTCCTCCTTATTTCCTCCCTTCTTCCTTTTTTCCCATTCCTTTCCTTCTTGATTCCCTCCCTCTTCCTTTCTTTCCTTCTCCAGATACTTACTGAGCACCTACTAGGTGCTGGGGTTAAAGAGTTACACAAGGCTTGCAATATGCCGTATCTCATGGAGCTTATAAAGTATGTAGGGGGAATTTACAGAATTAATTAGGAAAATAAAGTAATAAACAAAAATATCCAATTTTAAATAATGTAATAAAGAGAAAGTAGGGTGACACGATAGAGATTAGTGAGTGAATTCCATGGGTTGAGTGAACAGAAAAGGTCTTTTCATGAGATTTTAAGCTAGGACAAGAAAGACTCAGCAGTGCTGATGTGGTGGAGAACTGCAGGCAGAGAAAATAGTTAATGCAAAGCTTCCAAGGTGGGAATAAGCTTTGTGGGTTTAAGGGACAGCAGTGAGGTCACCATAACTATGATGGAGCAGGAGGTTATAGATATGGGCAAGAAGCAGATCATGTAGGGCCTTGTAAGCCATGGTAAAGAGTTGGTACGTTACTCTAAATACCAAAGAGAGGAATGAAATGGTTTTAAGTAGATGAATGATAATGGTCTCATTATTACAAAGAAGTATTACTGGGTGATAAACATATATGTTTATATTAAGCTTTTTTCTGCTTGCAGTTCTGAAATATTTCAAAGTTTTAAAGACAATTGTTATTACTGCATCCAAAATTAATTGTTAGAGGACAAGAATGGAGGTAGAGGAATGAGACAGGAGGCCATTGTATATCAGGTGAGAGATAAAGGTGGTTAGAACTAGTGTGACAGCACGTGAGAAAGATAGAAGCAGACAGGCTCAGGTTGTGTTTTGAAGGTTGAGTTGATGAAACTTGCCGATGTTTGAATAGAGAGCATGAGAGAAAAATAGGAATCAAAGATAAACTTTGTTTAAGAAATTGGTTGAAAAAAATGGTGTCATTTCCCGAAATGGGAAAAATTTGGGAGGTGGGGCAGGTTTTTGTAGTGGTAGGGTGACGAAAAGTGCTCTTTTGGCCATCTTAAACATGAGATGCCTATCAGATCTTCAAGTGAAGATGTAAGAGTCAGAAAAATAGGCTGGAAATGAAGCTCTGCAGTCATCAGCTTATCAATAGTCTTTAAGACCATGGGTGGGATGGGATCACCTAGTTAGAGGACAGATAGAGAAGGGAAAGGAGCCCAAGAGCGAGGCACAGAATGCTCCAATATGGAAGTCAAAGAGAAGAGGAAAAACTAGCAAAGGAGACTGGCCAGTGAGATAGAGAGATGATATACTTTGGATATTTGTCCCCTCCAAAGCTCATGTTGAAATTTGATCCCCGATGTTGGAGGTGGGGTCTGGTGAGAGATGACTGGATCATGGGGGCAGATCCCTCACGAAGGGCTTGGTGTCATTCGTATGAGGAAGTGAGTTCTCATTCTTAGTTCCCACAAGATTTTGTTTTTGAAAAGAGCCTGGTACCTCCTCCTCTCTCTTGCTCCCTCTCTTTCCATGTGATGCCAACCCCCTTTTTCCTTCCCCTTCTGCCATGATTGGAGGCTCAATGAAGCCCTCACCAGAAGCAGATGCTCGTGCATGCATTTTGTAAGGCCTGCAGAACCAACAGCCAAACAAACCTCCTTTCTTTATAAGGTAACCAGCTTCAAGTATTCCTCTATAGCTGCACGGAACAGACTAATACAAGGGACAATTGGGAGAGTGTAATCCTGAGAAAACCAAGAGAGAAAAAGATTTCAAGTAGGAGGGCATAGTCAACTTTATCTAAAGCACCCGTTTTTAAACATTTTTGTATTGTAGCATCTTTCATAGGCTGTGGAATCCTATGGACCACTTCTCAAAAAATGTTTTTAAATGAATAAAATAAAATACATAGGATTACACAGGAAACTAATTACATTGCAGTTACAAATGTCAAAATATTAACACACAAATTTGATGCTAGTATTTGTGCTTTTTATTAATATATAATATATATTAAATATATTTTATTAATATATAAAATATATAAAAAATAGTCCAGACCTAGCAGCAGATCTGAACTATTGAACTCTCTAAGTAGTGATGAGCAGAAATGACATTTTGAGATATGAGATATCTGCAACATCTTCAATATAATATATATGATGTACTATGAAAAAGTAATATGTATAATATAATATGAAAATACGTATGATTTGTGACAGAGCCACTGTGATTTGTTGACTATGTTTAAAACTCAAGGAAATGCTAACTTGCAGTTAGTGATTAGTGAAAACAGAGATATATTTTTCCTATGCAAGTTCAGATTCTCTGATTTCAAAACCACTGGTTTAATGTTAAGAGGTAAATCTTTAGAAATGGGACTCAGTGATATGGATTCTCCTAAATGGTGACTTATTTTGCTGTACTTGCTTAAGCTTGAGCAATAACCTTAGGCTCGTCAATGTTCTACCTCTTACTGTTAGACAATGACATTAAAAGGGCATAGGAGCAATGACAGAGGGAGTGGGTGGAGTGGGGAGGGGAATGCTGAATATTCTTTTCTGTAGTTACTTATGTTCAAGAACATTAATATTCATAAAGATGTCTAATATTAAAACAGATTTGGAAATGAATTCATTAGGGCAGAAAACATTTAAATCTGTCTCTACTCCCGTTGTTTGATATTCAGAATACTTTATAGGGAAGGATAGACACTCCCATAAAGGTTCTCCCTTTGTTCTTTTTTTCTGTCTATTGCCTCCTTGAAAGTTCTAGAATATTGGCCAGGCACGGTGGCTCATGCCTGTAATCCCGGCACTTTGGGAGGCTGAGGCGCGTAGATCACAAGGTCGGGAGTTCAAGACCAGCCTGACCAACATGGTGAAACCCCGTCTCTACTAAAAATACAAAAATTGGCTGGGCATGATGGCACACGCCTGTAATCCCAGCTACTCAGGAGACTGAGGCAGGAGAATCGCTTGAACCCAGGAGGTGGAGATTGCAGTGAGCCGAGATCACACCACTGCACTCTAGCCTGGGTGACAAAGTGAGACTCTGTCTCAAAAAAAAAAAAAAAAAAAAGAAAGAAAGTTCTAGAATATCTATTATATTCCTCTTTCCCTTTAATTATACACTGATATACAAAATATACATAACTTGGACTCTTTAAAACACAATGCCCAATTTATGAATATGCTGTTAATTTTCAAATTTCAAAGGCAGATTGATGCTCAAAAATATTTGTTTGGGCCTGGCGCGGTGGCTCACACCTGTAATCCCAGCACTTTGGGAGGCTGAGACGGGCGGATCACGAGGTCAGGAGATCGAGACCATCCTGGCTAACGCGGTGAAACTCCGTCTCTACTAAAAATACAAAAAATTAGCCGGGCGTGGCGGTGGGCGCCTGTAGTCCCAGCTGCTCCAGAGCCTGAGGCAGGAGAATGGCGTGAACCCGGGAGGCGGAGCTTGCAGTGAGCCGAAATCTCGCCACTGCACTCCAGCCTGGGCGAAAGAGCGAGACTCCGTCTCAAAAAAGAAAAAAAATTTGTTTGTTGACTGCTAGATAGAAATAGTGTACTTAATTCCCTGCTCCTCCTCATACCTTTTCACTAGAGTTCTAAAAGTCTAAATATTTATACCTGTATTCAACACATCAATTCCATGATGAACAAACTTTCATAGTCGTTTTGCTTGCATGTGTGCGAGGGTTATATTGGGGTTGCATTATAGTGCAGGGGTTGGCAAAACTGGCAGGTGGCCTGTTTTTCTTTTTAAAAAATATTTATAAATGAAAAATAAATAAATAAATGAAATACATGAAAAAGAAAACTTGTAAGCACAGTACAAGGAACTCCCATATACTCTTTTCCCAGATTCACCAGTTGTTTATATTGTGCTTCTCTCTCTCTCTTTCCACACACACACACACACACACACACACACACACACACACACACACACACAGAGAGTTGGGCCTTCATATCCATGGGCTCACCATCTCTGGATTCAACCAGCTGTGGATAAAAAATATTCGAAAAAAAGAAAGGATGGTTGCATCTGTACTGAACACGTACAGAGTTTTTCCTTCTCATTCTTCCCCAAACAATACAGTATAACAACTTTTTCCATAGCATTTATGTTATATTAGGTATTATAAGTAATAGAGATTATTTAAAGTATATGGGAGGATGTGCATAGGTTATATACAAATATGCCATTTTATATAAGCGACTTGAGCATCTGCAGATTTTGGTTTATGTGGGAGGTCCCTGGAACCCATCCTCTGTGGGTACCGAGGGACGACTGTATACACAAACACATATACGCTCAGCCACCCCCACAGATTATATATAATCTCTCAATCCATCTCATATTAGTTCATACTTATACTCTCAATTCCAACTCAGCTCCACAGGGTGTATTTTTGTATCCTCTGTTTCTATACGTGTAAGTCCCCCAATAGTGAGACATTTAGCTTCTATCATCCTCAACATATTTACTCATTTGCTGAAGCTGAAAATATACAGAAGATAGTTTCAAAATTTCTCATCCATGCCACTGTACAAACCTTGTGTGGCCTGTTTTTGTACAGCCAGCAAGCCAAGAACACTTTTTACACTTGTATAGGGTTGTCAAAGCAAAACAAATGAAAAAACAAAGAAGAATATCCAGCTGACACCTTATGTGGCCTGCAAAACCTGAACTATTCCCTCTCTTGTCCTTTACAGAAAAAAGTTTGCTGATCCCTGCGCAGTGGCTCCTGGGGGTGTGTGCATGTGCACACACATTTACACGACTATGCTTAAGGAAGCCTTCTCAGCTCCCTTCTTTAAATGATAGATTTTGTCCCCTTGACTACTGTGTTCGACAAGTGATCAGACCAGGCCAGTCCTAGGATGCAAGCCCCCTAACAACTATGGTTGGTCCAAGAGGCGAGCATGTGAAACAATCAGAGGCCTAGTGCCCTTCCCATAGAATTGATATGTAAATATTGGGAAAAAGTTCCTTCTCTTTTCACTGAAGTTGCTAAACTGACATGAGGTAAGCCTGGACATGTTGTTGAACATCATAGAAGAGATCTGCAGAAGGAGAGATTAGGGCCAACACACAGAAGAAAGAGGGCCTGATCGATGGAGGGTAAGAAGGCACAGACCATGGTATCTGAGACCTGATGTTTGAGGCCAGATCCATTCTTCTCTCTGTGTTATCTGAGTCAGGAATTTCCCTTTGTTGTTTAAACTTATTTGGGTTGTAATTCTATCAGTTGTAAGCAAAATACCTTTTTGTAATTCAAATTCATCACAGTGCTTCCAAAAGTTCAATAAAAAAACTCAACTTTTTCTTTCTTGCTTAATTGGAAAGCTACAATAATAACATATATTACTACCAAATATTGAACACTCAACATTCTAAGCACGGGGCTGGTCGTTTTATAATAGCATTATGAAATATGTATTATTGTGCCACATTATAGAGGAGGGAGCTCAGAGAGTTTAAGTAATTTGATTAAGATTGCTCAGCTAAGTAGGTGGCAGAGCTGAGAAAACATTCACATTCTTTGTGACTCCAAATTTCACATAAATTTTATTGTGATCATAGAATTTAAGTAAAAGACGAAATAGGACCTTATCATGCTCTTCCCTTTTAACACAGCATAACAATAAGTCAGTACCTATTTCCACATTGGCAGTTTTGGATTTAAATGGAGTGGCATTGTTTTCTCGTTGCATATAAATACAAAAACTTAAAACACATGTCAACAACTTGGCTGTTAATGCTTTAGGGACTCAGAACATCATAATGATGTATACAGTGGACCGTGCCCCACTATTTGGCTGAGAAATACATACATTTGAAAATGTAGGGATGGTTTCTAACCAACTGTCTTTGATCAGGTTCCCCAGAACCTGAGGCAAGGATTAAGCACTGGTACTTCATTGGGGAGGTGCAAACCCAGGCCACTGAGGAAGAAAGGGGAGCCGTGCAAAGTCATGTGTGATGGTGCATCACAATGAGCCAGAAAAAGACAAAGCAGATTGCTTGACAGATGTGTCCACTTAGTCAGGATATCTGTGGATGTCTGCATACAAGCTATTTGGATAAACCGTGCCTACAAACAATCCACGGAAGGAAGGATGGAGAGAGAATTTATGTGCCTGGCTGTCTCATATCCTGTTTGCCACTGGTTAAGAGTTTGTCCAAAAGGGAGTGAACTCCCTACACTCCTTTTTTTTTTTTTTTTTTTTTTTTTTTTTTTTTGAGACGGAGTCTCTCTTTGCCACCCAGGCTGGACTGCAGTGGTGCGATCTCGGCTCACTGCAAGCTCTGCCTCCCGGGTTCACACCGTTCTCCTGCCTCAGCCTCCCGAGCAGCTGAGATTACAGGCACCCGCCACCACACCCGGCTAATTTTTTTTGTATTTTTAGTAGAGACGGGGTTTCACCGTGTTAGCCAGGATGGTCTCGATCTCCTGACCTCGTGATCTGCCCGCCTCGGCCTCCCAAAGTGCTGGGATTACAGGCATGAGCCACTGCGCCCGGCCCATGAACTCCCTACACTTCTAAGTTGTATCACCCTGACGCTTTGGTATCCAAGAGAATGTTCCATCCCATCTCCTGTGGAGTAGTGTTCCATTCGAATTCAGTGTAGGAGTCTGAAATGCCAGGCAAGTGCCTGGTAACCTGGCTGCACAGCAGAGGCTAAAGCAAAGCACAAGCACTCCTGAGACAAGTAACTGATTGATTTCAGGTGGTGAAACCACACTAGCCTAAGGGGAGATGGTAGGCCATGAAAGTGGCTGAGGTGGAGCAAGCGTCTGTGGACCCAGATGGTGATGGTACAGAGAGATTCGGAGTAAGCAGAAAAAATGTGATGTCATGTAGCCATCGCGTAACCACTGTTAATTATACATTTTCAAGTTCTAATATATGATGTGAAATGATAAACTCCTTAAGGTAATAAGTATTAGTTCACTTTGCATATGCAATAAGATAGTCAACTCAAATTTGGTCTTCATCAGATATTAAAGAATTTTTCTTCAGGTCCAACAGAAATGATTTACGTAAGTCTGAAAATTTACTAAAGCTTAATTTAGGTTGATGCACTAGACTGGTATGTTTCCCTTTTAATGTAGTATACTATTATGAATTAGATCTTTCATCATGGAAACAGCAGCTTCCAATTCTTGAAGACAGTCAGTGGTGAATGGTTATTTAAGTAGTAGCTCATCTGTCAATATAAACTGGATTCAGGGTATACAGGTTGCACACACACACACACACACACACACACACACACACCCCAATACACCATACAGTCATACCTTGGTATCCATGAGGGATTTGTTCCAGTACCTCATTTGGATACCTAAATTCATGGATGCCAAGTCCCTTATACAAAATGGTGTAGTATTTGCATATAACTTACACATATCCTCCTTTATACTTCGAATCATCTCTAGGTAACTTATAATACCTAACACAATGCCTACATGTTTGTGTGAATTCAACATAGTACTTGGTGCACGGCAAATTCAAAATTTTGCTTTTGGAACCTTGTGGAAATTTTTGATTTATGGTTGGTTGAATCCACAGATGTGGACACCATGGAGATACATACACACATACACACAAACATATATATATATATATATATATATATATATATATATATATATGGTTATGGACATAGATATGGATATTTATGTGTATATATAGATATACATATGTGCATGTATTATATATATATGTTTTGTTTTTTTTTTCCATCTCTCCATTGGTAATATGGTTGAAAGTAGAACTTTCTCTTTTCCACCTCTGGCTTCTCATGAGGTCACCTATAAGGCTTGACACAGTCACATTGGCTTGACACTTTGTGTCTAGAAAGTTGAAAAAGTCACTGACTGTTTCAAATAATGAAAGTATATTCTCCCTCACAGTCTCAGAGGTGAAATCTGAAAAGTGAAACATTTACAGAGGCACAAGTTGATCTTTCACATGAAGGAGTCTAAAGTTGATAATGCAGTAGGGAATGCAGTCCTATTGTTTTTATTTTCCCCTTCCTGAGCATACATCCAGCTCAGCTGTCATGGGCACCTCTGATGCTCCCTGAGCAGGGATTTTAAATGACTCCACAGCAGACTGGTCTCTGACTGAATCATGTGCAACAAATCTTGGGAATTTTAGTTCATAGCAAGTAAATAGCACTGCTTTAGGGTAAAGACAAATTTTCATATTTGCTTGTTAGAATATTTTCATTTCTCTTATAAATCAAGTTGAACCAAAATGGTTTAGGATTATTTTCTGAGGAAATATGTTTTTGTGGACTTTTGGTCTATGGTCTTAATGATTCCTGCAGAGTCTGACATCTATACCAATATTTTGTCCACCAAAAAAGCAGCCAGCCTTGATGACTGAAAATTCACAGCCATGCGTGCTTGTCCTTAAGCAAAGACTGCTGGGGTGGGGAGAGATGAACAGAAGGTAATGAGATGTGTGTCCTTATCTGAAAATCACTCTATGTTCCCCTTCAAAAACCTCTTTTAAAAGTTTTTTTTTTTAAAGGTTGAGCTCTAATATAATGCTAACATTCATCACAAAACAGTATAATTGCCTCCTCCTACTGTAAACTCTAGCTTAGTGAAGCCAAATGCTGGGAATTGCTTTGCTTAGACTTATAAGATATAGAGGCCAATGGTCAGAAAACCAATTGACATCAGGGATTTAGCTAGTAAAACAACTTCCAGGGAATGGTCCTGGGTCAGATCCATTAAGGCTGATTGTTCACATGTTTTATGCCTTTCCATCTCCATCTGAAGTATAGTCACCTTTACAATGAGGACTTTAGGGGACTACACAGCCTTCAGTTGATAAAAAGTAACTCACATTTATGAAGGTTAAAAAGGGGGAAACGAGTTTTAAAACTTTTTACTGCAAATGGTGAAATAAAGTGGGTTTTCAGGTAAATCCTTAATTATTTTCTGGAAACACCCCATTCCCAGAGAATTTTAATTAGAGCCTTGACGTTAGTATTAATAATCATAGGCTTTATTTATGATATTCTACTTGTTAAAACTTTCCACTATAACAAACCAGGTCAACCTTCTGGTTGGCAGACTATTACCAATATTCTCTTGTAACAGAGTGTTGATGTCCAGCCTCCTAGAACCTCTGTTTGAAACACATTATCCTGCTTTTAAGCCTCAAATTATGGCCAACCCAGCCATTAGTGAAGGAAGGATGATGTTATTACTTACTTTCTAAAGGAAATAATATGTGGGAAATGGGAGAAGGTAAAAGACATTGCTGATTTATTTTTGGAGCACAAACTAAAGGAAGAATGGATTATCAGAGACTTCTTGCCTCTGCTGTGACAGTTTTGCCCCACCATTTGATATTAACATTCATGAAGAGCTATCTATAATTCTCTGGAGCCCAGGAGCAATATCCCTTCCCATCCAGGTAATCCATCACTCTGAAGGGTGGACAGACAATAGGAATGTATGTTTCCTTTATCGCTCCCTGCCAGTAGAGGAAATGACAGTCATACTGAAACTCTTTAATATCTTGCTTGATGTGTAGGAGTGGGTGGATTATTTACCCAGGTTCCTATTCTTCCCAGGGCATGGTCAGCATTCATCCTCTCTGAGATGTAGAGCACAAGAATAGGAGCATCCTTAGGTTGGAGCAAAAATGAATCTGTCTAAATCTGTGGTTACCAAGTAACATATGTATACAAGGTGGAAGGGTGATTGGATGGGGGTTTGCTTGTATATTACAGTCTCTGATATGGAGAATGCTGTATATTTTGCAAAATCATCACTACCACCACTGAAGTTGCAAAATACTAGTCAAGTCTGAGCAAGTATTGTTACTAGGAAAAATGGTTTTCTCCACTGAAGTCCTAGCAGTAACAAAAGATGAGACATTCGGGATTATCCCCTCTCCACAAAAAGCTGCTATGCTATATTGAAGACTGGAGAGATTATGCTTTCACTCAACTACATGCACAGAGCTAAGCATTTGATACATTGTAGGAGTTTGAAAGTTATACTCTGAATGATTAAATAAAGTTAGAAAGGTAATTATGGGGCCTCTGAATTGTCGTTCTTGTTACATGATTAAACTTGTCATGGTCTATTTCTGCCATTTCTTTTTATTGCCTCTTTTCTTTTTTCCCACTCATTTTTTTTTTTGTATTCACTGACTATAGTGTAATCACACTGTTGGAAACTAGCCTTAACCATGTGGTTGTAAAAGAAAATCCTTGGCAGGTAAGGAAATGGAGACTCAGTGAGGTGAATCCAAGGTGACTCATTTAATAAGTGTCAGAGTCAGGATTCTACCTGAGTTCTACATTCTAGACTTGTTATTTTTCTTCTTCCCTACACCACTGCCAGAGGATATTTATATGGTTTGTACTAAAAAAGTCATCATCTGTGAATTAATTAATGCATCTACTAAACAGGTATTGAAGAGCTCTTTGTATAATGCTGAGCACTGTGGATAAGATGAAGAAGACATGGTTTTCCTGAGGTTTGGAGAAACCACCTTCCAGCAGGGACTAAACTACAACACCTGGTAATATCATAAAGTGCTATGAGGACAGAGCCTTTAATTCTGCCTGTGGAGTCTGGGAGGCTTCACAGAGGGGGCAGCATTTAAAATCAAACTTGAAAAATAAATAGGAGTTTGTGGTGAAATGGTCTTTGCCATTTAACTATCTGGCATGACCCCAGGAAAACCAATTTAATTTTCTGATACTTAGTTCCCTGTCTGTCTCAAGATTGTTATGAAGATGAAATGAGATTTGAAAAACACTTTGAAAACCTGCAGATGACATTATAAGAAGTAGTTTCAAGAACTATGGATCCTAAGGATAAGAGATGAGGCCTGGTCCATTAAAAAAACAGGATGCATGCACTATTTCTAGAAAAAAAAAAAAAAAACAAGCTTTGATGCTATTGTTTGAAAAATCCATAGTCCTTACTGCAGCTGATATGGGTAGTTATCACTTTTCTATAACACACAGATAAGCCTCTAAGCAAGACTCAGGTAATTCCTAGGAAAACTGCCTGCCAATCAGGGATGGAAATCCATACTAGCATAGAGTAGTAAACGGCATGCCTTACAAATGGTCTTGGGCATCAGCTACTGGGAAGGGCTGTGCTTGGGATCTAACTCACAAAATATACATTTTTCAGGATAAATTCAGATCTACCATTTTATCTTCTTTTTTATCACTCAGGATAATTGATAGGAAAAAAGGTGCAGAAATATGTCCCCGGGCCACATGAGGCAAGGATGTCACGGTGAAGAGAATGTCTTAATAATAAAAAAATGCAAAGATGGGGGGAGCTAAAGCAGGCTGTTTTGCAGTCTCCAGATAATGGCGAATAATGATTTAAAACTTTGTCTTAGTTCTGTATTAGTCTGTTTCTGTTGCTATAAGGAAATGCCTGAGGCTGGGCAATTTATAAGTAAAAGAGGTTTATTTGGCTCACAGTTCTGAAGGTTGTACAAGAAGCATGGCACCAGTATCTGCATCTGATGAGGGGCTTAAGTTGCTTCCACTCATGATGGAAGGCAAAGGGGAGGTGGCATGTGGAGATCACATAGCAGGGAGAGATGGAGATGGGGAGAGGGAGAGACAGAGAGAGGGAGAGAGAGAGAGATGCCAGGCTCTTTTCAACAACTGGTTCTCACAGGAACTAAGAGTGAGAACTCACTCCTCTGAGGGAATGGCACCAAGCCGTTCATGAGGGATCTGTTCCTAGGATCCAAATACCTCCCACCAGGCTCTACCAGCAACACTGGGGATCAAATTTCAACGTGAGACTTGGCAGGGCCAAACTATCCAAACCATGGCACTAATTTTTCATAAATTATGAGCAGTGTCTAAACCCATCCTTTTCATGTTTGATGGATCAAATAGTAAAGGAATACACTGTATCACGGGTGTGTGTGTGTGTGTGTTCATGTAGTTATAGCCTAACACCATCTGTCTTTCTTCCAGGGTACTTCTTTTTGTGTATATGCTCTGTATAATGTTAGCTTACACATGATGAGCTACTAGTCCTGAATCAGTTAGCTACTGCCACATAACAAACCACTCTAAAGCTAAGTTGTTTAAAACAACCTCCATTTGTTGAACCGTGAGGAGACTCAGGTAGACTCCTCATGAGTCTACAGGTCTGTTGAATGGTTTTTCTGAACTATGCTGGGCTGTCTGGGATTTATATTTCTGTGGTCAGCTGTGTATCATCTAGGACAAAGCTGAGGTTACTTTGATGTCCAGAGGGGAGATTAACAGAGATATAGTTCTGTGGAGTAATCATCTGGGCTAAGGTTATATCTTCTCCATTACAGGGAGGTTAAATTTCTTATTAAAAGGAGTTGTAAAAGCAGGCATTATCTTAGTTTACATAGCCCATGCAGTGAACTAGATCATACTTTATGTGGACTGCTTTGTGAAGCTTCAGGAAGCCCCTTTTAGGTTCATCATTACTTTATTTATTTATTAATTTTGGTCTACCATAAAAGACAGTGCCTTTGAAACAGCTCCACAACTTAAGTGATTATCAATCATCAATTCTTCATGGTATGACCACTCTGGAAACTTGGTGGGGAACGAGGGGGGCACTGAAAGGTTAAGAAGGCACAAGACAGGAAGGTAAAGATGAAATTCAATCTGATTTCACAGTTTGGCCCTAAGGAATACCCTTAATAGACCCAACGACCTCTTATCAGCCTCAGTTTAGTCTTGTTTTGAAATTAAAGTTAAGAGGGTAGTTAGGACGTTTAATGAGACAGATTGGATGGATGTGATGGAGACTGGTGGAGAAAGATAGAAGAATCCTAGAGGAAAGCAGAGGCTGGCTAATGCCACAACTAGAGCACTAAGCTTGGGAACATTTAAAATTCTATTTCCTTTCTCCTCTTTTAAAAGAAAATTGTATGTTTAATAGGATATGTGTTAGTATTATACAAAAAAGGAAATAGCTGCTTCTTATAACTGCCTACCAAACCCCTCTAGTTATAATTTGGTTTCATAATTATATTAAATCAGGTTGTAATCCCTTAAAACTCAGCACCCTTTACCTGCTAATAGTGCAATCAGTCTAAATGCCATTTATAGTTAGTCTAGAGCTGAAAACAATATTTAAAACCAATTTTCAGTCTCAATTCATGAAAAAAACCCCCATCACTCTATCTTATTTATAATAAACTCATTCGAGTAGATCCAGTCACAATATAAACAACTGATGGAAAATCCCTAGGAGGTTTTGGCTCATACATTCTGAGCAGACATGCTCTGGAAAACACAGACATTCTCAGAAAACTGCAGTCTGCTGAAAATGCCAGGAGAGTTCAGGAGACTGGACTCTTCATTAGGCCTTGGCATGTTTCATTGTTTTTGCATAGGGAATGGTGTCAACACTTCTTATCTGAACATCTGTATGTCCAACTCTTTTTTTCTAATCCTGTTTCAAATGGACAAGATCTTAGGACACAAGAGAAGATGTGTGCTTGGGACAAAGGTATGTGGATGCTACAACGTGATCCAGATTTTCACCCATGACAGCCGACTCTTGGTGGGTTGAAAAAGGTGGTAAGGCAGTTTCCATGGAGGTCAGGCAGCATGTGAATGACAGCTCGATGTGATAGAGTAGTGAAAGTACAGAGGCTTTGGAGCTAGGTAGACATGCCTGAATTTTGACTCTACTATTACAAGCTGTGTTACCTAAGCAAACTTTGTAATCGTTCTGAGCTTCAGTTCCTTCATCAGAAAAATGGAGAAAAATGTATCTATCTCCAAATGTTGCTACGATATTTAGATAATATTACATCTTTCCTCCCTTCCTCCTTCCTTCCTGCCTTTTTTCATCCTTTCTTCCTCGATTTCTTTCATTCAACAACTATTTATTGAACACTGTGCCAGATGCCATCATTGTGCTGTCCATATTTCCTTGGATCCCTTTTTCATTTCTGTGCACATGACTCCTGGTGTGCTGTTACTCTCAGAAGCCAGCGTCTGTGTTGCATTGTCAAAGGTTTGCCCTCAAACTGACAAAGGCCCATTTTGCCTGAATAACTAAAAGTGCCTAGAAATTTACATCCCTCTGTGGGCATCCCTTAAAAAATGATTGATAGGTGGGAAGAAATAAATGCTCCAGTCACAGTTTCCCCTTATGGGGACCACTCTGAGGTGTGACCTAGACTCCAGAACTTGCCTATGGGATTGAGTCAAAGTTACTATCCTTGGGAATTAATGTACTATCCTTGCTTGATTTCCTTCCCTTCCTAGTCCCATTTCCCTAGATCCCTACTGGTTTCCTGAGAACACCTCCTAATAATCCATTTTCACATGAATTCTTATTTCAGAGTTTGTTTCTGGCAAGCCCACCCCAAGTCACACACCTTTCACATATTCCATATTCTTCTATGTGCTAGGAATGTATGAACGAGTCAGATATAGTCTTACTCTCATGTTTTATTAACTAGAAACACTGTAGTGAGAACCCATGTTAAATAGGTTCCCACGATAAAGACTGCATTTTAGACATTCTGCAGAATTCTACATTTCTTCTAGAGTGGAAAGAGTATAGGTTTCAGAGTTACAACTTCCAAATTTGTGTCCCTACTCATTCACATATCAGCTGAAAAACATTGGGTGGCTGCATTTGACTTACTGAGCCTCACTTCTTCCATTTAAATAAGTTTATTAGCACCTGCGGTTCCAGACTCATGGGATTTCTATAGGGAGCACTAACAGAATACGTAAAAAGCCTTTTGAAACAGGGCACATAACCCAAACTTTATCACTACCTGGAGATGTTACGTCAACAACAAGCAAGAGCTTTGAAAAATAAAAGTACATTGTGTCATTTTTTAGGAAATGTTACATATTTTATAAGGCACTGCTTTACATTTAACTTCAATGTTTTTATCTTTGCTGAATTAAACAAGTGTGATTTGGTAGGGTCAGTAACAACATCATAAGCTTGGTATGGTTAAAATGAAGATCAGGCTGATGCATAAAACAGGCAATGCTACGGGTGACAGCAAAATGTAAACACACGTCTTGGGGTTCTGCTGAGTGTAAAGCGTTGAAAAAGAACAGAGTAAGGAAGCAAGTCCCTTGAAGAATCCCTGCCCCTAGCATACCCTACCCACCTATCAGTGCCAAGGAATTAATAGCTGCCTCATGTAACTCCATCTTCTGTGGATGGACTGCCAATCATCCTGTCTCCTTCAATGCTGTAGAAAGATTCCCTTTGACATACTCCATCCTGATGTTAGAGAACCAGGCTCAACACTTTTTTGGGAATCCCTGTGCCTACATGATACTGCTTCTGGAAGCTAAAGCCCTGAGATGCCTGATTTGCTCTTTCCGGAGTTAATTATGTCCACACATAATTTTGATGGTAAAATCCAAAGTGGGTTAAGCAAAAGGAGATATTTCTTGAATAGATACAAGGATATCTCCAAGATCTTAAGGGCAATACCTACAATCAGGCCTCAGTAGGGACTGGAAACAGGACCTGGAAAGTCAACATAATTCAAGGCAGACCTCTCCTATCTGTATTCATATCTCTCTTTGGAGTATATGGTCTTTTATATCTTCTCATCTCTATTAGTGGCTTCTTTTTTATTATTCCTCAAGGCTGATTCTTCTGCCATGTTTATGCATGGAATGTCATAGCTGCCTCTAAATGGTGGCCTTTAGTCAAGTTTCTATCAGTTTATAAGATGACTGCCTATAGGTAGTTTTACTGACCTTTCTGTGTCCCAATACCGAATGGCGAAAGAGTTTTTTTTTTTTTTTTTTTTTTCTGCCAATATAGGTTCTGAATTGGTTTCCCTGAGTTAAGTGTCTACTTTTGGTCCAATTAGCTGTGGTCAACAAGTGGTGGAGACACGGCAACGACGTGGCTTCGGGGTCTCACTTCTCAGAGGGAGGAGGATTGATGAAGTGGAGCTCAGGATGGGCACATACTCTGAAACATTTACTACAGTGACTCATGTGTATTTCTTGGGTTGCTAGCTATGTTTCTACCACCCACGTTTATTTAGCTCTCAGAAGAAAAATCCCCACAAACCAAGCAGCCAAAGACAAGTTCAACAGAACCATCTGGACTCCACAAAATTTGACATCATATTGGCTTATCTTAAACCCATTCTTTTGAAACTTACAGTCTTCTGACAGTTGGTTCCCAAGCATGGAGGACTACATTTATATACAAAAGGGTACTATTAAGGCCTTTTACTAATATAGAATCTTTGATTATTCTGGTATATTTTTCAAACGGATTTCTAAAAACTTTTATTTCATTATATTCTTGGTATATTCCTGTGAATTTTGGTGGGACATCCATTTCAGTGAAGAATAAACAAGCCTGCATTGCTGTCAACTATTATATCAGCACAGAAATTGGCCTCATTAAAGCTGAGATGGGCTTTAATTTCTACAATCCGATGCATGTTTTATGGCTAAAGTAAAATAAGATATAAAGGAGAAAAGAAGGAGAAAGAGAATCCGCTTTTGTGGCTCCAACAGATCTTTCCAGTTGGTTTTCTCTTAAAGCCCTCTGGGTTGGGGGGCGGGAGGAAACACTATTTCTTTCCAGCAAGCTGCACTTGCAAGAAGCTATGGGAAGTTATTGTTCTCTACCAGAATGCTGCTGCTGCAAAAGATGAATCCAATCTTACAAGACAGCCAAGTTCTTTTGTCTTCACAGAAAGGAGCCTATAGGCCTAGAACCCGGCAGATGTGGTCATTTTAAAGAGCTTGGAAACTTTCAGGTGGGTTAAGATGTGACTGGGCTGTGGGCAGGACCATGGAATCAGCCATGCACATCATTCAGTTTTGGGAGTGGAGAGACTTTCTCACTTAAATCAAGGCTTTAAAATACAACATCTTCTACCTCAGGCAAAGCTTGGACAAAGTAGAGATGCTTTTTTGTGGCTTTGAAAGGAACAATAAACCCTGACAATTTTCTCCTAGGTATGATGACTCTTGCTCTTACTCTCATGAGGGCAGACCCGTGGAGACCAGAGGTGAATACAAGATTTTGTGAATCAGGGGTCAGAACTGGGCTTGTCCTGCCAAAGCTTGCATGGAAGTTGTCATGCTTGTTAGCAAGCTGTTTGAGTAGAAGCCTGGATCCTTTCCATCTGCCACTCCAGGTCCACCTTCTGCTTTTTTCCCATCCTGCTCTGTCCTAGCAGGTTGATTCTTATTGTCTGCTCCTATGGGTTCCCTGGCTTTTTAGCCCCTAGTTGATTTTGGCCAATGAAGCCCCAGGAAGAGCTAGGTAGGTAGGAGGAGAGGAGAATGAGATCAGGGTTTTTATTCCCTCATCTCCTTCCCTGCCCAGTCATTGCCGGTTGGCTGCTTCTACTGAAGGCTACAACTCCTGTTAGATTGCCTGTGCCCTTGCCTTCTCAGGCATAAGAGTCGTAACAGCTTCTTTATACGCTATTCCCAGAGTACTGGATTATCCATTGTTGGGTTCCTTTTAATAGTCCTTTGTTAAGCTCACACCATTTGAATGTGCCCGTCTCTTTACTGCCAGGCTCCTGCTATGCAAGTAGGAATAATGCTCACCTCTCAGGGGAGGAGGATTGATGGCTTCCTCTCGCCATATCTGCTTCCAGCACTCTAACCTGCTTCATGTTCAGACAAAAAAGTCAACCAATGTGGTATTTTTTTCAGGAATACTGGAAGGATGTTCTGCAAAAAATACCTTCTATGCCCCACTTCCCTTGTAATGTCTTTATTAGGAGATTAAATCTTTCATTCTATTTAGAGATAAGGTTTTAATTGCAAAGATCCTTAGGAGAGGCATCATATCCCATTCAATAGTTTAAGAATAATTGAGAGGATTAACATTAGGTTCTAGATATTGAGAACAAAAAGGTTGTCCCTGATCTCAAGGAGTTTATACTGTAGGCCAATAATTGATACTAAATTCTTTCTTGAGGATTCAGGGGATCATAGCAGATGGGAGGCAGGACTAGATTGCAGCTCCAGATAGAGCAGCACGCGGAGGCTTACATTGTGAAGCGGAGGCTTGCATTGTGAATTTTAGCTCCAGATCCACTGCAGGAAGAAACCAGCAATCCCAAGAGAACCCACAGACCCTCTGAAGGAAACGGACTGCTCCTGCAGGGCCCGAGAGACACCCCAAATACTGTGAGTGCCCCAATTGTGAAGGTGGGAAAGGGAGACTGCCTCTCCCGAATCACTAGAGAAGCTGAAGGTCTGTTTGCAGGAGAAGTTTCCAACTTTACCTGGAGCTGAGTCAAGTTAGAGAGAGGAGTGAAATACAAGGGCAGAGGAAGCAGCAGAAAGGCCCTGGGAGCTCGCTGGGTCCCCAAGCAGCCCATTCCTGCCTGGCACCACAGGGATCCATTGGGAGGGTGGCCAGAGGAACAGGGGGTAAAACTCCACAGGGAGAAGGAATTCTCTAGCTGAACTTCGTAACAATTTGAGCGAGGAGAGAAGCCTCCTAGCCAGAACTTGGGGGAGGGCACAAATTGGGTATGCAGACTTCACAGGCAGAGGAAGAACTAAAGCCCTTTTCTCTCACAGCTGGGAGGCACATAGCCTGGGGCAAGTTTTCAAGTCAATCTTGCCCTCCACCTGGAAAAAGACTTGGGGCTGTTGGTGGGGGGCACAGTGGGAGCGAGACTGGTCCTTCAGTTTGCATGGGAGCTGCGTGAGGCCTGTGACTGCTGGCTTTCCCCCACTTCGCTGACAACCTGCATGACTCAGCAGAGGCAGCCATAGTCCTCCTAGGTACACAACTCCAGTGACTTGGGAATCTCACCCCTATCCCCCACAGCAGCCGCAGCAAGACCCACCCAAGGAGAGTCTGAGCTCAGACACACCTAGCCCCACCCCCACCTGATGCTCCTTCCCTATCTACCCTGGTAGTAGAAAGCAAAGGGCACATAATCTTGGGAGTTCTAGGGCCCCACCCACTGCCGGTCCGTCTCCACACTACTACAGCTGATGCTTTCTGGAAAGCGTCACCTCCTGGCAGGAGGCCAACCAGCACAAAAATAGAGCGTTAAACCACTAAAGCTAAGGAACCTTGCAGAGTCCATTGCACCCTCTGCCACCTCCACTGGAGCAGGTGCTGGTATCCGTGGCTGAGAGATCCATAGACGGTTCACATCACAGGACTCTGTGTGGACAACCCCCAGTACCAGCCCAGAGCCAGGTAGACTTGCTGGGTGGCTAGACCCAGAAGAGAGACAACAATCACTGCAGTTCGGTTCACAGGAAGCCACATCTATAGGAAAAGAGGGAGAGTACTACATCAAGGGAACACCCTGTGGGACAAAAGAATCTGAACAACAACCTTCAGCCCTAGACCTTCCCTCTGACAGAGCCTACCCAAATGAGAAGGAGCCAGAAAACATGGTTCCTGAATTCCAGAAAGAATTCAGGAGGTTAGTTATTAAGCTAATCAGGGAGGGAACAGAGAAAGGTGAAGCCCAAAGCAAGGAAATCCAAAAAATGATACAAAAGTGAAGGGAGAAATATTCATGGAAATAGACAGCTTAAAGAAAAAAACAATAAAAAACTCAGGAAACTTTTGACACACTTTTAGAAATGCGAAATGCTCTGGAAAGTCTCAGCAATAGAACTGAACAAGAGAACAAATAAATTCAGAGCTCGAAGACAAGATCTTCTAATTAACCCAATCCAACAAAGAAAAAAGAGTAAGAAAATATGAACAAAACCTCCAAGAAGCCTGGGATTATGTTAAATGACCAAACCTAAGAATAATTGATGTACCTGAGAAAGAAGAGAATTCTGAAAGCCTGAAAAACCTATTTGGGGGAATAATCAAGGAAAACTTCCCTGGCCTTGCAAGAGACCTAGACACCCAAATACAAGAAGCACAAAGAAGATCTGGGAACTTCATCACAAAAAGATCTTCGCCTAGGCACACTGTCTTCAGGTTATCCAAATTTAAGACGAAGGAAAGAATCTTAAGAGCTGTGAGACAGAAGAACCATGTAACCTATAAAGGAAATCCTATCAGATTAACAGCAGATTTCACAGCAGAAACCCTACAAGCTAGAAGGGATTGGGGACCTATTTTCAGCTTCCTCAAACAAAACAAGTATCAGCCAAAAATTTTGTATCCAGTGAAACTAAGAAACATATATGAAGGAAAGATACAGTCGTTTTCAGACAAACAAATGCTGAGAGAATTCACCATTACCAAACCACCACTACAAGCACTGCTAAAAGGAGTCCTAAGTCTTGAAACAAATCCTGGAAACACATCAAGACAGAACCTCTTTAAAGCATAAATCACACAGGACCTATACAACAAAAATATAAAAGCAAAAACAAAAAACAAACAAAAAACCAAAGTACACAGGCAACAAAGAACACAACGAAAGCAATGGTACTTCACATTTCAATAGCATCATTGAATGTAAATGGCCTAAATGCTCCATTTAAAAGATACAGAACTGCAGAATAGATAAGAACTCACCAACCATCTGCTGCCTCAGGAGACTCGCCCAACACATAAGGACTCACATAAACTTAAAGTAAAGGGGTAGAAAAAGGGATTTCATGCAAATGGACGCCAAAAGGAAGCAGGGGTAGCTATTCTTATATCAGACAAAACAAACTTTAAAGTGGGCAAATTCAGGTTCTCCGGCACCGTAGTGGTAGTCGCTGGCCCAAGTTAGAGGCCAACTGAGAAGTCTTCGTGCCTTAGATTTGTTGACCTACAGAATGCTTCAATATCCATATTTTTGTAGAATGTATAAAGAATGTCTTTCATGTTGTTTGGAATCTGGCATACCTAATTTAGGTGTCTGGCCAAAAAGAATACATACTACAGCAGAAAAATATAAAGAATATGAAGCCCAGGAGCAAACAGATCAAACTCAAGCCCAGGAGTTAAACAGATCTCAAGATAGAGATTTTGAAACTATTGGTAAATTACATATTCCAGCAATGGTGGATGAAGTTGTTCATTGTTTGTCACCACAAAAAGGACAGGTTTTTCTAGATATGATATTTGGTTCAGGAGGGCACACAAAAGCTATTCTACAGAAGGAGTCAGATGTTGTTCTGTATGCCTTGGACAGAGACGCAACAGCTTCTGCATTAGCTGAACATCTTTCAGAGCTGTATCCTAAACAAATCCGAGCTATGCTGGGCTAGTTCAGCCAGGCTGAAGCCTTATTAATGAAGGCTGGAGTGCAGCCAGGGACTACTGACGGAGTTCTTATGGATCTTGGGTGTTCCTCCATACAACTTGATACTCCCGAAAGAGGGTTTTCTCTTCAGAAAGATGGCCCCTTAGACATGAGGATCATGATGATGGATGGTGGCAGGTACCCTGACATGCCCACTGCTGCTAATGTTGTGAATGCTTTAGATCAACAGGTACTTGCATCTATCCTAAGAACATATGGGGAAGAGAAGCATGCCAAGAAAATCGCTTCAGCACACAGCATCTACCCCATCACCAGAACCAAGCAGCTTGCCAGCATCATCACAGGAGCATTTCCTCCCTCTGCTATTTATGCACGAAAAGACTTGCTACAATGATCTACTCATATTGCCACCAAGACTTTCCAGGCTCTTTGCATATTTGTGAACAATGAGCTCAATGAACTCTACACAGGACTGAAGACAGCTCAGAAGTTTCTGAGACCTGGTGGTTGCCTTGTTGCCCTCTCCTTCCATTCACTACAGGATTGCATCGTCAAAAGATGTTTGCTTAGAATAAGCACGACAGAAAGGTTTAACCTAAGTGTTAGACAGCAAGTGATGAAAACACTGCAACTGGGTTCAGATCACGAAAACACGGAAGAAGTCTCTATGAGAAGAGCTCCTTTAATGTGAGAATTGATACACAAGAAGGTACTTAGTCCACAAGATCAGGATGTACAAGATAACCCTAGAGGGTGCTCAGCCAAGCTTAGAGGAGCTATCAAATTATAAGTCACCATCATCTTATTCTTCAAATTTTTTTCTCACAATTTCTCTAACCTTCACTCGTGTTATGTTCCTGAACACCTTGATATAGGTTTAAGTGTGGGACAGTCTGAAAAGTGATAGCATTTAGCATTTTTTTCCCCTCAAAAAGAAACTGTAGGAAATATTACCATGAAAGTTCCACTCAGGGAGCAGCAGCATCTCAAGACTGGAAAAATGTGTTAATCTTTACATTGGACTCTTGAAATGCAGTCCTTCCTCTGGCCAGGAAATTTTATTTAAATAATACTATGTTGTGTTTATCTAAATATGTAAACCCAAGCTGTCAAATCATACCTGCATGTCCTAAATTTTGAACTTAGATATTTGCAACAGTCTTTCTCTGGCTCAAATGATGATGATTATGGATGAATTTTAACGTCCCTACTTGTGAATAATTACTATAGCTTTGTCAAATGTAGGCTTTTTACAAATTTTAAATTTTAAAATATTAGTTTACGTGTTATACTGATAAAATTTCATTTTTCAAATTATAGTCTATTATTTCAAAGAGATTTTTCAGTACGATATGGGCCATTTTGTTCATATATAGCAAAGTAAAAATGTAAAATCCTTACAGCGAATTGTTTGACAAAACTTATATTTCATGTCAATTTATTTAATAATAGCTCACAATGCCTTTAGTACATAATAAAGTCTTTTATTAGAATCTTATATGTTTTAATTGAGCTAATCAAAATAATTCAGCCAAGTCTATTCGAAATAGAAAACTATTTAATATAGTAAAATCAATGCTCCCTTAACGGTGTTACAAAGATATGGTAACTGTAATAAGGGTAAAAGTTTATTCAAGAAAAGAGTACTTGGTAGAAGATTCTTTAACAAATTGATGAGATTGATTCATAATTCACATGTCAACTTTTTATATGTAATATGTACTTCTAATTTATTCAGTTATTCATCAATAACTGAAAGCAAAGTAAAAAGGTAAAATCAAGCAAGTACTGAACTTGTCATTAGAAAAGCAAAGGTAAGTACAATATACATGGCCCACAGTACATGTCCTATAGAGTTTAGTAGAGGAAAATTATGTTAATTATAATCACAAAAATCAATATAAAATGGACATAGTGGCAAATACTACAAACAAGTCGTACTTGGTACTGTAAGAGCATCTAGTAAGGATTTTATCTGTTGTCAGAAACCAGGTATGAGAACATAATACTTGAATTGTGACCTGAAGGATGAGTTGGAGATAATTAGTCAAAGGGCACTTGGGGTATGGAAGGGGACATGTTGATTAACGGTACACATAAATAAATATTCTCTTAAATAGATATCCTTGAAATCATATTTATACCATTGATTTGCTCAGTAAACATTTTTCAAATACAGAAAAAAGGTTCTCCATTATGGTTACAAATTTTAAGTTGGTGGATCCAAGTGAATGAAATATCAGCATAACTGTATGGGCAAAATAGATAAGAATTAAATACATGAATTTACCTCAGACTTATTTTATCTACCTCTGTAATATTTAACTTTAGTACCCAGGCTTGTTTACTACTTCTGCTTTACAGGCTTTATTTAAATCTGAACAATCCTACAGGGAAATCAGAATTAGAAAAAAAAAAATCTGGAGAACAATATGCTTCAAATAGAAACAAGAGAATGCAACTAGGTTAATTCTCTGAATCCTACTTGAAGAATGTATAAAGTTCTCTTTGCCTGCAACACATATTTGTGAATGAGACATATTCCCCAAAAATTCTTATCCCTGTACGTAATTGGAAAATAAAAGATCACATTTGTATATTCAACAACCATTCACCTATTTCGTAAGTCATTTTTTCATCCTTTATAGTATGGGAATTATTTTTTATGTTAAATAGAAACTGAATGCTCTGGGTTGAACAGTGTCCCCTCAAAATTCATGTACTTCCTAGAGTCCGAGAATGTGACCTTATTTGGAAATACCGTCATTGGGGTTGTAAGTAGCTAAGATGAGGTCATACTGGAGTAGGGCAGGCCCTTAATCCAACATGACTGGTGTTCCTTGTAAGAGAAGATAGGGCTGGTGTGGTGGCTCACACCTGTAATCCCAGCACTTTGGGAGGCCAAGCCGGGTGAATAGCTTCAGGTACAGGAGTTCAAGACCAGCCTGGCCAATATGGCGAAAACTCATCTCTACCAAAAATACAAAAAATTAGCCAGGCATGGTGGTGTGTGCCTGTAATCTCAGCTACCCAGGAGGCTGAGGCACAAGAATCACTAGAACCCGGGAGGTGGAAGTTGCAGTGACCTGAGATGGCGCCACTGCACTCCAGTCTGAGCAACAGAGCGAGACTCTGTCTGAAAAAAAAAAAAAAAAAAAAAAAGGAAAATAAAAAGAAGAGAAGATAGAGACACAGGAGAGAATGCCACATGAAGCTGGAGCACAGATTGGGGTGATACATCATGGCAACCATCAGAAGACAGGAAAAATGCATGGAACAGATTCTCCCTCAGAGTTCCAGAAGTTGCCAACCCTGCTAACGTGATTTTGCACTTCTAGCCTCCAGAATGGTGAGAGAATATATTTCTGCTGTTTTAAGGTATCCAGTTTGTGGTAATTTGTTATAGCAATCCTAGGCAACTAATACTCTGACAGAAAAAAATCTCGGATAATATGCATGAGAAAAATCTTTCAATAAACACAAAATTGGTATCAAAATGTTTTCATGTAAAAATAGATTAACTTTTCTGTAATTAGGCTGTGTTTTATAGTCATTCTTGCCTACTTCTTAGTCTTTGTTGTAGGATGCATAATAAAATACATGAATGAGTTTTAAATGGTTAACTTTGGAGAAAGGTTTTGGGAAGCTCATACAGTACACAGAAATAAAAGCTGATGTTACAATGAATGTACATTACTTTTCTAATAAAATATTTCTGAAATATTCAAAAAAAAAAAAACAACACACCAAACTTTAAAGCAATAGTGGTTAAAAGAGACAAAGAGGGACAGTATATAATGGTAAAAGGCCTTGTCCAACAGGAAAATATCATAATCCTAAACATATATGCACCTAACATCAGAGCTCCCAAAGTTATAAAACAATTACTAATAGACCTAAGAAATGAGATAGATAGCAACACAATAATAGTGGTGGGCTTTAATACTCCACTGACAGCACTAGACAGGTCATCAAGACAGACAGTCAACAAAGAAACAATGGATTTAAACTATACCTTGGAACAAATGGACTTAACAGGTATATACAGAATATTTCATCCAACAACCACAGAATACACATTCTATTCAACAGTGCATGGAACGTTCTCCAAGACACAGCATATGATGGGCCATAAAATGAGCCTCAGTAAATTTAAGAAAACTGAAATTATAACAAGCACTCTCTCAGACCACAGTGAAAAAAAACCGGAAATCAACTTCAAAACGAACCTTCAAAACCATGCAAATACATGGAAATTAAATAATCTGCTCCTGAATGAGCATTGGGTCAAAAACGAAATCAAGATGGAAATTTAAAAATTATTCGAACTGAATGACAAAAATGACACAACCTATCAAAACCTCTGCGATACAGAAAAGGTGGTGCTAAAAGGAAAGTTCATAGCCCTAAATGCCTACATCAAAAAGTCTGAAAGAGCACAAACAGACAATCTAAGGCTAGAGAACTAGAGAACTTAAAGAACTAGAGAAACAAGAAAAGACCAAACCCAAACCCAGCAGAAGAAAGGAAATAACCAAGATTAGAGCAGAACTGAATGAAATTGAAACAAAAAAAAAATACAAACAATAAATGAAACAAAAAGCTGGTTATTTGAAAAGGTAAATAAAATTGATAGACCATTAGCAAGATTAACTGAGAAAAGAAGAGAGAAAATCCAAATAACCTCACTAAGAAATGAAACAGGAGATATTACAACTGACACCACTGAAATACAAAAGATCATTCAAGGCTACTATGAACACCTTTACTCACATAAACTAGAAAATCTAGAAGAGGTGGATAAATTCCTGGAAAAATACAACCCTCCTAGCTTAAATCAGGAAGAATTAGATACCCTGAACAGACCAATAACAAACAGCAAGATTGAAATGGCAATTAAAACACATGCACACATAAGTTTATTGCAGCACTATTCATAATAGCAAAGACTTGGAACCAACCCAAATGTCCAACAATGACAGACTGGATTAAGAAAATGTGGCACATATACACCATGGAATACTATGCAGCCATAAAAAACGATGAGTTCATGTCCTTTGTAGGGACATGGATGAAGCTGGAAACCATCATTCTCAGCAAACTATCGCAAGGACAAAAAACCAAACACCACATGTTCTCACTCATAGGTGGGAACGGAACAATGAGAACACATGGACACAGGAAGGGGAACATCACACACCAGGGACTGTTGTGGGGTCGGGGGAGGGGGGAGGGATAGCATTAGGACATATACCTAATGCTAAATGACGAGTTAATGGGTGCAGCACACCAACATGGCACATGTGTACATATGTAACAAACCTGCACATTGTGCACATGTACCCTAAAACTTAAAGTATAATAATAAAATTTAAAAAAAGAATATGTAAAATTTTAAATTTAAAGATCAAATAATGAACAATTATTGTATTCATGTAATTTTGTCCTTAAATATATCAGTTGGCTAATTAAAAAAAAAAAACTACCAACAAAAAAAAAAGCCCAGGACCAGACGGATTCACAGCAGAATTCTACCAGACATTCAAAGAAGAATTGGTACCAATCCTCTTGACACTATTCCACAAGACAGAGAAAGAAGGAACCCTCCCTAATTCATTCTATGAAGCTAGCATCACCCTAATACCAAAACCAGGAAAGGACATAACCAAAAAGAAAACTACAGACCGATATCCTTGATCAACATAGATGGTAAAATCCTTAACAAAATAGTAGCTAACCAAATCCAACAACATATCAAAAAGATAAATATCAGGGATGCAGGGATGGTTTAACACACGCAAATCAATAATGTGATACACCACATAAACAGAATTAAAAACAAAAATCACATGATCATTTCAATAGATGCAGAAAAAGCGTTAGACAAAATCCAGCATCACTTTATGATTAAAACTCTCAGCAAAACCCACATACAAGGGACATACCTTAATGTAATAAAAGCCATCTATGACAAGCCCACAGCCAACATAATACTGAATGGGGAAAAGTTGAAAGCATTCCCTCTGAGAAATGGAAAAACACAAGGATGCCCACTCTCACCACTCCTCTTTAACATAGTACTGGAAGTCCTAGCCAGAGCAATCAGACAAGATAAAGAAATAAAGGGCATCCAAATCAGTAAAGAGGAAGTCAAACTGGCACTGTTTGCTGACAATATGATCATTTATCTTGAAAACCCTAAAGACTCCTCTAGAAAGCTCTTAGAACTAATAAAAGAATTCAGCAAAGTCTCCGGATACAAGATTAATGTACACAATCAGTAGCTCTTCTGTACACTAACAGTGACCAAGTGGAGAATCCAATCAAGAAATCAATCCATTTCACAATAGCTGCAAAAAAAAAAAAAATACTCAGTAATATACCTAACAAAGGAGTTGAAAGACCTCTACAAGGAAAACTACAAAACACTGCTGAAAGAAATCATAGATGACACAAACAAATGGAAACACATCCCACGCTCGTGGATGGGTAGGATCAATATTGTGAAAATGACCATACTGCCAAAAGCAATCTACAAATTCAATGGAATCCCCATCAGAATACCACCATCATTCTTCACAGAATTAGAAAAAAAAATTCTAAAATGCATATGGAATCATAAAAGAGCCCACATAGCCAAAGCAAGACTAAACAAAAAGAACAAATCTAGAGGCATCACACTACTGATTTCAAACTATACTATAAGGCCATAGTCACCAAAACAGCATGTGACTGGCATAAAAAAAAAAAAGGCACATAGACCAATGGAACAGAATAGAGAATGCAGAAATAAACCCAAATACTTACAGCCAGTTGACCTTTGACAAAGCAAACAAAAATATAAAGTGGGGAAAGGATACCCTTTTCAACAAATGGTGCTGAGATAATTGGCTAGCCCCATGTAGGAGAATGAAACTGGATCCTCATCTCTCACTTTATACAAATTTAACTCAAGGTGAATTAAGGACTTAAACCTAAGACCTGAAACTATAAAAATTCTAGAAGATAACATTGGAAAAACCCTTCTAGACATTGGCTTAGGCAAGGATTTCATGACCAAGAACCCAAAGCAAATGCAATAAAAACAAAGATAAATATCTGGGACCTAATTAAACTAAAGAGCTTTTGCATGGCAAAAGGAACAGTCAGCAGAGTAAACATACAACCCACAGAGTGGGAGAAAATCTTCACAATCTATACACCTGACAGAGGACTAATATCCAGAATCTACAATGAACACAAACAAATCAGTAAGAAAAAATCAAATAGTCCCATCACAAAGTGGGCTACGGACATGAATACAGAATTCTGAAAAGAAGATATATAAATGGTCAACAAACATATGAAAAAATGCTCAACATCACTAATGATCAGGGAAATGCAAATCAAAACTACAATATGATGCCACCTTACTCCTTCAAGAATGGCCATAAAAAAAAAAATCCCATAACAGTAGACGTTGGCATGGATGCAACAATCACGGAACACTTCTACGTTGCTGGGGGGAATGTAAACTAGTACAACCACTATGGAAAACAGTGTGGAGATTCCTTAAAGAACTAAAAGTAGAACTACCATTTGATTCAGCAATGCCTCTACTGGGTATCTACCTAGCAGAAAAGAAGTCATTATTTGAAAAAGATACTTGCACACGCATGTTTATAGCAGCACAATTCACAATTGCAAAATCATGGAACCAGCCCAAATGCCCATCAATCAATGAGTGGATTAAAAAACTGTGGTGTATATACATGGTGGAATACTATGCAGCCATAAAAAGGAATGCATTAACAGCATTTGCAGTGACCTGGATGAGACTGGAGACTATTATTCTAAGTGAAGGAACTCAGGAATGGAAAATCAAACATCCTATGTTCTCACTGATATGTGGGAGCTAAGCTATGAGGACGCTGCAAAGGCATAAGAATGATACAATGGACTTCGGGGACGTAGGGGGAAGAGTGGGAGGGGTAAAAGACAACAAATATGGTGTAGCGTATACAGCTCAGGTGATGGGTGCCCCAAACTCTCACAAATCACCACTAAAGAACTTATTCATGTAACCAGATACCTCCTGAATCCCAATAACTTCTGGAAAAATAAAATTAAAAAAATAAAAATAATAAATTCTTGATTATATGTTTTGCTAGAGAAACAGGAAGGCTTTGGTCTTTTGATGACAGAGAGAAGCTTAGGGAATTTGGAAAAATATTAAGGGGGAAGAAGCTTGTAGCTCCCAAGATAGATAAGCTAATTATTTCTCTCTCTTTCTTTCTCCCTCCTTTCTTCTAACATCTCCCTCCTTTCTTCTAACATCTTCGATTTTTTTTTTTTCAAAACTTGAAGAAACTTTGATAACAATTTGCCCTAGGTCCCTCCTTAACTGATTGGGAAACTGAGGACAACAGCGTTTAAGTTGCTTGCCCAAATCATACAACTAGATCCTTGGCTGCTAACTTTTCAAAAGGCCTTCATAAAATTTCACAGCAGAGACTACTAACGCCGGGGTTGGAGATGCCTGTGAAGGGAGCATCAAGAACATCTGGTGATGAAGAGAGAACTGGACTGGAAGGAAGGGCATACGTGGGCACTTCTCTGGATGAGTCTGTGTGAAGAGAGTTTTTTTTTAATGTGAGTTTTATTCATGATAAATGATAAAAAGTAGGAAAACAAAGCACTCATGTTTAGTGTCTTGAACATTGTGTATTGTTCTTTTTGGATTGGAAAAAATTTAATTCAGGACTATATGAACTTAGTTGGTACAGTTTCTCCAGGGTAGTTTTACTGACACGTAAGTCACAGACTGATATTTCAGATCCTTGCCAGGTATCCTAGCTATGTAGACATATACAAATTGAATTTTGGTATATGGCTACATTTAGCCACACTGATATGGGCTTCATCAGTTAAATATCTTTATAGCAGGCTCTCACCTTTATCCCTTCACTTGTCTACCTAACCTCGATATTCTTGTTATTGGGGAAGGGTTTGGGGAGATGAGAAGCTGGCATCCTTGAAGTGAGACTCCCAGTGAAAGCCAAATGCATGCAAAAGGGACATTCCCAGAGTGATGGAACCACACAGTGGGTGGACAGAAGGTTGGGAAACAGGCCAGATAAGACAATGTTTTGGTTTAAGGCTACACTGATAAGGGAAGGATGAAGCATGGTTTCCAGGTGGCGTGTTTCTCTCTTTTAATGTTGTTTACAGAGGATGTCTGTCCAAGAGAGGTGAGTTTTGGAAGAAGCAGCCTCGTGTTATATACTTTGGTTGGTATTTTGCAGATCACAATAATCTAATTGATAGATTTATACCACATGTATTTGTGCATACACACACATGTATATGTCACTGTTGTAGAGTTTTGCCAGATAATTACAGGAATTATTTCGGTTCTAGAACTTTATAGGGGCATGATAACTGCAGTCTGAGCACTCAAGAGTGGAGCACTCTTCCACTCTTTGGGAAGCTGCTGATGACAAAGCAAAAACACCTCACTCTGTACCCCAGGACTCCAGGGGCTGCATTAGGATAGGGTAACCATGTCAGATGACCTGAAGAAGGATCAAAAAATTGGCCAATTATTTGACTAGGACATTTTTGGAGGGCACTCTACCTTGCAGCTTATCAAGGATGTATAATTCTATGTAATGAATCATGTACCTACTAGCAGGCAGAACTTCTAGGAATTCCCATGATTTATATAAAAGACTATTGACACTTCCAAGCTGTGATCTACCCAAGCACTTGGCCCACTCCCTCAAGGACTTTGGGCTGTGAGAGAGACCCACACATCCTCAGGTCCTGGTCTCCCAGCCTCGAGAGATTCTACCCAAACACCAACCTACAACCATTTTGTACATTCATTGCCAGATGTCTGATGTCCTTAAAAGTACATAATTTTCAGCTTTTGTGGCTGAATCCTTAAATGGGCTCTTAATCTCCACAGTCCTTGAATTGTGACAAGCTTTCAAAGGAAGAGATCTCCACATCAAGGGTTTGAGCACAGTTTGAAAGGAGTGCTTAGTTGCAGCCATTAGTCCACCAGCAGGAAACTAGCAGGCTGTCATCACATGCAGCCCCACATTAGCAGCAAATGTAGGTTCTCAAGGGGAACACTAGGAAGACATTATTCTACACAGGGCCTGGGATTACTGCCTGTGTTGTAATGCAAAATAGAACCTGTGAAATGAACAATGCATGGGTCTTAAATCTCTTTCTTAAAAAAGAATCTCTATCGCAAGAACAAAAAACCAAACACCACATATTCTCACTCATAGGTGGGAATTGAACAATGAGAACACATGGACACAGGAAGGGGAACATCACACTCTGGGGACTGTTGTGGGGTGGGGGGAGGGGGGAGGGATAGCATTGGGAGATATACCTAATGCTAGATGACGAGTTAGTGGGTGCAGCGCACCAGCATGGCACATGTATACATATGTAACTAACCTGCACATTGTGCACATGTACCCTAAAACTTAAAGTATAATAAATAAATAAATAAATAAATAAATAAATAAATAAGAATCTCAAAAAATAGATGGGAATGGAGGCCTTTGCTTTTCTCAGTTGTATCACCATTGTTGCCAAGGTTTTCTTCTCTGCCATTACCATCTCATGGTTGTTCTAAGTTCCCACCTTTGGTCGAGTGATTCCCTGATACTTGGTGAAAACCAAAACACAATTATGAAAGCAGTGCCCTTCTACTGATTGGCTGGAGGCATCCTTTCCATTGAGTTGGACTTCTTATTTTACTTTGTTCCCATTTGTCACCTCATCTCTGTTGATTCTGCCTTCTAAATTAATTCTTCTGCCATATGACTTAAGTCTCCTACTGCTAACTCCTCTCTTTACTTAACCTCATCTATTTGAATTCCCTAGTGTCAGTTATTGCTTGGGGAACAAAGGAAATGGAATGGCTTCTTATATTTATTTCATTTTTTTTCTCCCGTGGGAGACTTCTGAGAGGGAGCTTTGGCCTATTCAGAAGTATACAGTATTCACAGACGTGTACGAGGTCTGCCCCCTGACATTTAATCTTTAAAATTATTCCTCGTAGCCAACTCTAGTCAACTCTGGAAATTTCTTTATATTTAAAATGAGGCTAACTCATTCTTGGGATCTGGTGTTTCCAGATGTTCAAGTGTTGCTATTCTTCGATTGACTCAGTCTCTGCCATTGAAGTTTCAGCAGGAGCTGACATTGCTTTCCCATGCCTTCTCATAACTCATTACAGTCTTGGGAAAGTCACTCCTGGAACATCCCCAAAGTCTGGAGCGCTGGAATCTGAAAAGGTACACAGCAGCAGCCATCCACCTGCACTCCAACCTTCCATGTTATCAGATCTGTCGTCGTGTTGAAAAGTCGTATTGTGATATGGAGCTCAACTGTTGTCCTCATCTTGTACAAAGAGGGAGAGAGGCCTGAGGAGCCTTGGGTTATAGTTTCCAGTGACCAGCTCTGTGAGCTTGAACAAACAGCTTTTCTCTGTCTCTCAGTCTGTAAAATGAAGTGGTTTGATGTTTGATCAAATTCTATACAGTTTGGAATTATTCTTTCTCTTAAATTTCTGCATGGAATTTATTTTCCTCGCTTATAAAATAGATTGCATTTCCAAACTGTAGTCCTCACTGTATTATTTCCCAGTCTTTTTCCTATTATCCTAATTGTCTTACTTTTTGGGTACGATAGCTTCCCATTTAACTTGTTAAAACCTTTTTATTTTTATCTATGATTTATTAATGTATCACTTTTTGTATAGAACATTCAAAATATTTTTAGTAAACTAAAATTTCCTTTAGTTATATTATGTTAGTGAATTTTTGTTGAAATGTAACATATACGCAGAAAAGTAATAATAAGCATAGGGTTGAATTGCCACCAAGTAAATCCCACTTAATTATAACCCAGATCAAGAAACAATTTAACAAGCTTCCCAGAATCCCCCTCCATGCCCCATTCCATTTACTCACCTCCCCCTCAAGAGTGACCACTCTGCAGACTTCTAACACTATATATTTGCATCACCTGTATCTAAACTTTAAATAAGTGGAATCATATTGTATATATTGTTTGCGGTTTGGCTTCTTTCAAATTATGTTTTGAGATTCACATATGTTATTGTGGAGGAACTATAATTTCTTATTCTCATTGCTGTAGAGCAGTTTAACTTTTCAAATGATTTTTTTAAACTAGCATAGGAATTTCCGTTCTGTCTTCTTAGACCAAATAAATGCTGATGATGTCTCTGTGGAGAAAGAGTTTATATGCTAGAAAGTATCACAACAGAATGATATAAGATGTTTTAACCTCTTTCCACCTGTGACCATGGTAACTACTGGAAATGCTGGAGAGTGTGGCGCTCAAAAGAAGCTACCAGACTGTTTTGTGGATATTTCAGAGGATCCCAGAATGTCCTCATAAATTAAGGAAAAGTAGACCTTAATCCATTTCACTGATCAAAGTACCTGATCCAAAAATCAGGCCTTAATCCATTTCACTGATCAAAGTACCTACAACATATAAGCTCCATTACGTATTTTGTTATCAATGTTACTTTGGAAATAGACAGATATGAAAGCACATAATCAACAAACTATGATCAATAGATCAAATAACTCCTGGGGCTCCAGGGTGGGGACAGGAACACAAGGAAGAAGAAGTAACAATGTAGTAGTTGGCTCCTCCAGATGAAAAAAGTCTAATAAGCAAAGAGCAAGGCTGGGCTTAGTGTATGCACTCAGGACATTCTGAGTTCAAGTTTGAACTTGTGTACCATTGGCCATGCCTTTGAAAAGCCAGTTGATTGATGCTTCTAAGCAAAGAGTTTTCAATACAATCAAACATTGCTACTTATCAAGATTATATATTCTAGTGATAGATTTGATGCCCTACCAAGATGGGAATTATTCATGTGAAAAGTCTGAAAGCTCATAGTAGGAGTATAATCTCAAGCTAATTATCCAAAATGCCCAATTTCTCCTATACTTCTTTACAAAGATTTGCCCTAGATTCTTTCATGCTTTTTTACCTTTCTCCTGAGGGACAATTAGTTGTTAATTTCTTCCTTTAGTATCTTTTAGCAATCTCCAAAGTGAACCAAAAAGTCAGATTCACTCCCTTTAGATAAAAGATCTTGGACATTTTCTCTTCTTTCTTGGCTGTGGGCAAAGATTTTTTTTCTTTTACTCATTTCCTTGTATCCATCAGGAGTTAGGATGAAGGCAGCATATTTATTTGATGTAGAGTAAGTGGATAACTCAGAATCCTTTTAAAATGCTATCCATTTAAAAGGTCAGTAGTCCCATGTCCTTTGAGGTTTATCTGTCTGGCACTTGGGGGAGGGGGACAGTAAATAAATCTGTTGAGGCTGATGTGAGTTGGGGCCATCTGTGCCGTAGACAAGTGAATGCTGCAGACTTAGAAAAGGTTTCAACAAACTGATTTTAAATGATTTTTTTTTTTTTTTTTTTTTTTTTACTGGAAACATGACGTGGATTTGATACTCTACAATAGGGCACTCCCTGAGAGTTGTGAAGTAGGATATGGGGGAATGATTGATTTATTTGGTAAATAAAAAGTGGGACAAAGGAGAGGAGACTAGGATTCTTAAAGTTCAGTTTAACAAAGTCAGAAACAAAAAAAAGGAAATATAAATGATACCACAGAAATACAAAAGATCATCAGAGAATATTAGGAATGACTATACACTAACAAACTGGAAAACCTAGGGGAAAAGGATAAATTCCTGGACACATACAACCTATAAAGACTGAATCAGGAAGAACTAGAAAACCTGAACAGATCAATAATCAATAATAATCAGTAACAAGATTGAATGAGTAATAAAAAGTCTCCTAACAAAATAATGCCCAGGACCAGATGGCTTCACTGCTGAATTCTACCAAGCTTATAGAGAAGAACCAACACCAATTCTTCTCCAACTATTCCAAAAAATTGAATAGAATTCTCCCCAACTCATTGCTCATGGCCAGCATTAACCCGATACCAAAACCAAACAAGAACATGACATAAAAAGAAAACCACAGGCCAATATTCCTGATGAAAACAGAGGCAAAAATACTCAACGAACTACCGCAAATTGAAATCAATAGCACATCAAAAAGATAATACAAGCTGGCCATGGTGGCTCATGCCTGTAATCCAAGCTGGGGTGAGAGGATCGCTTGAGGCCAAGACTTCAAGACCAGCCTAGGCAACATAGTGAGACTCTGTCTTTACAAAACAAAATTTTAAAAAATTTTGGTACACACCTATAGTCCTAGCTACTCAGGAGGTTGAGGTGGGAGGATTGCTTAAGCCCAGGATTTCAAGGTTACAGTGAACTATGATCATGCCACTGCACTCTAACCTGGGCAAAAGAGCAAGATCCTGTCTCTAAAAAAATTAAAATAATAAAATTAACTAAAAGATAATGTAACAGGATCAAGTGAGATTGCATCCCATACAAGGGTAGTTCAGTATACATAAACCAAGAAACACAATACATCACATCAGGAGAATGAAGCCAAAAACCATATCATCTCATAGATGCAGAAAAAGCATTTGATAAAATCAACACTGCCTCATGATAAAAAAAAAAAACTCTCAACAAACTATGCAAAGAAGGAAAATATCTCAACATAATAAAGGTCATATATGACAGTCTCACAGCTAACATCACACTGAATGAGGGAAAGCTAAAAGCCTTTCCTCTAAGAACTGGAATAAGACAAGGATGCCCACTCTCACCATTCATATTCAACATAGTACTGGGAGTTGTAGCCAGGGCAATCAGGCAAGAGAAAGAAAGAAAAAGAAAACTACATCCAAATTGGAAAAGAGGAAGTCCAATTGTTCCTCTTTGCAAATGACATGATCTTACATTTAGAAGAACATGATGACTCCACCAAAACACTCTTAGATCTTATAAGCAAATTCAGTAAAGCTGCAGAATACAAAATCAATATGAAAAAATTAGTAGCATTTCTATACACCAGTAATGAAATAGCTGAAAAAAACAAGAAGACAATCTCATCTGCAACGGCCAAAAAAAAAAAAAAACGCCTAGGAATAAATTTAACCAAGGGGGGTGAAAGACCTCTACAAGGAAAATGACAAAGCACTGATGAAAGATATTGAAGAGGACACAAATGGAAAGACATCCCATGCTCACATATTAGAATAATTAATATTGTTAAAATGACTATACTACCCAAAGCAATCTACAGAGTCAATGCAATCACCATCAAAATACCAACATCATTTTTCACAGAAAATAAAAAACAATACTAAAATTTATGTGGAACCCAAAAAGTGCCTGAATACCAAAGCACTCTTGAGCAAAAGGAACGATGCTGGAGGCATCACACTACTTGGCTTCAAAATGTATTACAAGGCTACCGTAACCAACACAGCATGGTACTAGTATAAAATAGGCACACATGGACCAATAGAACAGAATAGAGAACCCCGAAATAAATCCACGTATTTGCAGCCAACTGATTTTTGACAAAGGCACCGAGAACATACATGGGGAATGGATACCCTCGTTAATAAATGGTGCTGGGAAAACTGGATGTCTATATGCAGAAGAATGAAACTAGACCCCTATCTCTCACCATACACACACAAGAAGACCCCTCAAAATTGATTAAAAAGCTTAATATAAGACATGAAACTATAAAACTACTGGAAGAAAATGTAAGGGAAACACTACAGGACATTGGTCTAGGCAAAGATTTTATGGCTAAATCTCAAAAGCACAGGCAACGAAAACAAAAATGGACAAATGGGATATTAAACTAAAAAGCTCCTGCACAGCAAGGGAAACAGAGTGAAAAGACAACCTGTGGAATGGGAGAAAATATTTTCAAACTATTCATCTGACAAAGGAGTAATATCCAGAATATACAAGAAGCTCAAACAACTCAATAGCAAAAAAGTAATAAACCCATTAAAACATGGGCAAAGGATATAGACATTTCTTAAAAGATGACATGCAAATGGCCAACAGGCATGTGAAAAATGCTCAATATCACTAATCATCAGGAAAATGCAAATCAAAACCATAATGAGATATCATTTCATGCCAGTTAGAGTGGCTATTATTAAAAAGACAAAAAATAATAGATGCTGGCAAGGATTCAGAGAAAAAGGAACTCTTATGATACACTATTGGTGGGAATGTAAATTAGTACAGCCATTATGGAAAACAATATGAAGATTTCATAAAAAACTAAAAATAGAACTACCCATATGATCCGGCAATCCTACTACTAGGTATGCATCCAAAGGAAAGGAAATCAGTATGTTAAAGGGATACCTGCAACCCCATGTTTACTGCAGCACTATTTACAATAGCAAAGCCGTGGAATCAACCTGAGTGACAATCAACAGATTAATGGGGATAAAGAAAATGTGGTATATATACACAATGGAATACTACTTGGCCATAAAAAACAAAATCTTGTCTTTTGCAGCAACATGGATAGAACTGGAGGTCATTATGTTTAGTGAAATCAGCCAGCCAGAACATATGTTCTCATATGTTCTCACTCATGTGTGGGAAGTATAGAAGTTGATCTCATCGAGGTGGAGAGTGGAATGATAGATATCTGAGGCTGGCAAGGGTGTGTATGCATAGAGAATGAAGAAAAGTTGGCTAATGTGTACAAACATTCAGTTAGATAGAAGGAATAAGTTCTAATGTTTGATAGCAGAGTTGGGTGACTACAGTTAACATCAATGTATTGTATGTTTCAAAACAGCTAGAAGAGAGGACTTGAAATGTTCCAACACATATAAATAGTAAATACTCAAGGTGATAGATACCCCAAATACCCTGACTTTATCATTGCGCATTCTATGCATGTAACAAAAAACCTTATACACCCTATAAAATGTACCAATATTATATATCAATAAAAATTCAGCTTAAGGTCTAGATTGCAATAAAATCCTGTGTTTTTGATTATTAGAAATCATCATCTACTTCCCCTTCCAATTTCCCCTATTTCCTTTAACATTAGTTTATTCTTTCATTTTATTTACAACTTTTGAGATTTTAAAAAGGCACCAGGCAGTATTTACTACTATTATTACTACTCTTAATACTACTAACTAACAAATGTGTAATGAATGCTTACTATATGTCAGGCATAGTGTCAGTTGCTTCACATATGTTATTTATATAATCCTGTCAATAATCCGATGAGATAGATATTATGTCCAATTTACAGATGAAGAAACTGAGGTTCAGAGTTGTTAAGCAACTTGCCCAATACAATCCCACTAGTAAATGCTAGAGATAGCATTCAAACCCGAGCAATCTTACAACAGAACAAATGGCAAAAACTGCAGTTACTTTGCACCAACTTACCGTTATTACCAACCTTTCCCTATTTCCTAAGTGCAACTTCTGAGGATTATTTTCAAGTGAATACACATTTAATTCTTTTTCTTAATTTTCAGCCTCAAATACACTTCTATGGATTCCATTTATTCATTGCTTTATGTGTCACTGTAAAACCACATCCTAGTTAAATCCCACATCTACCTAAATGTAGATTCCAAGAATCTAAGGAATACCATTATGTGTAAAGCCCCCGAGGATATTAAAAAGAAGAAATAATTCTGTCCTCTGTTGATCAAGGAGTTATGATATGTACACCAAATAACTTCAAAGTCAATGTGTTAAGTTCAAAAAGATGTTACAGATAAAAATTATGGGAATTTAGATGGAAGCAGCATTTGGGTCGAAAATTAAGAGTAAGCAGGAATTTGACATAAAAAGAAACAGAGTTCACTCCATTACACATGGAGGCATAGTTACCAGGAAGAAAAGGACATATTTGCAGTGCTGGCTGCAATAAATTTATCTGATTGGGATATGGGCTGTGTCAGTGGCATACTTGAGCTATACCTGCACTGAAACTCACCGCTCTTTCTCCACCCCAACGTTCCTTTCAATTAACATCTCTACTAAAATGAAACTCATATATAATAATAACAAACTGGGGTCTTTTTTGTCATAGTAGGATTCTGGCTTTTTTATATCTATATGATAAAAGGACTTACATATGGTTAGCATATCTATTTTTCTGAAGCAAGTATATGAATATACTTTAGAAGAATTTTTAGCAGGATTTAAAAAAAATGGTTTAGTTTAACTTTTGGCTAATCATATTCAATGTACTGTATTGGAAAGATGATGGACTTTTCAGTTAGAAGATCTGAGTTTTTATCAGTTTCTGGTCGTACAATCTTAGGCAAACACTGAGCCTCTAGGCCCCAGCTTTGTCATTTGTGAAACTGGGATAATAGTAATGCTTGGCTTGCCTTCATAGGTAGTTGTGAGGACCAAATAAATAATACATGGACTCAAAAAACATCTACAAATTCTAGCTGCTAATTAACCAGTAAAGTAAATTATTTGGTAGATCTCACTCCAGAGTCATTCTGTTTAATTGGTATTTGATTCCACTCATCTTGTTCCTGCTGTTAAGGTCTTCCAGTGTCATCATATCTCTGAACAAATTTAACCATTAGCTTCGCAGTCATACATAATTTTTTATGCATACAAAGTTCCTATCTCTATGGGATGTATTCTCTGCTTCTATATTTTTTATGGTTGTAGTCAGAGTTAGTTGTTTCATGCAGTATCTAAATTTATATGAGTGTGTGAGGAAAAGAGTTATGAAAGCAAATGAGAGGGGGAAAAACTCCTCACAGATAAGGAAACAGAAACAGCAGATGAATGCTGCCGAGAATTTCTCTCTGGAAGGTGATAAATGTATTCAATATACTTGTATATATCAGGCACTAGATTAGTCACAAATAAGGTGATAGGTACTCCAGGTTTAGCTTGAGAGGCCACTAGACCGTTTTGTGAGATTTCTAAAATCTCATCTATTTGGATCTTGGAGTTTGAGAAGATGCAATCACCTTAAAAGCTATATTAGAACTGATTTGGTTAAGCTACTTACTGAGATTGCTTAAGGTCTGTGAGTTGTTTTTTAAAAACTATGTTGGTAAGGCCAACGATGAGAATTCAAATTTACTGAGGCTTTATTCTAAACATCACTCCAGACTCAATCCTGGGAAACTGCTTTGCAAGTAGGGAGTGGAAAAGAGACTAATAAAGCATGAAGGGCAAAAAACAGAAGAGTGCAGCCAATTTAGGGTTTGCATTATAACCTAATTAGGATGGCTCAAGAGAGTCTTATATTTTCTGCATATGAAGGGGCAGTGAAAATAGAACACAGATGTGATCTTCAAAAAATCCAGTGTAGTAGCTTGAGCCTAGGAGAGGAAAGTGACAAGAGAAACCTCTTCAGTTGTTTCAAGTAAGTTGTGGTCCATAGAGAAGGCTGCAAGGTTTATAGAAGGAGACTCAGAAAGAATCACAGCATTTTAGATCTAGAACATTGTCATTTTTCAAGTGAGTGAACTAAGAGGGGTTAAAGGGCTTACCAGGAACAATGTCCTTGATAATACTGCAGCTAGTACCATTCGTGGGATTTCTCCAATTTCAGGTGATGACTTTCCTATACAATGTTAGAATTGTTTTCTTTTGTGATTTTCTCTCAAGCTTTATGTCAGCACAGTTCTGATTATCTCCGTCGTGGTGTCTTCAGGCTACCTTTTAAAATCCAAGGCAACTAAAGTTCCTTTACTTCGCAAGTATTTACTGAAGGACTGACTTCTTTATGCCAGGTCCTGTGCTAGCCGCAGGTGATACAATGGTGAATAAGACATTGTAATGCAAGCATACTTCGGTTATGAACAATCATCACAGATGGACAATCTTTCACTCAAAGTTTATTCAATGTATGTAAATTCAATGAAAATCAAATTTTGGGATTACAAAGTGATCCAATCATCTGCAATGTACCACTTCTCTGATTCAAATCATCCAAAGAAAAAAAGCATATTAGATAGCTTAGGGATGGTGAAGGTTCATTGTTTCCCTTTCACATTTCTTACTGAGGTTGCCTAACGGGCCAAAAGCAATGTTCAGTTTGCAATTTTATAAATTTATGTCCTTGAAGTTTGGATGCAAAATGAATTCATTTCTGGTAGGACTTCCCAGGAGATTTGGTTGGTTCAAGATTATGTTCCAAATAGATGTGTTTAAGAATCTCAAAAAATAATGAAACTGTCCTATTCATGGCCATGCCACCTGACTCCCCCGATTCATCCCTGCCTGAGCCAAAAGTAAAGCAAAACAATACAAACACATTTCCAACCCTAAGTAGCATCCTGGTGCCCACTGTTGAATCTGAATACCCTATCTAAAGCAAAACCACAATTTGCGCATTCAGTCAATGAAAGCCACACCCCCAAATGTTTTTGTAAGATTGTTGAAAATGTAAAACAGCTTGAAATTTGAAACCTTTTGAAAATGTAAGGATGAGGCCGGGCGCGGTGGCTCATGCTTGTAATCCCAGCACTTTGGGAGGCCTAGAGGGGCGGATCACGACGTCAGGAGATCGAGATCATCCTGGCTAACACGGTGAAACCCCGTTACTAACAATACAAAAAAAAGTTAGCCGGGCGTGGTGGCGAGCGCCTGTAGTCCCAGCTACTCGGGAGGCTGAGGCAGGAGAATGGCGTGAACCCGGGAGGCGGAGCTTGCAGTTAGCCGAGATGGCGCCATTGCACCCTAGTCTGGGCGACTGAGCGAGACTCCGTCTCAAAAAAAAAAAAAAAAGAAAATGTAAGGATGAGTAGAAAATTCTGTCATCTTGAGAAAAGCCAAGAAAATAATGAAGACACGTTGTCTTCAAAAATCTCTCTCAACTGTGATAGGTTTCAAGTAGAAAGGCTTGTTTAAAATATTCTGAAAAATTTTTCAGAATTCATATCATAATTATCACTGCAATATATTGATCTAGATTTTTCATAAGGAGCTCATGACATCAAAGAGCATTAAACACACTATTTCTGTGCACACCTGGTAAGGTGAGGTGCAAGGCTTCTAGAAAAAAGCTACTATCCAACTCAGGGTTCACAGTGCCCCAGCTTGGACCAAACTTTCTCTAGGAATAATAGTGACATTAGGGAATTCTCAGTGAGTAACACTGTAAGATTTTGGATTTTAACATTTTATCTTTTACAGCAGATCAATCATCACTTTTCATTAATAAAACAACCTTTGTATTTTTCGTCCATTGCTTTCAAATTAGGATAGTCAATGGGATCTCACTGTTCTGTCCAGTGGTGCCATTTGCTAGAAGAATAAATGATTGTTGAAGAGCTGCTAAACCAATTGGGCAGCCTAAAGATAATAAGCCTCTGTGAACTAACCATAAGTCACAATAACTCTGCACTTTGTCGAAAGAGCCACAATCAATGGTCAGATCAAAATGCATATTCCCATAGTACACAAGAGAAGGAAAGGTGCGGATGGGATGCCTTTGGCTTAAAAAATAGTTTACTGTTTTCTGATTACAAAAAAATTATCCACAAAATAGTAAACATATTAGTACAAAAAGAAAAGTATCCATAATCTTACTACCCAAAGGCAACATTGTTAACATGTCGTTATATTTCCTTCCACACTTTTTTAAAGCGTATTTTCCCTAATTGAGATCATCCCATAGATCTAATTTTATTGTCTGCATTTTCATAAAATTATAAAACACATTTTCTCACTCTTCACATGAGTAATTTTAATGGCCACATAATCTTTCATCTTACAGGTGTACCATAATTTATTTAGAAATCCCTTTTATTATTGAACGTATACGGTGGGATGTTTTGTTTAATTTTGGTTTTTTCTTAATGAAGCTGTGTAAATATCTTTGGCTACAAGTAATCTTTGAGCAGAAACTCTTGATAGGGTGGGAACACTTGAATACAAAAAAAAAATTTCTAGTGTCTGTCATCAGACTATCAATTCTATCTCACTTTCTTCATTCAACTGATAATATTAATTCACTGAAGTAGTATATAAGACTCCAATGTAGAAAGCTACAACTGATTACCTGGAATAAAACTGGAATATCAGATCAAATACTTATTGCATTTTCATTTGTCTATTGGATAACTTTACAGCTTTATTTGTCTCCTACTTTGAAGATAACTTTGGCTCAAATGCAAAGAGGTGCCAACATTGGTGAATATCTAGCAATGTCTTTATTCATGGCTCTGCTTCCTGACTGACATCCTCTGCTTTCTCATTTTCAGGTTTAAGATGTTTTTCTTTCTTTTTTCTTGTTTTCTTGTTTGGGCTACAAATTTATTTTTTCACATTGATTTTTTTGTAATTTTTAAATTTTTTGTGGGTAGATAGTAGGCATATAATTATTTATGGAATACATGAAATGGGAAAAATGAATTCCTAGAAGGGGATTGCTGGATGAAAGGATACATGCATATGTAATTTTAATAGGTGATGCCAAATTTCCCCCCTTAGCGGTTGTTTTATTTTTCATTTTCACCACCACTATATTAGAGTTAATTTTAATTTTGTTACTTCACTCATTAAGGAGTCACTACAGTATAAAGTCCTTCCAGATTCACAGTAATGAACAAGATATGGAGGTAGCTATGGAAAACATGGACGCCAGCTTGTGATGGTAGCCAAGATTCTGGAGGCCTAAATAGAGAGTTAAGCACCACTTCTTAAAATAATTTCATGGACTGGAAGAGTTAACACTGTTAAAATGGCAATACTCCTCAAATTGACCTATAGATTAAACGTCCATCAAAATTCAAACTGCCTATTTGGGGGAGAAATTGACAAGCTAATCCTGAAATTCATATGAGAATGCAAGAGACCCAATAGAGCCAAAAACAATCTTGAAAGAGAACAACAAGATTGGAGGAGTCACACTTCCAAATTTCAAATCTTACTACAAACCTACAGTAAAGACAGTATAATACTGGCATAAGGACAGACACAGATCAATGGAACAGAACTAAGAACATAGAAATAAACCTATACATCTACACTCAATTGATTTTTGACAAGAATCCCAAGACCACTCAATAGGGAAAGAAAAGTTGTCTTAACAAACAGTGTTGGAAAAACTGGATATCCATGGGCATTAAAAAAAAAAAAAGTTAGACCACTACTTAATACCATACAAAAAATTAACTCAAAATGTAACAAAAACATAAATGTAAGCGCTACAACTATGAAACTCTCAGAAGAAAACATAGGAGTAAATCTTTCTGACTTTTTTATTAGGCATTGTTTCTTAGATACGACACCAAAACCCAAGCAACCAAAGGAAAAGTAGACAAATTGAACTTCATCAAAACTAAGCTTTTGTAAACTTTTGTGCTTCAAAGGACACCATGAGTGAAGTGAAACGACAACCTATAAAATGGGGGGAAATATTTGGAAATCATTTATCTGATAAGGGTCTATTAAGCAGAATAAAGAGCCCTTACGACTCATCAACAAAAGGACAAATAACCAGCTTGAAAATGGGCAAAGGACTTGAATGGACATTTCTCCAAAGATATACAGATGGAAAATAGGTACATGCTCAACATCATTAGTCATTAGGGAAATGCAAATCAAAACTACAATGTGATACCACTTCACACCCACAAGAATACTTGTAATTAAAGAAAGAAAACAGAAAATACACTTGGTGAAAATGTAAAGGAATGTGAATCTTCATATGTGCTAGTGGGAATGTAGAATGGTGAAGCCTCTGTGAAAAACAGTTTGGCAATACCTCCAAAAGTTAAATACAGAGTTACCGTATGACCCAGAAGTTCTACTCCTAAGTACATACCCAAAAGAATCTCAAACATACAGTCACGCATCGCTTAATGCTGAGATACATTCTGAGAAATGTGTCATTAGATATTGTTGTTGTGTGAACATCATAGAGTATACATACACAAACCTAGATGATACAGCCTACTACATACCTAGGCTGCTATGTAATAGCAGTAATGTTAATGATTTTCATGATCTGAGAGGCCTGTGCTTCAAAACAAGAAGTCTCAGTAGTGGGCCGGGCACAGTGGCTCGCCCCTGTAATCCCAGCACTTTGGGACGCTGAGGCGGGCGGATCACCTAAGGTCACGAGTTTGAGATCAGCCTAGCCAACATGGTGAAACCCCGTCTCTACTAAAAACACAAAAATTAGCCCGGCATCATGGCATCTGCCTTTAATCCCAGCTACTAGGGAGGCTGACGTGTGAGAATTGCTTGAACCTGGGAGGTGTAGGTTGCAGTGAGCCAAGATTACAACATTGCACTCCAGCCTGGGTGACAGAGTGAGACTCCGCCTCAAAAAAAAAAAAAAAAATTAAAAAAGAAGTCTCAGTAGTAGAACTTTCAACCACAAAGTTAGAATCACTTCATGGGTGTCCATCACCATACCATACATTTGAAGGGCACACTATCTTTTTGTAAAAGCCTAAAATGAGACAGGATGGGATCAAACTCCCTATTACTTCTAGGCTGCAAACCTGTAAAGCATGTTACTGTACTGAATACCATAGGCAATTTTAATACAATGGCAATTATTTTTGTATCTAAATATATCTAAACATAGGAAAGGCACAGTAAAAATATGGTATCATAATCTTATGAGACTACCGCCATATATGTGGTCTGTCATTGACTGAAACGTTATCTGGTACGTGATTATATATGCAAAAACTTTTATGTGAATATTTATAGCATTACTAATCATAACAGCCAAAAGGTGGAAACAACCTACATGTGATTAACTGAGTGAATAAACAAAATGTAGTATGATTAATGGCTACAAAAATACAGTTAGGTAGAAAGAATAAGTTCTAATGTGCAATAACACAGGAGGGCAACCATAGTTAAGAATTTATAGTATATTTCAAAATAGCTAGAAGAGAAGATTTGGAATGTTCCCAATACAAGGAAGCAATAAATGTTTGAGGTAATGGATACCCAATTACCCTGATTTGATCATTACACATTGTATGCATGTATCAAACTATGCCGTGTACTCCATAAATATGTACGACTATTATGTATCAATAAAAATGTAGATCAATACAATGAAATACTATTTGGCCATAAAAAGGTATGAAGTACTGATAAATGCTACAGCATGAATGTGCCTTTAAAACATTATACTAAGTGGAAGAATCCAGACACAAAAGTCCAGATATTGTATAATTTAATTTCTATAAAATGTTCAGAATAGGCAAATCCGTAGAAACAGAAAATACTTTAGTGATTTCCATAGACAGGAGGAGGAGGAGAATGGGAAGTGACTACTAATGAGCATGGGGTTTCTTTTTGGGGTAATAAAAGTGCTCTGGAATTACATAGTGGTAAAAGCGGCGTAACTTTGCGAATACACTAAAAACAAATGATTGTACACCTTAAAATGCTGAATTTTATGATATTTGAATTACATCTCAATTAAAAAGCCTTTTTTCGTGTTACTGTTTTATTCTGGATATCTAAACATTTCCATATTTGCAATACTAATCTCCCTTTTGCAAAGTGTTGACACAATAGGTGAGTTTGAATAATGCGTAGTAGATTTAGTGAATATGGCATACCCATTTGCAAAGGACCATTACATAAAGATCTTAATGCACTCTGTGTCTTCATAACATTTGCTTCAGATCCATTATAGTGAAGTTGAACTAATGATGATTTTGTTAAAAGCCTAAATTGAATGTCATCCAGAAGCAAGGTGCTTCCCCCAAATTATTCTTAGAATGGTTGTAGACAAAATACTGTAGTACTACTACTTAGATACAATGTAAAATATTATACAAATAACTGCCCTTCTGGAGTTTGCGTTATCTTAGGTTGCATAAGATAAAAATTTTTCCTCCTATGAGTCTCACATATTCAAATTGCTTAATCATATCAGCCCCTGCTTAAACACTGTTAAGAAGCTCATATTCACTCTGATGAAATACATATACTTCAAACTAACACACAAGATCACTCTTTCTGTAATTACCCACCCTCCCTATTACCTCTCAATGCACCCTATTTCAGCTCTACTAAACCATATAATACTCCCTAATATGTTACTGAATATCCGTGTGTTTGTGTACATTTAGTTCCCTCTGCTTAAAATGCTACCTATCACCTACACACTCTCCAGAAAATCAATTTCTTCTCTAGTATGCTTTTGGTGACTTCTCTGCCATCTTCCTACCCAGTGTGAGCTCTGTGTTCCCATCACGCCCTACACCCATCACAGTACTCTTCGCATTGTATTGTTGTTATTTGTTCCTAGGTCTGTGTATTAATTTGGGTATTGCAACTATAATAGAGAATCCTAAACATTTCAGCAGATGAAACTTATTATTTGTTCATATAACAGTCTAATGCAGGTCTAGTTAGTGGGGTTTAGGGACATCTGTTCCAAGCAATCATTCAAGGATGCTCTGGCTAATGGATGCTCTGTCATCTCTGAAGCAAAGATCTGCTAGGATGTCAATATCCAGTTTGGCTAAGAGGGAAGAGAGTTAGAAGGAGACATATCCTTCATTTAACTACCTTGGCCCAGAAGTGATACAAGTCACTTCTGCTTACCTTGCATTGGCAAACATTTGTCACATGATCTCACCTTAATATAAGGGAGTTGGACAATTCTCTACCACGGAAGGAGGAGTATGAATTTTGGTGGAAAGTTAGCCAATCCTGTCAGTCTATTTCTTCCATTAAACATGGAACCTTTGAAAGTAGGAGGCATTCCTCATTCATCCTAATAGTCTCATTCATCTGCCACATAAAGCATAGATATAGTAGAATTTGTAAAATGTTCATCAACGTGTTACTATTTTTTGTGTGCCTGCATTACCTTTATTTGTTTTACCACAATTCCCCAGCCTTCAAACCAGATCTTCACCTCTGTGTTCTAAGGAAAGAAGATCAATTCAGTAAAGCAAAAAAAGGTGAAAGGCGGGAAAAATTCTGAATAAGACTGTGGACTGCATCAGTTTCAATATCTTCTTGTGATACATTATAGTTTTGCCAAGATATTAACATTGGGGGAAACTGAATGAAGGGCACATGAGACCTCTTGGTATTATTTCTTACAACTACATGTGAATCTACATGTAGTTGTAAGTACATGACCTCATAAGTATTTATTAGATATTTGCTTCTTACAACTATATGTGACTCTACATGTAGTTGTAAGTACATGACGTCATGTTTTAATTTAAAATGTGGCTAAATACTAGGACCTAAAAATAAACAAACAATGGATGTTAATTTCTGACTTTTGCGCTTCCAAAAACTAAAGTCCTGGTATAAATAATGTGCTTGAAATAACACTCCATATGATGATATTTAAAATATGTTTATAAATTCTTTGATGCTTTCCTCAACTCAAGTGGAGCCTAACTGCCTTCCCTTTGAATACAGACTGATCTTACTGTCTCACTTCTAATAAATAGAATGCAATAGAATTAACTGCGGTAGGTATAATGTCTTGGAAGATCCCCACACCTAATCTCTGTGACCTGCGGATATCTTAGGTTACATCTTAAAGAGGTCTATGCAAATGTAATTAAGGTCACATACTTTGAAATAGAGAGGTTACCCTGATTATCTGAGTAGGCCAATCCAATCACAGGAGCCCTCAAAACAGAGAACTTTCTCCAGCTAGAGTAGGACAGAAAAGGCAGAGAGAGAGAGGTCAGAGATATTCAAAGCATGAGAAGGACTTGGCCTGCCATGACTGGGTTGGAAGATGAAGGGGACCATGAGTGAGGGTATGTGTGTGGTCTTTAGAAGCTGAGAATAACCTCTAGCTAACAGCCAGCAACGAAACAGAAACCCCAGCCCTACAACTGCAAGGACCTAAAGTTGGCCAACAACCTACATGATCTCGTAAGTAGATTTCCCCCAGAATTTCCAGCCTTCAGGCTGGCTGACACCCTGATGTAAGCTTTATGGACAAGGAGTCGAGGAACCAGCCATACCCATCTGGACTTTTGACCTATGGAACTGTGAAATAATAAGTTTGAATTGTTTAAGTCACTAAGCTTGTGGTAATTAGATATGGTCACAATAGAAAATGATTACAGTAACGCAATATGACTTCCAAGGCTAGATCATAAGAGGCAGTACAGTTTCCACCTGGAGTGTCTCTCTCTCCTCCCTCCTTCCTCTCTCCTCTGCCCTGAGCAACCATATAAGTATGGCTAACCCAAAACCACCATACTGGAGAAACCACGTGGAAGGATCACATAGAGATAGAGATACCCCAGCTGTTTTACCCCTAAGCTGTTTGCATTTCTAGTTTAGGTACCAGACATCTCAGAGGAAGCTTTTGATATGGCTGTAGCCTCAGCCACCATCAGACTGAGAGAACCCCAAGTAGGAATCACATAGTTTAGCCCAATCAACCATCTTAACTATAAGACATTGATGATGATGATAATGATGGTGATGATGATGATGATGATGATAAAATGATTGTTTCATGAAACTAAAACTATGAAACTTTGTGGTGGTTCATTAAAAAAAAAATTGAACACTTCTTTAGCTTCTTGTTGTTCCTCCATAGAGAGGAGATTAAAAACTTTCTCTGTATGAATGAGGGAGGAGCTGAATCACAGAGAAGTGGATAGAAAATCATTAGAACAAAGTGCTGATATGGGCCTTCACTCTTTACTTCTCCGGTAGGGATGAGGAAAAAATAGGAAGTACTTGTCCCCAACTTTTTACCTAGAAAAGGGTTCAGCAAACTTTTACTTCAAGGGCAAGATGGTAAATATTTTTAGGCTTCACAGGATAAGAAGCAAAATCAAGACTATAACGTAGCAACTTATACACCATTTAAAATATAACCATTTATTTGTATTGGACAAATATATATACTAAAATTTGTATTTTTTTTTTAAAAATCATACTTCCTTGCTTTCCAATATCTCACTAAAAGCAGTTTGCTCTTCAACAAACACCGTGTTTCTAAGTTCTGAAATGGGAGTATATTTGATTGTGTATACAAGGACTGTATGATCTGATTTTAGCCAGTCTGTATGAGGCCTGCTTCTCTTTGCAGTTGTCTTCTTTGACTTGAAAATTGCCAGATACCTTGACTCAAACTGAGCAGAAACGTGCTAAATTGAATTTGAAACAGAAAGGGTGAATTTTTCCCGTGCCTTCCCAATTATTTTGCACATGATGTCATTTCTAGCATAGGGGAAAGAAACCTAGGTTTCAAATCACGAGATTTGAGCATAAGGCACTTTCTAGTTGCAGTACCACGAGCATGACAGTTAATATGTCTGAGCCTCGGCTTCTGTAAGCCGATGGGATTAATAACTGCCTGCTCACTTAACATGGGTGGTTGCAATTCAAATGAGATAAAGAATATAAAGGTGAACTGCAACTTCAAAGTGTATGACGCTTGCTAATTGTTACTGATGTGTCTATTACAAAGGATTTGGTCTCCCTGGCTGGCCCCCCTGCCCTCCCTCCCTCCATCCTTCCCTCCTTTCATTCCTTCCTTTCTTCCTTGCTTCCTCTGTTCCTCTCCTCCACCTCTCTACCCACCTCACTCAACATGGTAGAGATTTAGGATCTGTGGCACATGATTATGGAAGGTGTCTTATGTTAGTAGGGCCTTTTAGGGCTTATGTTAGCCTTTTATCCATACATGTATTAATTCTCCAATAATTATGAGTACCCGCTCTTAGAGAGGCACTATATTTGGTGCTGTAGATATAGTAGTGAATGAGACAGACAAGGTTCCTCTCTCATAGATCTTAAGCTCCAATGAGGAGTATTATTAGTTTTCTATGACTGCTACAACAAAGCACAATAAAATTAATGGCTTAAAACAGCATAAATGTATTATCTTTTAGTTCTGGAGGTGAGAAGTCTAAAACAGATCCACAGGGCTGTGTTCATTTGGGAGGCTCTAGGGAAGAATCTGTTCCCTTGTCCTTTACAGCTTCTAGAGGCTGCCTGAATTCCCTGACCGACGGCCTCTTCCTCTATCTTCAAAGCCAGGAATGTGGCATCTTCAAATCTCTTTCTCTCCGTTCCTCTGCTTCCACCATCACATCACCCTCTGTCTGACTGTGATCCCCCTGCCTCCCTTACAGGAAACTTTGTGACTACACTGGGTGCACTCAGATAATCTGGGGTAATCTTCCCAGATCAAGATGCTTAACTTAATCACATGTACAAAGTCCCTTTTTTTCATATAAGGTAGTATTCACAAGTTCTGGGGATTAGGAGGCACACATTCTAGGTGGTTATTATTTAGTCCACCCGAGGGAAAGAGAGAAAGTAAACAGGCATACAAACAGATAAGAATTTAGAGTGTGATTTGTGCTGTGAGGGCAATAAATAGCAGCTGCACCATCCAGTGTGGTAGCTACAAGCAACACGTGGCTATTGGGTACTTAATTGTTTTGTGAAATTTGTAGATTTCCTTGATGTTTTGAATAAGATATAAAAGTTTGTAAGCATCTTCAATATTCTAGCCATCTCTTTGCTTAATCATTTTGTTTTATTAAACAAGCAATCTTTGGTCACTTCCTATATGCTGGGGGTAACTGAGAAAACACACAGCCTCTACTTCCAAGGAAGGTTCCATCAAGGAAAACGAGAAGTTGTTAAAAAAAAAAAACATACTAAAGATAAGCATGTAAAGAGTGTTGTGGAGCATATTTGGCAGATTTTATGCATGAATTTTAATTTTAAGAAATTGACAGAGAAAATTGTATGTATTTAACATGAACAACATGATATATTTTTTTTTTTCTTGAGACGGAGTCTCGCTCTGTCACCCAGGCTGGAGTGCAGTGGTGCAATCTCGGTTCACTGCAACCTCCACCTCCTAGGTTCAAGCAATTCTCCTGCCTCAGCCTCCCAAGTAGCTGGGATTACAGGAGTGCACCACCACACTCGGCTAGTTTTGTATTTTTAGTAGAGATGGGGGTTTCACCATGTTGGTCAGGCTGGTCTCGAACTCCTGACCTCAAGTGATCCACCTGCCTTAGCCTCCCAAAGTGCAATGTGATGTCTTGAAGTATATATATATTGTGGAATGACTGAATCTAGCTAATTAACATATGCATTACCCCACATAGTCAGCACTTTCGTAGTGAGAACACTTACCCACTCTCTTATCATTTGTCAAGAATACAGTATAGTTATTAACTATAGTCACATTGTTATACAATAGATCTTTTGAACTTATTCCTCCTGTTTAACTGAAATTTTGTATCCTTTGACCAACAACTCCTCAATATCACTCCCCAGCCCATTCTACTCTCTAGCTCTATGAAATCTACTTTTTAAGATTCTACATATGAGTGAGATCATGTGGTATTTGTCTTCTGTGCTTGGCTTATTTCACTAAACATAATGGCCTCCAGGTTCATCTATGTTGTTGCAAGTGACAGGTTTCCTCCTTTGTAAAGGCTGATTAATATTCTATTGTGTGTGTATATATATACACACACACACATTTTCTTTATCCATTCTTCTGTTGATGGACACTTAGCTTGATTCCATATCTTGTCTATTGTGAATAGTGCTGTAATAAACAATGGAATGCAGATATCTCTTTGACATACTTATTTGGATATATATCCAGTAATGGAATTGGTGGATCATGTGGTGGTTCTGTTTTTAATCTTTGAGGAAACTCCATATTGTTTTCCATAATGGTTGTACAAATTTACATTCCCACCAACAGTGCGCATGAGTTCCCTTTTCTCTACATCCTAGCCAAAATCTGTTATCTTTTATCTTTTTGATCATAGCCATTCTAACAGGAAGGAAGTGACATCTCACTGTGGTTTTAATTTGCACTTCCCTGAAGCCACACAAGATGTTGAGCATTTTCTCACACACCAGTTGGCAATTTGCACGTCTTGTTTTGAGAAATGTCTATTCAGCTCATTTCCCCATCTTTCAACTGGGTTGTTTACTTGCTATTGAGTTGGATTCCTGATATATTTTGGATATTAATGCCTTATCAGATATATAGTTTGCAAGTATTTTCTCCCATTCTGTAGGTTGTCTCTTCACTCTGTTGATTGTTTCTTTTGCTGTGCAGAGCTTTTTAGTTTGATGTAATTCCATTTGTCTATATTTTGCCTGTGCTTTTGGTGTCATATCCAAAAAATGTTTCCCCAGACCAATATAATAAAGCTTTTCCCTATGTTTTCTTCTAGAATTTTCATAGTCTGGGATCTTACATTTAAGTCTTCAATATATTTTGAGTTGTTTTTCTATATGGTACGATTTAGGGTCTATTTTCATTCTTCTGCATATGGGTATCTGGTTTTCCCAACTCCATTTATTGAGGGACTATCCTTTCCTCAGTGAGTACATTTGGCATCTTGTTTTTTTTTGCTCAAGATTGCTTTGGCTCTTTGGGGTCTTTTATGGTTCCACATAAATTTTCAAATTGTTTTTTCTATTTCTGTGAAAGATGTCATTGGTATTTTGATAGGGATTACATTGAATATGTAGATTGCTTTGGGTAGTATGGACATTTTAACAATATTAATTCTTCAAATTCATGAAAACAGATATCTTTCCATTTATTTGTATCTTCTTCAATTTCTTTCATCAAAGGTTTATAGTTTTCAGTGTAGAGATCTTTCACCTCCTTGATTAAATTTATTCCTTATTTTAGCGATTGTAAATGAGATTGTTTTCTTGATTTCTTCTTCAGATAGGTTGCTGTTAGTATAGACACACTACTGATTTTTGTATGTTAACTTTATATATTACAATTTTACTAAATTCATTTATCAATTTTAACAGATTTTTCTGGAGTTGTTAGAGTTTTCTATATATAAGATCATGTTATCTGCAAACAAGGACAATTTAACTTCTTCCTTTCCAATATAGAAGGCTTTTGTTTCTCTTGCCTAATTTGCTCTGGCTAGGCTATTGAGTTCTTTAAATGGAGCTAGTGTGACTGAGGAACTGAGTTTTTATTTCATTTTAATTAATTTAGATTTAAATTCAGATAGCCACAAGTGGTTACCATAATGGACAGTCTAGCTTTAGGCTTTTTGAAGCCACACAAGAAAATATTTCCCCTCTTTTCAGCTTAGCTGAATTGCATGACTACCCATGAAAATAGCCAATACCCATCAGCTTTAATAAATGGAATGAGGCTAGTCAGGTGAACAACTAGATACGTTTTCCTGCACTGGCCAAAAAGAAATACTCCCTATTACTATAGCAATCATCTAGTCCCAATCAGAGAATATTCCTTCCATTTGGAGGGAAAAGTAGATTGGGACACTGCTCATAATACTTCATTTCCTTCCGTATATATCCACATACTTTCCCTGTCTTCAAGATCGGCTGAGTGTATTTCCTTAGCTCCTGACTTTGTTTTGGCCAATGGAGTAGTAACAGCTATGACAGACACATGGGCTTTAAATTTGCTTACATGTCTGTGTTTAGCCTCTTGTAGAACAGGGGTAGAACAGCCTATCCCAGGTAGCCTCTGGTCCAAGGAAAATGTGGCAACATGGGAATACACCTGAATTAAACCTGGAGACTGATACCTAGAGCATGGAGTCCATCCTAGCCTAGCTGAGGTAGAGCCAATTTGCAGACTTTAAGCCACAGAATTTTGGCTGAATTTGTTACTCAGCATTGCAGTAGCATAGCTAACTAATACAATGGGCACTATCAGAAGGATTTCTCCTTTCTAGGAGGACTTTACACATTTCTAGAAGAGGCTGACTTAGCTCCCGTAATTCTTCCGAGCTCTCTGTGGTTTTTCCATTTAACGTGGGGTAGTTGACACGGGATTATTTGCTTTCAAAGCAGTTTTTTTTCAGTAGTGGTAAGAACAGGGAGACCTTCAAAGTCTAAGGATTTGTGTAACAGAAATTGCACAGCTCAGTGAGCAAAGCAACTGAGTGGAACCCTTCTCTCAAAAAAGGTCTATTTCTGGCTTCAAAGACACAACTTTCTCCTTCTAGAACTCCCCATCTTGTAGGCTGTTAGCGGGAAAGCAAATAAAATATCACTATCTAGCTTTCCTTCCAAAGTAAGTGTGATGAAAAACAAAGATGGAAATGTCTTTTAAAAGCCCAGAGTACTTTAAATATGTGACTTTAATTTCAGTAGCTAGAGTTGCTAAAAGTAAACCTGGTAATGCCTCTCCGATGGACCTTCTCTTCTAAGTGACTGAGGCTTAGCCATTTCACCTGTTGTTTCTCTGCATGAAGAAAGTTGAGTCAGGTTTTTTTTCGTTGTGATTTTTGCCACCTTCTGAGCATTAATGATGCTGGAATACTAGTCTACTCTTCCCCCAGGTGCATTGATTTTCCTGCTTGAATTGATGTAGTCCCACAAAGAGAACACCTCACTGTTATTATCCTTTCGGATGCTCTATTCGCTGGCTCAGCCACCCTGCTCAGCTTAATGAAAAATAGACTGTGTTGATGGAAGAAAAACAGTTTTTCAGATCTAAGAGACTTCCTGAGCTTGAAGCATGAGAACAGGCACCTATTCAAAAACTAAGGGAGCCAGATTTCAAAAATTTAATATAGCAATCAACAAAATTATCAGTGGGACAGTGAACTATAGACTGTAAGATTTAAAACTCTGCTTGCTTATATATATGCAGGAAAACTTGCTTCCTATATGTTTGAGTCTGCCAACAGGGGCCAAAAACATCATTATTGCCTATATTTTCTCTATTTTGTATGAGGATATTCTCTGAGGAAGGCATTAAATTGGCTCAGACAATTACCAATAGCCACACATGGAAGTTTGGCTCCTTCCTCTGTGCTCTTGTTGCAATTATTCAACTCAGTTATATTATTGCTACTTGTAATATATGTCTAGAACCTTCTCGCCAGGTCAGGGGTCAGCCAGGCTATCATGGTCCTTTGGGTCTAGGACTAATGAAGTAATCCTTTCTCCTGAAGCCTCAGGGCTGAAATCAAGGGAAGATGTATAGCTGAGTTGAATAAGAAGCTGAGTCTGGTAAGCCAGAGAGGTCAAATTACAGCAGATGGTTAAAGCCAAAAGGCCAGAGCAGGTAATGGTGGGGGTTCAGTGACAGGGAGAAGAGAAACCCACTTCAAGAAAGCAAGGTGTTATCCCAGGCAATTCTTGGAACAGGCATGGTTGTCAGAAGCTGGCACCTATGTGCCCAAAGGAGAGTATTATCAAAAAGAGCCAGCTACAAAGGTCAGAGATAGGGCCTATCCCCCAAGTCTCTCTCTCCCACAAGGCTGTGAGACCCCTGAGGAAGCTCTTACCTAATTCCTCCTTATGCCTCTAGTACATGTCATATAGGAACCAAATAAATTTTGGCAGCGCGAAAAAAATAATTGTCGAGATTAAGCAGATATGCAGTATTTCTGCTAATATAACTATTCACTTAAGTCAAGTTATACAAAGAGATTATTAAGTTCTGTGAGTAAAGTTTCATTTATATAATTAGTTGCATTTTGTGTAATCGAAGAACGGAAAACACAGAATTTAAAAGGTACAATGCATCATTTTTGAAAGAAAAACACTGATCATAGGCAGAGTTTTCTGGTAGGAAACTCAGTATATGCTTTTAAAGAGGCTACTGCTATTCTCTGGAGTTACTAAAATTTGTGGTTCCTACTGCCCTGAAAAGAAGATGGATTTAAAATGTACCCTTTAGGTTCTTCTTAGAGAGAAGCACTTTGAAAGGAGAAAACACCACATAAGTGTCAAATCTTACTATTATCACCACTTCTGCGAATACCTCCAAGTCACGGGAAAACGTTCATAAAAGGAGTCTGCTTTGGAGATAGGCTGTTGAGAGAAGTTCATCTGAGATATTCCACGCACAAGCTGCCTGCATTTAATGCCATCTCCCTGAAATCCCAAATTACTACTGTCACCACTTTGTGTAGTAAAACTTTCAGGTAAATAAAAAGCAAAATGGGAAGAAAGTATTAAATGCTTTTACAGTGGACTAATGAAAACAATCCCAGAGCATTATTTACTTTCATGGTAAATCATAGTGTGAAAAAAAAAAAAACAGTATACATTCCTGTTACTGACCACTGTCACTAAACACCATGGAACACTGGCTCTTTTTATCCTCTTCCTATAATTACAGAAAGCCTAAAATAAATATTTCTCATGTGAATGTCAGTTCTACTTTCAGCCTCCAGGTTTTCTAGAACTGCTCAAATTCTCATGCCCATATTCCTATATACATTCCTGATATGTTTATACACACATATTTAGAGTAGGGGTTGGCAAACTACAGCCTGTTTTTGTATGTCCCATGAGCTAAGAGTGGTTTCTATATTTTAAAATGGATTTTGAAAAGTACAAAAAATAATATATTATGACAAGTAAAAATTATATGAAATTTAAACGTCAATGCCCATGCATCATGTTTTACTGGAACACAGTCAGGGTCATGAGTTTATGTATCATTCATGGCTGCTTTTGCGCTAAAAATGAATAGCTGTGATTGAGATCCTATCTGTCAAAGCCAAAAATATTTACTCTCTGGCCCTTTACAGAAAAAAATTGCCAACTCCTGATCTAAAGCATACTTATGGCTCCTTTTAAAAAATTGCTTTTTTGTGGAAGTATAATGTGATACTTCAAGAAAGGGCAAAGGGTACAAACTCTATGAATTTTTACATACGTATTTACCTGTGTGACTCCCACCCAAATCAAAATAAAGAACATTTCCAGCATCCCAAAAGTGTTCCTCTAAGCTGAAGTTATCCATTTTTCTAAGATCTATCACTCATGAATTGATTCTATTTGTTTCTGAAATGTAAATCAATGGAGTAATGTAGTATTTCAAATCAATGGAGTAATGTATTTTTTGGTTTGGCTTATTTATTCAACATTATGTGTATGAAATTCATGTTGTTGTACGTGACAGTAGTTTGTTCTATTGTATGAATGTACTATATATTCTACTCTTGTTGGATATTGGGTAGTTTTCAATTGTGGGCTATTATGAATACAGCTTCTATGAACATTTTTGTATACGTATTTTAGTGACTATAAATACTCAGCTCTCTTAAGTATACTCCTAGAATGATGCTCCTAGGATGCTGATCCTTTTTTAAAAAAAAAACAGAACTACAATTTGCTACAAGCAAGGTACACTCATAGAACCTTTAAAAAATATAAAGCAAAAACATTTTTGGAGACGCATACTAAAATATTTAGGGGATAACTTGTAGAGTGTCATTTAAAAGGCTATGGCAATTATCTAGAATCTACAAGAAACAAATAAATAAGCAAAAAATAAATAATCCAATTTAAAAAATGGGCCAAGGACACGAACATATACTTCTCAAAAGAAGATGTACAAGTGGCCAATGAACAAGAAAAAATGCTCAACATCACCACTCATCAGAGAAATGCAAATCAAAACCACAATGAGATACGATATCACATCAGTTGAAATGATGATGATTAAAAAGTCAAAAAACAAGAAATCCTGGGAAGGCTGCAGAGAAAAAGGAGTGCTTATACACTGTTGGTGGGAATGCAAACTAGCTCAGCCACTGCGGAAAACAGTTTGGAGATTTCTCAAAGAACTTAAAACAGAGCTACCATTTGACCCAGCAATCCCATTACTGAGTATATACTCAAAGGAAAATAAATTGTTCTACCAAAAAGACACATGCACTTGTATGTTCATCTATGAGCCATTCACAAAAGCAAAGACATAGAATCACTGGGCAACCCAGGTGCCAATCAGTGTTGGATTGGATAAAGAAAATGTGGTACATATACACCATGGAATACTACGCAGCCATACAAAAAGGAGATCATGTCCTTTGCAGCAACATGGATGCAGCTGGAGGCCAATATTCTAAGCAAATTAAAGCAGAAACAGAAAACCAAATACCGCAAGTTTTCACTTATAACTGGAAGCTAAACATTGGACATAAAGATGGGAACAACAGTCAATGGGGACTACTTGAGGGCTCAGGGAGGGAGGGGGATGTGGGCTGAAAGACTACCTATTGGGTACTATGCCCACTACCTGGATAAAGGGGCCATCCACACCCCAAACCTCAGTATCACACAATATACTCATATAATAAACCTGCACATGTATCCCCTGAATCCAGCATTAAAAAAAAAAAGGAAACTGAAACTACATGACAGGTCTCTTAGAGTTCATTTCATTGTACTCTATTCTTTAGTGCATTTGGAAACTTTCCCAATAAAAACTGGAAAAAAGAAACAGGTTGCAGTAAATAATGAAGCAGATCTACTATTATACTACCCAACTAGAATGCTAGACATTGGGGAAAGTTTCAGCTTCAGTAACTGTGACGAGTCCTGTATTTTCTAGCAGGTGAACTTGTTTATCATGAAAATAATTGGTGATATCCAGCATAAATTGTGGGGACAAAAATAGAATGAAATGGGAGAAATTTCACATCTAGAGCTTGCCAGATACACATTCTTAGGCAATGTATTTACCTTTGTCTGCAAAATGAGAATTCCTGTACCCAGAATTACTTTGGGGATTATATGAAGCCAGACAGGTATGAGCCTTTTATTTAGCATCTAACACATGAGAAGCACTCAATAAATGTTGTTTAAAATTATGCCTATTATTCATAGGCTGAAAGGGAGTTCAATTTCTGGCAAACTAATGACACTCACTGAAAACAATTAGAAAATCTGAAAAAATATTAAAAGGCTCTATTTGAAGGCATAGGAGAACCATGAAGATGCAAGTATTAGTGGCACTAAGATTCTATAGAGAGGAAAAGCCAGAGAAGTGAGCCTGGTGTTTAGTGCTGCTTTTTGCCTCGAGGCCTTTGAAAATTCCAAAAGCAGTGGCTAAGAGACTGAGAGATAGCACTGAGCTTTCAATAGACTCAGAGGGATCCTCAGTCAAAAGTTTGAGTTCTACACGGGAGGCTGGGGTGGGAGGATTACTTAAGCCTGGGAAGTCAAGGCTGCAGTGAGCCATGATAGTGCTACTACACTCCAGCCTGGGCAACAGAGTAAGACCCTGTCTCAAAAAAAAAAAAAAAAAAAAAAAAAAAAAAGAGGTTGAGCTCAAGACCACTAATAAGGATGGTTCCTGCCATATAATATACTCCAGGATTTCTGTTAGAATTCTAAAGCACTACACTCTAATTGGGAAATGGAAGGTTCCAGCTCTCAGAGACACTGAAGCCTAGTTTTGGATAATATTCTCTGATTGAATTAAGTTACTCTGGGATTCCTAGTTCCCCTAAAGTACCTGCCTGATGGAGGCAAAATAAAAATAAAGGCACTCTGGAGGAAGAATACATCATCCAGATCCACAAATTATCGCTTAATTTTTCTCATATAAAACGTTGAACACACAGTTTAAAAACAACCAGATGTATAAGAAGGAAAGGTTTGATCAAAAACCAACAGAGAAAGCAGACAATAAAAACAGACTCACCAGAGGTCCATATAATGGGCATATTGTTCAAGGATTTCAAATATACAATTGTTCAAAGGATTTCAAATACACGATTGTTAATATATTCAAAGAATTTAAAGAAAATATGGGTAATTTTGGTAGCTAGTTAAAATGGGAATTATAGAAATGGAAATAATTAAGATTAAAAGCTCAATGGATTGTTTTAACTGAAAACTGGATGCAACGGATAGATAATTACTTAACTGGAGCTTGGATCAGAATAAAAATATCCAGAATCAATCAGGGAAAAATAAAATGTGGGATTATACAGAAAAGAGCATTAGAGACTTTAGGGACACAATAAAAAGGATTCCCAGAAAGAAAGGGGAGGAAGAATGGTCAAAGACTGTTACAGAGATAATGAACTAAAATTTCCCAAAAGTGATGAAAGACATCACTCCACAAGCTGAATACATAGCAAGAAAACAATAACTAAATACTTTATACTACAACAGTTAACAAAAGGAAGTAGAAATTAAAAGAAAAATGATATATCCCTATAGACTTATTTTAAAAGATTATTTTTTTTTCAATAGGTTTTTTGTGAAACAAGTGGTGACTGGTTACAAGAATAAATTCTTTAGTGGTGATTTCTGAGATTCTGATGCGCCCATCACCCTAGCAGTGTACACTGCTTTACATTTCTTTTTATGGCGGAGAAGTACTCCATGGTATGTATGTGTATATATTTTTGGCTAATCTCGCTAATGGTCTATCAATTTTATTTATCTTTTCAAGGAACCAGATTTTTGTTTCATTTATCTTTTATCTTTTTTATTTTTGTTGTTGTTGTTTCAATTTCATTTAGTTCTGTTCTGATCTTCGTTATTTCCTTTCTTCTGCTAGGTTTGGGTTTGGATTGCTCTTGTGTCTCCAGTTCCATGAGGCACGACCTTAGATTGTCTATTTGTGCTCTTTCAGACTTTTTGATGTAGTCATTTAATGCTATGAACTTTCCTCTTAGCACTGCTTTTGCTGTATCCCAGAGGTTTTGAAGGGTTGTGTAAGTATTATCGTGCAGTTCAAAGAATTTTTTAAATTTCCATCTTGATTTCATTGTTGACCCAATGATCATTCAGGAGCAGGTTATTTAATTTCCATATTTTTGCATGGTTTTGACGGTTCCTTTTGGAGTTGATTTCCAATTTTATTCCACTGTGGTCTGAGAGAGTACTTGATATAATTTCGATTTTCTTAAATTTACTGAGACTTGTTTGTGGCCTATCATATGGTCTATCCTGGAGAATGTTCCATGTGCTGATGAATAGAATGTATATTCTGCAGTTGTTGGGTAGAATGTTCTATAAATATCTGTTAAGTCTATTTGTTGTAGGATATAGTTTAACTCCATTGCTTCTTTGTTGCTTCCTGTCTTGATGACCTGTCTAGTGCTGTCATGGAGTATTAAAGCCCACCACTATTATTGTGTTGCCATCTATTTCATTTCTTAGGTCTAGTAGTAATCGTTTTGTAAATTTGGGAGCTCCAGTGTTAGATGCATATATATTTAGAATTATATTTTCCTGTTGGACTAATCCTTTTATCATTATATAATGCCCCTCTTTGTCTTTTTTAACTGCTATTGCTTTAAAGTTTGTTTTGTCTGCTATATGAATAGATACTCCTGCTCACTTCTGGTGTCCATTTGCATGGGATATATTTTTCCACCCCATACCTTAAGTTTATGTGAATCCTTATGTGTTAGGTGAATCTCCTGAAGACAGCAGAAACTTGATTGGTGAATTCTTATCCATTCTTCTCTTCTGTATCTTTTAAATGGAGCATGTAGGCCACTTACATTCAATGTTACTATCGAGATGTGAGGTACTATTCTATTCATCATGCTATTTGTTGATTGTTATAATAAGTCCGGTGCGACTTATGCTATAAGGAGGTTTTATTTTGGTAAATTTTGATAATTCATTTTAAGATTTGGAGCTCCTTTTAGCAGTTCCTTTAGTGCTGGCTTGGTAGTGGCAAATTCTCTCAGCATTTGTTTGGAAAAGACTATATCTTTCCTTCATTTGTGAAGCTTAGTTTTGCTGGATACAAAATTCTTGGCTGATAATTGTTTTCTTTAAGGAGGCTAAAAATAGGACCCCAATCCCTTCTTAGTTTGTAGGGTTTCTGCTGAGAAATCTGCTATGAATCTGACAGGTTTTCCTTTATAGGTTACCTCACGCTTTTGCCTCACAGCTCTTAAGATTCTTTCCTTCATCTTGACTTTAGATAACCTGATGACTGTGTGCCTAGGCGATGATCATTTTGTGATGAATTTCCCAAGTGTTCTTTGAGCTTCTTGTATTTGGATGTCTAGATCTCTAGCAAGGCCAGACAAGTTTTCCCCAATTATTCCCTCAAATGTGTTTTCCAAACTTTTAGATTTCTCTTCTTCCTCAGGAACACCAATTATTCTTAGGTTTGGATGTTTAACACAGTCCCAAACTTTGTGGAGGCTTTGTTCATTTTTTAAAAATTATTTTTGCTTTGTCTTTGATGGCCTGGGTTAACTTGAAAGCCTTGTCTTTGAGCTATGAAGTTCTTTCTTCTGCTTGTTTGACTATATTGCTGAGACTTTCCAGTGCATTTTGCATTTCTCTAAGTGTGTCTTTTATTTCCGGAAGTTGGGATTTTTTTTTATTTATGCTATTTCACTGAAGAATTATCCTTTCATATCCTATATAATGTTTTTGATTTCTTTAAGCTTGACTTCACCTTTCTCTGGTGCCTCCTTGATTTGTTTAATATTCAACTTTCTGAATTCTTTTTCTGGAAATTCAGAGATTTTGTCTTGGTTTGGAGCCATTGCTGATGAGCTGGTATGATCTTTTGAGGGTGTTAAAGAACCTTGTTTTATCATATTACCAGAATTGTTTTTGTGGTTCCTTCTCATTTAGGTAGATTATGTCAGGGGGAAGATAGGGGATTCAGGGGCTGCTGTTCAGATTCTTTTGTCCCACGGGGTGCTCCCTTCATGTTGTGTTCTCTCCTTTCCCCTAGGAATGGGGCTTCCCGAGAGCCTAACTGTAGTGATTGTTTTTGCTCTTCTGGATCTAGCCACCCGGCAGAGCTACCGAGCTTCAGGCTGGTACTGGGGAGTGTCTGCAAAGAGTCCTGTCATGTGATCTGTGTTCAGGTCTTGCTGCCATGGATACCAGCACCTGCTCTGGGGGAGGTAGCAGGGGAGTGAAGTGGATTCTGTGAGGGTCCTTGGCTGTGTTTTTGTTTAGTGTGCTGGTTTTATGATGGTTGATCTCCAGCCAGGAGGTGATGCTTTCAAGAGCGCATCAGTTGTGATAATATAGGGAGGATGCAAACTTGCCCTAGTGCCCAAGGGAGCATCCCGTGGGACAAAAGAACCTAGTATTCAGGTTTCTCAGTCGGTGGGCAGGGCCACAGAGCTCCCAAGAGATTATGACCTTTGTCTTTGGCTACCAGGGTGGGGCGGGGTTAGGTGTGTCTGAGCTCAGCCTCTCCTAGCGTGGGGCTTGCTGAGGCTGCTGTGAGGATGGGGGTGTGGTTCCCAGTGGAATGGATTTATATTCCCAGGGGGATTATGGCTGTCTCTGCTGAGTCATACAGGTTTCCAGGGAAGTGGGGGAAAGCTGGCAGTCACAGGTCTCACAGAGCCCGCAGTCCTAAATGCCAGTCTCACTCCCACTGTGCCCCTGCAATAGTACCAAGTCTATTTTTAGACAGCTAGTCACCAGGGCTGAGATCTCGCCCCAGGCCATGAGACAGCGGCCTGCCGCAATGATCCAGTTCCTTCAAAGCATCTGTGGATGCTCTCAGCTTTCCTGGTATATTCCTGTGGTATTTCTTGGAGCATAAGTTCACGATGTGAGTCTCCACATGCTGCTCTTGTCCCTCTGAATGGGAGCTGCAAGCTAATCCTGCCTCCTATCTGCCATCTGAATCCCTGCTAGTGCTCCACTATAGACTTATTAGAATGACTAAAATCCAAAACACTAACACCACCAAATGTTGGTGAGGACGTGAAGCAAAAAGAACTTCATTCGTTGCTAATGGGGATGCAAAATGATACACCCACTTTGGAAGACAGTCTGACAGTTTCTTAAAAGCCAAACATAGTATTATCAGACAATCCAGTGATCATGCTCCCTAGTATTTATCCAAATGAAATGAGAACTCATGTCTACATACAAACCTGCAATGAATGTTTACAGCAGCTTTATTCATCATTGCCAAGATTTGGAAGCCCAAGATGTCCTTCGATAGGTGTATGGATAAACAAACTGTGGTGCATCCTTACGATGGAATGTTATTCAGCACTAAAATGAAATGAGCCATGAGAAGATACAGAGGAATCTTAAATGCATGCTGCTAAGTGACAGAAGTCCGTCTCGAAAGGCTACATACTGTATGACTCCAACTCTGTGACATCTTGGAAAAGTCATAACTATAGAGATAGTAAAAATATCAATAGTTGCCAGGAATTTGGGTAGAGGGAGGGAGGGACAAATAGGTGAAACACGGGGAATTTTTAGGGGAATTAAACTGTTCTGTATTATCCAAAGTAAGAAACCAAACTTTAAAACAAAAACTATATGATGATCTTAGTAGGTGCAGAGAAAGCATTTAATAAATCTACCATTCATTACTGGTTATTTAAAAAAAAAAAAAAAACTCATCGCAAAATAGAAATAGAGAACTTCCTCAACCTTATACAAGGCATCTATTTAAAAAACACTACAGCTAGCATCATAGTTAATTGCAAAACCCTGAATATTTTATTCTAAGTTCAGGAACAAAACAAGGATGTCCATTCTGCATTCAATATTATACTGGAGTTTCCAGCCAATGCAATCAGGCAAGAAAATTAAATAAACAGCCTCTAGATTGTAAAAAAAAATAGTAATAAGTAAAACTGTCTTTATTCATAGAAGTCATTGTTAATGTAGAAAAGCTGATGAAATTTACAAAGAAGTTATTAGAACTAAAATGTGAGAGTAGCAAGTTTGCTGGTACAAGATCAATATACAAAATGTTTACGTATTTATAATAAAAAGTCAGAAATTAAAATAAAAACAATACCATTTAAAATAGTATGAAAATATGAAATATTTTAGGATTCATGTGATGAAATATGTAAAAGATCAGTACAATGAAAACTACAAAACACTGTTGAGAGAAATAAATGGAGATCTAAATAAATGGAGACATGATACTGCCTTTATGGGTCATAAGACTTATTATTGTTATGATACCAATTCTCTGCAATTGATCTACAGATTTAACAAAACCCCATCCAAAACTGTAGCATGCTCTTTGGTGCAAATTGACGAGCAGATTCTAAAAGTCACAGAGAAATGCAAAAGACCCTGAATGAGCAAAACAGTTTTCAAAAAGAAGAACAAAGTTGAAGAGCTAAAACTACCTGATTTCAAGACTTATGAGAAAGTCTTAGTCATACTATAATTATGTCAGACCGTGTAACATTACTGCAAAGAGAGACAAACAAGTAAGTGGAATAAAGTCCAGAAAGAGACCCCCACACTCGAACTAATTTTTCACAAAGTTGCAAGGCAATTCATTGTAGAAAGGATTGTTTTTTCAATAAAAGACGTTGGAGCAAATGAATATCTGTATGCAAAAATATAAAATTTTATACATATCTTACATTATATATAAATATTAACTCAACATAAATCATCGACCTAAATCTCAAACCTAAAACTGTAAAACTTGTAAAGGAACACATAGGAGAAAAGCTCTGTGATCCTGGGTTAGGCAAAGACTTCTTACATCGACAATAAAAGCATGATCCATGAAAGAACAAACTGATACACTGGACTTCATATGCATGTATGTATATAACACAGTCTATCAACTCACCCATTGAGGGACTTTTATGTTGCTTCCACAGCTTGACTATTATGTGTAATGCTGCAATGAACATGGGAGTACAAGTATCTCTTTGAAATCCTGATTTCAATTCTTTTGGATAAATATTCAGTAGTTGGATTGCTGGATCATATGGTAGTTCCATTTAAAATTTTTTGAGAAATCTTGATACTGTTTTCCATAGTGGCTGCACCGTTTTATATTCCCACCAACAGTGCACAAGGATTCCAATTTATCCACATCCTCTCCAACACTCGCTACTATTGTTTTTGAAAATAATGTTCATTCTCTATTTTTAAAGTCAAAAAAATAACAGATGTTGCCAAGGCTGTGGAGAAAGGGGAATGCTTATATACTGCTGGTGGGAATGCAAAGTAGTTCAGCCCTAGTGAAAATAGTTTGGAGATTTTTCAAAAAACTAAAAATAGAACTACTATTCAACTCAGCAATCCCATTACTGTTTTTTTTTCCATTTATATATTAACATCAGGCAATTTATTACAAAACACTATACACTTTCTACTGCAGCTGTGTTATTTATTGACAGCAAATTTCTGCAAATAAGACAGTGAATATATTATCCACTCCATGTTGATTAGGAAAAGTTTTTCTAGTTTCAGAGTACATACCCAAAGGAAAAGCAAAGTTCTACCAAAAAGACACTTGCACTTGTATGTTCATCATAGCACTACTGACAATAGCAAAGACATGGAATCAACCCAGGTACCCATCAACAGTGGATTGAATAAAGAAAATGTGGTTGCCTGAGCTCATCAGTTCAAGACCAGCCAGGGCAGCATGGTGAAACCTTGTCTCTACTAAAATGCAAAAATTAGCCTGGCGTGGTGGCATGTGCCTGTAATCCCAGCTACTCAGGAGCCTGAGACAGGAGAATTACTTGAACCTGGGAGGCGGAGGTTGCAGTGAGCCAAGATCGTGCCATTGCACTCCAGCCTGGGCAACAAAGCGAGACGCTATTAAAAAAAAGAAAGAAAGAAAATGTGGTACGTATACACCATGGAAGACGATGCAGTTATATAAAAGAATGAAATTACGTCCTTCGCAGCAACATGGAAGCAGCTGGAAGCCATTATTCAAAGTGAATTAATGCAGAAACAGAAAACCAAATACTGCATGTTCTCACTTATATGTGAAAGCTAATCATTGGGTACATATGGACATAAAGATGGAAACAATAAACACTGGGGATTCCAAAAGGTGGGAAGGAAGTAAGGGGGCAAGGATTGAAAATTCCCTGTCAAGTACTATGTTTACTACTTGGGCAACAGGATCACTAGAAGTCCAAACCTCGGCATCACATGGTATACCCATGTAACAAATATGCATATGTACCCCCTGAATCCAGAATAAAAGAATTTTAACAAAGAAAAGAAATGGCCATCCTACCATGTGAGGTGATAGCTCATTGTGGTTTTGATTTGTATTTTCCTGATAAGTGGTGTTGAACATCTTTTCATATGCTAGTTGACCATTTGTACGTCTTCTTTGGAGAAATGGCTACTCAGGTCCTTTGCCTATTTTAAAAGTGGATTATTTGGTTTTTCTGCTATTGAGTTGTAGGATATCCTTAGCAGTTAGATATTACCTACTTATCAGATACGTGGTTTGTACATTTTTTTTCTACTCTGTAGGTTGCTTTTTCACTCTGTTGATTATTTCCTTAATATTATTTGTTTAATGTCTAAAAATAATGCCAAATTAGTTTAATTTGGCTTTAGTTTTCTTGCAATTAAACACAGAATGCATTCTCAGTTCATGACTCATAGCTGCTGAAGAGTTCCTTTTAGAGAATGAATCTGTAATTTAGTTTTTCTATTTTCTATGAATGCATTTGACTGCTTTATCTTCTTTAGAAGCTCCAGCTCAGATGTGGTTGGATACTTCAATGCACTTGTGACTGAGACACAACACAGTCTAATTACAAAGCATTCTATCACTCAGGCACAGGGATATAAACAGATATATATAATATGCTTTCATCATATATTCTTATGTGCAATTTGGGCAAAATCACTGAACATTGTCTGAATTTCAGATTCCCAATTTCTAATGGGGAATTTTATTACAATTCTTTGACTCTTTTATTTTCCCACTGTTTGTGGTCTATTACTAGGTGAAACAATTTCTTCTGGTGGGATTGGCAATGCTGAAAACTTATATTACTATACATCCACCTGTGCTTATGGAGTTGAATAAGAGATATTAAGTATCATTCATTCTGGGATCACTAGAACCAGTCAGATGGTTCTGGGCCTGCACGGTCACATCGTTGCTTGAATTATTTATATGCAATTATTTTGCTTTTAAAAATAAGAGATGCAATTGGTGAAGCTGTTAAAATGACTGTAATTAAAGTAATACAAGAGAAAATGATCCAATTTTGTGGATAGCTGTTTATTCTGCATTTTACCTTTCAAAACAATTAAATTGTTGTTATACACTTATATGCTCACAGGGAATATTGGCAATAAAATTTTAAACTGGGGAAAATTAGTATTTTATATCAGCCCATTAGAAAAATAAGCAAAGAACCTAATCGCCGTCCATTAGGTTGAGACAAATGCTGGTCTCAGGAGATGGTTATTCCATTATTTTCCCTAGTAAATAAGAAAACAGGGGGGAACTTCCCTCCGTTATTCTCAGGCCTGTGAGGCCACTAGGATTGGTAGTTAAAGGGCCATAATTTGGTAAGAGTTTCTATGGCCCACTGAGTTATCCAATGATGATGGCTTAAACTATACTTTAACCCTACACCTGCCTCAACTGATTCCCCACTCCTCCTTAGGTTAGAAAATTGCATTGCCCTGGAGGTTTGTGTATTTGGGTGTCTGGGTAGACTTGATCCTTCTGCCATTTTTCAATTAAATGAAAATTCACAATGAAATTACATTCTAAATGTCTTTCAAAAAGTACGAACAATTATTCATTACTCTATTTGAATAGCTCAGTAGCCTTTAGTTTTCATCTGAATTTTAATCTAATTGATAACGACCTTCAGCCAACTTCCTTCTCTTTCAAATTCCCTAATCACATTTTACAACCCTACCATCAGACTGCCCTGAAATAGGCACATCCACGTGGAGGTGCCAAGGAAATCTATGTAGGCTTGAAACACTTAAAAAGAACTGGAGTGGACAAGAAAAAGAAAGATCATCCAAGTTCTTCAAGTTTACAAAATGTAATATCTGGTAATGCATCTCATTTAATGGCCCAAAGTAATTTTCAAATTATTTTCTAAAAATAACACAGACTTTATATTTCCAGAAAACCCAAGTTCAGCATGGTATTGCAGTGTTTAATATCATTTCAGAATAGTCATAAAGCCTTGTTTTTAACATTTCTTCATCTTTAAATGAGCCTAGCATTATCTCCCTAATGATCAATAAATGTAGACCTGTAACAGTCAAGATCTATGCCAATTAATCCGGAAATGTTGGAAAAGTAACTTGAAGAGAACATTGCTCCTCAGAAATAAATCCCACAATTTAAGAGAATCAGTGGGGTTCCAGGGCTTTACTGCCACCAAGCCAAGTCACAAAACCAAATGTGAAAACAATGTAATCAAGCATTTAAATGATTTATCTGAATGCTGGATGCTTGGTTTAATAAAGCTGGGACAACTTGCCTAACTGCTTCAGTGTTTCACATTTCATGGGTTTTTATGGGGTTGTGTAGACACTAACCAGAAGACCCTATGATCTATTTTTACTAAATAAAAATTGTGCAGCCGGGCACAGTGGCTCACACCTGTAATCTCAGCACTTTGAAAGGCTGAGGGGCCGCTCACTTGAGGCCAGGAGTTTGAGACCAGCCTGGCCAACATGGTGAAGCCCTGTCTCTACCAAAAATACAAAAAATAGCTGGGCGTGGTGGCGGGCTCTTATAATCCCATCTACTTGGGAGGCTGAGGCAGGAGAATCGCTTGAACCGGGGAGGAGGAGGTTGCATTGAGCTGAGATCGCACTACTGCACTCCAGGCTGGGTGACAGAGTGAGATAAATAAAATTTTAAAAAATTAGGCATAGTATTGTACATGCCTTGAATTTATATAATGCTCTCTATTATGGCATTTTACAAGAGAGAAGATTTAAAGTGTGCCATCTGACTTGCAAGTAAAAAGAGCATCTCCAAAATGATACTAGTTACTGTGAAAATATAGCAGCAGACAACTTGTTCCTGGGAAACAAAAGGATGATTACAAAAATCCATCACCAAAAGCTCGTTTGAAAGCCTTATCCTGCAAGAAAGGGCTCAGCTGTTAGAGTTCTGCTCCTTATATCAGTCCTTCCCCTTACCACTTCCTTCTGGTACTGCCTGATCCAGGTTACAGGTGTTTAGGCCATTTTAGAGAAGAATGAGAATGTACCAACATGCAATGGGCATTTTCTTGGAGCATCTGAATCCATTCTAAGAGTCAGTCTAAGACTGATCCAAAGAAAGTAAGAGGAAAGCGTCCAGGCATGGTGGCTCAGGCCTGTAATCCCAGCATTTTGGGAGGCTGAGGCAGGTGGATCACCTGAGGTCAGGAGTTCGAGACCAGCCTTGGCCAATGTGGAGAAACCTCGTCTCTGCTAAAAATACAACAATTGGCCAGGTGTGGTGTCACGTGCCTATAGTCCCAGCTACTCGGGAGGCTGAGGCAGGAGAATCGCTTGAACTCAGGAGGTGGAGGTTGCAGTGAGCCGAGATCGCGCCACTGCACTCCAGCCTGGGCGACAAGAGTGAGATTCCATCTCAAAAAAAAAAAAACAAACGAACAAAACAAAAAAAATGAAAAAGCTTCATCCTAAAAGAAACAAAATACACATAATTAGGCCAAATGGAATGGGCCTAATAACTTCATCTAAAATGAAAATCTGATCTCAAAAGTGTACAGATGGGAGTAAATGTGTTTTTAATATTTTATCTTACTTTCTTGCACTGCATGATTTCAGTGTCGGTTCTGTTTCTATTTAATTCCAAAAGGGCTTCATATTTAAGGATTTCTTCAACTCTGCGACAAGAAAAATTAAGGGTAGTTTTGAAGAGATAAGCTCTTCGGAGACTAAAGAACATTTTTTCAAAGTTTATCTTCTGACAGCACATTAATATTTTTATTCTGAAGTCTTTGTGGTTTTAGGGTAGACCGAACAGCATTGACAACAACTTAGTAATGATCCTAGTAACCACGGCACCTCCCTCACCTCTTAGCTGGTGTGTAATTAACAGTTTAAAAATTATCCTGAGTAGGAAATAGTTGTCCAGTATTATTGCCTCTGCGCAATTTGACCAGCTGCCAGCTGAGAAACCTTTGTGGCAAAACTTTATAAGCTTATCTCTTGGTTCATTTGGGTTAATGGCGGGGAGAAAGAAAGGACAGTCTTCAAGTTGCTGCTAATTAAAATGATTGCTATGACTCCTCTCTGAGGACTACTCTTTCAGTTATAAAGTGCATGTGTAAATGGAGCACCCCAGGCATCTGCAAATTCAGAAAAGCAAGTCACAACCACTGAGGCTTTTTTTTTTTTTTTTTAAACTAACATACAATAGGCTCAGCTGGAAAATAAAATGGTGAGGGAATCTGTTTACAAGAGCTCTTTAGATTTTCTTGTATGATAACCTGTTTTGAGGAACATTGGGAAAATATTGGTTTTTTTTTTCTTTTTTTTTAAGGGCAATTAATGGAAGTTGGATTTCACATTTATGGGACAAAGTTCTCACCCGCCATTTAAATTTTTCACAAAGGGGGCTTCTGATGTTTTGGGGAATATTAGTGCCATCACAGCTACTGTCACTGTCCCACTCATGAACCAAGGGCATCTTACTACAAGCACCATGCCTCTCTACCAGAGGTCAGTCTCCAGCCATTGCTCAAGTTGTGCATAGGACAGGCTCATTCTGGGAAATTAGGCTTCCTGGAGCAGCCATCCATAAATGACAACAGGAATGGATAGATAAATACCACAAGCCTCCTTGGCTCTTAGATGGAACAGGTCTGAGATGTTCCCTCCACTGTCTCACAGAAGTTCCCAGTGGGATTGTACCCCAGCTACCCTCAGGTGGTAACCACCTATTATGCAACTTCTACTGGCTTCCTTCCTTTTTATGTCCTGTTTCCTCATTTTCCTTTCAGTAATTGTTGGGATCACCTACCAAACAAGCTATGTGCACTCAAATCCTTGATTCAGGATCTGCTTTGCAAGAATGCAACCCAAGACAAGTGCTATTGCTAAGATAGAGCTACAGAGATATTCTAGCTTGTACGGATCCAGATAAATCACTTCTCATTTTATTTATCTCCTTAACTTCCTTAATCACAACCCAAAAAAAGGAGCCCCAGTAAAATATGCAAAGCTTGGCAACACCTAAACAATACAAAGGATTATTACACATCTGATACCAAAACATTAATAAATGTTCATGGGATTTTGGTAAACAAATCAAATTTTAAAAGAACTCACTTCCAAGCATTTCATATCACTTGTGATACTGTCATACAGTCACAGGGATATCTAGGAATTTAGGTTAGACACCTATTAACTGGAAACATGATTAGTTCATTGAATACTAAACATAGCACAAGTCACTGTCTCCTCTCCATGACATATTTCAGTTGAAAATGGAAAATCTGAATGTAAAACATTTAGTATATTCACTTCAAATAATGCATATTCTATATTTAACTATTTGGAGGAATTACCACTTTTTTTTTTTTTTTTTTTTTGAGACAGAGTCTGGCTCTGTCGCCCAGGCTGGAGTGCAGTGGCGCGATCTCGGCTCACTACAAGCTCCGCCTCCCAGGTTCATGCCATTCTCCTGCCTCAGCCTCCCGAGTAGCTGGGGATACAGGCACCCGCCACCACGCCCGGCTAATTTTTTGTATTTTTAGTAGAGACAGGGTTTCACCGTGTTAGTCAGGATGGTCTCGATCTCCTGAGCTCGTGATCCACCTGCCTTGGCCTCCCAAAGTGCTGGGATTACAGGCGTGAGCCACCACACCTGGCCTTTTTTTTTTTTTTTTCTGCTTTCAACTAGGTGTTCGCCATGCCTTTTCCAACATTGGGCTTTGTATTGTTATTAAACAATGCCTACAAGGCCCTTTCCTCGACCCTCCTGAGTCTTTTAAACACACATATGTTCTATTGACATTCATAATAAAGTAGAAAACAGAAGCTTTTAACAGCACAAATCAAGCTACCTCTCTCATTCCCCAAATTTGTCCTGATTATCTGGATACTACAAGGACATGTACCCTTTTAGCCCAAACCATTCAGTTGTTGAGGTTACTTTGAATGTGACTACACATGCAAACCAGATAAAGAAAACAAACTGAATTCAATAAACTCACAGGTCATTTACAAAATATTAACCCAGTTGTTAAATAGTTGCAGCTGGTCAGAGAAAAGGGCTGATGAAACTTATGCCACAGACTCAGCCTCCCAGTATTTGAATGAATTTTGTTCCATATTATAGTTGCAGATTTCACAATTAATTTAGCCAAACACAAGTGCATTATTTTCATCACCCTTAAGAAAACCCTTATAATCCTGAAGTAATTTAGTAGATGTCCCTCAGAAGTTTGTGGTCCACAGTCGTAGTTTTGTTCTCTTGCTTTTTTTAACGTTCTCCAAAACCCTTTGACTCTCATTCCGCTACAAATTGGAGTGTTTACCTCAGAAAGAATGACTGTGGCTACCAGGGGGAAAGCTGAGAGTGAGTCCAATTTCTTTTGGCCTGTTTGGCTTTTTCTGGGTTGCTTTGAATGCCAGATTTTAAAAGATGGACTAAGTACCATCTCACACCAGTTAGAATGGTGATCATTAAAAAGTCAGCAAACAACAGATGCCGAAGAGGATGTGGAGAAACAGGAACGCTTTTACACTGTTGGTAGGAGTGTAAATTAGTTCAACCATTGTGGAAGACAGTGTGGCAATTCCTCAAGAATCTAGAAGCAGAAATACCATCTGACCCAGCAATCCAATTACTGGGTATATACCCAAAGGATTATAGATCATTCTACTATGAAGACACATGCACACATATGTTTATTGTGGCACTATTCACAAAAGCAGACTTCGAACCAACCCAAATGCCCATCAATGATAGACTGGATTAAGAAAATGTGGCACACATACACCATGGAATACTATGCAGCCATAAAAAAGGATGAGTTCATGTCCTTTGCAGGGACATGGATGAAGCTGGAAACCATCATTCTCAGCAAACTAACACAGGAACAGAAAACCAAACACTGCATGTTCTCACTCATAAGTGGTAATTGAACAATGAGAACACTTGGACACAGGGAGGGGAACATCACACACTGTGGCCTGTTAGGGGGTGGGGGGTAAGGGGAGGGATAGCATTAGGAGAAATACCTAATGTAGACGATGGGTTGATGGGTGCAGCAAACCACCATGGCACATGTATACCTATGTAACAAACCTGCACGTTCTGCACATGTATCCCAGAACTTAAAGTATAATAAAAAATAATAAAAAACGATGGACTAAGAAAAGAAAAATGAGAAAGAAAATAACAAATTTTGCCCTTCTTTTCTCCTGAAAGCATATGACCATTGCTGGACTTCTGAAATCTAAATCAGATCATCACTGCAGCTAATAGGTAAGTAAGTATAAACAAGTGCCTCAAGCCTTGGTATAAACCATGTATTTCATATTCTTCATTTATGGTGACTAAAATTGAATTCAAATTGCATTTTGTGGTATTTTGACTTCTCCTAAGGCATGTGCTTCTAGGAAATGAGGGAATCCAGGCTCTTTCTATGACCGCTGCTGATACTGTCACACTGTGTACCTATCCTTTTCCTCTGATTCTCCTCAGCACCTGCTCCTATCTTTCTAGAAAATTAGGATTCTACGAATTAGATGGAATGAATGCATTATATACCAGCAAGAATCCAAATAGAAAGATATTTTGGAAAGAGACATGTAATAAGAGTATGCCCATTTGGAATACTAAATATTTTATTGATGTAACAGAGAAAAGACTAATGAAATTTGCATATTAGGCAAAGCTGAGAGAGATCCCAGATATTTTAGAAGTCAGAATTGAAACAAAATGAAGTCCTGATCAATCAGATAAGCCATTCTGACTTCAAAGAAGACAATGATAAAATACTGAATAATAAATAATACAAAGACTCCTCTATGTAAAGGGATTTTAAAAATTCAGATAGAATAAAAAATAAATGTGCAAAAAATTCTATAATGTTATTCAACTTGAATGTGTTAAAACACATTAAAGTGAAACTTTGTGCATATTATTATTGAAGTAAGGTTGTTTACATAGTTGGAAAATCATTAACTTTAAAGTCAGAAGAGGGATTCAAATTTTGGCTCCTCCATTTTCTAGCTGCATACCTGTAGATTAATTATATATCTTATTTTAGACTTTTCTTTAGGTATGAAACTGAGGTAATAACATTTGTTTCACAGGATGCTGTAAGGGTTAAATGAGCTAATGTAAGTCAGTGGTTCTCAAAGGGGTGATTTTTTTCCCCTAGGGGACATTTAGCAATGTCTGAAGACATTTTTTTGTTGTTGTTGCAATGGGGTGGGGTTGTGGTGTAAGTACTACTGGTATCTAGTGAGTAGAGGCCAGGGATGCTGTAATATTATACTAAGCATTCTACAATGCATAGGACAGCCCCTTATCAAGGTTGGGAGAACCCTTGTGAAGTGCATAGCCATTACCTGGTATGTAGTAAACAAGAGCCATCTATAGGTATTAGTTTAATTATTGAACTTGAATAAGAATATATAGAATCAACTTAATTTTTCTCAGAAGAGACAAGAGAAGAAAGTTGTAATATTAAGTTGAGCCAAACATGCTGACAGTGATCCTGGGTATAACCACTGAAGGCCTTTGTGGGACAAACTAAAATGCCCATTTCAAACTTTTTAAACACTAAAAACAAAAGGTAAAATTTGAGCCATTAAAAAGTGTTGAGACCATTAAAGAGTTGTTTTTGCTGGGGTGATGCGAGGCCTATGGAAAATTTTAAATTACACAAACAAATAAGACTGGATTTAACACATTTCAAGGTATTAAAGCTATTAAGATCACTAGACTGTGAAATATGCTACCAAGGAAGTGCCAGATCTACCACCAATTGAGACACTTAAAACTCAACTAAAACATTACAAAGTATATTTCTGGGAAAAGGGAACTAGCAAAGAAGGGGATCAAACTGCTAATTCAAGAGTTTTTTTTTCTTTCTGATATTTGTATTTCAGCAGCTATTTTTAAAATGGTAGGAGGCAAAATGTCAAATTGGAAACAAGTTTCATGAGATGACCCATAAAATTACTTACTTGATCACTTTGGCAAAGACCATGGAAATTGACAACAGCTTACTATTGTAAAAAAATTAAAGCTGTTAAAGAGTTTCCTCTTCGATATTATAATCAAATTAGCTTTAGTATCTACAAAGTAGACAATGGAGTTGACTTTGAGCCAAAACAAAATTTTTTTCAGACATTAACGAAACCACCTGGAAATGGTTACATAAAAGATAATGATAAAGTTCACTGTAATGATTTTTAAATTGATTGCCTATCCCATTTTAGTTGCAGTTTCTTTACCTCATGAATGGCATAACTATTCACAAATCTTTTAAAATATTTAAGGATTAATGTTTGAGAAGTACTTTGTACACTGACAGCATATATATACTAGCATACTATGCTTCATCCTCTTTAATAAGAAAGCCATTTGACAAGAACCATCTCAACCGATTAAAACAAAACAAAATCACAAATTCACGAGGTAAGCAAAATACAGAAAATGCAGACAAGTCAGGCTATGTGACTTGCTGAAGGCCAGTTGGTATATTTATAAGGTAGGGGTAGCGTGACAAAATTAGATTTCCCTGACAACTGGTCTAGTACCCTTTCTGCTGTTTTGACTGCCTTCCTTCCACTCCTTCAAGTGAGTGCTAATAAATGAAAGAGAACATGCTTAAGTCTTATATTATCCAGGCATCTAAATGTTTATTTCCCTAAATTTTCAGCTCCCGGTTCATGGTTGAGTCCCTACATGTAGCAGTTGGACATTTGATAAATATGCTAAATTAATAAATAAAAATTGAGATTTTGCTAGCTTCAACAGATAGACTACTAGAGTTTAGATGAGATGGATATATTTTCTTAAGAATATCCATTAGTCAAGACAATCTCTGTTCTTGGTTAAGTCTTTTTGAATTAGCAACTATGAATTGTCAAGTCTTGTCTAAATTAAGATGTGTAATATACGAAAGTGCTCTGAAGTAGAAGAAATGTATAATGATTTGTTCTATTTTCATCACCATTAGCTGAAAGCTGGAATATGTTAATTAAAAGAAAATATTTCTGAACACTCAATGGAGTTCACAAGGGGAACACCTTAGTAATTTTCCACTACTGGAAAAGTTGTCATGTAAAGAGGCATTGGGTTTACGCTATATGATCCAAGAGGGCAGAACTAAAACCAAATGATTTTGGTTTTGGACTAGCAAAGACTATCCCCACGTGGGAATGGCTTCCTCTGGAAGAAATGATTATCTCATTTTTGGAAGTGTTCAAATGGGGATGGGGGCCATCATTCACTGGGAAAACTGTGAGAGGGATTCAGACATTGAGTAGAAGCTGGGTTTAACACACTCACAAATTCCATCTTTGAGTTTCTATTATCATGATGGATAGAGAGATATAAATTAGTGAAATTGCTACCTAGCTCTCTACCTCAAAAACTAGTACTACCTAAAAAAAAGTTGTACTTAAAAGAAAATTTCAACAGACTTTATTAGCAATGGGGGTCCCACTTTATTAAACAGTGCAGTCAAAATGCACTCATGTTTAGCCAGACTTTTCCTATTTGGGCACAATGTTTCTAATTGAAAGTAAGATAGATGGGATACTGAAATCTAAGCAGCGCCAGTAATGGCTTCTAATTATTTTGTTGTAAAAACATAGGCATTTTTTCTCTTTTAATGGCTGTGTTTTCCTGCTGTTTCCAATTGCAACAGCTTCTTTAAGAAACTGTGTGAAATACTTCCTAGGTAATCATTTGGCTAGCCCCAAATGACCAATTTATGACAGCTACGCTAAATAATATTACCGGAATTCAGTGGTACTGCCCAGTCACAGAAGTGAGTGTAAAATACACTGCAATTTAACTCTCCCCACAGGATCATGGCTGTAATCTCACTGTTGGAGAAACTGCTTACTTCCCAAATGTGTTTGCAAAACACCAACTGACCAAAAGAGTGATAAATTCAATTAGTCAAATTAAGATGTACTCACAAAGTACAAGGCTCTGGGATGGGCTAGAAATGATTATTTTTCCAAAAAGGCATTTTTTTAAACAATAGTATGCATAAGCATAGTCAGTGGATTCATTAAAATGCCCAGTCATCGGTTCCACTCCGAATTTTCGGATTCAGCAATGCTGGGTAAGGCACAGAAATGTATATTTTTAACAAGCAATGCAGGGGAGACCAAAGGAAGTGGCACATGGACTATATTTTGAGAAACACTGGCAATCCTTCTATATACTATGCTTTAGTTTTTCCCAGATTATGAGTTATAAACATAGTTGCTTTCCATGTATAAATGTTTTTATTCAGAATTATGCTACTCAGGAAACTTAAATATAATTTGATAACCCTTCCTTTGGAACTGATCATTATTCTTATATCCATTTTTTGGAGGAGAAAACTGAGACACAGAGAATTAATTTCAATTCTCAACCTTTCCAAAATAACACTGAATTACCTCCGGTTAGCAAGTAAGCTTGGCTTTTGTACTGCTGAGACCCTAGAGAAGCCCGGTCCAACAGAACTTTCTGTGATGATGGATATGGCCTGTGACATCAAAGATAGCTAATAGCTAATAACTCTGTGTGGTTATTGAGAATGTGCAATGGGGCCAGTGTGACAGAAGAATTACTTTTCTAATTTTAGTTGATTAAAATTTAAATTTATATAGGCACACGGGGCTAGTGGCTACTGTTTGGGGTATCATAGCTCTAGACAGGACTTTTGGGAGACGTAATTTTTGGGGGCAAGCTCTTAGAACTGTTTCCTGAAACAGGGTGAACAATGGGAAGAATGAGGAAGACATTAGGAAGATGTTGGAAGTTAATGTAGTGCACCTGGAAAAGTTTTTGTTGTTGTTGTTCTTTGCCCACCAGACAACAGGCCACATGCCCAGTATTTTGCTGGACTAAGCTACCACGCTTCCAACAACCTTATGTAATAAAACAGATGCCTTTACCTTCTGACTAAATTCAGTCTGTTGACCTGTGATTCTCTCTCTCTCTTTCTTTTTTATAGATGCTGGCCTTTTTTGCAGTGAGTTACCTCTAATATACACTTACTGAAAGCACACATCTTCACAGCTGAAAATAAAAATAAAATATATTCCATTACAATTTTGGTGACATCTCTCCTAGCAGATCTTGTAAGCTGTATTTCCCAAGCAATACCGCTTTTGATCACTTTCTCAATTCCTCACATGAAATATTCATTGTAGTGAAATGTCTTAGTAAGGCAGGTTTAAGAGAGAAGAGGGAAAACAAATACTGAACCATGTTCCAAGAATATGGTAAAAACAAAAGAAGCAAAAGAAAGATGGAAAAATATGAGATTTTAATTAAACTACAAAAATGTTACTGATTTTTATCCCATTCATTTTTCTTGAAAGACTTTAGTCTTTATTCTCTCCTTCTTTCCCATACCATGTACAATCACACCATGGCAGGTTCTTAAAGTTTAACTGTTAGCAACTCTGGCTGCATATTAGAATCACCTGGGAACATTTAAAAACTACTGACATCCACATTCCACTCTTGGAGACTCTAGTTTATTTGGTTTGAGGAGGAGCCCTGGAATAGCATGCTTTAAGATTTTTGTATTTTAGACATCACAGGATTTTAGAAGAGGAGGGGAATTAGAAATCAATGAATCAACTCCTCTTATTTTGCAGATGAGGTAAATGTGGTCCAGAGAAGGGCAGCGACTGGTCCAGGCTCATGTAGTTAGTTATTTGTTCCTGAGCTAAGGCCAGAGTTAAAGATCTGATTCCTAAGTCTAATTCTTCTAGAACAGTACACTGCAGCCTACCTTTATCTAGACATGTTTCCTATTGGTCCTACTCTTCCTTATACAATACCACTTTTGCTTTCCCTGTGGTGTCTATTTCAAAATTTTCTTGGGTTGTATGATGCATTTGTACTGATTAACCACTTGAGGAGATTGTTATATTTACCTTTGGGTAGACTGTCTCTACCTAGAATATCTCAAATAAGGTGGTATATATTAGGTCAGAGCAGTAGTTCTCAATCTTGGCTGCGCATTAGAATCATACGAGGGATTAAAAAAATACTGATGTCTGGGTCTCCTCTCAAACCTAGTAAAATCAGCATCTCTATAGATGGGCCCTTGGCATTGGTATTTTATAAGTTTCCCGGGGGATTCTAATGTGCAGCCAAGGTTGAGAACATCTGGACCAGAGGAAGATATAAAGAAAGACTTTTAATTATTAAGTACGGGATGGTCAGAGGACATAAATGGTTATGCTGACAATATACCCCCTTGTCTAATATAATTTAATTTAATATAAATTTGCCATGTTGGCTTTACCAAGACCTCACAATTTGGGTAGTTGCCATGGTTACCACAAATGCAAGTTCATGGTTGGGAATACAGAAAATCAGTATTTCCTTCACAGTAACATGTGAGCTATGCTGAGCTCAAAGACCCAGTGACTTTTTCAGTAGCTTTGAGAGGCCTGTTTTATGTTTGCTTTCATTTCAGAGGTACTGTTCAGACTCAAGGGCCAAACCTAGGAAATTATTTTTAATTTTTCTTTTGAAAAGTTTTCTTTAAAAGAAAAATACTTTAATAAGACCTTGACGATAGTACTTTATGTAAAATGAGCTGGTTCAAGATGGAGCACAACAACCAAGAGGCATACTCTAAAGAAAGAGAGGTGGGGAAGGGAGAAAAAAAGAAAGGGAAGGAGAAGAAAGAAAATGAGAAGGAAAGATGAGTAATGAGAGGAAGGGAAAGAGAAAAAAACAGATTCGATACTCTGAACTCTTACAATTTGCAAGCATTATCTCATTCAATGCTAAAACAACCCTCGAGCTAGGTGCTATTATATTTGTCATTATTTAGTTGGAAAGACTAATCCTCAGAGGAATCCACTTGTTCAAAGTTGCCAGATTCATAAGAAGATATTTGAATCTTGGTCAGGGTTTCTAGCTGGCTCTGTGACTTTAATAACTTCAGTATCCTCCCTTTCCGACTTAGTTGTTGTCTTCTCAATCAGAGTGGGAATTATTACTAACTGGACTTCTCCATTTGTATTACACGTGTCATGCACAGAAAAATGCAAGAGGTATGTGTTAGCTGTCATTGGTTCTAGTTCTTCACTGTTCCCTTCCTGTATCCATGCCCTTTGACATGTGACTTTGCAACTCTTCCCTCTATAGAGTTGTGTATTAGTCCATTCTCACACTGCTATGAAGAATACCTGAGACTGGGTAATTTATAAAGGAAGAAGGTTTAATTGACTCACAGTTCCGCATGGCTGGGGAGGCCTCAGGAAACTTACAATCATGGCAGAAGGCAAAGCAGGCACTTTCTTCACAAGGCGGCAGAAGGAGGTGAGTGCAAGCAGGGGAAATGCCAGACGTTTTTAAACTATTAGATCTCATGAGACTCTCACTTTCATGAGAACAGCATGGGGGAAACCTCCCCCATGATTTAATTATCTCCACCTGGTCTCTCCCTTGACACGTGGGAATTATGGGGATTACAATTCAAGATGAGATTTGGGTGGGGACACAAAGCCTAACAATATCAAGTTGTATTGTATTTCCTCAACTCTTGAGTTTGAATTTGGCCATATGATTTGTTTTGGCCAACAGAATGAGATGAAAATGATGGTGTGCCAGTTCCCAGTCTAGGCAAAAGTCTTTTGTGCCTCCACCACGCCATAAAGAGGTCAGACCCTCAGTGATCCAAGGAAGAGAATGAGAAGTATTTGGAGCCAACTCACAGACCTGTAGTGTGAAGCAGAGCTACCCCCAGCCACATCTTTGATCAAAGTCCAGCTGACCTGTTGACCAATCTCAGACACGTGAGATTGCCCAGCTGAGTTCAGTAAGCCACCCAGTCCAACCACAGATGTGTGATTTGTGAGCAAGCCCAGCTGGAGTCAGTAGAACTGCAGATGTATAAGCGAATCAAATACTATATCTATCTATCTATCTATCTATCTATCTATCTATCTATCTATCTCTCTCTCTCTCTCTCTCTCTCTCTCTCTCTCTCTCTCTCTCTCTCTCCCCCTGAGATTTTGTGATTCTTATGTCTAGTAGCTCATATTACAGGATAAGAGAGAGCTAATATCACTGTACTTTTGAATATGTGGACACATAAAAGCACGCAAGGGCAGTCTACGTGTGCTACAGTCAAATACCTGTACAACATGACTGCTGGGAGGAAAAAACACCCTGTTGTTTATCTCTCCTGGTCACACAATGTCAAGTAATCCTGAGCCACAGGGATATTTCTTTCCTCCATGGTAACTGATCTGTAGCACACTACTTGTTAAAAAGGACATCGAGTCAGAGGGAGAAGACAAAGAACTTTACAGTCATAAGGTTGATCTGTGGCTCCAGGAATGTTATTCTGAAATATCCTATAGCCTGAAGGTGCATAAATAGCCAGTGGGTCCTCCCTTCTTTATAAAGATATCACATATTGCTGATCTTTGCTTCTACTGAGCACTATTCTTAACAGCTATTCATAACCTTTAGGGACTAGACACTAAGAACAGTGGTGACTCTCAAGGTTAGGTAAGTAGGAAAGGAAGATGAGGTTGGAAAGAGTAATAAAGGGAGACAGTTTTTATAATACACATGCCTATCTTGCCAGAATTGCTGGTGGGAAGTCATATGCATATTTTATAAAATCACCCAACATACTCTGGTACTTATGAGGTTCCAGTTGAGAAAGACTTCACTAAGAGCAGTCTTTTCAACTTTTTCAGTCTATGGCCCATCTTTCCTATGAAATCCCACTTTCCACAATGAAAAAGAATTCTATGATTACCAAGAATTATAGAGAAGCAAAATAAATAACTTGTAGTAAAAATTTTTTGTTGGCAATGTATATGAATCTCATTATTAACTTTCAGAAATATGAGTCTTTAAACAAGATTCTGAGAGTCCTTGTACATTTTTGAAGTTTAGGAATCCAACTTCCCAAGAAATGAAGGAACAATGAATTCATATTTGAACTTCAATGCATATACATCTTAACTTCTAGTTATTGGAAAATTATACATAAAAATATTGTTGATGCAAAAATGTATCCCTACTCACTGTAAGGTGAACAAACAACTATTCCCAAGCCAAATTAATAATGATGAAGCTAAATTGGCAGCATTTATAATTAAAATTCAAGGATTACAGCAATTAAAAACCACAATCAAATGAAGACAGCACTGATGATAAACTCACTGATTACAAATTGCCCTTTCTGGAATTTGGTGGAATTCCAACTGCATATATACTTAGAATCACATGTGGCAGCCCCATTTCTAGAGTGCAAATGAAAATCTTTAGTAGACTCTAGCAATCTACTAGAAAGAACAAAGCTGCGTCTTGATTATTTTGTTATGAGAATGCAAGGATGCTTTCAAAAGTTCTGGAGTAGTATCAAAGGGAACCAACCTAAAGGGGCTCCCAGTGGTCAAATTGTGGCACTGGATAATGAAAAGAAAATAACAATTGTAGTCAATACTATTTCTGAGCATGAGATCTATGATCAATAGAGAAATATTAATAGGTATGATCATAAGATTTTCTGCTGCAATGCAATGGCCATCTGTGTGGAAAATGTTCATAAATTAGATGATATTTTGTACACTATTACAAATATTAATGGACTGCAACAAGGCATTCAATTCATGGCTGCAAAAATAGATGTTACTGGGCTACAGCCTAGAGACTGGATATATTAATATTTCAAAATTCAGCAGAAAGGACATCACTTCAATTGCACTGGATGGGACCATCCAGTGGTCCTTCTAACCACTCACCAAATGACAAGGTCTCATGCTTTCCAGCCCTGAATCTTCTTTCCCCCTGTAAGATGTCTGCTGCACTCACTAAGAGCTCCTTACTCGTAGTTTCATGTATCACCTTATAGCCATAAAAATAAATTGTATGTATTTTCTACTAGCCCAAAATTTGCTCTTTAGAATGCTCACCTTGTAGATAAAAATTAAGATTATAATCATAGACTTTTCCTTGCCTTTTGAGAACAACCGACCCTCAGGAAAACCATGCTTCCTTGAATTCCCCCACAAAATCACCAAAAAGCCCATATCCTATAAGAAGACTCTTCTCACACCCTCTTCCTGAGCTGCCTCACGGTTTCCTATCATGTACTGTCTTCCTCATTACCTTGGGCCAATAAACCCAATTTTTTCAACCATAACTATGTCTCTGATGGTCTTCGGCTAGAAGGCACTGACGTCGCAAATAAGATTTGACCTGGACCACTTCAAGAACAAAATCAAGAGTTAACTTTAAAGTATACACTACAAGTAAGTGTCTTCTGCTGAGAAGGAGAGAGAGGAAAGAGAGGAGAGAGAGAGAGAGGAAAGAGAGGACAGAGAGAGAGAGGAAAGAGAGGACAGAGAGAGAGAGGAAAGAGAGGACAGAGAGAGAAAGGAAAGAGAGGACAGAGAGAGAGAGGAAAGAGAGGACAGAGAGAGAGAGGAAAGAGGAGAGAGGGAGAGGAAAGAGGAGAGAGAGAGAGAGGAAAGAGAGGAAAGAGAGAGAGGAAAGAGGACAGAGAGAGAGGAAAGGGAGGAGAGAGAGAGAGGAGAGAGGAGAGGGAATAATAACCACTAAAGTAATTAAACCTAAAAAAAAATCACCATAAGTTACTATGTTGATCTCCCTGGATTTGCTAATATAATTACTACCTTTCAATTCTAAGGTACAAGATTTTGTCATTCCGGATTGGAGGTAAATGTCAAAGAATGATTAACTAAGATCAAAATGATATACCTTTTTCTACTCAGTATTCATTATACAAATGATTTTAAATACTGGGTGTGTGCCCTTAATATTCAGGGCTCTAAAAAAGAAGGTACTTTAATTGAAAAAAATTATGCATACATTTCAAATAGTGCAGAAAGTATGCATGGTTTAATTATCTGCAGGTTCACTGCAGAATCAAATTCAAAGCAAGAGGGTATTTAAAAGCCAAGAGGTGTGTGTGTGTGTGGGGGGGGAGGGCATGTGGAAATGCCCCTTTTAAGAAAAATATGAAAATAGAAATGTCTCTCTTTAATAAAATAAGTAGTTTTAATTAGAGAAGAAAATAAAGCTAATCACTTTGACTTAAAATACAGAGCCTCAATTATTCAGATGGGGTCTGCAAGTAACTTCGACTGTGATGTTAAGAATGGTGAATTTATAATCTGGTAAACTAAGAAGTTGCTCTGAAAAGGTAACTAATCAGGATGAAGCAAATGTCTGAATATTACGCTGTACTCTGCTATCTGCTTTAATTCACAAACTTCTCTGTTGAGCTTTTCTTCTTTTATTTGTAAAGAGATTCTCTTGCTGTCAAACCGTTTTGCAATGAGAACCTGTCTTACCCATCTGAACTTCAAACACGCATCATTCTGTAGGTATCATGGTTGGTGAGAAAAAGTTTTAAATAATTTAGGAATTGTCATAAAATATGGTTAATGTGGGAAACAGCGATAGTTAATGTCATTAATTACTTTTTAAAAACATTGGCTGTATTAAAACCTAAGACAAACTTATTGCTTATATTTTAGGATTTTTTTCTGCCCCAACCTGAATTCTTCATTCCAGTAACTCTCTAAAAAGGTAACTGTCTTCCACAGTGTAGACATATGACAAAACATCACACCGTGCCCCATAAATATGTAATACAGTTGTCCCTTGGTATCTGTGGGAAGTTGGTCCCAGGACAGCCCCCTTACCACCAACCTGCCCTAGTGGATGTCAAAATCTGAAGATTCCCAAGTCCCTTATATAAAATGGTGTAATATTTGTATATAACCTACACATATCCTCCCGTATACTTTAAAGCATCTCTAGATTGCTTATTATACCTAATACAATGTAAATTGCATGTAAATAGTTGAATAGTTGTTATGCTGTGTTGGTTTTTAAATTTGTATTTTTAAATTGTTGTATTGTTATTACTTATTTATTTATTTGAGACGGAGTCTTGCTCTGTTACCCTGTCTGGAGTGCAGTGGCACAATCTCGCTTCACTGCAACCTCTGCCTCCCAGGTTCAAGCGATGCTCCTGCCTCAGCCTCCCAAGTAGCTGGGATGACAAGCATGCACCACCATACCCAGCTAATTTTTTGTATTTTTAGCAGAGATGGGGTTCCACCATGTTGGCCAGGATAGTCTGGAATTCCTGACTCCAGGTAATCCACCCGCCTTGGCCTCCCAAAGTGCTGGGATTACAGGCATAAGCCACAACACCCGGCCTGTATTGTTATTTTTATTGTTTTCTTTTTCCAAATATTTTTTAACCATGATTGGTTGAATCCACAGATGCAGAGGGCCGACTGTATATACAGTAAAAAAAAAAAAAAAAAAAAAAAGGTTAGTGTGACTTGCATTGTCTGAAACAGCTCCTACATCTATAGTTTCTTACCCCTGAAGCTGTTTGAAAAATGAAAAAGTGATTCTAACACATCCCAAACCTGAAGTCCAACATGAGGCTTTGCTTACTGTTCTCGATTCCTTCACAAAGGAATCAAAGAGATCATGACACATGACACAGTGTTGTGTATACATAGAAGACACTACAAAGAGAAGCAAATCAGCCATCCTGCCAAACCAGAAATTTAGTGTCTGGATTATGAGAATTTTCTCTGGGAGGTATTAGATAGACTTGAAGAGCCACAAAGAATTAAAATCTGTATGTTTGGAAAGAAAATTAACTTCAATTATTTGGTCTTCTGAAACCATTATAGTTATGAACTTCATTAGTTCCATGCAGAAAGTTTCTTTACAGGAAAGTTTGGTGTGTATATGTGGAGGGAAGGGTTTGGGAAGGGGTTCTGCTTATTTTCTGTATTTATTTTTATGACAAGAATAAGCTCTTTGTGCTGATTTCAACTCTCTCTAAAAACAAAGCGGAAACAAGCACCATAACAGAGAAAAAGAATGAGTGAGCGAGACAGAGAGAGAGATAGGAAATACATTTGCTCCAGGCTTTCTACCTAGGAAGATTATTGATTCTTGCTTTTATATATGTAAAAACATGTATAATTGACTTGAAAACGCTAAAGTTAATATTTCTACCTAACTGTCATTCTCTGGTATATAATCCCTGTTATTATCTCTTATTTTCATTCTGTTAACATTTCTGGAAATAGTGTACATATTGAAAAGAGCACAGGTAGGTGTAATGAATTTTCTCTAAGTAAACACACTCATGTAACTAACTAGATACAAAATTGGCAGTACCCCCATAAAGTCTGCATGCTCCCTTCTATTCACTAACCTCAGTTCCCCAAAGGTAAGCACTCTCCCAGTTTCTAACACCAGAGATTAATTTGCCTGTTCCTGAGTTTACTGTAAATGAAATCTTATTGTGTGTACTCATTGGGTCTGCCTTCCTTTTCTCAATATTGCCTTTGTGAGATTCAAATAAAACACATGATATTGTGTGTGGCCCTAATTTTTTCATTTTCATTCCCTTGAATGAATTTACTTCAACTTATTTAACTGTTCTAGTATTAATGGATCTTTGGATTGCTCCCAGGATTTTCATTTTGTCTTGCTTTTTCTTACTATTGTGAACAATCATGTAATGAACATTGTACATATTTTGTGCATCACGAATGTAGGCATTTTGTTGGGTTTGTTGCTAGGAATGGAATTGATGGGGCATGCGATATGCAGATGTTCAGCTTTAGTAGATACTGCCAAGCAGTTCTCCAAGGAACAAAGTGTATCAATTTACACTCCCAACAACAGTGTGTGAGGCTTCCAGTTACTCCACGTTCTCACCGGCATTTGGTATTATTAATTGTTTCAATTCTACTTATTCTGGATAGTCTGAATTCATTGTGATTTTACTTTGCATTTCCCTGAGGTCTAATGAAATTAAGCATCTTTATATATGCTTATAGGCTATTTGGCTATTCTTGTTAGTTAAGTGCCTGTTCAAGACTTTCGCGTTTTTTTTCCTGAGTTGTCTCCCTTGTTCTCATTGATTTGCAGGAGATCTTTCTGAATTTTATGAACAAGCCCTTTGACACTTATATGTATTCCAAATATCTTCTAACAATCGGTGGCTTGCCTTTTTACTCTCTTAATGGTTCTTGTGATGAAATTACTACCTTAAAAAATATAGCCTGGTGTGGTGGCACACACCTGTAGTCCCAGGTACTCGGGAAGCTGAAGTGGGGGAATCACTTAAACCCAGGAGTTCCAGTCCAGCCTGGACAACATAGCGAGACCCCATCTCTAAAAAAATGACTATCACTTTTTTCTTTCTGGTGTTTTTGTGTCTTGTTTAAGAAATCATTACAGTATCATGTCTATTACAATATCATGAAGCTATTCTATTCTTTTTCTGGATGATTTATTTAGCTTTTCATCATTAGATCTACAATCCTCCTGGAATTGATATTGGTGTGTGGTATAAGGTGATTAAGATGATTTTTTTTCCATTTATTAAAAGGACCAGACTTTTTCTCATACTGTTATATTACAACCTTTATTGTAAATCAAATGTCCATATATTTGTCAGTCGATTTCTAACTCTATTATTTTCTATTGGTCTATTTGTCTATCCTTGCAGAGATACCACACTGTCTTAATGTAGTCTTACAGTAAGTCTGATTACTAGTGGTGACAAGCTTCTAGCTTTGTTTCTCTCATACAAGATTGTCTTGACTTTTATTGGGTCTTTAATTTTTTTCTGCATCTATTGTGATAATCGTGACTTTTTCTTCTCCTTTATTCTGCTACATTAGTGAATGAATTGACTGATTTCTCTAACGTTAGCCAACCTTGCACTCATACAAGAAACTCTACTTGGTTATGATATTCATTTTATATATCACATAATCTGATATGTCAATATCTTACTTAAGATTTACATATATTATATATATATTTACGACAGAAAATTTGCGTAACTTTTCTTTCTTGAAAGTTCTTCGTCAGACTTTGGTAACAAGGTTATGCTGGTCTCATAAAACTAGTTGAGAAATATCTTTTTGTCCTTATTCTCTGGAAGACATGTTTTTACATTGATTCCTTAAATCTTTGAACAGATCACTTTGGCCTGGAATTTTCTCTTTGGGAAGGTTTTAAATTGCAATTCAATTCTTAGCATGTATTTATATAGATTTTCTACTCATTGCCAAAAAGTTGTTCAAAATACCCTCTCGTTATCTGAAATTTCTGTAGCCATGTCCCCTTATATATTTGTTATATTTATTATTTCACACTTTTTTCTTCATTCACTTTGCCAGGGGTTTAACTATGTCATTTGTTTTTTCAAAGAGCCACCTTATGCATTTTTTCTTCATTACTGAACAATTACTTTCATTTCAGTACTTTCTGCTTTTTGTTATTTACTTCCTTTGAATTTAATCTGATGTTTACTTTTACTAATACCTGGAGAAGAATACTTATATTGTCGATCGGCAGAGTTTTGCTTCTTTTCTAATAACGTCTTTATGGGCTATACATTTTACTCTATGTATGGCTTTAGTTTTATATGTAGTATTTTCATTATCTTTCAGTTCAAACCATTTTCTAAATATCCATTGTAATTCCTTCAATGATCCACGTGTTATTTAAAATTATATTGCTTAATTTCCAAACACATGGGCCCTTTTTTGGTTATACTTTCTGTTACAGATTTCTAGCTTAATTATGTTAGGTTCAGAAAATATACTCTGTGCCATTTCAGCCTCTTGAGATTTGTTGAGACTTACTTTCTGCCCAAGTATATGGTTAGTGTTGCACATGAAAAGAATGTGTATTCTGTAATTGTTGAGTGCTAAATTCTCTATGTATCAATTAAGTCAAGTTGTGAATCATGTGTTCTAACTTTCCATGTTACCCGATTTTCTTTTGGTTTATCAGTTACTAACAGAGATGTGTTTAAATTCTCTGCCGTGATTGTAGATTTGTTTATTGTTCCTAGTGTTTATCTCAGTGCTTTTAAAAAAATATGTTAGATGCTCACAAATATGAAATTGTTTAATCCTCATGGTAAACTAAATGTTTTACCACTATGAATTGTTCTTCCTTTTCTCTAGTTATTTTAGTAAAATTATTTCACCTTTCTTTTGGTTAGTGTTTGAAATGTTCCCTCTCACTCTTTTATGTTCAACCTATCTGTATCTTTGAATTTAAACTCTCTTGTAAGTAGCTTAGTCATTGTTTTCTTTTAGTTGAAGTTTTTCGTACATAATGGAAGTATTTGGTACATATAACTTAATGTGATTACAGATATATTTAGTATCAAATCTACTATTTTATTCTATCTGTCATTGTTGTATGTCCCCTTTGCTCTTCTCTCATGCGGTACATATAACTTAATGTGATTACAGATATATTTAGTATCAAATCTACTATTTTATTCTACCTGTCATTGTTGTATGTCCCCTTTGCTCTTCTCTCATGCTTCCTGTGGGTTTTTTTTAATATTTCATTTTTTTACCTTCTGTTAATTTATTAGTATGCTGTCTTTTAGTATCACTTCACAATTTACTCCAGGAATTATAACCTGCATTCGTAACTTTTCAAACTCTAAAATAAATTAGTAATTTTATAGTTTCCTGAATAATGGAAGGACCTTATAAAACTTTAACTCCTTTTACTCCTCTCCTGCTTTTATGCTGTTCTTTTTTGAATTTTAAATCTGTTTATATTCAAAACAGTCTAAGACATAACTGTTGTGTTATGCAGTCAGATTTATTTAGGTTTACCCATATATTTACTCTTTCCACTGTTTTTCGTTCCTTATTGCATCTGTATCCTTCTCTGTGGGATTTATTTACCTTCTCTTTTGTAGTCTCTATAGTGTATATCTGCATTTAGTTTTACTGTGAAGAATACCTTGATTAGATATTGATTTCTAGGTTGGCAATTATTTTTCTTTGGCACTTTGAGGAAATATTTTGTTACACAGTTAACTATCAGTCTTATTTTGCTCTTTGAAGGAAGCACATCTAATTTCCTTCTAGGGTTACTTCAGATTTAAGATTTTCTTTTTGAGTTTCATTTTTAGCAGTTTTATGATATGCTCAGATGTTGTTTTATTTCTAAATAATAATATGGTTATCTTTGCATATAACTTGCTTGGAGTTTGTAATGCTTGTTTTGAATGTGACTTCATAGCTTTAATCAATTTTGGAAAATTCTGTGCCTTTGTGTCTTTAAGCATGGCGCTTTCCATATTTGACTCTTTCCTCTCCTGGGATTCCAGTTGAATTCATGCACCACCTTTTCACTATTACATTATTATGCTATTTTTGTATTTTCCATCCTTTGTCTCTTTGTGATCCAGTCTGGATATTTACTCTTGCCCTGTATTACATACAGTTAACAAATTCTCTCTTCAGTTGTGTCTAATCTCCTAATAAGCCTAACCAGCAAGTTTTTATTTCAGTTATTGTATTTTTAAATTTTAGAATCTTAATTAAGACCTACTAGTTGTCTGTTCATATTTTATTTTCATTTAATCTTTTGAATATAGTTATCAAAGTAATGACACAGTTTGTGTTAAGTAACTTAGCTAGGTCTCAGATTAGTCTGTTTTTATTGTTCTTGTTTTCCCTTGAATTTTGGTGAATTCTGGTCTTTTGCAGGCTAGTTGGCTTTGATTAAATACGAGGTATTGTATACAAATAATTGTAGATATAATTTGACATTTGGGATGATGTTATTGTCCCTCAAAAAGGATATGCTTTTTCTCCCCCCGGCATGTAAGTTAGGCAGGAACAGATCACATTAATGCAATTAGGAGTTGAGCTGATTCAAGGCTGAATTTGTACAGCTGCGAGAGCTCCTCTAATTTTCATTTTATTCTCAATCCTAGGGTATACCCTTTGAGAACCTCAACTAAATTCTTGCGTATTTACCAGGGCATCTTTACCTTGGCGGGCTTCGAACTCGTTTTTTCCCTCCCCGTCTTCATGAGATAACAGGAGTTATGCATAGCTTCTTAGTCTGTCCAAGTTTAGAATTGGAAAACACCTCAAGAAGAAAAGCGGCACCAATGATAAGACTTCTCTTCTCTGTGGGCTTCCTTTCTCTCTGGGTTATTGATTCCTCACTTCTTTCTGCCTTGGCAGTTCTCTAATACCTTTAAACAGATCTTAAAACATTTTTATACACTGTTTTTTTTCCTAGTTTTGCTTGTTTGTACTATTGGACTTACAGGCTAGCTAGCCTGCCATTTTGTTTTAACCATGTCTCAAATTAATCATTATTAATTTTTTTCAGTAAATGCTTATTATAATTACCTATGTGTGTGTCCATATCTTTGCACACCACTGCCCTTTAAAACATTTTGAGATATATTATACCTTAAAAGAATGCATAAAATGTATCTTGTAGGTATTTTCACACGTTTGTACATATGCATGCATACATTTGTTCACCATATGACAAATCACCATATTGTACACTTATGGTTTGAATACTTTTCTGTATATGTTGTATTTCAATTAAATATTTTAGATTAAAAATCTATATAATTTAAAGAGTAAGAATAAATAGCGTTGTACTTATTACTAAAGTTAAAATAATTTATAGTATCTTAAATGCTTCCAGTGTGCCTCTCACCAATTGTATTTCCCTCTCCTGTCACTTCCAACAGGGGTAACAGGTATCCTAAACTTGAGGCTTATGAGGATTTTCTATTTTTTTATATACACATAGCTAAAATATACATTATTTTGCTTCCCTGGTATTGAACCTTATATAAATGGGATTATACAATATTTTATTCTTCTGTGACTTGCTTCCTTTGCTCCCATTATGTTTCTGAGATTTAGAGATGCTGATGTGTGGCAGTAATTCATTGCCCCGTGTTATCCCAATGCATGAATACATCATCATATATTCACCCATTCTACTTCTGTGCACATTTGTTTTCCCACAGGTTTTTGCTATTGTGTACAACGTAGCTATAAACATATTTGTATGTATCACCTGGTTATATGTACAAAATTTTTTCTAGGACATATAACCAAATATAGAATAGCTGAGTCACGGGATATGTGCACATAATGCGGAAAATTGGTTTCTAGAATATTTACATCAACTTAAATTTCCACTAAAAGTAAATGAGAGCTTCTGTTGGCCCTATTTTTCTTCCCATTCATTTATCAATTACTGATAGAGAAGTGTTTAGATAAACTGCTATACTGGTAGATTTATCAATTTATCTTGAAGCTTGGTCATTTTTGCTGCGGTTATTTGGAGATGGCATTCTTAGGTATGTACAAGTTTCAAATTGTTAAATTTTCTAGCGAATTGATCTTTCTGTCATTACCAAAAGACTTACTGTTCTCCCACCCCACCTTTTGTGAATACAATGAAATCAGCTTTCTTTTACTTAGTATTTGCCTTAGTATTTGCCTCTTTCCCTTACCATGTCCTTATGTTTTAGATGTGTCTATTGTCAACAGTATAGAGCAGAGTTTTATAAATGTATGTGTTTTAAATCCAACTGGCAGTGTTTGTTTCTTAATTGAAACATTTAACAATATTTATAAGTACTGACATATTTATATTTATTTATATAGGTAAATTAAGTAAATTATTTACTTTGTTCTACTTTTTTGTTTCTTTTTTATTTCATACCTTCTTGTACCGTTTTTCTCATTCCATTGTCCCTACCTTTTGGAGACAATAAGCTAAATTTTTTGTTTGTTTGTTTTACTTATTATCCCAATTATTTTAACATTATTTTTCTTTTCTTTTTCTTGAGACAGAGTCTCACTCTGTCACCCAGGCTGGAGTGCAGTGGTGCAATGTCGGCTCACTGCAACCTCCGCCTCCCGGGTCCAAGCGATTCTCCTGCCTCAGCCTCCTGAGCAGCTGGGATTACAGGTACCCACCACCATGCCCGGTTAATTTTTTTTTGTATTTTTAGTAGAGACGGGGTTTCACCATGTTGGTCGGGCTGGTCTCGAACTCCTAACCTCGTGATCCGTCCACCTTGGCCTCCCAAAGTGGTGGGATTGCAGGCGTAAGCCACTGCGCCCGGCCTTAACATTCTTTCTTAAGAAAATATAGAAGCAATCAAAATTTATCCTTTTGAAACAAGACAAGGACCTTAGAAAACTCTAATGTGATTATCTTTCCTAAGGTATGTTATTTCTGTCAAGTGTTCTGATTTTACCTATTTCCCCACACAAGCACAAATTGGATGTTATAGTTATACCATCTCCAATCTTGGACCTTGAATATGGGACCATTTCCATTTGTCTAAAATATATGGTTTGAATTTTATTTTAGATAGGGTCTTTTTGAAGTAAACTCTCTCAGTCCTGTTTGAAAATGTTTTCATTTGGTTGTTTCTCCCAAAATACATGTTTGTTTGGTATAGTTGTTTTTTCACTTAGCAGATTGACAATATTATTCCAGTGTCTTCTAGCTTACATTGTTGCTACTCAGGTGGTAGCTATCTGTCTAATTACTCTGGCTTTGTAGGTTATCTGTCTTTCCTGTCTGGTTGATTTTAAGATTTTCCCCCTTTTACGGTGTTCTACAGCTTCACTATGATGTGTCTCGATATATGTTTAATTTTACATATTCTGTAGAGCTTCACTGGGCTTTCCAGATTAGAGAACTGGTGTTCTCTTGTTAACCACATTTTGAACGTTTTCAGCCATTGTGTTTTTGAATATTGCCTTTTCTACTTTCTACTATCTCCTTCTGGATTACCAGTTAGATCTCTTATTCAAACTTTCACTCTTTCATGTATTTTAACCTGTCACATTTTCCAACTTTGATCATTTTAGGCCACATTTTGTGCCATTTGCTTAGATCCATATATCATTTATGTTTTATTGATATATAATAGTTGTATATATTTTGGGGGTACATGTGATATTTTGATAGCTGTATACACTGTCTAATGATCACATCAGGGTGACTGGGATATGCACCACCTCAAATATTTGTCTTTTGTGTTGGGAACATAAACCTTCTAGCTATTTTGAAATATACAACAAATTAGTTCTTTTATCTAGCTGTATTTTTGCACCCCTTAACTTCTCTTCATCCTTTTCTCCCCCTTTCCCTTCACAGCCTTTGGCAACTACCATTCTATTCTTTACCTCCATGAGATTCACTGTTTTAGCACCCATATATGAGTGAGAACATGTGCTATCCATGTGATATTTGTCTTTCTGTGACTGGTTTATTTCACTTAAATTAATGTCCTCCTGTTCCATCCATGTTGCTGCAAACGTCAGGACTTCATTTTTGTGGCTGAATAATATTCCATTATGTATACACACATTTTCTTTATCCACTCATCTGTAGATGGGGGCATTTAGGTTGATTTCACATCTTAGCTATTGTGTAGTGTTGCAATAAACATGGGAGTACAGATATCTCCTCGATATACTGATTTCCTTTCTTTTCATATATACCCAGCAGTGAGATTGCTGGATCATATGGTAGTTCTATTTTTAGTTTTTTTTGACAAAACTCCATGCTGTCTTCCACAATGGCTATACTTAGGTCTATGTTTTTATTCAATATCTTTTATTTTCATTTAGTTCATATCTGTTGTTGATACAAAATTCACTTCAATTTTTAATTATTTTACTTAAAATGTTCTATTTGAATCTTGGCCAAATTTGCTTAACAACAACAACAAAAAAAAACAACAAAAAAAACAAGGTCTTGCTCTGTTATCCAGGCTGGAGTGCAGTGGCTTGATCATAGCTCACTGCAGCCTCGACCTCCCAGATTCAAGCAATCCTCCCACCTCAGCCTCCCAAGTATCTGGGACCACAGGTGCATGCCACCACGCCAGGCTTATTTTAAAAATTTTTAGTAGAGGTGGGGTCTCACCATGTTGCCCAGGCTGGTCTCAAACTCCAAGTTCAAGTGATCCTCCAGGCTTGGCCTCCCAAAGTGCTGGGATTAGAGGCATGAGCCACTGTGCCTGACTGCTTAATTTTTTTTTTTTTTAGTTTGTATATTGCTCATATTTCTGAGCTTTTTTCTTTAATAAGATTAAATATTGCTCTTTTATATTCTGTATTGATAATTTCGATATCTGAAAGTTTTTTAGATCTGTTTCTATTGCTTGTGTTTTGTTGGTTCTCATCCATTATGCCTTGTTTCCTCATGGATTTTGTAATTTATTTTAACTGTGAGTTCCTCTTTTTTCTTTGAAACTTTATGGGAATTCTTTGTAGTAGGTTGAAATAGGCCTTTTCCAAAGTAGATTAAATATACACAAGGTACATAAACAGATGTATAATTGCTAAGACATATGATAATCTCCTGTAGTTCACTAGCTATTGCCATATTATCCTCCAAAGTGTTTATACCAACTTACGCTTTCCCCCATAAGTATATGAAAGTTTCTATTCTCCACATTTCAGATGCCCGGTATTATTTGATTATCCTTTATAACTGCTCATCTGGTAATTAGGGAGTTATATCTCATTTCTGTTTTATTTGCAATTCCATGATGGTCAGTGAGGCTAAGTATCTTTTCACATATTAAACGGTCATACAGATTTTCTCACTTGTGAATTTTCTCTCCAATCCTCTACCAGGTTTATAACTTATTCTGTAATGATGTTAGGAATTTTAAAAAGATATTCTTGAAAATATTTATTTATTGGTCATATGTACTGCAAATATCTCCTGGGTTTAAATTTTATTACTTCTTTTGTCATTTTACAAATTTTAATTTTAACATGGATTTTATCCACTTTTTTAATTTATAGGATATGTAATATAGGATTTTGTATCTTAAGTAGTTCTTCATTATCATGTCATAATGTTTTGCCTTTCTTATTTAGGACTTGAATCCAACTGGAAAACATTTTATGATGGGAGCTATAGTGACTTGATTTTATTTTCATGAAGATATGAAAGCATACTCTATATAAGCATTTCTTTGAAAGTCATCTACGTAAAACATTAACCTCTCTCGCTCGCTCTGTGTGTGTGTGTGTGTGTGTGTGTAGGCCTTTTATTCTATTCCATTAACGTTTGTCTAGCACTTTGTCACTATCATCGAGTTTTGATTAATAGATGTTTATGTAATCAGCCTTGACACATGGCAAGGGAGAAAGGAATCTGATCTTATTCTTACTCTTTTATTTTTCCAAATTGTTTTTTCTAGGTCCTTTCCTTTTCCATATGAATTTCAGCTAACTTGCCAAATTCTCAGGACTTTGTTAAAATTACACTGAATTTATAGATTACTCTGAGGCAAAAAAACAAAATCTATTCAATATTGAATTTTACCACCATAAAACATGGTATGGGTTTCCATTCAATCATATCATCCTTTATATTGTTGAATTACATTTTAAAGACTCTAGAAACATTATTATACAAAATTTGGTGGAGCTATTTCTTGTCTTTTTAAAAATGTAATTGTTATCTTGGATGAAATATTTATTGATATTTTCTATTTTAATGAACTATGGCGATGCCATAGATTTTTGTGGCTAATCTTATATACAGAAGCCTTGCTGTTGGTGTTAAGAGTTTTAGAAATGTCTTAAATTTTCATGTAGCCAATCATATTATTTATGATAAACAATTCTGCCTTTTTATTTTCAGAGTTTATCCCTCTTACTTCTAGAGCAATTGAATTGGCTAAGATCTTCATTACAATGATAAGTGTTAAGGATCATAGTAAAAATAGTTATGACAACTCTAAAATTTTAATGTTAGCTATAATATTTACTATAAGAGTTAAAGTTTACAACAAAGGATTTTGAATATTATTGAATTATTTTTCCCTACTTTTATTGGGATGATTCTTTTCTACTTTAATTTTTTATTAAAAGATTATATTTCATTATATTCAAGATTTTAAAACCTGAACTATTCTTGAATTTGGGGAATACACACTCCTTTACTTGTTCATTATACATTTTAATACATAGCTGAATTATATTTTGTAATAAATTATCTGTATTTTTGCATCTATGTTCAGTTATATTTGCTTATAATATCCTTAAATTGTACTGAAATTTTCTGTTTTAATATATTTCTGGTTTAATATATTTTATTATATTTTATAAAAATAATTGAATATATTTACCTTTTATATTTTTGCAAGTGCTTGTATAAGATGAATATCTTTTCCTGTGAAACTGCAACTGATACCTTGCATGGGGATGAGGAATAGTTTTGATTTCTTATTTAATTTTTAAAAAATTGTTGATTTGATTAGGTTTTGTCTTCATTAACCAATTTTGTAACATGCTTTTTAAGAAAATTATTTTGTTCTAAGTTTAAAAATGTATTGGCATAAAATTGTTTATGATTCTCTTATTTTTAAAATCCCCACTCTAACTATAGTTGCATCCCCCTATAAGAATCTGTACAAATTCTTTCTTACTTTTTAAAAATTTCAGTCTTTTTTTTTTTATTGAATGAGCCTGCTATGGGCTTGTCCATTTCATTCAGTTTTTAAAAGTACCAAGTCTGGGTTATATTATTTCTCTTTTTATCCCTATTGTATTTTAAATATATATTTTGCTTTTGTTGTCATCATTTCCTTCCTATTTCTTCCTTTAAGTTTGCTACATATTTTTCTCTTAAGTTTGAATTCTTATTTTTTTTTTCTGGTACCTAATAATAGCACAGTATTAGCTTTATTGTATTAACTAATATCATCATCATCATCATCACTATTTTTTTTTCCGTATCATGCCAACTGAATTCTTATTTTTAAAAACCTAAACAATCAGCCATAAAAAAGAATGAGTTCCTGTCCTTTGCAGGGACGTGGATGAAGCTGGAAACCATCATTCTCAGCAAACTAACACAGGAACAGAAAACCAAACACCGCGTGTTCTCACTCATAAGTGGGAGCTGAACAACGAGAGCACATGGACACAGGGAGGGGAACATCATACACCGGGGCCTGTCGGGGGGTGGGGGACAAGAGGAGGGAGAGCATTAGGACAAATACCTAATGCACGCAGGGCTTAAAACCTAGATGATGGCTTGATAGGTGCAGGAAACCACCATGGCACATGTATACCTATGTAACAAACCTGCACGTTCTGCACATGTATCCCAGAACCTAAAGTATAATAAAAAAAAAATAAGCACATATTTATAGCACATAAAGCTATAAATTTACCTCTGAGTATTGCTTTGTTTGCCTTTCACAAGTGTTACTATGGAGGATTTTCACTGTCTTTTTGTATACTTACAGTTTTTTAAAAATTCGGACTCACTCTTAATTCACGTATTACTTAGAAGTGCCTATTTCAGTTTCCAAATTTGTATGTCTTTTGTGTGACTACCATTTTCTTGTTAGTTTAAATTTAAGTGACTTGTAGTTAGAGAATTTTGTTTGTCTTATATAATTTGGGGGAGGATTTCTTAAGATTTATTTTGTCTTCAGATGTTTAATGTGTTTTAGAAACAATTTATAGCCCTTTATAGTGGATGCAGGGTTATATATACACATATATACACACACACATATATACATAACTACACACATATATATATATACATAAGTACACATATATACATGATGTATATATGTACACACACATATACATCGATGTATATATGTACACACACATATACATCGATGTATATATCTACACACATACATATCTACATCGATGTATATATGTACACATATACATATATACATATATATTAGATTGAGCTTGAAATTTTTAAATATGCTATACGTTTATTCATTTTGTTTTTCATCTGTTCATTTCTAATAGTTATGTTAAATATTCTGATATGATTGTAGATTTATTTTGCTTCACATTCTATTCAGAATTTCTGTGTGTTTTTAGTTGAGGGGTGGATATTAGCTTAATGCCATGTTGCCAAATCTGAACAAGATCATTTATCCTTTCAGAAGATACAGAAATGAAGATCTCAATAATCCTTAGAAATCACACATTCTGTTAGGTAAAAAGAGAGAGGTTAACACTTGGTCCTAGACTCTAGTTGTTACAGTTGGAAAGGATCTTATAGATTCTTCAATTTCCAGTTATCTTCTAATTTCTCTATGTTAAAGTACTGCTCCCCTCAAATGAATAATAGATTCAAACCTTGGCTCTTTGACTTATTTTTATGCAAGATATTGAGACAAAGAGATATTTTCCTTAGGAACTACAAAATTACTATTTTTATTAATTGTAAAATACCATAAAGACATTTTCAAATAATAGTCCGTTTTTAATCCATTAGAAAAAACTAAAGGGGAAGGAGAATAAAGCAAGTTTATTTCAGAGATTTAGTTAAGAGAGGGAGAGAGGCACAGAGATAGCACAAGACAGACACAGAGAGACAGAGGGAATGTGCTCACCTAATAGTCCCAGGGTCAAAAGAAAGTTACTACTCATTTAAATCTGCCGGTTTTACCTACCTCTATTGTATTATAGTATGAAAAAAGATCTTCCTACTGACCCTAGTGAAAATCCTAAATGATCAATGATTCAATTACATTCCCTTTGCTCAACTTACTAAGAAAATATCTAACAATTAGAATTAGAGTAAGGGGAGACTAGATTTAAATTTTAATTAGTAGGAAAATTAAATTAACTAAATCCTCCATTCTCAAAGTACTTTGGAGAATTGAGATTTTACTGCAATAAATAAAATTCTGACTGGATTTTTACTGAATAGGAAATTTCTCCTTGTGCTCTCATTCAAAGCTCGGTATAAATGCTATTTAGCATGTGTTTTTAATTTTTCAAAGACATATCTAATAAAAAGCAGCTATGAAGAATGCCTTTGCTTCATCTTTTTATCAAGTGATTTTGTTCAAGAAATTCTGTGTATCTGGTGTTCTGCTAGGATACACAAACACACACACATATATGTAAATATGTGTATATATGCATAAGCTTTATACATATATTCAATAATCTTAAACTGTGCCCTCAAGTCAAAATCTAAAATATTTAGTCAAACAGCAACGGGCTTCAGCATTTGCATGTCCCTTAAAACCATAGGTTTCAAAAGAAGTTTTTGCCTCTAAAGAGAAGAATCAAAACAATAATGACAAAAGAAACATAAAATATTTTGTAGACGGAGTTACAAATTAAAAAGCATTCCTGTCTTATCATTTACCTTCAAAAAGTGCTTTTCAAGTGTTTCCTTTCCAGAGCTACAGATGGTCTTTGCCATTTAGCATCCTGATCCCTGTTAGAAGAAGCCAATTAATATCATATCCCTATACTTCTAATCAAGGCTGCCCTAATAGTGTTCTGCTGAGTGAACTGTTGCTGATTAACTGAAAATTAGTGAGTGAAGCTAACGATTTTCTCTCTAGACCCTGTGGACCCATAAAAATGTTCATTTGAATTAAGGATAGTTAATTATGGTGTATGATTTGCCAGTAGACTGAACTTACTGAGTCCCTGTGAGGAGCCCAGGTTGGGGTGGTTGATTTGATGCAGGCTGGCAAATCTCTCTTTCAAAGTCTGCTGTTTTCCTCTTAGCTCATTTCTCTTCCAGGCATTTCCAGGAGATATGTCTGGCAGCTCGTTCACTCAGCTTACAAGAAAAAAACTCCCCAGTGTATCACGAGGGGAAGAGCAAAATATGAACCTTTCGTCACTGGCAAAGTGTTCCTTGGTGAGCAGCACAATTTCTGGGGGTTGACAAAGATCATTTTAATTTTAATGTGCTTTTAAGCTACTGAAACACATTGCAATCAACATGGATATGATGTATACGAGTATGCCGCCCAGGTTATGCTGCAGCTGTCACAGAACGATGAACAGATGTGAAGAAGATGCACTTTCAGACTGCTGGTCTTTCAAGGCCCCAAGAGAAACAAAAGATGGTTAGCAAGAATATTTGAGTAAGAGCAGTAAGGAAAATCTCTAATTCAGTGAGACAAAACATGGCTATGCAGTGAAATGTCAAAGAGAGAAAATGCAAACCTACTGAATGTGAGATATTGAAATTCAGGTTGCCTTTTTCCTCAGATTTCAAGCTACAGTTTTACACATGGTATTGTTTTGTAGCCATGTCATTTTGGTACTTCAATAATTAAGCCCCTGGAGGAAAATTTAAGATGGACTTGACTTTTACTATAAGGTATGAAGGCTGGCATACCTAAAATATATCTATCTTAGATTTATTTAGCATATTCTAAAAGAGACTGCCTAGGCTTTTCTTGCAATACTCATGTGCATGATAAAACAGGAGGGAAATATAATTTATAAGCCAAAAATCAATAGTCTCTTGTTAAAGGGACTTTGGTAATCTTCCATTTCTATTAACTAAACCTACCTTTTCTAGATATAGAGGGCTCTAGGGCCCTAGTGAAGTTTTCTCTAAGACCTCCCCTCTGGTTTATATTTGAGTTCAGTGCCTTGTACTAAAGAGATTGCCTATATAACAGAAACAAGAGTGAAACATCGAACCTTGTTTTGAGCTGAAGAAGATTAACTTTTTTATTTTTTAAAGATTTCCTCAAGTGAGGAATATGGAAGTTCAGAAATGGTTGCAGGTGTGAGCAAATTAGAAATTAGACAAGCCCAAAAACATAATTTCAAGAGCCTCTTAAAACCAATAATGCAATGTTTTCAATGATATGCAGAGATAATCATTGAACAAGAGGCACTCAGGATTAAAAAAGAAATAGCAGAGAAATTTGTTGAAATGTTTTTAAGGTTTTACCAAGGTAGATGTTGTGAGGCATCCAGGAATGGTTGAATTAACCACACTTTCAACTGACTGAGCTTGGTTGAAGCCCTAACATCCCCACTAATGATTGATTTGTGTATTTTGGTTGACTCACGTATCTTCTAGTCGGTTTGAGGAACTATTACATGCCAGTAGCTGATCTTTCTATAGATAAATAAATTAGTTTTAATTAATAAGGTCTGGCCAATAAGGTTTAAAATGAGAGCTGAGGAAGAGCATAGGTTCAATTTCATAGCCTTGCCTTTCTTTTGCTCTCCTTTATGTAGAAGGAGGTGTCTGGGTATTAGCTTTAAGGTGACTCCATCCCTCTTTTCTTACTTAGCAGGAATGACTACAAATTGAGTTAGGACACCACCATTAAAAAAAAAAAAAAAACAACAACAACCATAACCCCTAAAAGGTTTTGCTATTTGGCATAGGAAGTCCATTTGTATTATGTAGTTTAGTTCTGCTCATTGTTCCTGGAGGAAGATGTAAAAAAGACAGAAAAGTTCAAAAGAGTAGCAACTAAAATGATCAGGGGGCTTCCACAGTGTATTGGAATCAAGTAAAAGTCTTCAAAAGAATCATCAAACTTATAGATTCCTTCACACTCCAATGAGTTTATAAAGCTAGCATTTGTAGTTGACAATTACTATTTAAAGAGTGTTTTCATATATATAATCTTCCAGCAGCCTGGATAAAGACATCAAGGCAGGTATTATCTCTATTTTACAGAAGAAAAAATGGAGGTCTGAGAGATGCTACGACTTTTTCAAATTCTGACGGTCATTGGTAACTGGAAGAAGCCAGCCTTGTAACCTAATCTCATCCTTTTCCACTCTTCCAAATTGATTGGATTAACATATCCCCATTCAGTCTTGACAGGGAATAGCCAGAATGAATTTTCCCAGTCTCTGCTCTGTCTCTAATCATATGTTCCCTTTGACATGCAATTGATAGTGTATACTTCAATGTCTCTATTGTCTTGTTTCTAATCATTTCATGTGCTGTGGATGTACCTATCATCATTATATCTACCTTGAGATCAGAAGTCTTCAAAGAAAGATGGCGATTGTTATAAGCTTTGCTCAACAAAATTGTATTAAAATAATTTGAATGACCTTTCGTTGTTGGCGTCTGGGATGTTAGAGAGGATTTAAGTGGCCTGGATCAGGTGTCAGCAAGCTATGTTCCATGGGCCAAATCTACTTGCTGCCTACTTTTGTAAATAAAGTTTTATTGGAACACAGCCATGCTCATTTATGCATTGTCTAGGTCTGTGTTTGTACTACAGTGGCAGAGTTGGGTGGTTTTAACAGAAATGTACAGCCTGAAAAGCTTAAAATATTTACTATCTGACCATTTACAGAAAAAAAATTTACCAACCATAGGCCTAGACAATTAATTATATATAATTAGTCCCTGAAAAATGACTAAGGAACAAGCAATACAGAGTGTGTTGTCTTCTGTTTCTTTCTAGAAATTTGACATCTTGGGACCTGTTGTTATTTGAGGGAGAAATAGTGTTTTTTGGTAAAGAAAATAGGAGGTAGATAGAAGAAATTCCAAGAGCATTTCAGAAGGGGAGTTATATTTAGAAGCATTGTTCTTCCACAGTCAATCAAGGTAATGAAAGGGAGAATTGCCTGAGGTGAAGGTGTGAACTAGGGCATAACATTCTAGAAGTGTTTGTAAGAAGCTGATTGGTACCCAATATATTAAATAGTGAATTTACTAATGCCAATCAAACCCAAACTTTTTTGTTTAAAAATGATTTAAATTATTACAGTCTATTTATGTTTGCTTTTAGTAAGGAAAAGAGTAGTAGTAGATTTTATTACAGGAGTAAATTCTGAATCTTGGGACATGGATTCAACTAAAGTAGAAGTTACTTTTGATTGGTGTTTGCACAAATTGTTTTGCACCAGCTATTATAAAAACCAACTTTTAATATCCCATATTTTGAGATTTATGGAGGTGACTTTCCTTTTCTTTGGAGATGATGAATGTGTGCCGACTGGTATTGCTGTTTGATTATAGATGGCTAGCTGTGAGGAATGTGGAAATGATCTCAGCCATTTAAACCTCAAGGCAATCTCCCCATGTGACCTAAAAGGTGTGCATTTTATTTATGTAGCTATTTTACCTACTCACTCAGATTTCTATTGCACTTAGAAATTCCCAAGTGAAATGTCTACAGTTATTTTGTAAAAGTCTTGAAATAATATTCCCTTCCTTCTCATTCTCGCTCCCAGGAAATTTTTGCTTAAAGCAGCATTTGTGAAATAGCACATGGGAGGTGCCATAGTATGGGTGAAAGAGAACAGGCTTCAGACTCAGGCATACCTGGAAGGCCCTTTGAAAAGTCATGATGTGTTCAGGAAACTGAAAATGACTCACCGGGGCTGGATAGTAGTGCTTAGTTGGGTGTGTGAACAATGACATGTCTGCAGAGGTGATTAGGAGCCAGATAATGAAGGATATTGTGTTCCATGCGAAGGAACTGAACAGTTATCAAGGTAATATGGCACCTCTGAAGGGTTTTAAGACAAGAGTATAACACAGTAAAATTTATAATCGTGAAAAACACTCTGGAAGTAGGGTAGATGACGGACTGAAATGTAAAGAGAGTGAGGGTAGTTAGAGATTTGAAGGACTGGTGTCGAAACTGAGGTTTTCAAGGAATAATAAGGTCTGCAGCTGGGAGTGTGTCTATGAGGGTAGGTGGCTGAGTTTAGGAGATGTTTGTGTGGCCTAATGGATAGAACGTAGCAATATTAACAGATATGAGGGTGAGGGAAGAATGAATTTGGGGACTGAGTTGATTATAATAGTAAATTACAGAGGAGAAGAAAGATTAATGCCTATCTTACTATTGCATGCCCAGAACCTCACCCCACTAAGCAGAGTGTTTCTGTGTTTAGAATGTAACAATAGGAGAAAACAGAAGTAAAGAAAACAAAAATCTGGGTGCTAATGACGGTGACAGCAGGAAAAAGGAAGGATCTATAAAGATAGTACACATAGCTGCAAACACAGTTGCCAAGTACCAGCATGAAAAATTGAGACAACATGGTCTCCAAGGGCAGTGTCTATCTCTAGACGACTATGCCTATACAGAGTTTCCTTCTGTAAAGAGAATATCCACCGAGGTTCCCCAGAACCAAAACTTCAGACTAAGGTTTCAGCCCACATTTAGGAGGTAATTACCAGCAGGGAGTGGAGAAACAAGAAAGAAAAGCAAAAGTGGTCAATATGAAGTGTGTTAATGATTGGTTACCACTGTGGGAAACTAGGACTGAATCCTATTGAGAACCTCTGGGAAACTGGGTAGAACATGCCTCATCATTGTTCTACCTGAAGGGCAAGGAGCGTTGAGTATTCATCTACCAGTTCTACTTCGTCATTGATTACTGGGTTAACCAATGGTAACTTCCTGACACTTCCAACCAGCCCTGGGCTTTGGTCATGCATACTGCATTGGGCAAAAATTCCCTGAGACAGGGAGTTGTGGTTGTTGGAACTATGAATGCCAAAACGATATGAGCAGAGTTCTGACAGATACTCCTGCATATACACACACCCTAACATGGTTAGTACATCTATTGTACCTGTATTTTGAGTTTGAAATGGTAGAGTTTTACTTAAAATTAGACAAGTTACTTCTATGAAGCAGATTTTCCATCTTTTTTTAACCTATCTCTCTGTATAGACCTACTGGGATCTAGAAGATTCAAATTTCAAGGCTGTGTCCATTGTATATTGGTAACATTAGTAAATGGTGATCTATGGTGATGGAATCTTTTGAACAACTGCTGAAACTATAAAGACAGGTATAAAAAGTCAAATGAAACTGTTAAAGCAACTCAGATGTATCTGGAGAAAGAACACATTCTGTACTCCAAAATGTTACCATTTCCTAAAATTACACTACCAAGATCTGTGAGTTACACATAATATAAATATTTAGTTGTTGATTTCAAAAGAAAAGAAAATGAATACACCAGTATACAAGATGCTTAAGACCTAGTAAAGTAGCCCTCCCAACTCTTTATTTGAAAGTGAAAATAAGAAATTAAATGGAAAGATGAGTTGAAAGAGAACAAGGATATGGAGAGTCATATATAAGATGGAAGAATTGGATTGACTGATGAGTTACCTGGAAATGAGAAAAAAAGCATTAAGCTCAACTTATGGCAATCCAGTGAAGTATGTTTCCGTTTTTAGTATTTTACTTTATCTCTTCTAGTTCCCTCTTTAAATGCAAAGACACTGGAAATGAGTTGGTAAGTAAGTCATTCCTACTAGGGTATGCTAACTTGTAGCCCTGTTTGTTTCTGCCACTCACTGGCTATATAGCCTTGGGTAAGTTACTTAACCTCTCTGTATCTCAGTTTCCTTATTTGGAAAAATTGGTGATAATAATTGTACCTACCTCATAGGTTATGAGGATGAATACATTTGCATATGAAAATTACTTACAGTGCTTGACACATAATAAGAAATACATTCATCTCTTCTGGATAATAAGCAAAATGAATTCAAATTGTTATAGCTTATGGAATTTGACATAAATCACACAGAAGTGTATCACAGTGTTATTTTTAATGATTTTTAACATTCAAAATAATTGATAAAAAAATTTGGCATTCCAGAGCCAAAACAAAAAGCAATGGTGGGAGTTACAGTTCTAACAGAAGGAAGTTTTAGTTATTAGAGCTGTCAAACAATGAAATAGATTGCCTTTGAAGTCATGTGTTGGATGACATGGGAAATATGTAACAGACTGGATGACTGCTTCTTACTGATGCTGGAGAGGAGGTTTGTGCATCAGAGAAAAGGTGTAAGTAAATGACCCTTTCAGGTCTTTCTAATTTTCAGTCAATGATTTCACAATTTGGCTCTAAGCCCTCTTTCTAATATTATATCTTATTGTTTCCTCATGCAAATCCTCTGCCTTAGACACCCAAGCACACTCATAAACACTTAACAAGTTTCATGCTTTCTCACCATTTGAATTTTCTGCCACTTTCTCCACTTTGTCTTTATCTTTACAGTATAGGCCAAACATTTTGAAAGTAAAAGTCTTAGTAAAAGTTATAAAGTATATGGTATATTAAAGCTTAATTTCCATGTACAATATTATTAGGACTTGGTTTTTCATAGCTATGCTATGCTTGAACCTGAAATACTTAAATGAATACATATGAAAGATGAAAAGATGAGTTACCTCCCCACCCATACATACTCATTTAGAAAGGGATAATCTGTGTGGGCTAACACACTTGAATTAGTAAAAATATCTCCAATCTTTTAGATTTTTTACTTATATTACAATTCACTTCTGAAGATGTGTAGACTTCAACATTAAAATTAAATAAGAAATAAAAGGATGTCTTTATACAATGCTTCGTCAAAAATATATATGTTAATACTTCCTTATGGAGGAAAGATTTCTGGGAGAAACGAAGGCAAGGGAATGAGCTGCTGGTGATTAGTTGGTTTAATAGTTTTACATATTTGTCGTCAGAATCCTTTAAACCAAAGCTTGGTGGGAGGCACAGTTTGAAAACTTAGAGTTGCTTTAATTAAGGAGGTGGTGGGAGAAAAGAAGATCCTGCCTGGAAGACTAAGAAGGTAATGGGAGTGCTCTTTAAAGCTGTGCCAAAGAGGTTCACAATACCTTTTTGCCATGAGAATCAGGACCATTTTCCTGTCCCGAGGGCAGCATGGGCTTGTTCTCACAGTCATTCAGAAGGGCAAATGAGAAGTTTTGTGTGTGCCTATGAGCTAAATAATCATTTTCAACTAGCTTTGTGGATTACAACGTCATTTTGTGACACAACTTGAGACTCTACACTGACTCCTCCATGTGGATTTCAAAACCCCTAAATTATGCCCCACCATCTTGATTTCCTAGTATTTTATATAAACTCACATCAATTTTTCCCCAATATTTTATTACGCAGGACCTGAAGTTTTCCTGGGGAAAAAGTATTAGTGCTAAAATATGCATTTTTCTATTGGAAATAATAAAATAGTCCAAAGATATTTCCCCTTTTCCATAAAATTCCAAGGGAAACCCACTTAGAAAATTTAGAGTGTAATTGAAGAATTCTACTGAGCATACATGACATAAAGTTAAACAATACTTGGGTAGAAAAATGTTTGGAGATCCCTGTCAGGACATAATTTTTCTGTTATTTAATGAAAAAGATGACTTGCTATGGTTTTTAAATCTGCTTAAATGTGTTTCATTTGATCACATTAATATTTGTACAGTTATTTTTCCATTACTCATGAAACACTAAAAACACTAAGCAATAATTGCACATGCTTTTTCCTTTTATGACCATACATTTTCCCGGACAGGTCTTATAAATTCACATATGTTATCAAAAACTTTTTTTTTTGGAGATGAAGTTTCACTCTTGTCACCCAGGCTGGAGTGCAATGGTGCGATCTCGGTGCACTGCAACCTCCACCTCCTGGGTTCAAGAGATTATCCTGCCTCAGCCTCCCGAGTAGCTGGGATTACAAGCACCCACCACCACGCATGGCTAATTTTTGTTTTTAGTAGAGACAGGGTTTCACCATGTTGGCCAGGCTGGTCTCGAACACCTGACCTCAGGTGATCCACCCGCCTCGGCCTCCCATAGTGCTAGGATTGCAGGCATGAGACACCGTGCCTAGCCCAAAACTTTTTATGATATATTAATAATATGTTTGACAAAGCAAATACTTTCAGTGTAATTATTCACATTGACTGAAAGAATCCTTTACTACAGCCCTCTATCTTATTGCTCACATAGATGATTCATTAAAAATCTAGATATATAGATGGCTAGACATGAATGTGGTATGGTTCTCAGAGCATAAGGTCTCCTAGATGGAGTAACGGAGGAGCATAACCTCTCCGTTACTCAAGGACTACTCTTATGCCTCCATCTCTAACTCATGGGAGGAATAGGAACATTGAACAGAGATTTGGTGCCTTCCTTTACTCACAGCTTGTACACAACTCACTGTGATGGTGATGTGTTTAGCCTGTGAACCTATGTAACAGAACTCGACAGGCAAAAAAATAGTTTCCTTCCACATTAAAAAGCAAACAGTGCAGCCATAGAAAAGAACGAGATCATGTCTTTTGCAGGAACATGGATGGAGCTGAATGCTATTATCCTCAGCAAACTAATACAGGAAAAGAAAACCAAATACTACGTGTTCTCACTTATAAGTGGAAGCTAAATGATGAGAGCTTATGAACACAAAGAAGGAAACAACAGACACTGGGGGTCTACTTGAGAGTGGAGGGAGGGAGGAGGGAGAGGAGCAGAAGAGGTAACTATCGGGTACTGGGCTTAACCCCTGGGTGATAAAATAATTTGTATAACAAACCCCCATGACATGAGTTTTCCTATGTAACAAACCTTCACATGTACCCCCAAACCTAAAATGCTAAAAAAAAACCAAAAAACACCCCAAAACAAAAAAATCTTTACCCCCAAAACCAAATAAAAACCCCCCTTGTTTTATCTAAATCATTATTAAATGCAGTCCTTCCTTAAAATTTTTACATTTTGTTATATTTACATAACGATAAAATCATTTCCCACTTGATATAAGAACAAAAATCTGTTAATTCATTATATTATTAGAATAAGCAAATTAATTACTGCTAACATCAAATTCATTTTAATTTCCATGACCGTCATATAGAGTTCTATACATAGAGAGTGGAACTCCACAATGAAAACGTGCTTAACTCTTTTTATTTCCTCCTCACAGCATGTTCTGCTTTAATGACATATTGAGGGAATAAAATACATGGAATTTTATTCTAGTATCAAGTGAGATTTTAAAATATATGTGAAAATATTTGATAAATGCTTTTTTTCCTAATGGGTGCACTTAGAAATTATAGTTTTAGGTATATTTATATTTTGGCCATATAGTCTCTTAAATAAGTAAAACAAAGCATACTGTAACAAACTATTTTGGTCAAAACTCTAAACAGTATATAGACTTCAAAATAACTTACTCAAAATTCATGAGATTTAGATTTCATGCTCAACTTATCAGGAGGAAACACATCCAAAATAGAAGTGGGTTGACTCTATAACTTCTACTCAATGGCTATATCTACATAACTGTGAATTAAAACAAACAAAAAACAAAAGCTAGAAAACTGAAATTGGTTCTTAGTCATTATGTCTAGTTATGACAAATCGAGACACTATGAGATGATTTTCTCCTCCGGAAACCAGGCATTCAAAGACTTCCAGTGACTCAGGATGGGAGTGTACAGAAGAGAAAAGAGGAACGAAGAAAGCACTGATGCAAGAAGACACAATTCATCAATTCATAACCACACCCTGATCTCCACTACCATAGCATTACAGCCATGATCTCTTTCAGCCTTCTCTCTGCCACTATTGCCCTCAGTGCTGATTTTAATAGATTTTACCTCTTTAGGATGGTAGTGATGAGGAGGGATACTGAACTACCGTGATTTGCCGTGAATTTTCCTAGGAAGGGCCCCAGGGGTCTGCCATGTAAGCGTAACAACTCTTATGTGAGTGTATCTCACTTTATACACAAACACTGTAATAATTTAATGTTATACATTTCTCAACCTGATATTATTTCCCTTTGATTATTTAGGTTGCACCTACCTCATGAGAAAGATTTGGAGAAGGTGTGAAAACTTTATCCCAAATCTTAGATGCTCTATAAATGTCTTCCATTTTATAAAGGCTATCTGAAAGAGAAGCAAGGACAATTCCGAAAAATTCTTCAATTTTAGGTTTGGTCAAACCAACAATAAATACAAAGAAATGGCTTCATCTGAGTAACTGATACTTCCAAGACTTGGCCATTGCAGTCTTTTGTAGATTATATAATTTACTAGTTAGATTAAAAATTATGGCAGGAGGAAATCTTAGAATGCTTTGGCTACCTATCTACGGATACAAAACCATGGTGTATAATTCCAACCTTATTAAAGCATTAGAACATTGGTTTTTAACTCTCTATTGGATTAGGACCAGGTATACTGGCACAGCTCAGTAAAACCTAAGATTGGAAATAATTTGAAATCTCAAAGTCATTGTCACCTTACCCATTTCACCTGGCTAATTACTTCCTCTCCTTTCATACAACCCAACAAATATGTATTCACATTAGTGGGGAAAAGAAGCTCTCCCTATATTTACACAATGGAGTGATTTTTGCCCTTCTAATTAACCAGCATGAGTCAAACGTTTAAAAGGTTCCAGAAGAAACTGTGCCTTCAATTAACATTCACAGTTTCTAAATTAATCACTGCTGACCTTAACATGCAGGAGTCTTAAAGACATGTTTCACATTTAAAAAATGGTAATTTTATTCAAAGAAATCTAACTACCTATGTTTCATAAGTGTTTGGTCATTGTTTTTCTCCTATCACTGCATAAGGAGTCCTAGAGTTTGGAGCATTGTTTCATCACATCTCTGGATAAAAGCCCTACAAATGATCTTGAGCATGATAATGATATTGTCTTCAATATAAAAATTAATAGTGACTCATTATACACTTTGAAAAATCCATACCATGCTCACTTCAGCAGCATATATACTAAAATTGGAATGATACAGAGAAGACTAGCATGATCCCTGTGCAAGGATGACACACAAATTCATGAAGCATTCCATATTTTTCAATAAATGTCCCCATCGGCAAGTTAGAAAGATCTCAAATTAACAACCTAACATCACAACTAAAAGAACTGGAGAAGCAAGAGCAAACCAACCCCAAATCTAGCAGAAGACAAGAAATAACCAAAATCAGAGCAGAACTGAAGGAGACCGAGACACAAAAAGCCATCCAAAAGATCAAGGAATCCAAGAGCTGTTTTTTTTTAAATATTAATATAATTGATAGACTAGACTGCTAGCTAGACTATTAAAGGGATAAAAGAGAGAAGACCCAAATAAACACAATTAGAAACGACAAAGAGAATGTTACCACTGACCACATAGTAATACAAACAACCATCAGAGACTACTCTCAACGCCTCCATGCACACAAACCACAAAATCTAGAATAAATGGATAAATTCCTGGACACATACACCCTTCCAAGACTGAACCAAGAAGAAACTGAAGCCCTGAACAGACCAATAGCAAGTTCCAAAATTGATTCAGTAATGAACAGCCTACCAACCGAAAAATGCCCAGGACCGGAAGGATTCACAGCCAAATTCTACCAGATATACGAAGAGATAGTACCATTCCTACTGAAACTATTGCAAAAAAATTGATAAGGAGGGACTCCTCCCCAAATCATTCTATGATTCCAGCATCATCCTGATACCAAAACCTGTCAGAGAGACAATAAAAAAGAGAAAACTTCAGGCCAACATCCTTGATGAACACAGAGGCAAAAATCCTCAACAAAATACTTGTAAACCGAATCCAGCAGCACATCAAAAAGCTAATCCACCACAATGATGTAGGCTTTATCCTGGGATGCAAGGCTGGTTCAACACACACAAATCAATAAATGTGATTCATCACATAAACCAAACTAAAGATAAAAACCACATGATTACCTCAATAGATGCAGAAAAGGCTTTCAGTAAAATTCAACATCCTTTCATGTTAAAAACTTTTAATAAACTAGTTATTGAAGGAATATACCTCAAAATAATAAGAGCCATCTAGGAGAAACCCACAGCCAACATCATACTAACCAGGCAAAAGCTGGAAGTATTCCCCTTGAAAACTAGCAAAAGACAAGGATGCCCTTTCTCACCATTCCTGTTCAACATAGTATTGCAAGTCCTGGCCAGAGCAATCAGGCAAGCGAAAGAAATAAAGATCATTGAAACAGGAAGAGAGGAAGTCAAACCATCCCTGTGTGCAGACAACATGATTCTGTATCTAAAAAGTTTTCACAGTCTTGGCCCAAAAGCTCCTTGAACTGATAAACAACTTCAGCGAAGTTTCAGGATACAAAATTGATGTGCAAAAATCACTAACATTCCTATACACCAACAACAGCCAACCCGAGAGACAAATCAGGAACACAATCCCATTCACAATTGCCACAAAAAGAATAAAATACTTAACAATTCAGCTAACCAGAGAGGTAAAATATCTCCACAATGAGAATTACAAAACACTGCTCAAAGAAATCAGAGATGACACATACAAATGGAAAAACATTCCGTGCTCATGGATAGGAAGAATCACTATCATTAAAACAGCCACATTGCCAAAGCAATTTACAGGTTCAACGCTGTTCCTATCAAACTACCAATGACATTCTTCACAGAACTAGAAAAACTATTTTAAAATTCACATGGACCCAAAAAAGAGCCCAAATAGCAAAGGCAATCTTAAGCAAAAACAAAAAAGGAGGGGGCATAATATGACTCTACTTCAAACTATATTACAGGGCTACAGTAACCGAAACAGCAGGGTACTGGCACTGAAACAGACACACAGACAAAGGGGACAGAATAGAGAGAGCCCAGAAATAAGGCTGCACACTTACAGCTACCTGGTCTTCCACAAAACTGACAAAAACAAGCAATGGGGAAAGAATCACTATTAAACAAATGGTGCTGGCATAACTGGCTAGCGATACGCAGAAGACTGAAACTGGAACCCTTCCTTACACCATATACAAAAATCAACTCAAGATGGATTTAAGACTTAAATGTAAAACTCAAAACTATAAAAACCCTGGACGATAACCTAGGAAATATCATTCTGGATATAGGAACTGGCAAAGATTTCATGACAAAGATGACAAAAGCAATCGCAACAAAAGCAAAACTTGGCAAATGGGATTCAATTAAACTAACTTCTGCACAGCAAAAGAAACTATCAACAGAGTAAATAGACAACATATACAGAATGGGAGAAAATTTTTGCAAACTATGCCTCTGGCCAAGGTCTAATATCCAGCATCTATAAGGAACTTAAATTTACAAGCCAAAACAAACAACCCCATTAAAAAGTGGGCAAAGGACATGAACAGATACTCTTCAAAAGAAGACATACATGTGGCCAACAAACACATGAAAAAAAGCGCAACACCCTTGTAGCATAGTTTGAAGTCAGGTAGTGTGATGCCTCCAGCTTTGTTCTTTTTGCTTAGGATTGTCTTGGCTACACAGGCTCTTTTTTGGTTCCACATGAAATTTAAAGTAGTTTTTTCTAATTCTGTAAAGAAAGTCAATGGTAGCTTGATGGTGATAGCATTGAATCTATAAATTAATTCGGGCAGTATGGCCATTTTCACGATATTGATTGTTCCTATCCATGAGCATGGAATATTTTTCCATTGTTTTTGTCCTCTCTTATTTCGTTGAGCAGTGGTTTGTAGCTCTCCTTGAAGAGGTCCTTCACATCCCTTTTACGTTGTATTCCTAGGTATTTTATTCTCTTTGTAGCAAAGGGCTAATATCCAGAATCTACAAGGAACTTAAACAAATTTACAAGAAAAAAAAAACAACCCCATCAAAAAGTTGGCAAAGGATGTGAACAGACACTTCTCAAAAGAAGACATTTTTGTGGCCAATAAACATATGAAAAAAAGCTCATCATCACTGATCATTAGAGAAATGCAAATTAAAACCACAATGAGATACCATCTCATGCCAGTTGGAATGGTGATCATTAAAAAGTCAGGAAACAACAGATGCTGGAGAGGATGTGGAGAAATAGGAACACTTTTACACTGTTGGTGGTATTGTAAATTAGTTCAACCATTGTGGAAGACAGTGTGGCGATTCCTCAAGGATCTAGAACCAGAAATACCATTTGACCCAGCAATCCCATTACTGGGTATATACCCAAAGGATTATAAATCATGCTACTATAAAGACACATGCACACGCATGTTTATTACAGCACTATTCACAATAGCAAAGACTTGGAACCAAGCCGAATGCCCATCAATAATAGAGTGGATAAAGAAAATGTGGCACATATACACCATGGAACACTATGCAGCCATAGAAAAGGATGAGTTCATGTCCTTTGCAGGGACACGGATGAAGCTGGAAACCATCATTCTCAGTGAACTAACACAAGAACAGAAAACCAAACACCGCATGTTCTCACTCATAGATGGGAGTTGAACAATGAGAACACATGGACATAGGGAGGGGAACATCACACACTGGGGCCTGTCAGGGGGTGGGGGGCTAGGGGAGGGATAGCATTAGGAGAAATACCTAATGCAGATGACAGGTTGATGGGTGCAGCAAACCACCATGGCATGTGTATACCTATGTAACAAACCTGCACATTCTGCACATGTATCCCAGAAGTTAAATTTAAAAAAAAGCACAACATCACTGATCATTAGAGAAATGCAAATCAAAACCACAATGAGATACAATCTCACGCTAGTCAAGATGGCAATTATCAAAAAATCAAAAAATAACAGATGTTGGCAAGGTTGTGGAAACAGGAGAATGCTTATACACCATTGGTGAAAGTGTAAATTAGTTCAACCATTGTGGAAAGCAGTACAGGAGTTCCTCAAAGAGCTGAAAACAGAACTACCATTCAACCCAGCAATCCCATTACTGGGTATATACCCAAAGCAATATAAATTGTTCTACCATAAAGACATGCACATGTATGTTCACTGCAGCCCTATTCATTATAGCAAAGACATGGAAGCAACCTAAATGCCCATCAATGGTAGACTGAATAAAGAAAATGTACATATACACTGTGGAATACTATGCAGTCATGAAAATGAATGAGCTCATGTCTTTTGCAGGAACATGGATGGAGCTGGAGGCCATTATCCTAAGCAAACTAATGTAGGAACAGAAAACCAAATACCACATGTTCTTACGTATAAGTGGGAGCTAAATGATGACAATACATGGATACAAAAAAGGGGAAAAACAGACACTGGAGTCTACTTGAGGGTAGAAGGTGGGAGGAGGGAGATGATCAGAAAAAATAACTAATGGGAATGGGTACAAAGTATAGTACTTGAGTGATGAAATAATCTGTACACCAAAGCTCCACGACACAAGTTTACCTATATAACAAACCTGCACATATACCCCTGAAACTAAAAATAAAAGTTAAACAATCATAAATACTTAGAAAACTCATTCATTTCTAAATATATATTGATTCATGTTCAGTAAATATCTAACAGCACTTAATATGTACAGGTACTACTGTGCTGGAAATACAAAAAAGCATGGTACTACTATAAAAATAGGCACATAGACCAATGGCACAGAATAAAGAACCCAGAAATAAACTCAAATACTTACAGCCAACTGATCTTTTACAAAGCAAACAAAAAAATAAAGTGGAGAAGGGACACCCTTGAACAAAACAGACAAAAACTCCTGCCTCTGTGAAATTTACATTCAGGGGAGCTATATACAACAAAAGTATAAATAAGTATTGTACACACTCACCCTTCATATCCATAGGGGAATGGTTCCAGAACCTTCCATGCAGCCCCAAATCAGAAGACGTTCAAGTTCCTTATATGAAATGGTCTAATATTTGCATGTAAACTACACTCATGTTCTCATTTAATTTAAATAATCTCTAGATTATTTATGATACCTAACAGAATGCAAATGTTATATAAATAGTTTTTATACTGTATTGTTTAGAGATTAATGCCAATAAATAAAGTCTGGACATTTAAAAAAGAAAAGAAAAATCCATACCATACTATATTTCACATCACCTGCATTTTCCTGCAGGAAGACAGCGGCATACAAATTTCAGAATATTCTTATAATTTTCTTTATAAAAGTGGAATTATTACAATTGTTAAAGAAACCCAAATGCAGGTGGTTTATATTGAAAATCAAAGTAAGGAGTTCCTGATGGGAAACATTTTCCATAGCATTTCAAGGATTCAGAGACACTAATGTCTACTTTCTTTAAGAAATCCTAACTCTGGGGAGACTCAAAGATTGAATCCACCCAATCTTACAATGAGGAAAAAGAAAGCTTTTCTAACAGATTTAAAAAAACACTGCCTATGATATATGCAGCCAGGGACTTCATGCATTATCTAAAGCTACGAACAAAAATGTGTGAGGTAAATAACTTTATTTGCGAAGCCCTATTATTCAACCTGTTGTTGCCTAATGGTACTGAGGCTAGCGCCCTTCTAGGAGCAACCCTGGGCTCATCTTGAAACTCTGGTCCTGTATGTCTGACTCTGCTTCTTGAACTCTCTTATTCTGTGTATAGTACGTTTGTCCTCGATGGCAGAAACCTGGTTCATATTTTTCTCTCCCTTTGTCATCTTGGATTCTGTGCTACCTATATTGTATGTTAACTTGATACTGGAAAATAAAATGTCACTGCTTAAAGGAACCAGGATGTTAGCACTAAAATTCTAAAGTCCCATGTAGTTCAAAGTTTTTTTTTTCACAGATGAAGAAACTGTAGCCCAGAAAAATGTGTCTTCCCCAAGGTCACACAGTTAGAAATAGTTTGTTACAATAAAATTTCACCGATCGGTGTCCCAATTTCATATTTAGACCTCCTCCTGTTAATGAATTTTTGTCATCCAGATGAATTAATCCCACTTCAGCTGTTTAAAGAGAAGGGTGAGAGTTTCTCTCCACATATTTCTTTATCTTCCTTACACACATGCCCATTCTAAACTATATCCTGCAGACTTATAAAGCATACCCCACTGACAGGGTTAAATGAAGACAGGCCGAATGTGTGGCAATATCAGAGAAATATTCCCCTATATAAGCATCCATGGGTGTTATTCATACTATATCAAGTGATTAGAAATTTCAGGAAGTGCTTACTTAAACAGCCAGTGTGGTGGTAAGCAGAACACAAATCTTAACCCGGAGACAGCGCAACCTGGAGGCTGGTTGCAACATTTAGCAAGTTCTCGTAAGGAAGCATTCATGAACAGATTAAAATATCGGCAAACTTCTCCCCAAAAATACCACTGGAAAAGAATACCTAAACACTAATTTGATGATGACAAAATAGGTTTTCTTTTCTAATAAGTTCTAGTTTAGGGAACTTACTGTATTTTACCCATTTTCATTGAAGATGAGAAAAACTGTAACTTACCTTCTCGCTGACTCAAAAAGTCATGAAAAATTTTACAGATGGTTTATAGATAGGCCCGGAGTCATAGATGATACCTGTAACTGCCAAGGAACTGCAGTTCCAAGGTTTCTCAAAACTCCTAACTACCAACTATGCTGCTTCCTCTAGTATTCCATGTTACCTTTGCCCTGAAAAATTAATAATTGTGGTAGTTTATTTTTCAGTAAATATTCACTCCCTCCTCCCCTCCCTTATTTTATATTTAATATTTATATTTTATATTTCCATATATATTATTATATTTGCATGCCTCATTGATGTTGGACTTCGCCATGTCATTTACTGTAGCCAATGTCATGTCGGTGCATTTGACTGTGTGCTAAGTCAAGATTATGCCTTAAGCAGCGTTACTTGTTTTGTTCTCTTCTCTGGGAGCTTTTGACCACTGACACCATGAGAAAAACATGTAGGCAGTCCCCTGGCTTAAGCATAAAAGACAAGTGGAACAGGCCTGAATCAACCCCGTGGCTTGGAGCCAGGCCCAGCTGAGCTCAGCCTATGTCAGCTAAACTCCAGCTGAATCACGCATAAGAAATTCTTCTTATTGTATGCCACTGAGAATTTCTGATTGTCAGCAGCAGTAGCTGACTGATACAATAGTTGTCCCATATGTTATTCCATTTGTTACTTTGTAAATCTTTGCTGATTTTCCATTTCTCTATATTTTACCTTCCCAATCAGTTTGAAAGACACCTGGGCAGCTTGATCCATGTTTTAACTTATTTGGACCCCAAAGTACACACCACTATAACCACTCAATATATTCTAGTTGCAGTCACGAGTGTTTTCCTGGTACCGTGCATTGGAGTAAGTCTTTGCTGTACCATTGATAGCCCTCAACGACAAATGCTGCATTTCAGTAGCAATCTCAGAATATGTTTTAGAAGCATAGAGGCTAAGTAACTCAACAGAATAATCAGTGAAATTGAGCAAGTGGAGAATTCTTCATTTGGGGACATTGCTGGCATTTTAAGACACTTTTCCATTCATGGTAGAACAGTTATTGCACATAACTGAAAAGGCCATTTTTCTCAAGGTAAAATTGCTGATTTCAGGAGCACATGGTCTGAAAAAGCTTTTATGAAGAGAGCACTATTTTCCCATTGGATTTCTCCATGAATCTGGTATTTAGAACTGCCCAAAGGCTAAGGGCTGATATATTTGCTATTATGTTTCACAACAGGGCACAGATGAAGCAGGACAGGGAGCAAGGCGACCTTCACCTTCATATATCACATATATACATGTTGTACCTCACATATATTACATACAATTACATAATTACGTAATACATACATGTACTTACATATACCATGTAATTATAAGTAATACATACATGTAATATATGTCATACACTGTTCATGTTGGGAAAAACAATCCAGTTAGCTTTTTGAGGTGAATTTTCTTTATTCATCTGAGAAATGGCTTAACATTCCCAAGTAATACCAATTCTGCTATAGGATGACAGGCGTTTAGGGCATTAAAGATTATTTTTTTTAAATGTATTAAGGGAGAGGGTAAAGAAATCCTAGAAACCCCCAAATTGTATCTATCAGTGGCAGCAGATGAGTGCTTAGCCAGTTTACTGAAAAGATTTAATTACATCTCTTTCTTACCTTGAATGTCTGCATGGATTTGACATACCGCTTAAAGCAATGATTTTGACATACCGCTTAAAGCAATGATTTTGACATACCGCTTAAAGCAATGATTGTCCAAAGAACAAACTCTTCCTGCGGCTAGTAAAATGAGTCCTCTTGACAGTAAGACTTACTAATAGGAAATTAATGATTGTCAAATCTAGGGCTCAACAATGACAAAGCTTTTTGGAACTTGCCATATACTTTCTGTGTGACATTTTCAGCTTTAAATCTTTGCCCATTCTGCTCTTTGAAATCTTGATATGTAAGATCTGGATATGTATGTCATCATGGAAGCACGCCTAGTTAAGATCTCTGCAATCTGATTAAAGAGGGGAGAAGACTGAGGAAATAAACAACCTGTTTTTGTATATGTGCTATTCCTAACTTTACCAATGTTAGTGAGATCCTTTTCCCCTGCAGAAGAGCTGAACAAACTAGCAAAGATTCGCCAGGGCTTGAAACAACAATCAGAGCAAATCCTAAGGAATTTAGGTAACAGAAAGGTAAGGTTCTAATTAAAAGAGACATTAAAACCTCTGGTATTCTACAATATTTTAACTCTTAGCTTTTCACTGCCATTATTGGTTTTTGCCTTGAGATACTGTTAAGAGTGGGAATGTTTCAGGATATTTTGTAGGCTATGGGAAATCTTTGCTTGTTAACAGATTATTGCAGTTTGTAGAAAATTATTTGAGAACCTCTGTGACTCTTCAATAATCCTATTATTTTAAAAACAAACTCCTTTTCTTGTCATTCGTCCCAAAGGCACTTGGAATCAGAATCTCTTGAAGAGAGAGAAAACACAGCTTCTTTACCATTCGAGTGTTTTTGTGTGTGTGTTTGTTTTTCTGAGCTCAGGAATGAGGTAATGAGGGCAAGTCGGAAAAATGTTTGTGGCTAGGCTGGAAATCAATGGAAAACAGGTTATGGTTTTACAACAAATCAAGTGTCACAGATCTGCTTTGTGTTTGGGAGTTAATCTACTCTCTCTAAAAATTCTCCAAAAGCCAGTTAAAGCAAATGAAGCAAGACTTTGCAGGAACCCCCGAGAGAGAACACACTGCTATGTCACACAGCTCTCACAAACGAGTGGGAGAGATTGTCTGAAATGTGTGTTTTACAACAGATGCCAATTGCTCTGATTCTTGCCATTAACAACTTCAGAATTAGCTTACAAATGGTAATCTTCACAGAGCAGTGACTTCTGTGTGGGAAACCCAGGAAGAAAAGTGGCTTTTCAGATTTTTTTTTTTTCTTTTGCAGCTGAACACAAATGAGCCTGGGAGCCTCTCTGCACTGTGTAGAAAATACAACTATATTCATTTAAGTGTATGTGTGGCATTAATAATTCAGAGAAAGTGATAGTCAAGGGTTGGAGAGAGGCTGGAAATCAACTTTGAAAGCATAAAAGTTGAAAGATAAAGTGTTGAAAATCTCCTTGGCTATTTAAAAACTCATATAAACCAGTAGTTGGAAATCACTATTTTGGTGTTCAAATTCTTAACACCTCCATTTTTCTGCTTAATTCCAAATAATACTCCTGGATATAAAATTGGAATAGGGCTGAAATATTAGAATTTGAGACAGAAAAAATGCTGTAGTGGTATACTTTAAAGCTGAGGCCATAAGTAATCATGAAAATACTAGTCACTGGTTTTTACATTACTAACAACAACAACAAAAACAAATCGGGACAGTAAGTCTACTGTATTTCTTCCCATTTGTTTAAATGGTATAGTGTATTACAGCATGACGTGACTCTGCTCAGAAATGAGACAGAAGGGAAGATTGCAAAGAAGACTAAGGCAGAAAGAAACACCTTGTCACTCTTCAGTGGTGGAAGAGATGTGGGGTAGATAACGCCACTAGAGACAGATCCCCAAGTCATTTTTATTTGCTTGGAAGTACATTGCAGGCTCTTTACAGTTTTGTATTTCCTTCTCAGTGGTACCTCTTTCAGGCTGATATTAGCATGAGGGATTATTCAATTACAGGGAGGGGGACAAATTTGAGGGTGTTATTGGAGGGAACCAAACAGCTCAGGGAGCAGGAAAATGGCCAACAGTAATTAAATATCTGCCATCATTACTCCCAGTGGCGCACATCCGTGTACACATATTCGGAGGTCAACTCGTTGATGATATATATTCCAGTAGCACCCATTAAATGAGTAAGCCTCCTCCCCAAATGTGAAGGCATTCAGCTTTCTGTGACTAAGAAAACTAATTTTGGGAATGATTTTCATCATCATAATGGATGAGAAGCACTGATAGAGCATGAATGATACGTTCACATCTCATCTCAGAAAAATCCAGTGCTTCAAATTACAGTGCTTGAAATTCAGGGACCTTAAGCCTAACATAAGAAATTTCCTTGGAAAGAGTCTTTCCCTGACAATTAAAAAAAAATAAAATAAGCACATTTCACCTGCCTTCTCAAATAAAGGGGTCTCTAGGCTTATATTTAAATTGATTTCACTCCTTTCTAATTCCTGGACAAGCACAGGACTCTTGTCATTATTGAAGAGCAATCTAATTTTAAAATCTCTACACCTGAAATCACCTCTTACTAGAAACTTTTCTTGCTCTGTTTTCACTTCTTCTGAACCTGTTCCTTTATTCTTCTCCTGACTCCTATTCTATCTTTCCCCAGCTCACTCTCCTCCATTCTGATTTCATTCATCATTCTATCAGAGATTTCAGTGACTGCTCAGTGTGCTGAATGTCTTTCAAATACCTCCATAAATCCATGACTCACCCTTTTCCACCCTGCTCTGTTGCCACTGAAGGCTGATCTGAATTTTCTGCCTTCTGGTTGGGTACGGTCAATGAGAAGCATTGGCAAGAAGCTAGAAGGAGTATTTATTCTCTCACTTCCATTTTTGTCGGGTCACCACAGTTAGCTATGTTCTTTGAGCACATCTCCTAACGGGTGCCCCGCAAGTATCCTCTGTGGAATCCAGTAACCATGCTCTCCCCCGTCTGGTTATTCCTTAATAAGGACAGCAGCTGCTCCCCAGTATTGGGAGCCCTGGTATACTGTACTGTCTTTTACAATTTCCTTCAACTCCGCTCACAACCTTGTAAATCGTTTATTAAACTCTAAATTCCAGGGTTTTAGGGTCCCATCTGTTTCCTGCTGGCAATATGATTGACAAACTCCATATAGCACTAAATCCTTTGCTCCTTTAATGCCATTATCAATTCCTGTGGTAGACAGACCCTAATGTAACCCTCAATGACCCCTGCCTTCTGGTATTCACGTCTTTGTATCATCCCTTTTCTTTGAGTGTGGGCAGAACCTGTGACTTGCTTCTAACTAACAAAATATGTCAAAGGTGATGGGAATGTGAATCTGGTAATTATGTTATTGATATGGTTTGGGTCTGTGTCCCTTCCCAAATCTCATGTCGAATTTTCATCCCCAATGTTAGAGGTGGGCTGTGGTAGGAAGTGATTGGATGATGGGGGCAGATTTCCCCTTTGGTGCTGATCTCACAATAGTGAGTGACTTATCATGAGATCTGGTTGCTTAAAAGTGTGTAGCGCCATTCCCCACTCTCTCTCCTTCCTGCTCTGGCCATGTGAAGATGTACCTGTTTCCCCTTTGCCTTCCACCATGATTGTAAGTTTCCTGAGGCCTCCAAGCCATGCTTCCTGTTGAGCCTATGGAACCGTGAGCCAATTAAACCTCTTTTCTATATAAATTACCCAGTTTCAGGTATTCTTTATAGTAATGCAAGAACGGACTAATACAGTTACTTTATATAAGACTCTGTCTTGCTAGTCTCTTTCTCCTTCTCCTCCCCATTCTCTATTTCTCTCTCTCTCCTTCACTTTGAAGAGATGAGCAGCCATGTTGTAAACTGCTATATGAACTATGAACTATGAACTGGTCTGCAGGGCAGGTAATTGTGAGCAGTCTGTAGGAGCAGAGGGCCTCCATCCTACAGCTATAAGGAATTGAATTATGCCAAAAATGTGAGTGGCCTTGGGAGCAGACCTTTCCCCAGCAGAGGCTTCAGATGAGAATTTGAGCCTGGCAGACATCTTGATTGAAACCCAGTGAGGCGCTGAAGCAGCAATCTCAGTTAAGCCATGCCTGGAATCCTGATCCACAGAAACATTGATACAGTAAGTATACGGTGTTTTAAGGTGAAATATTTTTGTTAACACAGCATTAGAAAACTAACGCAATCTCAATCACTGGAATAGCCTCTGGTAGGCAGTATACTTTCCTAGTTCCTACTGATAGGTAACTGAATATTTCTAGAGAAAAATCATGAAAGAATGCTGACTGAAACTGGAAATCATGTATGTCCCGTGGTTTTAGCTAAAACACTCTCAGTAACCCTTCCTTCATATCTTCTTGATTCTTGAGTCTTGAGCACCCCCCCCCCCAATTTTATCCTTGAATTCGCTTTTATTTCCTTCTTACTGAGTAGCCTATAATAACATTCCATGAGGGGAAAAGCCAGGAATGGGAATGTTCATCTTGGCCAAATCAAGTGAAGGAGAAAAGGTTTAGGCTTGAGGTTTGTCATCCATGGGTTCATCAGTGTACAGAAACTACCGTCTCAAAGTTCATCAGTAACCTCACAGGTGCCAAATTCATTGACCAAAAGTTGTAGGCCTTCCTCTGAAGTCCTCGCAGCATTTTGCCAATAGTCTCTTTTTGTGATTCCCTCTTTCTTGGCACTCTTGAGCCCACACTCTTCTGCCGCTATACTACCCTCTCCCATTTTTCTTGATCTTATTCTAATTTATTAAATGGATGTCTTAGACATTACCACTTCTCACTCATGTTCAGATTTCATCTTCATCCCAGGTTTCTGAAGGATTATATGTGTGAACTTCTTGCCAATGCTTAGCTTTGGCCAAATCCAAAAAGCAGGCAGAAAGTTTAGTTAGGCAAGGCCATATGATGAGTTCTACCCAAAAGATTGTGAGGGGGAACTGATGGCTGTCACTTACAGGCTGAAGAAATTAAAAGTCACTGTGAGACCCTCTAACTCTCTCTTCTCCTTTCTTGGTGAGATGTTGAGATGTTGCAGCCATAAGATGGAAGCACATCCTGGTTCTCTGAGGCCCCTGTGGAGGAAAGATACCCTGGAGAATTGTTGAGGCTCCATGGAACATCGCACAAGTGAGAAACAAATTTTGTTGTATTAAATCATTGAAACTTCATAGCTTTTTAGTTAAAGCAACCTGGTGTATCTTGACTGATTCAGGGATCATTATTCAAACTTCCTCCTCGTATTCTTTCTTTCACAATATATTCATATACTGGTCAATGCCATTCATCCTTAGAGCTTCATTATCACTTCCATGTCAAGCATATCTAAATTAATAAATTCAGGCAGACTCTTTTCAGCGACTTCTAATTCTGCATGTCCAATTGCTCATTGGGCATCCCTTTGCTGATGTCCTTCTGAAACATTAAAATTCCAGTGTACAAAACCAAACCCATGTTCTTTCCCTCACATCCAGGCCCACCTTGTGATATATCTATTTCTATTAAACTCCCGTGTTGTGAAAAATAAAATTACTCCTCAGCATATGCAATCACCTAGTACTACCTGTTACTCCATCTCCTGGGTAACTCTCCCTCTGCCATTTCTGATTCCTCTGCTTGGTCCCTCACTGGATCTCAGTCATCTGCAGCTAGAGAGATTAAGACATCCACTGTCATCACTCCACTGACGCACTCTTCCTAAAAACACCAGGAACCCATACAGTGGACATATTTTAAACCTTATAATGCTAGATTTTTCTTCTGTACTAACACTAGTTATCATTGTTATCCTCTAAAAACTTGATTCTCTTCATCTCTGTGATGACTCCTTTTACATTTCAGTTATAGGCTTCTCTTCTGACCAGGTCTTAAATGTCATTGCTTCCCAAGCATCTATCCTTACAACCTTCCTCTTCATGGGTTTCTCTGAATGCTTTAGTCTTTTCCCACGGCTTTAAATATTTCTGCACACAGGGGACGTGTTTATCTCAGGCTGTGGTCTTGCCCTTTCTCCCAAATTCCACCCGTTCACTGGATCCTTACACCTACTTGAATATCCCTCACGTACTTTAAACTCAAGATTTTCAAAGGTGAACTCATTGTCTTATGCCTAAACGTCTTTCTTCCACTGTATTTACTTTGGCAGTTGGTAGACACCCAAGATAGAACCATCAGATTTAGATCATTACCTCCATTTACTTCCCCACATTGTTTAATCACCACATCCTGCTGGTTTTGCCTCATAAAAATTTCTTCAGCCTCTTCCTTCAACTCCACCATTGCCCACTACCTACTGCCCCCATTTAGGTCTTCATCTTCATTTTCTTTGACTATTACAATAGTGTCTGAGTAGCCCTCCTGCCTCCAACCTTATTCCCTTCAAATATCTCCTCCCACTTCAGATGGCCTGGATATAAGTATGTCCCCAATTTGAGTTCCTTAGCTCTTTACCACGGCCCATGGGATAAAAGTGCAAACTCCTTAACAAAAGGCAAGCAAGGCTTGTCGCTGATGTGGCCCCATCAACCTCTCTGTTCTCATCTCTAACCTCTTATCGAGTTATATTACTCAAAAACTAATTTATGCTAAATGCTCTTGCTAATCTTCCCAAAGCATAGCTCACTCTTTACATTAATATGCTCAAAAGCATCATCTTCTTATTGTCTATCGAATGGAGACTGACCTTTTAGCCTTGGAATTCAAGGTTCTCCATCTAAACTCTGGGATTTTACCACTCATGATGGAAGTTTCCTAAATAGTTCCAAATAAAGAACATGTGGGGCCAGAATTGCTTCAGTGACTCATAACTCTGGGCTTGGTAATGAAGGACAGGAATGAGACTACAAGTAGGGATCGAGCGACCCCAGTTGTGAGAAGAAAAATGAGGGCTGCCAAGCCTACATTGTGACAGACATTTTTACACTGAGTAAACCAAGTCTGGGAAAGTTTAAGTCTCCCAGAGTTACAAACTTGATAATGTAAGAGGCAGGTTTAAATACCTGTTCTCTTTCAATCTAGAGCCCCATTTATTGCTGGTGCACAAAACGCCTTCCAGTATTTCCATATTGAATGTTTATTCTATCACAATCCTACTCGTATTTCCAGGTGCAGCCAGAATCCACAAAGACTTTCTTGAATCACTCAATACATGGTCATGTATTCATTACAGAACTATCTGTGAAAAATGGAAATATTCTCTAACTTTGTTTTCTAGCCTAGGAGCTACTAGCCACATGCGGTTATTGAGTACTTGAAACGTGGTTAGTAGGACTGAGGAACTGAATTTTAAATGTTATTTAAATTTAATTACTTAAATTCAAAGGTGATTAGCTGCATGGGTCTAGTGGATCTGTAGCTCTAGATTTCTGCTATTCAAAAATGGTCAATCTGCATTGGCATCACCTGGGAAGTTAGTAGATATGTTGAATCTCAGGCCCTACCTCAGACCTGCTAAATCAGAATTTGTAACAAGTTCTCCAGGTGATTCATCTGCACATTGAAGTATGAGAAACACTTCTCTAGGGCATTTGTTAGCAGTAGTTTATGGCTTTTCAAAAACCATATTTCATATCAAGTTTTATAATACAGGCACCTAGAGGGGAGGAAACATTCAGATAGCTAAGTAACTATTTGTTGAATTAAACATAGCCTGTATACTTAAAGAATCTATTATATATGTGGAAAATAGGTGGCCATTTCTAAGAGAAGAGTTCTGAGCAAACAAAGAATACAGCATATATAATTATAAAGATCTTCCCTTGAGACCTGGCCCCAGTTGATTCAATAAACACATATTGATTAACTGTGATGTGGCAGGAATCTTCTAGGGACAGGAAATATAGTAGTGAGTATGACATAATCCTTGCCCATATGGAGCTCACAGATGAGGAAAGGAGAGCAAGTGTTCAAGTCTAAATAATCTGTATTATAAAAAAGCAAAGTTTCTATTGGTCCACAATCACTGATTTCAGTATCATTTTAATTCTTAATATTACTAAGTTTTGGCTGGGCACAGTGGCTCACGCTTGTAATCCCGGCACATTGGGAGGCCAAGGCAGGTGGATCATGAGGTCAGGAGTTCAAGACCAGCTTGGCCAATATGGTGAAACCCCATCCCTACTAAAAATATAAAACTTAGCTGGGCATGGTGGCGCACACCTGTAGTCTCAGCTGCTTGGGAGGCTGAGGCAGGAGAATCGCTTGAACCAGGGAGGTGGAGGTTGCAGTGAGCTGAGGTCGTGCCACTGCACTCCAACCTGGGTGACACAGCGAGACTCTCCCTCTCAAAAAAAAAACAAAAAAAACTATTACTAAGCTTTGCCTCAGGAAAAACAAACAAACAAAAAGATAAGCATTTAAACTGAAGAACTATATTTGCATTCCAGTAGTTCTCAGGAGGGGGTGATCTTGGATCCCAGGGGGATATTTGGCAACAACATCTGGATGCATTTTTGGTTGTCACATTGTGGAGAAGTGTTACAGGCACTGAATGCGTACAAATCAGGATGCTATTAAACATCCTACAATGCACAGGATGCCCCCACTCCCCACCCCCAACAAATAATTATCTGACCCAACATTTCAGTAGTGTCCAGGTTGAGAAACCTTGCTCCACTCTTTTTGAATGGATTCAGAGTAAAACAGTTCAATGAGAAAGATGTCTCTATTTTTGATGGAAGAAACTTGAAGAAAATGGACCAGTGGAATAGAGATCTGAGTCACCACCTTGGCTTCTTCCATGAATCTGCAATGGGAGCTCCAGTCTAAGAAGAATCATCACCAGCTACAATAGCTCCCAAAAGAATGCTCAAGAGAGGACCTTTTGGGGGAATTGCATTGTGGATGTACTTCTTCCTTCTTTGATACCTCTACTTGAATAGGTGGCTTAGTTTCCTTTTTTGAGATCCTGGAGTTCTCTGCTTAATTTATGTGGGAGAGTAGCAGAAACTGGAATACACTTTTCGCCACACCTTTTGACAGGAGTCAAAAGGATTTAATCCAGTTCTCAAACCCAGGCTGCATGTCAGAATTCTCTGGCAGGCTTCCTTAAAAACATTGACATGGGTGACATCAGTGAAAATGTTGGAGCACGGAACTCTAAAAAACTGCCTTTTGGGGAACCAAGGGCCCCTTTGGCTACCAGCCAGGCTCTGCTCAAGGACACCAATCCTTCGTTTCCATCATGTTGAGGACCTATGACCTTTGAGCTACCTTAAGTATTTGTGATAGAGACCTAGGGGCCCTTTCAGTCACCTGCCAGACCAAGCACAGAGAGCTGAGGTCCCTCTGAGCCACTAGCCTCCGCTCCCACTAAGTTAAGGGTGGACCTTCTGGCCATGAGTCAGTTCTCTGGGTCACTGGTTGTATGGCAGAATGAGAAACCGGGAACCTTTCAGGCCACAAGTTGGGAAAATTTGGCTCCCTTTAGTCACCATCAGTGCCTGCAGATGGTGCTCTGAAGGTCCTTCCAGGCACCACTCTGCCTGTGCACCCTAGGGTTCCAGCCTTCCCACTCACTGAGGAACTGACAGCACTTTAGGTCATCTGTCCCCCCATGCACTGTGGCCCTGGAATCCTTTCCTGCCTGCCTGCTGGGATTCCGGGACCCTTTGGGCCACAAGTCTGCCCAAGTGCTAGAGAACTGTGACTCCTTTTGTCCACCATTATAGCCTCATGTTGGGTGCTCCAGGAAACATTCCAGGAATTGACCTGCCCATGTGCTAGCGTCTTGGTATTCCTTCTGACCACATGCCATCCTGCTTGTTGGGGAGCCAAGGGCATTTTTGGCTACCTTCCCTCCAATGAGGGGGTGCCCAGAGGCCTTTGAGTAACTTGCCTGTCTGCACACTAGGTTATGGACTCCTTCAGACCGTCAGCAGCCTCTATCTAAGCTGGGGAAACAAAAGTCATTTTGGCTACCGTATGACCCTCATGGTGCAAACCAGTGGAATCTTCTGCTCACACACCAACTGCCCTTTCGAGGTCTCGAGGGCTTTCTGGCCATCATCCCTCTACTTGCCAGTTATCAGGGCCACATGCAGGACTCTATATTCACGGGCACACAGGAAATGGGAGTGTGTGCACCGGCCTGATTTTAGTATGGGGAATACCTGCCCCCTTCAGCCACCATCAGTGCCTTGAAGTTCCTCCTGGCCACTAGACTTCCCTAGCACTTGGGTTCCAGGCTCCTCCTGCCCACTAGCCTTCCAACTTGCTGTGGAACTGAAACCATTTTGGCTACCTTTCCTTCACTGTGCTGAAGCACTTGGGGCCCACGGAATCACTAGAATACCCGTCTGCTGGAGTTGGGAGGATTCTTACAGCCACAAATTAGTCTGGGTTCCTGGTGAAGGGAGATTCCTCTCAGCCTTTGTCATTTATATATGATTGTTCCTTGGTGGCATTCCTAGCACCAATTTGCTCTAGGACTAGGGCTCTGGTCTTCTTAAGGCTACTAACCTTTCCGCTTACTGAGGAACCAACTGAAGTTTCAGCCACCTCATCTCTGTGGTACTGTTGACACTGGCATCCATCCAGTCCCTAACCTGCTCTCCCCATGCAGTTTTGGGTTTCTTTGGGGCCACGAGCTTGCCTGCGCGCTGGGAAATTGTGGCTCCTTTTAGCCACCACCTTATCCTTCCCCCAGCCACCTGGGGAAACTTCCAGGCAGCAACCTGAACAAGTGCTATGGTTCTGGGTGTTTTTCTTGCCATCAGGCTTCCCCTTTGCTGCTGAATAGGAGAGCATTTTAGGCCACTTTCCTGCATAGCGCTGCTGTCTGGGGAGCCCATCTTGTCACTAGTCTGGCTGCTGGGATTCCTGTCACTCTTTGCTCCACAGGCCAGCCCATGTGCTGGGAAACTATGACTCTTTTTGCTCATCATAGTTCCTTCAAGGTAGTGCCCTGGAGGTACCTTCTGGTTTCCGGTGGTCCTTCAGGCCATAAGCTTCCCTTGAGCTGGGGAAATGGAAACTTTTCAGATCCCTTTCTTCCAGTGATCTGATGCCACGTGGGCCAACCAGTCACCAGCCTACCGGTATGCTTAGGTTGTGGGAGATACTTTAGGCCATAACCATGCTGGTGTTTTTGGGAAACATGGCTCTTCTTGGCAACCATAATACCTTATTGAGGGTGCCCTGGGCATAAGCCTTCCCTGCTGCTAAGGTTCTGGTCAGCTTCCCAGCACCAGCCTTCTCCCTTGTTGGGGAAGGGGACTTTCAATCACCTTCGCTGCAGTGTGCTGATTTGGAGGGGAGAAGGGTGATGTGGGGTGCCCATCTGGTCTATAGCCTATCCACTTGCAGAAGTTGCTGTCATCCTTTGCCACAACTTGACCACGTGATGGAAAATCTTAATTTCTTTCAGCCACCATCACATCTTCCTGTAACCAAGTATCTCAGCCTTGAAATGCATTTTGAAACCTTTTTCTTTCCTTTCCTTCCTAATTGCATAACGTAGCCTTGTACTTTAAAACTCTTTGTTTCTCTCTCTCTCCCACCAGGCACATCCGTGCACAGTGCTCATTTATCTAATTATGCACTTGCTTAGAGGTTTCGGGGACTGGCTCACACCTGTAATCCCAGCACTTTGGGAGTCCGAGACTGGCAGATCACCTGAGGCCAGGAGTTGGAGACCAGTCTGGCCAATGTGGTGAAACCCCATCTCTACTGAAAATACAAAAATTAGCTGGGCATGGTGGCACATGCCTGTGATCCCAGCTACTTGGGAGGCTGAGGCAGAACTGCTTGAACCCAGGAGGCGGAGGTTGCAGAGAGCTGAGATCGTGCCACTGCACTCCAGCCTAGGTGACAGAGCGAGACCCTGTCTCAAAAGAAAAGAAAAGAAAAAAGAAATTTCAGAGGCTAATTTTGAAACAAACCAGGCATGGAGACCCAGCTGTGAAATCCTCCCACTTAGGGAGAGTTATGAACAGTTAGTCCACCACTACCAAACCAGACCTCCAGATGGATGGGCGATTACTCAAGATAGCCATTGACACCACTCCTGCAAGTTTCCTAGACCACGTTTTCATTCTTAAACCCCTTCACTCAGCCCAGAAAGCTAGAATGATCTTTTAAAGTCATGAACCTGGCCATTCCTCAACTGCTAACATTTGAAGAAAGTTGCTTTTGCTTCTTACCACACCTGGCTTCTTATGTTTTCAGCCTCTAAGTGGCAAGCACATGGACTTGAGCCAGTTACATTCCAATTAGTGCCTCCAGAGAACTTTCCAGGTATCAGCCTGCCTGCATGCCTGGATTTCTTTTGTTCTTAAGCTCACTGACCTTCCCCCTTGCTGGGGAAACGGGTGAAGTTTTGCCCACCTCACCTGCAGTGTGCTGCTGCTCTGGGACCCATCTGGTCACTAGCCTGCCTTCCCTCATCTATTTCTTGGGGCACAAACCTGCAGACATGCTGAAGAACTGTGACTCCTTTTGGCCAGAGTCTTTTCTTTGCCCTGTCCCCCTAGAGAACCTTCCGGCCATCAGCCTGCCTATGTGCTATGTCTCCAGTTGTCCTTCCAGCCGTCAGCCTTCCCCATTACTGGCAAACTTCTGTCACTTTTGGCTTCCGTCTCTGAAGTTTACTGATTCCATGAGTGCCTGTCTGGCCGCTAATCTGTCTGCCCACTGAGTTTTGGGGGATGTTTTAGGTCACAAGCCATCCCGTGTACTGCAAAGCTGTGGTTCATTTCTCCCTTAGTCATATTCTTGCACTGGTGCCCTTGGGGAAATTTCTGGGTACCAGCCTGCCAACATGGGACAGTTCTGCTTGTTCTTCTAGCCTTCTCCTTTGCTGTGGAACAGAGAGCACTTTAGGTCACGTTTCCTGCATAGTGCTGATGCTAGAAATAGCTTTGTGGGAGATTTTGATGAAGTTTCATAGACCAGTGTTTAAAAGTAAGAGTGAAAATCCATGGATCCTAGGATAATTGCTTCAAACGTTGTTACTTAATAAGAGCCAAAAAGTTACTCTTTCAAAGATGTGAGTGAAACAGTGATTTTCACACGACTGTTCTGGAATTCCTCTTAAGATTACTTTATAGGATTGAACTCCACATGGGATCCTTGTAGAACAGTGTGCCGTGCAGTCCATTGCTGTTCTACCCCTGACCACCTAGGAAAGCAATATTGGCTGAGTGCTGTTTGCATGTACACCTGAAATAAATCCCACTGTAGTTTCTAGTCCAGTGAGAAACTAAATGAAGCACTAATGGTAAAGCAGGAGAAAGCCAACAGCAAAATAACAGTGTTAATGAATATCATTGCAAATCCTCTTCTATAATCCTGGGCTTGGCCTGTAAGCAACAGCTCCTCCCAAAGCACACATTCTGCTATCAAGCTATGAAAAGACATGGAGAAAACTTACTCCATATTACTGTCTGAAAGAAGCCAGTCTGAAAAGGCTACCTACTGTACAATTCCAACTGTGACATTCTGGAAAAGGCAAAACTGTGGAGACAGTAAAATGATCAGTGGTTGCCAGAGATTATGGGGAAGGGAGAAATGAACAGATAGATCGCAGAGAATTTTTAGGACAGCGAAGCTATTCCATATGATACCATAATGCTAGATACATGTCATTATACGTCGAAACCCATCGAATGTACAACACCAAGAGTGAATCCCAATGTAAACTATGGACTTGGGTGATAATGATATATCAATGCAGGTTCGTCAACTGTAAGAAATGTACTTTCTGGTGGGGGATGCTGATAATGGTGGAGTTTGCAAGTGTGGGGGCAGGAGGTATATGGGAAATCTCCGTACTTTCCTCTCCATTTTGCTGTGAACCTAAAATTGCTCTAAAAAAAATAAAGTCTATTAGCAAAAAGAGGTACTCATTCCGAGAGATTACTTCAAAGTCACAGCTGTAATCAGATAATGAGATCATGCAACTCAAGTTCCCATGGTTTATGTCAACAAAAGAGATGTTATCCCTGCAATTTCAATTGCCAAAGGGATGTTTGGATTATAAAAAACATCCCTGAATTATCAGTATAAGAAAATGGACACAAGTGCTGGCTAAATATAATTGGTTAAAGTTATGGTACAGAAAACTGTATTTTTCCCTATTTAATTTTATTTGATAGGACAAAAAATTACTTGCCAATCGCTTCCCCTGCTGTCATGCTGTGTTTCGAGCCTCATTATGCTGAACTCTAGTACACACCTATTATTCTTCAATTTTTCTCTTAATTTATTCAGGTATTTCTATGATTCTTAATTTTTACTTGGCCCTGAGGATATGAAGAAAAAAAAAAACACAAACCCACCCCCATTTCTTGTTTCCAAGAAAAATGGCACAGAGTCATAGGAAAACATGGACGAAAAGGTGCACTTTATCAATTAAGAGGAGGGATTGTTTAGAGTTTTTCACTTCTAGAGAAACGTCTCAATAAAGTCATTTTATGAACCTTAGTTTTGAGACAGTACAGTTGAAAATGTATATTGTGAAGCCTTAAAACAAGTTCTTGCCACTGCTTTCTACTCTATCCAGACTGTATCGATAGGTTGATGTGGGTAGGGTGGAGAGGAGCCTGTTGCAGTCCTAAAAATGGATTTAATGTTCTTTTATTAATACTTTACCTAATTTTCCAATTTTTAAGTTGGACTTCGTATTTGCCAGCCATCATGCTAATAATCATGATTTTAAGGAATGCAGCCTCTAAGGCCTTACGGTAAGAAAAATACTAGAAAGAATATCTTTTCCTTTGCTGTTTAATGAGGCCATCACCCTTTTAATTCTTATGGATTTTCTCACTCATTACTAGCTGTGGAGTAGCAGGAGATTCTCTGCTTCTTTGCTACCTTAAAACCAATAATGCACATTAACTAACACCTTAAAGAAGATACTAACACAGAGATTATAACGATTTAACACAAGAATAACCTGTTACAGTAAAGCAGGGCTTATCTCAGGAATGCAGGAATGATAAAATATAAGGACATGCAGTAATATAATTATGTTGATAATACTCTAACAGCAGAAAGGCATTTGCTAAAATTGAACATTTAAAGGCATTTTTAAAAAGGGATTGAAGATTTTTCCATATATACATGTATATATATATTTTGACAGCCCTTATCAAAAACCTGTCATAATTATCGTCAATAGCACATTGCTAGAGAATAAGCTCAGGAACAACAATAACAAACATCTATGTTTACTGTTTTTATATAGTAGCATTTTGGAAATGTTTATTAATACAGCAAGCCATGTAAAAGAAAATAATACACGCTATTATTATGAAATGGCAAGATTATACACGTAGACATCCAAGGCATTCAGCTAAAAATAACAATCTTTAGTCTTAATGAAAGTTTAATTAAGGGAGCAGTATATGATACGCAGAAGTCAATAGTATTCTGTACATTCACAGAAAAGAAATAGAACAATTTCAAAAAGGTCAATTCAATGGAAATATAATGCTCTTAAAAACTATAAAGAATAAACATAACAAAAGATGTAGAGAAGCTAAATAAAGACAATTGCAAAATTGCACTGGTGTACTGAAAAGACGACCTGCATAAGTGGAAAACTGTGACATATTATGGGATGGAAAGACTGAATATTTTCTAGTTGTTCTAAGTTATGTTTTAGATGACCTGGAATTAAATCCTTAATCCCAAATAGTTTTTTTTCTGAAAGTTGATGATTTTATTCTAAAGTTCAACTGTTAAAACAAATAGTTAACCTTTACAAATACACATTTGGAAATAAGGATTTTCACAAAACAATGCAGAGATCCAGAAATGTGAACTACATGAGCAAATATAGAAGATCTTCAATTCAAATCACCATTTAAATCACAATTTAAATTTGTATCTAAATCCTTTCAAAAGATCATTAACTGTTTTTCAGAAAATTACTACAAACTCCAGCAACTCTACTTCTAGATATCTACTCAAAAGTGTTGACAGCAGGAACTTGAGCAGATATTTGTGCACCAGTGTTCATAGCAGCGTTATTCTCAATAGCCAAAAGGTAGAAATAACCCAAATGAACACTGATGGATGAGTAGATGAACAACATGTGGCATGGGTATGTACATACAGTGGAATATTATTCAGCTTTAAAAATGAATGAAATTTTGATACATGCCGAAACATAAACGAATCTTGAAAATAGTGCGCTAAGTGAAATAAGCCAGACACAAAAGAACAAATATTGTATGCTTCTGCTTACATGAGGTACCTCGAGTGGTCAAATTCATGGAGACAGAAGTAAAATAGTGGCTACCAGGGGCTGGAGGGTGAGGGGAATGGGGAGTTATTGTTTAATGGGTATAGCATTTCAGTTTGGGGTGCGATAAAGTTTTGGAGATGGATGGTGGTGGTGGTTGCACAACAATGCGAATGTACTTAATGCCATTGAATTGTACACTTAGAGATGGTTAAAATGGTAATTTTACATTATGTCTATTTTCCCACAATAAAAAAAGACTTAAATATATTAAAAGTCATAACAATGTATTGTGGCAGCATGTGCACACATGTGCACACACACACAGACCAGGAGGGGAAAAATATAAATAAACTATAGGAAGGTGTTTATACTACATGTGAGGTGGTATATACATTTATATTTGATATGATATACAGTTGAAGGTAAGTACAGATAAGTTAAAGATGTATAACACGAACCCTAAAGCAATCACTAAAATAAGAAAACAGTTATAAGTTAATAAATCCAAAAAAGGAGATAACAAGGAATAAAAAAATATTCTAATTGCCTCAATTAAAATTTAGAGTTGTTAGAATCGATAAAAATTGAAGATCCTATAAGAAACATACTGTAAGTACAAAGACACAAATAGGTTCACAGTAAAAGAATGGGAAAATATACCATGATAACACTAATCAAATAAAGCCTAGTAGCTATATTAAGATAAAATATTTCAGAGAAAAGAATATTACTAGAAAAAGATGATTCTTTCATAATGATAACAGGGTCAATTCATCAAGAGAACATAATTATTCTCAACTTTTAGACACAGATGGCAAATAAGCAGATGAAAAGATGCTCAACATCATTAGTTATTAGGAGAAATGCAAACTAAAGCCACAATGAGATACCATTACGCATTCATTAGAATATGGCAAAAATCAGAAAGACTGAGCACACCAAGTGTTAGTGAAGATGTGGAAGAACTAAAACTCTCCTTCACCGCTGGTAGGAATGTAAAATGAGACAACCATTGTGGGAAACAATTTGGCAGTTTCTTAAAAAGTCAAATACCTACTGACAATACAATTCAGCCATGCCACTTTTAGATATTTACCTAAGAGAAAAGAAAGCATACATTCATAGAAAGACATGCACCTGGATATTCCCAACAGCTTAATTTGTAGTAGCCAACAACTTTAAATAAATCAAATGTCCATCGATAACTGAATGGATAAACAAACAGGGGTATAATCATCCAAGGGAATTCTACTGAGCAATAAAATAAATGAACTATTGATATGTACCACATGATGGATAAATCCCAAAATAATTACGCTGAGTAACATAAGCCCCACCAAAAAGGAATATTCTATGATTCCATTTATCCAGAACTCTAACAAAATGCCATCTAATCTAGAGTGGCTGCTGGTTGGCTGGGGACAGGAGAAAGAGGCTGGGAAGGGAAGAGTGACAAGGAGGAGAGAATTAAAGAAGGTACAGGGAAACTTTGGGGGAGTGGTGTATATATTTATTCAATATATATTCATTTTGATTATAATGGTGGTACATTTAAAGTATGCTTGATTTATTGTATGCCAGTTATACCTCAATAAAGCTATTAAAATGTATATAACATTGTATATAAATTTAAATATAAATGAAAAGTCGTTTTACCTTTTTAAGATGGCAAAAGAAGGACATATAATAATAATAATAGTAGTGATAATTCGTTAGTAAATGGACAATAAAATGAACATATATCACACTATGAATGAAGAGTTTCGCATAAATAAACTTCTAATATAAATAAAGGAACAAAATCTAACTAATAAAGGGAAGAAATTGAATTGTGTTGATCATTTATCAAAACCTTCACAGAAGATGCTGACTTTCAAGCATTGGAGAGATAGCAATAGTCATAAAGAAAAAGATACATAATTTTGTGTATACTCTATAAGAGGAAAAGAATGCCAAAAAGCCATCTGGGAAAATATTTGCAGCAAAAATGTGTGCGGGTGAGTATCTCTATAAAGTGTCCAAACAAATGGACCAATTCTAAGATCAATAAATAAACAAGAAAAAGATGTGAACAGACAATTCACAAAAGAGGAAATTCAACAAGTAAATTTATTCTCAAAAAGTGGTAATGTTTTTTACCCCCTTAATAAAGCCTTAAAAGCAAAGCTATTGAATGGTGATAAGAATACTTTGAATCTGATACTCCTTTTTATTACTGCTACTTTGAATATTAGCAAAAACTTTACAGAAAGTAACAGCGCTGGTTTTTTAGAAATGTAGAACTATTCACATACTTTGCTATAGCAATTTTCCTTCTGGGACTTTAGCCTAAGGAAGTAATCCAAATGCTGAAACAGTCTTATGCATTTACATATTTTTCAAATAACAATGAAAATTAAAAACAGTTCAAATAGCTAAAATAGGAGAGTAGCTAATTAAATTGGGGTATAACTGCTCAATGGAATATTTTAAAGCCATTAAATATAACAAAGACACTACATAGCAATATGGGAAAGGCATAAAATATAATGCTAGGTTTCAGAGCAATATATTACATTTTATGAATTCTATGGTTACAACAATGTAAATATTTTTATGCACCAAACATGAAAGGTAAATAGAGACACTCCTTGACTTAGGACAGTGTTACATTCTGATAAACCCATCATTAGTCTAAAATATCATAAGTCAAAAACGGGTATTTTTGGTATCTGAGATGTGAAAATACAAAACACAATATGCAAAAATGCTGGCAACACAGAACACTGTAGAGTATTGGTTGTTTATCCTGATCACATGGCTGACTGGCTGTGGCTTGTTGCTACTGCCCAACATGGAAAAAGAGTATCGTACTATGTATTGCTAGCCTGAGAAAAGATGAAAATTCAAAATATGGTTTCTACTGAATGCATATCAGTTTCCCACCATTGTAAAGCTGAATAATCTTATGTTGAACCATCGTTAAGTCAGGGACCATTTGTAAATATGGTGGGTGATTTATATGCATATTTTTAATGTTCGCATATTTTCATATATAAAAAATTAAAAACAGTTCATGACAAACCATCTTACAGTAAGTGAAATATCAACGCCAAGGGTCTTTGAAAAACCTTTATGAGTGAGCAGTAAAATAAACATGAGAGTGTTCAGTGTGCAAGGTGTGCATTTTTGGGTTAATTTTGCAGAACTTGTTTTCTTCTTGGGTACACTGATCTCTAAAGGCCCTTCTATTAAACAATCTCAGATTTTATTATTCTTGGTGCTCCATCAGTACTAACAAGTGAAGCTAGGTTTTGAATGATTTTCTTTGTCTATTTGTGGACTACAAAATGCTAAACCAATCAGTTTATACAAACTGATCCAACTGATCAGTTCAATGAAAAAAGTCAAAGTGCCAATCGTGCATTATATTGCTTCAAGGTAGCTAAATGGATCTTGGTTCTTTAAGGGATTCTTTCACATTTTGATTAGCCATGAGGTGAGGTACAGACACTGATGACAATCTGGCTGTTCCTAAAAGGTTAAAAATGAACTTGTAGAGACCTCAGAGCCACCCTTCATTGCAAATCACACTGATTACTAATTCTATTAAAACTCTGGAAGTCTCAGTGGAAAGCACTATAAGATCTTGGCTTAAGTATACCTCTTATTATCCTTCTAAGTGGCTTTTCTTGATCATCCTTTCCAAAACAGCCAATTCCTTGCTGTAATTCCCTTTTTTTTTCATTTTTTATCATTTTTTTCACAGTACTTATTACGATCTGAAATTATCTTATTAATTTGTTCACTCTTTTACTCATCTTTACTCACAAGATCTTGTATGCCTTTTTGACTGAAATATCACCTGGGTTTACAACACTGTATGATACATAGAAAATGTTTAATAGTTGTTGAACGAATAAATGATTCAAAGAATGAATCTGATACCAATAATGGTAAGGAACTAGCCATAACAGTGCCAAAGCTATCATGCAGGACAAGATTGGGGTTAGGGAAGACTCGCTCAAGACCAGAGTTGGGACCAAAGAGGTCAGCCCAATGAGATGAAAGAATATCAGTTGTCATTGTAGAAAATGGTTGGCACCAGAGCATTCAACATGATAGTCTCATGTATAATGGAAAATCTGTACTATTCTGTGATCAGGGAGTAGGGGGAGATGGTGTAAGGCAATTTGATCATCACAACTCATAGGCTCATTCTGAAAGATCTCAGAAACCACCAAATATGTAGAGGTAGGCGAGGGTTGGCATATCCCCTGCAACTTGGTAATAAAAACAAGTCTCAGATCAAATTCTGCTATACACACAAGCAGGCAAGAAGAGCCATGTGATTCCAAACCAAAGAAATCCTAGAATTCTGTCTTTTCTGGTGCTTCACAAGGAATTTTCATAAAATGTTTATCTGAGGCAAATGTAGTAGTATTGTAGTGATGGGATTTCACAAACCATCCACTATAGAGGTGATCAAAAATATTTCAGAACAACTGCTGGGCTCTGGGTTTAGGGTTAAACATAATGTGCCAAAACTAATGGTAAATACAGACAACTTGCTTGATTTTCATACCCTGTTTATTCAAAGATGGGTGATTTCTTGAAAATATTTTAGCCAATAAATACATCTTGAATATAACTAATTTCACCTATACAATCTCATTTCTGACATATCTTACCCTAACTAGCAAGCCATAAATTTTGTCAATGAAACTTTACTTCTACTATTAATTATGCTAATTAGAGAAATATCTAGTGTTGATGGGAGAGAAAGAAAGTAGAGACATTTGTAACAGTCATCTCTGGAGTGTCTTTTCTTTCCTTTTTTTTTTATTTTTTTTGAGACAGGGTCTGACTCTGCTGCCCAGGCTGGAGCACAATGGTGTGATCTTGGCTCACTGCAACCTGTGTCTCCTAGGCTCAAGCCATCCTACCTCCCAAGTAGTTGGGGCTATAGGTGTGTACCACCATACCTGTTTTTTGTTTGTTTGTTTTGTTTTGTTTTTTTGGAGAGATAAGGTTTTGCAATGTTGGCCAGGCTGGTCTCAAATCCTGAGCTCACTCAATCCACCTGCCTCAGCCTCCCAAAGGACAGGGATTACAAGTGTGAGCCACCATGCCCAGCTACGTCTTTTTTTTTGTTGTTACCTCCTCATTCCTGGGATATGGATTCCTGATTAGGATCACTGATTGTTCCTTCTAGTAAAACTAATACTGTATTATACAGTCCATTCTGAAATATTTTAAAGAAGATTACAGACATCTGAAGAGATATCTGCATTTCTACATTTATCACAGCACTATTCACAAAAGCCAAGATATGTAAACAACCTAAGTGCCCATCCCTGGATGAATGGATAAAGAAAATATGGTATATAGACACAGTGGAATACTATTCAGCCATAAAAAAGGAAGCAATCCTGTCATTTGCAATAAGAGGGATGAGCCTCGAGGATATTATGTTAAATGAAATAAGCCAGACACAGAAAGACAAACACCACATGATCTCACTCATATATGGAATCTAAAAAAGTTGATCTTATAGAAGTAGAAAGCAGAATGGTGGTTAGGGGAGATGTTGGTCAAAGCATACAAAATTTCAGTCAAATAGGAGGAATAAATTCAAGAAATCTATTGTGCAACATGGTGACTAAATTTAACAATATATTATTTTCTTGAAAAATGCTAAGAGGGTGAATGTAAAGTGTTCTTACCACAGAATAACTACATGAAGTAATGCACATGCTAATTAGTTAGAGTCAATCATTTCACAACGTATATATACTTCAAAATGTCACACTGATATGGTAAATACACAATATTTTATCTGTCAATTAAAAATAAATTTAGAAAACAGAAAAAGTTACAGACATTATTAATAATATCTCTGTTCATAACGAAGACGGCCTTAGCCAGGAGCTAGAGGTATAATGAGGAGGCATGCTGGGCAAAATATTGAAAGATTTGAGGTCACCACAACCAAATAGAGATCCAAGGTAGGGAACAATCTCATGTCAGGGCAGAAAGCCAGCCAGGCAACTCAGCAGTCCGTGGAAGAGGCACTAATGCGAGCAGGACCTCCCTTGGAAAGATGGGAGAGAGACATTAAATTAGGGGCAGCATGGATAAGGACTTGTCCTCTGGAACCCCAAATCTTCACTCTGATCTTGGCAATGGGGAGCCTGAAGAGCTCTGGAAGTCAGGAACTGTGTGAAATCATGATTTGATTATCAGCCCCACTGCTTTATGGGGGAAGTGAGGAGAAGTGATAAGGGTTAAAGTTTCATGAGCTTTTATGTATGTGTAACCACAAGGGGAAAAGCCATTACAAAAGGCTAACATCTATCAGAGGTGTAGAGAAAAGGATGGACTTTATGTATCTGAATCTCATCTAGCAAAACAGCTTGTCCTCTTCCTTTAAAGTCCACACCTCAACACTTTGTGTCTTAAAAACAGACCCATAGCCATAGATTCAAGTGTGAGCCTTTTATTTAGGTTGTGGGGAAGTAAAAGCAAAAAGGGAATCCAGCCAATAAAGACTGTGTTGTTATTACTGTGGTCAACTGGAGCTTAATTCCACTGGGGACCCGAGGGACTCAGAGTAGGACAATAGTTATCCCACCTGAGGGACAAGGGCACTAAGGTATTTATACCAGCTTCCATCAGTCATCGGTCAAAGGCTGTTCTCATGGGGAGGCATTTATTTCCTGGCATTCCTGGCCTCTTACTTGTGTAGGGGAATAGAAGCAGTGAGGATCCTAAGGCTGAAGAAAGCCCAAAGGCAAAGAGAGGCAGATGCTGGAGTGAGTAGGGTACTGAAATAGTAAGGCCTGAGGGGATACCAATGGGGAGGAGGTGTGGGGATCTGCTATGCTTGATAAGTAACAGTTGCAATTAACTCTACATAATAGGGTGTCTGAAGTTAGATGAAGGGGGAATCCGGGTTTTGTGCACCCTTTCTTGTTTCAGCTGCCTTAACTATTACTGTGGTCTTTCTCCTTCGTGGCAAAGAACGAGGAGGTAGAGAGTCAAAATTTTCTTCTCCAAAATGATTTTTGTAGTTTCCAGAGTCTGAGCAATATATCCTTGGTTGTTACCAGAAGTAAACATTGAAACTGTACCCAAAGACTGCAGCACTATTTGTCTTCATTACCTGTGGGGGTATAGTGTGAGTGGAATTAATTCAAGTTTGAACATATGAGGCACTCAGAGAGTCACCTCCCACCAGCCAGAGGAGGGAGAGTCTTCTGTTCAGCTCAAAGCTCATACTGTTCTCCCTCCTCTTGGATGACTCCGGAGAATGAATATTTTCAAAGGCAGTATAGGGGCTTATGGAAAGAAAAATGCTTTTAACAGCATAATTAAATTAAAAAACAAAACAAAACTCCTGGCATCCGTGCCCTCAGACATCATCAAACTTCTATGATAAACGCATCAAGCACAGCCTTTCACATGAGAGTGCTTGTGGTTCTGGCATTCTTCCCTCCTTGAAACTAGAGAGAACCATATCTATGCCCAGGTCATCGAATAATTGATTTTGCCCTGACCACAAAAAGTGAGAAAGAGCCAGATGTCTGAGAGAAGCCACAAAGGCTTGAATTTCAGGTGAAGTCCTTTCTCCCATTGAATGATGCCTCATTATGATTCCTTAAACTGCCCATTTTCTGGACAAATGTATGAAGCCTAGAAAACACTTTCAATCTGTAATTATAGGGGACTAGTTCTTGCCAAATGGGATATGATAAGTCCCTTTTGCTGGGACTCCAAAAGTTTAATCTAGTTAGAAGAGGAGAAAGTAACCCTTGATGATTTGAAGCCTGAGTTTTGAAGTTGATTTTTTGCCTTTTATAAAAGAAACTTTTGTCTTAAAGACTACCCAGTAAAATCTTTAGAAGGGCTCAGAAGTAGGGTTTCTTTTGAATGTGTTTGTCTACACATTTCCATTTACCCCTTTCCAGTTAAAAATCACTAGAGAGAAGAACATCATAACTATAAATGGCAGTGATGATCCGTAAATACAAATGATGTGTTTTCTTATGTATTAATAACTGAAAATATTTTTACAGTTATCACTGAAATTCTTCTTTCAGATCTAGAGGTCAGAGTTTATCTGCTATTGCTCCTGATGTAATCCATCTCTGTAGAGAAGGAGCTGGTCTTTTCATAAGATCTTTGGTTTGAAATTATAACAAGACGACTTGCTGTTTTGAAGAATAGTCACTGATGAAGAAAAATTATTGGGGATTGGATAGTTTCATCAACCTGGGTGGTAATGCTGAGATGGGGAAATAATACAAGATATATTTCACTCAAAATGGCCTCTGATAATGTTCAACAAAGGAGTATCTAGCTGTCTTTCTGATAAAGAAGCTGAGGATTTAACAATGTTTTAAGTTTTTATGTGGCCTTTGTTGGATGTGCTTATGAATATACAGAAACAAATGGATTTGATTCAATTGAGAAGGTGGCTCAACCTGGCCTTGGAGAAGTTACTTGATAACTGAGGATAAGTTTGCTAATCTGTAAAATGATGGCTTCTCTGAAGTCTTTTCCTTAAATGCAGCCAATGTTCTGTCTATATTATGTACCTTTGCGCATATCTCATGTTGAGTAAAGTAGTCCCAGGGGAAAGGGGGACTGCGAGAAAGAAAAGGAAAGTGAAAGTCAGGAATATTTAATCCTTCTGGAAAGAGTTTTATTAGCTCAATTTTGATACACAGTTTAAAAAATAAAGAAGGCTGGTCTACTTTATTATTTCTTTTACACCTAAGAAGGTTGTAGGAACACTGTTTCTCAGGCTCATAAAGGAAAATGAAGAGAAAAATGTCTCTAATGCTGTCCTATGTTCCTAAACTGCTGAAACATTTCCTCTAGGAATCCAGAGCAGCATAAGAATGGCAGGTGGAGAGGAAGATTTATTTGGAGTGGGACCAATGTTGCTAGAGGGACTAGGCTTGCAGGGACATACATCTTCTTTCCATTATTTCCTCAAAAAAATGGTGCCGGACATTGAAGACAAATTACCAAAGCACTGCATCAGCATGGTTGATCCAGCTGATCGGACCAACACATCTTTCTTTTAATAGACTATGCAGGTTGTTTTGGTTTCAGGACTTCTGACTAAATGGTTTTCTTTCTTATAACTCTATGGCAGAAGGTTCTGTGCAAAGGATCTTAATCTTAATGTGTGTACATAAGCACACATTTCTCTTTAACATGGATTTCTTATTTACAAGTCATATTTTGGTGGATAAAAGCTAATAGATTGTTTTGAAAAATCACATAAATGGAATTGGGCACCGTTGAGAGTTATTACTTCAACAACAAATCGACAGTCAAACTTATGGATATTTTCAGAACCCCCAGTGAAATGTAATTTAAAATATTGGGTCCTCAATGAAGACCAACTTATTTAATATTAAAACTCAATACAACTGAGTGTGGTGGCTCACGCCTGTAATCCCAGAGCTCTGGGAGGCTGAGGTGGAAGGATCACTCGAGGCTAGTAGTTCAAGACCACCTGGGCAACATAGCAAGACCCAGTCTCTGCAAAGAATAAAAACATTAGCCAGGCACGGCCTGTTGTCCCAGCTCCTTGGGAGGCTGAGGTGGAAGCATTGCTTCAGCCAAAGAATTCAAAGCTCCATTGAGCTATGATTGCACCACTGCACTCCAGCCAGAGAAACAGAGCAAGACCTCAACTCTTAAAAAAAAACAAACAAAACAACCACAGTTGAAAATAGCAGCCCATTAAGGTTTTAAAACTGCCACCCTTGATTCTTTTAAAATTGTTCTTTTTTCAGTATGTTAGCCATATAATATGCAAATAATCTCATCATTAATATTCACTCAATTTGATGCCCCCAATATAGACCAATGCTAGCAAAGGAATGTAGAATCGAACCCTCTCTGAATTAAGAAAACTGTTCATAATGCGTCTAGAAAGCTACATTGCAGATAAAATGTAATCTCACATGAACTTTGTATATACAGGAAAATTCATTATATTAGCTCCAGAAAGGAAGGCAAAAGGGCACGTTTCTCTACATTGATGGAAATCATAGATTTTTTTAAACTGAGGCTTTAAGAGTCAGAGATGGATGGTATCCCACTTTCTAAATGTCTATACATTGGAGACAGGATTGATAGTCTTATTAGTCTGTCCTTTGTGTATTTAAAACATCTCAAGTCTCTGGTGCTAAAAGATTTATACAGCATTTTATATTTATAACTCATTTCTATTCATTACTCTTCAGGATGGCTTCAAGAAGGCTGCTCTGATACTGGCCCCAGGTTTCAGAGAGGACAACAGACACTGAAAAATTATGTGATGGAATGGAAGCTAGGAAGTGGCAGTGGTAGGATTATAAGTTTTTATTGTCTCTTACACTATATGATCAGAAATGAAAGGGAAACTTTGGAAATTTAGAAGACTTTTCTCAGATTAGATAAATCCCACTAAACCTTGGTAGTTAGTACCTTACCCACTATGGAGAAAGATCCTTAGAAGTCTACAGTTGCCCCTAGAGGTCTTCTGGGGGCTACTAATCTTGTGTTGAGGCTACTAAATTGGGGGAGTAGGTAGAGGTAGATGGTTGTTTTATCAGCCCTGAACCTTCTCTCCATGTCCTTATTCTCTGACACTATTTAAAATGGAAAGCAGAGGACAACAGAGTAATACAATATTAATAGTTATTCATCAGGAAATAAAAGGTAACTGGGTGATTTTTACCCACTCTCAAGTAAGAAGTAACACTGATTACTGCAATTTGCTATGCTAGAAATTGCACAGAAAATAACTTAACCATCACTTTTTTTTAGTGAAGGAGTGGCTTTACTCCTCCATGCATGTACTCTGGGAGCAGCACACCATGGAATTGTCTTGGCATTGTTTCTATAAGTATTTTTTCCGAGGATACTGATCTTTTTTTTTTTTTAATTTTCAACTGTGGTAAAATACACATAACATCAAATTTACTATTGTAACCTTTTTTTACATGTACAGTTCAATAGTGTTAAATATATTCGCATCGTTGTGTAACCAATCTCCAGAACTCGTCTCATCTTGTAAAACAAAAATCCTGTATACATCAAACAACATCTCCCCATTTCCCCCTACCCCCCAGCCTCTGGCAACTATGTTCTATTTCCTGACTTCATGAATTTTACTACTCTACATACTTCATATAAGTGGGATAATACAATATTAGCATTTCTGTGACTAGCTCATTTCCCTTAGCGTAATGTCTTCAAGGTTTATCCATGCTTCCATGCTATAGAATGTCGCAGAACTTCATTTTTAAGGCTGAATAATATTGCATTGAAGTGAAATTGCTGGATCATTTGGTAATTCTATGTTTAATTTTTTTGAGGTACTTCCATACTGTTTTCCATAGCAGCTACATCATTTTGCTTTCCTACCAACAGTATGCAACGATTCTAATTTATTCACTTCTTTGCTATTTACTTTTTAATAGTAGCCATCCTAATGGGTATGTTGTGGTATTCACTGTTGTATTTTTGTGATTAGTGATGTTAAGCGTTTTCTCATGTGTCTGTTTGCCATGTGTATATCTTTTGATTTTTTTGAGAAATGTCTATTCAAGTTCTTTGTCCATTAGAAAACTTGGGTTGTTTGGGGGGTTTTGTCATTGTTGACTTGAGTTTTGTGAAGTTTTGTGGTAAAAGAATCACATGGTCAAAGAGTTTGGGAAACCATGATTGTTTTATCACCTTCCTGAAGATCTGCAGTGCACCTATATCATATTAAATGCTCTGAGTACTATTACTGTAAAGAAAATTGCTAACTCTATTAAAAAAAGGGATTTAAAAATATGTAACTACTGTGAAACCGTTTTGCACTGAACACTTGTTCCCATCTTGAGCCAGTGGGCAACCATCAAATGCAGTTTGTGAAAACCTCTTCTAAGTGTTTGTTTGTTTTGTTTTGTTTTTAAACAGTGTCGCGATTCCTCAAGGATCTAGAACCAGAAATACCATATGACCCAGCAATCCCATTACTGGGTATATACCCAAAGGATTATAAATCATTCTACTATAAAGACACATGCACACGTATGTTTACTGTGGCACTATTCACAATGACAAAGACTTGGAATCAACTCAAATGCCCATCAATGACAGACTGGATAAAGAAAATGTGGCACATATACACCATTGAATACTATGCAGCCATAAAAAGGATGAGTTCACGTCCTTTGCAGGGACATGGATGAAGCTGGAAGCCATCATTCTCAGCAAACTAACACAAGAACAGAAAATCAAACAATGCGTGTTCTCACTCATAAATGGGAGTTGAACGATGAGAACACATGGACACAGGGAGGGGAACATCACACACCGGGGCCTGTCAGGGGATGGGGGACTAGTGGAGGGATAGCATTAGGAGAAATACCTAATGTAGGTGATGGGTTGATGGGTGCAGCAAACTGCCATGGCACGTGTATACCTATGTAACAAAACTGCAAGTTCTGCACATGTACCCCAGAACTTAAAGTATAATAAAAAGAAAACAATAGTTCATAAACATTTCCACTTGAGAAGGAACGGCTGTTGTAGCAAGCTTTATCATGCTGTGTCTCCCACTCAGACAAGCTTTTCTCTTTCATTGCTTTGCAGTTAATTTATTTAGTGCTGACTCAATACTAGGGCTATGTAAAAAATTAAATTATAGTCACATCTTTTAATAGTTTCTATGGGGAGGTAAATAATTATAATAGAGTTTGGTGAATATGCTGTGATAATCATAAGGCATATTATCTTAGATTATTTTGGTTACAAGTAACAGAACCAAATCAAACCAGGTGTAAGTAAAATGGAAGAATATGTTTTAAGGGTACAGAGGTGTTTCCTGGAGCTCAAGGGTAGGAATGTAGTCAGCTTTGGAAAGACCTGGACAGAAGGCAGAGCTTCCTATTTCTCCTTTCTTTTCTCGGAAGGTCTGTCTCTATTTTCCATTCTGCAGAATATTATTTTCAATATGACTGCCACAAGGCTCTGTAGTTTATATATTATAGCTGTATATGCTGGCAGAGAATATTTTGCTGTTTGCTCCAATTCTAAAATCCCAAGAAAGAGAGTAACTGACTCAGCATTTGTAAAGTATCTATACATGGCTTAGCCAACTGTAGCCAGGGAGATGGAGTCATGTATTAAAACATGGCTGCTATGGATCCAACATCCTGTCCAACTTCATCTCTTGTCACTTCCTCCAGACATCCCATGTTTCATTGACACCAATAATGATTGTCTATGGAGGAAACTAATACAAATTAATATGAAAGTTTACTAATGATAAAAATAATTCTAGATATACATTTAAAATCTTACCTACATACCAGCATTAACAATTACAAAAAGTAGTGGGAAGGCAGAGCTCATTCACATTAATAATAAAAAGACATAATTTAAATAAAGATTATTCTTTGTTTTTTGAGACGGAATTTCGCTCTTGTTGCCCAGGCTGGAGTGCAATGGCACGATCTCAGCTCATGGCAACCTCCACCTCCCAGGTTCAAGTGATTCTCCTGCCTCAGCCTCCTGAGTAACTAGGATTACAGGCATGCGCCACCACGTCCAGCTAATTTTGTATTTTTAGTAGAGACAGGGTTTCTCCATGTTGGTCAGGCTGGTGTCAAACTCCTGATGTCGCCTGCCCACCTCGGCCTCCCAAAGTGCTGGGATTACAGGCGTGAGCTACCACGTGTGGCCCATAAAGATTATTCTTAACAAGAATGTACAAGACTGAAAATTTCATAATTTAAATGATAAGCCATTGAAATAAAAGGGCAAAATATCTAATTTTGGTCTGCTAGACACTGAATTCTGAAACTCAGTTACTGCTATCCTGTGTGCCTCTATTACCCTAACTTGGATAAAAAGTGACAGTAGTCATTGAAGTGAACCACCCAGCCTCAGCGAGACAGACAGCAGATATTCATTTGCTGACTTACACTGTCATCTACCTTTATATAGGTTAGTAACTAGAACTAATTGTTGAGGTAATGAATAAGTAAGAGAGGATTTAGGCAATCTCAGCAAAGATAGATTAGCTCCCAGAAGCCAGAGAACAATAAATCAAAGTGAGATCCAAGTCTAAAAAGCTGGCAGACAGCAAACTCATTGCATCCATAAAATATTTTAGTTAAATACTATTCACCTGAGGAGATCAGTTCTGTCTGTTCCTAATTTGCAATTTGAGGAGAAATTTGTAGATTCAGAATGGGAAATGTTTGGGAATACTGTTTTACATATTTCATGGGGCAGCATCTTCACCTTATGGGTTTTTAGAAAATGTATTCCATGAATAATTTCCTGAAAATATTGCATTTTTACTGTAGGCATTAGACAGTTTTAACTTAGGTAATGAAAATTCTAAATTGGTTAACTCATTCTTTAAACCTGTTATGTTATCATAGTCACTAAAATGTATGCTTTTCACTCCCATAACTCTTCTACTTCAAACAGTTTAAATTCATGAGGTTAGATACTGCTGTTTTCTTCTTTTATCCTGTGAAGCTTTAATTCTTTAACACCGTGAAGGCCTCTTATTTTGTTAGGTGCTGATTTATTTAAGGATACACTTAGCTGAATCCCAAGTGCTTAAGATTTTATTACATTTCTTACTTCAGGCATTGGAAAATTATCACTTTTGAATTGTAATGAAGAGAAATAGCTCATTGTTTGCTTTATATTATTTAGACCCAAATATTATTCTTTGGCAAAGTAGAGAATAAATGTAATTTCAAGAGAAAATGAAGTAACGTTTTCCTCTTTCCATTTGAAATTGGGTACATATAGTAAATTCTGTGACTAAGACTGTAACAGCAAAAGTGTATACAGTGATTGAAACTTTCTTATTTGATAGTTTTAAGAGAGAAGCATATTTGCAGCATCATCAAATCTCTTCAAGACATTTTTAACATGCAGACTGGTTCATTCACTTATTGATCCATTCAATAAATTAGACTCAACTGATTTCTGGCTTTCAGGATTTTTCATCTATGCTTTAAACCAGAGATCAGCAAAGTATGCCTCTCAGGCCAAATCCAGCCAATTCTCTGTTTTTGTCAATAGAGTTCTATTAGAACATCACCACCACAGTCATTTATTTACATATTATCTCTGGTTGCTTTGGCACTACAACAGAGTTGAGCAGTTGCAAAATAGACTATATGACTCTGAATACAAATCTGAAAACATTTACTATATAGCCATTTACAGAAAAACTATGTGGAGAATTCTAGTTTCAGATCTAAAATGTAAAAATTTTGGAAGTTGTCACACCTGTCCTTACAACTCCTGTCCTTTTAGCTGAGTATACTGAAAGTCAACAATTTTTCATGAACCCGTCAGATAACCGAGGTCAAAATGCAAACTACCATTTCAAAATCTTGAGAGACAGGTGAATGGAAATAGTCACAGTCAAGATTTCTTTACCTACAGCAGAAGCCAATGGGACATTAACTGGTAGTAGAAACAGCTAAATGGTAATCTTGACTAATTGCTGGAGCCTTAGTATGAACTAGCATGACAGTAAGAAAATACTTGGATTTTAGGGGACCCCCACATTTTCACGAATTTTACTTCCAGAAATTCTCCCAGTGTGAAGAGCTGAGAAACATGCCCTTGAGGCTCCGGCACGGGGAGAGGAAGAGTAACCTTAATTAAATATGCCCAGAGTGTTCTTCACAACAAAGATTGACTGTGCAGGAGAAAAGACTGTACCAGAGCCCTGACCCAAAAAGGGGAAGGCCATTCTCCCACTCCAGCTATCTCTAGCCTTCCTTTCTCACCCAAGACAAGTAAGTTAAGAAATGCTTTTGAAAGTCACAACCTAGGGACGTAGGTTCAGTAAAAATTGAAATTTAATCATAAGGCAATAGAATGCTTCCCTTTCCCCACCCCTTACCACCACTCACAACAGGAATTCAGTGTAACAACAGTGGGTCACAGCTGAAAGAGCTGCAAGGCACAGACTCGCTCTGAGAAGGAGTAGGTAGGGAAGCCCAAAGTCAACAGGAGAGACAAAAACAAGGACACAAGAGGATTTTGAATCATCAGGCACATACAGCTGCAGTAAATGTTAAGCACAGCCCCACTCCTAGCGAGATTAACATAAAACATTGAACCAAAGACCTATTTCTCTCAGTTTCTATTATTCAATAGATTATATACAATTTTTAATAAAAAATTAGAAGGCATTCTCAAAAGCAAGAAAAAAATTATCTGAAGAATATAGGCAAATACTAGAACTACATCCAGATATGACATAGATGTTGGAATTATCAGACAGGGGATTTAAAACAACTAGAATATATGAAGTGTTTTAATGAAAAAAGTAGACAACATGCAAAAACATGTGTAACATGAGCAAAGAGCTGGAAACTCTACGAAAGAATAAATGGAAAATAATAGAAATAAAAAAAAGAAAGAGGACTGTGCTGGGAATAAAGAAAGTCTTTCTTTGACATGGCTGAGTAGACAATCAATGAGCTTGAAGATAAGTCAATAGAAATTTCCTAAATGGAAATTCAAAGAGAAAACAAATGAAAAAACATAAAAGAATATTCAAGAATTGTGAGACGATTTAAGTGTGTAGTATATGTGTAATTAAGAAACTAAGATGACAAGATAGAACAGAGAAAAAGAAATATTTCAAGTAATAAGGCCAAGAACTTTCCAAAATTAATGGCAGAAACCAAATCATGGATCCAGGGAGCTCAGAGAACACCAAGCAGGACGAATACCAAAAATATTACCTCATTATGTCACACTCAAACTGCAGAAAACCAAAGAAATTAAAAAAAAAAAACAAAGGGAAAATACACCTTATCTACAGAGGAAACAAAGATGAGAATTACAGCATACTTCTTGTCATAAACTGTGCAATCGAGAAAAGAGTAGAGTAAAATATTTAAAATGTTAAGAGAAAGAACATCAAACCAGTATTTAAATCCAGTAAAATTATCCTTCAAAGTGAAAGAGAAATAAAGACTTTCTTAGACAATGATTCAGAGGGTTCATCACCAGCAGACCTGTCTTGCAAGAAATGTTAAAACGAGTTCACCAGGGAGAAGGAAAATGATAGAGATCAGAAACTTGGGTATTTGTAAGGAAAGGAAGAGGGTCAGGGAAGGAACAGATAAAAGCAAAACAAAATATTTTATTGTTCTTAGTCACTATTGAACTGAAATGTAACTCTGTTTAATGTAATAATAGTAACAATGTGTTAGGTGATTAAAGCACGTATATAAGTCAACTGAATGACAGCAACGTTATAAGAGATGGGAGGGAAGAATTGAGAAAACTCAGTTATAACATAATTGTACTACACCTGGAGCAGTATAGTGTTTTAGGAAAGTGGATTCATATTAATTAGATATATATATTATTCACACACACATATATAAAACTCTAGAATGACCACTAAAAAATTATAAAAAATAAGTATAATTTATGTGTTAAGAATGTAGATAAAATGGAATTTTATCTTCACCTTATTACTTGAAATATTTCTTCTGCTCTGTTCTTTCTTCTCATGCTCAGTTAAAACCAGGGAAAGAAGAATAAGAGGCAAAAAAAGAAAAAAAACAAATGTAATCAATAGAAAGCAGTTACAAACATGGTAGATATTAATTGTGTAATGATGTATCATTGATATATTATGCAAATGAGATAAATACACAAATTAAAGGAAATTGTCAAAACAGATATTGTTAAAAGACTCAACTATATGTTGTCTACAAGAACCTCACTTTAAATGTAGACACATAGATTAAAAATAACGGGATGGAGAAAGATATATCATGCTAACACTAATTTTAATAAGCTGGAGTGGCTACATTAACTTCAGATAAAGCCAACTTCAGTATAAATAATTATCAGGAGTAAAGAGAACCACTAAAGGAGTAAATTCTCCCTGAAGATGTAGTAACACTAAACACATGTGCACCTAGCAAGAGACTGTAGAAATACACGTGGCAAAAACTAAAAAAGAAATAGAGGAATCCAATTTATAGTTGGAGAGCTCAACACCTTCCCGTCAGAAATTGCTAAGTCAAGCAGGCAGAAAATAGGTAAGGATAGGTTGATGTAAAGAACACGATCAATCAACTTGATCAAATTGGTATTTATAAAATACTCAACAGCAGCAGAACACATATTTTTATAAAGCCTTACCGAAACAGACCACATCTGAGACCATAAAACACACATTAACAAACTTAAAATTGAGATCACATTCTAGGTTGTATTACACAGACCATGAACTGAACTAGAAATCAATAGCAAAAAGATAGCTGTAAAATCTTCAACTATCAGAAAACTAAAGACATTTCTCAATACTACATAGGTGAAAGAAGACTTGAAAGAAATTAAAAACTACTTTGAACTAAAAAATGAAAATACATCTTACCAAAATTTGTGGGATGAAACAAAAGCAGTGCTCAGAGAGAAATTTATGGCACTAATTGAATACATTTTAAAAAATGAATATTTAAAATCAACAATTTAAGTAAGCTTTTAAGAAATTGGAGAAAGAAGAGCAATTTAAGCCAGAAGCAAGCAGAGGAAAATAATAAAAATTAAAGCAGAAATAACTTAAATTGAAAAACAGGCAAACAATAGAGAATATCAAGGAAACCAAAAGCTAATTCTTTGAAAAGATGAAAATGTTGATAAATCTCTTCAGGCTAACCAAGAAAAAAAGTGAGAACTCAATAAACCGTCAATGTTATAAATGAATGAAGAATCATCATTACTGATACTATGGACAAGAAAGGGATAATAAAGGCAGCTGGGTGCGGTGGCTCACTCCTGCCAAGGCAAGAAGAGGAGGCTAGAATGATTTTCATGGTAATAGAGCTAGAAGCATAAGTATAAACTCATGTTCAGGCTAATATAGATATATAGGATTACATATACAAGTTATAGATATGTGTATAATCCCAGATTAGGATACACACATAATATTTCCTTACTCTTCCAGCTATGAGGGCATACAAGCAATGATACCTCAGTAGCACTAACATCCAGCTCTTGGTTTCTAATACATTGTCTAATAAAAGGAACCAGAGCATCTTGGAGAAATGGCTGATTCTAGCTAGGACTGGGTTAGGAAGTAAATATTATGAGACTGGAGCATCTTATAGCTCCAGAAAGAAAGCAAGTATTCAAGAAAAAAAAAACAACCCACAAGAATTGAATATATCAAAGGGACATAGGAGCCTACTGAAAGAGCTTCCAATGGCCAAGACCGGAACAATTTCAGCAAATGAATAAATAATAAAGTAGTATTAGATATAATATAAACATGCATGAGTCCATACTGATATAAATAAATAATGGAGTAAGTGGAGAAGAGACAAAGAGAAGTAACTAAGTGGAGAAGAATTCCAAATAATTTATCTAGATATTCTGCCCTCAATTTATGTAGCTTACCTCCCACTCCATAGGTGTGGGCTACAAATATTGACTTCCTTCCAAAAATCACATTATAGAAATAGGGAAAAAAGGGTAACTTTAGAGTGGATAAACCTAACAAACGCTGCCTTAGCCAGGTAATAAAGAATCAACATTAAAAATGAGTCATATTAATAGTATATACTCATGATATGATATGGTGAAAATGGTACTTTACCTCTGTGGTCTTCTTCCCCAAAACCTGCAACCCCAGTCAAATAATAAGAAAACATTAAACAAACTCAAATTGAGGGACATTATACAAAATACCTGGTCAGTAATTGTCAATATTCTCAAGGTCATCAAAAACATGAGAATGTGAGAAACTGTCACAAAAAAGAGAATCTTAAGGAGATAAATGCCAACTAAATGTAATGTGGTATCCTGGATAGGATCCTGGAGCCAAAAAGAGACAGTAGGCACAAACTAAAAAAATTGAATGAATCTAGGCACAGTGGCTCCCATCTATAATCCCAGCTTTTTGGGAGGACGAGATGGGAGGATCACTTGAGCCCAGGAGTTCAAGAACCAGCGCCTGGGCAACATAGTGAGACCCTGTCTCTACAAAAAAATAAAAATAAAAACTAAAAAAATGATAAATAATTGAATGAACTATGGACTTCAGTTTATAATAATGCATCAATATTGGTTCAAAATTGTAACAAATGTACCACAGTAACATAATATGTTAATAACAGGGGAAACTGGGTGCCTAATATATAGAAACTTTCTGTATTCTCTTCACAATTTCTCTGTAAACATATAAAGACTGTTCTAAAATAGCCACCATGCCTGGCCTAAAATAAAAAAGTTAAGAAAAATTTTGCTGACCCTACTGTAAGTGAAAGAAAAATGGAAGTGATTGGTTTGCACATTTTTTGTGGTATGATTTAAAAAATGAATTTGTTGAAGAAAGATAACAAGATGGTTTCAGATTATTCTCAACAACTGAAGAGTCAGTTTAAACCCCGATTCCTATGTGTGGAAAATTAACTCTATTTCTTTCAGTGTGGGAAGTAGCATATTGCATGACATAGAACATTGGAAATAAATATACAAAATATTGGGATGTTCAACCCAAAACAGTTACTTGAAAATATTTGATAAGGATTCATTATGTATACTTTACTTTTAAAATTGCAATTTAAGTTCCCAATTTTTACTATATTTAAAAAAAGAAGTATTTGTTTCTAGAAATGAATTCTGATCAAGAAATGGAATTAAATGTGAATAAAATGCCTTTCTGATAAAGGACAAAAATTGAAAAAACATACTATTGCATTAGGTAAACGCAATAGAAAATTCATTGCTTTTTTTGAAGCAACCCTACAGAGTTAATTCCTCCATGGTGCTGAAGGCTTTTGCTTTGAAATTCATTTTATTGACCTAAAGCTTAAACTGCAGGGTGGCTCCAGAATAACTGACAGGAGGGAGAGAACATCAGGCTAGCATTGTCACATGTGCCCTCATTCAGTCCCTCGTTAAAAGATGCATTATGTAAATGTATCCCCCACTGAATTTTGCTGCATATTTTTTGTCCCTGGTAAAGTATTACCTATGTTTGTCAAGGAGGAGGGGGAAAACCCACTCTTTCAATGGTTCAGTGATTATGCCCCCACACTTTAATTTCTGCTTGAAATTCAAGCCCACATAAAAGGTTTCAAAACCTAAAGGTAGTTTTACTTTGTTCCTGACTTATGTGTATAACGTGGGTTAAGGAAAAATAAAGCATATCTATAGAAGCAGATAATAGATGTAATTAGACTCTGAAACAAGTTTCTTTAGTAAAATTATTTTCCAAAGTTACTTTGTAGTGCAATGATGTAGCTACAAAACCAATCTGCATTACATGAGCCAAAGAAGTGATCAATTATTCATCCAGTTATGTATATGTCAACCAAAAAAACAGACAGACACACCTCGTTTTACTGCACTTCACTTTATTGTACTTTGTAGATATTGCATGTTACACAAATTGAAGGTCTGTGACAACCCTGTGTCAAGCAAGTTTATTGGCACCATTTTTCCAATAACATGTACTCACTTCATGTCTCTGTGTCACATTTTGGTAATTCTCATAATATTTCAAACTTTTTCATTATATCTATTACGATGATCTGTAATAAGTGATGTTTGATGTTACTATTGTAATTGTTTTGGGGTACCATGAACTGCACCCATATAAGATGGCAAACTTAATCAATGTCATATATGTTCTCTCTGCTCCACCACTCTTTGTCTCTCTCCCTCTCCTCAGGCCTCTCTATTCCCGGAGATAAAGCAACATTGAAATTAGAGCAATTAATAACCCTACAACAACCTCTAAATGTTCAAGTGAAAGGAAGAGTCACGTCTCTCACTTTAAATAAAAAACTAGAAATGATTAAGCTTCATGAGGAAGGCAGGTTGAAAGCCGAGGAAGGCTGAAAGCTGGGATTCTTGTGCCAAACAGTTTGCCAAGTTATGAATGCAAAGGAAAAGTTCTTGAAGGAAATTGAAAGTGCCACTTCAGGGAACACACCAGTGATAAGAAAGCAAAGCAGCCTAACTGCTAATATGGAGAAATTGTGAGTGGTCTGCATAGATCAAACCAGCCACAACACTTCCTTAAGCCAAAGCCTAATCCAGAGCAAGGCCCTAACTCTCTTCAATTCATTGAAGGCTCAGAGAGGTGAGGAGGCTTCAGGAGAAGAGTTGGAAGTCAGTACAGGTTTGTTCGCGACGTTTAAGGAAAGGAGCCCTCTCCATAACATAGAAGTGCAAGGTGAGGCAGCACGTGCTGTTGTAGAAGCTGCAGCAAGTTATCCAGAAGATCTAGCTGAGATCATTGGTGAAGGTGGCTACACTAAACAACAGATTTTCAATGGAGATGAAACAGACTTATATAAGAAGATGCCATCTAAGACTTTCATAGAGAAGTTGAGAATGCCTGGTTTCAAAGCTTCAGAGGACAGGCTGACTCTTTTGTAAGAGTCCAAGGCAGCTGGTAACTTTAAGTTGAAGCCAATGCTCATTGACCATTCCAAAATTCTACAGCTCTTAAGAATTATGCTAACTCCACTGTCTGTGCTCTGTAAATGGAAGAAAAAAGCCCAGATGATAGCCTATCTGTTTATGGCATGATTTACTGAGTATTTTAAGCCCACTGTTGAGACTTACTGCTCTGGGAAAAAGAAAAAAAAAGATTCCTTTCAAAATGTCACTGCTCACTGGCAATGCATTTGATCACCCAAGAACTCTGATGGAGATGTACAAGGAGATTAATGATGTTTTCACATCTGCTAATGCAACATCTATTCTGCAGCACATGGATCAAGAAGTAACTTCGACTTTCAAGTCTTATTTAATAAATATATTTTGTAAAGCTATAGCTGCCATAAATAGTGATTTCTCTGATGGATCTGGGCAAAGCAAATTGAAAATCTTCTGGAAAAGATTCACCATTCCGGGTGCCGTAAAGAACATTCATGATTCATGGGAGAAGGACAAAGTATCACTATTAACAGGAGTTTGGAAGAAGTTGATTCCAGCCCTCATGGATGACTTTGAGGGGTTGAAGACTTCAGTGGAGGAAGTCACTGCAGATGTGATGGAAATAGCAAGAGGTGGAGCCTGAAGATGTGGCTGAAATGCTGCAACCTCATGAAAGAAGTTGAACAGATGAGGAATTGCTTCTTATGGATGAGCAAAGAAAGTGATTTATTGAGAAAGAATCTACTCCTGGTGAAGATGCTGTGAATATTGTTGAAATGAAAACAAAGGATTTATAATATTACATTAACTTAGTTGATAAGGCAGCCACAAGGTTGGAGAGAACTATAATTTTGAAAGAAGTTCTACTGTGGGTAAAATGCTATCAAACAGCATCATATACAGGGAAATATTTTATGAAAGAGTCAATCAATGTGACACACTTAACTGTTGTCTTATTTTAAGAAATTCCCACAGCTTCCCCAACTTTCAGCAACCACCACCCTTATGAGTCAACAGTCATCAACACTGAGGCAAGATCCACAACCGCCAAAAAGATTACCACTTGCTGAAGGCTCAGATGATTGTATTTTTTTTAGCAATAAAGTATTTTTAAATTAAGGTTTGTACATTTTTAATGACATAATGCTATTGCACACTTAACACTGTAGTATACTGTAAACATAACTTTTATATGCACTGGGAAACCAAGAACTTTGTGTGACTTATTTGCTATATTTGTTTTACTGCAGTGGGGAACCTAACCTACAATATTTCCAAGATATGCCTGTACAAATGATAGATGCAGATATGTGAAGAGTTGAAAATACCAACTCTTAGAAACAGAAAATGTCAAGTTATCCGTTAATGAGAAGCTAAATTACTGCTCAGTTAAACAGTGGAAATACAGGGAAGTGTGATGGTCTTGGATCATGGATGAAATGGTCAAGGTATTTCTCAATGAAATAACTTGTTCTTTTTAATATTTCTTATAAACCATGTAAGAAAGTACTACTGCCGGAAAGAAACAAAAACAGTAGTGGATTTTTATTTACATAACAGAATTATGAATAAATAATAAATGCCTATGGTTTAATTTTGAGCTGATGTGTTACCCATACTTTAGTATCAGGTTGTACTAATGTGAGACTCTGAGAATTTGGTTCTGTATTTTAAGGCCATAAGGAAAACCTGATTAATACAGAGCAACACATAAAACTAGCTGGAAAGAAAATGCACTATATCCTCAGGTTTTAGAGATGAACTATCTCATCGTTCTGTATTTGTGGTTTTTCTAGCATTAAGGAAAACAAAATAGAATCTTCTTTTATAGTCTTAAACTCTCTCATATTAGCTCTTTTAGTATTGATATGTTTGTAGAGAAAGTGACTTGAGTAAAATAAACTTGATGGCCCTTGACCTCAAATCCACTTTTAACCTGTGTTCTTGGCCAGGTGTGGTGGCTCATGCCTGTAATACCGGCACTTTGGGAGGCCGAGATGGAAGGATCGCTTGAGCCCGGGAGTTCGAGACCAGCCTGGGCAACATAGTGAGACCCGTCTGTTCAAAAATGTAAAAATAAGCCAGGTGTGGTGGTGCGTGCCTGTAGTCCCAGCTACTCAGGAAGCTGAGGCGGGAGGGTCACTTGAGGCAGGGAGGTCGAGATTCCAGTGAGCCATGATTGCACTACTGCACTCCAGCCTGGGTGACAGAGCAAGACCTGTCTCAAAACAAACAAATAAACAAAATAACCTGTGTTCTCCAGACTCCTGAGCTATCCTGCAAGCCTTGTTCTTTCAAACTTGCACATGGTCCATGTAAAAAAGGTAGGTTTATAAAACTAAATCAGAATTGTGTTATTCTAGGACACACACATTTTTGGGGGGAATACTAGAAAATTTAAATCTGGATAAAGCTTTTTTCAGTTTCATTTCTATTTGAGCAGTAAAATAACTTGAAATGCTTTTTTATAGCAAAGGAGTGATTAAACCTCTTTATCTTTGCATTTAAAAAAGGGGATTTGATTAAATGTAGGTATATGTTTAGTGTCAAAACTTAGTCATGCAAGAAGGGAAGGACTTATTAACCAGACATAATCGATTCAGGTGTTAGTGTCACATAGCTGTGGAGTCGAGCCATTATGTCTTCCCTGGGCAAGCTTCTTCCCTCATCACTCAGCTCACTAGTATGCAGCTGGAAAATACCAGCACAGAGTATGCCAAGGCAGACAAACAAATGACTCAAGGGAGATTTAAACTCCATGACTGTACATATTCCCATAAAGTCTAAAAAACATAAGTACTCACAGCAGGGTAAAGCCCTACAGTTTTCTTTCAGTGAAACAATCCACATTATCCCTGTGGTTAGAATGATGAGAAAATGAATTTGAAAATATCTGCAGGACGGTGCTGATATCTTTGGTCAAGAAATAATAGCAGGAACCCCTTTCATTTTCCCAAACCTATAGCTTGTTCCTGATACAAAATGGCCTAGTGAGGTTGTGATAGTAACATCAGACTTGGGAAGTCTGGGTCCTCAGCTTATGTCCACATTTCTTAATCACAACTGTTTCTCTATAGTAAAAGGAAAGCAGGAGATGATGGTCATTATAAGAACATGTAAATTATCAAAACCAATTTTGCTTCATTTATCTGAATATTTTGGGAAATAATACCATCTTTTTATTTAAAAAAAAAAAAAAGAAACTTCCTATCATTAATCATGACAGTTACTGTGTATTGAGTGTTACCATTTGCCAAGTTGTTTACTAACAGGCTTTATGTTCATTATTCACCTAACCATCACAAAGGAAGGTATCATGACGGGCATCTTACAGATGAGGAAACAAAAGCTCACAGAGGTTAAGTTTCATTATCACATATTTTACGGATAAAAAGTGGCAGAATCTTACTAAATCCCAGGTATGTGTGTCTTTGTCTGCACACAAAACATTCTTCACTTTATAGATTCACCTAGTCACCTAAATTCTTCACATTTTCCCAAGTACATAGGCATCTGTGCAATAATAGAAAGTGCTTTTTGTTCTAACTTAGTCAAGTTAAAATATGCAGGTCTGGACAACTTACTTGCTATAGCTTGACAGTGGTAGCAGCACGACTGAAATTCAGAAATACTGATTGAAATGACTGGAAATAACCTCTGGCAAAGTGGTTCAACTGACTTTTGTGATACTATGGTCTCAGTTTTGAAGATCATTTTGCATTAATCTTTTACAATGTAACTTATGTTGCTTCAACTAAACAATGAGCACAACTCTAACTTGTCTTCTATTTTCCTTCTTTGAAACGTTTCTAAATTTGTTTATTTCTCTGGTTTACAGAGGGAAGGGGATAAGGTATTTTTATTAGGGGTCAACTCAGCATTTTACGACTCAGTGGATGACACAAATATGAATCAATAAGGGATGAAGCCCTACTTCGATTAAGAGGCAAATAATTTCCAATTTAACAGGAAAAAAATTTGGATTTAATTATCCAAGTTTATGACTAAGTTATTTTGATCAAATTTACCAAGTTTGTTTATTCTGCCAGCAGCATTATTAGAGCAGCTATCAGCAGAAAACTTGAAACAACTACAAAAGTAGCACTGAGATATTACAAGTTAATGTAGTGAAATTCATTCATTCATTCAACAAATATTGTTGAATGCCTTCTTTGTGCCAGATACTGTTTTAATGTCTTTTAAAATGCCCAGCCTAGGCAAATGGTATGTTAGATAATATTAAGAGATTTGTTAAAAAAATTATAAGTCAGGAGAGAGCGATTATGAAGGTTGAGGGTAGGAGTAATTTTAGATTGAGTAGTGTGGTAGTTTTAAAACACGTCTGCAAATTCTTTTTTTCTCTTCCTTTTTTTTATTATACTTTAAGTTCTAGGGTACATGTGCACAACATGCAGGTTTGTTACATATGTATACATGTGCCATGTTGGTGTGCTGCACCCATTAACTCATCATTTACATTAGGTATTTCTCCTAATGCTCTTCCTCCCCCCTCCCCACACACCACAACAGGCCCTGGTGTGTGAAGTTCCCCACCCTGTGTCCAGGTGTTCTCATTGTTCAATTCCCACCTATGAGTGACAACATGCGGTGTTTGGTTTTCTGTCCTTGCGATAGTTTGCTCAGAATGATGGTTTCCAGTTTCATCCATGTCCCTACAAAGGACAGGAACTACCATCTCACACCAGTTAGAATGGCGATCATTAAAAAGTCAGGAAACAACAGGCGCTGGAGAGGATGTGGAGAAATAGGAACACTTTTACACTGTTGGTGGGAGTGTAAACTAGTTCAACCATTGTGGAAGACAGTGTGGCGATTCCTCAATGACCTAGAACTAGAAATACCATTTGACCCAGCAATCCCATTACTGGGTATATACCAACAGGATTTTAAATCATGTTACTATAAAGACACATGCACACATATGTTTATTGTGGCACTGTTCACAACAGCAAAGACTTGGAACCAATCCAAATGTCCATCAATGATAGACTGGATTAAGAAAATGTGGCACCATATACACCATGGAATACTATGCAGCCATAAAAAATGATGAGGTCGTGTCCTTTGTAGGGACATGGATGAAGCTGGAAACCATCATTCTCAGCAAACTATCGCAAAGACAAAAAACCAAACACCACATGTTCTCACTCATAGGTAGGAATTGAACAATGAGAACACATGGACACAGGAAGGGGAACATCACACACCGGGGCCTGTTGTGGGGTGGGGGGAGGGGGGAGGGATAGCATTAGGAGATATACCTAATGCTACATGACGAGTTCATGGGTGCAGCACACCAACATGGCACATGTATACATATGTAACAAACCTGCACGTTGTGCACATGTACCCTAAAACTTGAAGTATAATAATAATAAAAAAAGAAATACTAAGAAAGAAAAAAAATAAAAGAAAGAAAATGTGGCAAATATACACCATGGAATACTATACAGCCACATCTGCAAATTCTTTGACACACCTCCCATGGAGAGAAGGGCCTATGTCCCATCCTTGAATCTGGAATGGTCTTCATGACTCACTTGTAATCAATATAAGTCAATAAACATGAAGCTGCATGATTTTTGGCGTAAGGTCACAGAAGGCAACGCTGCTTACAACAGCAACAAGGATTTTCCCAAATGTATCCTAAGAGGTGGTAGAACCTACCCCATCCTTGAGAATCACTGGTCTAGAAATTCTATTAGCTTGAAAATGTTGCAGGTCACTTCTTTACTTGAGAGACAAAAGTTGGTATTCACACACTTGTGGCAATAATATGATGGCCACATGTTCTTTTCTATTCATTTTTATGAGTTGGAGATCTTAGGAGTAGAGGATGAGGAGAGCCTATGTACAAGAGGCTGTGGTTAATTTTGGGGAAGACATAGGATCTGTATTCTTTTAATTATATTTTATTAAATATTCAGGACTTCTTCCACCTGCTCAGAGGTGTACTCCACTTCCTCGTGGTTTGGCTTATTTTCCAGACACACATGTATGCCTTGAAAGATGTCAAGTCCAACGTCACTTTTCTTTCCACTTACAGCCAAGAAAACAGAAGTTGCTCTGTCTATATCAAGTATGAAAGGTTTTAAAACAGGAAACTAGAAGCTTATAAAAGCTTTGGACGTTCTTGGGGAGCACAGTTCAGGGAAGTGGCCAGCAAAAACTTCAGAATGAAGCACCCAAGCAGATGGTTAAGAACAAACTTGTAAAAGATCAATTTATCAATTTATGCAGCCAACAAACATATGAAAAAAAGCTCATCATCATCGGTCATTAGAAAAATGCAAATCAAGACCACAATGAGATACCACCTCACCCCCAGTTAGAAAGGCGATCCTTAAAAAGTCAGGAAACAACTGATGCCGGAGAGGATGTGGAGAAATAAGAACGCTTTTACACTGCTGGTGGGATTGTAAATTAGTTCAACCATTGTGGAAGACACTGTGGCGATTCCTCAAGGATCTAGAACCAAAAATACCATTTGACCCAGCCATCCCATTACTGGGTATATACCCAAAGGATTATAAATCATTCTACTATAAAGACACATGCACACGTATGTTTACTGGGGCACTATTCACAATAGCAAAGACTTGGAAACAACTCAAATGCCCATCAGTCAGACTGGATTAAGAAAATGTGGCACATATACACCATGGAATACTATGCAGCCACAAAAAAGGATGAGTTCATGTCCTTTGCAGGGACATGGATGAAGCTGGAAACCATCATTCTCAGCAAACTATCACAGGAACAAAAAACCAAACACCACATGTTCTCACTCATAAGCGGGAGTTGAACAATGAGAACACAAGGAGGGGAATATCTCACATCAGGGCCTGTGGGTGGGTTGGGGGCAAGGGCAGGGATAGCATTAGGAGACATACCTAATGTAGATGATGGGCTGATGGGTGTAGCAAACCACCATGGCACGTGTATACCTATGTAACAAAGCTGCACATTCTGCACACGTAACCCAGAACTTAAAGTATATATATAAAAGAACAAACTTGTAAACCGCTGCAACTCAAAGAATCTTTGGAAGATGTCAACGACCACCTTAATCTACAGCAGTGAGTAGAGACATTTTCAAGGACTCCCCTAGAAGCTCTGTGAATATAGTGTTTATTCATACATCTCCCCCAAATCTCTGAAATCTTACCTGGGTGCCACTTTTGGGCAGACTCGATTTAACAACCCAAAACAGAGGCAGCATTTTGCGAAATGGAGTGTCCATTTTCTCATCTGCAATGCTCTAGAAGAACTCAGACGGGAGCGATGATGAAGACAGCTTAATAGATGATCCAGCCCACTTTCTTCATAGAGCATTCATGATGTTCAAATGAGATTATACATATAAAATGATGGAAGGAAGTGCAACGGAATAGATGTTATCTATTAATAGTACTAGTATATTATTAATGGCATTTCTGTTACTGAGGAGGAAGATTGTATGATCCTGTTATGTTGTGATTTCTACTTCTTTACTTGGAAGTAGAAATGTTGGCCCCAAACTCAGATTCATTCTCTTTTAGAATTACACATTTCTATTTAGCCCATATTGAAGTTGTTTTCCAGAAGAGGATTATGAGGGGTGTGTGTGTGTGTGTGTGTGTGTGTGTGTGTGTGTGTGTATGAATTAAATGTAATTCTCACAGGAAATTAAAATACCATCATTCAAAACTCTAAGCTGATATAGCTTAGGACTTTGCATACTAATTCAAAGACATGAAAACCTTTCAAGTGTCTACAAAAAAGGGAACCAGTTGGAAAATTATAATTGGAAAATTGTAATATCGCTTTACTGACACAGAAAATATTTTCTAGCATTACTTTCAAACTAGCAAATATGTATTTATTATGCACTACTGAAACTGTTTTATGAAATTTTATTTTTTTAATTTGGAGAAAGAAAGAAACACAAACAAGTTTTACTTTTTGGTTGTGGGGAGACTGTAATGATATAACAAATCATTTATCTAAAACTAGACACCTTTTTATGCTTGAGAATATATTTTATATTTCTCCATTCATATAAGGTAAGCACTAACTGTGGCTTTAATTGGAGCTTTTAGAATGCCTTAGTGAATACTTTGTACATAATTTAGAAGTATTCACATAGTCCAGCTTTGCACCAGAACTGTTCCCTCTTGGTACTAACAAGGGCATGATCTGACACTTGGTTTGGAGAATAAGACCAGAATGGTCAACACATTGTTGCCACTTTTGGTCTTTTGAATCACTGTGCTACTCTTTTCTAAGTATTCAAAGCAACTATAAAATAAAATAAATGAGGACAGTTTGGGATTTAGAGGAAACTCTTCCATTTCAGTATTTGAAAGAAGAGTGGTATTTTTCCTTAAGGCAGTCTCTTGCAGAAATGTTCTATGTCTTTAATGGGTGAAAAACATGGACTAGATTTTGTCAGTCTTCGGGGATTAAAAAACTTCAACCTTCCTGTCACTCCATCTGCACCAAAATAGTCTTAAAGATTATTCTGTAGGATGGCAAAAGAATCACTTTGATGTTTCTTTTCCAACTTGAAATTTATATTTGATATATTATAAAGTAAAACGTAATGCAAAATGCGCATCTACTAAAAAAAAAACTCTGAAAAGTATTTGAACTTAACATTCCTCATTCAAGTACAGAAACACTGCTTCAAGAGAACTATATTCTAAAGCTGCTTATGTTTAGTTCAACTGATTTCACAAATAATACCTCTTTCAGGTTGATGGTTACTAGTAGAGCTGGAAGGGAATGCCTGTGAAAAGAGATAGACATGTAGGGAGCTTCACTTGTTTTGGTAATGATCAGTTTCTTAGGCTGGGTCATGGGTGCATGTGTGATGCTCATTTAGGTCTATATTCATTTTTTTTTTGCATCCAGATGTCTGATTTTTCCAGCACCATTTGTTGAAAAGGATCTTCTTCCTACATTGAATTTGGTTTTCCCATTGTGTAAAATAATTAGGCTTATTTGTGTGGCCCTATTTTAGGTTCTATTTCTATACCACTGATCTATGTTTCTACTCCTGTCAAAAAATAACGCAGCATTTTGCTTACTGCAGCTATATGGTAAGCCTTATAGGAAGGAAGAGTGATTCCTTCCACTTCATTCTTCTTTTTTAAGAGTTGTTTAGCTAATCCAGTGATTTTGTCTTTGTATATCAATTTTAGAATAAGTTTGTATATGTCCACAAAAAGCTTTGCTTGGATTTTAGTAGGAATTGCTTTAAACCTAGAGATCGATTTGGGGGAACTGACATCTCTGCTACGTTGAGTCTTCTAATCCATGGATGCAGTATTTCTAATTTTCTCAAATTTTTGAGAAAAAATATTTACAACCTAAGATTCTATGTCCAGTTATATAATAGAACAAAAAGAAAATTTTACCACACGAAAAGTCTCACGACAATTTATCTACTATACCCCATTTCTCAGGAAGCTATTTAGGCTATGGTCCAACAACATGAGGGAAATGAGGAAACGGCTCTCACAAAATGGATTATTCAAATGGAAGTAAGTAAAGGGAATCAGAATAATAACGAAGGGATATCCCAGGGTAATAGCCATGCCCCAGGAGTAGAGGGCAACCACTCCTGCTTGTTGTCAGAAGACAGAGGTGATTTCTTTAAAATGATTTAATTCTTAGAATAATGGTATCATATGAATGTATTGAGGTATGATTTACATAACTGCTAGAGAGTTTTAGGTTGAATAACTAATAATACAGAAAAAGCCCAAAGCAAACAAAAAACTAGACCATCATTATCTCCAAGGGAAAAAAATGGGCAGGAAAAGCATGGCACATTATCTTTTTATAATTATGTAGTGAAAAAGCTTTTCATAGTTATGACGGTTCAAACATTGAATAGTGATGAAAAGAAAATTGAAACATTTTATATTGGAAAGTAAAGGAGGGGACAGGAAGTATACACGTGTAGTTGATACAGAGCATGAGAATGGCATACCATAAAATGGAAGAATAAGTTAAAAAAAGCAAAACCACATTATTTAGAAGTATGGAGGTAACCTTATATCAACAAGTCTATCCTGAAAGAATCAGGAAATGTGACGTTCCAGCTTTGTTCTTTTTGCTCAAAATTGTTTTGGCAATTCAGGGTATTTTGTTGTTCCCATATGGATTTTAGTATTTTTTTCTATTTGTGTAAAAAAGGTCATTAGAATTTTGATAGTTATTGTATTGAATCTGTAGATTGTTTGGGGTAGTATGGATATTTTAACAATATTAATTCTTCCAATCCATTAATACAGTATGTCTTTCCATTTACTTATATCTTCTGTTTGTTTTATCAATGCTTTATAGTTTTCGACACTTGTGACAACACAGATGAACCTGGAGGACATTATGCCAAATAATATAAGCCAGAAACAGAAGGAGAAATACTACATGATTTCAGTTATACGAGAAATCTAAAATTATCAAACTCATAGAAGCAGAGAGTAGAATGGTGGCTGCCAGGAGCTGGAGTAGAGGAAAATTGAGAGGTATTAGTCAAAGGGTACGAAGTCTCGGTTATGCAAGACGAATAAATTCTAGAGATCTACTGTACAACGTAACACCTACTTAACAATTCTGTATTGTATACTTAAAAATTTGCTAGGAGGGTAGATCTTATGCTAAGTGCTCTTATCATAAAATAAATAAAGAGGGTAGGAGGAAACTTTCGGAGGTGATAGTTAAGTTTATGGTATCAAATGTGGTGATGGTTTCGCTAGTGTTTACTTATTTCCAAATTCATCAAGTTGTATACATTCAGTATGGACAGCTATTATTTTGTCAATTGTACCTCAACAAAGTGTTTTTTTTAAAAAAGAAATAAAGAAACAGATGCATATTGCTCTCCATCTCATTCTAAGGGGTAACAACATTAAGAAGAAATGTAATAATACTCTTTACATTAAAGAGACTGAATTTTTCATTGCTACTCTTTCAGATTTACTTACAATTTTTATTTGATCCTAAATAATACTCTCTTGCACCATCTACCTTCAAAACAAAACAACGACGACAACAAAACACTGAAAGAATCAGCCAGAAAGAGTTGCATGTTGCTTCTGGAAGGGGAAAGTAGGGTGATGGTAAGAAACTATGTTGCATAAAAATTAGAATACAAGCATTTGACTCTAACATATGTGAACTTATGATAAATTTGATAAAAATTTAAAAGTATAAAAAAGTATAACTTTTTGTAATGTCTCTTTTCTTGATTGCTCATGTAGTTGAGCATTTATGGTAGTGCCCACCCACAGTGACCCTGGGCTAGGTCATGAAACTGGTTTTTGCTAATGGGACAATAATAAACTTGAAAAAGCATTTGTGTATTTCCACTTCTGCTTTTGGGCACCAGCTGATGTTTCTTTCTTTCCTTCACGATGTTTTACTTTTGTGTAGGTCTTGTGTTTTTTTTATTTTTTTGCAAGTTCATATGTGTATGAACTTTTTCTATGGAGATATTTTGAGAACTGGGTAAATGTTGTGATCTTCTAGGGATGATTTAAAAAATTTTTATTTTGCCAAGCACTCATGAGCATTACCATCCAAGACAATGCTAATATAATTCTTTGGCTTGAGGCTTTTTGGACCACCCCAAAAATATAAACTAAGGCCCCAAACACATATTAGGGGAGATACAGACGCAAGGTTTAGAGACAGAATAGTTTCCTTACTGTCTCCCTTTGTCAGGTACGTTTTAGTAATCTTTCACTGGAGGTGTAACCCTTGGGGCCCTATGTTATTCAACAACATCAAATATGATTCCATATATTTTCTGAACCCTCAGCTTTACTTACACTCTCCATTTGGCTGAAGTTGTAGGGCAAGCACCTGTTTGGGAGCTTGCTTGCATCTCTAGAGTTATTACTTTATTTTTGACCTCTTAGGATTTCCCTTACTTTTCTGCTGACTCATTCACACATTTTCAAAAATTTAAAAAATATGTTTTATCTACAGTTTTGGTTGTTTTATTGCTGAAGATTATCTTTCTGGGTATCTATTATGCCCCTGGCCTATTTTTCAAAAAAAAAAAAAAGAAAAGAAAAGAAAAGAAAAAAAATTCCAAAGGGATTAAGCGTAGACCTCAACGTGATCTGGATCAATACCTTAAGACAAATTGAATAACATTAGCTCCTTCTTTTAAGCTTCCAATTCCTGGGAGAATAATTTCAGAAATATACTGAAAATTTCCAAAGTCAGTTTTTTCCAGCGGTAAAAATAAAACCACTCTGCTCTCAAGAGACTTCTGCACTAGTGCCTAGTTTTAGTGAGTGTGGAAGTTTCTTTGAGTTAAAAAGTACTGCTGCATATTACCTACCTGGTTTTTAACAATATTACACAATTGTAATCTTGAAGATTATGTTGCACTCAAAAACTGTGGCAGTGAATCCCATAAAATACTTTTAAACGAAAAAGCCAACTGTGTACATCAAATGTCAGAATTAACTTTATTCTTACGTGCCTATTGAGAATATTGGAACACTTTTCTTCAGCTCAGGATGAGAATTCCTGCTTCTCCACGTACTTGGAAACACAGAACTTGTATCTTCTTATTGGATAAAACTAATAGGCCTTTGATGTAAAATGCTAATCTATGGAATTTAAAGCTCTGAATAACTTTGGGGTTGTAGGAAGTTCCCCTTTAGTAACCGAATAATTCCATAAAACAATTGGCTTCATATGGAGTGAGTAAGCATGTTACTATAGTCAGTATCTGTACTCCTGCTGACTTCTGTTTTGCCTTTGTTTAAATCATATTTAAGTTCTGTCAACATATGAAACAAAATAAGATGGTGACTGACAGACCGGGTAAAAGCCTGATTTCTGAAATCCATTCACTTGAGTTTGAATCCCAGATTTGTCACTACTAGCTATATGAACATGCGACAATTATCTCTCTGATGCTCAGGGATCTGGAATATTTATGAATTTCTTAAGTTTTCGACTTGAAAATAAAGTACAATTGAGAACTGGGTAGACGTTGTGATCTTCTAGGGGTGCTTTCCTAAATTTCCTTGATTCTAGTATGGCAACAGATAAATTTGTCGTGATGTTTTTCTTCATACAGAGAAAATAAAGTCAGCAGAAGGAAGAACAACTTTTACTTTTGTCCCTAAAGATTAATTATCATAAAAAGACAGACAAGTATATCTATATTGTTTCAAATGCCCTTATACATTTGCACATTCATTATATGTAAGAATGTGTTTCTGTTTGTCAAATCTCTTCAACTTTGTCTATTTAGATTTGCCCTCAAACAGTCATTCATGAAGTATTTACCTCTAAAAATGATTAATAGCCCAAGTGGTATGATTCCCAATCTTGGGCACGAATGCTATACCAATCTAAATAACGGGGTTCCCTTCCCAATGAGAATCTTTCACAAGTCTGACAGCCAGCATTTTCAAAGTTTGCAAACTTTTTGTAACTAAACATAGGTTGTGTGACAGCTTCTATTATTTGCCCAATAACAGCTCTTATATGCCCCTCCTTCTTAGGAGCTATGCCAATGTTGGATCATAGCTGTGAGTAATTTGGGTCAAAAAGGGAGACGATAAATTGGGGGAACCAACTCATGGAACATTGAGTGCTTGTCAGAGAACTGATGAAAGACTTGGATTCATACCTGGGAATCACAGCTTTATCTAATGCTTACAAAACTCAAGACATAAAATACGTAAAATATGACATGTTCCATGACTACAATGATCCCTTCCAGCCAAAAAGGGGTATTAAGATCTGATTAAGTAGGTTTTGCTCAGCATCACTGGCTCTTAATGTAGCAGGTGTGATGTCCCTCTGTGAGATAACTCCAGTGAAAATTCGATTTGGACTTTACTTTATAATACATACTAATTAACTTTTTATTTTTTAATGAGACATACTATTGAAAAACAATATACCCTTATAAAATATTGGAGTGAGGTCAACACTATTAAAAATTCACAAAATTGTTGAGCCATTTGGCAGGTGAAGTCCTTGTTTTGCAAGTGCAGAGATTACTCCAGATCTCATTCTGTGCCCCAATAGTGGTCCCGTGTAATATCACCAAGTTAAACATTTTTCACCTTTTCTTAGTTCTCCATTTGAATTGCACTCTGCACATACTGGATAAATTTTACTACAATCCAGTTGTCAGCTATAGCTTAGAAAAGTTTAACCTTTAATTTCATGGCTCATAGGAAGTTCAATGCCGTTTCCTAAATTTCTGCATATTCACAAAGAGGTCATAATGTCATGGACACCACTGGCTTTACCATCCTGCTTATTCTGAATTAGTACATAGTAGAAAGTGTTTACAAAGTGTTTATCCAGTGTATTCTGCATGGCATCATTCATTCATTCATTTAACAATTATTTATTGAGACCCTGTTATTTGTTACGCTACATTATGTGTGAGGAACTGGGCTGGTTGTAGGGGAAACAATAGGTTAGTGTGGGAAGAAGACATTAATGATTGCACGATAAATAGAACATTATGAATAAGTGCTATGATGGGGCTGAGTATGGTGGTACAAAAACATAAAATAAGTAGATTTTATCTAGTGTAGGAGATTAGAGATGCATCCCTGAAAAAAATTACTATTATTATGTGATCCAAAAAAAACAGATTTTAAGCCGAAGGTGATGGTAAAGAGTTGTTCCGGCAACTTGTCCAAGAAGCTAAGTGGTAGAGAAGAGAAAAGGGGCAGGGTAGTAGATGTAGTGGCATGTAGGACAGAGAAGGGTTTTTTTTTTTTTTTAAATAGTAGTAACTTAAGTCCTGATGTGAAGGATTCAGTTCCATGAGAGAGTGTGGAATATGACAGTGATGAGGGATAACAAATCATGTATAGTTCATGAGGTGGCATGAACTTATATAGGGGAAGAGCCAGCCCTCTCTTTTCACAGAAGAGAAGGAGGATACTGCAAGGGTAGAGATTTGATTGGTAGGTGAGGGAAAGATAAAAGAGTTATCAACTGATGCCTTCTCCTTTCTTTTAAAATGTCAGGTTAAGTCTGATAAACTGGAGAGGTGGAGGAGAAAACTTGATGCTTTGAGCAAAGAAGGTTTGAAACAGCTGTTGCAAAGGGTAGGAGAGTCTACAGGCACTGTTGAGGGACCCTTTGAGGTTGGAGAGATTTTTCTATTTATGACTGGACCAATACACTCTATTAAAAGGACTTTCTCTGGCAATGTTTACAGGAATAGCAAAAACAGATGGTTGTGCTATAGAAGGTTGGGATTTAATTAAATGCCACACACATAAAAGAATTGGCCCAGACAAGACACTCAGCTTCCTTAATTCTTCCTACTCCCACACATACATCCTCAAAAACCCATTCATAAAAGCTTTTTGATTTGTGCACCAATTTACTTAATTTTGAAGGACAACAGGAGGTTTGCATTGCGGCAATTCAGTCAATTAAAATCGATTACACATCTTTTGCTTAAAATGCCTTTGCTCACTGTTCTGTTGATTGGCTCTTCACTCTTTCCCTTTCTCTACTTTGTCTGTTCTAGTCTACTCCCTTCCTTTTCCCTTAATTTCTGATCATTTCTAATGCAGAGCCATTGAGCTATCCCTTCTGTTTTATTGCTTCCTGCTAAACCAGGCCCTCAGGGTATCACCTTCTCCCAGAAATAACTTATCCACCTGTTTTCCTAAACAAAGACCGGTCCCTCTTTAAAATAAATTCAGGTGCCACGGTTCAGTGGGTAATTTTTTTCACCTTGACATATTTTTTATTTAATCCTGTTTTTTATTTGTGATAACTTGCTCTAAAGATGCCTTTGTTGTTTTCAATGATAGAAGAAACATGTTTGTCATCTCTTCTGTCATCAGCCATCAAATGTGTGACCCTGAGAAAGTCATTTCATTGTTTTAGATCAGGGCTAGACAAGCTATAGCCTGAAAGACAATCTTACCAACTGCCTGTGTGCATAAATAAAGTTTTATTAGACCATAGTCACATTTTGTTTATGTATTATCTCTGTGCTCCAACAGCAGGATTGGTTAGTTATGAAAGACACTGTCTAGCCTGCAAAAGTGAAAATATTTACTAACTGGCCCTTTAAAGAGTTTGCCAACCCCTGTTCTAGGTAACACTTTATCTATCTGTAAAATGAAAGAATCTAAGAATATGCTCTCTCATTATCTTTTCCATTTTAATATTTAAAATGTTAAAGTTACAAATTTTGGTCTCTGCAAAAAAGTCACCTGATCTGAGAGAATGTATCTGTGTATAATTGACAAAGTAGCATTTCTGGACTCTATCATTCTGTACATCTTTATTCTGCTTTATTTTTATTAATATATCACTCTCTTGAGTAGTGTAATTTATATATATATATATACACACACACACACACATATCTGTTTCCCTCCATTAAAATATAAATTAAATGAAAGATAAAAAATGTTTTGTTCATTGCTATACCCCAATGTCTAGAATAATCCAGCACATGATAGATGCTCAATAGATGTACTAAGTAAGTGAATAAATGAATTAATAGAATACTTCTCATTGGAATTTCCTTCCAGTTGCATGTACAGAGACAGGATATACTGGACAATAGATGGGAACAAGTCTTTATTACTAAAATGTCCTAAATTGCTCATAGTTCCTAGGAGATTGTTATAGACTGAATGTTTGTGTCCCCAATCCCCACTGCCTGCCAGACTCATACATTGAAGCCCTAACCCTCCTTTGAATGTATCTGGAGATAGGGTCTGTGAGATGATAAATGAGGTCATAAGAGTGGGGCCCAAATCCAATATGGCTGGTGCCCTTATAAGAAGAGGAAGAGACACCCACACACACACACTCTCTCTGCCATATGAGAACATAGCAACAAGGTGACTGTCTGCAGGCCAGGAAGAGAGCCCTTACCAGGAACCAAACTGACAAGTGCCTTGATCTTGAACTCCTTCTCTCCAGAACTGTGCAAAAATACATTTCTGTTATTTAAGCTACTCAGTCTGATATGGCAGCCCAAATAGACTAATACCAGAATATTTGCAAAAGACCCCTAGAAATATGTGTTGATGATCTCTCCATACTCTTTTCTTCCCTGAGGGCAACAACATTCAGCCATATACTATTGATGGAATGAGTAGTGGGCTTTATACATGTGTGATTTGTAAATATTAAAAGTATATCAAGCATAAGTGAATTAAAAGTAATTATCACCTCTCTATGCTCAGAAATTAAGGGCTCTGCACCATATTAGTGGACAATCTTCTTCAAAATAAAGTGTATTACCATAGCTATATAAAATAGTGATTACAATGTGAGCTGTGGAGTCAGACTACTTGGATTGCATCCTGGTTCTACTTAACTAATGGTGTCATCATTGACAGATCACTTATTTTCATTTTCTTCCTCTTTAAAGAAAATAGAAATAATAATTACATGTACCAGTCAGAATGAATTAGGCTATGTTGCAATAACAAATAATCCAAAGTTTATTTCTCACTTCTTCTACATTCATATTGCAAGGCAGCTAAGAACTGTGCTCCAGTGGGTCTCACTGTAAGACACAGGCTAATAGAGCACACTTTCTGGAACACTGCTAGTAGCACTAGCAGAGGACAGAGAGATCCTGATGAATTGCATATTGGTTCTTGAAGATGCCACATAGATATGACAATCACCACTTTCACTTACATGTCATTGACTAAAAGCAATACAAATGACCATACTTAACTCCAAGGGAGGGGAAGGAGAACACTCTTACCATGGCCCAGAAGAGCAAGAAATATTCGTGATCAGCTCTAATGACTACCACATTATCTCACAGAATTTTTGTGAAAATCAAGTAAGCAAAAGCCTCCAAAGCATGAGTTACAGCTCTAGAAACAAATAAAGAGCTTACTAAATATTAGCTATTGTTATTATCCCGTATTGAATTACACACACAAAAAAACACTCCTGTTGGGAAAAATGGAAAACTATTTTTAGACTTCCAAGGAAACTTTGACCCCAGCAAATGTAAGAGAATACAGACGGGGTTCACAGAAAACCTTTCTTTCTCTAACTACCTTTATAACTCCCCAGATGAGAACTCAATCATCTGACTGCAACACATATTTTCATTGTCCTCCCCTCAAATTGATTTCTTGGAGAACACAACGTAGAGGAAATACAACAGAGCATCTTTACCCTGTTGTCTGACTTTGATCAGCTATCTTGTCGTTTTTCTTTTAAGTCCAACATTTTGTTTATTTCTAGCTAGGTGGATTACTGATTATTTGTAGTAATTGGCTACATTAATATGTATATGCAGGTCCCTTACCTTGTACCTCTCATACATTAGCATCATTTAGAAATTGTGGCTGATCTGCAATTTTTATTCCTATCACTTTTTTGATGTAGTATATAAAGTAGAAAGTGAAATAGTGACATGACCCTAATTTACAGAAAAATGTAAAACTAGTAGATTGCATATTGATGCGAGAGTGAAGCTAATTTGCTTCCAGTTCTTGATTTAACTAGTTATAGTACTGTATCTTGATCAAATCACTAAATCGCCTCTAAGATAAAGTTCTTTATCTAAAGAATTAAAGGAGTTAATTTAAACCTCATTTACTTCCACCAAGTATGATCTGGGGTGACAGAAGATGATCTCTAAACTCTTTTCTAACTTCAAATATTAGTCTGTGATGCAAAACCCTTGGTCCATGGTTACATTAGCACACAATATGTAGGAATTAAATTAGATTCCTCAATGTCATTTCAAGCTGATTTTCCAGAAGCTCAGTTTATTGGAAGGAATTTAATCGCTCAATTGTTTGACTTTTCTTATCCAAGTGAAATCAAATTTCACAATCCCGTGTAATTCACTCATCAATAATTATTATCAACATCATCTGAAATATATTCAGTCTGCAATTAAAAAAGAGAATGCCCCATGTGACGAAGTCAAAGAATGATAATGATTCATCCAACTGTTGAAGCTTAATTGTTTGTCACAGGCATCCACATTAGAAATCTAATGATTATAAAGTCCAATGACATTTAATTTTTCAAATCTCTATTTACCACATTGTTTTTCGAACAATGACATTTAGTCATTTTTTTAACTTGAAACTTTTGATAGAGTTTATGCAGCTAATTTTTTAAATTAAAAAAATCCAATATTTTTTCATAATCTTTTTATCATTTTCTTTGTATCTTTAATAAAATGACTGACATTTGTAATCTCACTTTTAATTTACATCAACTTTTCCCTTATTAACCAACCCAAGGATTTATATACAGAAAGAATAGTTTATCATGATAAGGAATTGTATAGCAAGTTTTCTGTCATAATACCTATTTATCTTCAAGAGTCACATACTTATGGTGCATGAAACAAAGATTCATAAAAGCCAATGAATTTAGTTTGTGTGGCAGATACTCCTGGTTGTTTGGCCCAATGGTCATCCCAACCCTTCACACCCCTTTCTTTCTTCTCATTATAAACGATAATAATAGCCCCCAAAATAAGCTTACCAACCTTCCTGAATCTAGAAGTGGACATATGAGCCAAGTCCAAGTAATGAGATGTAAGGGGTTGTATGCCAGTGCCCTTCTAGGAAAATTTTTCTTTTCTAATAAATCAGACAAGTGTGGCAGTACCAGCCCTTTCCCTTCTTCACATGGACTTCATTACTGCAGCTATAGAACTCTCCTCAATATAATGATGCCAAAACGTGAAGACCAAAGGCCAACACACCCAAGACAGTGGAGCACAAAAAGATCAAGAATCTGGATCTTTAGTGACGTTAAGGGGCATCTGCCCCAACACTACTTACCATCATCTCCTCTGATCATCTTCTTGGGTAAAATTTACATTTCTTTCAGCCAAAAGCATCTCTTGCCAATATAGCTGGCATATTAGTTTGGCTATATTTGCATACTTAAAAATTGTATGCTTTATCTTCCACACACTAAATCTATCATTATTTCTATTGTAATATTTTAATTAAAAATATCTTTGTGTAATTGATAAAACAAAAAATCCTTAAGAGATTACTTAGGTATTTGTGCCTTCACATAGAACCCAAATGGTCCCTCAGACACCATTATTTCACCCTAGGTTTAAAAGAAAAAAATTCTACAACCTTTTTCATTAACTTCTTTCAATGGCTTTTAAGAACATTAAGAATATGGAAGAGGAGGTGGAGAATAGCCTGGAAAAACTTCAATTGGCTTCTGGCAGTTGCTGTAAATCCTAAGAGAATGGCATGAAGTCAGGCAGTGTGAATTTAATAGCATCTCTGGGCAACTTGGGAGTCTCCCACAGTGTCTCAATATGGCAAGCAGTTATTTGTTGCTAGTGCCTTTTATGCTGCCATTTATTTCGACTCTGGGCCTTCCTTGTATTTTATTTTTCTCTGAAGTTGTTTCTCTCACCCTCCATGAGACACTTCCTCTGTTGGGGAAGTACATCAATATAATTAGATGGATGAGATACGAAACAAATCACAATGAATAAACGAGAGAGAAACAGGAAAAGGGTGATTATTCAAGGTCACCCATGTTTGGCGCTCAGTTTCACACATAATCTGGTCAGGCGTGCATGTATCTAATGTAACAAATGGTATAAAAAAGCAGAATCTTCTGGCTCAAAATATATAAAAGAGAAAACCTATAGGAGATCATTACATTATTCTGAATTAACTGTCTTAGAATCTTCTGTAATTTTTTCCCCTCAGAATGAATAGGGCTACCTGGTAATAAAGTCTGGGACTATATGGAGAAGACGAACTTGCACTGAAAACAAGGTGACGATCATCACAAAAGCAGGGACAGAGTTCCCAAGACAATATATGTGTACAATCACATTTTCTAAATGTGGAAAGGAGATACAGATGAGTATTCCATGTTTCACTGATGTGGCAGATTTTAAAATAGCACGAATTATGGTTTTTTGGATAATTTTCCCCTTTGATTTTGCGAAACTTAAGCCCTGTCAAGGAAAATATGTTTCAATATTAATAATTATATTTTCCCTCAGAGTTAGTACAGTGATTTGCTTCTATATTTATTTTCATTATACTAAACCAAAATCTTTCACATTGAAGAAAATATACATATTTGCATATATATAATTTTTTTTTTCTTTTTGGGCACAGAGCTTCTCTCTGTAGCCCAGGCTGGAGTGTGGCGAGATCTTGGCTCACTGCAACCTCTGCCTCCTGAGTTCAAGTGATTCTTGTGCCTCAGCCTCCCAAGCAGTTGGGATTACAGGCATGCGCCACCACGCCTGGCTACTTTTTGTATTTTCAGTAGAGAAAGGGTTTTGCCATGTTGGCCAGGCTGGTCTCAAACTCCTGACCTCAAGTGATCTGCCTGCCTGGGCCTCCCAAAGTGCTGGGATTACAGGCATGAGCCACCACGCCTGGCCCATGTATTTACATAATCTAAACATGCTATTCAAAGATAAGGTGGGTACGAATAGAAAGACATATCAAATATACAGACGGAAGTGGATGAGGCACAACATTCTTCCTTTTCCAAGGAGGTTATCAGGTGTCTTTCTCTTTGTGTGCCAAAACAAAGATAATGATGGTCACAAAATTCATTGAAGGCTAGGCAAAATATAAGCCACATAGTAGATGCTAAAAGCAATTTCTGAATAGTTGAATGGAGGAATGAAGTGGCAATTACAGTTGAATGAACATATGAATGAAGTGACATTAAAACTAAAACTAGCCTTATAGTTTTGGGGAATTAAGGAAATTTTATTTTAAACAGTTTGCTTTGCTTTTAGAACTATAACACAAACCAAAAACATTATGAATTGTGCTCTACTATTAAAACACAGATGCAGACATTTAGTAAAATATGAATTTATTTTGCTGATGAAAGAAATCATTAGCCGAGCACAGTGGCTCATGCCTGTAATCCTAGCACTTTGGGAGGCTGAGGCGGGTGGATCACCTGAGGTTGGGAGTTTGAGAACAGCCTGACCAACGTAGAGATACCCCCTCTCTATTAAAAATACAAAATTAGCCAGGCATGGTGGTGCATGCCTGAAATCCCAGCTACTGGGGAGGCTGAGGCAGGAGAACTGCTTGAACCCAGGAGGTGGAGGTTGTGGTGAGCCAAGATCGTGCCACTGCACTCCAGCCTGGGCAACAAGAGTGAAACTCCGTCTCAAAAAAAAAAAAAAAAAAAAAAAAGAAAAGAAAAGAAACAATTGTATTCACCTAGACAGCAATGTGATAGAAGAAATGTTAGCCTTCACATTCAGCAGTACAAATATAGGAGGCTTCCAAGTTTCATAGAGATACCAGTAGCCTTTAGAACAAGTGGGTTTCACCAGGTTAGCTATTGGCACGTTTCTCTGATATGTATCTTTCCAGGGTTGTGTGCAGAACAGATTTCTCACCCAAGTCTAGAGGCATCATTCCTACCAGTCATTTTTCTGCTATCAAGAAAATTATATTCCCTTTGTTTCTAGATAGAAAGATCTCAGAAAAGTCATCCTCTGGACACCTCTCCTGCATGACACTCCCTTATAAGAACATAAAGTGGCATAATGTTAGATTTGGAGTATACAGAAAGCAGGGGCTATGGTGACATTCTTTCCAATATTATCAAGCTCTGTGGCTACGTTTTGTAGAAGTTTGTAATAAATCTGTAATAAATTAATAATGTAATCTACAGCTACAATAGCAAGAATTGGGCCTCACTATGCAAATCTTGTAGAAACATATACAGTCTCAGAGAAAATTCAATATCTTTTGCCATTAATTGCTTCCAGTGACTTTTGGGAACATTAAAAATGTGGCCCAGCAGGAATGAGTATCCTGACAGAAAGTTCAGTTGGCTCACCATACAGGCGTTCTCTAATTAACATGTTTAATTAGAATAATATTTTAACTATGTCTCCTTTAGGCCACTTTTCATTGGTAAAAGGAAAATTATTTCTCACTAAATTTTAAAAAATAGACTATTTTTTACGGAATTTTAGGATCTCAGAAAAACTGAGCTGAAAGTACAGAGAGTTTTCATATATACTTAACACCCCTCTCATCCACCAGCAAACACAGCCTGCTCTACTATCAATACCCCACACCAGAGGGGTACATTCATTCCAATTGGTGAAAGCACACTGATGCATCATTATCACCCAAGTCCACAGTTTACATGAGGGGTCATGCTTGATGCTGTACATCCTACGGGTTTTGACATAACTATATAGGCATATATTAAATATTACAGTGTCATACAGAATAGTTTCACTGCCCCAAAAATCCTCTGTTCTTTGCCTATTCATCTCTCCTGCCCTCCCCTGCAAACACTGATCTTTTGACTGTCTCCATAGTTTTGCCTTTTTTCAGAAACTTATGTAGTATTCAGTAGTGTGCATTTAAGTTTCCTCCATGTCTTTTCATGACTTGATAACTCATTTCTTCTCAGTGCTGATTAATATTCCATTGTATGGATGTACCACAGTGCTATGGTCTAAATGTTTGTGTTTCCCCCTTTATATACTGAAATTCTAACACCCAAGGTGATAACATTAGGAGGTAAAACCTTTTGAGTGGTGGTTAGGCCATGAGGGTAGAGCCCTCATAATTGGGATCAGTGCACATAGAAAAGGGGTACCAGAGAGCTGCCTTGTCCCTTCCACCATGTGAAGGTACAGCAAGAAGGCACCAACTATGAACAAGGACACAGGCTCTCACCAGACACTGAATCTTTGGGTACTATAGTCTTCGACTTCCCAGCCTCTAGAACTGTGAGAAATAAATTTCTGTTGTTTATGAGCCATTCAGTTTCTGGTAGTTTGCTACAGCAGCCTGAATGAAATAAGACATATATTTCATACATTCATCTACTGGTGGCTTCCAAGTTTTGGCAAGTATTAACAAAGTTGCCATAAACATCCATGTGTAGGTTTTTGTGTGGCTGTTTTCAGCTCTTTTGGGGAAATACCAAGGAGCACGATTGCCGGATTGTATGGCAAGAGTATATTTAGCTTTGTAAGAAACTGTCAAATTGTCTTCCAAAGTAGCAGTACCTTTTTCTGTTCTCATCAGCAATGAATCAAAGTTCCTGTTGCTCTACATCCTTGTCAACTTTTGGTGTTGTCAATGTTTTGGATTTTTACCATTCTAATAGGTGGGTAGCGGTATCTCGTTGCTTTAATTTGCATTTCCCTAACGACATATGATTTTGATCATCATCTCATAGGCTTATTTGCCATCTGTATCTTCTCTGGTGAGGTGTCTGTTCAGCTCTTTTACTCATCTTTTAATCATATTGTTTGTCTGTGTGTGTGTGTGTGTGACAAGGTTTGGCTCTGTCACCCAGGCTGGAGTGCAGTGGTGCGATCTCAGTTCACTGCCACCTCTGCCTCCCAGACTCAAACCATCCTCCCACCTCAGCCTCCTAAGTAGCTGGGACTACAGGCACACGCCACCATGCCCAGCTAATTTTTGCAGTTTTTGTAGAGATAGGGTCTCACTTTGTTGCTCAGGCTGGTCTCGAACTCCTGAGCTCAAGTGATCCACTTGCCTTGGCCTCCTAAAATGCTGGGATCACGGGCGTGAGCCACTGCACCTGGCCTTATTTTCTTATTGTTGATTTTTAAGAGTTCTTTGTGTATTTGGGTAACTCCTTTATCAGATATATCTTTTGCAAATATTTTATTCCATCTGTAACTTGTCTTTTTATTCTCTTAAGTTTTTGTTTGCGGATAACTGATAAGTTGGAATTCACTGAAATTAAAAACTTATTTCTTTCATGCATCTTACCTTGGTATTGTATCAGAAGAAGTCAAGGCCGAACACAGGCCATCTAGATTTTCTCTCATGTTATCTTATAGGAATTTTATAGTTTTACATGTTAAATTTAGGTCTGTGACCCATTTTGAGTTAATTTTGGTGAAGGGTATAATGTGTGTGTCCAGATTAATTTTTCTTGCATGTGGATGTCCAGGACCACGTGTTGAAAATACTATCTTTTCTCCATTGAATTGCCTGTGTTATTTTGTAAAAGATCAGTTGACTATATTTGTGTGGTTTTATTTTGGGGCTCTGTATTGTTTCACTGATGCATTTTTTTCTGTTTTGCCAATATCAAACTGTCTTGATTACTGGGGCTTTAGAGTAATGCTTGAAGTAGGGTAGTGTTAACTATATTGAGTACATTTGCGTGGGTCTATATTTGAACGTTGTTGACAATGAGTGGTGAAAGGGGATATCCTTGCCTTGTTCCTGATCTTAGCAGGAAAGCTTTTAGTTTCTCATCATTTAGTATGATCTTAGAAGTTTTTTTTTTTTTTTTTGTAAATGCTATTTATCAAGTTAGGAAAATATCCCTCTATTTCCCGTTTGCTGAGAGTTCTTATTATGAATAAAAAACTTCGATTTTGCGAAATGCTTTTTATGTATCTATTAATATGATTGTGTAATTTTCCCTCTTTAGCCTAATGATGTGAATGAATTTCATTCACTGACTTTCAAATGTTGAACCAGCCTTGTGTACCTGAGATAAGTCCCACTTGGTTGTGGTATAAGAATTTTTTCACAAATCGTTGAGAATTTTTTGCATCTAGAATCATTAGAGATATTGGTCTGTAGTTTTGTGGTAATACCTTTGTCTGGTTTGGGTTTTAGGGTAATGCTGGTCCCACAGGATGAGTTAGAGAGTATTCTATCTGCTTCTATCTTCTGGAAGAGATTGTAGAGAACTGATATAATTCCTTCCATCAATGTGTGGTAGAATTCACCAGTGAACCCATCTGGACCTGATGGTTTTGTTTTGGAATATTTATTAATTTTTTAATTTCTCTGATACAGACTAATTCAGATTCTCTGTTTTATCATATACAACATATTCAGAATTAGTCTATTTCACATATGTTTCACATAATATTTCACGTTATCTTTTTAATGTCCTTGGGGAAGGTAATGATGCCCTTTTTCATTTCTGATATTTGTAATTTGTGTCTTCTCGCTTGTTTTTCTTAGTCTGGCTAAAGGCTTATTAATTTTATCGATCTTTTCAAATAACCAGTTTTAATTTTTTTCTCTATTGGTTTTTTAGTTTTACTGATATCTGATCTAAATTTTATTATAGTCATGTACCTCATAATGGTATTTTGGTCAACAGGCCACACATATGAAAGTGGTCCCATAAGATTATAATGGAGCTGAAAAATTCTTATCTAGTGACATTGCAACTGTCATAAACAAACCTGCTGTGTTACCAATTTTATAAAAGTATAGCACATATAATTATGTACAGTATATAATATTTGATGATTACAGACAACTCTGTTACTGGTTTATGTATTTATTCGACTGTACTTTTTATCACTAGAGTGTATGCTTTCTACTTATAAAAAAAAGGTAACTGTAAAACAGCCTCAGGCAGGTCCATCAGGAGGGATTCCAGAAGAAGGCACTGTTATCATAGGCGATGACAACTCCAAGGGTATTACTGCCCCTGAAGACCTTCCAGTGGGACAAGATGTGGAGGTGGAAGACAGTGATATTGATGATCTTAACTCTGTGTAGGCCTAGCGTAATATGTGTTTGTGTCTTAGTTTTTAACAAAAAGTTTTAAAAAATAAAAACTTTAAAAATAGAAAAAAGTTCATAGAACAAGGATATAAAAAATATTTTCAGATAGCTGTACACTGTATTTGTGTTTTAAGCTGCTAAGGGTTACTACAAGAGTCAAAAAGTTAAAAAAGTAAAATGTTTATAAAATAAAAGCCATTACAGTAAGCTAAGATTAATTTATTGTTGAAAAAAGAAAAACATTTTAAAATAAATTTACTGTATCCTAAGTGTACAGTATTTATAAAGTCTGCAGTAGTGTAATGTCCTAGGCCTTCACATTAACTCACCACTTGCTCACTGACTCACCCAGAGCAACTTCTAGTTTTGCAAGCTTCATTCATGGTAAATGCCCTATACAAGTGTACCATTTTCATCTTTTACACCATATTTTTACTGTACCTTTTCTATGTTTAGAGATGCAAATATTTCACTTCCTTAACTTTATTTGTAAGTATTTTATTCTTTCTGATGTTATTAAAAATGGGATTGTCTTCTTAAATTTCTTTGTAAATGTGTATAAAAATGCAACTGATTGGGTCGGGCGTGGTGGCTCATGCCTGTAATCCCAGCACTTTGGGAGGCTAAGGCAGGTGGATCACTTGGGTGTGACCAAGGCCTGAGGTCAGGAGTTTGAGACCAGCCCGGCCAACCTGGTGAAACCCCGTCTCCACTAAAAATATAAACATTAGCGGGGCGTGGTGGCGGGTGCCTGTAATCCCAGCTACTTGGGAGGCTGAGGCAAGAGAATCACTTGAATCCAGGAGGCGGAGGTTGCAGTGAGCCGAGATCACACCATTGCACTCCAGCCTGGGTGACAGAGTGAGACCCCATCTCAAAAAAAAAAAAAAAAAAAATTTCAACTGATTTCTATATGTTGGTTTGTATCCTTCAACTTTACTGAATTTATTACTTTTTTTTTTTTGATATGGAGTCTTGCTCTGTCACCCAGACTGGAGTGTAGTGGCATGATCTCAGCTCACTGCAACCTCCGCCTCCCGGGTTCAAGCAATTCTCCTTCCTCACCTTCCCAAGTAACTGGGATTACAGGTGCATGCCACCATGCCCGGCTAATTTTTTTTTTTTTTTCCAGTAGAGATGGGGTTTCACCATGTTGGCCAGGCTGATCTCGAACTCCTGACCTTGTGATCCGCCCACCTCGGCCTCCCAAAGTGCTAGGATTACAGGCGTGAGCCACTGTGCCTGGCTGAATTTATTACTTCTAACAGTTTTTGTTCTTGTTGTTGTTGGGGTCTTTAGGGCTTTCTATACATAAGATCATGACATCTGCAAACAGATAAATTCACTTTTTCCTTTCCATTTTGAATGCTTTTTATTTTTTTTTCTTGGCTAATTGCTCTGGCTAGGACTTCTAGTACTATGTTGAATAGAAGTGGCAATAGTGGGCATCCTTGCCTTGTACTGGATCTTAGAAGAAAAGCTTTCAGCTTTTCACTTTTGAGTATGTTAGCTGTGGGCTTTCATAGATGACCTTTATTATGTTGTGGTACATCCTTCCATACCCAGTTTGTTGCATTTTTTTTTAATCATGATAGGATATTGAATTTTGTCAAATGCTTTTTTACAGCTATTGAGATGATTGTATGCTGTTAATCCTTCGTTCTGTTTATGTGATGTATCACATTATTGATTTGAATATGTTGAATTATAGTTGCATTTCAGGGATGAATTCTACTTGATCATGGTGAATGATCCAGGGATAAATTCCACTTGATCATGGTGCATAATCCTTACAGTTGACAGCCACCCAATACTTTTCCCTAGGGCAAGAGAATAAGATGCTGGGACTTTGGGTGCAAGTTTAACTACTGTTTTTTTCCTCATGAAGGAGAAGTCTCAAGATTATTCACCTTCTGCCAATTCTGCAGAACCAAGCTGGCTGCCGAGATTCACACTGGCTGCAAAGAGCTGAGTGCCAGCTGCTGAGGGCCACATACACTGGCTGCTGAGGTCTGCACACTGGCTGCTGAGAACTGCACCAGCTGCTAAGATTGCTAAGAGCCATGCTGGCTCTGAGATCTGTGCATTGGCTGCTGAGACCATGAACTGCCCTCCCCGCCACCGCCCCCCCGAACCGCCACTCCACCAACTTTTCTTTGAGGTTAGCTGCTCCCAGGCCTTCTATGTAAGTCAGTTTCCTCAGAACTCTGGGTGAGGCAAGACAGAAGCAGGTCTCCCAAATGATGACCCAAAAGGCTGGGGAAGTTGAATGGATAGTCTTCCCTTTCTCCCATGGGGGAAATTGTGGGCCAAGGGTAACTCTTGGTGTTGAGCTGTGCCAAGTGAAGGGATAGGGTAACGTGGGTAAAGTGAAATTGCTTTTACTAATTTTAATGTACTTTTTTTTTGGGAGGGGGGTTGCTCTTCCGAGTGCTGCAACTTCTGAAGTGGATTCTGGAGTTCTCATAAAGGTATTTTGGTCCATAGATAGTTGGTAGATTAGTGTTTCTATGGAGGTATGAAGGCTGAGATTTCCTGTTGTGCCATCTTGCTGATGTCCCTCACCCTGGAGTTTTAAAATCTCATATTTGCTTACATTGAGCCTCCAGAAATTTGTCAATTACAGTTTAGGTTTTCCTACCATAGTACTGATTGCTGCTTACAGGTTTCTGATCTGATAAGCTGTGATTCTACCTGCCTGTGTGTCTCTCCAGTTTGAGGGGCAATGGTTTTTTCTGTGAGTTGTTGAATTTCAGTTGTGCAGCTTTTTACTTGTTAGGACAGAGTGATGACTTTCAAGCCTCTTATGTGCTGAATCGGAAACCAGAAGTTACCACATTTCTCGTTAAATATTTGTAGCCAAAAATTGGTTCATAATAAAAGAGAACAAGCACCTCAACAAACTGAAGTTAAAATGTGGATAAAGGTGACATGTGATTAAATAATTTTCAAGGGAACAAGTGCCATTAGATTTGTTTAAAAGTGTGAAAGCACCTAATCACTTTTCCACCCCATAGGACTCTCAGGTATAATCTGTTGGTAAGAGACCAGCAGATGTCAAGCTGTAATTTACAGCTCTAGAATTTAAATCCCAAGAGGTGAGTTTTAGTTGAAATCTGACATAAATCTTTGTTCAGTTCTCTGGTATAGTTTTGGCTACCTGAATGAAACTGTTCTGTTTCAGAAATACTCATATACATTTCTCCATGACTGTGTGGAAAATCTGCATTAATTTTTATCAGTCTACTCAGAATGCTTGTTAATTGATTCCAGAGAATATAGTGATAATTAGCCTACTCATGTGTTTTGGGGTATTCATTACTGTCTATGGATGGTTAATGACAACACTGTATTATGGCTTTATCCATATAAGCCAGTGACAATGTTTTCCAAATTTAAGCTCTCTCATAAATTGAATTCAGGTTTATTTCAAATCTTGTATGTCAGGATTAAGAATATTATAATGTTTAAACAGAAGCAGGCTGCAGTAGTATTTTACCTATGTATTACACTTACGCACACAAAGGTAAGGGGTGTAATGGAGAAGAGAACTGACTACGTAAAACCAAAACCGAGTAGCCCTTTCTGCTAAGGAGAGGGGAGCTATTAACTCATATAAATTGGTAGACAGTTCCTACACTGGACGTATTTGCTTTCAGATATGATGAGGGAGAGACAAGCTCAGGAAAAAAATTCAAATCTTTGGCTAGTTCTCTGCTTCTTATAGGTAGGATCTGGGGGCAGATGGACCATCATTTACGAGAACATATTTATGAGTTTTAGAAGTGCAAAAGTAGATCCCAAGTTAAATATAATAGATGGAAAACAAGGTTTTTTTGCATAACAAAGAGAGGAACTGAGTTTTAGAGGGAGGAGATAAAGAGGAAAAATGCTGAGAAAAGATGAATAAAAGACCCTAGACCTCCACGGTTTAATATGGTATTCTCTTGCTACACTGGGTATTTGAATTCAAATAAATTTTAATTTAAAATTTGGTTCCTCAGTCACACACCAGCCATATCAAGTGTTCAACAGCTATAGGTAGCTAGTAGCTATTGTATTGGATAGTGCTGCTCTACGACATACGAGGTGAACAACAAAGTGATGTAAAATTCTTCAACCCAACACTCCACAAAGCTTCCCATATATACAAAAGCCCTGGGTGAGAGGTTTTGAGGTAAATTAAGGAGAAGGGCTATATATCACCTTTGGGGAGATGTTATACAGAGCAGAGTCTATATGTATAAAATAAAGACAATCCTTAAATAGCAATAAAAAAATTTTGAAAGCCAGAGTCCCTCAGAAACAAAATATGGTACTTTCCAAGGATCCCTAGAAAATCTGAGATTGACTGAAGGTCTCCTAAAATATGTGAGCTGGAATTGGAGGCAATTAATTTCATTTGAATCTTATAGGACAATTTGCTTCAGTTAATAACCATCTTCAGAATAAATCCTCCCTGGCACCATGAAGCCAGAAGCCTAAATAAATAAATAAATAAATAGATAAATAAATAAAATTTAAAAAAATTTTAAAAATGATGTTCAAGAAGGGGAATCCAGGACAATTTTCTGTCAACTGTTCAGGAAATACTGCTTTATTGCTCTCCTTTATCTATTTTGTTCCTCAAAGCCTTGCTCTGAAATGTGGATTTAACAGTTGATCTTAATTTCCTTAAGTCTTTCTGTTTTCTGAACAACTTTATCTCCCCTTAACTTCCAGGATTTCCTATTCCCAGAAACTTTGGCTAAAACTCCCCACCCAATCTAATTTTAATCCCAGAACCCAACTCCTGACATCTTCCCTAGGAAGTCAGTGGGAGAGTCAAACAGAGTCAAAGAGGAGAATCAAGGAAGTCACAATAGGGGCTTTTTACGGCTCTTGTCATTTCATCCACTGCTCATAATAACGCTGGAATGAAGGCAAGAGAATTTTAGAGTATTGGCAGGAGAATGAGATGTTTGAGCTGTTACTCTTTCTTAACCTCATACATCCCTCCCTATGCCACTCTGCTGTACAAACCCATGAAAATGTATTGTGGTCTTTATAAGAAGACTAGCAGAGGCCTTGGGGAAACTCAACAAAAGGATTCTTGAATCAGCTTTTCTTCTTTCACTAAAGAAATGTCACTTTCTAGTGATGGAATGAGGTAGAAGGAGTGACCCCATGTTTCTGAATGACTCAAGCCATGTCTGACACAAACATGAATATAGATGATCAATTTCTGGAACCAAAGAATCCTAGAGAGTACAGGACCCCAGGGCAAGCCACACCACATGGCCAATGCTAAAGATTTTAGGCTGACAGGCTGAATGCATAAGAATCCCTCAGTGGATGTGAAGGACCTCTTCAAGGAGAACTACAAACCACTGCTCAAGGAAATAAAAGAGGACACAAACAAAAGAAAAAACATTCCATCCTCATGGATAGGGAGAATCGATACCATTAAAACGGCCATACTGCCCAAAGTAACTTATAGATTCACTGCTATTCCCATCAAACTACCATTGACATTCTTCACAGAATTGGAGAAAAACACTATAAATTTCATATGGAACCAAAAAAGAGCCTGTATAGCCAACACAATCCTAAACAAAAAGAACAAAGCTGGAGGGATCATGCTACCTCACTTCAAACTATACTACAAGGCTACAGTATACAATACAGCATGGTAGTGGTACCAAAACAGACATATAGACCAATGGAACAGAATAGAAACCTCAGAAATAACACCACACATCTACAACCATCTGATCTTCGACAAACCAGACAAAAACAAGCAATGGAGGAAGGATTCCCCATTTAATAAATGGTGTTGAGAAAACTGGCGAGCCATATGCAGAAAACTGAAACTGGACCCCTTCCTTATACCTTATACAAAAATTAACTCAAGATGGATTAAAGACTTACATGTAAAACCCAAAACCATAAAAACCCTAGAAGAAAACCTAGGCAATACCATTCAGGACATAGGCATGGGCAAAGACTTCATGACAAAAATGCCCAAAGCAATTGCAACAGAAGACAAAATTGAGAAATGGGATCTAATTAAAGAACTTCTGCAAAGCAAAAGAAATTATCATCAGACTGAACAGGGAACCTATGGAATGGGAGAAAATTTTTGCAATCTACTCACCTGACAAACATCTAACATCCAGAATCCACAAGGAACTTAAACAAATTTACAAGAAAAAAAAAAACAACCCCATCAAAAAGTGGGCAAAGGATACGAACAGAAACTTTTCAAAGGAAGACATTTATGCGGCCAAAAAACATACGAAAAAAGCTCAACATCACTGATCATTAGAGAAACACAAATCAAAACCACAACGAGACACCATCCCATGCCAGTCAGAATGGCGATTATTAAAAAGTCAGGAAACAACAGATGCTGGAAAGGATGTGGAGAAATAGGAATGCTTTTACACTGTTGGTCTGAATATAAATTAGTTCAACCGTTGTGGAAGACAGTGTGGTGATTCCTCAAGGATCTAGAACCAGAAATACGATTTGACCCAGCAATCCCATTACTGGGTATATACCCAAAGGATTATAAATCATTCTACTACAAAGGCACATGCTACTATAAAGACACATGCACACATGTATGTTTATTGCAGCACTATTTCCAACAGCAAAGACTTGGAACCAACCCAAATGCCCATCAGTGACAGACTGGATAAAGAAAATGTGGTACATATACACCACGGAATACTACGTAGCCATGAAAAGGAATGAGATCATGTCCTCTGAAGGGATATGAATAAAGCTGGAAGCCATCATCCTCAGCAAACTAACACAGGAACAGAAAACCAAACATCCCATGTTCTCACTTATAAATGAGAGCTGAACAGTGAGAACACATGGACACAGGGAGGATAATAACACACAGCGGGGCCAGTCGGGGGTGGGGGGGACAATGAGGGGAGAGAGAGCATTAGGACAAACTGCTAATGCATGTGGGGCTTAAAACCTAGATGATGGGTTGATAGGTGCAGAAACTACCACGGCACACATATACACATGTAACAAACCTACACATTCTACACTTGTATCCTGGAACTTAAAGTAAAATTAAAAAAAAATCCCATCCTTCTGTTTTTGTTGTTGCATTGTTTCATTTCGATTATTGTAAGTTTTCTTAAGTCTCCAGCTGGAAAATTTTAAACTCTCACTTAAATTTTGGTTTAAAGAATAAATCAAAGGTAAAATGTCACACCCTTAGTCAATAACCATAAAGGAATTTTTTTTTTTTTTGATACAGAGTCTCGCTCTGTTGCCCAAGCTGGAGTGCAGTGGTGCAATCTCGGCTCACTGCAAGCTCTGCCTCCCGGGTTCAGGCCATTCTCCTGCCTCAGCCTCCCGAGTAGCTGGGACTACAGGCGCCTGCCACCACGTCACGCTAATATTTTGTATTTTTAGCACAGATGGGGTTTCACCCTGTTAGTCAGGATGGTCCCGATCTCCTGGCCTCGTGATCCACCCACCTCGGCCTCCCAAAGTTCTGGGATTACAGGCGTGAGCCACTGCGCCCTGCAAGGGAAAATTTTTTATCAAAATATATGAGGTATATCTAAAATTAAGTCAGGATAGCACCTATTGCCTTAAGTACTTATTTTAATAAAGAGGATAAAATTTAAGTTAATTAAACAAGCCTTCAACTCATGAAGCTAGGAAGCAAACAATAAAATAAGTCTGAAGAAAACAGAAAGGATGTGAAAATATAAATGAATGAAACAGAAAAGCACAGAAGGAATGAATAAAATATAAAGTTGACTCTCAATAAGCTTTATTAGATCAATTACTCTACAGCCTAATTGAAGAAAGAAGAGAATGTAAACAAAGAAGATATAACGAGGAAATAGAACTAGAGAAAAATAAAAAGAATTACAGCATTTTGCCAACCTCCATTAAAATAAATTAAAGAACTTAGATAAAACTGATGATTGTAAGAAAATATAGGCAGAGCCAAGATGGGTGAACAGGAACAGCTCATCTACAGCTCCCAGCTGAGTGACACAGAAGACAGGTGACTTCTGCATTTCCAACTGAGGTACCAGGTTCATCTCACCGGGGAGTGTTGGATAGTGGGTACAGGACAGTGGGTGCAGCGCACCGAGCGTGAGCCGAAGCAAGGCCAGGCATCACCTCACCCAGGAAGCACCAAGGTTCAGGGAATTCCCTTTCCTAGTGAAAGAGAGGGGTGACAGACAGCACCTGGAAAATCGGGTCACTCCCACCCTAATACCGCGCTTTTCCAACAGTCTTAGCAAATGGCACACCAGGAGATTATATGCCGCGCCTGGCTCAGAGTGTCCTATGCCCACGGAGCCTCGCTCATTGCTAGCACAGCAGTCTGAGACCAAACTGCAAGGCGGCAGCGAGGCTGGGGAAGGGGCGCCCGCCATTGCCGAGGCTTGAGTAGGTAAACAGGAAGCTCAAACTGGGTGGAGCCCACCGCAGCTCAAGGAGGCCTGCCTGCCTGCCTCTGTAGGCTCCACCTCTGGGGGCAGGACACAGACAAACAAAAGGCAGCAGAAACCTCTACAGACTTAAATGTCCCTATCTGACAGCTTTGAAGAAAGTAGTGGTTCTCCCAGCTCGCAGCCAGAGATCTGAGAACGGACAGACTGCCTCCTCAAGTGGGTATCTGACCCATGAGTAGCCTAACTAGGAGGCACCACCCAGTAGGGGCAGACTGACACCTCACGTGGCCAGGTACTCCTCTGAGACAAAACTTCCAGAGGAACGATAAGGCAGCAACACCTGCTGTTCACCAATAACTGCTGTTCTGTAGCCTCTGCTGATACCCAGGCAAACAGGGTCTGGAGTGGACCTCCAGCAAACTCCAACAGACCTGCAGCTGAGGGTCCTGACTGTTAGAAGGAAAACTAACAAACAGAAAGGAAATCCACACCAAAACCCCATCTGTACGTCCCATCATCAAAGACAAAAGGTAGATAAAACAACAAAGATGGGGAAAAAACAGAGCAGAAAAACTGGAAACTCTAAAAATCAGAGCACCTCTCCTCCTCCAAAGGAACGCAGCTCCTCACCAGCAATGGAACAAAGCTGGATGGAGAATGACTATGACGAGTTGAGAGAAGAAGGCTTCAGATGATCAAACTACTCCAAGCTAAAGGAGGAAGTTCGAACCCATGGCAAAGAAGTTAAAAACCTTAGAAAAAAATTAGATGAATGGCTAACTAGAATAACCAATGCAGAGAAGTCCTTAAAGGACCTGATAGAGCTGAAAACCACGGCATGAGAACTATGTTAAGCATGCACAAGCCTCAGCAGCCGATTCGATCAACTGGAAGAAAGGGTATCAGTGATGGAAGATGAAATGAATGAAATGAAGTGAGAAGAGAAGTATACAGAAAAAAGAATAAAAAGAAACGAACAAAGCATCCAAAAAATATGGCACTATGTGAAAAGACCAAATCTACGTCTAACTGGTGTACCTGAAAGTGACGGGAAGAATGGAACCAAGTTGGAAAACACTCTGCAGGATATTATCCAGGAGAACTTCCCCAACCTAGCAAGGCAGGCCAACATTCAAATTCAGGAAATACAGAGAAATGCCACAGAGATACTCCTCGAGAAGAGCAACTCCAAGACACATAACTGTCAGATTCACCAAAGTTGAAATGAAGGAAAAAAGGTTAAGGGCAGCCAGAGAAAAAGGTCAGGTTACCCACAAAGGGAAGCCCATGAGACTAACAGCGGATCTCTCAGCAGAAACTCTACAAGCCAGAAGAGAGTGGGGGCCAATATTCAACATTCTTAAAGAAAAGAAGTTCCCACCCAGAATTTCATATCCAGCCAAACTAAGCTTCATAAGTGAAGGAGAAATAAAATCCTTTACAGACAAGCAAATGCTGAGAGATTTTGTCACCACCAGGCCTGCCCTAAAAGAGCTCCTGAAGGAAGCACTAAACATGGAAAGGAACAACCAGTACCAGCCACTGCAAACACATGCCAAATTGTAAAGAACATGGAGGTTAGGAAGAAACGGCATCAACTAACGAGCAAAATAACCAGCTAACATCATAATGACAGGATCAAATTCACACATAGCAATATTAACCTTAATTGTAAATGGGCTAAATGCTCCAATTAAAAGACACAGACTGGCAAATTGGATAGAGTCAAGACCCATCAGTGTGCTGTATTCAGGAAACCCATCTCACGTGCAGAGACACACATAGGCTCAAAATAAAGGGATGGAGGAAGATCTACCAAGCAAATGGAAAACAAAAAAAGGCAGGGGTTGCAATCCTAGTCTCTGATAAAACAGACTTTAAACCAACAAAGATCAAAAGAGACAAAGAAGGCCATTACATAATGGTAAAGGGATCAATTCAACAAGAAGAGCTAACTATCCTAAATATATATGCACCCAATACAGGAGCACGCAGATTCATAAGGCAAGTGCTTAAAGACCTACAAAGAGACTTAGACTCCCACACAGTAATAATGGGAGACTTTAACACCCCACTGTCAACATTAGACAGATCAATGAGACAGAAAGTTAACAAGGATATCCAGGAATTGAACTCAGCTCTGCACCAAGTGGACCTAATAGACATCTACAGAACTCTCCACCCCAAATCAACAGAATAGACATTCTTTTCAGCACCACACCACACCTATTCCAAAATTGACCACATAGTTGGAAGTAAAGCACTCCTCAGCAAATGTAAAAGAACAGAAATTATAACAAACTGTCTCTCAGATCACAGTGCAATCAAACTAGAACTCAGGATTAAGAAACTCACTCAAAACCGCTCAACTACATGGAAACTGAACAACCTGCTCCTGAATGACTACTGGGTACATAACGAAAAGAAGGCAGAAATAAAGATGTTCTTTGAAACCAATGAGAACAAAGACACAACATTCCAGAATCTCTGGGACACATTCAAAGCAGTGTTTAGAGGGAAATTTATAGCATTAAATGCCCACAAGAGAAAGCAGGAAAGATCTAAAATTGACACCCTAACATCACAATTAAAAGAACTAAAGAAGCAAGAGCAAACACAGTCAAAAGCTAGCAGAAGGCAAGAAATAACTAAGATCAGAGCAGAACTGCAGGAGATAGAGACACAAAAACCCTTCAAAAAAATCAATGAATCCAGGAGCTGGTTTTTTGAAAAAATCAACAAAACTGATAGACTGCTAGCAAGACTAATAAAGAAGAGAGAAGAATCAAATAGACGCAATAAAAAATGATAAAGGGGATATCAGCACCGATACCGTAGAAATACAAATTACCATCAGAGAATACTATAAACACCTCTATGCAAATAAACTAGAAAATCTAGAAGAAATGGATAAATTCCTCGACACACACACTCTCCCAAGACTAAACCAGGAAGAAGTTGAATCTCTGAATAGACCAATAACAGGCTCTGAAATTGAGGCAATAATTAATAGCCTAGCAACAAAAAAAAGTCTAGGACCAGATGGATTCACAGCCAAATTCTACCAGAGGTACAAGGAGGAGCTGGTACCATTCCTTCTGAAACTATTCCAATCAGTAGAAAAAGAGGGAATCCTCTCTAACTCATTTTATGAGGCCAGCATCATCCTGATACCAAAGCCGGGCAGAGACACAACAAAAAAAGAGAATTTTAGACCAATATCCCTGATGAACATCGATGCAAAAATCCTCAGTAAAATACTGGCAAACGGAATCCAGCAGCATATCAAAAAGTTTATCCACCGTGATCAAGTGGGCTTCATCCCTGGGATGCAAGGCTGGTTCAACATATGCAAATCAATAAATGTAATCCAGCATATAAACAGAACCAAAGACAAAAACCACATGATTATCTCAATAGATGCAGAAAAGGCCTTTGATGAAATTCAACAACCCTTCATGCTAAAAACTCTCAATAAATTAGGAAGTGATGGGACGTATCTCAAAACAATAAGAGCTATCTATGACAAACCCACAGCCAATATCGTACTGAATGGGCAAAAACTGGAAGCATTCCCTTTGAAAACTGGCACAAGACAGGGATGCCCTCTCTCACCACTCCTAGTCAACATAGTGTTGGAAGTTCTGGCCAGGGCAATCAGGCAGGAGAAAGAAATAAAGGGTATTCAATTAGGAAAAGAGGAAGTCAAACTGTCCCCGTTTGCAGATGACATGATTGTATATCTAGAAAACCCCATCGTCTCAGCCCAAAATCTCCTTAAGCTGATAAGCAACTTCAGCAAAGTCTCAGGATACAAAATCAATGTGCAAAAATCACAAGCATTCTTATACACCAATAACAGACAAACAGAGAGCCAAATCATGAGTGAACTCCCATTCACAATTGCTTCAAAGAGAATAAAATACCTAGGAATCCAACTTACAAGGGATGTGAAGGACCTCTTCAAGGAGAACTACAAACCACTGCTCAAGGAAATAAAAGAGGATACAAACAAATGGAAGAACATTCCATGCTCATGGGTAGGAAGAATCAATATCGTGAAAATGGCTATACTGCCCAAGGTAATTTATAGATTCAATGCCATCCCCATCAAGCTACCAATGACTTTCTTCACAGAATTGGAAAAAACTACTTTAAAGTTCATATGGAACCAAAAAAGAGCCCGCATGGCCAAGTCAATCCTAAGCCAAAAGAACAAAGCTGGAGGCATCACACTACCTGACTTCAAACTATACTACAAGGCTACAGTAACCAAAACAGCATGGTACTGGTACCAAAACAGAGATATAGACCAATGGAACAGAACAGAGCCCTCAGAAATAATGCTGCATATCTACAACTATGTGATCTTTGACAAACCTGACAAAAACAAGAAATGGGGAAAGGATTCCCTATTTAATAAATGGTGCTAGGAAAACTGGCTAGCCATATGTAGAAAGCTGAAACTGGATCCCTTCCTTACACCTTATACAAAAATCAATTCAAGATGGATTAAAGACTTAAATGTTAGACCTGAAACCATAAAAACCCTAGAAGATACCATGTTATTAACCTAGGCAATACCATTCAGGACAAAGGCATGGGCAAGGACTTCATGTCTAAAACACCAAAAGCAATGGCAACAAAAGTCAAAATTGACGAATCGGATCTAATTAAACTAAAGACTTTCTGCACAGCAAAAGAAACTACTATCAGATTGAAAAGGCAACCTACAAAATGGGAGAAAATTTTTGCAACCTACTCATCTGACAAATGGCTAATATCCAGAATCTACAATGAACTCAAACAAATTTATAAGAAAAAAACAAACCACCCCATCAAAAAGTGGGCAAAGGATATGAACAGACACTTCTCAAAAGAAGACATTTATGCAGCCAAAAGACACATGAAAAAATGCTCATCATCACTGGCCATCAGAGAAATGCAAATCAAAACCACAATGAGATACCATCTCACACCAGTTAGAATGGTGATTATTGAAAAGTCAGGAAACAAAAGGTGCTGGAGGATGTGGAGAAATAGGAACACTTTTACATTGTTGGTGGGACTGTAAACTAGTTCAACCATTGTGGAAGTCGGTGTGACGATTCCTCAGGGATCTAGAACTAGAAATACCATTTGACCCAGCCATCCCATTACTGGGTATATACCCAAAGGATTATAAATCATGGTGCTATAAAGACACATGCACACGTATATTTATTGCATCACTATTCACAATAGCAAAGAGTTGGAACCAACCCAAATGTCCAACAATGATAGACTGGATTAAGAAAATATGGCACGTATACACCATGGAATACTATGCAGCCATAAAAAATGATGAGTTCCTGTCGTTTGTAGGGACATGGATGAAGCTGGAAACCATCATTCTCAGCAAACTATCGCAAGGACAAAAAACCAAACACCACATGTTCTCACTCATAGGTGGGAATTGAACAATGAGAACACATGGACACAGGATGGGGAACATCACACACCGGGGACTGTTGTGGGGTGGGGGGAGGGTGGAGGGATAACATTAGGAGATACACCTAATGTTAAATGAGGAGTTAATGGGTGCAGCACACCAACATGGCGCATGTATACATATGTAACAAACCTGCACGTTGTGCTCATGTACCCTAAAACTTAGATAAAAAAAAGACAATGCAACTTTTAGAATTGAAAAAAACACAACAAAAAAAAGAAAATACAAATCACCAAAATTTAATTCACAGAAATTGTGAACCAGGAAAGACCAATATTCATGGAAGAAATTAAGAAGTTTATCAAGGCTATTCAAGTGGATGGAGAACAGATGATTTGGCAGTATTTGTTTTCTAAGGGATAAAAAAAAAAGGAATCTTGAAAATATTTAAAAGATGTTTCATGAAGAAATGAAATCGCCCAAATATATTTTTATACACATTTATGTACATACAAAACATCATAAAAATGTGTATTAAAAATTAACGTACTATGCATGAAATGCAGGGATATTTAAGCATGCTAATACAATTACCATATTGTACATCACGTATAAAATCTATTATGGTATCAATAATTACTTGACCTGACAAATTTCAACATACGTTTTTAAATGAAACCAACACAACAAGCTAAAAATAATAATATAACATGAGTTCATGGAATCTTCCCTGGCATGATGAAAAAAATATCTCTAACACAAGAGTAAGCACTAGAAGACGTTACATTAAATCAGAAATAAGACAATGATGCAGTTATCATCAATGTTTCAAACTGTTGCTCTGAAAGTATTCACCAATGTAATTAAATAAGAGGAAGAAATTAGAAGCATACATATGGGAAAGGCAGAAGTAAAACAATCACTCCAGGTAGCATTCTTTTGTATTTGTAAAACTGTTAGATCGAGGCAGGAATATTATAAAGAGGCTAAGTATAAAATTCAATACAAAAAAGTATTAACTTTCCTGTACGTAAACATTAACAAATTAGAGTACATAATGGGGAAGAAAATCCCATTTATAGTGACAGCAAATTGAGAAAAATACCTGTAACATATATAGGTATGTTTGTTACATGTATGTTCTATATATGGTTATCATATATGTCATCTGTTATACATAAAATATATAATATACATATGCAACTGATGGAAGAAAAATTAAAATTCCACTGAAGGACTAATTATAAAAAATTATAAATGGATTTTATCTTTAATAGCTAGTTTTGATACTATAACAATTTTAAGTATTTAGGAATCAATATAAATTCAATACAGTATCAGTTAATATATAGAATTTTTAAAAGTATGATACAAAGCATTCTAAATTTCATTGTAGTAATTTGGACTCTGGCATATGATTACTTATAAAATCTGGAAAGATAATAAAATGTGGAAAATATTTTAAAATACAGAATAAAAAAAGAAATATAATGACCTCTTTGTCATATTCCAGATAACCCCAAGGTTTTCTCTGCATTTTATCAAATGGGAGAGTAAATGAAACACTCCAGTGAAATATTATTGCCAATTTCCAAAGGAACACACAATCGGCTAAAAATACACAGTTTAACCATGGTTGCATAGAAGATTACCTTTATGCATTTTCTCATTAAGTTCTTGTATTTGCCTTTCTCTTTTCTAACTTCTTGAGATTTGGCTTTGTGTTCAAGAATTTCTTTGCTGCTTTAGCCTCTGATATTAGCCCTGTGCTGTGGTGAATAACATGGACAGTTACCCTGTTAACATTCTCATGCTGTACCCTCTTTATGTGGATACAAATTCTTTCTGTAAGCCAGACTTGCCCATTATCTCCCCTTTTAGTATCCTCAAACCACCTAGAACTTCTCTTGTGGATAGGTATGGAGTGGTCATTAGAGCCCTGCCACAGCTCTTTAAAAAACTGGAAGGACAGGATCTTTCTGTGCCTGGGTGAAAGCACACTGAAGTGGTGCTTGCTGTTCTTTCTGCTGTCTGAGGTCACCAAGGGATGGAAATTTATGGTGACCAGCTACCAAGGGCACGAAGAGCTTGGTATTGTGACCAGTTTTGACTTATTCAAGGATTGCAATGTTTTATTTTGTAACACAGAATTCAATTTTATCAACTTTTACCGTGTCAAGACATTTATGTTTTCTTATTTTAACTCTTAATATGGTTAATCACACAAATTGATAGTATAGTATTATATCAACATCTTTTAGTAGAGACAGGGGTTTCACCATGTTGGAGAGGCTGGTCTTGAACTCCTGACCTCAAGGGATCTGCCTCCCTCGGCCTCCCAAAGTGCTGAATTACAGGCATGAGTCACCATGCCTGGCCAAATTCTCATGTTATTATTTCTTTTTGTTATTTAGAATTTGCATCCTTGAACTTTTTCATTGTCAATAGGAGGAACAAGTAAAACCACGGAAGCATGAAGATGTCTTGGTTTTGAAAACACCATGGTGTTAGGAAAAGAATTGATCAGGAAAGTAAGTACATAAGATTAAAATCAGTTGTTTTTAAAGTTATTTAAAATTTCCTTTTAGACCACAGACACATAGTCTCTTATGGGTGACGATCTCACTCCCTTCAGAATGGGAGTTTCCAGAAGAAATCAAGTGTATTTTCTGCAATTTATTTAATTGCCTAGAAATGTAATTGAGAAAATTATCTGACAGAACCAGCAGTGCCTTGGTTTCATATAGGAATAGGTAAATCTTCTGCAAATTAACCTACTTGCACAGAAGAATTAATGGACATTTGAAGACTTCTGTAGTAACACTTTTAATTTAGTCCAGCTATCTATACCAAAGCAATTTGGAGATAATTTCAGAAATTTTATTCAAATAAATGAAGGTTCAACTGGTTATCATTTGTGTGATAAATCCCATCACCAGAATGCTACTCATTTCGACTTGCTTCCTTAATAATCACGTATCACTTTATTAATATTCATTCATTCATTTGTTACATGCTGGGGAGAATAAAATGAATTCTCCTCATTTTAAATAGAATGAGATTGAAGTCCAAAGGAAAATAAATTGTATACAGGTTTCATTCATTTATATATTCATTCAGTCCACATTTCTTCAATTCTTACTAAAGCCAGGCCCTATCACGGGTACCGATAATAGATGTCAAAGGAGTTACAGTCTACTGTGTAAGAGAGACATATAAAGAAATAATTACAATACAATGTGTACAGGCATTTCCAAATTAGGCAGAAATATACCCAGTATTAAAATATTTGGTATCCCAGTCCACAGTATCACTCTTTTTGTTCAAGAGTCTTTGTGCTCCTTTGTCACCATGTTCTTTCATCTTCCCAACCACTTTCCACAGTGATATTTCTAAAGCTCACGTCTTATAATGCTCTCCACTGATGGAAACACTAACATTACTTTCCCAACCCTAGGAAAAGGGTATGTTAGGTTACACACAAGACCCAATCTCACTGTTTGTTCAATCATATTCCTTTAATATCTCTCTTGCTGTTAACCAGCATATTCAGCATTTAAACCATACAAAAAAACCTATCAATTCCCTCTAACTCCCCAAATACTATATTTCTGTGACTTTGAACATACTTCCGATCACCTAGAATGTACCTCTTGTACCTACATTGAAGACTCTTTTTTAACTGTTACCTTCTGTTTACGTACCTTTATGTAACCTCTAAGGAGAGAAGTCACCACTTCTTTGTCCTCTGATTATATCTTGTTTTACCCCATCATAGGCCTTGTCATACTCTATTCCATTTATTTGTTTACATGCCTGTCTCCTATCAAGTTATGACCTCCTTGAAATCATGGGTAATAGCTTATCTTTTTATACACAGTGCCTAAAAATTTGCTGAGATACGATGGATGATTTTTTAAAAAATTGTCAGACAGGCTGGGTGCCGTGGCTCACGCCTGTAATCCCAGCACTTTGGGAGGCCCAGGTGGGCGTATCACCTGAGGTTAGGAGTTCAAGACCAGCCTGGCCAACATGATGAAACCCCATCTATACTAAAAATACAAAAATAAGCTGGGTGTGGTAGCCTGTGCCTGTAGTTGGGAGGCTGAGGCAGGAGAATCGCTTGAAACCGGGAGGCAGAGGTTGCAGTGAGCCGAAATCGCACCACTGCACTTTAGCATGGGCGAAAGAGCAAGACTCTGTCTCAAAAAAAAAAAAAAAAAAAAAAATTGTCAAACGATTTCAGTTCCCAACAGGAGTACTATGAGATAGGGAATGAGGTAAATTGACTTTCTGTTTTCCTCCCAATCTAAAGCAGTGGATTGCAAAATGTGGTTTCTGGACTTGTAATATAAATATCATCTGAGAATCTGTTAGAAAGCACTATCTCTTTGCCTGGACAAGTAATTTATGACCAAGTTATGAAAATCAAATGCAACAGAAACAAAAATTGATCACTGGACCCTAATTAAACTAAAGAGCTTCTGCCCAGCAAAACAAACTATCAACAGAGTAAGCAGACAACCTACGGAATGGGAGAAAATATTTGCTAACTATGCATCTGACAAAGGACTAGTATCCAGAACCTATAAGGAACTTGAACAAATTGACAATAAAGAAACAAATAACCCCATTAAAAAGTAAGCAAAGAATATGAACAGACAGTTCTCAAAAGAAGACATACAAGCAGACAACAAACATGAAAAATGTTCAACATCACTAATCATCAGAGAAATGCAAATCAAAACCACAATGAGATACCATCTCACACCAGTCAGAATGGCTATTAAAAAGTCAAAAAATAATGGATGTTGGTGAGGTTGCAGAGAAGAGGGAATGCTTATACACTATTGATGGGAATGCAAATTAGTGCAGCCTCTATGGACAACAGTATGGAAATTTTTCAGATAACTAAAAATAGAACTACCATTTGTCCCAGCAATGCCATTACTGGGTATATACCCAAAGGAAAATAAATTGTTCTACGAAAAAGACACTTGCACTCATATGTTTATTGCATTGCTATTCACAATAGCAAAGACATGGAATCAACCCAAGTACCCATCAACAGTGGACTGGAAAAGGAAATTGTGGTATGTATATAAGTTGGAATACTACATAGCCATAAAAAAGAATGGAATAATATTCTTTGCAGCAACATGGATGAAGCCGGAGGCTATTACCCTAAGTGAACTAATGCAGGAACAGAAAGCCAAATACCGCTTATTCTCACTTATAGGTGGGACTTAAACACTGGGTACACACGGACACAAATATGGGAATAAACACTAGAGATTCCAAAAGTGATTGAGGGCAGGGGGTTGAAAAACTTCTTATCAAATACAGTGTTCACTAATTGGGTGACAGGATAATTAGAAGCCCAAACGTCAGCATCATCACCTAATATACCCATGTAACAAACATGCACATGTACTCCTGAATTTAAAATAAAAAAGAATAAATTTTCAACAATAAGACAGAACTAACTTGGTTTGAAAATAAACAAAAGAAAGAAAAGCATTGTCTCAAGACCTGCTCCATCCTTCCTTCAAGACCTATTAAATCAGAATCTCTGGGGGATAAGGCCCAAAATTTAGTGTATTTACAAGTCCTCCAGGTGATACTTATATGGACTAAATGTTGAGAACTAACAGGTTCCCGCAAAAGGAAAATTCATGTTTTAATTGCACTCAGAAGTCTGCAGAAGATAGGAGAGAGGGACCACGGCAGCACATCCAAATGAATGATGGAAAAAGAGACCAGGCCCTCCTGGTTGGAGGTAATTCCCTGACTTCCTTTGTGAGAAAGGATTGGGGATCAATGGTAGACTCATACCTACCACAGTATCTGCAACATTCGAATAGTGTAGTATAGCCAAGTTGTCAAGGGAACGGGTTTTGGTGTTCAAAACAATGAGATTCTGTCCTGGCTTCCCTGTTATCAGCTGTGTCATCTGAGCTTCAGGACTCTTATCTAAAAAATAGGAGTAACAATATATCTGTCACTATGGATTTGTTTTAATAATAAATGATAGATGTCATTTGCAAAAACGTGGATGGAACTGGAGGTCATTATGTTAAGTGAAATAAGTCAGGCAGAGAAAGACAAACACCGCATGTTGTCACTTATTTGTGGTATCCAAACATCAAAACAAGTGAACCCATGGAGTGGAAGGATGGTTATCAGAGGCTGGGAAACCTCTAGTCGGGGGTTGAGGGTTGGGGGGAGGTGGGGATGGTTAATGGTTATAAAAATAATTACAAAGAATATATAAAATCTACCATTTGATAGCACAACAGGGTGACTACAGTCAATAATTTAATTGTACATTTTAAAATAACTAGAACAGTATAATTGGATTGTTTGTAACACAAAGAATAAATGCTTGAGGGGATAGATACCCCATTCTCCATGGTGTGATCATTACACATTGCATGCCTGTATCAAAACATCTAAGGTATACCACAAATATATACACCTACTATATACCAGAAAACTTAAAAAAAATTTAAAAATAATAAATGGTAAAGTTGCAAGAATGCATCTTGTTTCTAATTGACACAGAGTAGGATTAATTTGGTCAAAATATATTTCATATATCGTATCGTGACCTACTAAAGGACAAAACATAATTTTGACTAAAAGGATAGAAGAAAGAGCCCCATGTTGCTTCTTCTGTACTTTATTAACAGGCTTCAAGGAATAAAGTGGGAATGGATTTCCTTTACTTCCCATCTGCTCACATTGATTTGATTAAGCCTAGTGAGGTTCTAGCAAAAATCTAATTGGAAGAAGTTTAATCATAGTGTAGTATAAAGAGCACTAGGCAGAGTTTGAGTATCAACTGCCAGTTGATTCGCTGTGAGATCTTGGGGAAGTTACTTCATTTCTCTGATCCCAATATTTCCCCTTGTAAAATGAAGATGAAATGATGCATCCATTCTCCTTCAGAGGGTTACGTGAGATGCAAATGTACATGAATAGGCTTTTTAAAATGTGCAAATATTAGCTATTAGCTATTCCCAGTTGCTCTATTGGGGAGTATTTCTTCATATTTTACCATAAGGTTCACATTAGCCTGCCTGAATCCTGACTGCTTTAACTTACTTGTACGTATCTGTGGATGCATCTTGGTTTTGATCTGTAATAGATTCATGCACAGAGTAAACACCATAACCATCACCTTGCTTTGCTATATAATCAGACATTTTATTTTTGCCCTGTTAGAGAAATGGAAATTCCTTATGGTCTCAAATTGCCTACTGATGAGTGAACTGCATTTCTCCCCCAACATTTATAGCCCTTAAGAAATGGAGACACCAGGTATAGTGTTTATTACAAGAGGCATTAATAATAGCCTGCTGAATAAAGGCTGTCTGTGGTATGTCAAGTGCTTCTAGAATACTGTGCCTCACAGTTCAGCAAATAAAGCCAACCTAAAAAGCAGGTGGTGAATCCTAATTCAGGGAAAGATGTATGCTGTAACAGGTTGTTCTTAGAGCTAAGGAAAGTCTTTATCATCTGTCTGAGCATAAGGTGTTCTGGTATTTGGGAAATGGGTAAATAAAGAGCTACTATGTAAGTTGTAGAGGGCTGGCCAATTACAAAAATAGGATATAGGACTACAAAAATAGGATATAGGACATGAATTAGCATTAAAATTGTATAAAGGCAGCACCAGGTACAAGATTGGTTTAGAATATGACACGGATAGATTCAATTCCTAGTTTTCTTACCTACTGTGTAGGTTAGGTAAAGTCATAGAAATATCTGAACCTCTATTTTCTTATCTATTAAGTGAGGATCATAATTTCTTTTCCAAGAAGCTGTTGCAGGAATATAGTGAGAGGTTACATGTGAAAGTATTTATCTCAGTGCCTGACCCAGAGAAGGTACTAACAAATTGTTTTTATTACTTTTCTTGTATATATTTTATCTTTCTTTTCCTTTTCTTGCTCTCCTTTTCTTCATATTTCCTTTTATCTTTCCTAGGACTCAAGTCATCCTTTATTTGAGGATTTGAAAGGCATTTGAGGACTTATACACTGACTCCGAACTAGCTTGGTGCAGCTTTTATTATAATTGTAGTAGTTGTGAAAATGACTCTTTAATAGATATTTCTGGATATTAAAACACCTGTGTTATCCATGTATAAAAACAAAAAACCGGTGAGTGGTCAAAAAGAGAAGCAGTTAAGCTTGTAATCCCAGCACCTTGGGAGGCTGAGGTAGACGGATCACCTGAGGTCAGTAGTTCGAGACCAGCCTGGCCAACATGGTGAAATCCCATCTCTACTAAAAATACAAAATTAGCTGGGCGTGGTGGCGCTTTCCAGTAATCCCAGGTACTTGGGAGACTGAAGCAAGAGAATTGCTTGAACCTGGGAGGCGGAGGTTGCAGTGAGCCGAGATCACACCGCTGCACTCCAGCCTGGGTGACAGAGTGAGACTCTGTCTCAAAAACAAAAACAAAAACAAACAAAAGGGAAGCAGTGAAGAACAAAGACTTACTTTGTAAAAATGGTTGATTCCAGGGATGGGGCAGGGAAAGTCCAAGTGAACCTGGAAAATTTGGTGGTGCCAGAAAGTAGCCTCAAAGAATGATTGAGACATGTTCATAGAACACAGGAATAAGCTTGAAGGGGATACTCTGCCCAAATTTAGGACAATTGGAGCAGCAAAGTAAATAACGATAGTAACAAATTATAACTCACTGAATACAAACTCATGAGTTCATACAAATATGAATAAATGATATAGAAAAAAATGGGAGAAGGGAAGGCTCTTTGTTACAGTAGAATTCCAATGAATGAATGCAGAAGAAATGATGGAATTAGGAAATTATCATTTGGTAAATATCATAACCAATAATTAATTCAGTCAACAGTCATTATGCTAAAACTAGTGGGTGAACGTTTGCTGTGGGAATAGGGTATTTATGCCCTCCACAAAACACTTATTAATTATAAAAGGAAAAATAGTAACTTTACAGTGGAGAAACCTGGTGGACACCACCTCCACTAAATGATCAAAGTTAATGTTACCAGTAATGAAACAAACTGACACGACAGCCTCCTGATATGAGGCTCTGGAGTACACAAACTCCCTTCTGTGGTATTCCTACCAATAAATGCACAAGCTGAATCTAATCATGAGGAAACATCAGACTGCTCCCATTTGAAAAAATAGGCATCAAAATAACTGGTCTGTGTTCTTTAAAAATGTCAATGTCATGAAAGAGAAGAACTGAGGAACTCTTCCAGAGTAAAGGAGACCAAAGAGACATGACACCTAAAAGAAACACACGATCCTTGATTTATTGACTCCTAGAAGAAAAAAATACATACATACAAGTATATATATGTGTGTGTGTGTGTGTGTGTGTGTGTGTGTGTGTACATAATCTTTGTTAAGTTTCTGATTTTGGTAATTATAGTGCAAGCATATGAGAGAATATCCTTGTCTTCCTAGAAATAAACCCTGAAGTATTTAGAGATAATGGGGCATCACGCTGGAAACTTACTCTCAACTGATTTAGAAGAAAAATTATAGATGTAGTTACAAAATTATAGATGTATCCATCTTCTATCTATCTATCTATTGAGAGGAATATTGATACAGCAAATATGATAAAAATATTAACAATTGAAGAACCTAGATTAGGACATATGGAAATTCTTTATACTATTCTTGCAGTTCTTCAAAATTATATCAAAATAAAAAGTTAAAAATATTGTAAGAACAGAGCAGCTTGACAATTGACAGATTTTGACTCGAGCCTTGGCTCCACTCATTAGCTGTGCGACAGTGGGAATCTTACCTAAATTCTCCATGCTCAAGTTTTCTCCTATGTAAATGAAGAAAATAATACTATCTCCTGGGGTCATTAAAAGGATGAAATGAAATTAATCAAGCTAGCTGCTTACCACTGTGTCTAAAATGTATGAGGCACTCAATAAATTGCAGCTATTGCTGTCATTATTATTGTCATATTAGAGACCTAAAACAAATTTAGCACATCATTCTCTTTGAGGAGCTTTCTTTAGAACTCCTCCTTGTATTCATAGGCTGTTATATCTACCTTTATTTTACTACCAGTTAATACTGTGTTGTAATGTGTTTGTATGTCCATCTTTATCACTATGTAGGCAGTTTCTTGAGGGTGGCAAACCTGTCTTTTCATCTTTGTGGCCCTTGTGCCTTGGGTACAGCTGAGCCTGATATAGGTGCTCTATGACTGTGGTTGACTAAACGGTGGTAAGGAGAAGCACTAGTAGAGCAGGTAATTCCTATAAATCTGAATACATAAGATGATGCTAGTTTATCTGCACCAAGCAAATGTTTCGTACATTCTGTAAGGCTACATACATCACCTGTAATAATGATTGAATTTGAGACTCTCGACTCATTAGGATAACCGACTACAGATGATTGGTTTTGAGTCATGAAAGGATGCAAATGAGTGGATGTATCACAAGTATTGTCCTTTGGAATTTGGCAGCCTGGACTTGGAAAATTACTCACTGAGATGCTCAAGCCATCATGATCAGTTGTAATTCAAGACAAATGAGAACAAAGAGTGTTTACCTACTGCTCACGAGAAAAATTTCAATTTCTTAGCTTCTTCTCAGCCCAACATACAAAAATTTGTGCCAGATTATAGTGCAGTTTTGCAGAGCAGACAGATGGGTCTATTACAAAATAATTTATTTAAATTCTTGCCTTGCTTCATCCAAGGTACCCATTTCCACACTAATATTATTGGCATTCTTTAATTTGCCTTTCTTTTCATCTTTAATTACTGTGTTTTGCTTCTCTCTGAGATCCATTAAAGTATCACCCAGTGATGGAATTCGAATGAATTTTTCCTAACTGATTTATGTTCAGGGATGATTTTTCTTCTTCTTTAGATTATTTGAAAGTTTCTCTGCATTTGCTCAAGAATTAAAATGCCCTTCCAATACCCTTTTTCATTTTGAGACATATCCACTGACAACATTCCCCATAATAATATTTCTGTGGTCTTTGGAAGTCATTCAATTTGAAGGAAGACTAAAAATGGTCAAATGTTTGTGCACCTAAATAGGGTAAATGCCTCTAAAATAAATATTAACTTCATTTTTACTTGACATATTTACATAGCTGCTTGAAATTGTTTTGCCTCCCTTTTCAAAACTGACAAAGAGCCCTTTAGGGAGATATTTGTAAGGGATAACATTTAATGCCAAGTATCAAAGATCTTTGGATGTGTTTATGTTTGTTGTATGTTATTTCTTATACATGCAAAACATAGTATACGTGCCCGTATAAGAAAATAATCTATGGTTATGTTTTATTTTAATGAAGAGCCAACAGAAACTCAGAAAAGAATGATATAAATAATGCATAAATCATTGAGACATAAGAAATCTTGAAGTATTGGTTTGGTTGGATATTAGAGATACATGGAAATAGTCCATCACTAGTTTAGGGTTCTCAATACTCTAATCACCATTTCTTGTCCAGGCTTTAAAATAATCAATACCTCAACTGTATCCTTGTAAAGAGTTTGAAATGTACTCTTATGAATCTTACAAAAGACAAGCAAGTAGCATTCAACACAAATTTATCTCCTTCAGGGCGCTTTTAGCTATCATTGCTATCATGTGTGTCTGCTGCCTTTTAAATAAGTATTTTTGAATTAAAGGAGAGAATAAAAAGCCCTCAACAATTTCCCTGTTGGGTATCAGTAAACATCCACGAATCTTTTAAGAAACATCATTAAATAGAGTGACCATTAAGAAATAGAGGGTTTAAGAATGAAAGCGCCTGAACATCATGGCTTCTTCCACAATGCAGTTCTGTTTCCAACACTGCATTATGACCTCAAAAGGCATCACAATTTTTCAAGTGTCTTACATCGAGATGTAAGTTGAAAGTGCAGTTGGTTGAGAGCTGCTGGGGAATCAAATTCATTTTGCAAAGTGAGTTTGCAAAGTAAGTCCTAATTCTTATGTGATCCTTTTAGGTTGAACAGAAGTCTACATTTCTTTCCTGTTAAGTGCAGACCTTAACATATTTAAAAGTTGACTTGAGGAAGTCATGACTATACATAAAAACCATCCTGTGATCTTTGAAAGTCCAAGATCATTCCAAGACTGCTGTCATTTTAATAAATTTTTGCAAACTGGAGAAGGAACTACATAAAGGGTGAGCTTGTAAAGATCAAGAAATGTATCAATAAACCCAAAGATATTCTGAGAAGCATGACAGCCTCCTTGAGTGTTCTTTTCTTTATTTTGCATAGTAGACATTTTCTTGTGTACTATAATGCCTACCAGACTTTCCATCCCGTTTTTCTCTCAAATGTGAATTACTTAGCTCAGAATTCAGCTTGAGTATCACACGCAAAAACACAGACAGGATTAGAACAGAGATACGCAAAGTCACTTTAAGGCACAGACTATTGTTTTTTGGTCAGAACAAGATTGTCTCAAAGAAATATGAAGAAAAAAGTATCCATCGGACAAGAAGGTCATTCATTAATTCATTTACTCTTCAATCACAGTTGAGATTATCTTTGAGCCTTGGGGTATGCTAGGCAGGCACTGGGAATACAAGGAGAAAAAGGAGACACTGAAAAGCCAGCAATATTCAAGCTTTTCCAAATGCCGAACAACAGAGAGGATGCCCAGGCAAGCAGATGCTACACTCTTGCGCATCTGGCAGGTATATCCCTATTTTGGACCATCTGATGCTGGTATAAGAAATCTTTGAGTAACTTCTCCTCCTGCTCTGGTTCCTTACTCACAAAGCATTCTGATTATACTAATATGCTTTCCTGTGTAATATGACAATAGGGAGAAAACACATTTACCCTATGACCCCAGTTACATACCCACCAGGGGTGGGGGACTTGAGCAGTGACATTTCACACTGCAATCAAAGAGGTTAGTATTGCAGTTTAAAGACTTAGCCATAATGTAGTAACATTGTGAGCAAATCTTACCAAATATTCTACTTGAAGGCCTTTGTATAATGTAGTTTCTGCCTCTCCAGGCTGAGAAGACTTTCTTTAGACAACTGTTCCATTTAAATCCATAGTTATACTTGTATATATGTATTCTGGATTTTCTCTGCTTTATTCATATGCCCTCTTACCTTAGCTATATATAGACAAATGTTGAGGTTTTGGATTTCTTTAGTAAAGATTTCTGGAAAGACTTTGTCTTCATTAAAAAAAAAAAAAAAAAAACTACCCTCACTTCATCCCATTAAATTTATGACAAAAAATTATTTTTAAAATTGTTCTTAACCTGGTGCATATAATAGGTAGAAAACATCTCGGCCTGAACCCTTCTGTTTCTTCTCTGTGTGACATGTATATAGACCTGGCAGGCACTCGGTGTCCTTGATTAGATGGTTGCTAATCAGGAAAGGAGGACATTCCAACTGTGCTCTCCAGTGACAGAGATTTGTGCTCAGAAAGCAGCTTATATTTTTTGCCTCCCTCTGTCCCTTCAGTGATCACATCCAAGTTATTTTCCAATTCTTGTTGCTGTCTGCTACCTATACTAAATGAATACTAATGGTGTTTTATAAAAACCTTTGTATCCATCTAAGCTGTTAGCCTCTTAAGGGCATTTTCATTTTCTTATTTCAGGCTATGTCTTTCCTTCATCATTCTGCCCTTGTCTCTATTGAAAAGATAGCATCTTTTTTAGCATATTCAAAGGCAATGAAGTCTTTTTTTTTTGTTAGATGTCATCATTATAGGTATGGATGGATCACTTCATATCAACGTCATCCTCAAAGATCCTGAGAAACATCTTGAAAAAGAAAAGAATGGCTTTTTTGGGGGGTGGGGGAGCTGGAAATTAAATCAAAGCAATACAAAACTCACCCATTTAACTGCCCTGAGTGAAGGTTAGATATATCTAATCTATCCAAGATGCCTAACTTAAATATTTAGGTACTTTTATTTTGCAAGTCCCTGTATGACCTGAAATCAGCTACCCAGTAACCCTCAGAAATTTGAACTAAGAATACTTTTCATGCATACACCTTCCTAAAAGTTCACTTCTTACCGAAGGATGAATCCTTGGGAATTCTTGTCTCATCATGTAGAAGGGCATCTTGTTGCTATGCACAATGTCATCATCGGGACTCAAGCCAAGTACATGCTAGAAAGCCTCAACTGTTGATCAATGGCAAGTACATCAGCTTGTTTAAAATATCATGGGGTTCTCCAGGCATTTCATTTTCTAATTGTGAACAATTATTTGCATTTAATTTAGATCTCATCTTGCTGCCTGCAAGTCAGATGGCAACACCACCAGAGCCAGAGGAAGTAATTACATAATCTCCAATATCTTTCCATCAATTAATTTATTTGGATGAGTTTAAATGCTAACATAAGGAAGTGCTTGATAGTGTTAGCTACAGGCAGGCAAAGGGGGGTGATTGTAAAGTGAGTCATCCACATTTTCCAGCTCAGCTGTATTATGGTTAGCTCATGCTTATTAAAGCAACATTGCAATCTTGAATTTGCTTTTCAGTAAAGATTAATGGAAGTCCTAGTAGGGTTTAGCAACATATTTAGCAATTTTTTCTGATAATTTACCAGGGTTCTTGTTCAGTTAATTTAATTAAAATCAGAAAGTTATAAGTTAGTGATAAAAATAACCACTTTGAAGGTTGTTGTAAGGATCAAATGAGGTAATATATGTAAATTACTTCAGTTACTGACCACTGGCTGGCTCTCGATGTACAAAATTCATTGTTTTTGTTTCTGTTAATATCAATTTGTTTCTAGAAAAATACAAGATAATAACTTTGAGACAAAATATCTCAGTAACAAAATTCTTTTACTAGAAACAAGTTAGGAAAGAGAAAAGAGTTATTATTTATTATTTTTTCAAACGTTAAGAAGAGCAGAGGCCCAAATTACTAATTTTATTTTTTATGAATTATCGCACATTTCATGGATTGGGATTTTCAAACTTTTGGTGTCTATAGTCTTTGCTGAGACAGAAGACCATAAAGACATCTAGTCAACCTACTCCCAGATGCCAACCCCAAATAAATCAATCCGGAAAACTAAAGATGAGAAGGAACAGGGGTGATTAAAAGGGAAGAAAACTAACATTTTGTGTATGCTAACTATGTGCTTAGAGCTGAGCCAGATACGTGACATCAATCTATGGGCAGACTTTGGAATTAAACTCAGTTGCTGCTATAAGTGCATCATTCCATTTTCCTAGTCATGGCTTTACTATTAACTCTTGCACTTGTGCACTAAGGTGGGTGAAGAGGCAGGCGGGGATAGGGCTGGGAATAAGAACAAAAATAAAGAGTTGGTACAGCCAGACTATGAGAGGAGATATTCTCTGAGGCTTTCTGCTCCCTCTCCTCTTCCTGCTCCATTCACCCATGCCTGTGGGTGGCCACCTTATAGTTATCGTGAAATAATGGAAATAAACTGCGTTGCTTATCAGCACCATGTGAGCAGCAGTGCAATAGCTGTCCAGACCTTCCAGGCTATACTTGTGAATTTCCAGCCACAAAGCAATTCAGATTAAAGGGACTTCCTCTTTTATCTCTTCTCTCCCTTCTCCCTCTGCTGACAGGGAACATTATCCTGATACCATAGGCATATTATATCATCTTCTTTTCAAAAAGGAAATAAAAAACAACCTTTATAGCTTACTGAGGATTATGAGGCAACCATATTAATTCCATCCTTCTTAAGTGGTTTATCTGTGTTGATATGGGATGTGAGTGAGGGTGGATTCCTCCATGTGTACCGCTTGCCTACAGTTGGCAAAAACTAGTAGGGAGCACAAAATGTATGTGTTTGTGTTTATATGTATAAGAGGCGGTGGCCTCTAATTTCATCCCAAGGATAAGTACAAAGTGAATGATGTCAGCTATTGTTTTGAATTATTAATATTTACCTTTTCCTCTAGTAAGAAAAACATTTACAGATTGACTATCTTTCCTTAAGCCTTCTTCAATGTAGAATGTTCTTAATCCGTCCCTCATGATATTTCTTCATGGAAACTGTCAATGGTTAAGCACACTCCTTTCAAAAAAATATTCTTCCTTTATGTCTTCCTCCCATTCTGGATGTAATTCTTCCCCTCTGCTTCTATATATGATTTTTTCTTATCTCTTTCCAACTCCATTTCACCTCTTTTCTGTTGTGCTTCTTTTCACTGCATTATCTTATCCTAAAAGGTTCCTTATTTTCTACACAGACTATAGAGTCCTGCCTTCCTCTAGCTAATGAAAAGCAGTTTCCTTACACAAATTTTTCACACTCATAAGGCATCATGAAAGTAACTTGCTTCTAAACTAAAAAAGAAAACCCTTAACATGTCAGAAGCGCAACTGATGAGTTTCTGATTCTCAGGATGCTTATCTGAACCTCTCCAAATTTTGAGATTCATCAATGTCTAATAAATATGTCACTTGCAAACTCTCTTAAGCGACAATCGCATATCAAGCTCCACATACAATTTGGAATACCTAAACAGCCATGGTGCCCTGACATACTTTTCGGGCATTTCAAATCATCATCTGTAAAATAACACTGGACTTTCAAACTCAACACAGACACAAGCAACTCAATATATCTTTGGGTTGCCAGCAGCTCCGGAGGAGCCCAAGGGCTATTTGATGCACATCACAGAGCCTGTTCTTAGACTTCTCTGCCTCTTCTCCCTTTCGAGTTTGCTTTCCTGGCAGTGACAATAATGAGGCATCCGCAGGCAAGTAGCCATAGTTAGGGATATTTCCCATCCCACACTCCCTCAGTAAGCCCACTCGCTGTGGCAGAGTGAGAGTATCAAAAATGTGGAAACTATGGCAGGGAAACACTGGAATCTTTCCAATCACCGCCTCCAGTTGGAATTACATTTTACTAAACTAATCTGTCCCTGGAAACTTTAAAGTTAAGTATCCTTGTTCATAGCATGAAATTGGGAGAAAAAAGGACCTGAGTTCAAGTTGTGACCCTGGAATTCACCTGCTCTACAACCTTAAGTTTCTTCCCATATCTAGCCTTCAGGCTCCTCATAAATGGAATGCTGATGATTAAAATAGTACCTCTTTCATAGGTTGCTATGAGTAACCAAGTAAATATTGCTTATAAATTGTGTGGCACATTGCCAGGCAAATGATGAGGGTTCAATCAATGGTATTTGCTATTTTTTAATAGAATTTTATCTTACACTCTCTTCCAACCTCACCAAAACTGCTGGGCCTCTGTGAAAGCAGAATTTAAAAACAGAGGCTGAGTGTGGTGGCTCATGCCTGTAATCTCAGCACTTTGGGAGGCTGAGGTGGGCGGATGACTTGAGGTCAGGAGTTCGAGACCAGCCTGGCCAACATGGCGAAACCCCATCTATACTAAAAATACAAAAAATTAGCTGGGCGTGGTGGCCGGTGACTGTAATCCCAGCTATTCAGGAGGCTGAGACAGGAGAATTGCTTGAACCTGGAAGGCAGAGGTTGCAGTGAGCCAGCCTGGGTGACAGAGCGTGACTGTCAAAAAAAAAAAAAAAAAAAAAAAAAACCACCAGAAAACAAAAAAAACCTTAATGTCCTCTAGCTCATCATTGTGTTCTACAACATTTATTCATAATAATGACTGGACAAGGCAATGTTATGCTGCTGCAACAAAGAATTCTAAAATCTCAGTTTTTCATAGCCCAGTGTCAGTTGGACAATTGACTCTCCTTGACAGATCTCCTAGTGCAACTGTGGGATCCAGGCTTCTTGCAACCTATAATATGGCCATCTCTGAGTTTCTCACCTTGTGGGGAATAGAAAGCATGAATTTTTATGGAGGGGTAAGCACGGTGAGGCCTTGGATAGGGATATACCACTTCTGCTAACTCTCCACTTGCCAGAATCAGTCACATGGCACCAATATATAACTGTGAACCCAAGAGGAAGAAGTAGTATGGGTGAACATCTAGGAAGCCTATGTCACTAGGATGATCATAGTGAGGAGAGGATGAAAGTGTGTTAAGAAATTTATTACTGCTGGGTTAACACGATGCAAATATTAGGCTGCTTTCTCAGCTAGACACCATACGAACTTGTCTCAGATGGCAAAGTGGTTTGACTTGAGTACTTCAGAACTGAGAGATGAACAGATGATTTTTTCCTCTATGTATGAATTGTAAAGGGTTTCAAATCAGTTTTGTATTTTCTTGCTTTTGTCTTTCATTCATTTTACTCTGTAGAAACTTCTGAAGCAAGTGAGCATGTCTCATTTTCCCCATCGATTTAGTTAACTGAAATAAGAGCTATGTAAAAAGTGAGGGAGAGAACCACAGCTACATACATTAACCTGGATACATCTAGAAAACATACATTTAGGCAAAAGAACTAAGTGGCAAAAAATAACTGCATGCTTTCATGTTAAAAACCTAGAAAAATTAAATAGATTGTCTCAGGAAAAGTATGTGAGCTGGAAAACTACACAGAGAATTAAGGGAAAAAATTTTCAAATTGTGGCATAGTGTTTACCTCTGGGAAAGAGAAGAAGGGGGCAATTCAGAAAGAAACTTGGGGTGGGCACTTCCAAGGCTCTAGTCGTGCTCCATTTTTATAGTTGGGTGGCAAAAGTACACATATATTCATCTTGCTGTCAGTATTTAAGCTAAATAGGTATGTTTTATATTCTCTCTTCTATACATAATAAAAACAAACAAGAGGTATAATTAGAGCTTGAAGAAAGGCAATAGACTTGTTCTTTGGTACTTTTATATTTTACCAAATTATGTTATTTTGCAAATTCATATTTGGATGGGGGTACTTGGACGTAACATTTCTATGTAGTCTCCAGTTTAACTTGAATTTCAGAAAGTTAATTAAATATCTGCGGCCTAATTTCAAATTCAAAACAAGGTAAGCGGACCCCTAGCACTCTAACTTTATGTCTGATCCAAATTCCACAGTGTTCCATTTCTCTTTCGTTGCAAATCAAATCACCCCCTAACAGTGGCTTTAAATGGCAACAATCATTTTGTTATTTAATGATTTCTGCAGATTAGGATTCCAGGAAGCCTGTGGCTGGACACTTCTGGCTCAGGATCTCTCATGTGGTTGCAGTCAGATGATGACTAGAGCTAGAGAATCTGGGAGCTAGCTGGGCATCTCTCTCTCCTTGTAATCTCAGGGCTTCTCCCCGTGATCTCTCCACATGGGTTAGCTTGGGTTTTCTCACAGTATGACTCTGCTTTAGGGCAGTCAGACTGCTCACATGGTGACTAAGGGCTCCAACGCAGGGTTTGAGTGAGACTGCAGCAGAATTGCTTTTTATGTCTTCAGCTGGGACGTCAGGCAGTGTCCCTTGTGTTGTATTCTGTTGGTTACGAGTATGCCACAGGCCCTTCTGGATTCCAGGAGAGAAATTAGACCCCTTTTATTGATGGGAGAGTGGCATGTGGACAGGAGATAGATACTGCTGCAACCTCCTTGAAAAATATAATCTGCCACACATGTGTAATTGGAATAGTGACAGGATACTTTGTTATCCAAAATAGTACTGTTTTTTAGACTAAAAGGAGGTGCTAGTAATTACACAGAGATAACAAGTAAAAATCTGGATTATACTGGACATACCATGACATATGGTCACCCTGGTAATAGGGCAACTAATCTTAAGAAGTGGATTGAACATTTCCTACCTGAAGATTTCATTAAAAATACATCACCTTTGTGATCTGCCTCACCGGAATTCAGAATCTTTATCTCACAGAGACAAAATGCACAGACATCAGAAGTTGTTTAAAAAAGAGTAATCAGAATGGAAAAATGCTTTGTAATTGCTCTGTGTTCTCTCTCATTTTATCATGGCTAGGTCACCCTTCCCTCCCACAGAGAGTCAAATATTTAAAATTGCAAGTTGAAAGTATTATCAGTAACACACATAACAGAAATTTTAATGTCTCTGAACAACAAGCATTTTAAACTCTATGCAGATACTCTCCTGATGATTAAATGATCCTACTTCTTGCTGGGGCTTTAACCCAATGTTTCCCACATTGTGTTTTAAGGAACATTACTATAGCTAGGTAGCTCATAGAAAGTATTTTCCACGGTGAAAGCAGTTTGAAAAATCCCTGTAAATTTTATCCTTCCTCTTGGGATTCACAATTCATACTATTAAAGGTTCTGAAGAGTTCCACAATAAGAAACATGTTAAACTTTGCTCTCAGTCTAACTGAGCATTTCCAGAATTCATGTGACCATGGAAAGAGATTTTCTTTTTCCCCCTGAACGTCAGCAATTAACACTTGGGGAACACTGGTTTAACCTAAGCCAGAACGTGAGTCGACATTTATCAAGAAACTTGGAATGATCAAATGCAATTAAATCAACCATTTTACATATAGAGGAACTGAAAAGGAGGCATTTGAACCATTTTACTAACAGATTGGTTAAGTATTTTAAAAAGTTTGTTGCTTCCCTGTGTAAGGGCTTAGATTAATAAATTTGCCCTGGGCTAATATTTAATGAACATGTTTAGAAGGATAAAACTTATCCTTCTAAAAAAGTACTTAATAAGGACATAGTTTTATTCATGCTTTATCTTGTTATGTGGAAAAAGGAACCCAGGTTTAAATGCAACTGTAGATTTTACATATAGGGGCACTTTTTAAGATGTACTAAATACAAATAAACTTCCAATGTTAGTGCAAGTTTTCCAAACTGGGCAGGACGTTGGAAGTGAAAAGAAAACCCCACATTATGGATGAGCACCAAGGGAGTGGAGTTTTTAACACACATTAAAGAATTCCAGAAAACTTAATACGATAGAGTATTTCATAATTTTAGATACTTGAGAAATAGGTTTTTTAAAGATAGGAATTGAATAAACTCTTCTTACTCATCATTAAGTACATTCCTCATGCCAGAACCATGGTAGAAAATCCAAAGTAACTTCAGTCTATTTCTTTAAATGTAAAAGGAGGCTAACAGGGAGTTAATAAGGAACTCTATGAAACACTTAATACAAAAATCATGAAATAAAAAGTAAAGTATATGTTCTAATTAAAATACTCTATGTTTATCTTAACTATTATGCATATACTCTCTGGCAGTACATTTACTGCATGTAGAGAAATAAAACCATCTTGAGAAATTTGCAGTAATAAGACAAACCAGATAACAGCCCATTTATTAACAACCCCGAAGGGGACATTTTACTTACCAAACAAAAACATGTACCATATTATAGATGGTATAGTTTTGCTGCATTGATTACCTAGAAACAGTTAAACCCTCGCTAGACTTGACAAATAATTAATATTGGGTAAAAACATTCAGAACTTCTCTATTCAAGAAACATTCTTCAACTTCTGAGAGGTGGTAGTTCAGCTTAGGGGCTAAGAGTGTTGTCTCTGGAATCAGATTGCTTCGGTTTTATCTATTCATTCAGCAAATGTCTGTTGGGTGCCTAACATATGTTGGGTGCTGTTATAGGTACTGTGGATGGGAACAAAAGAGGCCAGAAAACCCCTGCCCTCATTGGGCTTACATTCCATTGATGGAGACAATAATAATGAGATAAGTAAAATGCATAGTGTGTTGAGGAACAGTATGAGCTAAGGACAAACACAAAGTAGCAATGAGGAATAGCAAAATTCACTTCTGTAATTTTAGATAGGTGGTCTGGCAAGGTCCCACCGAGAAGGGGATGTTTGAGTAGGGACCTGAAGGTAATGAAAGATTAAGCCCTGTGCACATACTGAAAAAGGGATTCCAAGCAGAGGAACAGCAATTGCAAAGGCTCCAAGGCAGGCATCCGTAACATTTCTGGAACCGTGAAGAGTCTCACGTAGCTGGAGCTGAGTGAGAAAGGACAAGTGGGAGATAAGACCATAGGGTTGAGGGTTAGAGGTTTTATAGGACCATGAAGGCCATTCCAGAGACTTTGGCTTTTACTCTGAGATGGGAAGTCATTGGAAGGTTTTGAGCAGAAGAGTTACTTCATCTATGTTTCAGAAGGATCACTCTGGCTTCTAGTTTGAGAGTAGACAAAGAGGGGCAAGGGAAGGCTTGGGGAGTCTAGTTAGGAAGCAACTGCATTAGGTACGAGATGCAGTGTTTTGCTCAGGGAGGTGGTGAGAAGTAACAGATTCTGCATATGGTTTGAAGGAACATCAGACAGGATGTGTTGATGTTTCCATTGAGTGCAAGCAAAAGAAAAGAGTCAAGGACAATTCCAAGGTTTTTGGTCTGAGTAACTAGAAGGATGCACTTACCATTATGTAAGATGGGAAAAATGTGGGAAGTACAGTTCTGGTGAGGCTGGGGCAGGTAGTGGGAGATCAGGAGTTCTATTTGGACATGTGAAGTTTGAGATACTTAACATAATTCAAGTAGAGATGTTAAGAAGGTTGATGGATACAGGCTGGAGTTTAGAAGAGAAGTCTGGGTTGGAGTTAAGCATTTCAGTTTGAAACCTGGCTCTGACCTTTACAGGCTGTGTGATCTTGGGCAAGTTGCTGAGCTATCCCACTCCTCAGTTTCCTCATCTGAGTTATTGTGTGCACTAATTCACACAACATGCTTGGTGCCATGCCTGGCATGTTGTAAGCACACAACAAATATGGTTACTTTACAGTTATCTTAAAAGGCATGTAGATGGCATTCTTTCAGTATGACCATAATTTCAATGCAAGGCTTAATTTCTCCATCTCACCAATGTTATCATCTGATTTACTCAGGCTTGGAACTTCCACATGACCTCTGGCAATTCCTTTGCTCTGCTTTTTTTTTTTTTTTTTGCATCAGTTCTTTCTTCAATATGTCACATTCGTTTATTCCTCACCTCCCTTTCCTATTTCCACCATTCGACTAAAGAGGGTCCCCACATGTATAATCATGCAAGTGTTGCCACAACACAACTTCATGGGAATGACATTGCTGGGGCTGTGTAGTATTGTTGGGGGTGGGGAGGCTATATCATAAGCTTTATCTGTGAATCATTTCCAGTGTCCTCCACAGAATGAGGTATGGCAGAGTGACTAGCAGCTTAGGCTTTAGACTCAGACATGTGTGTCTTTGAATCCCAGTACCATAACAACATCTTGGACAATTTATGGAACTCCTTAAGTCTCATTTAGTCCTCTTTACAAAGAGCACTGTAATATCTACTGCCAGGACTTGTCATGAGAATTAAATAATGTATAAAAAGCTCTTAGGACAGTGCCTGGCACATGGTACGTGATCATTCTCACACAGGGACAATTTGTGTCCAGCCTTTTCTCCCTTCATTCTCCAAACATGTATCTTCCCCTGTATCAGATCAGTCTACTTCCCTGGGCCCTAAGCATTCCATGCTTATTCCCTACTCTAAGACTTTGTTTATCTCCTATCCACTGTTTGGAATTCATTTCTGTTTTCTTTCCTCCTGACTCCAGTTAAAATCAAATCCTACCTGGTCCATGAAACCTCCCCCTCCCTCGTCTTGACGGTTCATAATATCCTCTATCTCCTTAAAATTTCCAAGTTTCTTCCTGTTCACATTACCCATTTCATACACGTTTGCCACCTTTTCAGGAAGGTGGTAAGATACAGAGGAAATTGTGATGTTAACCATTAGACCAGGCTGTAGGCTCTACCTATTTGGGCTGGGTTGCCTTGCCTTGATCAAATTATTTCATTTCTTCTATAAGATGATAACAGTAACTCCTGTATCTAAGATTTTCAAGAGAACAAGATGGGATAACTTATGCACCTTGATTTTGGTAAGTGATGAATAAAACAAATAGTTGTTTCCTTTTCCTTCATGTGCCTTATTTCTAACTAGATTGTAATATTCTGAAGAGCAGGGATTTATGTGTGGGTTACATTTACTTGTATTTGTGTTAGTTTAAAAGCCATTGTGGTAGATCCTATCTTAATAGTAATCCATAGTAAGAAAAATGCATTTCTACCATGTCTTGGCCCACTTGTCAATCTCATGCATATAACAAATATGTATCTGTATCTACATATAAATGAATATATAAACATATATTCACATATATAAACACACATTTTTCAAAGCTTTATAAAATAATACCTTTCCTGTATAAGATGCAATCTGCTGTACTTTATTCTCTTTCATTCTATTCTATTCTATATTTCATTAAAAATCCAGTTGCTACACACGAAATTGATTTTATGACTCTCTAATGGGTTTGACCGTGAGTTTTAATCAGTGAAAACACTGAAATATCACATTGTGGGCACCACATAATTGCTGGATGAGTACTTGTGACATGGAAATGTTTTTCACGGTGTCTTTTCACGGTCTCCCTGGCAATCTCCCTGCCAAAAAAGATGAGACAAATGAGATATACATTTCCAACTTGATAACTTGGACTCTGGGTCAGTCTGTATTTGGGATGTGTCCTTTTCTATAAACCACACAGCATAAATATGCTATGATCTCTGACAGCCCACTTACAATTTCAGTGTGTATCATGACACGCTGACTGGCCTCCTGCTGGCATTTGCCACTGTGCCATTGCAGCCAGTTACATAAATCCCTTAGGGTTCTGGGCCAGTCCTGGGCACTTTGTCCTCTGTGCATGCATTTGGCTTTTTAAAAAAATTTCCAAGGATTATCACTGGTTCGCTACTTCTGACGTGTTCTGTGAGAGGTTCTGACTGGCGTGGAATAAACTTACTCTTCATTTTTAACCCCAATCAAATTAAGAATCAATATTCCTTTGAAAAAGAAGGAAGTACAAGAGAGCAGTACAAGAGAAGTACAACGTGGGGCCTGAATGTTCTTCACACATCATCTCCCGCACATGAGATTCCCTTCCTGATTCCAATGACTAAACTTCAAGGAAAATCTGAGTTTTCTCCAGAGTTCATCCAAATTCGATCAATGTCTCCATATGAAACTACTTCCTAAACCTTCTGCCTGAGGCTTTGCACAGTACAAAGTGAGAAAGAAAGCGTTTCAGGCCCGCCCACTAATCTCTCCCACACACTTTCATGAGTTCTGCTCTTATAAAATTATAGCCTCTGGCAGAGAGGACCCTGGCACTGTATTCCAAAAATTATTGGACTAACTGAAATTAAAGCAATATGCACCTGGAAATTAACTACGTCTTGCTGTGCAGTAGAAATATGTAGAAAATTACTGCCCTCCTGCCCTATACTCAGTGAGGTATATCAGCAGCCAAAAGAAGCCTGGGCCCCAGTTTGCAAACAGAATTTTAGTGTATATTTGAATAGGTTCATTCCGACACCATTAGCGCATATTTGAATAGGTCATAAAACGTAGAATCTTAGGACCAGGTATTCATACACAGCCCCAGCTTGTATAAAACAAATTAAATAGACTTCAGCATTTACATGTTTCTTGGCGTTTATCACACATGGGTAAAATGAGATTAAAAAGGCTGCTTTTTCTTGACATTGGGAAGACCTACAAAAATTTAATCAAACCTGAGTTGACTGAGTAGATATATTTGGAAAAGAGACAAACAAGTTTTACACATATAACTCTGCATTTCAGCAATATTTATTTTCTTTCATTTCTGTGTCTATTTCTTCCTTAACACATAGTAGGGATTCTATCAATATTGGCTGCCTTGAATGGGCAAATTACCGTCAATTTGAGCCTCTATGAAAAAAATCTGGCATAGGCATTTTATCAGCATTAATTGAGGGTCTTCTATATGCCAATTCTTTGCGTACAAGGGAATATAAAAATGAATAAATCAATGTTATTTGTCTCCCCAAGAAACGCCTGTTTAGTAAGGAGAGTAAATTGAAACAGTTAATTACAGAGAGCTGTGATAACTGTTCTTACAGAACTAAGAAAGGTCTATGGTAACACAGGAAGAATGATGACAAAATCAAAGAGTACTTCACAGAAGGAGGAGCATTTGGGTCAAGTAATGACATAGATGACATATTTTCTCCTTTTTGCACCATACAGAAGGGTCTAATGATATGTTTTTTGTCACATATTTGATTTCAATCTCAGCTCTACATCTTACAATTACAAGGCACTTACAGCCTCTGAAGCTCAGTCTTCTGATGTGTATGATGGAGTGATAGTACCTGTCTCGTAGGATGGTGGTAAGGATGTATTGAGAGGATTCTTGTGTAGCAATGTTGTTGGTATCCTACCCACATCCCCTCACCTTTATTGCTTCAGTGAAGGCTACTCTTACTTACTTCTTACCTGCGTTTTTTGCTGAAGAGCTATGCTTTGTCTGCCCATCAGTGCTTACCTTGCCTGCCACGTGGAGGCCAGAAGTGCTGGAGAATTACCATCTCACAAGAGTAGCTTATAGTTAGTAACTAGTGGGAGCTGTGGAATAAATACCCCATCTCCCTTGACCCTTCAATAGGATAAATCTGATGCATATGTTTTATGGTTTCCCTGAGTTTCTTTGCAGGATTAAGCTCTAGTCACATGCAGTGGTAGCTGGTTTCATAATGTACCTTTTACCAGCTGCCATCCCTTTCCTGTACCACGTGCCTACTCCTCTACCAACACTCCCTGAAACTTCCAGAAATCACTAGCACTTCAATCCTTGTTTCAGGCCTCATGTCTGGGAAAACCCAAGCACTGATCACAGCACTTGGCACATGGAAAATAGAAAGCGGTGAGTGAATGATGAGTGATAGTAAGCAACATATTGCTTCCTTCTGGTTAGGTATCTCATACAGCCCTTTACTTGCCTCTAAGTTAAAACTGGCTGAAAAATCAGGCACAGCATACCAGATATACCCTTCAGTTTTCTGTACCTTGTCAAATTGCTGGTGGCCCATTATAAGCACGTACACAAGACTATTTGTGAATAATGCATACTGTTAGCTCTCTAGTTTGCCTTTGCTCATTTCTCATTTTGGAGACTCTTTTGTGGATTACATGCTCAAACACAAAATCTCGCTACCATTTTTTGATTCTTAGCTAATATGCAGGAAAACAGAAGCCAACTGGATTTTATCATTCATCTTTGTTACCATGTCCATGAGAGTATGTGATAAATGGTATCAAAGAATAGAATCCTAGAGCTGAAAGAACATGCATATCATGTAGTCCTAACCCATCATTTACAAATGAGAAAACTTTGATTCACAAAAGTAAATGACTTTCCCATGACAACATGGCCAGTACATTTATTCTGTGAGTGTCTGTCTAGGACTCAGGCAGATTGTGAAGTCAGATATGCCAGTATGCTGTTCCATGTTCTTTTTGGTCTCCATCCCCACCCCCATCCCCATTGTTCCTCTACCTTTTGTCCTTATGTGGTTCTTCCCTTTCCTCTATCAAATCTGTTTTCAGAAATGGACTTAAAATTATTCATAGTGAAAATGACTGGAAACAGATTCCACTGTGACACATATCAAGGATATTTTTATTTTAGCAGGGATCAAACTGTTCAGCTAAAGTGGTGGAACATTTCAGAAATCCACTAGCAGGTAGGACAGGTGAAGGAGGTAAATAGGATTCTTCTTTGAATCCCTGAAATCTCATTTATTACATCTTTCTCTGAGTATGTTGTCCAATATTAGGCATAGTATGTCTAAATAGTAATGCTATGAGATACTGTGGATAAGAACACACTTAATATAATAAAGTGCCAACAAGTACCAAAAACAATTTGCACTGGAACATTCATTTCCAGCTCGTCTTCCAAGTGGGAAATGATCTTTCCCATAAAATAGATTTCAAATGTTATTATTACTACATCCCACAAAACAGGAATCCTAAAAAGAAAATCTGCCAAAGAGAATAGAGACACTTTTAGTATATAATAAAACTGTCGGGTAACATGAAGAAATAGAATGTGGCAGAAAATGTACAGATCACAGAAACAAAAGGCTTCAGCTCCTGAATGGTCACTAAACATTTTTAAGCTTCAGTTTTCTTATCTGACAACTGAGTTACTCATCTTTGCCCTCCCTACCTCACAGGAATGCTGCAAGGATGACACTAACTAAAGGATAAGGATATAAAGTATACATGTTGTCAAGTATGAGTTGTCATAGAGGGACTATATTTATCATATTTTCTAAAAACAGTCTCTTAATGGCTTTTTATGATATATACAGAGTGATGAATTGTTTTTGTTAAGGTTTAATTTTGCTTTCAAACAATGCAGAAACTAAACACTGGGACTATATGCTGGGAAAGATCATCATCTGTGACTTCCCATTGCTATCCCTTTTGAGCATCTCCACTGTCTAAGCGGAGACTCTCCCCTGTTTTCTGCAGTTTGGAAAGGTGTTAAGACAATCACAAATTGGTCACCATTGTCAGTAAATAGTCTTTCGTTATAAATTTCAGATACTTCTCTCAAAGTCCAGATAAGAAGCAGGGAGGATAATAAAAATCTGAGAATTTTATAATTGGAAGAAGCTTTGTTAAATTTTGTCATTTACGACATGAGATACTGAGTGGTTGCATGACCTTCCTAGGTCCAATAACTAGGTCTTGAGTTCCACCGTAGGCAACTGTGTGTCAAAAAGTGAGACAAGGAAGGGCAGAAAGCCAATTCAGGGTACACAATCAAGGCAGCTGCAATTGTGAGGGTTTGAATTTAATTCTATTGGAGAAACTCTGGGAGCCAATGTAGAACTGGTGCCTCAGAGTTATCCCCCTCAAAGTGATGGAGCTGGAGTTTGTATACCATTGTTTGAGGGCTGCTCCCAGGAGGCAATACCACCTCAGAACTTCCAGCCTGCTGCACTGGCAGTGGGGTCAGCTCCAGTAGCACAAGAATGCGTTCAAATTCTCTCCAAAGGTACCGGTACAGATGCTGGCAGATGGAAGGCGGGGCCTTGTACATTGATGTAGTAAGAGTGAGGAGGTATGGGCAGGGCATTGAGAGCACATCTGCTATACACCATGAAGTGGCGGAGCCAGGACTTGAATCCAGGTCTTTAGATGCCTAGTCCAGGCACGATCTACTCCAGCACACTGACTTCTATTATATTTCATTCCAGTTGCCTACTAACCATGTTAGGCTCTGTATTAGGAAACAGGAAATAAACAATTTTATATAACAGTATATATTGAAAACATGTAGTGATGGTCATGCATTGGTATTAGCTTGGTGTTTTAAAGCCTTTATTTTCAAAAGTGACATTAAGTCAGTCACACCGTTTATAACTACATTGCAATAAACAAGTCTTTGATTGCTTTATTGACTAAAGAGTATATTTTTGTTTCATTAAAAGACTGTTATGCCTATTTAAGAATAGGTTTCCAGAAATTTGGTAAAGATCCACCTGTACTTCAGGGACATTCACAAAACTTTTTAAAAAACATTTCTGCCAATGTCAATGTGCTTACTGCTGGGATTGGCGAGCCCACAGGCTATATCACCAATCCAAACTCCACTGTTGTTTATAAGGGGAAATTTATTATTTATGTTCTGTAAAGAATACAGATCTATGGATTTACACCACCATATTTATCATATGTTTCTAAGTCCTAAGTTATTTTTCTGTAGGGAGTGTAGATGGCATGGCAACCCAAAGGTCAATACGGTTAAAAGTCATGCAAAGAAATGGGTCATATAACAACTTAATAGTGGCACTTAAATAATAATAAAAGGCTATCAGTTTAGCTACCATATTTTAAAATATCGTTCTCTCCTTAATGATCAATGTGAAAGGATTTTGTGTGTGTTTTCAATCATTAGTGGCCCTACTGGCATCTCAGGAAGAAGGAGGGCGTCATTACGGGTATGAACCCTTCTCCTAAGCTGACTCTCTAAGTTAAAGCAAACATCTGACTTGAACAAAGATATAACCACATTAATGCAAGGGGGCATCTCCGCTGGTTTCTCCCCAAGCCATGCAGAGAGAGTGAACACTGCTCCATGGTTGGAGAGACTCTGTTCACTGGTGCCCTAAGCACATTCTGGCTTTACCCCCTTTCAATTAGTCCAGGAAGCCACACATAAACAATCGGTAAGACAGAATTAGTTCCTTTGCCCTCTCCCCGTCTCTGATTTCCCTAGGAAGTCCAGGTAGATGTTTATTCTCTGATGAGGGCAGACATTAGTGTTTCCTCCCCCTCATACACTGGTGGTTGTATGGCAAGAAAATGACTTATGTCTCTTTGAAGTACTGAATGATAATGACGCCAAATCCTGGAAGGATGTAGAAGAATGATTCTGTTATTTTTAATATGCTAATTCAATATTATTAACAAATATTATAAAGAATTTTATCCCTTCTGAACATTCCTTTTTAATATTGCTGTAAACTTAATTAGCATTTGTGTTTTTTTTAAATAAATTATCTGTCAATTAAGAAGCCAATTTTCCTAAGCTTCCACCTTTTATTTTGAACTGTTGATTCTATTTCAAATGATTTTGTGGATTCTCTCTGGAAGATGAAAAAGAAAGTTCAAAAAAGGAAGTCCTGTCACACAAATCCAGGTGACTTTCTCTTTAGCTTTTGACAGCACCAGTAGTTAAGAGTGCACATTCCATAAAAGGAGAGAGAGCACTGAGCTTAAACTCTGCTGTGCTGGGGAATGTTTTCTGTTTAACAAGATGCTTTGGAATTGGCAAAGAGTAAAATCAAGCATTTTCAGTTCTGAGGCTCTTTTACGTGGGCAAAGTGAGAGTATGAAGTGACACAATTATATGGGTAATTCAGATCAACTGGATGGTTTTCACATAATTAGCAGCTAACTTTTGGGCATTACTTAGCTGAATAACTGAATCTGTTTGCAGCATCCCCTCAAATCTGTAGTATCTATCGTTTCTCCCCAATTTAGAATTCCTTAAGTCAGTCATATTAGCATCTTCGCAAATCAGAAACCTGTCAATTTCCTCCTCTCCATGTATTTTGCTATCAAGGCCAGTTAATTCTATCAAAAGGATTATGAGGAGGTTTCCCTCATCTTAGGAATGTAATAACACAAGAGTAATAACACATCATTTTTACTCTATTAAAGCCCTAGTTATATGTCTTTTGATTTCTACTCTGTAATATCCAAGACCAAATTACTTAAAGATATTTCTTTCATTAAAAGTCATCCTTTTACTCAATGACCTATTTCCCATCACGTCAAGTCCAAATTTATTGGTTTAGTTTTAAATGTTATTCAAAAGATTGTCCCTCTCTGGCCAAACTTGATCACCTCTAACCAATAATGTAATAACTTTTTCCATTTAGGATTCTTCATTCAGACATTCATTTAAAACTAGCTTGGGAGGTTTTAAAGATAACTAAGAAGTAGAAATCAGTAAGAGAAATAATCTGGGGCAAGATTATGTAAGAGTTTTGTGAGTGATATTAAAGTATCTCTTTTTATCCTAAAAGGAATGATGAACTGTTGAAGGTTTTTAAGCAGAATGATATGATCACCTATTTTTATAGAAAGATCTGACTGCACTTCAGAAAAATAGAATTTAGGGGTCAGATGGATTTTCTGTTGACTATTCTGTTTCACTGCACCCCCTTCTGAGTTCTTTTCTCCATCACAGAAGACAGGACTACATTTCCCAGAATATTATGTTATTTACCTTATAGTTCACTAATGAGAGGCAGTTATCCAGGATTTTGAAGGTAGAAAAGAAGGCAAAACAATTATTCTCTGGAAGCAGTTGCAGTAAAAACCACAGGAAAATGTGACATTCGCAGCAGCTTCCTGGTGAGCTACTAAGAGCCACCAACTTAAGTGCCTCAGGCTGTCTTTAGGCATCAGATTCCTTGGTCTTCAATGTCAGCTTCCTTATCCTTTGCTCTTCCAGTTCCTCCAACAATTACGGAGCACTATTTCATACATTAAACCCCTTATACCTTGCATAAAAAGAGTGGCTTCCATTTCACTAACCTTACCCTCATCTGATAAAGAAAAGGTTAAAAAAAAAAAAAAAAAGAAGAAGGTTGAGGGCCCTGTTAGGAGGTTACAGCTGTGATCCAGGCAAAAAGAGAGAAGTCTGAATTAGTTTAATGGTAATATAAGTGGTAGTGGCAACAGTTGGAGATGTTTGGGAAGTCGAATGGACTGGGCTTGCTGGTTGAATGGATGGAAGCATGAGGAAAAAAAAAATCTCAGATGATTTTCAGGTTTCTGACTTTAGCCATTAGGTAGATAGTACTAAGGAACTAAGTAATAAGTGATCATAAGGAACAAAGGAGGAGAATCAGGTGAACTGATAATTTCATTAGACTCATTTGAGGTGCTCATGAATTATTCAAGTGCAGATATCTGATAGGTTGTAGGTCACAAGTCTGAAAGAAAAAGGAACAGATGCTGTGAACTTAGGAGTTAATCAGCATGAAGAGGAGAAGGCTATGTTTACGGGTGAACTTGCCCATAGGACATATGAACAACACACAAACAAAGAGGCCCAATTATAGCCCTGAAAAGATCAACAATTACAAATTTACTAGAAAACAGCAGTCCATAAAGGAAATTGGGAAACAGCAGCCACATAAGTAATTTCCAGAATTTCCACAGGGAAAGGTGAGATCAGAACCCTCAGTCACACAGGACAGACATCTTCTGTTGAAGGACGGGAGGAGGAAAGGACTAGAGGGAATCCAGACTTGATGGTCAGAAGTAGAGGTAATTCCGGCCTGATGTTTCCATTTTCTGTGAAGAAGCTAGATAGGCTGCAGAGGGTGAGGGGAGCAGGTGATGAGATCAAAGGTTTGAGGAGAGTGGAGAAGGTTTGAAGAAAAGCCTTTGTGGTTAACGGGATAGAGCATTTATGGGGGAGAAAGAAGACAGAGGTTGTTGTCCTAGCTGTGCCGGTAACCAGCTATGAGACCTTGCAAATTATTTTATTCCCTTCTAAATCTTCTCGTCCTCATAACCAGGTAAATAAGGGAGCTGTGCTACATTCTCTCCCAGGTATTTTGGAGTCCTGTGGTGACATTCTTAAATTCCTTTCCATCTATCCAAATGATAGCCATCCTTCAAGTCTCAATGAAAGTTCCATATGTTCTGAGAAGAATTCCCACAAGCCCAGCTTCTAGAGATCACTTGTAGCTTAAACTTCTACAGTGCATTTTCTACCACACTATTGTCTGCACGTAATTGTATGTGTTAGAAAAATAATTTGTTTTTCTCAAAGACTTTAAGCACATAACTTCAGTGCTGAGAGGCTTATAACACAAAACTGCTGTCCCTTCCCCATATAACTATTCTGTTCTCTAGATACCACCATACTGAACTCAGGTATTTCTTTTGGTATTTACTTTAATATTTCGAATTTATGACCCCTTACTGACATGACCTCTTACTTCTCTGACCTCAGTGCCCACCCCTCCCCTTTACTTATTCTTCTACAGCCACGGTGGCTTCTTTGCTGTTCCACAAACAAAGGAGGCATGTGTTCATCAAACATATCTGGCAGGCCGCTTTCCTCAACACACCAGGAAGCCTTTGCACGAACTGCTTCCTGTGCCTGGAATGCTCTTCCGGGTACTATATGCAAGACTCACTCCCTTACTTTCTCAAAGTCTTTCCCCACAAGTCGCCATCTCAATGAACTTTCTTAAGTGGCATCTGGCACTCATTGTGGCAAGGCTTATTTCTTTCACTTATTACTATATAATACACCCTGTATTTTATGTATTTCTCTTGATTAATCTCTTTCCTCTACCCATGTGTAAGTTTTATGGGGGCAGGAATTTTTGTCTGCATCATTCAATTGTAGCACTGGTGACTGGAATAATGCCAGGTCCATGACAAGTACTTAACAAATATCTGTTAATTTATGAATGCTGCTACTTTGTATTTACCAAATTTAATCTATGACTTTTTAAATATAGTAAAGCTTGAACTCACTTATAGCCCTCTGCATATCCCCATCCTCTGTTATTTAAATAAAAATGCTGTTTACATTATTACGTCTATGTTAATATTGATCACTGCTGAACGAGTGGAGGTACTAGGATTCAGGCTCTGGGATAGAAGGCAGAAGAAAGATGGGCAAGGGAATTTACAGTAGTGGAATGGTCTTCTGGAAGGTTCGCTCTCAAAAATATCTCCTCCTCCTCCTCTCTGATGCCTGAATTCTTTGCACTAACCACTCACTTCTTGGTGTTATGCATTGCTTTCCTCCTGATCTTCTTTGGAAAAATCAATGCGTGTGGGAAGGGTGACTCATCTGTCCAATAGCTCCTCAGTGTAAATTATTTTTCCAGTAGACACAAAGCAGAGGTGGCACAGTGACATTGTAGTTACTGAAATGGGGGAAACAGGTGCAGAATTGAGATGAGGGAAGACCAGGCAATAAATATTGAAATTTGTGCTGGTGTTGGGGGAAACAGCAACCCAGGGATGAGCACGAGTCACTAAATATTATTCACATGCATGCCACGGGCACTCCATCAAAACAAGTCTTAGAGGCAGGAGGTTCTTATAGAGCTTAGTGACCAATCACCTTTTTCTACACATAGGGGAACTGAGGCATGAGGTAATCCAGCACCACATAGCTGGTTAATGGTGGATTTCGTTCCGGAATCTGATTTTTTTTATTCTCCCAGTCTGCTTCTGAATATTTAATACTGTCTCATATGCCCTTTATTTAATGAATGCTATTAATTCTTGGAAGCAAATCCATCCCTCTTTACTAATCCCAGTAAAACACACTCTTGCAGAGGGCCTATGCTTCCTTCTAGTTTTCATTCTTAAGAGATTAAATAGAGGATGTCAGCTTTCAAATATTGCTTTTATTGAACTCCAGGCACAAGTCACTCTCTCCCACCTCCCAACTGCAAATATTTAGCTACTCAGAATGTTACATATTCTATTATTATCCAGCCAATAGATGAATAGTTGCCAACAAATAGTAGTCTTTTCAGCATCCAAGTCCTCAGCTTGCATCATTTGACAGTGATTTCTGTCCATCATTCTTGGTTTTCAACCCTATAATAGCTCTCAAGCCATTTATTTAATACCATGTAAATGTGTATATGATTGTCATCACATATTAATCTTTTCGGTGGAATGGCATTAGGCTTTTAGAGGAAATAAATGGGGTCCCTTAATTTGCTTTTATCTTCCTTCTAGAGTAGCACTTATTAAAATAACACATGCTTATCAAGGTGAGACTTTTTATAAATCAGTAATGATTTGTTAACCATTATGCATTTCTAATGCTACATAATCCTTTCCCTAAACACTCTTCCACATCACTTCATGGTTTAAAATGGATCTTCTGATCTCTAAACTTCCTAAATTTGCTTTTGATCTTTTGTTAATATAGCAAATTCTTGTCTTTTCTCATAATGCATTGTTTTATAATACACAATTTGGCATTGTACTGTGTTCCCTGTTTAACAGCCCAGACACCACATCTGGCCTTCTTTGGGGCAGAACAATCAGGCATCATAGGGAGGGGCTACACAGGACATGACCAAGGCCAAGGTACTAAATAAACAAATCACCGTACAGCCAAGAGCAGTCAAGTTGTGAGGTTAGAAGAGCCTGGAGTCAAAATGAGGAAGAAGAAAGAGAGGCTAGTTTAGGAAGGCTGTTTGATAGCCTGTGGTCTTACAGCAGTGAATGCAGATAGAGCAATGATTGAGTGCGCCTCTCATACAGACCCTAATCTCAAGAACAAAAGTGGTGAATCAACAAGGGACTCTAGAATTCTGCTAGATAATTATCTGGAAGCGAAGCAGAGCCCTACACATCAAATGGCAAAACCTAAAATCACTAAAGAGCAACCCGAAGCTACAACTGCAGAACTTTGGTCCAAGGTCAGAGCGGGACACAAAGTTGAAAAAACATGGAGCTCCCAAACTCATGATCCAGGAACCTTAATTTGTTCCCAACTTAAGAACATTTTGTTTCCAGCCTCCAAGTGCCCAGGCTTGGCTGAGCCTGTAGGTCATGGTTAGGAGGCTCCAGCTGTGAGACCTGGAAGACTGCCGGAACGAGAATTGGACTGGCTGGGATTATGAGTTATAAAAGGATTCTCAGCCAGATGCTCTTTAACCTCCCTCAGTACCTTCTTTAACTTTTACAGAGGTAATTCATCTGGATTCAATGGCTTATTGGCCCCTAATAGTTCCATAGGGTTAACTCTCTCTCCAAAGTAAATAAAAGCCTTTAATATCTTTTGCAGAAAATAAAGTGATTCTGAAGTCCCAGGTATGCCCTTCAGTTTTTTTGTTGTTTGTTTTGTTTTTTGGAAGTTCTACAGCAAAACTTCTCAATGGCATAACCTCTCTGTAGAAACTCTGGTTTTAATGATCTCTCAGTAACAGTGAGACTTTTGATTTGAAGTCTTCTAAAAGGATATCTAGTTGGTTAAAAATTGTCATTTCAACTATATACCACTTTTGTATATTTTCTAGGCAGAGTTATTAATACAGTATTATTTCATTTCTATCTCTCCTGGCTTGATACTTAGACAAATATCTAGGTTGTCAGAAGTGGAAGAACTCTTAGAGTCTTCATCAGTATGAACATGGTCCTTTTCTTATCTAAAATGCACATATGGATCAAAATGTATAGACATTTTCAGGAGCTTCAAAGAATTCCTGATAACTATCCATGGACACCATGTCAACGATCTCTGCCTAGGCCAAAGTTAAATCAAGATCGTAAAGTTGGGATCCACAACGATTAAGAGGTTTGAACATTTTAACCTCCACAGCTGGTAAGCTGCTCTTCCTCTATGCTCTCATGTCACCCTGGGAAAAGCCGTCTCTTTGCCCTAACATATGAGTCCCTTCCCTCACTGGACTGTGAGCAAATTGAAACTAAAATCCACTTCTCGATTATTTTTATACTCCAGCACATACAAGATGTGACACACAGAAGGCTCCATAAGTGTTTAGTAAAGAAGTCCAGATTCAAGGGTCCATAAATCAGAACCCTGAGTGCTAGGCTCTCTGACCATGCGGAATTATCGCTTTCTTGTTTTTCCACTATCAGTAGGCAGGTGCTGGGGTCCCCATGGGTTTTCCCACCTTCCCAAAAACTTTGTGCAACTTTCCTAGCCATTCTGATTTTCAGTCTCTTCATCATATATGGATAATAGCATTTACTTGCATGTTGCCATGAATACAAAATATTGCATGTTGAGCCCTACACACAAATTTTCTTATGATCTAGCAATTAAGCATTTGAAACGCAGTGTATGTATGAAAGATTCCATTGTGTGATCTGAGAGCCCCAGCTTCAAAGTCCTGTGGAAATTAACAGCACTGAGATTAGAGAGAAAAAGAAAGAAAATCTATCTTGTAGATGTCTCTTGCAGGTTTCTGAGACAAGCGTCAAAACCAGGCTAAGATTAGAACTGGGTCCCAGAGGCTCTATTTCGTATCCCCCAGCCTTTCTGTCCGCCAGAGTCATCCTTGAGCTTTTCGTCACGACTGTTTCTGTATTTGTCCCGCTGCTTGTAACCCTCACCTCACTGATGTAAGCAGAGGAAAAACAACAATAAAAACAGTTGACATTTACGTAGCATTCAAAAGTTTCCTATCTACTGAACTACTTTTCTTAAAGGCATCCTCTAACGCAGCAATGACTAAACGAAGCAGCAGAAATAGCTATTAGGTTAGGTGTGTGGGAGAAGATAGCTCCCTCTACCCCTTCTCATCATATTAATTGACCCAAATGATAGCTTTTGCTCCCTCTGTACCATTCATTACAGACCTGCAAGGCCGGGAATGCTGAAACAGAGTGACAGCCAATCAAGTGCTTCTGCCTGTGGACTTCAGCATCTGTGAGTCATCAGCAACCAATTAGATTCTTCGGTCGGGGAAAACTCTCCTCACCAGGGTAGAAACAAGCAATGCACGCTGCTGACCTTTACATCAGCAACTCGTGTTTCTGATCACGATGGTGAAAGGCCAATACAGGCCTGAGAGCCCCACCCTGACACATGAAAAGAATACCTTTGCTTTGCTTCTGTGCAGACAGCTTATGGTATTTGGTGCTGTTTGTGCTTAGGTCTCTTTGCCTCAGAGGAAGCTCTGAGTTCTGTCTCAGAAATCCTAATTGCTCTTTGCGGGGCAGTTTCATTGGCTGCCTTTTTCTCTGGGGAGTTCACAGCTATGCCACAAAATTTAAAGCTGAGACTCACTGTGCCTGTCAAGAGAGGTTTTTCTGCTCACTCCATTACAGACTACAGAGCCCCCATCTACTCTATGGCCTGGGTTGAATGAGGTAACAGTTTTGTATATAACACTGGTATCTTAGCCACCATCCTAGCATCTGTGGGTCTGAGCTGAACTCCAGTGTTCTTGTCTGCTTGTGTCCTCTCTCACTCAGTGTGTGTGTGTGTATGAGTGAGAGAGACTCTGAAATGGACTTTGTCCAACCCTAAACCATCTGCATTTTTCCTGGTCACATAATAAAAAGACCTCTTACTGCAGAATTTAAATCCTTCCAGAATTTTCCTTTTACCTATTTCTTGATCTAGAGCTCCTTTATCAGCAGCCATACATATTGTTGCTCTAGGGTTAATGTAAAAAATTCAAAGACAGGCTTGGTTCACAGAATCCTAGAAAATTTTACTGACGTCATGCAGCCTACCTAATCGTGAACTTGTCCGATTCGAAGGCATCTCTGTCCAGATCACATTCATAACTTACAGGAAAAATGCCTTCCATTATAGTATTTCTCAATGTCTCCCAATTTAGCCCTCTCCCATCACCATAATAACCAGACCTGTCACTAGGAGATAAAACAGCTTGTTCCTCCCAATGTAAGACTCCTAATCTGGAGATGTTCATCTGCACAGGGCCCCTCCAAGCGTCTTCCTGAGATTTCTTGGCATCAAGAGACTCTAAGTGTCTGCTATCTGGACGCCAAGGAAGCTCTAGGATTGTCACCTTCTCTTAGCTCCAAGGGGGCATTTGTACCCATCCCCATTATCAGCACGAGCAGATCAGGAATCTAAAATCACACAGATCTTGTGGCTCACCTAGGGCTGGGAAAAGCAAACCTTTTCTATGAAAGGCTAGGTAGTAAATACTTAAGGCTTTATAGACCATAAGGTTTCTGCTGCAATTATTCAACTCTGCCGCTGCTGCAGCATGAAGGCAGCCATAGCCAAAAATGAATGGCTGTGGCTCTGTTCCAATGAAACTTTATTTACGGACACTATAATTTGGATACCATAAAACTTTCACATGTCACAAAAGAGTCCTATTTTTTTCAATCCTTTAAAAATGTAAAGAACATTCTTATCTTGCAGAGACAAGATAAAATAGGCAGCAGACAGTAGTTTGGGGACCCCTGGGGCAGTATTCAACTGAGTCATAAGGATTACTTGGAGTACTCTTTTGTAAAATGTCATTTTATCACCCATATCTCAGATGCTCTGATTTGGTAGACAGAGTTAAGGTGGGGCCAGGTGATCTGCTTATTTAGGCAGACTCCCAGTGATTCAGATGCTGGGAGCCTTTGGCTTGCACTTTTTTTTTTTTTTTTTTTTTTTGAGACGGAGTCTCGCTCTGTCGCCCAGGCTGGAGTGCAGTGGCGCGATCTCGGCTCACTGCAAGCTCCGCCTCCCGGGTTCACGCCATTCTCCTGCCTCAGCCTCCCGAGTAGCTGGGACTACAGGCGCCCGCTACCACGCCCGGCTAATTTTTTGTATTTTTAGTAGAGACGGGGTTTCACCGTGTTAGCCAGGATGGTCTCGATCTCCTGACCTCGTGATCCGCCCGCCTCGGCCTCCCAAAGTGCTGGGATTACAGGCGTGAGCCACCGCGCCCGGCCTTGGCTTGCACTTTAAGAAACACTGCACTAGACGGGAAGATGAAGGCAAACTTTTCTAAGAAAACAAAATACAGGTCATGTTTTATCTTTGAAACTCAGTCTGGTCCCCTTAAGCAGAAAGTCCAAAAAAGCTCCCTCCATTCTGAATGTATCTACCTGCAAACTAGCCAATTTTAACTGTACGCTCCTTTTCAAACCATTCGACTCACGTTTGTCACTGTCCTGTATCTTGACCAATATTTATACACGCTTCTTTTACTCACGTGTCTCTTCCAGACGTTTTTCCAAGCCGAACTGTCTTCCCTCTCTACTCCTTCCCTGAATGTTTCTCAGCCTTCAGGGCCTGGTTAAAATGTCGCCTCCTCCATGAGGTTTTCTCAAACCCAACGGTTCTCATTTCAGCCTGCATCAGAATCACCTGGAGGGCTTGTTAAACCATAAATTGCTGGCTCCACCCCAGAGTTTCAGAATCAGTAGATTGAAAGTGAGGCCAGAGAATTTTCATTTGCAATGAATTCTCAGGTGATGCTGATGATGCTGGGTCTAGTGACCACATTGAGAGAACCACAGCCTTAACCCCACCAAGCCGGGGGATACTCTCCTTCTTAATTGAATACAGCTTCTGTGTTCCATGGCGACATATTGACACAAGTTCTGCTGTTTGGGGTTAGTGGCGATCTTACTGCATGCATACTGTTCCCTCAAACAGATTGTCAACCCCTTGAGGACAGGAGCTATATTATATTTTATGGACTTTTTGGTATCATCCAAAGCACAAGTAGTTCCCCAAGCAATGTTTGTTCGGTAACTGATTGCTATAATGTAAAATGAATAAACTTTTCCACATAAGTAAGCTGTATTAGGATTCTACAGAGAAACAGAACCAAGAGGATGTGTGTGTGTGTGTATATATATATATTAAAGATTTATTCTAAGGAATTGGCTCTTGCAATTGTGAAGGCTTAGTGAGTCAAGAATCTGATGGAAGAGGCTGCCAGACTGGAGACCCAGAAGGAGCTAATGTTGCAGTTCAAGTCTGAAAGCTGCTTTGTAATCTCTTGCTCCACAGAGGGTAGTCTTTTGTTCTACTCACACCTTTAACTGATTGGATGAGGCCCACCTACATTGCGAAGGGCAATCTGCTTTCCCCAAAGTTAAATGATTTAAATATATTAAATGATTTAATTTCATCTCAAAACACCCTCAAAGAACATCTCAAATAATGTTTGACCACATATCTGGGCACCATGGGCCAGCCAAGTTGACAAACAAAATTAACCATCACAGTGGAAAATGTGAAAATTTTCATAACCGAAGGGTTAGCCTGGTCTCATATCTAGATACTCCACACGGTTTTCCCTTTTAAGGTTTATATCTTTGTGAATTGAAAAATAGGGAAATAAAGGTAAAGCCAAAAGTGGTAGGGACTAGAGGTAGGCATCAGTTTTCTACCTCAATATACCCTAAACTACAACTTGTGCCATAATTTTATGTTTCCCAGTGTGTGATTATTCCAGTTAATGCATGAACAAACACTTTAAATTGCTTGGTATTTATTTTAAGGGATACTAGAAAAATAAAACGAACATGTCAAAACTGTGACAATACATATTTACTAGGATGAGGCTATGTATTTAAAAAGTGTCCATTAAAAATAGATTATATATGGTCACTCTTTGTAAATGATGCGATCTTATATCTAGAAAACCCTGAAGACCCCAGCAAAAGACTCTTAGAACTGCTAAATAAATTCAGTAAAGTTGCAGGATACAAAATCAGCATATAAAAATCTGTTGCATTTCTATATACCAACAATGAAATAGCTGAGAAAGAAATCCATTTACAATAGCTACAAAAAATAAAATACCTAGGAATAAATACAACCAAGGAAGTGAAAGACCTCCTAGAATTCGTATGAAACAAACAACAACAACAAAAAGAGCTCAAATAGCTAAACAATCCTGAGCTGAAAGAACAAAGCTGAAGGCATCATACTACCTGACTTAAAACTATATTACAGCGCTACAATAACCAAAACAGCATGGTGTTAACAGACACATAGACCAATGGAACAGAACAAAGAATCCAGAAAGAAATCCACATACTTACAGCCAACTGATATTTGACAAAGGCATCAAGCATATTCAATGAAGAAAGGATACCGTCTTCAATAAATGGTGCTGGGAAAATTGGATATCCTTATGCAGAAGAATGAAACTGGAACCTTATCTCTTTATATGAAAAATAACTCAAGATGGATTAAAGACTTAAACATAAGACCTGAAAGTATAAAACTAGAAGAAAACATAGAGGAAACACTTCAGGACTTTGGTCTAGGTTAACATTTTGTGGCTAAGACCACAAAAGCACAGGAAACAAAGATAAAAATAGACAAATAGGACTATATTAAACTAATAAGCTTCTTTACAGCAAAAGAAACAATCAAAAGAGTGAAGAGACAACCTGTTGAGTGGGAGAAAATATATACAAACTGTTCACTTGATAAGAGACTAATATGCAGAATATAAAAGGAATTCAAACAACAACATAAAACCAAATAATTCCATTAAAAAGTGAACAGAAGATATGCACAGACGTTTCCCAAAAGATGGCTAACAGGTATATGAAAAAATACTCAGCATCACTAATCATCAGGGAAACGGAAATTAAAGCCACAATGAGATATCATCTCAACCAAGTTAGAATAGCTACTATTAAAAAGACAAAAGATAACAGATGCTGGTGAGAATGCAGAGAAAATGGAATGCTTATACAGCATTGGTGGGAATGCAAATTAGCGCAGCCATTATGGACAACAGTATGGAGATTTCTCAAAAATTTGAAAATAGACCTACCATACGATCCAGCTGTCATACTGCTGGGTATTTATCCAAATGAAAAGAAACCAACATATCAAAGAGATACCTTCACTCGCATATTTATCATAGCACTATTCATAATAGTAAAGATATCAAATCAACCTAAGTGTCTATCAAGGGATGAATGAATTTTTAAAATGTGGTACTTATACACAGTGGAATACTATTTGGCCATAAAAAAGAACAAAATCATGTTATTTGCAGCAACATGAACAGAACTGGAGGTCATTAAATAAAATAAGCCAGACACAGAAAGACAAATATCCCATGTTCTTACTCATATGGGGAGATTAAGAAGTTGCTCTCGTAAAGGTAAAGAGTAGAATGACAGATACTAGAGACTAGAAGGGTGGGTGGGAAGGTGGAATAACAAGTTTGGTTATAGGGTACAAACATATAGTTAGCTACAAGGTATAAATCATACCATTTCATAGCAGAGTAGAGTGACTTTAGTTAACAACAATGTGTTATATATTTAAAAGTATCTAGAGAGATTACTTGAACTCTTTCTAACCCATAGAAATGATAAATACTCAAAGTGATGGACGCTCTTAATGCCGTGACTTGATCATTACACATTCTATGAATATAACAAAAGATCACATGTACCCCATAAATATATAAAATATTATTTATCAATAAAAAGATCGATGTAAGCATAAAAGCTTGGGGAAAGGACATACTTGGTTAAGAATTATAATTACAAACAACGATGCAGTTTAAAACCTTTTAAAACTTCATACTGACAACATACTTCCTAAGGTGATCTCTCTGCACTTTTAATAATGGTGACACTCATATCATTTGTAATATACAACCAAAGAGAATAAAATATCTTCTTGTTAAATTTTATAAAATCAAAACAAATATATTGTGTAGATAATAGTACAGTGGTAACCAAAAGAATTGTTCAAAAGAAAGTAAAGACTCTGGGAGTAAAGACTGAATCCTGAATGAAAGCTTTCCTGCCCAGCAGGGAAGCTGATTCGGCACAGAGTTTATGTTCTGGGGCAAGAGGCTTGGAGGACAATATTAACTTTAAATGTAAATGGACTAAATGCTCCAATTAAAAGACACAGACTGGCAAATTGGATAAAGAGTCAAGACCCATCAGTATGCTGTATTCAGGAAACCCATCTCACGTGCAGAGACACACATAGGCTCAAAATAAAAGGATGGAGGAAGATCTACCAAGCAAATGGAAAACAAAAAAAGGCAGGGGTTGCAATCCTAGTCTCTGATAAAACAGACTTTAAACCAACAAAGATCAAAAGAGACAAAGAAGGCCATTACATAATGGTAAAGGGATCAATTCAACAAGAAGAGCTAACTATCCTAAATATATATGCATCCAATACAGGAGCACCCAGATTCATAAAGCAAGTCCTGAGTGACCTACAAAGAGACTTAGACTCCCACACATTAATAATGGGAGACTTTAACACCCCACTGTCAATATTAGACAGATCAGCGAGACAGAAAGTCAACAAGGATACCCAGGAATTGAACTCAGCTCTGTACCAAGCGGACCTAATAGACATCTACAGAACTCTCCACCCCACATCAACAGAATATACATTTTTTTCAGCACCACACCACACCTATTCCAAAATTGACCACATACTTGGAAGTAAAGCTCTCCTCAGCAAATGTAAAAAAACAGAAATTATAACAAACTATCTCTCAGACCACAGTGCAATCAAACTAGAACTCAGGATTAAGAAACTCACTCAAAACCACTCACTACATGGAAACTGAACAACCTGCTCCTGAATGACTACTGGGTACATAACGAAATGAAGGCAGAAATAAAGATGTTCTTTGAAACCAACGAGAACAAAGACACAACATACCAGAATCTCTGGGACACATTCAAAGCAGTGTGTAGAGGGAAATTTATAGCACTAAATGCCCACAAGAGAAAGCAGGATAGATCTAAAATTGACACCCTAACATCACAATTAAAAGAACTAGAAAAGCAAGAGCAAACACATTCAAAAGCTAGCAGAAGGCAAGAAATAACTAAAATCAGAGCAGAACTGAAGGAAATAGAGACACAAAAAACCCTTCAAAAAATTAATGAATCCAGGAGCTGGTTTTTTGAAAGGATCAACAAAATTGATAGACCACTAGCAAGACTAATAAAGAAGAAAAGAGAGACGAATCAAATAGACGGAATAAAAAATGATAAACGGGATATCACCACCGATCCCACAGAAATACAAACTACCATCAGAGAATACTACAAACACCTCTATGCAAATAAACTAGAAAATCTAGAAGAAATGGATAAATTCCTCGACACATACACTCTCCCAAGACTAAACCAGGAAGAAGTTGAATCTCTGAATAGACCAATAACAGGATCTGAAATTGTGGCAATAATCAATAGCTTACCAACCAAAAAGAGTCCAGGACCAGATGGATTCACAGCTGAATTCTACCAGAGGTACAAGGAGGAACTGGTACCATTCCTTCTGAAACTATTCCAATCAATAGAAAAAGAGGGAATCCTCCCTAACTCATTATATGAGGTCAGCATCATCCTGATACCAAAGCCGGGCAGAGACACAACCAAAGAAGAGAATTTTAGACCAATACCCTTGATGAACATTGATGCAAAAATCCTCAATAAAATACTGGCAAACTGAATCCAGCAGCACATCAAAAAGTTTATCCACCGTGATCAAGTGGGCTTCATCCCTGGGATGCAAGGCTGGTTCAACATATGCAAATCAATAAATGTAATCCAGCATATAAACAGAACCAAAGACAAAAACCACATGATTATCTCAATAGATGCAGAAAAGGCCTTTGACAAAATTCAACAACCCTTCATGCTGAAAACTCTCAATAAATTAGGTATTGATGGGACGTATTTCAAAATAATAAGAGCTATCTATGACAAACCCACAGCCAATATCATACTGAATGGGCAAAAACTGGAAGCATTCCCTTTGAAAACTGGCACAAGACAGGGATGCCCTCTCTCACCACTCCTATTCAACATAGTGTTGGAAGTTCTGGCCAGGGCAATTAGGCAGGAGAAGGAAATAAAGGGTATTCAATTAGGAAAAGAGGAAGTCAAATTGTCCCTGTTTGCAGAAATTCTGGATAGGTTTTCTTAAAGCTGAAAACTGCAGTCTCTGTGGCCCATATTGGGAAAGCAAAGCCCACTAGACCCTCTGATTGTCTGGCATTGTCTAGGCCAATTCCTTAGGCTGTGTGTAAGTGTTGAGCTGGTTGTTGGCAGGTTTTCCAAGAAGTGGTCCTTGAAGCTTTTCCAAGGAGTGTGACTGATTTAGGAATGTGGTGCCTGAGTTGTTTTGTGGCTCCTGATTTAGGATTAGGGTGATCGAGAATCACTTTAGTGGAAGCCAGGTCTGCACCACTGTCTGCAGGCAAGGCAGCCTTATCAGGATTTGTCACTGCTTAAGCGTTTTCCTTTCTGAGACACTTCTTTTCAGCTTTGCAGACCCACATATGCCTGTCTCTATAATTCTTGCCAAATTTCTTGGATGATGAAGGTTGTACCAAAGCCTTTTTCACTACATGAGATATACCAAGGAATCCTTCTAGAAAGGATGAGAGCAGCAAAGTAGTAGAGAATGGTTGTGTTCAGGCCAGAATCCCCATGCTGGCCTATACACATATCACAATGATGTATGAGTAGATTCACTTTATTTTGAACAGTGATCCTTCCAGCACTGGTCCATCCAATCTCCCCAGACATAGGCAGCAGGAGCAAACTTTAGAGTTAGAAGTGTGCAAATTGTGACATTCTCATATAATTTACTAAAATTAAAGTTATTTTTTACCCTGAAACTCTATTACAGCTAGTGGCAAAAATGTAATATTAGACATTCAGAATAACTGAGGTACTTCAATATTTTAAAGCCAATTTAGAGTTTTGCTCCTTCTGCCCTCACTCTCTGAAGTGGCAGCTAGCTTCTGGAAATAGAGCTGGGAGAGTTACATGGCTCTCAGGTATTAAGTGATGTGGGCATTTTGTCTGCAGGTACTTTCCGTTGTCCATTGTCTTTTGCTCATTTCCTCTGAACTTGGGCACTGGCCTTTAACCGGGCTGTGTCTGTACAGATGTCTGTTGCTGTCCTGGGCTGGCTCCTTTTCTCTGTGTTACAACCATGCCCTTTGGAATGAAGGCTGAAGAAAACGTTTACGTGTTACTTCATGCCTGCTACCCTAGGAAACAAGGGATAGGGGCACTCTCTCAGGCCCTTTTCATGTAGACTTGTCCTGGCATGAGCCCTATTCCCTAGCTGATACACCATTTTAGCATGGGTTCTTCCCCATGAGGACTGCCACCCTTTCACCTCTATGACCTCCACTCACAGAATTAAACACAGACCTTTTATACATATTCATAAACTCCCCCAGTCAAATCTGCCTGCAGTTTCTTTAATCCACCCCCTACTGCCATGATAAGGAATCTCGGGTGAAGAAGGCACTGGGCCTTTTGTTCAGGTACCTTCTGAAGTTGGGTTCCAGGGAAAACTTTGGTTGGAAAAGGGTTATAAGATTTTTATGAAAACTCAGGTCATGGTCCCACAACGCGACATATATATATATACACACATATATATCGCGTTGTATATATGTATTTACAGATGGTTTTGCCATAGGGCAGGAAAAATAAATGGGACTCAAGGAAAGTGATCCAAAAGCAAAAGCAACTGAGAGGTATACGATAATGTAATATCTTCTCTGTGATAACTACAGACAGGCAGTTAAAGGTGGGAAAACAGAAGGAAGTAAAGGCCAAGAATTCTAAAGCCCCAAACTAAGATCTGAAAACCATTGTTGCCTGTATTTGTATAACAAATGGGCTTCTGGCTTTTAAAATGTTTTAGGGTAACTGAAAAAAAAATAGATTTCTACTTTAGTCTGAAAAGAGAATAGGAGCTAAACTAAGCAGCAATTAAAGTGGTTAAAGGTTAATGGGAAAAGTTGCTTCTAGGGTCTCATATTTCTTTAATTTTGGTCTATTATTGTATTGTAATATTTAAGCCTCCTATTTATATTTTAATAGAAAGTTACATTTTTGAAAGAAAAAGAATGGTTGATATTTGCATTTAGCACACCAATAAAAAATAGTTTTCCTATTTATACTAGGAGATGACAAACTTTGGCTCCTAGGCCAAAGGTAGCCCACTACCTGCTCTTGTAAATAAAGTGTTATTGGAACACAGCCACACCAATTTGTTTACATATTGTCTATGGCTGCAATGGCAGAATTGAGTAGTTGCAACAGAGACTATATGGCCTACAAAGTCAAAAATATTTACTGCATTACTCTTTACAGAAATAGTTTATTGGCCCCTGATTCATATGATGAGGTCATAATCCAGGTATCCACATCCACCTTGTGGCAAATTATGTAAATTACTGGTACAGTGCTTTTGAGAATTAAAGAAGGTCTGTATGACCAGCCTAATAAAATCACACTTCACGTTGATGGAAAATACACTTTATTAGATAGGAAAGAATCATCTCATCTGTAGCTAATGAAATATGCTAACTATCAAGAGAAAATCATAGTTTCCTTTTCGTTAGTTAACTGGTCATATTAAAAAGATGAATCTTTAAAAAATTATCATAAAGCAAGACCTACAAAAAATAGTTAAGTCCTTGGCTACTCTTAATGAGCACCCACTCTAAGCACCAGAACTTCTTGCAATTGTTACCATTTTTTTTGAACTTTAAAATTGATGTCACCCATACTGGCATGATCTAAATACTTTATGTCTAAAATTTTAATCTTTCTTTTCATTACAAATAATGTATTACAGTATTATTTGACTTTGTTCCCACCATACCTAAACCCGCCTTTCTTGACTCTGGCTGCGCACTACAATCATTTTAAGAGTTTTTCAAATGTGCTAAAATCCTGGCACTGCCCCAGAGAAACAAAATAAAAATTTTTCAGGAAGGGGACCACAGCATCAGCAAAACGCTCCCCAGGTGTTTCTAATGTATATCTGAGCTGAAAATCAGAGATATGAAAATAACTAAACTGTGCTTATGAGTTTTATTTCATGAGCTTGAATTTAACTGTGTTAGTCTGTTCTTGAATTGCTATAAAGAGATACCTGAGACTGGGTAATTTATAAAGAAAAGAGGTTTATTTGGCTCCCAGTTCTGCATGGTTTACAGAAAGCATAGTGCTGGCATCTGCCTGGCTTCTGGTGAATTCTCAGGCAGCTTATAATAGCAGAAAGCAAAGGGGGAGCAGGCACCTCACATGTTGAAAGCAGGAACAAGCGAAAGAAAGTGGAGTGGTGGGGAGGTGCCCCACACTTTTAAATGACCAGATCATATGTGAACTCACAGTAAGAGCTCACTTATCGCCAAGGGGTTGGCCTAAGCCATTCATGAGGGACCCACCCCCATGATCCAAATACCTCCCACCAGGCCCCACCATCAACACTGGAGGTTACAGTTCAACATGAGATTTGGGTGGGGGACAAATATCCGAACTACATCAATAACCTTTGGTATTTCCCAGAAGAAGTAAAACAACATCAAATCTGGAAACTCACAAAATCATTTTCTAGTCCCCTGCAATGGAAAACTCGATGGATATCCAGACACGTTAATATAAAAATAGAAATACCTATGCAAAGAGTCAGGAACATTGTCAACTTGAAGTGAAAATGAGAAAAATGGCTGGGTGCGGTGGCTCACGCCTGTAATCCTAGCACTTTGGGAGGCCAAGGCAGGTGGATTGCCTGAGCTCAGGAGTTCGAGACCAGCCTGGGCAACACGGTGAAACACAGTTTCTACTAAAGTACAAAAAATTAGCCAGACGTGGCGGGCGGTGTGCGCCTGTAATCCCAGCTACTCGGGAGACTGAGAGAGGAGAATCACTTGAACCTGGGAGGCAGAGGTTGCAGTGAGCCGAGATCATGTCATTGCACTCCAGCCTGGGCAACAGAGCGAGACTCCATCTCCAAAAAAAAAAAAAGAAGGGCAGGGCAGGGCAGGGCAGGGCAGGGCAGGAGGGAGGAAGAAAGAAAGGAAAGAAAGGAAAGAAAGGAAAGAAAGAAAGAAAGAAAGAAAGAAAGAAAGAAAGAAAGAAAGAAAGGAAGGAAGCAAGCAAGCAAGCAAGCAAGCAAGCAAATGAGAAAAAAAACATTTCTGTGAATAAATGACCTTCCTGGAAAATGGAGGCAGACATGGTTGTGTTTTTTCATCCAAGTGTTTTTGAACATTGAAAAGAAAACAAAATCCTAGCTTTGTTAAGTGTTTTTTTGTTTGTTTTCAATCTCAGACACCACTTGGACCCAGCATGGTTGTAGGACCTCCTTCTTCAAGTGCTCCTCTCTGTCTCCTTGGGCACTCCAGGCAGTTGTCAGATAACCATCTCCAGCTTTTCCGTAAGCTGTGCTTGTAGCAACAGGGACTTATCTACTCTGATTCAAGAGTTCTTGAAATCACTTGTGCCATGGGTACCTGAAGCATTCCTTGACACATTTTCCTTTCCTATCTTTGCACTTCAGTGGTTCCGTTCCACTGCTTCTCGATGTCTCTCTTTACCCAGGCCTCATTCACATTCACCTGGAGGTTCCTGCTGTCCGCCTTCTGGCTTGCCTGCCTGCTTCTCTAGCTCTTCTCCCCCCCAGCTCATTCTGACATGCTTTACCTTATCTCAAAGTGTTAAGTCGTTTTCTGCAGACCTTTCACACAGATCAGAGTTTAGGTTTCTTTTCTGTTTTACTTTTTTTGTTTGCTTACATTCCCAAACTAGCACTGTTCTATCATATTTACACTTGATTATGTTGCTCAGGTTCCCTGTAAGTCAACTCCATGCTCATCTTCAATCTATAGGAATCTGTCTCATAATTGATAGTGACATCTGGGCAAGAAGCATCTTAATTGCTGTCTGTTATTTGCATAAATCTTCCATAAAACACAAAATGGGTTTTTAACCTTATTAATGAATAAACACGTTAGCCCATACAGGTGAAGTGTTAATTGCTTTTCTCAGTTAACGTCTTGAATGACAGCCTGATACAGGTGAACTGTCAAATTTGGGCGTATCTCTGAAATATGGCTTCTTTACCTATTCAATCCCTCATTTTCAAAATGATCTAACTTGTCACAACAGCAGCTTTGAGAATTTTCATTCTTAGGGACAGAATTATTTTTCTAGAGTTGAGTTAAATTTATTCAAGAATTTTAAATAAATCAAACATATATCTGCTGATTCAATCCAGCACAGACAGATCTTAAGGCCTTGGTTGATGGCTCAGGAATTACTAAACAGCATAAAATTACTCATTTATATCTTTCCTAACAGATACATATACACACATAAAGACTTCAAGGTTTGTACACTAGAAACCTAATCCCCACCATTACGCAATATATTAATGGAACAAACATGCACATGTACCGCCCCCCCCCACCACCAAATCTAAAATAAAATAAAATAACAGACTTTGAGGTTTTCTTTAGATGATTTTAAAACAAATTCATGATCTCAGGACACACACAAACTGATGTGATGGTGAGACAAAGCAACCCAAAGCATAGTGCAGGATAAACATATCTCTGGAGGATCATTCACAAAGTAGGTTACTTATGTACACATAATCAAAAGTTTCTAGTAAGTTGTTATGTTCTTCTGTTTAGAATATGTGATAAACATGATGCCTGTCATAACCATTATAATTATTAGAACCTTATGGTTAGAAATGAAACATTTGCACTCAGGTTTATTAGCCAGAACTAAATACATTGCTCCAGGTTTCATGTGCCCAAATCTCTCCTCTCACTTATTTTGGTACAGTAAATTGAAATGCATTACATGTTTCTTCACTTGTACTTCCCCTAACCTTTTCTTCCCCCCGCCCCCGCCCCGCCCCGCCCCGCCCCCACCCCCATTCTGTTTGTGTGCGGTTGATTACATGGCCCCGGTACAATAGCTTTTTTATTTCCAAAACGCATCATTGCAGGCCTGTAGGGGGAGCTCTTCTACGCTATGCTCTTGCTACTCAACATGTAGTCTGGAGAACTGCATCATCAACTGGGCCCTTGGCAGAAATCCAGAACATCTGGTCCCACCCCAGAAGGACCATATCAGAATTTGCATTTTAGCAAGATTACCATTTTCACATCAAAGTTAGAGAAATACTGCCATTCATGCTCCACCTTTTCCTTCCCTTTCCCAACTCTTGCTCAAGGGAAGACAATTTAAGAACCAATTTGACTGGCTGCTGCATTAGTAGACAGAATTCTTCAGTGAGAAGAGCAAATAAGAGTTACATCCCACATTATAGTAATCTCTTTTTGGATGACTTTCTTTCAATGGCACACGGGTAAAATGGCTTAGCCATGTGACTATTAGATTCTGAGTTTCACTCATACTCCATCCACTATCTTACGGAATAATTTTGGGTAGGGGCACTGTGCTAGGTTCTTGAGACAGACAAAAATGAGGCGAGGTAGTTTATGAAGGAAATTTATGTTGAGACACAATATAGCATAGTAGTTAAGAGTGTGAGCTCTGAAGAAATACTCCTGGATTCAAAGCCGGGTTCCGTAACACATTAGCTATGTGTCTTCTGGCAAATTACTTAATCTTTCTAGGCATGATGGGGATGATAACAATAGTATCTACTTCCTGAGTCTGTTATAAAAAAAAAAAGAAGTAGAGATATAAAATGTATAGAACCAGTGCCTAGCACATAATAATTGCATAAATTTTAAAAACCTATTACTATTATTGGGCATTAAGAAATCTCTGTTTCCAAGAGTGAAAGTAAAAAACTGAAATACTCTTAGGAAATCTTTACATTAAGCTGGAAGGTATGCTCCCAGGAACTGGAATACTAATAGGCAACAGTTTTTTTAAAACTAGATTTTTGGGCATTTTTAAGATGGAACAGCCGAGATACTATGGGTGATGATATAGTTTGGATGTGTGTTCCCACCCAAATCTCATGTGGAAATGTAATCCCATTGTTGGAGGTGGGGCCTGGTGGGAGGTGACTGGATCATGGGGGCAGATTTCTCAAGAATGGTTTAGCACCATCCCTCTGGTACTGTCGTCATGATAGTGTGTGAGTTCTTGTGAGATCTGGTCATTTAAAAGTGTGTAGCACCTCCTCCCCACCTCGCTCCTTCTCCAGCCATGTGACATGCCTGTTCCCCCTTCACCTTCCATCATCTGCCTGCTCCTCCTTCACTTTCCATCATGATTGTTAAGCTTCCTGAGGCCTCCCTGGAATCTGAGCAGATACCATTATGCTTCCTGTACAGTCTGCAGAATCCTGAGCCAACTAAACCTCTTTTCTTTATAATTACCCAATCTCAGGCATTTCTTTATAGCAATGCAAGAGTGGCTTAATTAATATAGGTGACATCACAAATTACTTATGATGCTAATTGATTAGAGACAAGGTATCAAGTCAAAGGGTGAGCTTAAGTTTACAATATGTTTACTGCCACATGGAATGGGTTAGATTTGTCCCACCACAAGACTACCAACTGTAGTCTAAGTCCCAAGCAACCATCTTGAACGTGTGTGTTGAGGCTCACAATTGGGGCAGGAGAGCATATATACTCGCATTACTGAAAATGTTAATTCAAAGTACATAGCTTAGCTGTTGTGTGTCAATCACACCTATTCCAGTGTTGGTATTCTCATGCTCCTGTACTCTGTCAACAATATATGGCTAAAACTACAAGACATGGGAAGAAATGCATTTGGAAGAGAAAACACATTCATGCCACTGAGCTTTCCATCATCCAAATTTTAAGCCCTATATTCATCCTCCAGAAGGGTGGCAACTCCTTATTAGTGAGGAAAGACAGCCTGCTTACCAAAGGTACAAAATCTGGTCTATTTGCAGTTCTAAGGGTCTCCATTCTCTTAAAAAATGATAACCCACACTTCTCAATTTACATTGTGTTTTAACCTGATCAACTTTAAAATGTAGAAAAAGTTCTTCAGGTCTCTGAGTTCAGCATTAGCCAACTATTTTGTAAATCTATCCCCATGACAAGTTTGGGAAAAGCCACAAGAAATCATAACAGCAACAAAAACCTCAACCCATACTATGCGATTACAAAAAAAAAAATAATACTTCAGTGGTTTTCTACCAAAAATAGTCTTTTAGTAACATAGTTCCCAACAATCTACAGGTATAATCCAGAGGTGTCCAGAATCCTCACCATGTCCCTGAAGGAGGTTCATTTTTTCGCCTTTGCCAGGTCCTACCTGAGGTCAGTGTGGGCTCACCATACTCAGTCATCTGTTCCTTGCTCAGTTTATTTCTCCATTTATAAGACCATTTGTTAATTTAAATGAGTCAAAACTTCACCAAACTCTTTCTTTAAATAGGAAGCCAACAGAATCATAGTTGTGGTGGACATTGTGTAACCTCCAGCTGCTAGAAGCACTGTCAGAATACAGCCTACCACTCTCAGCCCTAATTTCGGAGAGATACCTCACTCAAGACCCCATGGTAACAGCGGGGTCCTGGTAAATATTTAAGAAGTGGCTCTTCAATAAAATAAACAAACAAGCCCAGATTGATCGATTTCCAATTTCTGTGATGTAAATACTCCCTACATTGCCGATTTCAAGATACTGACATGACTGACTTCACTGAATGCAGAATGGGAATTGATGCACACAGTCAGCTCATGGGAGCTGGTATGAGCTAGCTCCAGCAAACCATGCGTGGTGGCCCATATCCAAAGACTGATTATGTGGGAGTAGAAAAAGACTGATTATGTGGGAGTAGAATGGCCTGGTGAACTCAGGACAACTTGGAAGGGACATTCCCGGGGTTAGGTCAGCTGAGGCTGTTGTCAGGTTAGCATTCACAGTTCAACCTTCCCATCTACCTAACCCTGCTTCCTTTCTCCTCCCTTACACAGGGATTGGTCCCAAGAACACGCCTGGCCAACATAGTGAAACCCCGTCTCCACTAAAAATACAAAGAATTAGCCAGGCGTGGTGGCAGGCACCTGTAATTCCAGCTACTTGGGAGGCAGAGGCAGGAGAATCACTTGAACCTGGGAGGCAGAGGTTGCAGTGAGCCGAGATCGTGCCACTGCACTCCAGCCTGGGCAACAAGAGTGAAACTCCATCTCAAAAAAAAAAACAAAAAACAAAAAACAAATAACAAAACAAAACAAAAAAACACATCCTATATGCTAAATTCTGTGTGCTTCCTGGGGAACCCAACCTATGAAAATTTATACTTTTTAAATCTCCATGTGTGCTGCCAGTGATCCTCTACTGTTCTAAAGAAGAGCCCTCACATGATTTTATACTTTTTGCAAACCAGATAATCCAATTTAATTATTAATACGAGGACACCACATTTGTATAAAAGACAATTGGAATTACACTTACAGATTTTTTTTTAGAAACTAACAGAAACCTTCATAGGACATAACAACACTCTCTAAAGTCTGAGTCTCTTTTGAGATTCCCGAGGCAGAGGTAACATTTCTAGGATACCTTCTACAATGCAAAATACTGTCTGCCTTTCTGCAACTGCACACAAGAAGGAACAATTTTCCTTTTTCTCTTGTGATAAAATGTATTTCATAAGCAGTTAGAAGGGCCTGCTATGTCAAGGCTGACCACTGATGTTCACAAATAAACATCATAAATAAAAAAATCAGGTTATAGTAGCCCAATACTTACAATATGAAAAGAAAGAGCAGAAAAATAATTTTAAAATATAGGCTGTGGGTCATGTAATGCTATGCACCGGCACTTTGATTCTGTTCACAAGACTCTCTTGGGTCTGGCATTGTTTGCTTCTATGTCCATGTTACCTTTGAGGACACAGATTACTCCATTCCCAGGAAACTCCTTGAGATTGTCTAAGGCGCTCTCTATTTCGGCTTACTCTGTAGCCACTTGTACTTCTATGTCACTCTTGTGCATGCAGGAGTCATTTTGGAAATTCTATGTAGCCGCTCCTCTAGCACCAAACAAACTCCAAAGGTCTACACACAACCCACAGCCACTTATACTGTTGTGAATTGCTGCCCCAGGAGGACCCACGAGGCACAAGGACTACCAGATTCATAGATTCCCTTAGGTTTGTTCCCAGTTCCACTCATCCTCTACTCCACTCAATCACACTGTTATAAATGGAGCTGTCTGCAGAACATGAGGGCGTGAAACAGCATTGAGAGGAAAAAAGCTGGAAGACTAGCTGAGCTCAGAGGGCACCTACGGTGAAATTCATAAAGTAAAACAACAATGAGTTACCCCTCCCCAAATCGTGTTAGTAATGGCGTTAATATTTGCAGGGGACCCAAAGGGTGTCTGGTACATCACTCATTGAGACTGTCACCCAGGAACGAATGTCTTTAAGGAACATATCAGATATATGGGGCACAGGCAATAACTTTCTTCTTTACTCTGTCAGCATGTGTGTGTGTAAAATGATTGATATGGTTTGGCTGTGTCTCACCCAAATCTCGTCTTGAATTGCAGTTCCCATAATCCCCACGTGTTGTGGGAGGGACCAGGTGGAAGGTAATTGAATCATGGGGGCGGTTACCCTCATGCTGTTCTTGTGATAGTGAGTGAATTCTCACAAGACCTGATGGTTTTATAAGGGGTTTTCCCCACCTTCATGCTCATTTCTCTCTCCTGCCACCATGCAAAGAAGGACATGTTGCTTCCCTTTCCACCATGATTGTAAGTTTCCTGTGGCCTCTCCAGCCCTGTGGAACTGTGAGTCAATTACACCTCTTTCCTTTATAAATTACCCAGTCTCGTGCAGTTCTTTATAGCAGTATGAGAACAGACTAACACAATGATGTACCTAAAATGAAGGTTAAAAAATCAGGGGGTGGAGGCAGAAAGGAACACTCGGGACAATAATTCAGACTGTTGGAATGACCGCAATGCCCTTCTCCTCAGCTCCAAGTTTAATTGCTGCTTTCTTCAGGATTTTCCAGAAAGCACTTACCCATTCTTCTTCACTCTGAAAATGAACTCCACTCTCTTTGCGCCTCTCTTAAGACAAGTAAGCCCCTATCATACACGAGTTTACATCATTTTGCCCTTACTCAACGATACATTTTTCAAGGGCAGCATTCATATCTGATTCACAGATCTCAGTTCCTTCAGCTAGTATCTTGCATGCCATGTAAGTAACCAGTGTATATCTCTGAAGAAATGCAGCAATGACAGTAGTAATTTGGGTCTGATCACAATGCAGCTTTCAGGAGCTTTCTCATGACTAGGCTTAAAGTGCTTTTCTTCTGTAAGATCTAAGCATCGGAGTGTAATGCCTCCTCGCTGTTTTAAAGTGAAATTGGTCATTAGAAATGAAATTAGGATCACAAATAATTTGTAAAAGTCTCTTCTAGGGCAGGAAAGAATGTAAATCTAATGCCCAGTAGCCTAATTAGGCTTTGAAATGTTATTGGTATATGAAACCCAAGTGCTTGTAAGCACCGATCTAGAACATCAAATGTGGTTTGAATATTTTTGTTCCCCAAAATTTGTATGTTGAAATCCTAACCCCGAAGGTGATGGTGTTAGAAGATGGGGCCTTTGGGAGGTGACTAGGTCATGAGAGGACAACCCTCATGAATGGGATTAGCTTGCCCTTATAAAACAGGCCTGAGAGAGACCCCATGCCTTTTCTGCCATGTGAGGTTACAATGAAAAGACAGCCATCAGTGAACCAGGAAGCGGGCCCTTACCAGACACCAAGTCTGTTGGTAACTTGATTTTGGACTTTCCAGGCTCCAGAGCTGTGAGAAATAAATTTCTGTTGTTTATAGGCCACCCAGTCTATGGTGTTTTGTTATAGCAGTGTGACCAGACTAAAACAATTTGCAAACGAACCCAGATTAGAATGCTTTTAGGTGTGAATCATGGTTGCAGGCAAGAAGGGCTGAAGGGAGGTTGGAGAGGCTGGAGAGTTGAGGCAAAGACCTATAATGGAGGTAGGTCTGATCTGATACTATAGGAGGTAAGAAATTAGAGATAGAAGGATGTTAAAGTTTCAGGACAAAAAAACCAATGTGGCTTTTGGGAAGAAATCAGGGCAGCCTGGAGGACTAGGACAAAAAATTCAGGTTAAGGATACAAGGGAAATGGAGAAGGATGGTTTGGGTCAGTTTGAGTTCTAGACTTCTGACATGGATTAATTTATTGACTTGGTTAACAATGATGGAAAACTAAAAGAAGTATCTGCACATTAAATAACTTGATAAAGAATGCATTTAATTTCATGATTATCTACTTTCAGAAAGCAAAAAGAAAGGATTCTACTAATAAGAATGGCAATAGAAACCATGTGTTCATCTGTTTTGAGCACCTACAATATGCGATATTATGAGAAAGAACTGGCTGAATAAACAAAAATGAAGAAATGCTTTATGTGCCAGGCAATCTACATATTAGCTGATTAACTATCAAGAGAAAGTTATATTAGTTTATATACTAACATAAACATTACATTGTAGACAACATGACCTAGGCTTATAAAATAAGAGTTTGCCAAGAGAAAGGCAGACTGGATTACTAAGGAATCTTCTCTGTTGCCCTCTCTCTAGACAGGTGTTTGCTTATAGTAGGCCTGCCTCATAGGGTAATAGTTGCTTATAGTAAGCCTGCCTCTACATTGTACTTGGGAGCTGCCATGCAATTCCTACAGAAACTGTCCAGCACTACAGTTTCACCTTGTGTAACTGGCATAAATTGATTCTAGATAAATAAATTAGATACAGCACAGCTGTGTGTGGATAACGGAAAGATATGAGGATGTAACGATATATACCCTTATAGTGTATTTGGATCAAAACCAATAAATTAATTCACATTCAGCCTATAACCATAAGCACACTAACAGGACTACAATAGCGAGTAGAAAAGGTGACAATACTCCTACGTACAATTAATGTACCATGTTATGAAGCATTTTAAGACCACTTTTCTAATTGTCTTTTATCTTTATCCCATGCATGGTTTCCCTCCAGTTCTCCAGTTTGTTTTTGTTCAGGCTTGGCCACAGCTGCTCCTGCTTATACCATGCTGCTTTCTAAAATTTTAGCTATCATCACCAATTTCACACACTTCTACTATTTATTGCCTAGATACGAAAGCAGTTCTTCATTTTTATTTCAAGGTACCCCGATTTTCTGTCTCTTCCTGCAGTAGCCTTGGGAAGGGTGATTCTGATGCAAATGTGTTGAGTCATTGTGGGGATTCAGTGAGGTAACAATGCTTTTGACTGTCACTGAGGCATTTAACAAATGGTAGTCTCCCCTCCCACATCCCCATTTTCCTGTTATATAAATTATAGTTATTATTACAGTATCTGGCCCTGACTAGTCTCACCTCACTCCTGCAGAACAAAATTCTTTGGTGAACAAATTATTTCTGTTTAACTGGTTGCACCCACCTAACAGTGCAACACCTAAACTCAACAGTTTTGCATTGCATCTGCAATGTTCAACAGTCTATAAATCACTTTCTTATGCACTGTTCATTTGCATCTCATAACAACTCTATGAGGTAGGTAATAATAGTAAGGGAAACTGAGGTACAGAGACATTAGAGGCTTACTTAAGGTCAACTATCCAATTAGCGAAAGAGCTGGAAGATGCTGTTTTCCTGCTTCTTGACTGTTCTTTCCATAAGACTATAATGTTTCCCAAAGAAATGCTTGCTAACGATTCTTTGAAAATTAAAATACACATAATATATACAAAATCACCTGATTCACCAAGTCTATCTATATTGGGCACGGGGATCCCTGTTCTCAGCTTGTAAGTGTCCATTGTGTGAAAGACTGGTATGACATTTAGTGTAAACCTAATTTAAAAAAAAACAATACATCTAAATACTTCTCAGTCAGAAACAGCCAGGCAACAGCTCCCTTGACCCAAAGCCAACTTCAAGAGCCAATTTTTCCCAAACGACAGAAAGGCAGGATAGAGCAGCCATAATTATTTCTATGAGATAATCCTACCACCTCAGGTCTTCTAAGGTGCAAGTGAATGCACTTAATTGCTCAGCTGTGTATTTGCTTGAATGTAATCAACCACTTACTGGGAGTTGCTGTCTAACTATTAGGATATTGGCACAAGAAAAGCTAAATAAATTAGAGAGAGTTCACTCTTTATAAAGCTGCTTTTGGAAGGAAAGTGTCTTCCATGTTCAGAGCCAGGGGGAGTTGGAAAGGAACAAGGTTGGAAGTCAGGCTGCAGTCATAACAAAATGCTTACTCCTTGCGAGCGTTGCCCCATTCCCTGTTAACACAGGACATGGCCCAAAGCCGCTGACCTCTGTAGAGTGCTCTTCTGTCATTCTGGAGTGATGGCCAGTCTTATTAAATGCACCTATTACCCGCAGAGCGAGCACCAGCATGAAATGAGTTGTGCTTGATGAGCAAGGAGGACAAGAAGCTTGCTTTTTTAGCATGAATAACATCTGTTCCTTCAAGCATGAATACAGCAGCAAGGGGAGGAGATGACCAGACAAGGCAGAAAAACAAACAGCATGATGTTTGGTCTCCAGGGTAATTACCTTGATATCTGGGTGTTTGTCTTTTGTCCACAGGGCCTTGTGCAGCTTGAGCACACTCTGCCCAAGGGCTGTAGCTATGAGAAAGGCTCTCAGTCCATGAGCTGTTACAGTGAAGGGTCTGTGGGCCCATTTAAAAAATAATAAAAGGCTAACTGCATTTTCTTTCAAGAAGAGACTTCTGAGAAAAGACTGGAAGGAGAGGTTACTTCAGGTAGTAGACACATTTAAAGGAAAGGCTCTAAATGTGAAATGATGGCTCTTCTAAGATTAAAAGACCACTGCTGTGGTTTTATTCTTAGATCTTAAGTGGCTCTTTAATATTTTGAACGTTCTATCAAACGCAACCTTCTTTCACCTATTGTCCCAGCCTCCAGTTCATCTCTATTTTATCCTGTCCACCACTCTAGAACTTAAAGTACTATTTTGTTTGTTGGCTATTTGCTTGCTTGTTTGTTTGCTTGGTTATTTATTGGCCTGGTTGCTTGCTTCCTTGAGTGTTTGCATTGAGAATTCTATCAGTATTTTAAAAACCATCATTTGTATGTATCACAATATGTCATAAAATACATTTTTTTTTTTGCTCAACAATGTGCTAATCCTTTTTGCTTTTGCAATCAATTTTATTCTTTCAGCTTGGCAAATAAAATGTCCTCTATTCATTTGCTCACATCCTCTTCTCTTCAATCCAACCACTTGTTTCCTGATGGGTTCTATTCAAGAACCTCACTTTTATGTTTCTTGCTGTTTTCTACCCTCAAGAAGTACCACTTATAATTTGGGGGTCGGAGGGGGCAATGAAAACTGAAAATGTGGAAGCCCTTGTTCAAAAAGCAGTAAAAAGTTTCATTAAGTGTACTAAAATATAAACCTTTGTCTTTCTTCTGCAGTCTCTCTCAACTTCTCATGGTGTTTTAAATCTATTTGATGTTCTTCTGAGTAATGCAAAATCAAAAATTTTAATCATTCCCGTATATTTTAACATTCATTTTTATATTGTGCAATGCCAGTTTTAAATGGAAATATAGGAACATTTTACTTGTTTACAAAATCACAGTTCATATTTCATAGCTCATACATGCATATGTATTTCACAAGTTTTTGTTTACCTTCTTGATATGACCACATGTACCAACACTCCCTACCTTCAACTTAATAATGGGTAACGAAAGACTGAAAGGAAAAGAAATTATGGATTACCCTATCTTTTCCCTTTACTTCAATATCATCTTTTTCAGTGTAAGTGGTTGGCTAATATGGGGAAGTAACAGGAGTAAGAATGGATACGACAGGGTTTCTCAGTTCTACATGTTTCTTAGAATGCCCTTATCCTCTTGCTGCGTGTCTGAAGCAAGTTCCTGTTGGAATGAAAAATGTGCCCTCTCCAGGATGTCAGCAGTCCCTCACTTTCCTGCTTACTCAGTCATAGAAGTAACACATTTATCTTATACTTGATTTATGTCTCACTGAACTCCCCTACATCATGAGACCACTGGAATTCTGTGTTCATAGGAGCATCTCTAATGCTAATATGTGAGCAGGGCAGCAAGGAGTGGGGGACACACATATTGCACATGTCTCCTCTGCTCATTCATGCTCCCTTGTCCCCTAGGACTTCACTTATAAAACACAAGTTCAAGGATAAAATTATTAAGAATGTCAAGGGAGGGAGGTTCCAAGATGGCCGAATAGGAACAGCTCCAGTCTACAGCTCCCAGCGTGGACAACGCAGAATACGGGTGATTTCTGCATTTCCAACTGAGGTACCAGGTTCATCTCACTGGGGCTTGTCGGACAGTGGGTGCAGCCCATGGAGCAGGTCGGATCATTGCCTCATCTGGGAAGTGCAAGGGGTAGGGGAATTCCCTTTCCTAGCCAAGGGAAGCTATGACAGACGGTACCAGGAAAATCAGGACACTCCCACCCTAATACTGCACTTTTCCAATGGTCTTAGCAAATGGCACACCAGGAGATTACATCCCGCACCTGGCTTGGAGGGCCCCAAGCCCACGAAGCCTCACTCACTGCTAGCACAGCGGTCCAAGATTGAACTGCAAGGTGGCAGCAAGGCTGGGGGAGGGGCATCCGCCATTGCTGAGGCTTAAGTAGGTAAACAAAGCAGCCCGGGAAGCTCAAACTGGGTGGAGCCCACCACAGCTCAAGGAGGCCTGCCTGCCTCTGTATACTCCACATTCTGGGGACAGGGCATAGCTAAACAAAAGGCAGTAGAAACTTCTGCAGACTTAAACGTCCCTGTCTGACAGCTTTGAAGAGAGTAGTGGTTCTCCTAGCATGGACTTTGAGATCTGAGAATGGACAGACTGCCTCCTCAAGTGGGTCCCTGACACCCAAGTAGCCTAATTGGGAGACATCTCCCAGTAGGGGCTGACTGACACCTCATACAGCCGGGTGCCCCTCTGAGACGAAGCTTCCAGAGGAAGGCTCAGGCAGCAATATTTGCCATTCTGCAATATTTGCTGTTCTGCAGCCTCCACTGGTGACACCCAGGCAAACAGCGTCTGGAGTGGACCTCCAGCAAACTCCCAACAGACCTGCAGCTGAGGGTCCTGACTGCTAGAAGGAAAACTAACAAACAGAAAGGACATCCACACCAAAACCCCATCTGTACGTCACCATCATCAAAGACCAAAGGTAGATAAAACCACAAAGATGGGGAGAAACCAGAGCAGAAAAGCTGAAAATTCTAAAAATCAGAGCACCTCTTCTCCTCCAAAGGAGTGCAGCTCCTCGCCAGCAACGGAACAAAGCTGGGCAGAGAGTTATTTTGATGAGTTGAGAGAAGAAGGCTTCAGACGATCGGTAATAACAAACTTCTCCAAGCTAAAGGAGGATGTTCGAACCCATCACAAAGAAGCTAAAAACCTTGAAAAAAGATGAGACGAATGGCTAACTAGAATAAACAGTGTAGAGAAGCCCTTAAATGACCTGATGGAGCTGAAAACCATGGCACAAGAACTACATGATGCATGCACAAGCTTCGATAGCTGATTCGATCAAGTGGAAGAAAGGGTATCAGTGATGGAAGATCAAATGAATGAAATGAAACGAGAAGGGAAGTTTAGAGAAAAAAGAGTAAAAAGAAATGAACAAAGCTACCAAGAAATATGGGACTATGTGAAAAGACCAAATCTACGTCTGATTGGTGTACCTGAAAGTGACGGGGAGAATGGAACCAAGTTGGAAAACACTCTGCAGGATATTATCCAGGAGGACTTCCCCAACCGAGCAAGGAAGGCCAACATTCAAATTCAGGAAATACAGAGAACGCCACAAAGATACTCCTCGAGAAGAGCAACTCCGAGACACATAATTGTCAGATTCACCAAAGTTGAAATGAAGGAAAAAATGTTAAGGGCAGCCAGAGAGAAAGGTCAGGTTACCCACAAAGGGAAGCCCGTCAGACTAACAGCGGATCTCTCAGCAGAAACTCCACAAGCCAGAAGAGAGTGCGGGCCAATATTCAACATTCTTAAACAAAAGAATTTTCAACCCAGAATTTCATCTGCAGCCAAACTAAGTGAAGGAGAAATAAAATCCTTTACAGACAAACAAATGCTGAGAGATTTTGTCACCACCAGGCCTGACTTACAAGGGCTCCTGAAGGAAGCACTAAACATGGAAAGAACAACCGGTACCAGCCACTGCAAAAACATGCCAAATTGTAAAGACCATCGAGGCTAGGAAGAAACTGCATCAACTAACGAGCAAAATAACCAGCTAACATCATAATGACAGGATCAAATTCACACATAACAATATTAACCTTAAATGTAAATGGGCTAAATGCTCCAATTAAAAGACACAGACTGGCAAATTGGATAAAGAGTCAAGACCCATCAGTATGCTGTATTCAGGAGACCCATCTCACATGCAGAGACACACATAGGCTCAAAATAAAGGGATGGAGGAAGATCTACCAAGCAAATGGAAAACAAAAAAAAGCAGGGGTTGCAATCCTAGTCTCTGATAAAACAGACTTTAAACCAACAAAGATCAAGAGAGACAAAGAAGGCCATTACATAATGGTAAAGGGATCAATTCAACAAGAAGAGCTAACTATCCTAAATATATATGCACCCAATACAAGAGCACCCAGATTCATAAAGCAAGCCTGTAGAGATCTACAAAGAGACTTAGACTACCACACAATAACAACTGGAGACTTCAACACCCCACTGTCAACATTAGACAGATCAATGAGACAGAAGGTTAACAAGGATATCTAGGAATTGAACTCAGCTCTGCACCAAGTGGACCTAATAGACATCTACAGAACTCTCCACCCCACATCAACAGAATATACATTCTTCTCAGCACCACATCGCACTTATTCCAAAATTGACCACATAGTTGGAAGTAAAGCACTCCTCAGCAAATGTAAAAGAACGGAAATTATAACAAACTGTCTCTCAGACCACAGTGCATTCAAACTAGAACTCAGGATTAAGAAACTCACTCAAAACCACTCAACTACATGGAAACTGAACAACCTGCTCCTGAATGACTACTGGGTACATAACGAAATGAAGACAGAAATAAAGATGTTCTTTGAAACCAGCGAGAACAAAGACACAACATACCAGAATCTCTGGGACACATTTAAAGCAGTGTGTAGAGGGAAATTCATAGCACTAAATGCCCACAAGAGAAAGCAGGATAGATCTAAAATTGACACCCTAACATCACAATTAAAAGAACTAGAGAAGCAAGAGCAAACACATTCAAAAGCTAGCAGAAGGCAAGAAATAAGATCAGAGCAGAACTGAAGGAGATAGAGACACAAAAAACCCTTCAAAAAATCAATGAATCCAGGAGCTGGTTTTTTGAAAGGATCAACAAAATTGATAGGCCGCTAGCAAGACTAATAAAGAAGAAAAGAGAGAAGAATCAAATAGACACAATAAAAAATGATAAAGGGGATATCACCACCGATCCCACAGAAATACAAACTACCATCAGAGAATAGTATAGACACCTCTATGCAAATAAACTAGAAAATCTAGAACAAATGGATAAATTCCTCGACACATACACCCTCCCAAGATGAAAACAGGAAGAAGTTGAATCCCTGAATAGACCAATAACAGGCTCTGAAATTGAGGCAATAATTAATAGCCTACCAACCAAAAAAAGTCCAGGACCAGATGGATTCACAGCCGAATTCTACCAGAGGTACAAAGAGGAGCTGGTACCATTCTTTCTGAAACTATTCCAGTCAATAGAAAAAGACAGAATCCTTCCTAACTCATTTTATGAGGCCAGCATCATCCTGATACAAAAGCGTGGCAGAAACACAACAAAAAAAGAGAATTTTAGACCAATATCCCTGATGAACATTGATGCAAAAATCCTCAATAAAATACTGGCAAACCGAATCCAGCAGCACATCAAAAAGCTTACCCACAGCAATGAAGTTGACTTCATCTCTGGGATGCAAGGCTGGTTCAACATATGCAAATCAATAAATGTAATCCAGCATGTAAACAGAACCAAAGACAAAAACCACATGATTATCTCAATAGATGCAGAAAAGGCCTTTGACAAAATTCAACAGCCCTTCATGCTAAAAACTCTCAAGAAACTAGGTATTGATGGGACGTATCTCAAAATAATAAGAGCTATTTATGACAAACCCACAGCCAATATCATACTGAATGGGCAAAAACTGGAAGCATTCCCTTTGGAAACTGGCACAAGACAGGGATGCCCTCTCTCACCATTCCTATTCAACATAGTGTTGGAAGTTCTGGCCAGGGCAATCAGGCAGGAGAAGGAAATAAAGGGTATTCAATTAGGAAAAGAGGAAGTCAAATTGTCCCTGTTTGTGGTTGACATGATTGTATACTTAGAGAACCCCATCATCTCAGCCCAAAATCTCCTTAAGCTGATAAGCAACTTCAGAAAAGTCTCAGGATACAAAATCAATGTGCAAAAATCACAAGCATTCCTATACACCAATAACAGACAAACAGAGAGCCAAATCATGAGTGAACTCCCATTCACAATTGCTTCAAAGAGAATAAAGTACCTAGGAATCCAACTTACAAGGGATGTGAAGGACCTCTTCAAGGAGAACTACAAACCACTGCTCAGCAAAATAAAAGAGGACACAAACAAATGGAAGAACATTCCATACTCATGGATAGGAAGAATCAATATCATGAAAACGGCCATACTGCCCAAGGTAATTTTTAGATTCAATGCCATCCCCATCAAGCTATCAATGACTTTCTTTACAGAATTGGAAAAAACTACTTTAAAGTTCTTATGGAACCAAAAAAGAGCCTGCATTGCCAAGACAATCCTAAGCCAAAAGAACAAAGCTGGAGGCATCACGCTACCTGACTTCCAACTATACTACAAGGCTACAGTAACCAAAACAGCATGATACGGGTACCAAAACAGAGATATAGACCAATGGAACAGAACAGAGCCCTCAGAAATAATACCAGACATCTACAACCATCTGATCTCTGACAAACCAGACAAAAACAAGAAATGGGGAAAGGATTCCCTATTTAATAAATGGTGCTAGGAAAACTGGCTAGCCATATGTAGGAAGCTGAAACTGGATCCCTTCCTTACACCTTATACAGAAGTTAATTCAAGACGGATTAAAGACGTAAATCTTAGACCTAAAACCATAAAAACCCTAGAAGAAAATCTAGGCAATACCATTCAGGACATAGGCATGGGCAAGGACTTCATGTCTAAGACACCAAAAGCAATGGCAACAAAACCCAAAATTGACAAATGGGATCTAATTAAACTAAAGAGCTTCTGCACAGCAAAAGAAACCACCATCAGAGTGAACAGGCGACCTACAGAATGGGAGAAAATTTTTACAATCTACCCACCTGACAAAGGGCTAATATCCAGAATCTACAAAGAACTTAAACAAATTTACAAGAAAAAATCAAACAACCCCATCAAAAAGTGGGCAAAGGATATGAACAGACACTTCTCAAAAGAAGACATTTATGCAGCCAACAGACACATGAAAAAATGCTCATCACCACTGGCCATCAGAGAAATGCAAATCAAAACCACAATGAGATACCATCTCACACCAGTTAGAATGGTGATCATTAAAAAGTCAGGAAACAACAGGTGCTGGAGAGGATGTGGAGAAATAGGAACACTTTCACACTGTTGGTGGGACTGTAAACTAGTTCAATCATTGTGGAAGACAGTGTGGCGATTCCTCAAGGATCTAGAACTAGAAATATCATTTGACCCAGCCATCCCATTACTGGGTATATACCCAAAGGATTATAAATCTTGCTGCTATATAGACACATGCATACGTATGTTTATTGCGGCTGTATTCACAATAGCAAAGACTTGGAAACAACCCAAGTGTCCATCAATGATAGACTGGATTAAGAAAATGTGGCGGCCGGGCGCGGTGGCTCACGCCTGTAATCCCAGCACTTTGGGAGGCCGAGTCGGGCAGATCACGAGGTCAGGAGATCGAGACCATCCTGGCTAACACGGTGAAACCCCGTCTCTACTAAAAATACAAAAAAAAAAAATTAGCCGGGCGTGGTAGCGGGCGCCTGTAGTCCCAGCTACTCGGGAGGCTGAGGCAGGAGAATGGCGTGAACCTGGGAGGCGGAGCTTGCAGTGAGCCGAGATCGCGCCACTGCACTCCAGCCTGGGCGACAGAGCGAGACTCCGTCTCAAAAAAAAAAAAAAAAAAAAAAAAAAAAAAAGAAAGAAAATGTGGCACAAATACACCATGGAATACTATGCAGCCATAAAAAAGGATGAGTTAATATCCTTTATAGGGACACGGATGAAGCTGGAAGCCATCATTCTGAGCAAACTATCGCAAGGACAGAAAACCACACACCGCATGTTCTCACTCACAGGTGGGAACTAAACAATAACAACACTTGGACAAAGCATAGGGAGCATCACACACCGGGGCCTGTCGTGGGGTGGGGGAAGGGGGAAGGGATAGCATTAGGAGATATACCTAATGTAAATGACGAGTTGATGGGTGCAGCATACCAACATGGCACATGTGTACATATGTAAAAAACCTGCACGTTGTACACATGTACACTAGAACTTAAAGTATAATAAAATAAATAAATAAGAATTTCAAGTTGGTGATAACAGAGCATTAAACCAAAGGTAAGGCCCTTCTGAGTTTGGGGCCTTGTGTGACTGTACAGGTTGCATGCCCATGAAATCAGACCTGCCCTTAAGTCCATGATGATGTCTTCACATCAGAGTGCCCAGTTTAGGTCATCAAAGAAAATTTTTTTTCTCTTCAGTGAAGGGAAGGCAGTTGAGATCAATGACAGGGTAACGTTAGTGAGGGCAGGAACCACACATCACCTTACACTTTATCTATTTGTTGAATAGACAAAAAAGTGACTACAGTTGGACAGAAAGAAAATGACAGAAAGAAAAGAAAAGAAAACAGAAGAAAAGAAAAAAAAGAAAACAGAAGAGAAGGCAAGAAAAGAAGAAAAGAAAAGAAAAAAGAAAAAAAGAAAAAGAAAAAAAGAAAAGAGCTACCGTAACTTTTTTGGAGTGAAGTGATTAAGAGCACCAATTCTAGAGCCAGGCTGCCTGGGTTCCCATCTTCGTTCTATCAAATACTAGTTGTGCCACCTTGGGTAAGTTACATAACTTCTCTTGGCCTCAGTTTACTTATTTGTGAAATGGGGATGGTGAGAATAGTATGTGCCTCGTAGGGTGAGTATCGAATGAGTCAATGCATGTGAAGTGTTTAGAAGAGTGCCTGGCACATATTAAGCATTATGGAAGCAAGTGACAAGTCATATTCTTTCCAGAAGTTTCTTATTTACTTCTCACAAGGCTAAGAGCCATGCATTTGTATATCCGTTTAACATATGAGGAAAATAAGGCTCAGGTAAATGATATGATGATGTAATTTGCTAAGTTTACAGAGCTAGTAAAATACGAGAATTTTAACTTGGACTATATCCTGAACTTACATGTCAACACCATCTCCTGGTATAACCTTACGGTATTCCTCTTGTTTCCCAAAATAAACTTATTTTTCATATACTATACAGTGTCTATAGCATGCCTCAATTTATATACTGGTAGGTTTCTGAAAAAAGTGACAAATAAATTTGTACTACTCTAGCCGTTTAAAATATAAAGTAAACTACTTTTATGGAATCAAATGGTTAATGCTTTTGTGGGTTAAATGATAACCTCACTAAATTTTTGAGTTGTAATTTTTTATTAGCATTTCTTCGAAATGGATATCACTCCTATTAGTATGTTGTTGGAGATAGCTGACGTTTTTCTGTTAATGTCTCGGAATTTCTTTGATTCTCAAAAGAAACACCGTGAGATAAACCAAGGACTCCCGTAAATCACCAAGAGACAACCTAGTAAAATAGAACCCTTTTATTGAGAAAGAACATAAGTTTAGGGATAATAGGACGCGGTATTTGGGATCAAACAGCATTAGATATCTGGCTGCCCATCTCCTCAGCCTGACGAAAATGTGATATCTTGCCAGAATCATAATCTCCCAAAGATGGGATCAGCTGTATATTATCATTAATAAGCTAATTATTTTATGGAGGCAAACATGAAAATATTTTTAAGGTATTTCATAAATTCAATCCCAGTCTTGATGTCTGATTTCTATTTTCCCAAAAGTGCTCTTTATCTGGGTACTTCCCTTCCATAGAGGTGTTGGTCTCAAGGTCTAACCTGATAATTGAAGAGCAACTTACTGACATTATAGAGTATTAAGTGAAAAAAAGCAAGATGGCAAACAACATATCCAGTGTGATCTAATTTTGGTAAAATAGGAGCTATAGATATAGATAGAAGCTATTCTAGAAGAATATGTAATAAAAGGCTAATAGTGACATAATCGAAGTTGTAGAAATAAAATGCCTTTGTTTTCTTATTTTTTGTGTTCTCAAATTTTCTAAAATGCATATATACTGCTTTTGTAATGAGCAGTCCTAGCTCAAAACTTACAAGGAAGTGTTTTTGTACACACACACACACACACACACACACACGTCATTCATTTATCTGTGACAGAATAGGCAAATGCATAGAGACAGAAAGTAGATTAGTGATTGCCAGGGGCTGGAGGAATAGCAAATGGGGAGTGAGTGCTAATGGGTACAAGGGTTTCTTTTGGGGGTGATGAAAATGTTTTAAAATTAGCTTGTGGCAATGATTGCACAACTCCAAATACGCTAAAAAAAACACTTAATTATCTACTTTAAATGGGTGAATCATATGGTATATGAAATATATCTCAATAAAGCTGTAAAAGTATCTATGACATGTTTTTCTTAATGACAGATCAACTCTCCTTCAAATCAACATGCTTCTTGTTCAATCCCAAGCTGCTAGGAACTTGAAGAATACACACTGGGGTTGGCCGAATGGTCTTTATGAGCTCTTCTGTTTCCAAAATTCCTAATATTAGTCTAAAATAAAAATTGCTTCTCAGAAAATCAAAGGATATTTTCCAAAATAAACAGATATTTGTAGATTGTCTAGTGTCGCCTCATAGAAAGAGTAAAGATAACTCAGGAGTTCTGAGTTCCTCTACTGACTGCTACTCCCAATCTGGGTGACCTTTGGCAAGTCATTCCACCTCCTGGGCTTTGTTTTTCTATATGTAAAATGGACAGATTGGACCACATGACTGCCCGGGTTTCTTTCAATTTGAGTTTTGTGATTTTATATGGTCAGGTGTTTGACGATTTTTGGAAATTAGATTAACTTTCTAAAACATCACTACTGAGTTCTTTCTAAATAAAATATTTTTGAAAAGTTTAATCCTTATTTTCCAGTGTTAAATGACCTCACATACACCCCAGTAAGTAAGCAAAATGGCTAAAACATGATTCAATCCAAATATTGAGGCTGGGAATAGTGAAAAAAAAAAAAAAAGTGTGTGTGTGTGTGTGTGTGTGTGTGTGTTTCTTGGTTTCAAGCATGAATGCTCTGGCACCTCTCCAGAAAACATCCATCTGCTTTTTACCTAATGGCAAGGACTTCCAAACCAAGCTGCAATTTTTATGCCTTTCCTCCAAAAAAAACAGGAAGCAGCAGCCAGCTCAGCGGTGCTAACCTCCAATGGCCAGTACTGTTGTTTGTGATCACGGGCAGCTGAAAGCCAAGGCTGCAGAAGCTGCAGGAGATGTCAGTTCTGACACGTGGGTCCCCGTGGTGCCCAGAGCCTGCACTGGCTGACGCAAGCCTTGCAGGTGCACTTGGTTAGGAAGGCAGAACCTGGACTCTCAGAAGCAGTCCATGTTTTCAAGCCCCCTCCAGGGACCCCGAGGCGGAGGGGCTGAGACAAGGATAGAGATGGAAACTCTGTAGAAAACCAGGGGTAAACAAGAAGACTTTTCTGACATTTTTGCTTGAGGGCTCAATATTTTGAATAGCTTCAACATTTCCGAAATAAGATTTCTATGTTCTCATGCCAGGGCTTTTAAATGTTTCAAGCAAAAGTGAATGGATTATGAGATTGAGTTCATGATGATTAGAGGGTTAAGGGAGCACTGTCAAAGAATGGAAAGCTAACACTAAAACAAGCCAAACTATAATTGTAGGACATTTGATTCTTTTCTTTGTGATCTCTCCATCTCCCGTTGTTGGTACTTCTAATTAAAGCTATTTCCAATAAAAATAAAAGAGGTCACGCTTGCTCATGTTGCTCCCTCTTCAGTACTCTACTTGGTTTGTGACTTTAACATAGTCTAGTAAATTCTAATTACTGTCCCTTTTCCCTCCCGTAACAAGCTCTCCTTTTTTGAAAATAATTCGTGATGGCAGCAGCTCTGGTAGGGTGTTGGCTAGGCTGCTGAATTCAATATCTAGGCCTGCTAGAGCAAGGCACAAAGCATTCAGGGATATGGAGCTGCAGACAAGAAAATTTAAATATTTTGAGGTTTTTAAAAATAGAATAGAGATAGTTACTATATTAAAGTTCAAAGGCCGATCTCTGTAATGGTCCCAATTGGTTGAAATTATTTTACTTCTTTCTTTAATTGTATACATTTAAGGTATACACCATGATGTACTGAAGTACATATAATAGTGAAGAGGTTTCTACAGTCAAGGAAATTAATATATCCATCATCTCACATAGGTACCTTTCTTTTTCTTTTTGTGGTAAAAGTACCTGAAATCTGCTATCTTAGCAAATTTTCTGTATACAATACAATATTATTAACGATAGACTTTTAGACTTATTCATCCTCCATAACGATAACTTTGTACCCCTTGACCCACATTTCTCCATTTTTTCCATCCCACCGCCACCCTCATCCCTGCATCTGGTAATCATTGTCCTACTCTCCGTTTCTATGTATTTGATTTTTTTTTTTTTTTTCAGAATCATGACATCATGCAGTATTTTTACTTTTGTGTCTGGCTTACTTCATGTAGCATAATGTCCCCTAGGTTCATCCATGCTGTCAAAAATGGTAGGACCTCCATTTTTAAGCTAAATAGTATTCTATGCCACAAATCCTTTATCCATTCATTCGTGGATGGACACTTAAGTTGCTTCCATATCTTGGCTATTGTGAATAATGCTGCAATAAACATAGGAATGCATATTTTTATAGGATGGTGATTTCGTTTCCTTTGGGTACAAACACAGGAGAGGGATTACTGGGTTATGTGGTAGTTCTATTTTCAATTTCTTTAGGAACCTCCAGTACTGTTTTCCACAATGGCTGTACCAATCTACATTCCCATTAACAGTGGACAAGGGTTCCCTTTTCTCCATACCTTCGACCACAATGGTTATCTTTTGTCCTTGGGATAAATGCCATCCAAATGGATGTGAGGTGATATTTCACTGTGGTTTTGATTTGCAATTAGCAAATGTTGAGCACCTGATTAGCCATGTTGAGCAGCTTTTCATATACCTGTTGGCCATTTTTATGTCTTCTTCGTTTTTTGTTATTTATTTATTTTTATTGGATAAATATTTATTCAGGTCATTTGCCCATTTTTAAATTGGATTATCTGGTTTTGTTTTTGTTTTTTGTTGTTGAATTCTATGAGTTTCTTATATATTTTGAATATTAACATCTTGTCAGATACATGGTTCTCAAATATTTTTCTCCCAGTCTGTACACTGTTTTTTTGTTTGTTTGTGTTATTGATTGTTTCCTTTGCTGTGCAGAAACTTTTTAGTTTGATGTAGTCCCACTTGTTTATTTTTGCTTTTGTTGCCTGTACTTTTGGTGTCCTATGCTTACTTCTTTTAAAAAGGGAGAGAATAAGTTCAAACTTTACTGAATCATCCTTTCTTTTGGTCAAATGTACATATAAACTTCTCACTTTGCTTCTGTGTGCCTACTGCTAGTTGTATAGAACGGAAACATAGTTCAGAAGAATATCACAGAGTAACGTTCGTGGGCTCAAAGAATCGGCAGGCAGATTTCTGGTTAAAGAGGTAGTAATGTCTTATAGAAAAATACCGAAATTATTTCTTTGGCTGATTAGCTGTATATTTTGACACCCTGGTGGTCACTGTGTTTAGAGAACTACTCTTACTAGTTCTACAAAAAGAGATAAAGATGGAAAGTACCATTTGGAATATACTGTATTATTGTTCACAGCTATTCAGAGACCCTACCTATACCATCAACTATCTGTTGAACTCGGGCATGACCGGATAAGTTCCTTTGACCAGTAAAATATGAGCAGAAGTGACATGTATCACTTAGCGACAGAACTTTAAGAGTCAGGACATAATTCTCCAGTTTCTTTTATGCCTCCTTCTAGGATTACGGAAGCAAGTATCTGGAATTATCAGCCTGGATCAGTGAGAAAACATGAGCAGAGCCCCAGTGCTGATCTGCAATAGACATGAAATGTGAGTGAGAAATAAACATTGTTCTATTAAGCTGCTGCTATTTGGGAGTTGTCTTGTTACAAAACCATAACCTATTTTTTTATGACCAATACATTAACCTTGCCCTTGAAATTTTTAACTACTATAGTAGGTAGGACAAATACACATATCTGTGCTTATATAAATGATACATACAAATTCAAATCCCACCTAGTACAGAAATATAGATGGAACTGTTGAAAGAGGAAGGATAAGAAGGAAACATGTATCAGGGAAGAAAAACCTCTAGATGACCTAGACTCAGGTGAAGTTACTTTAGAAAGTTCTGTAAATGAACTTTGAAGAAACTTCTGGAGAAGAAAAGCTAAGTGAATCATGGGAGAGGCTCCTCCAAGGAGGTGTTATTTTGTGGAAGCACATAGACATAACAACAGTAAGAATGTCAGGAACTTACTCACCAGGTCATTCCCATCCCTCCCTCCCCCACCCCTTCAGATCTAAGGATTCTTTCTGTTCCACTCAGTAGTGGTCATGTCTTCTCAATTTACATACTGTTCAATTTTAACCAGATTGCTGTCTTAGAAAAAAGTAAAACTTTTGTATACTTAAGGAGAGGTGTTCATTCAATTAGCAAAATTGTGCATCTCTAGGCATAATCCAAAGTACGGAATGAAATATCTAAAGATGATGCTCATCAGCAAAGAAAACAGGCAAGAATGCTGATCTACTTGACGGCTTCACTTTGGGGGTTGGCTTTTGCACTCTAATGCTGGAAGTTTCTCAGCCCATGTTGCTCTATCACGTTTCCTCATCTATATTCCAGAAACTTTCATTTTACTCTATTATATCATTCAGCCCTACTTTATTTTCTCACTTTTAAATTCACAATTAAAATGAAAAGCAAAGGCATGTGTATTTGCCAGTTTCTCTGCGGTTCTTAGAGCCCTAATTATGATATGAAAACATGATTTCCAACTTTGCAGATGATGCTAAATTGAGAGAGAATAAAAACAAATGACGAATAATTAGGTGGTGCAGCCAGATATAAAAGGATTTACATCATTTATGTTTCTGGACTAATAGATGGCAAATGCAGGGCTGCACAGATAAATGGAAGATAATTAGCCCCCGCAAAGTACCAGAAATGGGGATCTCTGCTAAATAGGAAGGTGCTGACGAAAAGTGGCGTGAGTGAGGAGAAACAGTGGGGTGAGGGTGTCAGCGAGGGTGATTACAGGCTGAGGATGATTGCATCATGGAAAAACTCCAGAGATCTGGCACGTTCTCCAGCTACCCTTTTAGTTTGTATCCCTCCCTCACTCTGTCACACAGAAGCATTCTGTTGTTAACAGTGTATTTCTTTAAAGCTTTATATACAGCCTGGCTCTGTGCAGTCCTTGCATTGCAGGCAGGCTAGGAAAAGGATAACTTCAGAGGGAGGACATTTTCTTCAACCAGGGAATTTTACCTGGGAGTACATTATGGCACAAAATTACCTAATCATTTTGAAAGGCATATTTTGGTGGATTAAGACTAAAGTGCCTCCATGACTTCGCAGAGATGCAAAGAAAATGCATATATGTTGTCAGGAGTTGTTTAATTCTTGTGCCAGGAGCCCCTTTTCTCCAATGGTCCCCAGTGCTCTCTGAGGGTGCCTCACACTTCTTTCGGCTCAAGGTTTTATCCCTGGACCTGAGAAGGTAACCCAGCTAATCATCCAATCCTTTCCATTTGCAAGTACTCTAGGTTTGGTTACTGTAGATCTCCCAGTGACAATTATACATTGCCCGAGGTTCCAAAACAGTAGAACAAAAACAGATCAAATAGCAGAAATGGGTGTATGCACCTCCAAGGTCAAAGTCTGGCTAGCCATCAAGCTGAGCTGTTCTCCATCCTCCACTGCTCTTGACCTTTTCATGATATTAGGCATCATTTATCAACCATTAGTGCATCTTTCTAATTTTTAGCTTCCATGATACTATATGATGCCTACCTATTCCATTCTTTCTTTCTCACTCTCTTTTCCCTCCTCACCCTCTTATGATAGACACTCCTCAAAATCCAGCCTTCTACCTTTACACAGTTCTCTTTCTATACTGTTTCATAGACTGTATCTATTCTCTTGGTTCCAGCTATATCATACCACTATGTTATACTTCAAGATTCAATTCTAATTATTTTTGAACCATGAATCTTTTCTGTTCTTCCCCAAATGATTTCTTGTTGCCTTAAACTTCTCTGATACTCAAGTCTATAAGTTTATAAGCCAGTCTAATACTTAAAATACATAAAATATATCATTGCAATAAAAGAAAATCTTGGAGATATGACAATTGAAAGACTATCCTTCTTCTGTCAATTTAATATGTAAACAAACAGGTTCCTGCTCCAGGGGTGATAACTGCTTCTTAGAGCTTAGCTCCCATACCCCAATCCAGAAGTCCTTTATGGACAGGGGATTGAGCTCTTCCAACCTCTTTCTGCTGTCCTTCCACCAGTTTCCATATGCCGCTACTAAGAGTGATACATTTTGACTGTCTCTATCCCCATCTATCTCCAATCCTTAGTCAGAGTTCAGTTACACTTTTTTTTCTCAGTTGGTAATTTATTTTTATCTCTACTACTGTCTTAGCAGATCAACTATTTGGTTTGGTTCCTTGAGGACAAGTCTCTACCACAGCTAATCAAAGTAGCCCAGCCTTCTGTTGTCCCCACTGCCTAAGGCCAGCTAATTCTGAAGCACCTCAAAGTTCTCTACCTTCCCCTTTCCAATGCCACTACTGGTACTCTCACCATTGGCACCACTACTGCTCCTATTCCTCCCAGAGATGGTAAAAACACATCATTTACTTAATATTTTGTGTGTGGAATAGCAGAACACACACACACACACACACCACCTTGTCACTACCAGCTTCACCAAAAATCCAACCCAAAACAACAGTTGCAAGACATACATTGGAATACTGTCACCTCTATTCGCACTCAGCCCCAGCCCCTCAGATTATTGACAAAACAATGGATCCCTTATGTCATAAAAATAAAACTTATGTTTGTCTCTATAGAGGAAGGGGCTGACTAACACAAGCAGTTCAGCTGTCAGCAAAGAAAGGCAAAGGAAATGCTTTTCCTCTCAAATCTGCAGCACAATGAATGTGGGGACTGCAATGGGTCTAACGTAGACTTCAGGTACCTCTTGGGCAGACTGTTTTCAGATTTGAAAGCATGGGCCTATTTTTATACTCACTCAAACTGTCTGTCGTAGCAAGAGGGGAAATGTCCTTCCTTCGTGGACTGGAGTCCCAGAGTTCCTAGGCATATACAGATAACCAGAGAACCTATACTTAGAATGGATCTAAATCTCTGGGCTCCTGGAATGGTGCCTTGCATTAGAGTTGTTTGAGAATGAGTCTTATCTTCCCAAGTTCTTTGTCGGGTACTAGGAACCGGGATGCTGTATTATATATTTAATACACTTGTCTGCTGTTAGGTCAAGTTCTTTTTTTGTGTGTGTGAGATGGAGTTTCACTCTTGTTGCCCGGGCTGGAGTGCAATGGCGCAATCTCAGCTCACTGCAACTTCTGCCTCCCAGGTTCGTGATTCTCCTGCCTCAGCCTCCCAAGTAGCTGAGATTATAGGCACGCACCATCACGCCTGGCTATTTTTTTGTATTTTTAGTAGAGATGGGGTTTCACCATGTTGGTAAGGCTGGTCTCGAACTCTTTACCTCACGTGATCCACCCACCTTGGCCTCCCAAAGTGCTGGGATTACAGGAATGAGCCACCATGCCTGGCCTAGGTCAAGTTCTTTTCTTTTCTTTTCTTTTTTTTTTTTTTTTTTTGAGACGGAGTCTCGCTCTATTGCCCAGGCTGGAGTGCAATGGTACGGTCTCAGCTCACTGCAACCTCTGCCTCCCGGGTTCAAGTGATTCTCCTGCCTCAGGCACCGGAGTAGCTGGGATTACAGGCTTCCGCCACCACGCCCAGCTAATTTTTGCATTTTTAGTAGAAATGGGGCTTCACCATGTTGGTCAGGCTGATCTCGAACTCCTGACCTCAGGTGGTCCACCCACCTCGGCCTCCCAAAGTGCTGTGATTACAGGCGTGAGCCATAGCGCCTATATTCGGTCAAGTTCTTAAAGTTACTATAAAGAGCATTAGGCTCAGACGCTCTGGGCTGGCATTCTACTAATAGGATGTGCCTGCTTTCATTTATTTTTCTACTAATTTTTATCATGACAATTTTCAAACATACAAAAGCATAATAACCATATCGATTTCCATGTATCAATCATCCAGCTTCAATATTTATCAACAATTTACCAATCCTATCTCATCGATAGATGCTATTTTCCCTTGTACTTAAATATTGTGAAGCAGATCGAACACATCAGAAGTATGCATCTCTAACAATCCTTTTAAAAATCAGGATTTAATTATTGAAATATAATTTATGTAAAGTGTATCAATTTTAGTAAGAATGTTTTCTTTTTAATTTTTAATTTATTTATACTAATTATACACATTTATGGGGTACATAATGATGTTTCCATACATATAATGTATAGTGATCAGATCAGGGTAATTAGCATAGCCATCATCTCAAGCATTTATTATTTCTTTGTATTGGGAACATTTAATATCCTTCTTCCAGCTATTTTAAACTATATATTACTGTTAACTATAGTCATCCCTACAGTGGTATAAAACACTAGAATTTATTTCCCCTATCTGGAGTGTTTTTTAAACCACTTTATTTTTTTAACTTTTATTTTAAGTTCAGGGGTACATGTGTGGGTTTGTTACATAGGTAAATGTGTGTCGTGGAGATTTGTTGTACAGATTATTTTATCACCCAAGTATTAAGTCCATTAGTTATTTTTCCTAATCCTCTCCCTCCTTCCACCCTCCACCTTTTCAATAGGCCTCAGTGGGTGTTGTTCCCTTCTATGTGTCCATGTGTTCTCGTCATTTAGTAAACCACTTTATTAAGGTCTGATTGAGATACAAACAGTTGTACATTTTAAATGTGTACAACTTGATGAGTTTGGAGATAAGTACACACCGCTGGAACCATTACCACAATCAAGGCCATAAATATATCCATCACCTCTAAAAGCTTCCTCTGCTACATTTATTTATCCATTCATTCTTTCATTTATGTGTGTATGCATGTACGTATGTATGTATGTGTAGATGGTAAGAACAATGAAGATCTCCTCTCTTAGCAAAATTCTAAGTATACACTACAATATCACTTACTACAGGCACTACGCTATAGAGTAGATCTCCAAAATTTATTCATCTTATATAACTGAGACTTTGTCATCTTTGTTCAATATTTCCTAATTTCCCCCTTCCCCTCCCTCTGGCAACCACCTTTCTACTCTGCTGCTATGAGTTCGACTATTCAAGATGCCTTATATAAGCAGGATAATGAAGTATTTGTCTGTTTGTGTATGGCATATTTCACATAGCATAATGTCCTACCAGTTCATCCATGCTGTTGCAAGTAGCAGGATTTCTTTTGTTTTAAAGGCTGAATAATATTCCATTGTGTATGTGTATACTACATTTTCTTTATCCATTCATCTAATAATGGGTATTTAGTGGATTCCATATCTTGGCTATTGTAAATAATGCTGCAATGAACATGAGAGTGCAGAAAAAGAAATAAAGGCCATTTAAATCTGAAAGACAGAAGCGAAATTATCTCTGCTTGAAGATAATATTACCTTATATATAGATCTCTCTGAAAACTCCACCAAAAGACCCTGTTAGAACAAACAAATTTAGTAAAGTTGCAAGATACAAAATCAGTATACAAAAATCAGTTGTGTTTCTGTATGCTAATAATGAACTATTCTAAAGGAAAATTAAGGAAGTACTCCGATTTACAACAGCATCAAAAAGAATAAAACACCTGGGAATCATCTAAACCAAGGAGGTGAAAAGCTTAAACACTGAAAACTACAAAACATTGGCGAAAGAAATTAAAGGACACATAAATAAATTATAGGACCCCATGTTAATGGATTGGAAGAATTAGGATGGCTTAAATGTTCATACTGCCCAAAGTGATTGATCTATATATTCAGTGCCATCCCTATCAAAATCCCAATGGTAGCAGGGCATAGTGGCTCACACCTATAACCTCACAGCTTTGGGAGGCCAAAGTGGGAGGATTGCTTGAGGCCAGGAGTTTGAGACCAGCCTGGACAACATGGGGAGACCCCATCTCTCTAAATTTTTTTTTTAATTAGCTAGGTGTGGTAATGCATGCCTGTAAACCCAACTACTCAGGATGGTGAGGTGGGAGGATTGCTGAAGCACAGGAGTTCAAGGCTGCAGTGAGCTATGATAGCACCACTGCACTCCCGTCTAGGAAACAGAGTGAGACCCCATCCCTAAAAAAAAAAAATAATAATAATAATCCCAATGGCATTTTTTACAGAAAGAGAAAAATAATCCTAAAATTCATATGGAACCACAAAAGACTCTGAATTGCTAAGAGTACACAATGGGGAAAGGATAGTCTTTTTAATAATTAGTGTTGGGAAAACTGGATATTCACATGCAAAACAGTGAAATTGGACTCTTATTTTACACCATGCACAAAAATCAACTCAATATGAATTAAAGATTTAAACATAAAGCCTGAAACCATAAAACCCCTAGAAGAAAACATAGGAAAATAGCTTTTCACACTACTCTTCTAACGATTTCTTGGATATGACACTAAAAGCACAGGCAACAAAATGAAAAAAAAAATAGACAAATAAGACTCCATCAAACTAAAAAGCTTCTGCATAGCAAAGACATCAATCAACAAAATGAAAAGGCAACCAAGAAATGGGAAAAAATACTTGCAGATTTTAGATCTGATGAGGTTAATATCCAAAACATGTAAGAAACTCACATAACTTGATAGCAAAAAGCCTTTAAATAATCTGATTTTAAAAATGGGTAAATGACATGCATGTACCTTTACCCAAAGACAGAAATGGTCAACAGGTGTGTAAAAAGATGCTTGATATAACTCATTGTAAGGGAAATGCAAGTGAAAACCACAGTGAGATATCTACCACCTCACACCTGTTAGAAAAGCTATTATCCAAACTAAAGATAACAAGTGCTGGTGAGGGGGTGATGAAAAGGAAACCCTTGTACACTGTTAGTGGGAATGTAGATTGGTACAACCATTATGGAAAATAGTAAGGAGGTTCTTCAAAAATTAAAAATAGTACTACCGCATGACCCACCAATCCCTCTTGCGGATATATACCCAAAGGAAATAAAATCACCACCTCATCTAAATATCTGCATTCCCATGTTTATTACAGCATTATTCACAATAGCCAAGATATGGAAGCAACCTAATTGCCCCAGGATGGATGAATAGATAAAGAAAATATGTTATATACACAAAATGGGATATTATTCGACCTTACAGAAGAATGTTTTTAGTACAACCACAATACCATCACGACCCAAGTAAAATTAACAATAATTTCTAAATATCTTCTAATACATGTTCCATATTCAAATTCTCATAATTGTCTCCAAACTGTCTTTTTACAGTTGAGTTGTTTAAATCAAGATGTCAGCATGGTTCACACATTGCATTTGGTTTTTAAGTCTCATAAGTCTCTTTTACTTTATAACAGTTCCGCTATTCCTTTTTTTTTTTTCCTCCTATGAAATGAATTTGCTAAAGAAAGCAGACCATGCTTCTCTGTAGATTTAACTAAGTTATGGATTTGGCCAATTGTATCATCCTGGTATAATTTAATAGGTTCCCCCATTCTTTGTATTTCCTGAAATTAGATGTTAGCTGTAAAGGCATCATTAAATTTAGCTCCCCTCTCTTTTTGCAAGTGTATTTCAAGAGCAGCATATAACTGCCTATTGCATCCCATCGGGAGGTACATGAAGACTGGCTCCTCTACTTGTAGTAATGCTAAGATTGATCAGTGGGTTCAAGTGTTTTAAGCCTGATCCATCTATCTTAAATTTGCCCACCTACTTTTCACTTAAAAATTGTAGCACCCTTAGATAATTTTTGCCTGGACCCAATCTAGCATTTTCTGAGAGTTTACACAATTATAATTTTCTGGTCCTGAGTTTATTAGTTTGAGTTCTAAAAATAATGTTTTCTTAGAAGCTGTTCATTTACCCTGAAATACAATTCAAACACAACTGGCAGGTTAAATGTTGCATTATCATACTTTATTTACCAATTTTTAGAATAATGAGTTGATTCCTTAGTAAACTCCAAAGTAGACTATTTTTTAGCATTATGAATTATCTTCTGTTTATATATTTCATGTGTCCATTGCGCTCATTAGTCCTATAATGCTCAAATTGTTCTAACTTTGACAGCAGGATTTCCCTAAGGTTGGCTTCTGTGTTGCTTTAACAGGACCCAGTAGATATTGCTTCTGGCACTAGATACCCCAAGCTCATCTTGTACATACCCTGTCTCAGACCTGAAATATCCCATTTCTCCTAGGAATTCAGGTTCATTTAATAGGGATTGGTATTTAAGATGACAATTTGGTAGCTAGGGGTAAGCGTTACTTCAATGCTTTTATTCAGAAAGTTGAGGTGAGAAAATTGTAATTTTTAGAAAAAGAAAACTAAATCCTGAGTACATAGTGATATTTCAATTTCACATGCGAGATCACATGTTAAATACAAAATTGTATCATACAGTGTAATCTCTTTTGTCTTATCAAAATTTAAGTTCCTAATGATATTGATATCATTTTTTGCTTTCCCTCTCTCTTCTCTCTCCATATAGATTCAAAATAATACTGTAATATTCTAACAATGAGATTTCTGATTGCAGTTTAAGATTTATTTCTGTTTTATTTTTGTCCTCTGAATATATGCTACTAAGAAAGTAGTGCAAAAATACTCTGTTTTAAAGTCACTTAAAATAATTCTTTCTTGTGTGTTTATCTACCAATTTGATATGTAAAACATTTTTCAGTATGTTATACATTTTTAAGAATTTACCTTTAAAATCTTTTGTTTCAGAATCATTTAAATCATTTACACACTTACCGAGTCAAAACTATAGAAAAAGTTAGTTTCAGAGAAATATAGATTCTATTTTCTTCCAAGCTGTACTTCCCTTCTTTCCTATAAGTAACCATTTTTATTAGTTTATCTTTTGCTTCTTTTTAAAGTTAAAAATAGCACACATGTACAAATGAAATATATCACATAGATTGTTCTGCATCCTGCATTTGACAGTATGTCCTGGAGCTACCACTCCACAGGATATAGATCTTCCTGTTTGCTTTTTACAGCTGCATAACACTCCTATGGGTGGATGTCCTATAGTTTACTCAGCCAGTTCCCTCTTGATAAACAGTTACATTATTTCTAGTGTCTTTTTAATTAAGCTATTGTAATTAATAGCTGTTTACTTGGATCATTTCTTATTTTTGTGATGCCTGCCTTGAGACTGATTTCTAGAAGTGAGGTTGCTGGTCAAAGGGTAAGTGCATATTTATTTTTGCTAGATATTGTCAAATTACTATTTTCATTCTCAGACAACTCATATATACATACCTGATTCATTTGCAAAACTGCAGTAATAATATCTCCTCCCAGAAATAGTGTGACACTAAAATGGCTAATGGAAATCAAAACACTTTGAAAAAAATGTAAAGCAATAAACAGATATAGTGATCAGTATTAATAAATAACAATCCATTGTTAGAGATGATTCATGTAGCCACACAAATGTCTGCCCATCATCTCATTGAGTCTAAGACTGAAGTGAAGAACCAACTTCAGACATAGGAAGAGAGACAGAAAAGAAATAGAAGTATGTAAGAAGCTATTGGGACCATAATAGAAAAAAAATAACATTGGCCTTGGTCTGGAGAGAATGGGGAAGCCAAAATTGGAACTGAGTTTTGAAGGAGACAGGAATGTGCCAGATGGGGGTAATAGGGCAATATCAGGTCAGAAGTGGAGAGGCTGCCCCAGCAAGAAAGGAGTGAAATTTTACTGGGAGAGTAAAAATTCAGGTATGGGAAAGCTTAGAAAACACTCAAGAGGATGGCATGAGATGTTAGAGAAATGGGTTGGGACTAGGGTGTAAAGGGTTATGGATACTATGCAAGGGGATTTTCACTTTACACAATATATAGTTTTGTGTGTCCGTATGTTTGTGTGTGTGAAGCGGGTTGGCCTGTAATTTTTCCCAAATCTCATACTTCTATATTTCTCACAAAAGTAAAGGCCAGCACTAAATAGCAACTGATTAGCATTAAATACATGCACATTATATATTATATACTATGAAGTGATATTCAAACTATCCATAAAGAGTTCCTCTAGAAATAATTGTTTCAACGACCAACTGCATGAAAAAGAATTCTTATTATACCAAGTCACATTTTGCCTTTGGTGACACTTTCTGAAAACAGACAGATAAAACAAAAGCAATCACCACCCTCACATCTCCATGTCTTCTTCCTGCTATCTGGGACAGTCGACAAATCCAGGGGAGTTGCATACCAATTCTATTACCATGGACTTGGCTAAGCCATTTCACAGGCGCACGAGATTTCCGGAATATTAACTGAGAGGAGAGGAGGGACTTGAGAGTGCAGCCAGGAAAGGCAGGATCTGTTTTCTCCAAAGCCCCACCACATTCTTCCTTCTGAGGCTCTGCAGCCTGGAGCTGCCTAAAGACTGACTGCGTGACTAGTCAGAGAAATTAGAGAAATATGTGCTAGGAGTTGGGATCTTAGGGATATGTTTATTTTTATAGCTTTATATAGTTTAGTTTTTGGATTGAAGTAGCTCTTTAGTTCCAAAGTCAACAATAGATGTGCTGTAGCAGGAATAGTTGTTTCTCTTTTAAAATTTGGTTTTATGAATCTCATGACCCATGTAATCAATTATTCTCGTTTCCTCAGTTGCTAAGAAGCTTATGTCCAAATTTGTGTTCTTCTCCTAGCAACTTATAGGACTTCCTGTAATTTGAGATTCTAATCTCATCCCTGGCTCTATTTGATATTGCAACTCTTCGGTTTCCTCTTGCTTTGTTTTCTGCCACTGTTTCTTGGAATTGTGCTTTTTCATTTTCTCTTGGTAATGTTAATATAAAATGATATATGAAATGCAACATATATGCAAATCATAAAGCATAACAATATAGTTAACATCCAAATAATAGGTCGTTGCCCATACCTTGCTTCTACCTATGTGTTTTTCCACAAACCCACCTCCCTAAAACTACTATCCTGAATTTTATCATTCCCTTGTTTTTTTGAAATAGTTTTATCACACATTTATATAAGTCTAAACAACACATTTCTCAGTTTTTCTTTTTTAAAAGTTGTTTTCTATCATACCATATATGTCTGTGGAGACTTGGTATTTTTGTTTACCCAACATTATGTTTCTAAGATTAATCCATGTTTCTGTGTGTAGTTATGCTCACTTCTTTTTCACTACTAGATAATATTCCATTATGTGAAAAATATATACATTTGAAGATAGAGGTATGTTATGTTTTATATATATATATAAACATATATATAAACATATATAAACATACATATATAAACATATACACATATATATATATGTTATATATATTTCTCTGTTCTCCAATAGCTAAACATTTGGATTGGATTGTTACTAGTTTGAGACTGTTACAAATAGCCTATGAAACATACAAATGGCCTATGAAAATTACTATTTAGATCTTCTGATAAAAACATACAAGAATTTCTCTGACACTGTTTGGTCATAGAGTATGTGAATGCTCTGCTTTGAGAGACAATGACAATTTCTTTTCCCCGGTTCTAATTTACGCTCCCGTTGATACACTTCCTCTGTCTACCTTCTTAATTTGTTGCCATTCTGGTGGGTGCGTGGTGCTATATTATTTTATTCTTATTTTGTATTTGCATTAGTAAAAGATTTGTGAATCTTTTCATTGTTTATCGCCTATAGATATTTCATTGTCTGTGAAGTGCCTGTTTTATGTATTTACCCCACTTTCCTATTGGGTTGTTCATGTTTATCTTATTCAGTTATATTTCTGACTTGTTCTGGTCACTAATCCTTTGTTATTTGCTTTACAAATAGCTTCTCCCAGTTAGTGGCTTCATTTTCCCTCTTTTTCTAGTTTGTTTTTTGATGAATAGCGATACTTAACTACAGAGCAGTCCAAGATCTTATACTCAGATCTTTTTTCTGTCTTAAAAAACTGTCCCTGCACGAAGGTCATAAAGGTTATCCTATATTTTCGAAAATGTTTAACGTTTTGCATTTCACATTAGAGTCTTCAATGCTTCTGCAATTAGTTTTTATGAATGTTGCAATTTAAGTAACTATCCAATTGCTTTACATTTTCCACATGGACAACCATTTTCTCCCAGTACCATTTGCTAAAGAGTCCTTCTATTGCCTAGTTATAAGCAAGGACACCTCTGTCATATAACAAAGTTCTATATATGCATTCACATTTCTTGGGTCTTTATCCTAATTTGTTGGCCAATTTGGTTTTTAAAAGTTTTATGTTTAATTGACAAATAGTCATTGTATATATTTATGGGGTACAATGTAATGTTTCAATACATGTATGGTCAATTTGTTTTAACACATTTTACTACCACATTGTCTTAGTTGTAACAGCTTTATAATAAGTCTTGATTTTTGGAAGGGAAAGCTCTCCTGTCCCCATTGCAGACTGACAAAGATCTGATTGTTAAGTTTAAAAACTGACTTCTTATATTATAGTCTTTGCACTTTATATAAAGAAATCATACAGTATAGACTCTTTCGTGCTTGTTTTTCTCATCGTTATGTCTGTGAGATTTACATATACTGTTGATATAGCGATAGCTCATTTATTTTCACAGCTGTCATTGCTGTATGGTATTCTGTTTTATAAAGATATCTTTTTTTTTCTCTACTTTACTATAAAATGGATATTTGGGTTGTTTCCAGTTTTCTTGTTTTTGTTTCTTTATATTGATTTTTCTTTACTCTTGACCTATTAAGAAAGGTGTGTTAAAATTTTCCACTAAGTATGCAACAGTGAATGTATCAATTTCCCCATATAATTGTGTCAACCTTTTGCCTTATCAATTTTGACATATTTGTTATGTTCATGCAAGTTTAGAATTATGTTATCTTCCTGATGAGTTGAACTTTTTCAACTTCATGTAGTGACCCTCTTCATTTTAATAGGCTTTTTTGTTGTCTTAAAGTCTGTTGGGTCAGATATTTATATAACAATATTCTTTTCCTTTTAGTCAGTATTTACCCAGCATATTTTTATCTCATACTTCAGTTTTTTTACTTCTGTGCTCATGCTTTAGGTGCATCTTTCAAAAAGACCTAGTGATGGTTGTAATTTTTCCATTTTTATCCAATATAGTAACTACTGTTTTTAATTGGTAAGTTTAGTCCATTTATAATCACTTACTATGTATTAGGATTTGTTTCCATTACCGTATCTTACTTTTTTATTTCTATTTGTTGTGCTTAAAAACGTTTTCCTTCTCTTTCACCATCCTCTAGAGGTTTCTTTGAGTGTAAGTCACTGGGGGTTAAAGTTTCACAGTTTATGATGATATTCAAATACCTTTATTTTGCTTTATAGAGAAATAGTTTTCTGAGTATAACATTCTAAGTTGTTATATTTTCTCTAAACATTTTTCTCATTTTGATTTTGCTGTTTAGTAGTCTGCTATCTATCTAATTGTCTTTCCTTTGCAGGCAATCTTTCCTATTTTATTACTTTTAATATATCTTTGTCTTTGATGTTCTGTAGGTTCTCTACAATGAGCCTTTGCATTAGTATTTTTTGGTTTATCATGCTTGGAATTCATTGTGTTTTCTATATCTGTTCACATTTTCCATCACTTCTGAAAATTTCACATCCTGGTGAGAATCCCAAAAGGAATGAATAGAAAGAATGCAAGAAGGCAACTTGGTGAACTAGCTGTAGTTCATTCATTTTCATAACTAAATAGTACCCTATTTTATGAAAATATTATCACATTTCTATTCTACTAGTTACATTTTAATTTCTACAACTTCTAAACTTACCAAAATTTCTAGTCTATTACTAATGGCCTCTTATTGTTTGCAATTGCTTTCTTTTAAAAAATCATTTCAAACACAACAGTTTTATATTACATGCGTTACAATCTCTATATCAATAGTTATGGGAGTCATAATGTGTTCTGGTTTTTTCTGCTGATTTTTTCTCATTGCTGTTTTTTGTGTGTGTGTGCTGTTTGATTGTGAAGTCATTGCTTGATGCAAATGTATGAGAGTGCTGTCTAAATGAAGGAAGATTACCTCATAAAGGCTTTGCTTCTGCTTCTGCTAATGGCCAATGCCCACTTCCTAGGATCCATTTTTACTTCCCTTAAAGTCCCGGTTTAGTTCAGAGTCCCACATTCAGTTTCTCCATTCTCGGCTCTAGATCAAAGCTTGTTCATACCAACACAGACATTGCTACTATAGTCATTCATACTCAGGAAGTCTCCCTTTCCCAGCTTTCTTCCACTCCATATTCCTAGCTTATACCCAAAACCTGTTTTGGGATTATAGGGCTTCTGGGGATACTTGCCTACCCCCTTTAAACCCAGTAGTGTGTGTTCTATCCCAATTGTAACTACTCTGCAGTCTCAACAGCACTTACTTTTCCATAATGCCAGAAGCACTCAATTTATTTTTTAAATCAAAATGATACACATAGTAACAAACAATAGAAACCGAAAAACCGTGATAGCAATAGATTTCCTCTCCTTAACCCTCCATCAAGTACCATTTCCCTAAAACAACTTATTTTGAGTGTTTCTCCTCACAGAATTTATGATGGTAACCTCCACATTTCTAAATAATATACATATACTTCTATTTTCTCATCTAGGAAAGATGTAGATTTAAGTTTACTAATTGTATCCTTTTTCTTTTCTCCTCTGAATCTTTGATATACATATTAGACTTATTTCTTCTATTAATTACATATGTTACCTTAAACAATACATTAAATTCCTTGTTCTGCTAACTTCCATCAGTGTCTCTTGACTCCCTCTGTACTTTGAGGCTATTAGCACACGGACCATTTCTTCCATGTTTCCAACCACCCTCCACTCATGTCCTAGCCTTAGCTAATTTGAATTACATACATTTATTTTATCAAATAGTTTACATTTAAATTCTGTTCTCAATCAATATCAACATTTCAAGTATTTTTGATAGGATGATTATAAAACCTCAAAATCAATAAATAGCAATTTCATTATTAGGACAATGTCAACACTTTCCGTGCAGGTCAAGTTCTACCTTGGGACTGTATTTCCTTCACCTTGAGCTCAAGGCTGTGATCCTTGAGCCACATGAAGGGGAATGGTTCTATTATAGCATCCAGTGTAAGTAGGTACTATCGTCTTATACTTTTTAACTGCTGAATATTATATTACAATTTAGTTGGTTTCATAGTTAGACCGTGACTTTCTAAACAGATTTTCTGTTTTTTTTTGCTGGAGTTTTAAATAATGTTTCTTTTTTAAATGGTTTTCTTTTATCAGCCCTTTCCTTTTTTCCCCAAAGTACTCAATCATACATTCTATTCTATCAGTTTCTCCTATCCCTCATCCCACTACCCGGAACATTTCCTTCTAGAGTCTCTGTTAGATCCAAACATTGCTCCAGCACTCTCTTGAGTTGGATCCACAGTTTCCCAGTTCCCATGTATTCTTCCTCCTTGGCTTACCTTTTTTCTTTTTCTTTTTTTTCTTTTTTGGAAAAGCACATCCTGAAACAACTTTCTAAGAAAAGGCGTGTGGGTGGAAACATTTATGAACTCTTGCGTGTTTTTAATTCCGTCCTCACATTTGATTTGTAATTTTTCTCAGTATGGAAACATATGTTATGATTTTAAAGGCACTGCTTCATCACGTTCTAGTATACATGCAATGTTGCCAACAGATCTTAAGGATATTCTGATTATTCTTATCTCCTTTTAGGTGCCCTTTTGTAAGTGTCCTCTGAACTCTATTCGATTAGGTTATTTTCATGGAAACTTAAAAAAAATCTCATTTGTTGGTGATATCCTCTCCCATTTTCTTCCCCGTTATAGATTTATTCCTTTTTGATAAATTTATTCTCTTATTTCATAAAGAAATAAAGAAGGATGTGAGGCAAATATTCACTTTCTAGTCTATCTTCTCAAATGTCCATCACTTATTTTCAATATATTATGTTTTCATACTGTATTCATTTTTTCAGATGCTTAAAATTCCTTTTGGAACAAATCAGGATATAGTATGTATGCAGTCATTAAATAAGTTTCAAAAAGCTGAAGGTTAGATGAGATGTTCCCCTAATTCAGGCTCATACATTTTTAATTCCGTGATCTTGAAAAATATTGGAGTATTGATTTCCTAGGTTAGCTAAGAATAGATGCAGACCCATGGGACCCAGAGAGTCTAACAAGTCAAAATCTCAAAATACAGAGGTATGGATAGAATCAAACAACTCCAAGCAATGAACAATCTTAAAAGCATCAAGGCAAGTATGATTATGAGAAGTGAAGAAATGCACTGGTGAAATAATTTTTGGTAAATATAGCTGTGAATTATTTTGCCCAAGGCTGCTTTCGGAGTGACAGTCAGAACCTCTTGCCTGAGGCAAACAGGTAATTAAGAATGACTAGAGAGTTTTGGACAACAACCTGTGTTGGAAGGAAGGAGGCCACACACAAGGGAAATAAAAAGGCCCATTAAAAGTTTCTGGCTTTTGAAATAAAGTTACATGGTCTGGCATATCTAATTAGTTCTCATTGTTATAGACCTTATTACATTCCACATCCTGTCTGGGGTTATCATATTTGACATTCAAAGAATTGTTAAAATTTCAAAGATGGCTTGTTTTACTTCCTTACCTTTGGTAGGTCTCCACAGAGAGGGGCCGTTGTGGCCAGGCACGGTGGCTCACACCTGTAATCCCAGCACTTTGGGAGGCCAAGGCGGGTGGATCACTTGGGGTCAGGAGTTCGAGACCAGCCTGGACAACACGGTGAAACCCCGTCTCTACTAAAAATACAAAAGTTAGCCGGGTGTGGTAATCCCAGCTACTCAGGAGGCTGAGGCAGGAGAATCACTTGAACTCAGGAGGTGGAGATTGCAGTGAGCTGAGATCACACCACTACACTCAGCCTAGGCAATAGAGGGAGACTCCGTCTAAAAAAAAAAAAAAAAAAGTTGGGGGGGGGGCATTTTACACTGTCATAGGGAGTTAGTTGTACTCCTTGACTACTTGCTCAAAGTAAATAGCAAGGATGGAATTTCAACATGGCTGCCAACCACTCCCATTCTGTTTGTTTCAGGTGAGGAAGGTACTCTTGCATAGAAGATTGATAGGTCTGTCAGAATAGGAAGACTGAATGATCTTAGCTTTCTTTCATCAAATACTTTAAAAATACTTGGTAACTTTCAGGCTTTGTGCAAAGCATGGGAGATACAATGATGAATAAATGGACAGGTCATGAGACCCTACCCTTTGTACACAAGTAGTGGATTGACCTCATACACACTCCAAAAAAACTGACAATGCCTTTACTTAAGAAAATCCATAGCATCCGTCCTTCTAAAGCCAGACATCTACAAGACCAGGGTAGGGAATTCCCTCTGGCTTAATCAACACAGTTGTCATTTCATTTGGGTTATCTCTGAGAGTCTGTGGGAAACTGATAACCTTGACAAAACTCAGAGGGACCTGAGGACCTATTTGTTCTACAGCCCCACTTGGAAAGAAAGAAAGAGAGAAGGGAGGGAAGATGGAAAGAGGGAAGAAAGAGTTGTATATACTAAAATGTGTACAGACAGAGTAAATTAAAATTCATTCGTTCATTTAGCAAATATTTATTGAGATCCCACTTTGTATCAGGCACTGTTATGGAGATTATGTATTTAGAAGTGAACAAGATAGACAAAAGTCTCTTCTCTCATGGAGTTTGTATTCTAATTGAAGAGAGGCGGAAAATATAAGGATACATTGGTAAAATATATAGCCTGTAAGACAGTGATCAAAGATTAGAAGAAAAATAAAGCAAGAAAGAGAGGCAGGAAGTGTCAAGGATTGGAAGATGCAATTTTAGATATGTGTTCAGAGCAACTGTCAATGAGAAGATGATGCTTGAGTAAAGGATGGAAGGAAGTGAGGCAGTGTGTGTAAGTCGCGTGAATAGCTAGGAGTAAAACAATTCAGGGAGGTGGACAGGGCAAGCGCAAAGGCTCAGAGACAGAAGGATGCCTGGCCATTTTCAAAGGATATTGAGCCCAGTGTAACTATATTAGTATGAGGGAAGATGAGAGAAATAGATGATGGAGTCAGAATGGAAGTGAGAGGCTAAATCATGTGGGGCCTTGTAGGTCATTTTAAGTATCCTTACTGAGACAAGTGGCAAGTCATTGGATGGATTTGAGGAATGCCATGATCTGACTTAGGTCTTAAAGAATTATTCTGTGAAGGTGGAAAGGTTAATGCAAATGAATATACTGTAAACTGACACCACAAGAACAATAACAATAACCAAGGAGAGAAAAAGAAATCTTCTATCATTAAACAGTGGCTTTCATGGTTTCTCAAGAGAGCTGTAAAATGCTGACACCATTTACAAAGCTTTGATGTTCAGAGAGTGCTATTCTGCATTCCTAGAAGATATAAAAATTAATGACCGATGAGCTCAAAATAGCTGGAATCTGGACCTATGGATAGCCTTTCCCAAGAAGCCACATCATCTTGTACCTCAGACTTAATTTGCTTAATCAGCATGTGATGGGGCACGACTTTAATAGGGAGTGACAACTGACAAGAGAATTAAATTGATGCAAATTAAAACTTTAACAATAACATTATATGGAGCTTAAAAATCCTTTGCACTTTTGACACTCAATTTATACCAGATGCTAAAATCCACTAGAATAAAGGGTCCTCGCAGAACTATCAGCCAAGGAGAATCCATTGTATTTATAAGAAAAACAATACAGAGATTCTTAGTGTCAGTTACAGACAGTGTTAGTAAGCTGATTATAGAAACATATCTCTTTAATCAAACCACTGGATAAATTTTAAAATTATAATTTATTACTGGGGACAACAGTAGTTCTGAGTGAATCAGGAATAGAGCACAGGGACAGAGAGTGAGGAGAGTAGGATCCAACAACTACTGTGACTACTCCATCCCAGGCACTTTAAATAATTTAGCACCAAAACATTCCATGATAAATATGTACCCATGTCAATCCTTAGTACATGTGAATAGGATTTGTGTGCGTGTGTGTGTCCCATTTTCTAAGCCATTTTCCAAGCCTAATTTATTTTAATTTGACTGTAACATATTTGTACCATTTTCTTCTTTATAAAAAATACAGTATTGGTCCTATTTGATGCTTTAATACACTAACCAGTCTAAGGTACCACAAAGTCAGGAGTATTTCTTAAACCGCTCCTCAAATTCTGCTCTCATTTCAATGCTCTATATTAAAATTTAGAATGCTCAGATATATTTCCGAGGACTGCATAAACTACTTCCTTATTCTGTCTAACCATAACCACCTCTACTACATACGCATCCTGCTCCTATATGTAACTTCTGAGTCAGTCAAGGTAGTATGACAAAACCACGGATCTATATTGTTCCTCAGTATTCAAGATGCTAAATAGGCTCATTCCTGTATCTGTTGTATCTAAGCCTTTACTCCATGACATAGAGTTTACATATTTTTTCCTTCCCACATCTTTGTCTCCACATATTTTAACAACTGAAATCCCACCTCCGTAATAAAGCATTCCCAAAACTTTATAGCCCAACTTCATCTCTCTCTTCTCTAAGATCCTATAGTACTTACTGTATGCATTATATATTTTAATTTTATATTGCTTGTATACTATTTTCCAAATAGCATATGTGTGTATGACTTGCCTTTTCCCAGTATGGTTCTTAAGTTGCTGGATCATTCTGCTTGTGTATTTTTGAAAATAACTGGTATGATATTGACTATACAGCGCACTTGTTGGCTATGGAACAACTAAAATGTTTCATTAATTCATTTAACAAGAATTTTTTGAATACCTACTACTTGAAAAAATAAGACAAGACAAAACCAGCTCTTTCTTTGTGCATACCCTAATAAAATATAAGAAAGAAATTATGACATCTGGCCTCAGAAGAAAATAGGACACATAATCATAACTTGAAGTGCTTTTGAAATATAAATACTTTCCTATCCTCTGTATAATCAAGAATCTCCCTTTACATTGTTATTCATGAAGGATCGAGAGATCATCTCCTCCAAAACAGAACGACAAAATTAACAATAATCAGTATTAGGAATTGAAATGTTACATATAAGGCAATGTTTGCCTTTATTTTTTGTTTTAGTCCAGTGGTAATATCCCTGCAGATGGTCAACCTGTTGCCATTTTTGAGTCAGCACTGCACTTTTTACTGTATTTCTCATTTTGTCATTACCATTAAATGCATTGCTGTGCCCTTCATCAATGTGTACAGCAAAATGCAGGCTTAAAATGAAGACATCAGTGGTACTATAGTTAGTACCATTAATAGGAGGGCTGATATTTTGGCTGTGCTCCACATCCCTAGTTCCAGCTACCTAATGGACAGTTTCAGGTAGAGCTCTTACAGGTACCTCAAACTTAACAACATGTCCAAAAGTCCCATAGTCTCAATTAATGATATTTCTAGTCGTAAGCGTCAAAATTAGCATCGCCTCCTCCTTTCTTACCCTCACAACGAATCAGCCATTAAATTCTGTCAATTCCATCTAGAAAACGTCTTTAAAATTCTTGCTGTCTCTATCATGACTCATCAAAACTATGATAATAGCATACTTTTATTTCTCTGTTCATATTTCAGAAAGCTCTTTCTTGTATAATCTCATGTTTGATTATGTTAATTTACCACTTAGAAACCTTCAGTGTGTGCTCATTGTCTTTATAATAAAATTCAAGTCCCTTAATCTTAGGTTCAAAGCTCTCTAGAGCTTGGCCCCACAGACTTTTTCAACCTTTATGTCTGTTCTTGGTAAACAACACGCAGACACACACATTTCTTCCCAGAATAATTCTTCAATCTCCTTGCCCTTATTTAACCTCGAATCTTCTCCAAAAATCCATTTTGGAAAAGGGCTAGATAGTAACTACTCTAGGCTTTGTGAGCCATGTGGTCCCGTCTTAACTACTCACCTCTGCCACTGTGGCATGAGAATTAGCCAAAGACTATATACAAACAAATCAGTATGAACATGTCCCAGTAAAATTTTAATTATAAAAACAGGTCCAGTGTGGATTGGGCCTGTGCTTACTGGTTTGGTGACCAGTGATCTAGATCATAGTACAAAGTGACAATGCTTTCATCAAGCATGCATCAAAAGAGTATTCTATTTTTTAAAACAGCTTTATTGCGGTATAATTAAAATTGTAAAACTCTTAGAAAAAAACATAGGGGCAAAAACTTTTGATACTAGTCTTAGCAGTGATCTCTTGGATATAACACCAAAAGCATAAGTAACAAAAGCAAAAATAGACAAGTGAGACAAAATCAAACTAAAATGCTTCTGTATAGAAAAAAAATCAACAGAGTGAAGAGATAACCTGAAGAATGGGAGAAAATATTTACAAATTATTTATCTGACAAAGGGTGAATATCCAAAATATATAAGAAACTCCCACAATTAAACAGCAAAAATCCCTCAAATTACCTGGTTAAAAAATGCAAAAGCAGCAAAGAAAACAAGCAATAGAGTAAAGAGATAACCTACAGAACGGGAGAAAGTATTTGCAAACTGTGCATCTGACAAAGGGTCAATACCCACGATAACTCAAATAACAGCAAAATAATAATAATAATAATAATAATGCAATTAAAAATGGACAAAAGACCTGAATAGACATTTATCTAAAGAAGATATATACAAATGGTAAACAGATATATTAAAAGATGCTCAACATCACTATTCATTGGGGAAATGTGAATGAAACCACAATGAGATATCACTCAACCCCAGTTTCAGTGGTTATTATGAAAAAGACAGAAATAACAAATGCTGGTGAGGATGTGGAGAAAGGTAAACTCTTATGCACCATTGGTGGGAATGTAAATTAATACAGCCTCCGCAGTGTGGAGGTTCCTTAAAAATTTAAAATTGCACTACCCTGTGACCCAGCAATCCCATTACTGGGTAAATATTCAAAGGACATTAAATCAGTATGTCAAAGAGATATCTGCACTCCCGTATTTATTTCAGTAGTATTCACAATAGCTAAGATATGGAAACAACCTACATGGGTATCCATGCACAGATAAGCAGATAAAGAAAATGTTGTGTGCCACATGGACATAAACATGGGAACAACAGACGCTGTGGAGTACTAGAAGGGGAAGAGAGGGATGAGGGCATGGGTTGAAAAACTACCTATTGGGTACAATGCTCACTACCTGGGTACAGTATACCCGTGTAACAAACCTGCACATGTACCCTCTGTGTCTAACATAAAAATTGAAATTTTAATAAATGAAAATTTTTATATATATATATAATATATAAACACACTATATATATACTTATATATCTATATATACATATTCTACCATAGATATATCCCACTATATACTTACATATCTATATATACATATTCTACCATAGATATATCCCACTATATACTTATATATCTATATATACATATTCCACCATAGATATATCCCACTATATATATGGTGGAATATATGTATATATAGTATGTATGTGTGTATATATATGTATATAAAACATTTTCTTTTATTAAAATTTCAACTTTTATGTTATATATAGTTCAATATACTTTTTGGTGGAATATATAGTATATATATGGTGGAATATATATAGTGGAATATATATATTATATATATAGTATATATAGTAGAATTTATATATATTATTTATATATGGTGGAATACTATTCAGCCATAAAATAGGATGAAATACTGTCATTCGTAGCAGCACGGATGAATATGGAGGGCATTATGTTAAGTGAAATAAGTCAAGCCACAGAAAGACAAATACTACGTGATCTCACTCATGTGGAATCTAAATAAGTTAATTTCATAAAAAGAGAGAGTAAAATAGTGGTTATTAAAGGCTGAGGAGGGTAGCAGGGAGTGGGGAACCGGGAAAGGTTGGTAAATCGGTACAAAGTTAGTAAGATGAGAGGAACAGGGTCTGATGTTCTATTACACAGTAGAGTGACTATACCAAATAACAATGTAATGTATATTTCAAGTTAGCTAGAAGAGAAGATTTTGAATGTTATCAGTACAATGATAGATATTTAAGGTGATGCATATTATAATTACCCTGATTTCATCATTATACAATGTATACATGCTTTCAAACATCACACTTTATCTCATAAATATGTACAATTATTATGTGTCAATTATAAATTGAAAAATACTAAAGGAAGGCAAAGGACTGGAATAGACATTTCTTCAAAGAAGATAAACATGAGCACCAAGTACATGAAAAAGTGCTTAGCATCACTAATCATCAGGGAAATGCAAATCAAAACTACAATAAGATCTCACCTCACACCTGTTGGGATGGCTATTAGAAAAACAAATAAAGAAAAAAACAAAATATAAATGTTGGTCAGAATGTGGAGAAATTGGAATACTTGTATATTGTTGGTGAGAATGCAAAATGGTGCATGAAAAACACTATGGAGGTTTCTCACAAATAGAACTACTGACGATGATCCATCAATCACACCTCTTTGTATATACCCAAAAGAACTGAAATCAGGATCTCCAAGAGATAACCTGCACTCCCATGTTCATTGCAGCATTAGTCACAATAGCCAAGATATGGAAACAACCCATATTTCTATCAACAGATTAATGAATAAGCAAATGAGTATTCTGTTGCTTGTATATCACAAATGATTTTAAAAGGGTGATGGTTCCAGTGGGGAGAGAAGGAGGAAGCAGGGCGCAGGGAAGCTGGTAGGGTGCGGGGACCAGCCACTGTCACCGCCACCACCTCTGGTCCTGGTGTGGGAAAGGAAGTGTGAGTCTTAGGTGCAAGTCTGAGATGGTGCCACTGCTGGAGGGCTGGCAGTGGGAAGGCAGGAGAAAAATAGGTAAAAAATGCGAATAATTTGAATATTTCAAATGTATTTTCAAATGTATATGGTACTCCCCTGCTATCTGTGGTTTCACTTCCCACGGTTTCAGTTATCCACGGTCAACTGAGGTCCGAAAATATTAAATGTAAAATTCCAGAAATAAACAATGCATAAGGTTTAAATGATGTGCCATTCTGAGTGGCATCCTGAGTCATGTGTCAAATCTCTACACACACCACTCTGTCCTACCAGGGATGTAAAACATCCTTTTGTCCAGAATATTCACACTGTATACACTCTTCACCTGTTGGTCACTTAGTAGCTATCTTGGTTATCAGACTGACTGCTGCAGTATTATCACAGTGCTTGTGTTCCAGTAATTCTTAATTTACTTAATAACTGCCTCCAAGTGCAAGAGTAGTGATGCTGGCATATTGTTATAATTGTTCTATTTTATTATTAGTGTTAACATCTTACTGTACCTAATTTATAAATTAAACTTTATCATAGGTATGTATGTGTAGACAAAATTATAGTATATATAGGGTTTGGTACTATCCATGGTTTCAGACATCCACTGGGGGTCTTGGAACTTATCCTCTGTGCAGAACGGGAGACTACTATACATTTGCTTTCATTAACAGAAACAAGAAGACAAGATAGGAAGGAAAGTACATCTCATATTGTCAGTAACTATGGATCTAAAAATTCCAACTCCTCAAACTGCATAGGAACTTATTTCTAAGAAATATTTAACAAAATAGAATGCAGGTTATCAGATTAACTTACTAGTAAACCTATTTCAATTATATTTGGGATCTAATGACAGTAATTGTGGTCCCCGAGATTCTGTTACCTTTACTTTTTTATATGTATTCTTTCTTTTACAGTTTTCTCTCTTCCCAATAACCCCTCAATAAGTTTAATAGGATTAAATGTATTTTACTTTATACATACAGATATATTTGCCAGTTTGCTTTGCTCCTTAAAACCCATGGGTCTCTATAGCCTATACATTATTTAATTATTTGAATTTTACAATATAAAAATGATGTATGGAAAAAACAAAGAATCAGAAAAGTACAAACAACTTTGTAGAAGAGGAACAAAGTTGAAGGATTTATACTACCTAATTTCACAGTTTACAATAAAGTGACAGCAAGGCCTGTGGCACTGGTGCAAGCCTAGACATATAGATCAATAGAGAGTTCAGAAATACATCTGTATATATATGTGTGGATATTGGCAAATTGATTTTGAACAAAGGCGCAAAGGTAATTCAATGGAAAGAGAGTACTCTCAACAAGTGGACAAATGGTATTGGGACAATAGGAAGGAAGGAAGGAAGGAAAGAAGGAAAGAAGGGAGGGAGGGACAGAATAAAGAGAAAGAGAAAAAAGAGAAAAGAGAGAAGAAAGAAAGAAAGAGAGAGAGAGGAAGGAAGGAAGGAAGGAAGGACGGGGAACATCGATTCTTTCTTTACACAATATGCAAAAATTAACTCTAAATGAATCATAGACCTAAATGTGACACTTTATGAAACTTCTAGATGAAAATATAGAAGACATTTTTGTGTTCTTGGGTTAAGCAAAGATTTGCTATATAGGATATAAAAATTGCAAATCATAAAATAAAAATTGGACTTCATAAAAATTTAAAATGTCTGCTCTTTGAAAGACACAAGAGAATGAACAGAGAAGGCACAGACTGAGAGAGAATATTTTCAAACACTTGTCTGATAAAGGACTTCAAATAACTTGATTTTTTAAAAATGGCCAAAAATTTGAATAAACATTTTATCAAAGAAGATATGTAAATAACAAATAAGCATATGCATGCTGCTCAACATCATAAGTCATCGGGGAAATGCAATATACAACCACAGTAAAATACCATATGGCCATATTAGAATGGCTAAAATTAAAACAAAAGACAATAAAAACTGATAATGCCAAGTGCTGGTAAGGATGTGGACCAACTAGACTTGCCTAGATGTAGAGCAACTAGAACTCCCACAGTTTATTGGTAGGAATGCAAAACAGTACAAATACTTTTATTGGAAAACAGTCTGGTAGTTTCTCATAAAGTTAAACATACAACCACCATACAATCCAGTGATCCTGGGAATTCCTGGGTATTTACCCAGAGAAATGAAAACATCTATCTACTTGTATGGGAAAGTTTATAGTAGCTTTATTCTTAATTGCCAGATATTGGAAATGACTCAGATGTCCATCAATTGGTGAATGGATACATGCATACAGTAGAATAATGCTCAGCAACTGCTGAATGGAAATATCCACACAATTGAAAAATACCCAGCAATAAAAAGGAATGAACAGCTGATACACGCAATAACATGGGTGGATCTCAACATCATTGTACTAAGTGAAAACACAAAATGATATATGATTCCTTTTCTATAAAATTTTGGTGGAGGTAAAGTTATACAGACAGAAATCGGATCAGTAGCTGCCTGGAACTGCAGATGGGAGGAAGGAACTGAGTACAAAAGAACATGAGGGAACTTCTTGGAGTGGTAGAAATACTCAGTTATCTTGAATGTTGTGTTGGTTACATAAATGAATATGTTTGTCAAAACTCATTGAGCCGTATGCCTCACAAGGATGAATTTTACTCTATGCAAATGATACCTTAATAATTCTAAGCTTAAAGGATGGTACTGCTCTGAGGAAAACACTATCCCTAAACCTACATGAATTTCCTCTGGATTTTATACATTTATGAGTCTCTTTTTTGGGTACCTAATCTATGCATGGTTTTATTCTTTATCCATGCTTCAGTGATCAGACATAACTTTCCTCCATTAATTTTTCTTTCATGGCAGTATCTTGAATCATTTTTTGAAATTTTTTCTCATGAGCGAACTCAGGAATTTACATATTTACTTCCCTGGGAAGTTCTAAATTCAAAATGTGCTGAGAGTTTGCTTCCTCAGTCTGTATCTGAGCATTAAATTAAATGGCTCATACCCTGAAACTCCTTTACTCTCATACATCCTGAGGCCTTACTGCAGAGTTGCATGCCCTCAGATATTAGAGAGCTTTTGGCTCTTCAGTTATCAAAATACATGGGTTTGGGAAGGATTTTAGACAGACCTTGCTAATATTTAAAATTCCACTTTATATTTAGTAATCCAAGCTCAGTAATATTGTTGGGTATTGGAAATTACAAGCAAATTTGAGGCCCTCAAATCTGGCATCCCTCCCTTCACTGAAGAAGTCTAAAAGACATTTATAAGCAAAAGGGTTTACACTATGTCACAGCTGTTTCAGAACAGAACACTGTGACAAGGACATTACTTCAGGAAAAAAGAGACAAACTTTGTGTTATTGTGCATTGAAAATATTTACATTCCACCCATGTTAAATATCAGGATTAAAGAACTTTGGCAATGATATTACCCTGTTGCAAACCTGAACCTAATTTACCAAGCAGCTAGGGTGACGAAGTAAAAAGGACAGGATTTGTAGTTTCTTTGCTCTGTCAACAGATCTGGGTCTCTATGTAAAGGCTACAAAATTAAAAGCACAATTACAGTAGATGTTTAAAGAGTAATGATGCATGCTCTATGTCTGAGATGCCACATAAAATTAAGGCCTATGGGAAAGTTGAGTTGTTAAGAAGTATTGATTTGAATTACTTAACAATATCAAGAGCATGCATACTTTTACCTCAAATATTTTTTACATAAAAAGCCAGTGAATTGCCAACAGACATATTCATTGCAAAAATTAAAATATCAACAATATCAGGAGTGTAAAATGAGTGTAATATATCCTTCAGAAGGTAAACATTTCTAAAAATTCTGTGACATATCCTTTATGGAATAGTTTTTACTTTGCTTGTAATTTGTTTCTATGAAAACATTTTTGACCACTTTTGAGACATCTGAAAAAGATTAATAGCAATCTTTTTTTTTTTTTTTTTTTTTTTTTTTGAGACAAGGTATCACTCTGTCACACAGGCTGGAGTGCAGTAGCAAGATCATGGCTCACGGCAGCCTCAACCTCCTTGGCTCGAGTGAACCTCCTGTTTCAGCCTCCCCAGTGTCTGGGACCACAGGTACATGCCACCACACCTGACTAATTTGTGTAGTTTTTGTAGAGATGGGGTTTTGCGACGTTGCCCAGGCTGGTCTTGAATTCCTGGGCTCAAGCAATTCTCCCGCCTCTGCCTCCCAAAGTGCTGGGATTACAGGCGTGAGCCACTGTGCCTGGCTAACAGCAACCCTATTTTTTCTCAAAATGAAACAACATAAAAAATAGTGGACTTTTACTGAGGAAGTAATTAATGAACATTATGCCACACTTTAAAAATAAGAAGCAAAAAAAATAATTTGCAATTCCACATTCAGATATAGCCATTTACTCGTTAATGCTACAAATATCTATTGAATGTGTTTTATGTGCCAGGCAGTGTTGTAGGCACTGGAGATTCAGCAGTAAACAAAACATACAAAATGTTCTGTCCCTGGCTGGGGGCGGTGGCTCACGCCTGTAATCCCAGTACTTTGGGAGGCAGAGGCGGGTGGATCACTTGAGGTCAGGAGTTCAAGGCCAGCCTGGCCAATGTGGTGAAACCACACCCTCTAAAAATAAATAAATACATAAATAATTTTTAAAAAGAAAAGAATGTTCTATCCCCATAGAGTTTACAGAAACCCTTAACATTTTGCTTCAATAATTTATATGTATATATATATATATATATATATATATATATATATATATATATATATGGTACACACACAAACACACAAATACATACACACAGATGAAAGCATGGTATTATTCTATAGATATCATTTGTAATCTGCTTTTGTACATTATATTCTACTGTGAACTTCTTTCCTTACCACTAAATATGCATTTATATCATTACTTACAATTAGTGCATTATATATCATTGTATGGGTTACCCTAATTAATTTAACAATCCTCTTTTGATGGGCAATTGTTTCCATTTTTGCATTATAAAGGATGCTATGATAATATATAAGCATGTTTCTAATAATATACATTGCAATCATGCACATATATTCACACACTTGTCCAATTATTTTACAACAATACATTCCTAGAAGCAGAATTTTTGATTCATAGAATATTAACAATTTTAAGGCTTGCATGACTTTTCCCTAGGATTGATTCTTTTCTAAAACAGGAAAAAAAGAAAGCAAAGTATAGCATATGTGCTTCATTCAAGGTGTGAAACAAGGATACAGATTTATAGAGTAGCATTTATCTTCCAAGGTTACCATGTGATGCCAATGTCTTTGAGTATTAACAAGATGATCAAAAGGGCAGGCCACAATAAAAACCAGTAGTGTTGAAATCTTTTTCTATTAGAATTTATCAGGCTTTAAAACAAAAGACCAAATTAATTGAGATGTTTTGTACATTTCATGTATATTTTAGTTAAAAATTCATTAGATTTCCATTCCAAAAAATATCCTTGAATTCTTCTTTGGTGTAATATCAGGGAAGCACTCTAAGCTCTAAAGTTTGTCTGTTTTCCTATAGTCATTTTTGAAATGCCCTATAAACCATTTTATTAACAAAAGGTACTTATAAAACATAATTAAGCTATAATCACAAGAAATACCATAGCATAAGCTTTTTCTTCAGAGCATCTGATTTTCTGAAAACCTGTAGAAAGTTCAGAATGAAATGTGGTTGCTCTAACATAATGTTTTATTCTGCCTACGATGTGTACTCTTATTACGTATGATTTTAAGAACAAAATTGATCAAGCATATTTTGTTATATGTCTTGTTCCTCCTATGTAAATTCTATATGTCATTTATAGCAAAATAAGTCACTAATAATATAAAATTAACAAAAAGAAGGTTTATGTTAAGGAACCACGATACAGCAAAGCAGAATGGCAAATTTGAGAAAAGTGACTTCATAAGATGGTTACGAACATCTATAATTGAATTGGTTTCTTTCTAATTACAGATTTATAATGAGACATCAGATACAATCAATGACAACATGAATAATAAATTATTCTGCCTATTTTAATTCAACATAATACAATGGAAACAGAAAAATTGTAATGATCCTTGAATTCAGCTTGAAGATCTTTCAGGTTATTCAACATTTCCTTGATACCTCCCCAGGGTCATACTAGGGGGGACATACGATGAATGTTTGCACAGGTATAACTGCTTGTCTATTTCTATGGTTTATAGCATAATTTTTTCCATATCCTACAGATTTACATTGGAAACTGTAGATTTTGAAACATGTAGTTCCTTATGTAAGAACTGGTTGCCAAGTAACATCAGAAGGATTTCAGGACCAAAAGCATTCCATCCTCACAGAGAATTAACTTTTGCCTTGAAAGACTTAACAGCTTCTCTGCTGAGTTGCACAGAAAAAGTGTTTTGGGGAGATATCCTTGAACTTAATGGGGGATCTGTCATTATTATTATTTCTGAGTGCCAAGGAGCTACTCTAAGGATACCTGTGAAGAAAAACCCTTTAGAATTCCTTTTTGTAGCATGGGCTCTTTCCAGTGTCACTTGCCTCGTGGCTCCACTTCTGCTGGGCATTCCAGAAAGAAAATTCTTAAAGTACAGTGAAAACTATAGTAGTTAAAAAGGCGAACATATAAGATAATAACCGGGAAACGTAAGATTAATATATTAAAATGAAATTAAGAACAATATAAGATAAAATTAAAACAAAAAGGGAAATAAAAGGTCAAAATAAGCGCTACACAACTTCAAATATAAAATAGTGACTTTGAAATGTATTTTAAAATCTGAAATATAAGATGCAAGGCTAGAAAAAAGATATAGTCATAAACACATCTGTAGAAAATAAATATTTTTAAAGGTATAGAAAACAATAAATTGAGGTTTTTATTTCAAGGTAATTATGTTTTAAGACAAGGGATATTACTAGAAAAGATAGAGCTACACAATTTAATACAGATGCTCCTTGACTTATGAAGGGGCTACATTCTGATAGACTCATTGTAAGTTGAAAATATCCTAAGTCAAAAATGCATTTAATGCTAGTAACACAGCTGTATATTAAAATAGCAAAGTACAACTGAGGATAATTATAAATAAATGCACATAAATAAGGATAATTTTAAATAAATATTAGAGCTAGGGGTATGAGTCCTCAGCATGGCTCCCCTGGCAGCGGGGGACCTTCCAGAAGAGAGCCCCATGGGAAGTAGCACTCTAGAAGGAGAAGTCGTCTGAGAAAACATCAAGGGTATTAGAGACCCCTCCCCTGCTCTTCGTTAAGTTCTGGATCCTTCAACAACGTCAAACATCCACTCAGCTCATATACTTTAAAAACTTTTTTATGATAGAAATTTCTAAAATTGCGTGACAATAGAAGCAGGGCGGAACTAACCTCCATGCACTCTTCCCACAGCTTCATAGAAATCAACATATTAACATGTAGTCATTTTTGTTTAATCACTTCTAACCCTATGTTGCTGTTGCTGCTCTTTTTTCTTCACTTTTTTTCTCCTCCTTCTCCTGTTCTTCCTGTACATATTGAAGCAAATTCTTGATATTTTTCTATGATATTTTGCTATGAATCTTTAATACATACCTTTTAAAATATAATCACAATATTATCGTCACACCTGCTAAAACTAACAATAGCCTTATGATATCATCTAAAACCTAGTTTATGTTCAAATTTCCACAACTGTCCCAAAAACATTTTCCAGGGGATTTGTTTAAATCGGGATTCAAATGAGGTCCACACATCACATGGTTGATATTTCTTTCAGTTTTTTTTCCATCTATGAAAATTCCCCTCACCCCCTTTTTTCTTGGCACATATCATTTAATTGTTTAAGAAATGGCACCATTTATCCTGTAGAATGTCTTACATTCTATATTTTACTGATAGTATCATTTTAGTTTCATTTAACATATTTTTCTATACTCATATTTTCTGCCAGTTGATAGTTGGTTCTAGAGGCTGATTAGATTTAAGGCTTTTCTTCTCTTTGGTGAGAATATTAATAGGTGATGCTGTGTCTCTTTTTGCATCATATGGAAGGCAATTTTACTGATGTTAATAATGGGAAGTGGGTTGAGGTTTTGCAAACCTGATTCATCCATTATAAAATTTCTCATCATTTACCTAATAGTTTTAGCATCTATCAGTAATTTTGACCTATATCCATTATTCCAAAAGGTGTTGTAAAATGGTAACTTTTTAATTTGATCATTTTTAATTTTTTGGCATTTACCAACTTTCATGTTATCTTTTTTTCACAGAAGAAATTCTTTTTTAAAAAAAGAAACTTCTATTTCAGATTCAGAGGGTACATGTGTAGGTTTGTTACATTGGGTGTATTGCATGATGCTGAGGTTTGGGGTACAGATGATCCCGTCACCCAGGTAGTGAGCATAGTACCCAATAGGTAGTTTTTCAGCCCTTACTCCCCTCCCTCTCTCTCACCCCAGTGTGTATTGTTCCCATCTTTACATCCATGTGTACTAAGTTTTTAGCTCCCACCTGTAAGCGAGAACATGAGGTATTTAGTTTTCAGTTCCTGAATTAATTAGCTTAGGGCAATGGCCTCCAGCTGCATCCATGTTGCTGCAAAGGATGTGATTTCATTCTTCTTTATGGCTGCGTAGTATTTCATGGTTTATATGTACCACATTTTCTTTGTCCAATCCACCATTGATGGGCACCTAGGTTGATTCTATGTCTTTGCTATTGTGAATAGTGCTGAGATGAACACATGAGTACATGTGTCTTTTTGGTAGAATGATTTATTTTCCTTTGAGTATATACTCAGTAATGAGATTGCTGGGTTGAATGGTAGTTCTGTTTTTAGTTCTTTGAGAAATATCCAAACTGCTTTCCACAGTATCTGAACTAATTTGCATTCCCACCAGCAGTGTATAAGTATCCCCTTTTCTCTACAGCCTCACCAGCATCTGCTATTTTTATTTTTTTACTTTTTAATAATCACCATTCTGACTGGTGTGAGATGGTAACTCATTGCGATTTTGATTTGCATTTCTTTGATGATTAGTGATGATATTTTTTCATGTTTGTTGGCCACTAGTATGTCTTCTTTTGAGAAATGTCTGCTCATCTTGTTTCCTCATTTTTAAATTCAATTATTTGTTTTTTGCTTGTTGATTTATTTGAGTTCCTTATAGAATCTGGATATCACATCTTTGTTGGATGCATAGTTTGCAAATATTTTCTCCTATTCTATAGGTTGTCTGTTTGCCCTGTTGATAGTTTCTTTTGCTGTGCAGAAGCTCTTTAATTAGGTTTCACTTGTCAATTTTTGTTTTTGTTGCAATTGTTTTTGGAGACTTTGCCATAAATTCTTTTGCCAAAGCTGATGTTGAACGGGGCATTTTCTTGATTTTCTTCTATGATTTTTATAGTTTGAGGTCTCACATTTAAATTTTTAGTCCATCTTTAGTTAATTTTTGAACATGGTGAAGGGTAGAGGTCCAGCTTCATTCTTTTGCATACGGCCAGCTTATTATCCCAGCACATTTATTGAATAGGGAGTCCTGTCCCCATTACTTATTTTTGTCAACTTTGTTGAAGATTAGATGGCTGTAGGTGTGTGACTTTATTTACGGCCTCTCTATTCTGTTCCACTGATCTATGTGTCTGTCTTTTGTACTAGTACCATGCTGTTTTGGTTACTTTAGCCGTGTAGTATAGTTTGAAATGGGGTAATGTGATACCTACAGCTTTGTTCTTTTTGCTTAGGCTTGCTTTGGCTATTCAGTCTCTTTTTTAGTTCCATATGAATTTTAGAATAGTTTTTTCTATTTTTGTGAAAAAAATGATGTTGGTATTTTAATAGGAATGGCTTTGAGCAGTATGGCCATTTTAACAATATTGATTCTTCCAATCCATGAGCATGGAATGTTTTTCCATTTGTTTGAAATCATCTCTGATTTCTTTCAGGAGTGCTTTGTAGTTCCCCTTGTAGCGACCTTTCACCCCCTTGGTTACCTGTATTCCTAGGTACTTCATTTTTTTGTGGCTGTTGTAAATGGGATTGTGTTCTTCATTTGATTTTAAGCTAGAATATTATTTGTGTAAAGGCATGCTGCTGATTTTTGTACATTGATTTTGTGTCTTGAAACTTTGCTGAAGTAATTCATTAAGTCTAGGAGCCGTTTGGCAAAGTCTTTAGGGTTTTCTAGGTACAGAATCATATCATCAGCAAAGAGAGATAGTTTGACTTACTCTTTTCCTATTTGGATGCCTTTTTTTCTTTTTTTTTCTTTTCTTTTTCTTTTTTTGAGATAGAGTCTCGCTCTGTTGCCCAGGCTGGAGTGCAGTGGCGTGATTTGGGCTCACTGCAAGCTCCGCCTCCTGGGTTCATGCCCTTCTCCTGCCTCAGCCTCCCAAGTAGCTGGGACTACAGGCGCCGGCCACAACGCCCGGCTAATTTTTTTTTTGTATTTTTAGTAGAGACGGGGCTTCACCGTGTTAGCCAGGATGGTCTCAATCTCCTGACCTTGTGATTCACCCGCCTCGGCCTCCCAAACTGCTGGGATTACAGGCATAAGCCACCACGCTCGGCCTGGATGCCTTTTATTTCTTTCTCTTGCCTGACTGCTCTGGCCAGGAATTCCAGTACTATGTTGAATAGGAGTGGTAAGAGTGGGCATTCTTGCCTTGTAATGTGAAGCATAAAAATAAATCAGATTCATACAGGCATTTTCTATTTAAATTTAAAATTGTCAGGCTTATTACTTATCACTTATTTGATTGTTCTGAATCTTTTTTCTTATACATTATGTGCTACATAATGACATTTAGGTCAATGATGAACCTTATATATGACAGTGGTCCCATAAAATTATAATGGAGCTGAAAATTTCTTATCACATAGTGATGTCAGGTGCCTTAATGCCATGGACAATGCATTACCCACCTGTTTGTGGTGATGTTGGTGTAAGCAAACTTACTGTGCTGCCAGTCATATAAAAGTCTAGCAATACAATTATGTACAGTACATAATACTTGACAATGTTAATAAACAACTATATTACTAGTTTATGTATTTACTATCCTATACATTTTTAATCATTATTTTAGAGTGCCTTCTACTTATAAAAAAAAAAGTTAACTGTAAAACAGCCTCAGGCAGGTCCTTCAGGAGTTGTTCCAGAAGGAAGCATTGTCATTATAGGAGATGACAACTCAACATATGTTATTGCCCCTGGAGAGCTTCAAGTGGGACAAGATGTGGAAGTGAAGGACAGTGATATTGATAATCCTGACCCTGTGTAGGTCTAGGCTAATTTGCGTGTTTACATCTTAGTTTTTAAGATGGCTAGCCACATGTAGGAGAATGAAGCTGGATCCTCATCTTTCACCTTATACAAAAATCAACTCAAGATGGATCAAAGACTTAAATCTAAGACCTGAAACCATAAAGACTCTAGCAGATAACATCAGAAAACCCCTTCTAGGCATTGGCTAATGTCTAGAAGCTTAAAAAGTAAAAAAAAAAAAAAAAAAATTAAATTGATGAAAGATTATAGACTAAGGATATAAAGAAAACAAATATTTTTGTACAGCTGTATAATGTGCTTGCATTTTAAACTAAGTGTTATTAAAAAGGAGTCAAGTTAAAAAACTTGAAGATTATAAAATTAAAAAGGTACAGTAAGCTTAGTTTATTATTGCAGAAAAATATTTTAAAATAAATTTAGTGTAGCCTAAGACTACAGTCTTTATAACATCTACAGTAGTATACAGTAATGTCCTAGGTCTTCACATTTACTCACCATTCACTCATCCAGAACAACCTGCAGTCCTGCAAGCTCCATTCATAGTAAGTTCTCTATATATGTGTGCCATTTTTATACTGTATCCTTTCTATATTTTGATATGTTTAGATACATACATACTTACCATTGTGTTACAATTGCCTACGATATTCAATACAGTAACATGCTGTACAGATCGGTAGCCAAAGAGCAATAAGCTATACCATAAAGCCAAGGTGTGTAGTAAGCTATATCATGGAAGTTTGTGTAAGTACACCATGATGTTTGTACTGTGGCTAAATTGCCTAAGAAAGCATTTCTCAGAATGTATCCCCACGGTTAAGCAATGCATGACCCTATTTAATATCTTCTTTCCTAAATTATATTAGCAATAATTATTTAGTTTCTTTATTCTACTATTTGGTATCTATACACCATAGTCTTGAAATAACAATTCAAAAATTAGTATTTAAAATAATGCACCTGAATGCAGTTTAAGATTTATTTGGGACACAAGGAAACATTTGGAGGTGATGGATGTATGCATATATCCAAACTCATCAAATTATATACATCAAATATATGTAGTTATTTGTATATCAAGTACGTTTCAATAAAGCTGTAAAAGAATATTTCTTTGTGATTATTTTTTCCTTTGGGCATATCTACCTGGTAATGTAGGGTCAAAGTACTTAAAATCACTTGAAGTAATTCTCAGCATGATTATGCCATCAGCTAGATAGACATTTGGGCTCATTTGTTTGGTTGTTATTTTTAGAGATTGATTTTTTCTTTCCAATTTAACTGAGTTTTATAATTATGAAAACCATTTGTGTATATGGTTCCAAGGTTTAACATTATAGAGCAAGGTACATGCATAGAGATCTAACTTCTAGTCTTGTCTTCTCTGCTAGCTTCCCTCCATGCCCCACTCAGAGTCATTTTTTAAAGTTTTTGCTTATTTTCATATTGTTTCTTTTAAATAATATGGCCGAACTCAAACTTTTGCTATTTCAATTAGTGCTGCAATCAACTCTGGGCATATAGTAGTCCATATTTTTGCCGGTATATCTTTGGGATAGATTCGTATCTTGGCAGAAATGCTGGGTCAAAAGCTAAAAGAATAAACAGTGTTGTCTGATACTGTCGACTTCTCTTCAACAGCCGTTGTATCATTATCAACAGCAATGTATGAGAGCCGTGTTTCCACACAGACTGGAAAGCAGACTATGCTGGATTTTGTCAAGCAGAGAGGTGAGAAACATTATTTCAGTGTAGCTTTAATTATATCTCCATTATTATGATTGAAATTGGTAACTTTTCACAAGAAAAGGGTCATTTATACTTCTTTTCTGTAAAATATTGTTCATATCTTGCTTTTTAAAAGTCAGATTTTTGATGTTTTTCCACTCAATTGTTAGCACCTCTTTAAATGTTAGAGATAAAATTTGCAATGCTATTTGAAAGTAATTATCCTGGCTTGTACTCTGCTTGTGGTATTTTGGTTTTGCTATGCAAAACTTTATATATTTGATCACATGCATTAGTATTTTCCTTACTTGCTTTTGTTTTTGTTTTCAGAGAGCCCAGGAGCAGCCTTGAACTCTTGGGCTCTAGCAATCCTCCTGCCTCAGCCTCATGAGTAGCTGGGACAACAGACACTACACTGCACCTGACTAATTATTTTATTTTCGAAGAGACTGAGTCTTGCTATGTCGCCCAGGCTGGTCTTGACCTCATGGTCTCAAGTGATCTTCCAACCTCAGTCCCTGAAAGCATGGGAATTACACGTGTGGACCACCATGCCTGGTCTTGCTTCTGTATTTTTAATCACTGGAAATGCAACAGGTTAGATTCCCCAGGAAGCAATCTGTGAGATGGAAACAAGGGTGCTGGACTTTTTTTTAGGAATCCTTGTAACTACTACGTGTGGGTCAGAGGACTTCTAATAGCTGGAGGAATAAGCTCTTCCTTTGCAAGGGGTTCTGAGGGACTCATCACAGCATTTACCATGGGAAATTCTCCTTACTCCAAGAAGTAAACAAAGATAAAACCACAAAGCAAATAAGGAATTCATCTATGCCTTCTTACACTACTTGAACAGTTTTTTATTTTTTTATTTTTTTGCACTTTAGATCTCAGATCCATTTGGAACTCTGTGAGAAATTCAGCCAATGATATATTCGTTGTAGTTTTTCTGTGGTGCCAATAACATATTAGAAGACAATTTTCCCACTGACTTGAAATGTCATCATTATTTAAAAAAATCTAAATTTCCATATGCATTTAGGCCTGTTTCTGGATTTCTCTTTTCTGTTTTATTAGTCTACCTCTCCATGTGCTAATACCAAACCATTTTAATTATTGAGGCATTATAGTATGTCTTAATATCCAGTGTGGTCTACCCGCCACTATTCATTGCACTTTTTTTAGGATTTTCTTAGGTATTTTTTCTAAATAAACTTTATAACTAACTTAGCTAACTTCAGAACAAAATGGTGCTTTTATGTGGATTTCATTAAATTCATAGATCAACTTAGAGAAAACCCCCACATACCCATTTCCCAGATGCAACAATCATCACTTCATTAATAATATTATTTCATCTAAAACAGAATCTACCTCCTTCTTCCTAGATTATACTGATACAAATCTGAAAATCATATTATTTAATCCATATGTATTTTAGTATATACTTTAGATAAGTACTGTTTTTAAAACATAGCTTTTAAAACTTAGTTGACACCTAAAAACCTACAATAATTACTTATTAGTATAAAATATCTAGTCAGTGATTAAATTTCTCCAATTGCCTCAATTTTTAAAAAAGTTTTATATTCTAATCAGTATACAAACAATGTTCACACATTGCAATTGATCGATATGTCTCTTTTAGATTATAGATTGCATGGTTCTGAAGGTTCCTTTTGGAGTTGATTTCCAGTTTTATTCCACTGTGGTCTGAGAGAGCTCTTGATATAATTTCAATTTTTCTTAAATTTATTGAGGCTCATTTTATGGCCTATTATATGGTATATCTTGTAGAGCATTCCATGCGCTGTTGAATAGAATACGTATTCTGCGGTTGTTGGATGAAATGTTCTGTATATGTCTGTTAAGTCCATTTGTTCCAAAGTATAGTTTAAAGTCATTGTTTCTTTGTTGACTTTCTGTCTTGATGACCTGTCTAATGCTGTCAATGGAGTATTAAAGTCCCCCACTGGTATTATAAAACTCTTTTCTGTTTTATTAGTCTACCTCTCCATGTGCTAATACCAAACCATTTTAGTTATTGAGGCATTATAGTATGTCTTAATATCCAGTGTGGTCTACCCGCCACTATTCTTTGCACTTTTTTTTAGGATTTTCTTAGGTATTTTTTCTAAATAAACTTTATAACTAACTTAGCCAGACAGCATATGGTATTGCTGTCTATCTCATTTCTTAGGTCTATTACTAATTGTTTTATAAATTTGGGAGCTACAGTGTTAGGTGTGTATATGTTTAGGATTGTGATATTTTCCTGTTGGACAAGGCCTTTTACCATTATATAATGTCCCTCTTTGTCTCTTTTAACTGCTGTTGCTTTAAAATTTGTTTTGTCTGATATGAGAATAGCTGCCCCTGCCCCTGCTCACTTTTGGTGTCCATTTACATGAAATGCCCTTTTCCACCCCTTTACTTTACGTGAGTTTTTAGGTGTTAGGTGAGTCTCCTGAAGTCAGCAGATGGTTGGTGAGTTCTTATCTATTCTGCGGTTCTGTATCTTTCAAATGGAGCATTTAGGCCATTTACATTCAATGTAGTATTGGAATGTGAGGTACCATTGCATTCATCATTCTCTTTGTTGCCTGTGTACTTTGTTTCTGTTTTTGTTTTTGCTTTTTAACATGTATTTTTGTTTTATAGGTCCTGTGTGATTTCTGCTTTAGAGAGGTTCTATTTTGATGTGTTTCCAGGATTTGTTTCAAGATTTAAAGCTGTTTTTAGCCCTTCTTGTAGTGGTGGCTTGGTCATGGGGAATTCTCTCAGCATTTGTTTGTCTGAAAACGACTGTATCTTTCCTTCTTATATAATGCTTAGTTTCACTGGATACAAGTTCTTGGCTGATAATTGCTTTGTTTGAGGAAGCTGAAGATAGGACCCCAATCCCTTCTAGCTTGCAGGGTTTCTGCTGAGAAATCTGCTGTTAATTTGATAGGTTTTCCTTTATAGGTTACCTGGTATTTCTGTCTCACCACAGCTCTTAAGGTTCTGTCCTTCATTTTAACTTTGGATAACCTGATGAAAATATGCCTAGGTGAAGAAGTTTTGTGATGAATTTTCCAGGTGTTCTTTGTGTTTCTTGTATTTGGATGTCTAGGTCTCTAGCAAAGCTGGAGAAGTTTTCCTCGATTGTTCCCCTGAATATGTTTTCCAAGCTTTTAGAATTCTCTTCTTCCATAGGAACACTGATTATTCTTAAGTTTGGTCCTTTAACATAATCTCAGACTTCTTGGAGGCTTTATTCATATTTTCATATTCTTTTTTCTTTGTCTTTGTCAGACTGGGTTACTTCAAAGACCTTTTCTTCAAGCTCTGAATTTCTTTCTTCTACTTGCTCAATTCTATTGCTGAGACTTTCCAGAGCATTTTGCATTTCTAAAAGTGTATCCAAACTTTCCTGAATTTTTGATTGTTTTTTCTTTAAGCTATCTATTTCCTTGAATATTTCTCCCTTCACTTCTTGTATCATTTTTTGGATTTCCTTGCATTGGGCTTTGCCTTTCTCGTCCCTCCCTGATTAGCTTAATAACTAACCTCCTGAATTCTTTTTCAGGTAAATCGAGGATTTCTTCTTGGTTTGGATCCATTGCTGGTGAACTAGTGTGATTTTTGGGGGGTGTTGCAGAGCCTTGTTTTGTCATATTACCAGGATTGGTTTTCTGGTTCCTTTTCATTTGAGTAGGCTCTGTCAGAGGGAAGGTCTAGGTCTGAAGACTGTTGTTCAGATTCTTTTGTCCCACGGGGTAATCCCTTGATATAGTACTCTCCCCCTTTTCCTATGAATGTGGCTTCCTGTGAGCTGAACTGCAGTGATTGTTGTCTCTCTTTGGGTCTAGCCACTCAGCAAGTCTACCCGGGTCCAGGCTGGTACTGGGGATTGTCTGCACAGAGTCTTATGATGTGAACAATCTATAGGTCTCTTTGCCATGGATACCAGCACCTGTTCTGGTGGAGGTGGCAGGGGGTGGGGTGCAATGGACTCTGTGAGGGTTCTTAGCTTTGGTGGTTTAATGCTCTATTTTTGTGCTGGTTTGCCTCCTACCAGGACGTGGTGCTTTCTGGAAAGCATCAGCTGTAGAGAGGGACTGGCAGTGGGCGGGCCCCTAGAACTCCCAAGATTATATGCCCTTTGTCTTCTGCTACCAGGGTGGATAGGGAAGGACCATCATGTGGGGGCAAGGCTAGGCGTGTCCGAGCTCTCCTTGGGTGGGTCTTGCTGCCACTGCTTGGATGGGGATGAAATTCCCAGGTCACTGGAGTTGTGTACCTAGGAGGATTACTGCTGCCTCTGCTGAGTCATGCAGATTGTAAGGGAAGTGGGGGAAAGCCGGCAGTCACAGGCTTCACCCAGCTCCCACATAAACCGAAGGGCAATTTGCATTCCCACCATGCACCTGCCCCAACAGCCCTGAGTCTGTTTCTAGGGGCAGGGTGTAATGCGCTTGAAAACCTGCCCTGGGCTACCCGCCTCCCAGCTGCAGTAGGGGGTGCGGGGGAAGGGCTTGGTTCTTCCCCTGCCTGTGGAGCCTGTAGACCAGATTTGTGCCCTCCCCCAAGTTCTGGCCAGGAGGCTTCTTGGCCCATTCAAATTGTTACAAAGTTCAGCTAGAGATTTCTTCCTTATGGAGTTGTACCCGCTGCTCCTCTGGTCACCCTCCTGATGGATCCCTGTGGTTCCAGGCAGGAATGGCCTGCTAGGGGACACGGCAAGCTCCCAGGTCCTTTCTGCTGCTTCTTCTTCCCCTGTATTTCACTTGGCTGTAAATTGACTCAGCCCCAGTTAAAGTCAGAAACTTCTCCCACAAACAGACCTTTGGCTTCTCCAGTGGGGGTGTGTGTTTGGGAGAGGAGGGTCTCCCTGTCCCATTTCCGCAGTTGGGGCACTCACAGTATTTGCGGTGTCTCCCAGGTCCTTGAAGGAGCAGTCGGCTTCCTTCACAGGGTCTGTGGGTCCTCTCGGGATTGCTGATTTGTTCTTGCAGTTGATCTGGAGCTAAAATTCCCAATGTGAGCTTCTGCAAGGTGCTCTGTCTGGAGCTGCAATCTAGTCCTGCCTCCCGTCTGCCATGATTATTTTTCTTACCAAGGACTGAAGAGCTTTTATTTAACCTCATCAAACGTACACATGTTTCTCCTCTCTCTCATGAGAGATGTCTGGGTTCTCAGTGACATCAGTATAATGATTAACTTTATCTCACAACATATGCATGACCATTTCTGAGTAATATTAAAAAATGATTATCAATGGTGTTACATTCATTCCTTTCATTTTCTTTTGAGATTTGTGGATTACCTTTCAAAATTATTAATATTTCTTTACAATTAGGCAAAATATTTACACGGTTCCAAAGCAAATCTACGAAAGTAGAAGTCTAGCCACATCTAGCATATCTGTTTCCTCTATTCTCCTCCTATAAGTATTTAGCTATGTAATTTAAGAGAGAAGATAGAATTGGGAATTAAGGAGAAAACACTTGAACTCAGAGGTTAAAGTTTAATCATTGTAGGAAGGTTGTTGATCAAGAATTGGAAATATTCAGATAAGTAAAGTAGAGGATAAAGTGGAGTGATTTTAAATATTCATTGAATTTGCCAAAAGAGAATAATGATAGAAGACTTTTTTATGAACATGAGCAAAGAGTATAGAAGAGGGAGTGGGCATTAATGCCAAAGTCAGCAGAAAATCTTGGTAAAAATTTACAGAGTTAAAGGTATTTGATTTCTCAATAATGAGGTGCTTTTTTAAATTTCAGAGAAATAAGCTTCCTTGAAGAAGCAAAGCAGAGTTTCAAAGAATAATAAGGAATTGACTGGAAAGGAAATGGAAAAAGATAGCGTAAAAACCTTCTTGTGATCCTGGGTGTTAAAAAAGTAGGAACAGGAAACACACAGGGCTGTTGCTAGCTTGCAAAATACAATCAAATGAAGACACTTTATTTCCCTAATAAGGGAAATCTTAAAGTCAAAGAGAAAATTATCAGACGAGGAGTCTACAAAGAGAAGAGATGAAGGTGGAGCAAAACTCTCAAGAGTCAGCAAGAGCTGAATTCAAGGACAAAGAACAGTCAACAATTCAGTGTCCATGCACAGAGACTGGGCCTCTAAGTAAAAATTATGGGACATACAGCTTACACCAACGAAGCATATAATAAATCTGTATATATTTCTACACCAAATTTAAATTCTCCCATGGAGGCTGACCCTGTTTCCTAGTAGTGATATGCCTGAAAACCAAAAAAATGCCATGTCAGGCTTATTCTCCTGATTTACTACTCCCTCGGAAACAAAATCAATCCAGTTCATTGCTGATTTCTTCTGAGTATACTGGTGCATAGTTCATATTCTCAAATCTACTCCTAATTAAACACAGAATGGCTGTATTTGATTCTTTTGGATGCCTTAAGGTGAGTTCAACATGCCATGCTTACATATATGTTATCCTTGGTCATTGCCCAGGTTGTAAATCCCTGGGTCATTTAAACTCTTCCAAACTCTTATTCCCACATTGCTCCATATAGGCCTACCTTGACCTTTACTCCCGTATTTCTCCTTCCTCTCAAATCATCTCACTGTGTTCTCTGGGAACTCTTATTTCATGGTAAACTCTTCTGTATTCTCAAACTCTTTGTCAAATATTATTCCTTCCATCGCCTAGCCCTAGTCTGTATTCAACACTGCTATTTCTAAACCATCATTCTTTTTCTGACAAATGTCCTTTTGAGGATATGCTGTCCCACTGAATCTGTCATTCATTAACATCTCATCTTGTGTCAGTTTCCAAGCTTGGTTTGTCAGTTACTTGACATGGTCAGGAAGGAAAAAAATGGACATATGGCAGGTAAGTTGCTGAGGAAGAACATGGTGTACTACCTGGAAGACAGAATTAGAGCAGACATAGGGAAGGTGAATTGAGGGACTAGGCAGTATGTGTGAGCCACATTAAATCCTCAAGTAGTGAATAAGGTTTGTGGTATGTTGAAGCTGGCTGATACCAATTCACAAGAGCCAGCTGTTAAATTTTCAGAAATTTTGCAAGCCAGTAGACATCACCCTGGAAGCTCTACAAATATTATAAATCAGGACCCTTTTCTCCCATGAAATCTAGTTGTTTAAATATTTACCAGCACACCACTGGGTGGTAAGAAGGAAGAGGAAATGAAATACTAAAAGGATATAAGGTCAGGAAAGTTGAAAACAAATTTCACCTAATTCACAATTATGTCTAGGAGCAATATCACTCTAAGGCTAAGAAATAAAAACAAAGTAGACTTAAACAGTATATCCAAGAGGGGCAAGATTAAAGATAGATTCTAAAGAAAAATGATGGAAAATGTCATTTTAGCTTGACAAATATGATTCATTTGTATTGAGGCTGAATCACAATTGTAAAGAAATAAATGGAGATGATATTGACATGTTCTCCTATATCCCTAGATACCATTAGGTTGAACTCATTAAACAATATTTGTTTATTCTGTGCTTAATCAGGCACAGCTTTGGTTTTAGAAAACTTAAGTGGGTCAAGAACCTAGAAATCAACAAGAATAATGAGAAGATGGGGGATGTATTAGTCCATTTTGCCTTGCTATAAAGGAATGCCTGAGACTGGGTAATTTATAAAGAAAAGAGGTTTATTTGGCTCATAGTTTTGTAGACTGTACAAGCATGGCATCCAACAAAGAAGGTAAAATGAGTGGTTTCTCTTAGTCCTTTTCCTTTAGGTAAAGTATCCTGAGTTCTTTCCTCCATGGAGCTCTTTAGACACATTTTCTTGAAGGGAGAGATACCTGGAGAAGAAATGGATCTAAAAAAAAACTACTGTGAAAAGCCACTAAAGGCTTTCTCTGGCATCCGGAAACACTAGGCTACTGTTGGTGCTAGAGAAAGATATAAAAATTGAAAAGATAGATTTTTAAAATGCTATAAAACTCATCCTTTATCACTAAGGCTAGGTTATAAAGAGACCTTACTATGCACATAATCCAAACATCATGAATGAAAGCGTATTATAATGGGGCAATTCAAGATGCTATCTTTTGATTTGAAAACAAACAAACCAACAAAACAAAACAAAAGAAACAAACAAAACCCCTTGGCTTGATTTTTAATTCCAGAGTGCTTGTTATAACATGCATAATCTCAGATATGTGTCAAGCAAAACAAAATGACTGAGCAGTTATGCTGAGAGCTGATTTTAGCTACTGTACAAATTCAAAGACATTTTTCAAGGCAATACTTAAAAGTCCATGCTTCTAATATCTTTAATTACCATCTTCCTGTCAATACTGAAAAAAAAAAATCAGATACAAAATCAGACCTGAGAAAAACCAAAGGACCTATGTTTATTAATTAATCACCATGTTTTTACTTTCCTAGAACTTCTATATCTACGCTCCAACTTGTTCCACCCTGCTTTATGCTTTTAGGGATCACATCAAATTAGTTTTCTTGTTCTCTGACATTCAGTTGGGTGGAGCCAATGGAAAAAAACCTACTGGAAATCAACAAGAATGAGTGTGAGGTGAAGATATTTATTTTCCTTGCTCATTTCCTGTTTGACAAAATTAACAGGGGCTCCTTTTCTCTCCTGAAGGCTACTCCTCCTCCATGCCAGTAATCATTCCCTCCTGCTGTATCTTCAGGCCCAAGTGGTGGTAATGGCTCCCCACTGTTGCTAGTCTGGAGACTCTGTTGTGCCTTGTTAGTTCCCCTTCTTAATCCTGCTCATACAATTGCCAGTATGCCCCGTATTAAGCTTTCCTCAGTTTTTCCAGTAGAGCACGCCATCTATTTGCTATGCTGACCCTGAGTCAACCTTATTTTTTTTCACTCTTACTTCTGATTGAACAAACAGATTTTTATCCGTTGTTTTACAACAAAAATTGTGTGTTGATATCCTGTACTGTTTACCAGTTGCTACCAGTGCTATAAAGTGAAAAGAGATGAAGAAAGATAAACAAGGACATATATAGTAGGAAGGACAATTTGCTCTGCTATGGTTTTTAAGCTATATTTAAAGGATATGTGTATGGAGGATATGTATGCGTGGTACTCAAAAGACATCCTGAGAGACTACTGTACAAAGAGATGAGCAAAAATATTTCATATATTTGGCAACAAGCCTTATTTTCAACTATTTCTGGAGTGTCTCCATGTTGATTAGCCTGCTTAGAGCCTCCTATGGGCTGTCTACTCAAGATTTGGCATATGGAGGAAAATCACATGATTGTGCAAGCATTTTGATGAGGTAGAGAGAGCCTAGAGAAAGACAGACCATCTGAACTTGAGAAAAAGCTAATCATATTAAGTGATAAAAGCAAGATATAACAGGAACACTTTTATGCTACTAGGGAAAGTATAAATTGGAAGAACCATTCTGGTAAAATATTTTTATCTAATAAAGTTGAATTTTGAGCACGTCCTGCAACCCAGTAATTGCACTTTAGATTTAGACCCTAAGGAAACACTTGCACATTTTCATTAAGAGATATGGGTGAAAATGTTCATACCACTGTTGTTTTTAATATCCATTGATAGGGAAGTGTTCATACTAATGCTTTTAAACATCCATTGATATGAAACAGATAAATAAAAATGGTATATTTTCAATAGGGAATACCATATAGAAGTGAAATGTTCATATATTTCAAAATGGATGATTCTCATAAACAAAATGTTGAGTGAAAAAAAGTTGCAGAAGATTTCCTAAAGTTCAGTATCATTATTTGAGAGTCACCATGCCAGTGTAGCAAAAATATAAAGAAAATTGACAGAGCAGTCACTCCACATTGAGAAGAGTGTCCACTTTGGGGAGTGGGATAGAGAAGGGGATAGTGTTGGAGAGGGCAATATAGGGTGCCCATGGGGAACTTCAAATGTTGCATCTCTCAAGCATGATTGTGAGTTCAGGGGTATTTATATTACCCTTATTCACATATCTCACGTGTGTATGATATTCTTGTTATATATAAAATAACCAATCATAAAAAGGCAAAAGCAAGATAAACTTATTTGCAGTAAGTCAAACTTCATTTTTATATGCATATATGCATAGAACAGGTTCTGAAAGAATTTAAAATACAATATTTTAGCTCATTGGATCATGAGATCATGGTGATCATTTTCTTATATTTTTCAAATTGTCCATCATAAATAGAAAAGTATACTTTTAAAGAAAAAAGGTATAGCCAGTAATAAGTAGCAAATACTTGAAAAAAACACCAATACCTTCAATCAAGTTCTAGAAAAGTTATTGTATTGAATCTCATTGATATTAGGATTCACTGTAAAGAGGAAATACCAAATAAAAGTTCAGACACATGACTAAAAGGCAAATGAAAGAAGGAAATGTTCCCATGAGCCAATGAGAATGTCAACCTCTTGCAACAATTATGTCATAGGAGAAAAAATGTCAGAAGACCATTATAATAAGAAACTGCTTATAAAGCTGCGGAAGGTGACCTTAATCGTCCAGTCATGTTCAGTTCAAACCATTATTTGGCTTTCAGCTGCTATGTATAGCATCTGTGTGATATAGTCATGTTTAAAGGGGCTGTGGCTGTTCATTTACATTTGCAATCTCTCCTTTAGGCTGTTATTAAGATTTCACAGAGTTTGCAAAACGTCTGTCCCCTGAGACCTTGCAAAATGAGTGGCAAGTAAAAAGACTTTTTGATGCTCAATGTCAGGGAGGACGATTCACCTAGCTGTGCTACAGTCCAGAAACACCAAGACCTGTTATTACAATCCTATTTAATAACAAATATGCCAGTTATTGAACTTATATTAACTCTCTGTATAACTGAAGTATACACAATTGTATTTATTGACATACTGAGAGTGGTGTTTGATAACATCATATTGTTTGAAACAAACAAGGCGGTGCAAGTGTTATTCATTATAACACAATATTCAATACTGATATTTAGATTTGAGTCAGAAAGCATGATTTTAAGACTGATGGGCTCCCTGTCATAAACCTTACCTTGTGTCTTTCAAAAATAAAAAAGTTCTTGGTTAGCGTGACCCCTTTTCTCCATAAGCATACACGTCTTATCTTTCTTTAACCCTCTGTACCATGTATTGTTTCTACTAAAGATGTTAATAAGTGAGATTTCCAGTCATCACTGTTTTTCTGGTAGTTTTAGGTACTATGTATATATCTTTTTTTTTAAACGCACATGGTCTCTTAACTAAAACTCAACCAAACATTATATCATAGCTTGAGACAATGTGAAGCATGCTAGGAAAATTATTTGTGAACTTAATATAATTAATTTTGAAAAAGAAACCTAGAAACATGATAATAGGCTTCATATATGGTTTCATAAAATCATAGAACATCTGGTTTGGAAATGGTCTTAATGGTCGGTTAGTCCAACCATTCACCCCGGGCTTAAATCCCTTCTAAAACACTCCATCTATTAGTCTCTATGTCATCCCTGAACTGCCTGTTCCAGGAAGGAAGAATAGAAGACTTTTGGAAGCATTCCATTTAAAATAGGAGGTACTAATTTATATATCCATCTGTGCATACAAAATATTACTCCATGCATTTACTGCTCCTTATTTTAAATGTGGTATGGCATACATTACTGGGGAAAAAAAATCCTTCCCTAGCTTTCTTACACATATTCCTTTAAAAACTAATTTGACAGATCCTGGAGCTTTCTCTTCTTTGACCCCCAAAATGAAATAGTGTCAAAGAACCTAGTTTCTAGGACACATGCGAGGACCTTAAAAAAATACCTCAAATGAATCATCATTTTCATCTTTTAAATTTATTTTGACTGCTTGTGTTTGGTCCAAGCAAGTCAAGGCAAATAGTCACACAGCTTCTTGCCAAGATTATGTTCTAAATAAGAGAGGATACTTGCAAGAAAGACACACTGGAAAACTCAAACAATCCTAAAAAAGCTGTGTTTTATAAGAAAATCACACAACCACCAGATGATCACCATTAGCTGTTAAGATTTAACAGGACAATTCTAAGTTTCTGTGTCAAAGAAAGTTTCATGGAGAAGTGATTTTAGGGCTCTTTTGCCTCTAGGTACAAAAAGTGCTTGGCAAATCCTAAGGAATAATGCTTTTTTACCCTAAAATTTTAACTTGCAGCAATGCTTGAAATCACCCCATTACAGAATCATAGCTTTGGGGTTTAGAGGTCTCTCAGTTTTCAAGATCCCCTGGCACCAAGCTCCTAACACACACCTATTATGGTGTAAAGCTTTACTGAGGGGGTGACTGGTCTGGAATGAAATGCCCAATAGGCTTTTGACAGATAGCAGGGATCTCAGATACTAGAAGATACAGAAAGGGGAAGAGGGAGATTAAAGATAAACTTCACTCCTTGCTCAGTTTTCCCAGTGCTTATCCTTCCAGTGTATGTTAACTTATTTATTATTACCTTTGGTTTATCCTTAAAGTCTTCTTATAGACCTACCTGAGGCCAGGGCAAAGATAGTCAAACACTTTTGTTGATCCAAATGTATGTAACTATCTTTTTTCAGGGATTATATCTCAGTACTTACATCTTTGGGGATGTCTATATAAAATTTATATCCAATCCTGAGTAGCTTTAAGGAGTTTTTGTTTTCTGTTGCTGTTGTTGTTGTTTGTTTGGTTGGTTGGTTTTTGAAATGGAGTTTTGCTCTGTCACCCAGGCAGGAGTGCAGTGGCGTGATCTTGGCTTACTGCAATCTTTACCTCCCGGGTTCAAGCGATTCTCTTGTCTTAGCCTCCCGAGTAGCTGGAGGTGCCCGCCACCACGCCCAGCTAACGTTTTTGTATTTTTAGTAGAGATGGGGTTTCACCATGTTGGTCAGGCTGGTCTCGAACTCCTGACCTCAGGTGATCCACCTGCCTTGGCCTCCCAAAGTGCTGGGATTACAGGCGTGAGCTGCCACGCCCGGCCAGGAGTTCTTTTTAAATTAGCATTATACTGGGCACATATTAGGTGTTTTATAAAGGTATTTTACTGAGAGTAGCTGGAGAACATTTGTAATGGTAAGAAATAGTTCCATAGTGAGTCATTTACCCAGCTACTTTCCAGTTTGAAGAATTAAGTGGGAGTCATTAAGACTGAATCAATTTCTATATATATATTTTCACTTCTAAATTGGCAAAAGAATCTGAGAGGAAGAACAGACTTCAAAACGACTACGTTAATAGAAACAAATGAGCTGTTTATTTTACACGCAGTTATGAATATTATAAATACATTATTCATCCAGCAGCTGAAAGACTTATGTCACTTAAGTGCTTGGGATGATCAAAAGCAAAGTGGTTTCAATTATTAAAAATGGGGAGGTAGGGAGAAGAAACCAGAAAAAAGACTTACTAAATGATGAAGTGCTGTACTGTCATAATGAAAATATGTAGGCCTTTCTAGGTCATAACATTTTAAGTGAATTTAAACTTGTAAGTGCTAAGAAATAAGTAAAGTAGCAAGTAATTCTATATTGCATAGTTAACAATAATTTACTGTATATTTCAAAATAGCTAGAAAAGAAAATGTGAAGTGTTCTCAACACAAAGAAACGATGAATGTTTGAGGTGATGGGTATCCTAAATACTCTTATTTGATCATTACACATTGTATGCATGTATCAAAATATCACATGTACTCCCTAAATATGTACAATTATTACGTAGCAATACAAATAAAATAATCCAGTAAAATGAGTTGGTTTTTGCCTTCATCATTGTCTTATCTTGGGGTTTCCCAAAAATCAGCATCTGAGACAAAGACTGCCTTGCCTCTGAAGGTTAAGTGTTGCTTTTGGCCTCTACCATTCCGGAATTTCCCTCTTTTCTCCATTGATATTAGGAGGTCCAATTGCATGGCAGCATGTCTTTCTGTCTACCCTAGCCTTCAGAGGACATTTCGTTGATCATTGCCATTTCTTATTGCCTGAGTGAAGGAACTGTCCTATGACCCCTCTGGGGAATACGGTCAGGTGGTGGGTTCACTGTTATCACAAAATAAATCTATTCTAACCTTTTACTTCCTTAAGCCTTCTGCACTGTTCAGGTATTCCTGTATCACCACCTTGTTTACTCCAGGTAATTACTGTACCAAAACTTCAAAAAGCTGGCTGGGTGTGGTGGCTCATGCCTGCAATCTCAGCATTTTGGGAGGCTGAGACGGGCGGATCACTTGAAGCCAGGAGTTCAAGACCAGCAAGGGCAACATGATGAAATGCCATCTCTACCAAAAATACAAAAACTTAGTCGGGTGTGGTGGCGTGCATCTGTGGTCCCAGCTACTTGGGAGGCTGGGGAAGGAGGATCGCTTGAGCTCAGGGGGCAGAGGTTGCAGTGAGCTGAGATCATGCCACTGCACTCCAGCCTGGGTGACAGAGTGAGACCCCATCTCAAAACAAAACAAAACAAAACAAAACAAAACAAAACAAAACAAAAACACTTCAAAAAAAGCCATCTCAGAGTATATTAGAGAAAAATTCAGGTGTCCTTGTCAATACTTTGAACCCCAAATCACAGGTGACTGAATAAATAAAAATATAATAGTGTTGTACTTGTATTCTATTTTTATTCACATAAATATATATTTGTGAATGAAGAATATAAAGGTCATTCATTCTTCGGGAGTAGCCAAATATTATTCTTGGATAAAACATGTAATGTCATTGTTCCCAAACTTGTATTCCATTGTTTTGGTTACATGTAAAACTGGTGTTACTGAATATTGCTTTGGCATTACTGCTACAATTCACGTTTTTGAGAAACAAAAATACAGAAACTTCCCTTCGAAATTACTGTCAGAGTGACGTTGAGGACAATGTGTTTCATATCCTGTAACAAGCTGTTCATCAGGACTCTCAAGAGAAATATCTCTTCATGCTCATATCAGGAAAAGATGGTTTTTTGTGAAACAAAACCTTAAAACATATTACAAAAACAGTCAACCTTGCAAATAATGCAGTTCTTTTTGCTTTGGCTACTGGGAAGCTCAGAGCCAAATCTACATTCTACTTCTAGTGATTTAATGGGATTTTACAGTAGGCATTTCTTAAACTAATTGTATCTTCTGGTTTTATTTTATTAATCCACTCTTATTTCCTTTTCCATTGATCTGTTCAACAATTTGTATTTTATTTATTATTTATCACGCAAGCAACTTCAAGGCCTTATTTATACTTACATAGGCATAAATTAATCTAGTTAAAAACAATTGATGTAGAGAGCTATTGAATGTACTACCTTACATTTTAAATTAAATGAGAGATGAGCTTATTGAAAGTAAGTGATACCGCAGAGGTGGAATGGGAAACTTGAAGAGCAGTTTTACGTTGATGAAGAGTAAGCAGCTCTCAAGTCATTAATCAGTAAAGTATACATTTATTATTTAAAAATTACAGCACTGGTAAAATCAGTAATATGGCATTAGACTGATATTTTGTTGCACTGTTTCAAGTCACAATAAAGTTTCAAAGAAACGAAATACTGATTTTACTTTACATGTCTCATTTTCTGCCTAACTATTTAGGTCAGGGAATTTGTCTTTACTTTTAAAAAGTGTATCCATTAAGAATACTAATACTGAGGCTATAGTCTGAGTTTATTTAATTTGCCAATTGAAATAATTCCATGGAAAACTGTCAAATGTATAATTCTGGCACATAACAGAATTAACCTTATATTACAACAAACAAAACTCATTTTAAAAATCAATGAAACCCATATTACAGCAAAATATAAGGAGATAAATTAAAAATATAAAATATTATTAGAAGAGCTTGCCTAGAAATGACGAGCTCTATTGAAACACTACCGCACAGCCAGTTAGAACATGTTTATGCTTAAGAAACGATGGAAATAATTACTAAAAAGAATGACACAAAGAAATATAAACAAGGATCATAAAGCAGAAGAAGACTGAAAACAATGTGTATATAATTGTCGGAATATCAGAGTGCTCTGAACTTTTAAAATCCTGAATCATCCAACAGGATGATGCAACAATATTCCAATCTTAGAATGGGAGGATTTGACAAAACCTTAGTGTTTATCCCAAGCTAGGGGTTAACTCCCAGGGGAAATTATGAACTAAGTGCAGCAATTAATCATGGTGATGAGTAAAAAAGTACAGTAACATCTCTGTGACCAACTCATGGGAGTGTGGAGAAAGTCCCTTTGGCAGCTGTCTGCCCAGCTAATGGTACTTACTAATTAATGGAGAGGCCAAATCTGAACCTACCCTACAGCCTTGTGCTGAAAGCTGCTTTGTAGCTATTCATATAAATGTAGACTGGTCCAGGTCAAAATACAGTAAAAGTGAGGGCACTTTTTGTCTCTATGTCTCTGGAAGGAATAATAAAAGAAAATTATCAGTGAGTCACATGAGGCTCCATAATCCACGATAGACTAAACAGTAAATGTGGCCTTTTCCTAGATCAGTGTGATTAATTCAAAAGTCAGAACCATCTGTAGCAGTTTTAAGAACAGAAATAAATTTATAAAAAGTAATCATACCTTTTCAATAAAAAGTAATAAGTAATACCTTTTAAATATATCTTTTATCAGCATTTGACTGGTAGCAGCCATTTGAGTGGCTATTTCATGCAAGCATTTATCAGCCATTCCGGAAGAGGTGGGTTGCAGTGGGGGCAGAATTCTGGTAACCAAAGAATCATTTATTAAATGGTTCCATTCTTGATCAGTTTAGCTTGCTTATAGTAATCACATCAATTATTTATGGAGCACTTACCATGTGCTAAGACATGTTTTCATGTGACATTTTTTCACTTAGTTACCATAATCCTGTGAAGTGGGTGCTACCATCCTTCCCATTTTCCACTTGAGGAAACAATGGTTTAGAGTGGATAAGTACAAGCCTGGTGTATAGAAGACAGTCAGAAAGTGGGATTAAAGCGTGGGTTTATCCCCATGGCCCACTTAAACTCTTATGTAGTTACTTACATGGATACTGCCTCTGAAGCCATGTTCAGTCAGTTCTCCAGGGAGCTCCATTCTTGCTCCTTGAAAAGTCTTGGTAGTATGCTAGCTGTTCTATTCCAGAATAGAAGCTTCTGTACTATTCCAAAGAAATAAGACATGATTTACAATTTCATACATGGTAAGGCATACACCTACCTAGTTTCCAAGATAACATCTCCTATATCTTTTTTTCTCCTCCCTTATCCCTTGTCAAACTTGAAAACTCAATTTTAGATCAGAAAAGGACCCTAGAGGCTATCTTGTCTGGCCTTCTGATTATTTTAAAATGGTAAAACCAAGGTCAAAAGAGGTTAAATGATTTCGAGTTGGTCAGTAGGGCTCCCCAGTGTCTGGAGTCCCCATCTAGTGCTTTGTCCCATTATCTTACAGTAGTTTTCATCTCTGCCCCGTATTTTTCCAGGCATCTGATGCAGGAAAGGTATGATGAAAATGATTTTTTTCAGTCTAGTAAAGGAAACTTTACCACTGACATTTGGACTGCTCTCATGGTATAACAGAAACACTGACACAGGCTTTAGCAAGCTTCTCTATCGCAACCACAGGCTGTGACTCTGGACACAAACAGTACAGAAAATTAATCTCAATTCTCTGTTTGAACTAAAAGGAAGAAAGCAAACACATGAACGTGTCAGAATGGGGAGTTAACCTGGAGAAGAAATAAGAAGCCAGATAAAAATAGAAAAGCAAGAAAGAACTTAGGAAATATATAGGGAAATATCAGCAGTATAAATCAGATTAACATGGGACCCCCCCTTGTCATTTTTAGGTTTAACATTTCTGATCTGTCAGACAGTTTTCCTATCGCCATTTCCTTCTGCTTCCCTGCAGCCCTTCTTTCTGACACCACTTGGGAAAATAATCTGTAAACTAATTACTAATTGACATAAGATTAACTAAAAAGAGCAGTCACACACACATATGCACATCCACACATAAACTTGTGCCTATACACTGTATAAGTCATGTAAATAATCACACTGTACCCCATAAATATGTATAGTTATATCATAAAGAATTTTAAAAGCCCCAAACTCCACAATTTTTAGACACTTTAGATGCCTACTATTGTAATACATAATCTTTCTTGCAGTGTTTCACAGGGTTCTACTGGTATTTTGGGTGAAACAATTATTCCTTGGATAGACTATCCACACGTGACATGATCATTATCCCTTCTGCCACCAAATCCCGTTAGTTGCAGTTAGTCATCCTGACAACCAGAAAACACCCTTAGGCATTTCCAAATGCCCCCAGGGTGGGGCAGTACTTTCCTAAGTGAGAAACACTAGGGCTGAGAACAAGACTCTAGGTCCAACTCAGAGGAATTATTAACATAGATTGATATATTTTATTCAAGACATATTTACTGAGTGCTTGCCATGTGTAAGGCCCTATGGTAGCTGGCTGCTAGGTGCTGGGGGGTACATTGGTAAGTCCAAACAAATAAGGATTTTGCTGTAATGGATCATGCAAGATGGTATGAGAGACACATATTGATTAAATCTTCACACACACACACACACATAAATTATAAAGTTCTAATAATAGCAACAAAGAGACACATAGTGTTATTAGAGTCTACAGAGGATAAGTTAGAGAAGATTCCCTGAAAAAGTGATGCTTGAGCTGAGATCTGAAGCATAAGCAGGAGTTTACTTGGTGATGACAAAGGGCAACAACATTGTTGGTAGAGGAAACAGCATGTTCAATGCTGCACCGATGACACAGAGCACGGCATGTAAGAGAGATGAACAGGAGGCCAATGTGGCTACACCTGAGAGAATGAGAGGGAGCTCCCTGTGAGATGAGGCTGTAGACATAAGGAAAAGCCAGTTCACATGTGGCCTTGGAGCCTAGTCAATAAGTAGAATACCCAGGCGTAACTAACCAAGTGAAAGCTGGTAGAAAGCAGAAGGAAGTAGATTACATAAAACATTGATTGATCAGCGGGTGTTGTCTCATGAACCTTTTAATCAAATCAGCTCTCATCTGGATGGAGGTCAAGTTTGCACAGATAAAAAATATCTTCAGTGTGTTGTGATTGTGTAGAATGTACTCACTCAACAAATTTGGTACCATGCAAGGTCCTATGAAAGTTGTAACATGTAAGACTAGATATCTGTTGGGGAACGTTGGGGGAATCTGGTGACAACCTGGAAAGGTCAAGTGTTTCAGGGGAATGAACACTGAAGTTGAAGCTTCAGGAACTGGGTCTTGCTACCAGACTTTCTTGCCTCATGGGAACTCCACCAGTCCCTGATCAGAATTTTCATCCCTAAAACAAGGACAAAAATACCCAAGTTTCTGGGCAAGATTAACTGAACTATCTTAAGGGAGAACATCTAACCCAATATAGAGTACATCCCAAGTGCACAATTCATGGTTTTAACAAAACAAAGTTTCTTCAGCTGTAAAGTAAAGGTCATAATAACTTCTCTGACACTCCAAGGATGTTGTCATCAGGCCAAATGGGAAAAGCTGGTAAAGAAGCACAAGGTATTACTATCATCAATGAATAAATGTGGCATGAATGGCACCCTGAACTTAACATCCCTTGTTTTCTCTGTTGTAGAGGCGAACTGCTCCATTGAATACCCTTTTCCTCTTAGCCCTCAGAAAAATCACGGGTATGGGCAAGAAGAAATGATGATATGCAGTTTTTGATACGATGAAATAAACATTACTGTGATAAGATTTTAAGTGCTATAAATCTACATGTACACAAATTTTCTTTGGACGCGTTGCAGAAAACAAAGTATTGTTTCCAAATAAGCCTATGGACCAACATTTTGTCAAATGTTAGCTAATCATGGTTCTTTTTTAAGCAAATCCAGTTTACAGCAATTTGCAGGGTGTACCAATGCTGGGGATGCTCCGCCTCATATCCCCTCAGCCCACCTTTAAATAAACATGTAGGTGTAGTGAACACTTCCTAGTATGCTGATAACTTTCCACTGCAAGTGCCTGTTTTCACTGCTTCTCCATGCAAGGGCTTTCTCTGCAACTGTGGCAGCTTGCCCAGCCTGCTTGTTGGGAAGCCTAGAAGCCTCTGAAACTTAACCGCCCTAGGGATTACCCGCAACCCATAATGGCTGAGAGTTGGCAGATAAATATTTCATATTACTTTGTTCTCTGATGGAATTATTCTGAAGCACGTTCTACATGGTTGCTCAGAGGGTCCTCAATAGGACTGAGGCCTAGGAGTCCACTGAGATAACCTGCTTATTAAAATTCTTTTAGGGATTTTTCCCTTCTCTGTCTCACTTCCCCTGCCTTCTTGTATGCACTTCTTATAATTAACTACCTGAACCCACTTCTTGTCTCGTGATATACTTTTGGGAGAACCCAAGGTTAGACATAGAATTCCTGGAATTGTTCAGTTCATAATGCACAATTTCCACTTACAATGGCACACTGATGACTACTCTAAAAAAAATGGCCCTGTTCTCTGTAGAAAGAGGAGATACCTACTTTTAAACATCTCTTAAGGGGAAAAGTCTAAAATCAAGGATACATTTCATGGGAGGGTGAGTGTGATCTGTTTAGAATATCAGCATTTAGATTTTAAACTGCATTTGAACATTAGGCCACACTAATGCCCACTAACTTTGGAGGGTCATTTACTTTAAAAGCAACTAGTTGAAAGATTAAGTAATTTAATTTGATAGATGGCTTTGTGCCTGAATGTGCTTTAACACCTTTTGATCCTAATTGCCTATATTGAAGGTGTTAAGTTTGACTTGCTAAATAAAGCCTAGAAGGAGTTAACATTTCATTTGAGTGACCTACAAATGCCCCCCAGCCAAGCCTCTTGGAGTGCTTCTAATGGATGCTAAATTATACAACCCAAGTGATTAGCTATTTTAGATACTGAATTAGTAAGGATGCTAGACCATAAGCTCAATGAAGAAAAGAGCTGTACTTATCTTATTCACCTTTCTACCTTAATATGGTGCCTTGTACTTACTAAGTGTTCAACAAAGTTTTCTTGAATAAATGAACACATGGCAACCTCCATTTAAATGACTTTTATTATTCTCATATGAGTTAAGATGGGAGAAGATTTGGCATTTAAATGGTTGGCAATCTAAGGAGAAAATACTATCACGCATCTATCCTTTATCTTCAGTGTGAAGTTATAAAGTCAGAAAGCTACCCCACTCTTTTCTGGTCCATTTACATATTCATATCTGGGAAGTGAGAAGCAAGAGAAAGTTGAAAGACTGCAAGATGTAAGAGTGATCCCTAAAAGAAACACTTCACCCATACAAATACTTGCTTAAACTCACTATAGTCTGTTCTTTCAGAAGAATCCGCGTGAAGGAATCATGGGACTTCAGGTCAGAATGAATTTTGTAGGATATTCTTTATGCTATGCTAGGGGAAAAAGGGAGTTTAGACAGTATCAACTTCATACTCGCAGCAAGTAAGCAACAGCTAATCAATCACTAGAGATCATCATCTTTTCTTGGGGTGAACACATATTATCTTATTGGTTTACAAGTGGTGTACCTCGGTTAATTTTAGATTTGAGGTCAGTCTCAACGTAGCGATGACTTAGCAAAGTGCAAAATAATAAAAACCTAGCAACGTGGACATGTTTTGCATAATCATTGAATTTCTATAGGACTCAGGATTCTCCCAGATTGTATATCAGTCCTGACTTGGTCTTGTTAATTTTTGATATCCACCCTCCATCCAAATCTCATTCCATTAGACTCGGAAATGTTGAAATGTTGTCTGCTAATATCTGGGTAATCATTCTTCTGTGCTATATAAGACTGTCAGAATTTGTATTTTTGCTGTGATGCTTGCTATTCCCAGTTCACAGAAACCTAAAGTGTTATCATCAACATCTGACAGTATGAACTTCAGGGTTTGTTAGAAAAACCACTTAAGTGTGTGAGATAAGGAAAAGGAGAAACAAGGGCTTTGACTTGGCTGTGTATAGATAGTGAAGGAAAACTCCATAAATGGAAGATCCAATCATTTTGGAATTTTACTTGAAGAGAAATTACAAAACGTCAGCAATTTTAAAGCCTCAATTCCTGACGCCTTCTATCCAGTTCAATCAATAAAGCTATGCTTTAACTGGAGCTCAGGACATCCTGGGAATATCCAGATTGTCTCTCTGATTCTCTGCCACTGCTCTGTGAATAAGAACTGCCAAAGATTTCTTACATCGTTAGCACTCACTGGCCCACTCTGACTTGCTCTTCTGGCTCTTTACGAATGTATATGCTTTGCCTGAAATTGGAAAGCACTTGCTCTTAATTTTCTCTGCATTAAGCAAGTGTTTCCCTGGCAGATGCAGTTTGCGCAGGCATATTTTTAAGCGCTCCCCCTGCTGGCAAGTCTGTGTAAACAGTTTGTTGGCCTCTCTAGGCCCTGGCTACTATTAAAGCCACTTCACCTGTCAGCTTAGGAGAGCTGTCTGTGATTCCATAAGGCCCCAGTTAGGCACTCACATTTACAGAAGGACAGGAGCAGCAATTTAGCCTTTAACTATTAGCTTGCCATAACAGATTGCATTATCAACAGCCGCTCCAACACTCAGAATGATAAGATGCAACCTGGGTTCATTTCAGGGGATGCTGAGGGCCTGCTGAACATGCCAACTTTGCCTTATAGGAGATAAAAAGCTTCTCCTTCAGTATCTGTACTTAACAAGGTTGACCATCTTGCTTTTGTCTGCTTTATCTCACATACTTTTCTTATTTAATAAGCAAATGTGATGTTAATAGGTATTAACATTGGCAACATTTTCAGTTTTTCTTAAGTGGTTTTAAAAAGGATCACAGAAAAAGGACAAAGTCTAAAGGTTGTGTACTAGAACACAAGTAGGCATGCTTTGCATGATAATTAAATTTCTATAGGACTCAGTATCTTCCCGATATGTAGGAGATAAGTCTGAGGTATTTTTAGAAAAAACAGGCTGGGCACAGTGGTTCACGCCTGTAATCACAGCACTTTGGGAGGCCAAGGCGGGTGGATCACAAGATCAGGAGTTCGAGACCAGCCTGGCCAACATAGTGAAACCCCCGTCTCTACTAAAAATACAAAAATTCGCTGGGCGTGGTGGTGCACACCTGTAATCCCAGCTACTCAGGAGGCTGAGGCAGGAGAATCACTTGAACCCAGGAGGCGGAGATTGCAGTGAGCCGAGATCTCGCCATTGCAGTCCAGCCCGGGTGACAATGTGAGACTCCATCTCAAAAAAAAAAAAAAAGGAAAAAGAAGAAACATTTAAAAATCTGAGGCTGATGGAATAAAATATTTATTTCGAAAGGGGGCAAAATGTTGCCAGTAATTAATAACATGGGTTCTCCAGAGTATTACTAAACATTGCAAATTTGAATGGTTTGACTTTGTTTCATAATCCTTTGCTGAATAAACAAATTTATGTATATTTATATAAGAAGGCTTACTCCTCATTCATGGATTCATAAAAGGAAGTACATAGTCTTAACTGTAATAATCATTTGAAGGCCACAGGGATGGAAATCAGCAGACCTGTGTTTATGTTCTGTCCTAAACTATTTTTTGTCTTTTTCTAAAGCCACTTAGTGGGCCTCGTTACCCATATGTAACAGGCAAAGATGGTAAATCCTAAGGCCTTTGGCAACTCTATAGTTTGGTGATTATATAATTACTATAGAATAAAAAAAAAAAAGTAGTTTGTAAAAGCACTGCTTCTACTCTGTCTTCAGTCAGATTCCCTGAAAGGAGAGCCTGAGATAAGGATTTTTTTGTAAGTTATTTCCTGAGGGTTTTCGGGAGAAACCTGTCAGGAAGTGGGTTTAGAAAGACAGGGCAGGGGAAAGAGCCGAGCAAAGATAAGATTTTAGAAGACTAGCCTTAGCCTGATCCCACAGGGAGCTCTGGAGCATCAACTGTATCACTGTTTTTCCCACGTTAAAGAAAGCAAGCAAGGTGGGCTTTTGTATCTCCATATTGATAAGACTTTTGCCAAGGAGCACACTGGGAAATGGAGGCAGAGCTTCCCAGACTTTTGTGAATGGGGCAATCCTCTGGAGAAGTGAATGTGAACTGTTAGCATTCAGCACCACAGAAGCTAGGGGGTAGGTGGCCTGGCCTGATAAAGGGAATCTGGATGAGGCACCCATAGCATCTGTTGAATACTATTTCTTCTTTTCTCAATCTAACTTAAATGTCAAATAGTATTACCAGGTTACAAAACATTCATATTATTTATCTCACTGGACCTTATAATTTTTCACACAGTAGGCATTTGATAGATAAAAGTTAAAAGAACTGCTTATTGTGTTTTACAAAAAAGGAGAAGCTCTTATATAGTTGGAAATTACTTTTGTTACTATTTAATTTAGATAATATATTGTAGGAAATGGTTATTCGATGAGAAAGCAGAAAATGGAACTCAACAATTAAGGCTTCCTGGAAAAAAAAGTTCTCTATTCTTTAGCGGAGAATGAAGATTTAACATTAAGAATGGCCTGTCCTCACAAGTAAAATTGAAGTTAAAGTAACCTCGAATTTTTTTAAATTTCTATCAAGTGATCTTGTTCCAGGAATTAATATTACACTTAGACTTGATGATTACCAGGTAAAGAACATTCATTAGAACTTTAACAAAAAAAAAAAAAAACAAAAAAAAAAAAACAGAGTATAATTAAGGCTGATAATCATTTGTTTTTGTTTAAAAAATACAAGTCTGCCCACAGTGGTAGAGATTTCTACCTATAAAATGTTCCCCTGAAACAGACTACTTCTTGAAATATGAATTAGGGGTTTAATTCTTGTATTAGTCTGTTTTGCATTGCTATAAAGGAATATCTGAGGCTGGGTAATTTATAAAGAAAACAGATTTACTTGGCTCACAGTTCTGTGGGCTGTACAAAAAGCATGGTGCCAGCATCTGCTTCTGGTCAGGACCTCAGGAAGATTTTACTCTCAGTGGAAAGTGAAGAGGGAGCAGGAGTGGCACATGGAGAGAGAGGGAGCAAGAAAGGGGAGGGAGGTGCCAGATTCTTTTTAAGAACCAGCATTCCTGTGAACTAATAGAATGGGAAGTCACTCGTTACTGCATCAAGTCATTCATGAAGGATCTATCCCCATGACCCAAACACCTCCCACCAGGCCCCACCTCCAACCCTGAGGATAACATTTCAGTATGAGATCTGAAGGGGAGAAATATTAAACTATATCAGTTCTTTAACACTCAACTTGTTTAAAACATCATGAATACCATTTTAAGCTGTCGATAGTAGCATCGGCCTTATAATGAAGCAAGACTGTAGACATTTTTTTTTAAAAGGGAAGCTAGCAGAGATCATGAAGGAACTGTGTATAAGAGGACAGGCACAGGGAAAACGGACGTAGTGAAAGACAAATGTGGTTGATTTCACCATGTTGTCTTGGAGAGTCTTAAAGGATTTTTTAGTAAAGGCCTTCAATCTGTTTCAGGTCATAGGCCCCTTTGAGAATTTGATGAAAGTTATCAAATTCTTCCCTTTGGGGGAGGAAAGTCCTCAAATGCCTTATTACTTTCCTCTCCAAAAGGGAAAATGTACATGCACACAACATTTTGCTATCAGTTTAGAGTAATTATAGAACATTGAATCCCTCCACAAATCACTACTGTGCAGAGAAATATTAGTATGTTTGAGACTACGAGAAAGAAATAACAGGGATACACCAGAAGGAAGTTCTGTTCTGAATACTATCTAGTTTTTCTTTCACTTAGAGAAAGTATATCTCAGTTATGATGACGTTAATGAAGCTTAAATGAATAATAAATACAGTTCAGCATATCTAACACTACATTCACAAAGGCTTTTTCATGAAGAAAAAAAAGGTAATTATAGTTGGAGTTGCATTAGGAGGACCAAAGAGATATTTCACGAGTGAGTAGGCTGAGATCACATTTCTAAACCAGTAAGAACAACCCATTAGGATTTGTTCACAATAAAATTCTGCTTTCCTTTTATTTATTTATTTATTTATTCATTCATTCATTCATTCATTTTGAGATGGAGTCGCGCACTGTCACCCAGGCTTCAGTGCAGGGGCGTGATCTTGGCTCACTACAACCTCTGCCTCCCGGGTTCAAGGGATTCTCGTGCCTCAGCCTCCCAAGTAGCTGGGACTACAGGCACGTGCCATCACACCCGGCTAATTTTTGTATTTTTAGTAGAGACAGGGTTTCGCCACCTTGGCCAGGCTGGTCACGAACTCCTGACTTCAGGTGACCACCTGCCTGGGCCTCCCAAAGTGCTGGGATTACAGGGGGGAGCCACCGAGCCCAGCTGAGCCGCCACACCCCACCTTTCCTTTTAAAGTATCAAATCACACTTTGCTTAATGACTTACTTTCTCGACATCATTACAGCCTCTCTGTTAACTCCAGAAGCAGTCTGCCAAGGAAGCCCTTTGCAAAGCAAATACTTCTCTAGCTCTCCCACTCTTGAGAAACACTAAGAAAGACTAGTCTGATTTACACTGATACTGACCTTTATGTATTCCAGCTCTATTTTTGACCACTAGCTTTTTGGGACCTCCAAGGTCCCTTGCCTCTTCCTAGAACCTGTTGTCTTAGTCTGTCTTCCTAGAACCTGGCTTTCTTCCATATCTTTACAACCAGCTACTTTGTTTTGGGTTATTTGGAGACCACACATCTCCAGCAAGGTCTTCAAGCAGGATTCTGGAAGCAGCTCCAATTCAAAATTTAAAAATTACAATGTACTCTTAAGGCACAGTGTTCATATTTGAAGCAAATCTAGTCGCTTCAGATTTTCATTTCTATTTGAATTGCATGTAAGAGGAGCGCTTCATCATTGCAAGATTCACTTATATGCTCCGCAGTGCTCACGCACTCCATGTGCAGATTAGAAGCCAGACTAATTCTTCTTTCCTCCCAAATTATTAAAACAGGTAATGCACTTTTATTAATGTTAGAATCAACTGAAATAATTCTGGAAAATTAATGCTCTAAGTGAATGCAATTTCAGAGCTCGGTGAGTACATTATAGGCTTATTATTCTTACTATGTATGGGATGTTAAATTTAGCAGTTTTGATTTTCATAGAAGACTAGGAATAATTTCTCTATCTTGTCTGCACGATAACCTGGTCGCTTGGTACTCTTCCTGAAATGAAGAGGTAGCACTGTACCTTGCAATGCCATAATCTTTTATGAGACATTCAGTTAAAATATCACAGGGCAATATAAAAGGATTTTGGTTATTAGGTTTTCTAAGCCAAGCCAAGACATGTAGCATACATGCATCTCTTTTTCTGTCTTTCTCTCTCTTACAAACACACACATACAAATATAAATAATATACCGAAGTATATATTACACCAAGCATTGTACAAAGTTTGAGGTATATCTATGGTAAAAAGAGAACAGACACTATCTTTCCTCATGGAGATTGTTTTCTAGCCGATGAAACCAACAGCACATGCAGAAGCACCGCCCTTCAGTAGGAGGCAAGATGCTCCTTGAGACATAACAGGAAAGAAGATGAGATGCAGTAGGTTCATAATTTGGTAGCGGAAAGAAGATGGAATTTCCACGTAATATTTATTATTTTCCTTAAGAAAGCATGAGATGAGGTCATAATCTCGGAGTAAAGAGGAAGGATCCAAGCAAGGAGATTGAAAGAGGGAAGAGAAGGACTAAACTAGTTATTCGAGGACTTGAATAATATAGAGTTACTGAGCTTGCTGAGGGTCCGTTTAGGTTTGAGCTAAGGAAGTTAACGGGAACGAAACCTGCCCGGTTTTACAATCCTCTCCAGCAAAGTGGCTGGGATGGAAAAGGTAAATGGTTGGTTTAAGTAGGTTAGAGGGTTTTCAAGGGAAATACAATGAAATGAGATGGAAGTCTTTTTTTACAAAGGACCAATGGGATTAGGTTAGTCAGGATGAAAGTGATAAAAAGGGAAATGGTAGATAAAGAACAATCAATCTATCAATAGAAACAATGGACTGGAGGTAATAATTGTTGTAGTTTAAGTTTTAGAGCAAAATATCTGGATGGCAAGAAGGCTACGGTTAGGAAGTAGAATATTTGAACTTTTGATTTTGGAGTTAGTGCAGATTTTGAGGCCCTGGTTCAAGCTGGTGTGGAGGGGTGGAATAGGTCAGTGGTAATGAGTATGGGTCAAATAATTCAGAGTGAGTTTTTAGCCACTTGGATGTTGAAATTGCCAAAATAATAACAGTGACTGGGGCGTGAAAGAAGAATGGGAACTAGGTGATAAAATTCTTCAGTGAACGAAAAGAATGACCAAGAACTTTAAAGGAGTAGCAATAAGAAAGTAGAAAAGGCCAGATGGTCCGCCCCTCAAAGAATAAAGAATTTTATGGGTTTTTTTTAAAAAAAATACAGAACAGTAAGAGTATCAAGGTCTGGAACTGCAAATGGAGAGAAAGGGGAGATATCTGTCCTGAAATGTTAGAGAAAGACAGTACAGCTTTGTTTTAGAGGATGATAGGATCCACAACCTTTGAGGACAGCCAAGTTTCAGTAAAGGTAAACAGGTAATCAGCCTAAAGAGGTTGTTTTAGTTGTGCCAAATAGTTATGTGTGTGAGTGAGTGTGTGTGTGTGTGTGCACACGCGTTCACACGCATATGTGCATAAATATACATGGACTTTCATCATGGCTAAAGAATTTATCATGGCTAAATTCTTTTGGATTTCAAAAATTTGGTAGATAACAATAGTATTTCCCAATGGATTATTTTATTTCTTAAATACATTTGCATAAGTTTCAACCAACTGTCATCAGGCATACTTGTAGAATGAAACCATGCATTTTAATCCTTTAGGGTCTTATACTAAATGGCAAAGCCAATCATGCCCTGGGTCCTATAAAACACTTCTTAAATTTGTGCTTATCTGTCTCCTAAGTGGAGGACTTTGCATCTTCACTGATATAGACCAGTGGTTTTCAAACTGAGCAATAAGGATTTTTAGGGATATTTGTGCATTGGGAACTATTCTGGAAGATTATTGAGGTGAAGTGGGACATCAAACAAGTTGGTGTCTGGACCTGTCCCACTTGTTTTTAACCAGAACAGCTCTGTATTTCTTTTGTATATCGAGTTTTCACATTGTGTTCTAAGAAAGTTTTACTCTGTTTTAAAAAATAAGCTTGGAAATTTTAGACTGGAATGATGAATCTCAGAAGATGCTACTAATCTGTGTAGAGAGTGAGCTATATATAGCCTTTATTCTTTTACTTGGAGTTGTCATACTTCATAACTTATCAGTGTAATTTCTTCATTCATAAACCTGGTGATAATAATGCTTGCCCAAGGTTGTTGAGAGGTCTAATGAGATAATATATGGAAAAGTGCTTTGTTTGACATAAATTTCACGGCTTCTAATCATTGACTAATAAGTCAGTGATCACTTAGAGGCCTGGACATACTGAGGAACAATGATGAACCACACCACCAGTCCATCCTTTGAATCTGTCCTTATTTGTAGAATACAAGACAGAAATAATTCCGAAATCAAATTTCTCCAAAAGCCATCTTTTCAATAATGTTTTAATGCTGTGTCTTTGGGCTTTGTCAAATATCTGCATATGAAAAAGTAAAGTGAAGGACACTGTGTACCTTTCTAAACCCATTACTGGAAACATGATCTATTATGTTGTTCAGTATTCCTTGTAGAAAAAAACATATTATAGTTCTTTCAGTACCAGGAAAAAGGTTTATCCCTTATGAAGAAAGTGTAGGTTTCTGTTGACCTGATTATATATTCTAGTGTGTTTTGCTTTTTGCTTTAACTGCCTGAAAATTCAGAACAAAATCTAATGCTCTGTCATGGTATCCAGCGTCTTCCTACTCTAAACCTCTCTCTTACTTTATCTGAATGTCTCTCTCTTTCTCAGACTCTCTCCACACACATAAACACAGACGATTACAATATCTATTTCTAGCACCCTCATAACAAATGGATCACTTATTTTCCATCTTCCCCCATTATTCCTTTATTTTTAAAGGTTGAATTAATTTACATATTAAATTAATTTGACCTATTACATCATTTTTATAGAAAGATAACTCTGACCCCTTTTCTCTCTATATATACATATTTTTATCAAGATACAGTTGTTGAGCTATTTAATTTTTCCATCAACTTACTTGTTCAGAAGTATATTCATTGAGACACAATGGAATGTGTAAATGTGCATATAAATGTGTGTATATGTATATGTATATGTGTATGTATATATGTGTGTGTAAAACAGAGATGTGTAAGGCCTCAATGAATTCACAGTGTATTTTGTTATGATATAGAAATAATATATAACCATACTATATGCTTTCTAACAAGCATCAGCAAACTATAATCTAAGGAGATTTTTCTATAAGTAAAATTGTATTAGAAAACAGTCATATCCATTTTTTACATATTGTTTATGATTGCTCTGGCAATACAACAACAAAGTTGAGTAGTTGTGACACAGAAATCATGGCCCTCAAAGCCTCAGTTATTTACTCTCTGGCTCTTTATAGAATGTTGCTGGGCCCTGATCTATAGGCGTTTGTTAGTGTATATATACTTTCATACTTGGAGCAGTGGAAAAACTGTTAGTAACCTGATTAGATAATAACTGCCAGGTTTTAGTCTTTATCTTGTATGTGCAAGATTGATTAAGATGTTTTTTACTGAGCAGATAATGTGGTGTTGGTAGTGGGGGGTGCTGTGTCTAGCTCCCTTAGGGCTGGATTGGAAAGGGCAGTGATTGAGGGGTAGATGGCAGTGGCTCTGTGTGAAGTACAAAAGATTGCCTCGAGATAGCTGGTACAAACAAATAACAATAAGAGTAGTTATTATTTTTGAGCACTTACCATGTGTTAGATGTTGTCCTAAAGAATATCCAAACATGAGTTAATTCAATCCTCAGAACTGTCATATGACACATCTAACATAATAGTATCTACATTTTGGAGATGAGGAAATGGAAGCTCAAGGAGATGCTGTACCTTGCCAATGGTCATGTAGCTAGTTAGTGGTGGAAATAAGATTCAAATCAAAATATCTCATGACTTCAAAACTCAAGCTCTCACCTGAGTTATACAGTGTGTCTGCTTTGGGGCCTTGCTCAGACCCTCTGAATAGTGCCTATCACATTATTATAATTCTCATACTCATTCATTCCCTGTATCTGTGAGCACCTAGAGGCAGGGACTCCTTAATATTCATCTTGGTATATCTAGTACCTAGCACAGGGTCTCTCAATAAAATGGCTTATGGGTATGTAATTGAGGAAGTTTTTCTGGAGGAATACTGCCTGGACCTGCCTTAAGGAGGGGTAAGAGTCACCTCCCTACCCCTATCACCAGGCAAAGGAAGGACAGGAGTGGCCCAAGAAAATTCAGAGGGAAAGCTTTCCACATTTTGGAATACTCAAAAATTTTTAAGATACAAAAATGTCTGCCCATAAATCGTGCAGTTGGAAGCTATTCCCTGTATTAGCATAATGTTATTTATTCTTATGTCCACAACTCTTCTGCTGATTAAATAGAATTCCAGAAGATGAAAATAAATTGTCATAATAATGAATATTTTTGTCAGCTCGATATTGGAATTATAAACTATTCCCAATTGTCTTTTCCTTCACAGTAATTTTCATATGCAACCAGAATACAGTTGCCCGGTCAATGATATTGTTATACAATGAAAACCTTCAGTTTAGAAACTTATTTCTAAATGTCACTATTCATAAGATTATATTTTGAATATGAATTTCAGTATTTTCTCAGGTACTGGCAAGAAATATATATTTTTCAAAATAAATTCACAAATTTGCATAAAAAGATTAAGGAATATATAAACCAATATGTCAAATCTTTTCAACTGATTCTACAAGTGATATATATCTGGTCCAATAAAACCTTATTTTTTACTAAAAGAAATTTAAACCATATTTGACCCACCCATTTCAGGGATGGCACACTTATTTGATATGGTTCCTAGGAACTGTGAATTGCTTCTGAAGTCACGGTTGCACAATAAGTATCAGTATCTTTTCTCCAGGAGCTCATTGCAAATTAGCAATTAAAAGAAAATGAAAGCATAAATAAATATTATGAAATAGGCAGACATTATGGAGGGAAAGGGTAAATCTTCTAGTCACATCTACAAAAATTAAAAGGTTTTTTTCTCGAATCTATCTCTTCCAGAAGAATAGGATCTAAATATTCTAGGTTTTGCTAATGCTTACTTATGCCTCCAAAAACATTCTTGAAATATATGTTCTAATAAGGAATATTAAATAAAATGGTCATTAAATATTTGAAGTATACTTTTATAAAAAATAATATTCTTGGCTTTTTCTTAAGTGGTAAGGAAATGTCTCATAATAGAATATTCTGAATTGCAAGCGATTTTACATTGTCAAATACTTTTAATATGCTCTAAAAATAGACATTAAACTTATTATGCTATAAAATGTAAGTACCACCAAGAAAAATTAAGCATGTTTGCAAGCATTAAAAAATCCATTGTCTACAATTTGCATAGTTAATAAAGATACCTCACAGCCTATTTTTGTTTTAAGCAACATGAAACATTTTGTGCAATGTTTCCATTCGCATATTCTGGCTACAGTCACCACATCTAATCTTGAAAATGATTATTTTAATGTAACAAACCAATCCAGTACTCTCATTTTGCAGTGGTTGTGGCTTTTTACAAATAGCCTTAATAAAAAGAAGTCACCTGAAGAGTGACTCATCTAGGCACGCACTGCAGAGGACACAGCATGTAATGGCTGAAACAAAGCTAAATTGGGTACAGTGGCTTCTGATTAGACATGAAAAAAAGGCTGAAGTTAGATCCAGCTGCACATATTTCATTAGGAAAAGCAAACACAAACATGGGGAATGACTTTTTTTTCTTTTATAATTAATACATTTTAAATAAATTTGAACAAAGTAAAACAAATACAACATTGTTTGAGTGAGAAAGAGATTTTCTGTGGTAGCATGCGGCACTTGAGGCAGGTGGCTTCATGCGTGACCGTAGGTTTTGAATCAAATGAAAAGTACCTAGTCACCTATTGCTGAAAAATGATGCTGTGGGAACTGAGGGATAATGCAGACCACAAATTTATCTCCCTCAATAAAATTCTCAGATTCTTTATATCAATATATATTTTAGTCTGGACTATCATTTACCACTCTCACTCCATTCCTCAACGGAAACAAAAGGAAAATCCACATCATGCCTTGTGATGATCTCCTCTTATTAATATGTATTAGTGGTACCAGCTAATGCCCCAGTTATACAATCTCGGACTTGCATCACCTTAGATTTCTCCTTTCCCTTATATCATTTGAATAATTAAAACCTATCACTTTTTCTTAAAATCATTTAGGCAGTAGAGATTAGTGTTTAAGTTAATGGGTTTTGGAGGCAGGCATGCATCATTTGAATCCAAGTTGAACCTCCTAGGAACAGTGTGACCTTAGGTAGATTCTTCAACCTCAGCTTGCTCTTCTACGGAATTAACAATACTCAATGGCACAGAGTTGTAGCAAAGGTTAAATAAAATACTGCTTGCCTAATAGTGAGGGGCCTGAAGCAAAGAATGCATTCAGTGATGCACATACTGAAGATATACCTACTCCTTTTCTCCCAACTGCTCCTAGGTTCTATACCACACACACACACACACACACACACACACACACACACACACACACACACACACATACATACACTCTTGGATAGTCTTCTGTATCACACATACTACTTTTTGTACTGGGTTGAGTAGTGACCCCTAAAAATCCACACCCACCTGAAATCTGTGAATACGACCTTATTTGGAAATAGAGTCTTTGCAGATGTAATTAGTTAAGATGGGGTTATACTAGATTAGGGTGGGCTTTAAATCCAATGACTGGAGTTCTTAAAAGAAGAGGGAGTGAATGTAGAGACACAGACACAGAGAGCAGAATGCCACATGAAGATGGAGGTAGAGACTGGAGTGATGCTTCTGCAAGCCAAAGGATGCTAAGAATTGCTGGCCACCATCAGAAGCTAGGAGAGATAAATGGAACACATCTTTCCCTAGAGCCTTCAGAAAGAGCACAGCCTTGCTGAAACGCTGATATCAGACTCCTAGCCTCTAGAACTGTGAAAAAATCAATTTCTGTTGTTTTAAACAACCCAGTTTGTGGTATTTTATTACAGCAGACTTAGGAAACTAATACACTCTTTACTCAGTTAATCAGTGTAATTTAATTTCCCCTTCATCTCTACCCCTGTCCCAATTTTCTTTATCTGATTAAAATGTAACATCCCCAAAAAAAGAGAAGAGAAAAAGAAATAGATGGGATACTGACAAAGGTGCCTCTCATCCTGGCAGTGTGTAGCAATTACAAGTGAAACACTGAAGGATGGGGTAGACAGGAAAGCTCTGGTAGTGGTGCATGCTGGGAACACAGCCTCTCTTTAACACACTCTGCATTCCCAGCTTTCACCACTATGGGAAATGATGCAAAATAAAATACAGTTGAGCCTTGAACAACAGGGGTTTCAACTGTGTGGATCCACTTATACTTGAATTTTTAAAAACAAATATGTTGAAAAATGTTTTGGAGATTTGCAACAATTTGAAAAAAAAACTTGCAGATGAATTATGTAGTCTAAAAATATTTTAAAAATAAGGAAAAGTTCAGTATGTCATGAATGCATAAAATATGTAAATACTAGTCTATTTTATCCTTTACTACCATAAATTATACCCCAATCTATTCTAATAAGTTAAAATTTATCAAAACTAACACACACAAACATTTACAGACCATACATGGTACCATTTGCAGTCGAGAGAGATGTAAACAAATGTAAAGATGCAGTAATAAACCATAACTGCATAAAATTAACTGTAGTACAGACTGTACTACTGTAATGTTTCACAGCCACCTCCTGTTGCTATTGTGGTGATCTCAAGTATTGCGAGTATCTGCTTAAAACGTCCTGGGACACTAATCCTCTCCCTGTGAGCAGTTCGTCTCTCCAGTAAATTGTAGATGGCAGTAAAAAGTGACCTCTTGGCCGGGCGCAGTGGCTCATGCCTGTAATCCCAGCACTTTGGGAGGCTGAGGTGGGCGGATCACGAGGTCCGGAGATCAAGACCATCCTGGCTAACACGGTGAAACCCCGTCTCTACTAAAAATACAAAAACTTAGCTGGGCGTGGTGGCAGGCACCTGTAATCCCAGGAGAGGCTGAGGCAGGAGAATCGCTTCAACCCGGGAGGCAGAGGTTGCAGTGAGCCGAGATTGTGCCACTGCACTCCAGCCTGGGTGACAGAGCAAGACTCCGTCTCAAAAAAAAAAAAAAAGTGATCTCTCATGGTTGTTGCATACTTTTCATCATGTTTAGTGCAATACCATAAACCTTGAATAACACCATGGGACCCATACGATGTGCCACAAGTGATGCTGGAAGTGCTTCCAAGAAGCCAAGAAAAGTCATGACATTATGAGAAAAAGTTGAGTTGAGTGATATGTACTATAGATTGAAGTCTGCAGCTGTAGTTGCTGCCATTTCAGATAGATAATTCATCAAGTAAACAGACAATGTAAACTTACAGTAACAATAAATACGGTACAGTAACGTAAACGTATTTTCTTTCTGATTTTCTTAATATTTTCTTTTCTCTAGCTTATTCTATAGTAAAGATACAGTATATAACACACATAACTTATAAAATGTCTGTTAATTGACTGTTTTGTGATCAGTAAGACTTTCAGTCAACAGTAGGCTATTAGTATTAAATGTTTTTGGGAAGTCAAAAGTTATACATGGATTTTTGACTGCTCAGGGGTCAACATCCCTAACTCCTGTGTTGTTCAGGCGTCAACTGTAATTCCACTTCATTCCATTGAAGTCAGACTAGGCTAGTCTATTTTAATCTAGACACCTGGAGTTAGATTGAGTTTTGCCTTATACTGTCTTTCTGAGGAGACCAAATAGCCAATGATCCAAGGTAACTGAATTCGCTATTGGGAAAATAAAGACTTGAATAGATAAGTACTCTTCGAAATCTGTCATGCTTTAGAACACATAGAGAGTGATAATACTGTACCATATTCTGGTACACTGTGAGGCCGTTTTTCCAAAGTAGCTGCACCATTTTACATCCTTTCCAGTGATGTATGATGGTTCCGATTTCCCCATATTCTCACCAACTCTTGCTAGAATATGACTTTGTAATTACAGTCATTCTAGCGGGTGTGAAGTGGTATCCATTGTGATTTTGATTTACATTTTCCTAATGACTCATGATGTTGAGCATCCTTTCACGTACTTATGACCACTTACATATCCTGTTTGGATAAATGTCCATTTAATTATTTGCCCATTTTAAAATTAGATTCTAAGAATTCTTTATTCTGGATAAAATCCCCTTATCAGATATATGATTTGCAAATATTTTCTTCCATCCTGTGGGTTGTCTTTTCACTTGCATGATGGTATAATTTGCAACAAAAAAGTTTTGTATTAATTTTGAGGTTGTGCAATTTATCTATTTTTTGGTATTTGTGTTTTTGGTGTCATATCTAGGAAATCATTGGCTGAACCAAGAAAACAATTTTTTTAGAGTTTTATAGTATTAGCTCTTATATTTAGGTCTATGATTCATTTTGAGTTCAGTTTTGTGTATGACATGAGTTAAGGGTCCAACTTCATTGTTTTGCATATGGATATCAGCACCATTTGTTGAAAAGATTATTCTTCTCCATTTTATTTTTTGATTGTGGTTAATACATTTGAAAGAATGTCATATGTAAATTTATGGATGAGTATTAAAGAACAGGGCTATAAGATTATTGGGAACAAAATTCCTGTTTATTAGGAACAAAAATTAAAATACTGCTCCAGTGAGTTTCAATTTTAGGCAACTTAATCAAATTTAACATAATACAAATAGAATATGAATTATTAGAATAAGAATTGAAACTGTCTCAACACTATGAAAAAGAAATAAATTATTTAACCTTACGATTCCATAAAATTATTGTTTTAACAAAGGATTATAATGAAATATTAACAAATTATAACACACTGCAAAAGAAAATGCTAATGAATTTTAGAAGTGCCTTGCATAGAGTTAAAGAGATTAAAGGTATTTTTAATTTTTTTTATTGTGAAATAATAGCTACTTAAAAAACCTTCCTACAAGGAAACTTCAGGCCTAGGGAGCTTCATTAGGAGAAGGGAATGTCACTCATAGAATTTTCCACTTTCATCGCCTTTCACATAAGGTCGGGTCTCAGGCACTGTGTTAAGCATCCAGAACTCAGATAAAAAGCCACCGTTTACTGGGTTAATAAACCACAGGTCAGAATTTAGGGTAACCACAGCAAATGGAAGGTAAAAATTAAAATCTTGACAAAGAGAGCCATAGAGGGGAAGATCCAAATGCTGCATGTATAATCTCAGCACAAATTTCTGACTGACTCCTGAATTATGTGTACTACACATGTGCAGGACAGACTCCAAACAGCCTGGCTAAAGCTAAAAGGAGTGACAGAGATTTCAGTTACTGCCTATCACAAGAAACACAGTTTGGAATTTGAGTTCAACCAAGTTCACTGCCCACTTAAAGCAAAAAAGAAATCAACACTCTTCAGGGGAACATGACAGAATTCACAGTCTATAAGTGGTATCACTAATAATGTTGAGATGCAATTCAAAATTACTAGATATATGAAGATACCGTAGTTCTTAAAACTGTTCAATAAAGTGAGTGAACATATTCTCATGATAGACAAAAGAGAATTTCAACAAATAAATGACAATTTAAAAAAACAAATAGAAATTCTAGAACTGAAACATAATAACTGAGCTAAAAATCACGTAATAGAAGATGGGAGATAATATAAAAAGAGTCAGTAAATTCAGAGATACATCAATAGAGAATAGCTAATACCATTGGTTAGTTGTAGAATAATGTAACAAATTTAATTATGTGAATGTGGAGTCCTAGATGGAGAATAGAAAGAATAGTACAGAAAAAAAATCTAAAAAAACTTCAAGAAATATCTGACCCTACCTCATCCTTTTCAAAATTGTTGTAGCTATTCCTTTGCCTTTTCATATAAAGTTTAGAATTCTCTTGTTTATATACACAAAAATGTTGAACTTTTCACAGAAATTGAATTAAACCTGTTTAACACTTTGGGAAGCAATGGCACTGTTACTATGCTGAATTTCCCAATCTATCAACATGGTATATCCTCCATTTACTTAGATGTTTTTTTTTATTTCTTTCATCAGAGTTGTGTAGCTTTCAGCATGCAATTCCTACATATTTATTGTTAAATGTATACATAGGTATTTCATTTTTGAATGAACATAAATGATATTTTGTTTTAAATTTTAGTTTCTACATGTTCATTGCTAGTCTATAGTAACACAACTGATTTTGGTTTACTGATCTTGTATTCTGTGACCTTGCTGAAGTAACTTTTTAATTATAATAGTTTTCATATAAATTCCTTGGGGATTTCGTATATAGACAATCAGGCCATCTGCAAACAGGGACAGTTTTACTTTTTTACCCAAACTTGATGCCTTTAAATTTCCCATTTCTTGTCTCATTTTGCTCTCTAGGATTTCTAGATTTCTAGAATTTTCTAGGAATTCTAGTCCTAGAGAACAAAATGACATTATGTTGAATAAAATTGGTGAGACAGGACATCCTTTCTTCGTTTCCAAGGGGAAAACATTTAGTATTTCACCATTAAGTGTGATATTAGCTTCAGGTTTCTAGTAAAATTTCTTTATCAATTTGACGAAGTTCCTAGTTGGGTGAGTTTTTTATATCATAAATGGGTATGGGATTTTGTCAAAGTATTGCTCTGTATCAATTAACATAATTATGTGATTTTCTTTAGCTTGTTAATATGTGGGTTACCTTGATTGATTTCTGAATATTGAACAAGCCTTGCATTTCTGAAATAAACCCCACTTTGTCATGGTGTATAATTTTAAATGTACTGCTGGATTGGATTTGCTAATATTTTGTTGAGGAATTTTGGATCTATGGTCCTTAGGGATGCTGGTTTTTGTTTTTTGTTTCTATTTTTTTTATTGTCCTGTCTTGTTTTGGCATCAAGGTGATATTGGCTTTATAAAATAAGATGGAGATTCTTCTCCTATTCTCTGGTAGAGATAGTGTTAAATTGGTGTAAATTCTTCTCCAAATGTTTGGTAGAATTATCCAGTAAAATTATCTGGACCTAAATATTTCAAATGACATTATATCAAGTTAAAAAGCTTCTGCACAGCAAAGGATACAATCTTTTCCAGGACTTTTTAAACTAAAAATTCATTTTCTTTAATAGTTATTGGACTATTCAAATTACTTCATCATAGGTGAGTTTTGTTTGGTATCTCTCTTAAGGATCAGAAATTTTACTATCTTTGATCTATTCGTATTTCTACATCTTTCCCTGTTAATTTGGGTAATTTATGCTTTCCTAGAAAATGGATCAGTACAATCCCATTGGCTCTCTGCTTCAGCTTTCTCTAAGTCTTCTTGTCTATGTGTGGTCATCTGTCTTAAGTTATAGATGTAGGGGTTTGTGTACACATATGTAAGTGTATATATGTGTGTGTATGTGTATTGATATTACATAAATACATATTCAGTGTTTAGGATTTTGAATGAATGGAAAGAAGGGTAGATGTGTTAGCCTTCTCTGCTATTTGATCAAATACTCTTTATGTTTGGCCTTAGTCTGTTTTCTTAGTGTCACTGATATGGTTTGGCCGTGTCCCCACCCAAATCTCACCTTGAATTGTAATAATCCCCACATGTCAAGAGCAGGGCCAGGTGGAGATCATTGAATCATGGGGACAGTTTTCCCCATACTGTTCTCATGATAGTGAATAAGTCTCACGAGATCTGATGGTTTTATAAATGGGAGTTCCCCTGCACAAGCTCTCTTGCCTGCCACCATGTAAGACATACCTTTGCTTCTCCTTTGCCATCTGCCATGATTGTGAGGCTTCCCAGCCATGTGGAAATGTGAGCCCATTAAAACTCTTCCCTTTATAACTTACCCACTCTCAGGTATGTCTTTATTAGCAGCATAAGAACAGACTAATACAGTCACCGTCCTACCTCTTTCTCTATGGTGAAATATAAGTGCTAAGGCCAATCCTAAGCGTTGCCTCTTTTCTGAAGACCTTTTCAATTCTTCTAGTAGTTGGATGCTCCCTTAAGATTTTGCCGTCATTATCATTGTATTTTTCACATTGTAATGGGATAATGGCTTTTCCACACTGATGTCCTCAGTAGGCTTTGAACCCCTTGATACTAGGGATCATGCAATTCCCAGTTTGCAATTCCAAAGTATAGTTCTATTCAGTTATCAAGGAGTCTATCAATGTATTTATTATTCTGTGTATAAACAGTGTGCTTTTTCAGTAAATTCTCTTGTGATATAACTATATAGACAGATGCATTCTTAATATTAATTTAACTAATTTGTTAAATTTTATTCTTATCTTATGCTGAATAACCACAGTCAGTAAAATAGTTTCCATCAAAACAAATGCCTTTATGAAATGTGGATTATTTACTTGTTCATGTAGTGCAGCTGTTTTATAACCAGTGTAAAGAATTTAGTAAACTACCAAGGATATTTAGAGTGCTAACTTTATGGCTGGGATTCAGTACTTGCATTTAATTTTTCCATGAACCATATGAACTCTCAGTTATGACTAGAACTAGCTCAGTCACTGGGTAACTAGGCATTTGCTTAGTGAGTTCAGGGGACTCTGAGATCCTGGGACTTGGAGGTATTCCTTACACGAGAATTAGCCTGTATGGCCATTTTCTTACTTCTGTATTTGTTTATCCCTAATGTTTAGCTGTACATGGAGCATTTTATCTCATCATATTTGATGGCCATCATGTATGAAAATAAGGCAAATTAAATATAAACTTTACTAACCTGAACTCTTGATCTGGATTTCTAGAAAGACTGGAGCATATTTTCTGAAAACAGATAATGTGGTAAAATATTCTTACAGGTGCTGATTTTAATGAGGCTAACAAAGTGAGGGCAATTAGAAAATTTTAGGCATATATATGAATAATACATGTAAATAGTACTAGTAAGAGGCTCGAAGCAGATTAATATGTTAAGCAGGTCAAAAGATACTCTTTATAATCTTTCATGGCATTTATATATTTGGTAATATATTTTTATAGTCAGAGACAATATGAACATTAGTCCAGGGAAGCCCTTATTTAAATTATCACAAAGTATAATTTTGAGGAGTTAAAAAGATAAAAACTAAGTATATTACAGTATGTTTGTGTCTACTAAAATTATAATAGTTTATCTCCACCTTCATCTGTTTTACAAATGAGTAAATTGTAGAAAGCTGAGAAAATGTAGCTAATATCATACAAATGCTTAGAGTAACAGGTAGAATCAATACTTCCAATATATTTTAAATTAACAAGGCTCTAATAAAATAAAAACCTGCCTAGTCTAAGAACCTTATAGAATAGCTTCTCAGAGCACTCACATTAGCCTCCTGTTAAATTCTTTAACTGTTAATATTTACAGCAGCTGAAGCGTAAAGCATCCCAATGAATGAAATAGCATTATTTAGCTCCCCAAACAGTCACCTTCAAGGAGAAAACAAATCAGCCCAATTCAATAAAAATTAGTAGTTTTCTGTTTTGTAAATGTAATATGGAACATTTATTGGGTTTGTTCTAATTGACATTTGTGCTTGTAATTCCCCCAGAGAAGCTCTTTTGTTAAATTATTACGAAAGGCTACCGGGTCTAGAGGTACGGTGGAATTAGCAAATGCTTCAAAGACTAATTGGGTTTGAATACTGCTGTTCAGTAATCTATTCACTGGGTGACCATGAACACATTAACTGACCTCTGTAAAACTTAGTTTATTTGCCTGTGAAACGGAGTTATAAAAGTATCTGACTTTGTTGGATTGTTGTGAACAATGAGAAAACATTTGATTTGTAGTGACATTTCTCATCTAATGACTGTGTAACCTTCATAAAGGTAGAGTAGTGAAAGGGAAGAGAAAATTAAAACTGAGTCAGGTATTGGCTATTCTATAGGACTCTTCCCTCCTTCAAATGGTTTCCTCTCATATATAGAAAAATAGAACAGTGTTCAGATAATAACATATTGCTTTGAATCAAAGATGCCAGTAATTGCAAAATATGTCCTAACTACAGAGAATTCAAATTGTGATATGATGTGGGTCTTGGAATTGATGATTTTCATAATGGTTAATATATATTGAGCATTTACAATATGGTAGGTACTGTTCTAAATGTTGCACATATATTAACTTATTTATTCTTTATCTAAAAAATCAAGTAACTATTATTGTTATCTCTATTTTGCAGATTAAGTAACTCCTCCATGAGCACTCAGCTAGTACAACTTCTCCAGAACACTGAGCTATCGCTAAAGAGGAGCTGTGGACATCTAATCTACCAACATCAAGCAATAGCCACCACCAGGAGAAACACACCTGACCCTGTAAGATTCTTTTACATAGGAGTCACGGGTGCGGGGAATTGAAGAAGGGGGAAATTGGGGAATGGGAAGTAGTATCATTTTGTGTTGTCCATCATGCTCAAGTGCCTATTAAAAAGCCTGCTTATTTATTGGTAATGACTAGTGTTAGAGAGTGCTGAAATAAATGTAACCTTATAAGTGACTTAAGGAGACTTGAAACCGGGAACCATCACTCTCAGCAAACTAACACAAGAACAGAAAACCAGAAACCAAACACCTCATGTTCTCACTCATAAGTGGGAGTTGAACAATGAGAACACATGGACACAGGGAGGGGAACAACACATACTGGGGCCTGTCGGTGGGTACGGGGACAGGGGACGGCTAGCATTAGGAGAAATACCTAATGTAGATGACGGGTTGATGGGTGCAGCAAACCACCATGGCGCGTGTATACCTATGTAACAAACCTGCACGTTCTGCACATGTATCCCAGAACTTAAAGTGTAAAAAAATTTGATAACTTTCCAAAAAAAAAAAATTATCCCAGTGAAGCCAATCCAAACTTTTAAAAGTACCTCACTAAGGGGCAGTTGCCAAACCCCTGGCAATCACTAGTCTGATTATAGTTTTGCCTTTTCCAGAATGTCATATAAATGGAATCACACGGTATACAGTCTTTTCATATTGGTTTATTTCACTTTGCAATATGCAACTAAGAATAATACATGTCTTTCTTTGGCTTAACAGCTCATTCCTTTTATTACTGAATATTATTCTGTTGTACAGATGTATGATGACTTATTTATCCATTCATCTATTGAAGGATATCTTAGTTGCTTTTACACATTTTCATCTATGTGTCCTGTGTTACAGCCACTTCAAACTATCTTCAGGTCTCTGAATGTGCCGTGTACTTTAATTCTTCTGTTCCACTGACCATGTTGTTTTCTCTGTCTGGAACTTCCTGTATGCATCCTTTCACTCTACTGCACACCTCACGCACAGCCAGATTCTACTGGATGCCCTTCTCATATTCTTTTATACTATTGCTTATCAAGCTTCAATGTGCAATTAGTTATCCACAGATCTTTTAAAAATGTAGAGCCTGATTCAATAGGTGTGCGGTGGAACTCGAGATTTTTGCATTTCTAAAATGTGCTGGGGATGTTGACGCCGTACATAACACACTGTGCTATAATTGTTGTTTTCCTTCGTTATCTCCACCAGACAAGGACTTTCTTGAAAGTGTGAACCGATATATATCCGCATTGAAGAAAATGGAGTCAATAGTTCCTCCACTTGACTTAGAAGGCCTTTAACAACCTTGTCCCAAACTAAATTTTCAGACCCATTTCCCACCACCCATTCCTTTCAGTCCAGCTGTTATTACTTGTCACACACAAGTCCCAATGTATCTTACATAAATGAAAATATAATTAATTTATAAGTTATAAATCTCTAACAGGGCAAGTTGATGGGATACACATACTGTTTACTCATCCATGCATATATAAAGCAAGGTCATAGTTCTCCATTTTGATGGGCAAACCAGTTCTATTAAAAAATATGCATTGTCAGGAAACAACAGGTGTTGGAGAGGATGTGGAGAAATAGGAACACTTTTACACTGTTGGTGGGACTGTAAACTAGTTCAACCATTGTGGAAGACAGTGTGGCGATTCCTCAGGGATCTAGAACTAGAAATACCATTTGACCCAGCCATCCCATTACTGGGTATATACCCAAAGGATTATAAATCATGCTGCTATAAAGACACATGCACACATATGTTTATTGCGGCACTACTCACAATAGCAAAGACTTGGAACCAACCCAAATGTCCAACAACGATAGACTGGATTAAGAAAATGTGGCACATATACACCATGGAATACTATGCAGCCATAAAAAACGATGAGTTCATGTCCTTTGTAGGGACATGGATGAAGCTGGAAACCATCATTCTCAGCAAACTGTCGCGAGGACAAAAAACCAAACACCACATGTTCTCACTCATAGGTGGGAATTGAACAATGAGAACACATGGACACAGGAAGGGGAACATCACACACCAGGGACTGTTGTGGGGTCGGGGGAGGGGGGAGGGATAGCATTAGGACATATACCTAATGCTAAATGATGAGTTAATGGGTACAGCACACCAACATGGCACATGTATACATATGTAACAAACCTGCACGTTGTGCACATGTACCCTAAAACTTAAAGTACAATAATAATAAAATTTAAAAAAAGAATATGTAAAATTTTAAATTTAAGGAGCAAATAATGAACAATTATTGTATTCATGTAATTTTGTCCTTAAATATATCAGTTGGCTAATTAAAAAAAAAAATTACCCACACACACACAAAAAAAAGCCCAGGACCAGATGGATTCACAGCAGTATTCTACCAGACATTCAAAGAAGAATTGGTACCAATCCTCTTGACACTATTCCACAAGATAGAGAAAGAAGGAACCCTCCCTAATTCATTCTATGAAGCTAGCATCACCCTAATACCAAAACCAGGAAAGGACATAACCAAAAAGAAAACTCCAGACCGATATCCTTGATGAACATAGATGGTATACTACAAACATATGTAACAAACCTGCACGTTGTGCACATGTACCCTAAAACTTAAAGTATAATAACAAAAAAAAAATGCATTGCACACTTTTCAGAGAAGCACAACATTTAGTGTTTAAAATTTCCCTTTTCCTTCCTTATACTGAATGGGCACACACAGTGAATGACAGCACAGAACAGAGTTTTCTAACAGATTTCCACATGGCTCTCCAACTTTTAACAGTGTAATTCTCTAGTCGTCCATGCTAATGCATGTCCATAGAAGAAACACAGCCCAAAACTAATTACCTAAGAAAGGAGGAAGTAGAAAATACTATTTGGAATAAAAAGACACTTAAACATTGAATATATTCAAATGGTTTCTTCTCAGGAAGGTGAAATGACTTCAAGTCCTGTGTGCTAACAAGGTCATTCTTTGAAGCTTTGAAAGTGAAGTGGTAATTCAATTTTCTTACTTTTCTGGACTGTTGCATATCTTACAAATCTATTTTCCTCACCTATTTTTTCCCATCTTAACAGGATAAGTTAGTTTCTTCACATGTGAAGAGGTAATAACATTTCTTTCTGGAAAACTAAGGTTTTTATTTTATTTTTTAATCTTAGTGTGACATTCATCCCTTCAGTTATATATTTAATGTCCCATATATCTCTCAATAGAATGAGGCTGTGGTTGTTACAAGAGTGAAAAGGACAGAGTTGAAATGCCAAAAAGCAAAGGTCAGTGATATGTTGGCCAAGACACAAAATAATTTAATATGATTTTTCCCAGATGAGGGAGAATGGTGAAATGTGTGCAAACATCAATTTGCTTTGGTCAAGCCATTTTATAGCAATTCACCCTGTTAGAGACTCTTGAAGGTATTGTTAGTTTTAGGCCTCCACTGTTTGCCAAATACTTAGGTACTTTGTTTTACATCTATTGCTTAGCATGTTCTCTCAGATCAATATAGCAAAGGGACTTAGAGCAATGAAAAGTGAATAGCACTATCTTGGAAATCCTATGCAATAAAGGGCTGGGATTGACATAGATTTAAAAGACTTATTTAGTTATCCTAGGGGGTCCCTTATAGAAACAATTGCATTTCTTTCCACAATACCACATTTCCATTTATAAATTTCATAGAGTTTTTAAAAAGTTAATATGTGTAAATTTTGTTATATACTTGTATGTTCATCACCACACTATTCACAATAGCAAAGACATAGAATCCACCTAGATGTCCATCAAAGGTAGACTGGATAAAGAAAATGTGGTACATAACCATCATGGAACACTACACAGCCATAAAAATGAATTAAATAATTTCCTTTGCAGCAACATGGATGGAGTTGGAGGCCATAATCCTAAGACAATTAATGCAGGAACAGAAAATCGAATACAGCATGTTCTCACTTAAAAATGGGAGCTAAATATTGAGCACACGTGGACATAAATTTGCAGTGTCTATTGCACATGGGAACAACAGACACTGCAAACTACTAGAAGGTGGAGGAACAGAGGGATCATGGGTGGAAAAACTACCCATTGGGTATTAGGCTCAACCTGGGTGCAATATACCCATGGAACAAACCTGCACATGTACCCCCTGTATCTAAAATAAAAGTTGAAAAATAAGTTAATGTGTGCATTTTGAATGCTTAAAGTTCTTTTCCCTGTCCCCTACCACAGTAATATTTTAAATAAGAGGGGCAAAATGAAAGATGTATGAGTGCCCCAAAGCAACCCAAATATTTATCAAGAACTTACAGAAATTTAATTGTTTCTGATATGGGCTTATCCTTATATTTCATTACTCAGTCCTTCTTTTATCCAAATTTTTAGCCACTATGAGATCTTCCTGGACCCGAAAGACTAAATTACCTCTTTCATATTATCTTTCTCTTTATATAACTCCAAAAACGTTTCTTCTTCCCTAAAGATGTGGCTTTGTTGTTGTGTTTTCTGACTATTTACATACTTGGTTTGGTATAGATGCTGTCAATTTTCTTCATAGCCAAAAGGAAGATAAAAGAAAAAGAAAAGCCTTCTACAAATCATAATTTATTTATAACCAAGAAAACTTAAACTGGGGACAAGTCTTGTTCACGTATGTCAAAAATGTATATTGTTACAAGCATAAGTAAATTTACATTGTCAGAAGAGTTTCAGTGTAAGAGAGAATAAATATTTACATTTGTTAGCTTTTCTTGGGGTAAAACATGGACCCGTTAAAAAAAATTGTTACAAAGAAGTGTTAAGGGTATTGTCAATTTGTACATATTAATTGCATTGCTCAAAAATCAACAGGAAATTCTCTCATGTTCATTTAAAGAAGTTATCATAAGTGATACCACTGTTTAGCAAAGCAACTTGAGGTAGTGGAAGAAACACTGCATTGGAAGTCAAGTGATCTAGGAACATCTTTGCCAGTTTTTTGTTGTTTTTTAGAAAGCTTAATCATGGAACTAAGCATTGAATGAGATCATGAAGATGCCAGATTTGTTACTGGGATTCAAAACATATTTCAGACTCTATTTTTTTTCTAGCTTATTTTTCAAATGTGTAATAGCTATCAGATACACGTAATCATTAGAAAAATATACACATTGCATGATGTAAATTTATCTTCTGCAACTTCTAATACAGTATTATGACTTTATTTTTACTCATTTTGCACAGGAATTTTTTGTTCTCAAATTCAGCCCTATTCTATGATTCTGTTTATATGTTAGGACATCCATACTCAAATGTGTGTAGTGATAGGTAACAGAGATGCAAATAGAGAAAAAATGAAATATGCAGTAGTTTCCTACAATATATTATGGTTTCTTCTAATTTATAATTATATTACTATTTTCTGCTAATGTAATTCCTCTAGTTTCTTCCAAAGTATTTTCTGAAACTGTACTTCAACAATTATTATTTTATATTTTTCATATGATGCTCATCAAATTCTGACAGTGGTTTTGTTTATAATGGATTTTATTTTGCCAGCATCATTGTTTAATGATTGTATTTTGGTAACAAATAGTGAAGAGTATAGCAGAGCCAGAATCACAAATCATGCCTAAGTATTAAGTAACAGTGGCCCTATAATAAAAGTTGATGAGAACTAATAAATTAAAGATAATAATAGGAATAATTAAAGATAATATTATTAAACATAATACCAGCCAGCAAAATAAAAATTTAGTACCTCTTCCTTCATCACCAAACACACACGTGCACACACATACACACACACACACACACACACACACACACACCATTTCCAGGCATATAGACACAGTAAGATTCCTTTATAATATCAATAGAATTCCTTTATAATATCAATACAATTATGGTATGAGTTTACCGTTACTTTCCTTTATAATATCACTAAGATTATGGTATGAGTTTACTGTTACTCATACCCAGACTTTCTTTTTTGATTTTGGAAAGAAAAAAAGAGACAGAAGAAAGGTTTCCCTCTTTGGGATGATAATTCTAAGCGTAACATATGGAATAGGTACAAAAGGAAAACCAAAGGAAATAGCTGTTTAACTTAGATTCAAGCCTTTTTTTCTCATTAGTCCCCAGTTTACATGATCCTCTACGACACGAATAGGTCTTTCTAAAATACTTGTTCCGGGTGTCTTCTGTACCGCTGGGATGCTCCATTAGGCTATACCAAATGACGCTGGATTATCACCCAGAATTCCCACTTACTAATATTGATCAGTTCATTTGTAGTCCTCTCTTGATATAGCTTCTAACGAGGCGTAAGTCCATATTAATTCATTATATTCACTTAACAAATATTTTTGAGCACCAAGAATGTGCCCAGCTACCGGTATGGTAGGTGCTGGTGACAAAACAGTGAGCAAAACAAAGGCTGCAGCCACCTGAAACTTACGTTGTACTGACACTTATAATAGGGATAAAGTAGAGTCCAAGTAACTTTCAGCTCTTTCTTGGCATATGGAAGGAGCAGCATAATCATCACAGCCCCAGATACCCTCTCCACTCTAGTCTTGCAGGAAGAAGCTAACAATCATAGAAACTAGTGCCTGAGTTTACAGTTCTAGCCACTACTCTTGTCCCCAATTCCTTCCTGGTGGTAGGTTAAGGGAGAGAACATACTGTCTCATTATAGATCCATGGATAGTTCTTATATCTTTCAAATTAGTCAATTTTCTGCCATTGAAAAAATTCTCATTGCCTGATGTTTTCAGTCAGCCCATTGCCACTTTTCTAATATTGTATGTATTTTGTCCATACTTCTGGGATTCATTTGGTTAGAAAACCCTCACCAATATAGGAAATCATTCCATGAAGTTGCAGGAACATCATGATGTCTTAAAAATACTTCTGAGCACTTTTTAAATCTCTCATATACTTAATGAAACTGTAATAGGCAATCCCCAGTTCCCATCCTGTCTCCGAATTCAGTAGAGAACTTAAAGTCAAAACAAGTCATAGAATAATTAATTTACTACTCATAAGGACAGATGTTCCTCATGGCTGACTCTAACTGTGTATATTTAAAATAATCAGGGGTCATTAAAAGGGTTCCACTAGCCTTCTCCAAATAGAGACCTCTGTCATTCTCTATCATGAAGTCAATGTTTCTGAACACTATAATTATTTTCATATTTTTGTTCTTCTTGAACACGGAAACACAAAGAACAATTCTAAGTTTTAAAAGTACCTTTCGATTCAAACCATAAATTCCCTAGACTTTTATTTTAGCTTGTAAAATGAAAGACGATGATCTCACAAATCTGAATCTGATCAGTTTATAAGTTTCTTTCACTTTACCCTGATTCAGGCTCCTGTTGGCCTTAATCTTTATTTTAAACACCATACTTCCAGATTTTACTTAGAAACTAAAATTAAAAATTAGATTTTTAATAAATTGGACATTTTTCAAAGATGTGAACTTAAGAAATATTGGCACCACTGAACCTTCCATAAACAATGGAACATACATTCATTCAATTAACATAATATAGACGATGATATTATTTACTCAGAAGGATTGCTTACACATAATTATTCAACGTGAGAATAAATGGTAACATACAATTACTAAGGATACTTGCACGTAAACTCAACGTAAAAACAGTGGTGTGCCTATTTGTAACAGTTTATTATAAGTATATTAAAGTTTATGGTAATTGTGAATACCACACTGGCATTCACAATAATAACAGTTTACGTTCTACATTCCCATACAGCTACACTGAGCAGCTAAACTTAGCTATAATCATTAGTATATTTGTAATTGACTTGCAAGTTACAGGCACATTTTTCCTGGCAGAAAATGCACCTTTCAGATCTAATTTTAAGAATCAGTACTACCAAATATGGGATTTATTCAAAGATACCAGGAAGATTCTTTGTGTCTAAAACACGCACCTCCATCCTTCAGAGGCCTGGATTTCCAAAATTATGCCCTATCTTCTCATAAGCTAAATCATGATTTTGTCTCCTACAAAATATCAAACATCTTTTGAAGAAAACGTATTAAACCCAATTGGTCAATAATAACATTGTGGTTAAGTTTTAAATTATTTTGTGTGTGATAGTTTGACTGTTACTAAAGAAAGACAACATCAAAAAATGCATCTCTCTTGTCCCTTGTACATATTAAGTGCTTAATAAATGTTTGCCTAATGAATTCAGTAAATTGTTTATTACCCGCCTGCTCCGTGCCTGACATCATACTAAGAAGCAAGAAAACAAAGTAATCTAAAGGATAATCCTCGACATTAAACTCTAGAGGCAGACACATGTACAAATAAGTGGATTATTCTAGCAATACACACACTATTCTACTGAAAAAAACATTCTTTTGGGATGGATGTCAGAAGAAATGGTAATTGATTTGGACATAGGAGCATCACTGGACAGCTTTATGAAGACTCAATTTACAGTTAAAATAAAGACAATAATTCTAATGCTTATTCTGGCTAATTTTTAGATCTAAAACTTATGCTGGAGGAAACAGTGATAACAATGATTCATCTCAACTCTGTTGGTTTTTTTTTAATCATCAGATTCAACTTTGTAAAGAAAGCCCACCTACTTCTAATTAGCAGATTTATACATTTTTAAAATCTTTAAAACTTTGGTAAAATACACGTAACACCAAATTTACGATCTTAATCATTTTTAGGTGCACAGTTCAGTGGTGTTAAGTACATTTACATTGTTGTACAACCAATCTCCAGAATTCTTTTTGTCTTGCAAAACTAAAACTTAATTCATTAAAAAACAACTCCCCACTCTCCTACTTATCCCAGCCCCTGGCAGCCACCATTCTAATTTCTGTCTTTATGAATTTGACTACTCTAGGTACCTCACATAGAATACTGACATTTTTCACTTAGCCTAATGTCCCTCGCAGATCACGCATGTTGTAGCATTTGTCTGAATTTCCTTCCCTTTTAAGGTATACACCACATTTTAAGGTATATACACCATTTTTTATTTGTACATTTATTCACTGAGGAACATTTGGGTTGTTTCTACCTTTTGGCTCCTGTGAATAATGCTGCAGTGAACGTGAGTATACAAAGATCTCTTTGCGACCCTATTTTCAGGTTTTTAAAAGTACACATCCAAAAGTGAAATTGCTGGATTAAAGTAATTCCATTTTCAGTTTCTTGGGGAATTGCCATAATATTTTCCATAGCCACACCATTTTATATTTCTACAATGTAACAGTACAAAGGTTCCAATTTCTTCACATATTCACAGATATTTTCTGTTTGTTTGTGAGTAGCCATGCTAATGGGAGTGAGTTGCTATCTCGTGGTGGTCTTAATTTGCATTTAACTAATGAAAGTGATGTTGAGCATCTTTTCACGTGTGGTTGAACATTTTCATGTCTTTTGGAAAAATGTCTACTGAAGTTCTTTGCCCATTTTTAAATTGGGTTATGTGTTCTTTCTTGTCAAGTTGTTGGAGACCTTTCATATCCTAGATATTAGGCCCTTATCAGATATATGATTTGCAAATATTTTTCTCATTTCATGGGTTGCCTTTTCACTCTGTTGATTGTGTCCTTTGATACATAAAAGTTTTTCACTTTTATGTGGTCCAATTTATCTATTTTTTTTTTTTTTTTTGAGACCAAGTCTTGCTTTGTTGCCCAGGCTGGAGTGCAGTGGCACGATTATCGTAAACTGCAGCCTCACTCCTGGGCTCAAGTGATCCTCCTGCGTCAGTTTTCCAAAGAGCTGGGGCTAAACGCATGCATCACTGTGCGTGGTTAATTTTTGTATTTTTTGTAAAGAAACAGGTTCTTGCTATGTTGCCCAGGCTGCTCTTGAACTCGTGGCCTCAAGTGATCCTCCCACTTCAGCTTCGCAAAGTGCTGGGATTATAGGCATGAGACACCGCACCTGGCCGCTATTTTCTCATCTGTTGCCTGTACTTTTGGTGTCATATCCAAGAAATAATTGCCAAACCAAAACTTTCCCTCTATGTTTTTTTCTAAGAGCTTTATCGTTTTAGCTCTTACATTTAGGTCTTTCATCCATTTTGAGTTAATTTTTGTAAGGTAAATATCCAATTTTATTCTTTTGCATGTGGGTATCCAGTTTTCCCAACACCATATGTTGAAAAGACTCTCTTTTCCCCACTGAATTTTCTTGGTACCCTTGTCAAAAATCATTTGATTATATATGCAAAGACTTATTTGGGGGCCTTCTATTTTATTCTACTGGTCTAAATGTCTAGTAGACCTTAGTAGCCAGTACCGCAATTTTTATTATTATGGCTCTGTGAGAATCATATACAATTTTGCTTGGAATTATGTTCCTGGTAGAGTTGACATAGGAGCTCAGGTATTCTGTCTACTCTAATGGTTACAGTCAGGTTCTTTGCATCTAATGGAAGGAATCACTATCTATTTGAATGGAATCTATTTTGGCTTCATATGAATTACAATTTTTCTCTGATTGCAACTTAATACTAACAGATTATCTGATCCCATTTTTGTTTTATTTTTGGATTCTAAGTAGGTTAATCATTGTTACTCTTGGTAGTGAGTTTGTCTTAAAAATGAATACTACCTTCATTACTTAAATTACAGCAGTTGTGACCTCCTACAAGTAATTATTTTTACATTTGGTCAAATCCCAAAACTAAAGTCTTATTTGGATTTTTGCTGAGGTATTTTTATAAACATTAAATATTTTTGAGCAGGTTTATTTCAGTTTAAATTATTTCAAAGTAAACAAATTGGTATCAAAATGCAGCCCATATTAAATCTCAATTATTGAAAGCCATATTGGCAAAACAAATTAGTTCAAAATATAGAAAAGCTCTTCTTTGGAACATCGAACAGTTTTGTGCTGTTTGCCAATCTTGCTTTTCTGGATGAATTATCACAGATTGATGTCAGAATTCAAAGTCATTTTTAAAAATTCAAAAATTTTAGAATTTTTAAATTATAGAATATTCTACCTCTTATATGGACCTTGAACACTTTCCAATTAAGGCTGGATATAATCCTAGTTTGAGACCAGTCTGGCCAAAATGGTGAAACTCCATCTCTACAAAAAATACCAAAATTAGCTGGGCCTGGTGGCATGTGCCTGTAGTCCCAGCTACTCGGGAGGCTGAGGGAGGATAATTGCTTGAGCCTGGGAGGCAGAGGTTGCAGTGAGCTGAGATTGCACCACTGCACTCCAGCCTGGGCAACAGAGTGAGACTTTGTCTCAAAAAAAAAAAAAAAAAAAAAAAAGACTGGATATAATCCTACGTTTGAAATACCAGATATATCTATGTATAATATCTGTATGTATTCACTCCCAAATTGAATTGTTTCGTTTAAAAAATAAAAATATATGTCGTGGAATTCAAAATAATGTATTTAATATTCATGTCATGGGTAAACTGGAATAAAGAAAAGAAAGAGGGAAGGGCTGAAAAGCTACTCAAAGAAACAATTGGCTAAAACTTCTCAAATTTGGCAAGAGACACAACCCTGTAGATTAAATATTCCAAGAAAATCCAAAACAGGATAAACTCAAAGAAAATGACATCAAGATACATAATAATTAAACTTTGGAGCACTAAAGAGAAGGAAAAAATTTTTGAAAGCAGCTTTAGAGAAACAATTCCTTACCTGTAAGGGAAAAACACTGTATGGCAACAGATCTCTCATCAGAAATCATATAGGCCAGAAGGAAATGGCACAAAGTTTTTCAAGTGCTGAAAGAAAAGTACTGTTAATGCAGAGTCCTATAGTTGAAAATATCCTTCAGGAGTGAAGGAGAAATCAAAATATTTTCAGATGGAGAAAAACTAAAAGAATTTGCAACAAGCAGAACTACCCAAAAACAATGTAAACAGGGAGTTTTCTAAACAGAAAAAAAATGACAAAAAAGGAACCATGGAATGTAAGGAAGGGGGAAAGAACATGGTAGGCAAAAATATGGGTAAATACAATAGCCTTTCCATCTCCTCTTGAGTTTTTAAAATTATATTTTATGGTTGAAGCAAAAATTATAACATCCTATGATGTGGTTCTAAATGTATGTAGAGGCAATATATAAAATAACTATTATAAATGGGGTGAGTAAAAGGATTTAAAGAGAGATGTAAAGTTTCTATACTTAAACTGATAAAATGATGACAACAGTAAACTGTTATGAGAATACACATGTGTATACATATATACACACACACATACATATATGTGTATCTCAACCAATAAAAGGTTATAAAAATATATAGAGAGAATACTACACTCCAGATAAATCAAAATGGATTTCTAAAAATAGTCCAAGTCACCCACAGGAAAGCAGGAAAAATAAAAGAGAGAGAGAAGCACAAATCAAAGAGAAAAAAGAGAAAGCAAAAAATAAAATAGCAGACTTAGCCCCAGCACATAATAATTATATTAAGTGTAAATGATCTAAATGCACCAAATTAAAGATAGGGAGCAGCAGAGTGCATTAAAATATGACCCACCTATATACTGTTTACAAGACACTTACTTCAAATACACTATAATGACAAAGGCAGGTTGAAAATAAAAGGATGGAAAACGATATACCATGAAGACAATAATAAAAGAAGGAGTAACTATATTAATATCAGATAATATAGATGTTAGAGCAAAGAAAGTTACCAGTGACAGACAGGCACATTATATAATGTTAAAAGGGTCAATCCACTAAGGCACAGCAATCCTACGTGTGTATGAACCAAATAAATGAGCTGCAAATTATGTGAAGAAAAATCTGACAAAACTGAAAGGAGAAATAAAGAAATCACAATAACAGTTGGCGCCTTTAACACCCTTCTCTCAATAATTGATAAAACAAGTAGACAGAGAATCAACAAGAATACAGAAAACCTCAGATACACCATCAACCAACAAGATGTAATTGACATTTATGGAACACTTCACCCCTACGACAGCATCATACACATTTTTTTCAGTGCCCACAGAACACATACTAGGATATATCATGTCCCAAGCCATGAAAACAACCTCAACAAATTCAAAAGAATTGAAATCATACAGAACGTGTTCTCCAACAATGAATGAAACTGGAAATCAATAACAGAGAAATAGCAAGAAAATCCCCAAACACCTGGAAACAAAGGACATAATAAATGTATCAACAAGGAAGTCTCAAGAGAAATAAAAATACATTAAATAGAATGAAAACAAAAATACAAAATATCAAAACTTGTGAGACGCAGCTGAAGCAGTACTAACAAGGAAAGGGATAGCGCTAAATACACACATTAGAAAAGAGGAAAAGCTGGATAACTCATACATTGATGATGGGAATGTGTAACGCTATAGCCACTCTGAAGACGGGTTAGAATTTTCTACACTTGATCTTACCCAAAAGGCTGAGAAGCGATCAGTTTAGAATGTTCTTAAAGAACTAAACATGCAACTGTCATATGATCTAGCAACTGCATTCCTGAGCATTTATCTCAAGGAGATTAAGACTTGTGTTCATGCAAAAATATATACACAAAGGAAGACTACTCAGCCTTCAAAAAGAAGAAAATCCTGTCAATGTGTCAACATAGATGAACATGGAGGACATTATGTTAAGCGAAATAAGCCAGGCACAGAAAGGCAAATGCCACATGATCTCACTTATATGTGGAATCTGAAAAAATTGAACTCATAGAAGCAGAGAGTAGTATGACGTTTATCAGGGGCTAGTAAGGAACAAAGGAAATGGGGAAGATGTTGGTCAAAGGACACAAAATTCTAGTTAGACGTGAGGAACAGGCCCAAGACAACTACTGCACAAAATGATGGCTATGGTTAATAATGATGTACTGTATAACCTGAAAATTGCTAAGAGATTAGATTTTAAGTTTTCTCACCACAAAACAATGGTGAGGTAATGCATATGTTAACTAGCTTGATTTTGCCATTGTACAATGTAAACATATTTCAAGATATCATACTGTACACCATAAGTTCATACCATTTTTATTTGTCAATGAAACATAAATGAATAAATAAATAAAAAGTTACTTAGACCAGAAAGCAAAACCAAAAACAAAGCTGCATACACAAATGCTTATAGCAGCTTCACTGCTTTATTTGTAATAGACAAGAACTGGAAACAACACGGATGTTTTTGAATAAGTGAATGCTGAATAAACTGTGGTACATCCATACCATGGAATACTGTTCAGCAATAAAAAGAAACAAATTATTGATCCATGGAGGAACCTGCCTGATTTTCCACAGGTCTCCAGTAATTTTTCTATGTGAAGAAAGGCAATCCAAAAAGGTTATATACTGTACATTTCTATATTTCTGAAAGTATAAATTATGGAAATGGAGAACAGATTTGTGATTGGCAGGGCTTAAGAAGGTATTGAGGAGGGTGGAAGGAAAGTGGTTATGGCTAAAAAAAAGGGGGCAACAGGATAGTTCTTAGTGGCGATGAAAATAAATGTTCTGTGTCTCGACTGTCTCAATATGCTGGTTGTCATGCTGTGTTGTGGTTTTGAAAGATGTTACCATTGAAGGAAATTGAGTAAATGATACAAAGAATATCTCTGTACTACTTCTTATATTTACATATTGATCTACAATATTCTTAAAATAGTTTAATTAAAACAAACAAAAAAACAATGTAAATAAATCAGAGTGACCTTTTAAAACATGAACAAAATGTATTATTTGTTGTGAAGCTTATAGTCTGACTTGATCTCCTGGGCAACCAGTGTAAAAAAAAGAGAAATATAATCCACTCTATAATTTGCTTTATCAGAATGAAGGAAATATATTAAAGAGCTTATCTGAAAATGCAAGGAATTTCTTAGAACTAAATTTTAAAATAATTATTTAGATTTTTACATTGAATCCCACCTACTACATCAAAATATTAGATCATGTACTCATACACAGAGATGATGAGTTAAGCCTGAGATGAGCTGTGGATACTTTTGCCAATTCATGGGGTGAGTTGAGGGAAACAGAGCTAAAAGGAGAGAGGAAGATTTTGAAAACACTGATCCAGCAGTGCTGGAAATTCATCCCTGTACTTTTAAGCTAAGTAAACTAACCACAGCCCCCCTCCCAGCTTTTCTTTTCTCTTTTTCTTTTCTTTTCTTTTTTCTTTTCTTTTTTTTGTTTTCTTTTTTTTTTTTGAGACAGAGTCTCGCTCTGTCACCCAGGCTGTAGCGCAGTGGTGCGATCTTGGCTCACTGCAGCCTCTCCCTCCCGGGTTCAAGTGATTCTCTCCCCTCAGCCTCCCGAGTAGCTGGGATTACAGGCACCTGCCATCATGCTCAGCTAATTTTTGTATTTTTAGTAGAGACAGGGTTTCACCGTGTTGGCCAGGCTGGTCTCGAACTCCTGACCTCAGGTGATCCACCCGCCTGGGCCTCCCAAAGTGCTGGGATTACAGGTGTGAACCACTGCGCCCGGCTGCTTTCTGTCTTATTATTTTTGAATCACTTTCTCACACTTAACAACTAAACTCATTGTGATATGTATGGAATTTCCTGTCTCATAAGGATTTAGATTAATTAAGACATGTAAAGACTTAGAATGATATCCGATGTAGGGTAAACACACAGTAAATATTTGCTATTATAATCACAAGGTTGCTATGAGGATTAAATTGGATTTTTGTCATTCTTTCCTTTATTCAAATATTTATTTAGCACCTACTATGTGCCAGGAACCGTTTTAGTTCCTGGTAACAGAACAGGGAACAAAAAAGACAAAAACCCCTGCCCTCAAAAAGCTCACCTTTTGCGTGAATGCCCCTCTTACCTCATTACTATTTAATAACTCCTCCTTCAATACATGTAAATTAGTATTTAAATGAGTATAAATTGCAATTTCCCACTTTGAGTTGCAAGAGATGAGGCTGCCTAGTGCAAATCAGCATTCCACTCATACTCATATATTTCCGCCACCTGCTAAACCAATATTCGTAGCATTTTCCAAATACTAACATGCTTCAATTTCTCTGGATACCCTCCACCCCAAAACCCACTATACCAAGCTTGATCCTCAAAATATATCCAGCTTGATTCATCATTCAGCTTTATTATATGGCTATTACTCGTTAGTTATATTAGGGCTAATTATCTTACCTTGGGAGAAATAATTAAGCTTGTATAAACCTCAAATGAAACATTCTGAAACTTACATTGATATAAATCATATTCCCAATAATGTTGAAAAATTAAATGAAATGAATAAATTGTCTAGAAATTATAATTGCCAAAATCACCCAAAATAGAATGAATAAGACCTTCTATCCGATAGCACAACAGGGTGACTATAGTCAACAGTAACTTAATTGTATATTTTAACATAACTTAAAGAATGTAATTGGATTGTTTGTAACACAAAGGATAAATGCTTGAGGGGATAGAAAAAATAAATTAAGGAAACAAACGTGACCCAGAAAATGTACAAACACCAGTAATATTTTAAAAACTAAATTACATGGAAAAAAACAACAGCAATTTCTACTTCTTAAAAGATAATAAAGCCGGATGATTTTGCAGGCAAATCTTTACTAAATATCCAGGAAATGTATAAGACCTATCTTATACAAAATGTTTCAAAGAAAAAAGGAGAGAAAGTTAATTAATATTTGATGCAGTTAATATAAGCTTGATATAAATATTGAGCAAAAATATATTAATCAATAAATAACAACAAGAACAGTAAGAGAAAAAAATTACCAACATACACACAAAAATCTTGTATATATTTTGGTACCAGCAAAGAGAATTAAGCAGTGGGAAAAAAATGTCTGACTAGGTATAACAAGAAAGTGAAAACTTCTATTTACCTGAAAAGATAAACATGATGATTATGACTTGCAGTCCCTGCAGGGGTCCCTGTTATCAAATACACTGAAGGAAGAATTTCCACTCCTGCCGACCAATGGTCTCTCTCCGGGCACTGCTGCTCACAGGAGGTTCTCCAGGCACCTCTGGGCTAAGTGTGCTTAACTTCTTGAGGTGCCGGAGCATCGCAATTATTTGAGATTTCTTCTACAAATGGACAGAATTACCCACTTGTCACTATGTGTTACACTGTCTTCTGGGCATGAAATGTGTGGGATTTTACTATCCTAGGGTTTTATAGTCACCAGTCTATTTGGCAATAACCCTTTAGAAGTAAACTATCAAATTCAAAAATGGCTGCCCACCCCCGCCACAGCTTTGCAATTTGATTAACCCCTTCTCCCATCCCTCCATCTCTCCTAACATTAGATTTGATAATTTTTCCAGCCTGAGTAAATCCCTCCAATGCTAGCAGCTTATTCTCCCTAATCAAAACCTCCCATTCAAACTCTGATTTCTTACCATCAACTCCTGATCAACACCATGCTCATTGTCCTGCTTCAATTCAACCTCCTAGCAATATCACATTTTCACACTGCATCCACACACAGTGTAAAAATGTCCACAATGCTAAAATTCTTCTTAAAAAAAAAAATCGCACAAGAAAGGAACCCAGGAGGCACTGTTGAAGGTTTCATTTGCTTGTTTGTTTGTTTGAGGCCTGGTGTTTAAAAATCTTCTGGGCCAGGTCTGAGCGTCCAATTTTTTAACAGCTTTATGGAGGTATAATTGGAAAACAAAAAAAAACCCTGCATATATTCAATGTCTATAATTTGATGAGTTTGAAAGCTGTTTTTCCTTGAAAAAGCTATTCTTCACATTTTTGAAATTTTGAAATCAATGAATTTTTAAAGTAGCCTTTCTAACCAAATACTGCACGTTCTCACTTATAAATACAAGGTACACATTGGGTACAAGACAGCCTACAGAATGAGAGAAAATATTTGCAAACTATGCATCTGACAAAGGCCTAATGTCCAGAATGTATAGGGAACTTAAGCAATTCAGCAAGCAGAAAATGAATAACTCCATTTTAAAAATGGGCAAAAAACATGAACAGACGCTTCTAAGAAGACATACAAGTGGCCAACAAACATGAAAAAATGCTCAACATCACTAACCATCAGACAAATGCAAACCAATACCACAATAAGATACCATCTCACACCATTCAGAAGGGCCATTATTAAAAAGTCAAAAACAAAAACAAACAAACAAACAAAAACAGATGTCGGCAAGGCTGTGGGGAAAATGAAACACTTATACGCCGATGGTAGGAATGTATATTAGTCCAGTCACTGTGGAAAGCAATCTGGAAATTTCTCAAAGAACTTAAAACAGAGCTACCATTTGACCCAGCCATCCCATTACTGGGTATATACCCACAAGAAAATAAACCATTCGACCAAAAACACACATCCACTTATATGTTCATCACTGAGCAATTCACAATAGCAAAGACATGGAATCAACCCAGATGCCCATCAATGGAAAACTGGACAAGGAAAATGTGGTACGTATACACCATGGAGCATTATGCAGCCATAAAAAATAATGAAATCATGTCATTTGCAGCAACATAGATGGAGCTGGAGGCCATATCCTAAGCAAATTAATTCAGGAACAGAAATCCAAATATCGTATGCTGCCACTTATAAGTGGGAGCTAAGCACTGAGTACACATGGACACAAAGAGGGGAACAATAGACACTGTGGACTACTAGAGGGTGGAGGAGGGGGGTTGGTTAAAAAAACTACCTATCAGGTGCTATGCTCACTACCAGAGTGACAAGATCCATACTCCAAACTTCAGCATCATGCAATAGTCCCACATAACAAATCTTCATATGTGTCCCCAATATCTTTTTTTTTTTTTTTGAGACAGAGTTTTGCTCTTGTTGCGCAGGCTGGAGTGCAATGGTGCGATCTGGGTTCACCACAACCTCTGCCTCCCATGTTCAAGCGATTCTCCTGCCTCAGCCTCCCGAGTAGCTGGGATTACAGGCATGTGCCACCACGCCTGGCTAATTTTCCAGTAGAGACGGAGTTTCTCCATGTGGGTCAGGTTGGTCTCAAATTCTCGACCTCAGGTGATCTGCCTGCCTCAGCCTCCCAAAGTGCTGGGATTACAGGCGTGAGCCACTGTGCCCAGCCTGTGTCCAATGTCTAAACTAAAAGTTGAAATTAAAAATCAATAAACATACAGAGGGTACACATGGACATAAAGATGGGAATAACAGATGGGACTACCAAGAGGTGGAGGGATGGGGTAAGGGTTGAAAAACTACCTATTGGGTACTCTGCTCACTACCTGGGTGACAGGTTTAACTGCACCCCAAACCTCAGTGTCACACAATATACACATGTAACAAACCCATACATTAGCCCCTGGATCTAAAATAAAAGTTGAAATTGAAAATAAAAAATTAGAGTAGCCTTTCTAAAGCCTCCAATTTTAACGTTAAAACCCTCTTAAAGAGGAAATATAATGGTCTACAGTTCATGTCTTTTCAACCCCATGCCAGTTATAGCAGACACTGATACTTTGTTCTCTCCATCTGTTTTTATTCTATTACTTTTTCTCAGTCTTGTTCAGTTATCTACCCTCCTCCACTGGGCCATGTGTTTTAGACACTATATTTGATCTTAGCCAAAATACTGAGAAGTGTTGGCTATGTGTTTCAGAAACTTGCCCTTAGAGATGAATCTACGGTGGTGATATCATTTTTGTTTGTTTTGGACATGGATTTGTTACATAATTTTAGTCAATGAAATGGTGAGAGGAAGTCTTCTCAGTGGGGAAGGAGGATGAAACTTTGGGGGAGGTATTTACTTGCTTTTTAAAAAAGAAGACCGAAGAAGATCAAGGAATGTTTTTCCAGACATTGTTGAGTTTGGATGTGATTCTTGAAACTGAGGCTGCCATCTCACTGTTATGAGGGAAATTAGCCTGAAGAGCTTGAAACAGGAAGGATGGCAAACAGAAATTAGAAAAATCCAAATTCTTAAAAGGGTCACTGAGCCTCTGATTTAATCAGCCATAGAGTTGTCCCATCTCTTGTCTTTCTGGTTAGTGAAATAAAAATCTTTCCCTACTGTTTAACTCTATTTGAATTTACTTTTATACTACTTCCTATCAAAGGTAGTCAAATTGATAAAGCAATTTCAGAAAGGAAATATTCTGCCTTTCTCTCTACATCTATGCTTGCAGATTACCGAGTGAATGGTATATGTTTAATTTCCATACAAGAATTTTGATGTAAAACATGTATTTGAGTTTTCATTTAAGTGCTTTTATTTTGCTTCAACAGTAGGAGAAAGAACAAGAACTTGAGATCCATAAAGAAAGGCATGATTAATAACCCAGCCTGATGTTGGGCTATCTCCACAAGGCAGGCCAGGGAAATTCCCTCTGGAGAGTTCAGGTTTTATCAATTCCTTTTTCAGTAACTCACTATCAAAGACAGAATTCTTGATTAAAAAATAAAAATGGATTCTACCTTTAACAAGATCAGAGGCACTAAATAAAAATGATGCCAGGAACATCCAAAGCAAATGAACACCATTTAGATATATGGTTCACCAGAAAAATACAAATAAAGAAGAGTTCAGCATGTTTATTCCTAAGTTTTAAAAGTTATAATGGAAAATAAAACCATTAAAGTAAGATCAAATTTGGAGCCTGCAGAACACCATCTTTTTTTCATCTTGGCTTACAACACTAAATAAAAAATGACAATTACTTTGGCCTGTGGTTATCTCAAAGACAGCCAAGTAATGTTTGAGTGGATGTAAGCTTGTATATCCTCATGAATATAAATCCAAGATTTAGAGATGCTGTACTGTCTCGTGCATTTGTCTCCTCTTAAGCTGGTAGTCCATTTAATTTAATAAACTCATACCTAGTATCTACTGCAATCAAATCTAGGTACTAAACTCTTGAGGGGCAGAGAGGAGGATGGGAATGAGGAAAAGACAAATGAGGCAATTGATGGGTTAAAAAAAAAAGCCACATCAAAGTCGTCTGCAAAACTAATTATAATGTTAGTTTCTGATGCTCTTCCATGCTGTATCTAAACAAAACACCAAAGGGCAAAGAGAAATGAGAGGATTATTTTCAGTCAGGGAAAGAGAAAAAAACTCAAAGAAAAGATATCACTTGAACTTGGGAAATATATGTAGGGTTGCAACAAGTAAAAACTGGGGTGAGGTTTTCTTGTCCAAGGAAACAGCTCAAAGGTTACACTTGGGGAAAATATTCTAACTTTCACATAGCCTGTAGCAGTGGATCTCAATCTTGGCTGCATATTCAGATCACCAAGGAAACTTTTTAACACCTAATGCCTAATCTACACCTTGAACCACAATTTCTGGGAAGGAAACCAGGTGTCCGGATTTTATAAAATTCTAAGTGATTCCAACCTGCAGTCAAGATCAAGATTCTCTGGACTGTAAGGACCTCCCTGCTCTAGTCTCTATCCTCTCCTCTACACTTATCACCCAGCACTCCTATTGTCACCGCTATACAAACAGATGGGCATTTTTTCTGTTCCAGAATAAGCTTTTCTTTCCCTTCCTCAGAGCTTCATATACGCTGCTCCCTCTGCAAGAATGTTTTTCCTCCCAAACTCTCCTTCACTGGCTAATTCTGCTAGTCTTTTGGGACTCAGGTTTTAATTCTTCTGAAAGCATTATTAACAGTTGAATCAAAATTAGATTCTGCTGTTAAATGCCCATCATACCCCATTTAGTTCCTTCTGAGTACTTACCACAATTTACAAATATAAATGTATCTGTGCAATTGTTGGTTCAAGGCTTTTTTGCCTCTATTAGGTTGGTGTAAAAGTAATTGCAGTTTATGCCATTAAAAGTAATGTAATATAACAACCATGAGAGTGGGGAGTATAGAGTTTCATTCACTCTTTTATCCCCTATTTCTAAAACCATGTCTAGGGGTAGTAGGTGTTGAATTAAAACTTGTGGTGAAGATACTCCTCGAGAAGAGCAACTCCAAGACACATAATTGTCAGATTCACCAAAGTTGAAATGAAGGAAAAAATGTTAAGGGCAGCCAGAGAGAAAGGTCTGGTTACCCACAAAGGGAAGCCCATCAGACTAACAGCGGATCTCTCGGCAGAAATTCTACAAGCCAGAAGAGAGTAGGGGCCAATATTCAACATTCTTAAAGAAAAGAATTTTCAACCCAGAATTTCATATCCAGCCAAACTAAGCTTCATAAGTGAAGAAGAAATAAAATCCTTTACAGACAAGCAAATGCTGAGAGATTTTGTCACCACCAGGCCTGCCCTAAAAGAGCTCCTGAAGGAAGCACTAAACATGGAAAGGAACAACCAGTACCAGCCACTGCAAAATCATGCCAAATTGTAAAGAACATCGACGCTAGGAAGAACCCGCATCAACTAATGAGCAAAATAACCAGCTAACATCATAATGACAGGATCAAATTCACACATAACAATATTAACCTTAAATGTAAACGGACTAAATGCTCCAGTTAAAAGACACAGACTGGCAAATTGGATAAAGAGTCAAGACCTATCAGTGTGCTGTATTCAGGAAACCCATCTCACGTGCAGAGACACACATAGGCTCAAAATAAAGGGATGGAGGAAGATCTACCAAGCAAATGGAAAACAAAAAAAGGCAGGGATTGCAATCCTAGTCTCTGATAAAACAGACTTTAAACCAACAAAGATCAAAAGAGACAAAGAAGGCCATTACATAATGGTAAAGGGATCAATTCAACAGGAAGAGCTAACTATCCTAAATATATACGCACCCAATACAGGAGCACCCACATTCAAAAAGCAAGTTCTTAGAGACCTACAAAGAGACTAAGACTGCCACACAATAATAATGGGAGACTTTAACACCCCACTGTCAACATTAGACAGATCCACGAGACAGAAAGTTAACAAGGATATCCAGGAATTGAACTCAGCTCTGCACCAAACAGACCTAATAGACGTCTACAGAACTCTCCACCCCAAATCAACAGAATATACATTCTTTTCAGCACCACACCACACCGATTCCAAAATTGACCACATAGTTGGAATTAAAGCACTCCTCAGCAAGTGGAAAAGAACAGAAATTATAACAAACTGTTTCTCAGATCACAGTGCAATCAAACTAGAACTCAGGATTACGAAACTCACTCAAAACTGCTCACCTACATGGAAACTGAACAACCTGCTCCTGAATGACTACTGGGTACATAACGAAATGAAGGCAGAAATAAAGATGTTCTTTGAAACCAACGAGAACAAAGACACAACATTCCAGAATCTCTGGGACACATTCAAAGCAGTATGTAGAGGGAAATTTATAGCACTAAATGCACATAAGAGAAAGCAGGCAAGATCTAAAATTGACACCCTAATATCACAATTAAAAGAACTAGAGAAGCAAGAGCAAACACATTCAAAAACTAGCAGAAGGCAAGACATAACTAAGATCAGAGCAGAACTGAAGGAAATAGAGACACAAAAAACCCTTCAAAAAATTAGTGAATCCAGGAGCTGGTTTTCTGAAAGGATCAACAAAATTAATAGACCACTAGCAAGACTAAAAAAGAAGAAAAGAGAGACAAATCAAATAGACGGAATAAAAAATGATAAACGGCATATCACCACCGATCCCACAGAAATACAAACTACCATCAGAGAATACTATAAACACCTCTACAGAAATAAACTAGAAAATCTAGAAGAAATGGATAAATTCCTCGACACATACACCCTCCCAAGACTAAACCAGGAAGAATTTGAATCTCTGAATAGACCAATAACAGGCTCTGAAATTGAGGCAATAATTAATAGCTTACCAACCAAAAAAAGTCCAGGACCAGATGGATTCACAGCCGAATTCTACCAGAGGTACAAGGAGGAGCCGGTACCATTCCTTCTGAAACTATTCCAATCAATAGAAAAAGAGGGAATCCTCCCTAACTCATTCTATGAGGCCAGCATCATCCTGATACCAAAGCCTGGCAGAGACACAACAAAAAAAGAGAATTTTAGACCAATATCCCTGATGAACATCGATGCAAAAATCCTCAATAAAATACTGGCAAACCGAATCCAGCAGCACATCAAAAAGCTTATCCACAATGATCAAGTGGGCTTCCTGGGATGCAAGGCTGGTTCAACATAGACAAATCAATAAATGTAATCCATCACACAAACAGAACCAAAGACAAAAACCACATAATTATCTCAATAGATGCAGAAAAGGCCTTTCACAAAATTCAACAGCCCTTCATGCTAAAAACTCTCAATAAATTAGGAATTGATGGGACATATCTCAAAATAATAAGAGCTGTTTATGACAAACCCACAGCCAATATCATACTGAATGGGCAAAAACTGAAAGCATTCCCTTTGAAAACTGGCACAAGACAGGGATGCCCTCTCTCACCGCTCCTATTCAACATAGTGTTGGAAGTTCTGGCCAGGGCAGTTAGGCAGGAGAAGGAAATAAAGGGTATTCAATTAGGAAAATAGGAAGTCAAATTGTCCCTGTTTGCAGATGACATGATTGTATATCTAGAAAACCCCATCGTCTCAGCCCAAATTCTCCTTAAGCTGATAAGCAACTTCAGCAAAGTCTCAGGATACAAAATCAATGTGCAAAAATCACAAGCATTCTTATACACCAATAACAGACAAACAGAGAGCCAAATCATGAGTGAACTCCCATTCACAATCGCTACAAAGAGAGTACAATACCTAGGAATCCAACTTACAAGGGATGTGAAGGACCTCTTCAAGGAGAACTTCAAACCACTGCTCAAGGAAATAAAAGAGGATATAAACAAATGGAAGGACATTCCACGCTCATGGGTAGGAAGAATCAATAGCCTGAAAATGGCCATACTGCCCAAGATAATTTATAGATTCAATGCCATCCCCATCAAGCTACCAATGACTTTCTTCACAGAATTGGAAAAAACTACTTTAAAGTTCATATGGAACCAAAAAAGAGCCCGCATTGCCAAGTCAATCCTAAGCCAAAAGAACAAAGCTGGAGGCATCACGCTACCTGACTTCAAACTACAGTACAAGGCTACAGTAACCAAAACAGCATGGTACTGGTACCAAAACAGAGATATAGACCAATGGAACAGAACAGAGCCCTCAGAAATAATGCCACATATCTACAACCATCTGATCGTTGATAAACCTGACAAAAACAAGCAATGGGGAAAGGATTCCCTATTTAATAAATGGTGCTGGGAAAACTGGCTAGCCATATGTAGAAAGCTGAAACTGGATCCCTTCCTTACACCATATATAAAAATTAATTCAAGATGGATTGAAGACTTAAATGTTAGACCTAAAACCATACAAACCCTAGAAGAAAACCTAGGCAATACCATTCAGGACATAGGCATGGGCAAAGACTTCATGACTAAAACACCAAAAGCAATGGCAACAAAAGCCAAAATTGACAAATGTGATCTAATTAAACTAAAGAGCTTCTGCACAGCAAAATAAACTATTATCAGAGTGCACAGGCAACCTACAGAATGGGAAAAAATTTTTGCAATCTATCCATCTGACAAAGGGCTAATATCCAGAATCTACAAGGAACTTAAACAAATTTACAAGAAAAAAAACAACCCCATCAAAAAGTGGGCAAAGGATATGAACAGACACTTCTCAAAAGAAGACATTTATGCAGCCAACAAACATATGAAAAAAAGCTCATCATCACTGGTCATTAGAGAAATGCAAATCAAAACCACAATGAGATACCATCTCACGCCAGTTAGAATGACTATTATTAAGAAGTCAGGAAACAACAGGGGCCGGGCATGGTGGCTCACGCCTGTAATCCCAGCACTTTGGGAGGCCGAGCCGGGCAGATCATGAGGTCAGGCGATCAAGACCATCCTGGCTAACACGGTGAAACCCCGTCTCTACTAAAAATACAAAAAATTAGCTGGGCATGGTGGTGGGCGCCTGTAGTCCCAGCTACTCGGGAGGCTGAGGCAGGAGAATGGCGTGAACCTGGGAAGTGGAGGTTGCAGTGAGCTGAGATCATAACACTGCCCTCCAGCCTGGGCAATAGAGCAGAGAGACTCTGTCTCAAAACAAACAAACAAACAAAAAAAAGTCAGGAAACAAGAGATGCTGGAGAGGATGTGGAGAAACAGGAACACTTTTACACTGTTGGTGGGAGTGTAAATTAGTTCAACCATTGTGGAAGACAGTGTGGCAATTCCTCAAGGATCTAGAAACAGAAGTACCATTTGACCCAGCAATCCCATTACTGGGTATATACCCAAAGGATTATAAATCACACTACTATAAAGACACATGCACACGTATGTTTATTGTGGTACTATTCACAATAGCAAAGACTTACATCTAACCCAAATGCCCATCGGTGATAGACTGGATAAAGAAAATGTGGCACATATACACCATGGAATACTACGCAGCCACAAAAAAGGATGAGTTCATGTCCTTTGCAGGGACATGGATGAAACTGGAAACCATCATTCTCAGCAAACTAACACAGGAACAGAAAACCAAACATCGCATGTTCTCACCCATAAGCGGGAGCTGAACAATGATAACACATGCACACAGGGAGGGGAACATCACATACTGGGGCCTGTTTTGGGGTGGGGGGAGGGGGGAGGAGAAATACCTAATGTAGACGACGGGTTGATGGGTGCAGCAAACCACCATGGTATGTGTATACCTATGTAACAAACCTGCACGTTCTGCACATGTACCCCAGAACTTAAAGTATAATAATAATAGAAAAAGCCTACGGGAATAGTATACAGGATAGATTCAATTAGAGGAGTAGGAAGAGGGAAAAGGTTGTTTTGATAAATTGTTGTCAATAACCTAAGAAATGGTAATGAGGACATAAGCAAAAAACAAAAAAAAAAACAAAAAATGGGGGCTGGCATGCAGAGGGGATTCACTGAGAGATGAGCTAAGCAATGACTAAAGGTCAGGGCTGAAGAGGAGAAAATTCTTTGATGAGTAACTGCTGCTTTCTGTGATTGGACTGATGAGGGTGGTGAGATCTGGCGGTATTGCAGAACACGGCATGATACTCATAGCTGCGAGGCTTGGTGATTTATCTCAGCTCTGAAAAATTGAAAGTGTCATACCGGTGATGTTAAAGAGTGACTCAGGTACCTGAGCAAGGCTGGACTGAGATTTCCTTGGTGGCATTTACTTATCTATCTCTTTGCAATACATAGGATTCTGAGAAAGATACGCCTACTGAGTGTGTGGGCTTTTCCCTCCTCTATGTTGCTGATTTACCCAAGGCAATTTCCCAATGCCATTTTCACAACAACTGAAACTCATTTGATCATTTTTTTTTTGGTACAAAGAAATGAGGATTATTTTCATGACTGATATATATATTCAAAGAAACTACTGAAAAATGTCCTATCTGAGAAGGTTATTTGAATACTTTTAAATGTCCTGTTCTTATACACTACAACTTCAAGGAAGCTGCTGTGAATGTGTATGGGGGAGAGAGAGAGGAAGAGAGAGAGCAGGGAGAATCCTGATCACAACAACTGATTCAGGTTTTCTAGCTAGTTTGTCTGCTGTTGCTTTCCTTCCTTACCAATTGGTTTCCTCTCAAAATTATGTTTACTTAAGATAGATTTACCTTTCCCCATAAGAAAACATTATCATTTAGTTAAGGACATTGTATATGTGTGTGCATACATTTGTGCATACATATGCATGTATGTACCTCTACAAAGAGAAATAAAGAAGATATGTCCCATATGAGTTTATAAGGTATAGTAGATAACATTAATAGCCCCAATTCTTTATTCCTCTCTGATTCCAGGCAGACAATTTTCCATGTAACTTTTTAGTTTTTCCAGCTAAAGAGGTGAAGTTGATTTCCCTACTCCTGGTTTTGGAGTTAGATAATGTGACATTTTTTGGCCAATGGAATGACAGCGGAAGTCATGTGTCTAAAATGCTAGACATGCTTGTATATGATCAGGTTTATTCTCTTGCACTTCTGCCGTTACTATAAAAAAAAAAAAAAAAAAAAAAAAAAAAAAAAAAAAAAAAAAAAAAGCTCCTGCCGATCTCAGGAGGGGAATGAAAGATATAAGGAACAGAGCTGCCCCAGCCAAATCATGACAGTCAAGCTTAGTTTAGCTCAGCCAACTTACGGCCTACTCTCAGACATGCGAGAATGTGAGAAACAAATATTTATCGGTATATGCCACCAAGATTTTTGTAGTTGGTTGTTACAAAGCATATCGTTTTAATAGTTGACTACTCAAGAAAACTACATATGGTGGTTTTAAGAGTGACTTAATAATTTATAACAAACAAATGTAAATGACTAACTCTAGATGTTTAGAATTCATATGAAAGAAAAGAATAAGCAGCAGTAATCTGGATTTATTTTCATGTATCAACTGCGTTTCAGAGAAATGCAAGTAACTTCCAAAATGTATTTCTTGACAGCTTAGAGCATTACAAATTCAATTTATTTAGAGGAAAAAGTTATAGAAAAGGTTTCGGTGAAGGATTTTAATTTTAAATAGAAAATAGGAATTCTCAATAACGAAATGCCTATGGTGGATTTAGAGGCAGTTCCCTATACATAACTTATTTGCTTACCAGGTGTGTGTCTCTTTTCTCTTCCCAACCCCTGTTGCTCCTATCCTGGCCTCTTATTTTTCTATACTTCACTCTTCTTGAGTCCATATATAAGACATGGAAACCATTGTCTGAGTCCTAGAACCGGGGAGAAGATGAGTGCATCCTCCTACTGTAGTTGTTGTTGATGCATTTGGAAATGGAACTCAAATTTACTTTCCCATATATAACCATAGGTTAATAACTAGCATCTATGTACTATCCGGCTATTTGTGCCTTAAGACAGAAATCCAGGAAGTATAAAAATAACATACGGGCACTCAGATTTTTTTTCTGATATGGTAAAAAATGGCACTCATGGTTTTTCAAAAACAAAGGTTGAAAAACGATATGCTCCATGAAGATCCAGATTACTTGCACTCCAAGGATAAACTGAGAGATGTCCAGAGAGGTTCAACATGTGCCTCAGTCCCAAGTTTACATGAGTCTTCTCTACCACAGACAACTGAAGATTAAACAAACTTGAATGTTATAAGATTTTATTTGTGTGAGGACAGCTTTTAATCTTTACCCGTAATCTTTGCAGAGACAATGCCACAGTTATTAGATTGGTTATTGTTGCAAGCTATGTAACATGGATAGCAGAAAATGTGTTATGTTACAGATCCAGAACATATTTGGCTTCTATTTAAAGACAAGCATGATGTGAGGATGTTAATTGAAATTTTTAAAAGGACAAAATATCCTTTTATGTTACACATTCTTATTTCCCTACACATTCTGCTAAAGATCAGGCAAGACATCAAGTTCTGAAAATTCATCAATTCCAATTAAATTTGCATTAGCAACATCCACATTTATCAAAGTGAATTCCTCTAAACTACAGCTATCATCTTCTACTCTACTGCCTCTCATAAAATTAAGCTGAATATCAGTATGCAGCTGATATACTCTGTCTACTGTCAAAAGTGCGTTTCAGTGAAAACCTTAAAAACTAAGAGAAATAGACAAACACAATTCCATTTTGTTGGTCCAGACATGTCCATCTCTGTATAAACCTCTATTCTCAGAATCAACTGGGCTCCAAAATATGGGATATAATTCAAGGCTACTGTAACTAATTAATCCACATGCAAAGTTTAGGGGCTTCCAATTCTAAGTTGGTTCTTGTCATATTGGTGAAAATAATTGCTATATTGCTATTGTTTTTTTCTCATTGAGAACTCTATTGATAGGCCAATATAAAATCAAATCTTCTTATGCATGAGGAAGGATAATAACACATGTTATCATGCCAGAGAAGACCACAGCACATGAATTTCCTGAGTTCAAAGCCATTTTATGTTCCCAGGAATGGTTCTTGCCAAAAAGAAATTCTGATGGTAGTTCCTCCATGGAAGTAGTTTGTTAAGTATTTGTGATTTTTAGCAGCTTCTCTAATTTAAGTGGCTTTTTCCACCAGTATCTCTGGTGGGTCACAATTTCTAAGGCATGGGAAGGTCCTAGCATAGAGGATTCTCATATGCTACTCTTGAAAGTAGCTCTATTGGCTCCTCTATGAATTGTGGATATTCCCTTGCTTTCTAGAATAGTTCCATACTCCTGGGTAGCTGAGTCATCTGATACCGGTACTACTTCTGGGGAACTGCTCTTTGTAGAACATTCACTGAGATAGCCCATGTCGTCACCAAGCTGGGCTAGCCTTATAAGGGATACTTCAAAATCCCCTACTGTTTCAGAGGGAGATCTTGGATGACATCATACAAAATTACCACAACACTTATTGTGATCCTCTTCCTCTCTTTCCTTGCTTTGTGATGTGGCACAAGTCCACTATCTCAATCTTGGGATGGAAAGAAGACTTTGTATTTCAAAACTTGAACTCCCCAGTGGTTACAATTATGTTCCTTCACTCACCAGGGTAAAAATACAAACTTGGATAACTGGAAAACATGGCTTCCTAATTCCCTAAGTGAGCCAGATCCATCGGGTCCTTTATTTAGGCACCAGTGTCCTATAGTCATCAAGGTGGAGAGGTAACTAAAGTGATCCTGAGGTATACTGACAACTTTTGAAAACAGACTGAGCTGCACGTTACCTTTCAGATTTGATTGTGAAAACTCGAAAGGCTGTGGCATTTTTTAATCTTCAATTTTTGTGTAAATCTTTGCAATCCCATACTTAACATGACCATAGAATGTTAATCTGGTTGCTAAAACAATAGGTAAATAGGTAGGGGAATTTATCATCCAAGAGAGAATAGAAGATTATGTGTATAGAGTCTAGTACATAAGGCACTGTGTATTGATAAATAATTTTTAATAATAAGTAAATTCTGGAGCTGATCATGTGTAAGACCAAAAACCATCATACCACTTGAGTTGCTTTATCACTCTGCCCTTTCAGGCATGTCCCTATCACCCTTAATGCTGTCAGTTATCATATGAGGCAGGGTAGGTATTGGGAATAGGGTTGAAGTTTAGACTTAGTTGTCAGGATCTGTGGTATGAAGTTTTCATATTCTTCAGCGCACTCAAACCAAAGCTACAGAATTTAGGCAGCTTATTATCCAAGGGACTCTATGTCCCAATTTGGGAATAAATTAAGGAGTCGAATTATTTACATCTGCAAATAATAAAAATGTTTCTTCTTTGGGGGAAAGAGAGAGAGAGCGAGAGAAAGAGAGAGCGCACATGCTCTATATAATTGAGTTTCAAATCAACTCTAAAATTAAAAGCAAAAGGTAATGGGAATCTCACTATATATTGAAAGACATACTGTGTTTATGGATAGAAAGATTCAATATTGTTTAGATCTCAATTACCCCAAAATTGATCTATAGATCTATTTTTAAAAAGTAGTGAAGCAGGCAGAGAAATTTACACTCCAGACAAGACTTCATATTCCAGGCAATAATGTTCCAAAACTCTTGGTTTACTTTGATGTATATAATCAAGGTGATTCAGTAGGGCAATATGCTCTTACATTCATACTTTACCAACAGGCTTCCTAGAATTTTTATTTAAAATTTAAGATCCTCATGTAGTAAATTACATCATTGGTTCCAATGCTTCACCCTTCCTGGTATGCAAACCCTTTGCCATGTGACTTTGCATTTCCTCCCCGATAAGTGCATGAGTCAGCAGAGCGGAGCCCAAGCCAACCACAAATCCCCGAGAATAAATGATTGTTGTTTTAAGCAACCGAATTTTGGAGTGGTATGTTATGCAACATCATTGTGACAAAAGCTAACTTACTGATATATCCCCATGAAGAACATTTAGACAGCATTGCTCCTGCTTATATTAAAATTGTGCTTGAACATGTGTGCCTAACATTGTGACATATGACATGTTACATGAAATAAAAGACAAATTCCTGTCCTTGATGAGCTCTCAATCTAAAAGTGTCTTTCCTAATCTAACAAATGCTGTTATTGAGGAGGCAGATTTTCTCTGCTATGTCATTGTGCTGGTTCATGAATACTGCTGTCTGGTTGTTTTAAATATTTCAGTTAGTTATCCACTTTACTGTGCTTCTGCCCCGAGGCTTAAAGCTAACAGCATAGTTTAAGGAGAAAGAAAAAAAAGACATTAAAACATCACTCTTGCTGAAGCAGTGATGGAGATCATTGTAACTATGTCAAGGACATTCCTGTCAGATATTTTGAATTCTAACCATACAGCCTTAAGGCAGTTGGAGCAACCCTGGGGAGGGAAGCAATTGTCATACAATGTTCATCAGTGGGCAGCTTCCTTTCTGAACTTTTCTCTGCCAGTGTCCAGTGTCCAAAAGATTAGTCATTTTTTGAAAAGCTTTTCTTGCTTACTATCTCTATGACTTGCATGTATAGTGTTAATGAGTTTTTAAATGTCCCAGAACATTTTTTTTCTCAAAATTCATGAGGCCAATAAATTGGTGAGTAATAATAGTCTAGGTAACATTAATTTATTGATATATGATTTATACAAAATAAAAGCAGAAACCTGAAGTTTGATGAGTTTTGATAATTGCATGCACCCACGCAAAACCAAAAACAGAACATCTATATTATCCCAGAAAGTTCTCTTCTGTCCTTTTAGAGGCAATCATCCCAAAGGCAACCACTTTTCATTTCAATCAATAGAACTTAGTTTTGTCTGTTCTTGGACTTCAATGGAGTCTGTGCTCCTTTGTGTCTGGCTTCTTTTACTCAACTTAAATTTTTGTTTCTTTGATTTTACATCAATCCATGTCATTGTGTTTCAGTAAACTCATTCCTTTCATATTGCTGAGTTTACATACTTTTATAAGAATACACTTAATTTGTTTATCCATTCTCCTGTAAATAGACACTTAGGTTCTTTCACATCTTGACTGTCATGAAAAGGTTGATATGAATGTTCTTGGACAAGTCATTCTGTGCATATAATTTTCATTGTGTGTTTGTGTTTATGTGCAGATATCTAGAAGTCAAATTTTGATTCAGAATGTTTTACTAGATAAATTTAGAGAAATTGACATTTCAACCATATTTATTCTTCAAATACATGAACATTCTATTTTGCTCCATTTATTTAGGTGCCCTTTCATTTCTCTCAGCAATTGAGAGAAATGCATTTCCTTCATTATGTATATTCTTAGGTATGTTATTTATGATCTTGTGGCATTTTAAAATATAACTTTCCAAATATTTGTTTATAGCACATAGAAATACAATGGCCTTTTGCATATAATGAGCTTATATCTTGTTATTTTACTAAATTAACATACTGGTTCCATTTTTTGAATATTCTACAGTGTTTTATATATATATATATATATATATATATATATAATCATGTCATCTATAAATAGTGACAGCTTTCTTGCATTTCTAATCATTAGGTTTTTACATTTCTTTTTATTGCCTCATCATTGAGGCTGAGATCTCTAATACAACATTAAATAGTAATGGTGAAAGTAGATATCCATACCTTACTCTCTATCCTAGGGGAAAAATCATTCAATCTTTTACCATTAAGTATTATGTTAGCTGTGGGCTTTCCATAGATGATGCTTACCAGCTTGGAGACATTTCTTTCTATTCCTAGTTTGCAGACAGTTTTGTTTGTTTTGTTTCTTTAAATCACAAATGTCCATTGAATTTTATCACATTTTTTCTCTGCACGTTTTGTGTGCTTATATGGGTTTTCTGCTGTATTTGGCAGTATGGTGGTTATATTGATTTATTTCCAAATGTTAATTCAACTTTGTATTCCTGGGATCAGAACAATGAATGTGACCAGGAATAAAGAGGGAAATTAAGTAGTGACAAAGGAGCCCATCCATCAAGAATTATCAATCCTAAATGTGTATGCACCTAACACCAGAACTCCCAAATTACCTACCAACTCTAATTAAGTGATGTCTTTAAAACTCTCTAACCAACGATAGAAGAATACATATTCTATTTGTGTATTTGTTGTTAGTATTTCATATATTTTGGCATTTTATTTTTCTACCAAAAACAGAAAAAATGTCAGTCCAATGGTAGATTTTGTCCAGTATCTGTTGACTAATGAATAGTTTATGCAACCAACTTGAAAATTAAAAATATACCTAAACAGGGTAAAGATCACATAAGGCCTCTGAGTATTATTTCCCACAACTCCATGCATATCTACAACAAATTCAAAATTAACAGTTTAATGAATACCTTTCTATCTGTAGGAGAGAGATAAATATCTAAATAATATTAGATCTATTATTATTCCATCCAGATTTTATATCTTTACGCTTGTTTGTATTTTTTAAAGTTGTTAGTACTGAATTGAATTACATAGTATTAGATTTTACTTTAAAGCAATTTTAATGGCTTTTATTCCATAATTCAATAAGCTTTATAATATGCCTCTATTAATCTTTTTTTTTCTATTATCCATTTCCATAGATTCCTACCAAAAACAGCTATCATAAATGAAGATTTTTTGGAAATAGGACAAAAGATGTAAATGCCAAGGTAAATAAACATGACAAATATTACAAACTTTTAAGTATTTTTTTAAATTTAAATAGTTTTGCTCTGCAGCCAAAAAGCATTGATTTATAATGGTACCTCTGAAATACATTAGAAAAACTCATTTGATTTACAAGGCTTGGTTTTGGTTTTGGTTTTGGTTCTGGGTTTCTGTTTTTTTTTTTTTTTTTTCACTTACAGGGCTTTTTCACAGCCTTAGAGATACATGATTGCCCAGAAACAGGCAAATTATGCAAACTTTAACATTATCAGGAACTGCACCTAAAGTTTGTGTTATGAACAACTAGTGTATTAGTCTGTTCTCATGCTGCCATAAAGAACTGCACAAGACTGGGTAATTTATAAAGTAAAGAAGTAAAGAGGTTTAATCGACTGACAGTTCCACAGGGCTTGGGAGGCCTCAGGAAACTTACAATCATGGTGGAAAGGGAAGCAAACGTATCCTTCTTTAGATGATGACAGGAGAGAAAACTGAGTGCCAGCAGGGGAAACGCTAGATGCTTCTAAAACCATCAGATCTCATGAGAACTCACTCACTATCATGAGAACAGAATTGGGGAACCACCCCCATGATCTAATCACCTCCCACAAGGCCCCTCCCCCAACACACGGGTATTACAATTTGGATTACAATTCAAGATGAGATTTGAATGGGGACTAAGAGCCAGACCATATCACCTAAAAAATTATAACTTTTGAGAAAATAATGCACCTTGAAGATAATTTCAACCAATCTGTGACTTCAGGAGTCTGAGGACATTGGTTCAGTATCTTCATTTTCCCTTCTTAATTCTTTAACTCTGTTCATTTTTTCCTCTTTTTCTCTCATTTCCAATGTTTTCCTACATCTTTCCACAACTGATCACATTTATTCAAACATTGTATACTTATATCAAAATATCATGTTGTACAACTTAAATATATACAATAAAAATAAAATTTAAAAATCAGAAATTGAAAATATAAATATGATTTTTAAAAATATTTGGGACATTTAAAAAAGTCACTTCTACACACTTGGAGCAAAGAAAAAATCATGATAGAAAATATTAAATATTTAGATGTGGTCAGTGATTAAAATGGAAAATTAATATTGTAGAGTATAGTAAGATGAATATCAGAGAAATATTTATAGGCTTAAATATCTTGTCTACTGTATTGAAATAAAGAAAATCTGACAATAAAAACACCCTTGAAATAATTTCTTTAAATGATAGCAAAATGAGCCAAATAACAAAAGAAGAAATGAAATAAAAAATATAAAAATAAAACTGATAAAATAGAACAATAGCATTCAATAGTGAAGATTAATAAAAACCCAAGGTAGCACTTTGAAAAGACTAACAGAAATTTTAAAACCTTAGGCTTAACTAGTCTAGAAAAAAATAATGCTAAGAATTAAAAAGTGGTACAATTACAAATACAGTAGAGATTTGAAAGGTATATTACAAAAACAGATAAAATTGATAATTGATTAAAATTTACTCAGAAAGAAAATATAAATAATTGAAAATGGACTAGTATCCAGAAAATGTTAAAAACTTTATGATAGGGTGACATCACTAATATGGTGGAGTAGGAGACACCAGTCTTCATCACCTCACAAAATACATGTATGTATAAGTACATACACACACACACACACACACACACACACACACACACGCACGCTCTCTCTCTTTCTCTCTCTCTTTCTCATACACACACACACTCAACAAGATCCACAAACAAAAAATAGCCCAGAGAGGACTCAAGGGCTCATTAAAGAATCTGCAGCAACACAGTGAAACAAAGAAACAGGGAGGACGTCCACCACATACAAAGGATTGCTGGTGAAATTGGCATACACATTTGGGCACAGTGGCTCAGGCTTGTAATCCCAGCACTTTGGGAGGCCGAGGCGGGCAAATCACTTGAGGCCAGGAGTTCAAGACCAGCCTGGCCAACATGGCGAAACCCCGTCTCTACTAAAAATACAAAAATTAGTTGGGCGTGGCGTGGGCGCCTGTATTCCCAGCTACTCAGGAGGCTGAGGCAGGAGAATCGCTTGAACTGAGGAGGTGGAGGTTGCAGTGAGCCAAGATCACACACTGCACTCCAGCCTGGGCAACAGAGTGAGACTTTGTGGAAAAAAAAGGAAAAAACAAACAATGGCATACCCAAGATGCCAGGAGATGGCTAGGAGCAAAAACAAAGGTGGAGGCTATTGATATCAGTCACTTGGTGAAAGCCACTATGATCCCCAGAGGCCTGCACTGCAGAGAACACCTGCATCTCTTGCTATTTAGGTAACCAATAGCCATACCTGCTGGGAAACACACAAAAGGGAGATACAGTTGCACTTTCCTCTCCCAAAAAGTGGCCTCTGTTGAGCCTCTTTGAAACAGATGGTTATTTGAAAATATATAGTCAGAGAAGAAAAAAGAAACAAAAGAATGAAAAGGAATGAAGAAAGCTTGTGGGATTTATGGAACAGCATGAAAAGAGCAAAGGTTCAAGTTATAAGAGTTCAAAAAGGAGAAGAGGGAGATAAAAGAGTAGAGAACTTATTTTTAAAAATAATAGCAGAAAACTTTCAAAATCTCGGGAAAGATATGCATTTGCAGGTAAAGGAAGAGCAACGGTCTCCATTCAGATTTAATCCAAAGAAGACTACACCAAGACATTTTATAATCAAGTGATCAAAAATCAAAGACAAAGAGAGAATCCTAAAAAAGGCAAGAGAAAAGAAGTAAATCACAAATAAGAAGTAAATCACAATAACGCTGGCAGCAGATTACTAATCAGAAACCTTACAGACCATGAGAAAATGGGATGACATATTCAACATGCTGAAGGCAAAGAACTGCCAACCAAGATGACTATTTGGCTAAACTGTTCTTCATAAATGAAGGAGAGTTAAGACTTTCCCAGACAATCAAAAGCTAAGAAAGTTCATCACCACAAGACTTGACCTGTAAGAGATGCTAAAGGGAATTCTTCAAGCTAAAAGAAAAGGACAATAATTAGTAACATGAAAACATGAAATTATAAAACTCACTGGTAAAAGTAACAACATAGTCAAATACAGAATACTCTAATACTGTAATGGTGGCATGTAAATCACTTATGTTTTTAGTATGAAGGTTAAAATACAAAACTATTAAAAATAGTAATAGCTGCATTAATTTGTGAAAGAATACACAATATAAAAGATGTAAATTGTTATATCAAAAACAGAAAATGTGGGGGAGGAGAAGTAAAAGTGTAGAGTTATTTTATGAGATCAAAATTAGCTTGTTATCACCTTAAAATAGCCTGTTACAATATAAAGTGTTTTACGTAAGTCTCATGGCAACTACAAAGCAAAAACTATCGTACATATACAAAAGATAAAAAGTGAGAAATAAAAGCATAATCATCTAATCACAAAGAAAGACAGCAAGAGAAGAAGAAACACAAGATCTACAAAACAACCAGTAATAATTAAGAAAATGGCAATAGTAAGTTTTTACCTATCAATAATTACCTTGAATGTAAATAGATTAAATAGTCCAATCAAAAGATATAGAGTGGTTCAAAAGATAAAAAAAAAAAAAAATAAGCCCCAACTATATGCTATCTAAAAGAGACTCATTTTACTAGCAGGAACACACAGAGACTGCAAGTAAACATACAAAAAAAGATATTTCACACAAATGGAAATCAAAAGAGAGCAAAGGTAGCTCTACTCACATCTGATAAAATAGACCTTAAGTAGAAAGCCATAAAGCAAGACAAAGGTCATTATATAATGATAAAGAGATCAATTTATCAAGAATATATAACAACTGTAAATGTATATACACCAAACACTGGGGCAACTAAATATATAAAGCAATAAATAAAACAAATATTGGCCGGGCACGGTGGCTCACGGCTGTAATCCCAGCACTTTGGGAGGCCGAGGCGGGCGGATCACGAGGTCAGGAGATTGAGACCATCCTGGCTAACACGGTGAAACCCCGTCTCTACCAAAAATACAAAAAATCAGCCGGGTGTGGTGGTGGGTGCCTGTAGTCCCAGCTACTCAGGAGGCTGAGGCAGGAGAATCGCATGAACCCAGGAGGCAGAGCTTTCAGTGAGCCGAGATCGCAGCACTGCACTCCAGCCTGGGCGACAGGGCAAGACTCCGTCTCAAAAAAAAGACAAATATTAATAGATCTGAAGAGAGATACACTAATATAATAACAGTAGAGAACTTCAGCACCCTACTTTTAGCAATGGACAGATTATCTGGAAATAAAATCAACACAATAACAATGGACTTGAATTATACTTTGGGGACAGATGACCCTAACATCCCATCCAAGAGCAGAAGAATGTATATCTTCATCAAGTGTACACAGAACATCCCATCCAAGAGCAGGAGAATACATATCTTCATCCAGTGTACACAGAACATTCTTCAGGATAATTCATATGTTAGGCTAAAAAACAAGTCTTAACAAATTTAAGAAGATTGAGATCATATCAAGTACCTTTCATGACCACAGAAGACTGAATCATGGAAAAATAGAAAATATAAACAAATGAATAATAAGCAGAGAGTTTGAAACAGTTATCAAAGATCTCACATCAAAGAAAAGCCAAGGACATGATGGCTGAGCTGCTAAACTCTAGCAAACGTTTAAAGAAGAACTAATACCAATGCTTCTTAAACTCTTCAGAAAACAAAAAATGAAAAGGAGGTAAAATTTCCAAACACTTTTTACAAGGCCAGCATTACCTTGAGAAGAAAGCCAAACAAAGATACTACAAGAATGACCATAGACATAAAAATCCTCAAAAATATTAGCAAACTAAATTCAAAAACATATTAAAAGAATAATTCACCATCATCAAGTGGGATTTATACCTTGGATTCAAGGATGGTTCAACATATGCAAATCAATCAATGTGATACACCACATTAATAGAATGAAGGACAAAAACCATATAATTACGTCAATAGATGGAGGAAAGGCATTTAACAAAATGTAACATACTACAAACTCTGAAAAAATTAGGCATAAGAGGAAAGCGCCTCAACAAAGTTACAATGAGCCAACAGCTAACATCTTATGCAACAATGCCACATTGAAAACTTTTCTCCTAAGGTGAGGAACAAGACAAGGATGTCCACTCTTGCAATTTTTATTCAATGTAGTACTGGATGTCCTAGCCAGAGGAGTTAGGCAAGAGAAAGAAATAAAAGACATCTAAGTCAGAAAGGAAGAAGTTATTTGTCTCTGTTTGCTTGCAGATGACATTAACTTATTCTTAGAAAACAATGAAGACTCCAACAAAAAAGAACACTTAGAACTAATAAAGAAATTCAGTAAAGATGCAAGGTACAAAGTCAACATATGAAAATCAGTAGCATTTGTATGCACTAACAATGAACTATCTAAAAAATAAATCAAGAAAACAATTCCATTTATAATAGCTACAAATAAAATACAATACTTAGGAATCAATTTAACCAAGGAAGTGAAAGATCTGTACACTGGAAACTATAAAATATTGAAGAAATAAATGGAAGAGGGCACAAATAAATGGAAAGACATTCCATGTTCACAGACTGGAAGAATCAATATTGTTGAAATGTTTATACTACCAAAGCAATCTACAAATTCAATGCAATCTTCATCAAAATTCCGATGTCATATTTCAAGGAAATCGAAAAAAAATCCTAAAGTTTATACGGAACCACGAAAAACCCAGAAAAGCCAAAGCAATCTTCAGTTAAAAGAACAAAGCTGGAGGCATCACATTACCTGATTTTAAAATCTACAAGGATATGGTAATTGAAACAGCATGGTACTGGCCTAAAAACAGACACATAGACCTATAAAACAGAATACGGAGCCCAGGAATAAATCTACACATTTACTGTCAATTGATTTTCAATAAAGACGCCAAGGAGAAACAATGAGGAAAGGACAGTCTATTTAATAAAGGGCATTGGGAAAACTAGATATCCATATGCAGCATAATGAAATTAGACCCTCATCTCACACCGTATGCAAAAATAAACTCAAATTCATTAAAGACTTAAATGTAAGACCTGAAGCTGTAAAACTAGTACAAGAAAACATAAGTGAAAAGCTCCATGACATTGGCCTGGGCAAAGATTTTTTTACATGACCCCGAAAGCACAGGCTACAAAAGCAAAAATAGACAAACAGGATTACATCAAACTAAAAAGCTTCTGCACAGCAAAGGGAACAATCAATAATGTATGGAATGGGAAGAGACAACATATGTAATGGGAAAATATGTTTACAAACTATACCTCTGGTAAGAAGCTAATATCCAAAACGTATAAGGAACTTAACTCAATTATAAGGAAATAACCCAATTAAAAACAGGTAAAGTAACTGAATAGATATTTTTCTAAAGAAGACATGCAAATGTCCAATGGCTGTATGAAATGGTGTTCTACATCACTAATCATCAGGGAAACACAAACTAAAACCACAATGAGATACATCATCTTATTCCTATTAGAAGGGCTATTATAAAAATATGTGAAAAATAAGTGTTGGTGAGGACGTGGAGAAAAGGAAACCCTTTTTGTGCGCTATAGGTGGAAATGTAACTTAGAGTCATAAAAAACCAGCATGAAGGTTCCTCAAAAAAACTGAAATTAGAAGAAAAATATAATCCTGCAATCTCACTACTGGGTATATATTCAATATACTGACGAGATATCTTTATTCCCATGTTCACTGCAGCATTACTCACAATAGCCGAGATACGTAAACAACCTAAGTATGCATCAGTGGATGAATGGATAAAGAAAATGTGATACATATACACAATGGAATATCATTCCACTTTTAAATAGAAAAAAATTCTGTGATTTGTGACAACATGGATGAATCTGGAGAGCATTATGCTTAGTGAAATAAGCAAGCACAGAAAGACAAATACCACATGATCTCACTTATATGTGGAACACGAAAGATTCAAACTCATAGAAAAAGAAAGTTTAATGGTAGTTACCATAGCCTGGAGGGGGCGCGGGGAGATTGAGGACATGTTGGTCAAAGGATACAAAATTTCAATTAGATGGGAGAAATAAATCCAAGACATGTATTGTACCACATAGTGGCTACAATTAATAACAATATATTCTATACTTGAAAATTGTTAACAGGGTAGATTTTAAGTGCTTTCACCACATAAAAATGATGTTTGTGAGGTAATGCTTATGTTATGTAGCTTGATTTAGCCATTCTAAAGTGGCATGGTGTATACCGTAAATATACATAATTTTTACTTGTCAATTAAAAAATACAAAATAAATTTTAAAAAATCGTGAGACACCAAGACAGAAATACAATAGAAGAATGGGCAAACAATTTAGAAGATACTTCTAAGAATATATACAAATGGAAATAAACATGTTAAAAAGCAGCTCAATCTCATTTTTAATCAAAGAGAAGAAAATTGCAACTGCAATGAGGAACCACTAAACAGACTTCGGATTGGAAAAAATTTGACAGTTTGACAACTGGTAAAAGCTGGTGAAAATGCAGAGAAATACGAACACACATACAGTGCTGATATGAGTATAAATTGTTCAACTATCTCAGACATCAGTTTGGCATTATTTAATAAAGTGATAGATGTGCCTATTGTACAACCGAGCCATTCCAATCTTAGGTGTAACCAGACTGAAATGTGTGTACATATGCACCCAAATATATCTGCAAGAATGTCCATAGTATTGTTCAGGCTCATGAACATATCCATAATTATGCCCATCATCAGGAAAATAAACAAGTCAATTATGGTTTATTTATACAACTGGATCCCACACAGCAATGAAAATAAAGGACCTACACAGTACATGCAACAACCTGGATAAATCTCAGAAACATAAAATTGAGCAGACAAAAAACAAGACATGAAAAAATATAACTGTAGTATGACTCATTTCACATAAATTTCCAAAACAAATAAAACTAAACTAGGTATTTACAAATAAAACGATAAAGAAAAGCAAATATGGCATTGTCACAAAACTCAGAATTGCAGTTATCTCTGGGTGGAGGCAGTGAGTTGATGAAATTGAGAAAAGGCACATGGCTTCTGGGGTACTGGTGGTATGGTAGTCTTATCTTGTGCTGTGATATTATAAAAAATGTGTGATCTTTATAATTGTTATGTCATGTCATGCTGTGTTATGTCATGATATGTTAAATTATAGTAGTTATTGTTGTTATATATTTTATGCGATTTTCTCTAGGGATGATACATCTTGCTACACATATGTACACAAAGGAAATGCATTTAAAATAACAAAAAATTTGGCTGGGCGCGGTGGCTCACGCCTGTAATCCCAGCACTTTGGGAGGCCAGGGCGGGCGGATCACAAGGTCAGGAGTTTGAGACCAACCTGACCAACATGGTGAAACCTGTCTCTACTAAAAATACAAAAAAATTAGTTGGGCATGGTGGCACACACCTGAAATCCCAGCTACTCAGGAGGCTAAAGCAGGAGAATCGCTTGAACCCAGGAGGCGGAGGTTTCATTGAGCCAAGATCGTGCCACCGCACTCCAGCCTGGGCGACAGAGCAAGACTCCATCTCAAAAAAAAAAAAAATTAGTGAACACATTCATCACCTCCCGTGCTGTGCACTGTTAATTTGATTGTGATAATTGTTATACAATGTATATGTATATCAAATCAGCATGTTGTACACCTTGAATATATACAGTCTTTGTCAATTAAATATTTTTAAATAAAAAATAAAATGAGAAAAATTTTAGAACTCAGAATTTTAAAAATTGAATAGGAAGCTTAAAATGGACCCACAATGAAAACATTTCAAAAAATGTTAGAGAAAATTACATATCCACACACAGGAGAATAAAATGGGACCCTCATCTCACACCATGTACAAATATCAACTCAAAATGGATTAAATACTTATACATTAGACTTGAAACTATAAATCTACTTGAAGAAAATATAGAAGAAATGCTCTATTACATTATTCTGAGTAAATATTTCCTGGATATAACTCCAATAGCACAGGCAACAAAAGCAAAAATAGACAAGTGGGATTACATCAAACTAAAAAGCTTCTGAACAGCAAAGGAAACAACAAAGACGCAAACTACAAAATGATTGAATACATTTTCAAGCCATACAACTGATAAGGAATTAATATGCAAAACGTATAAGTAACTCAGAAAAATCAATAATAAGAAAACAAAAAATGTGATTTTTAAAATGAGCAAAGTACCCAACTACGTATTTGTGAAGAAAGACGTACAAATGGCCAACTGGTATATGCAAAGATGCTCAACATCAGTAACCATCAGGGAAATGCAAATTAGAACTACAATGAAATATATCACCTCTCTCTTGTTAGGATGGCTGTTATCAAAAAGATGAAAGATAATCGGTGTTGGTAAGGATGCAGAGAAAAGGGGACCCTTGCACACTGTTGGTGGGAATGTAAATTAGTACAACCATTATGGAAAACAGTATGGAGGTTCCCCAAAAAACTAAAAATAAAATTATCATGTAATCCAGCAGTCTCACTTTTGGATATATATCCAAAGGATATTAAGTCAGTGTGTTAAAGATATATTTGCACTCCTGTGTTCATTTCAGCATTATTCACATTATCCAAGATAGGACTCAACCCAAGTGTTCATCACTGGATGCATGGATAAGGAAAATATAGCATATATATACAATGGAATACTACTTAGTCTTTATAAAAAGAAGGAAATCCTGTTAGTTGTAACAACAGGTATGAACCTGGAGGACATTATGCCAAGTGAAATAAGCCAGGCACAAAAAGACAAATACTGCATGATGTCATTCACATGTGAAATGTAAAAAAGCCCAACTCATAGGAATAGAGAGTACAATGGTGGTTACCAAAGGCTGTGTGGGGGTTGGGGGTTTGGGAGGGAGGATGAGAAACGGGGAGATGTTGGTCACAGGGTACAACATTTTAGACAGGAAGAAAAAGTTTTAGTGATCTATTGCCCAGAATTGTGACTATAATTAATCATGATTTATTGCATATTTCAAAATCACTAAAACAGTAGACTTTAAATGTTCTTACCACAAAAAAATGATAAGTATATGAGGTGATGGATATGTTAATTGGCTTAACTTAATCACTCCGTAATGTATACCTGTATCAAAACATGACATTGTACACATACATACATATATTTATTAGTTTTGAATTAAAAATTAGCCTCTTTTATTTAAAATAATATACAACGTTGGTACTGGTAAAATTAAATGAACATTTTTGTATATTCCTTTTAAGAGTTAAATTGGTACACTTTTTAAATAAATAATTTGAAAATATTTAGAAAATTATGCCTTTTGATAAGGTTCTTTTGATGAGAAACTTATCAAAATTACGCCTTTAAAAAATAACAATTTCACTTTTTTTTTTTATTTTATTGTTACTATACTTTAAGTTTTAGGGTACGTGTGCACAACATGCAGGTTTGTACCTAATGCTAAACAATTTCACTTTTAGGAATATGACCTAAGGAAATCACGTCATGTTATCATATAATATATGCTCATAATTTTCAAATAATTATTAAAATATTTTTAAAACAATAGAGATATAGTTAAATACAATGTAGTGCACCTAAGTGAATACATCTGTGATTCTACTTTAAAAAAAACAAATAACAAAACAACAAGAAGCAATGTCCAGCCCAGTGTAGCATTAGTATCAACCTAAGAACTTAAAAAGCATAAAGCTCTGGGGATGATACCCATGGAAATTCACATGAAATTGGTCTGAAATGAGCTCTGTCCTTTGGTAAGTTTTAAAAGCTGCCCAGGTTATTCCAATGTGCATGCAGGTTTGAGAAACACTGGATTCTTAGACATACACGCGTATATACATTTGCATGTGCACACACACAATACATGCAATTGAAAAGAAGTTTAGCAAACTGTAAATAATTTTCTCTTGATTAAAGAATGGATCATTATTTTCTTTTCTGAACTTGTGTGCATTTTAACTTTTAACAATAAGCATGATGATATGCAACTAAGGCAGCCATTTTGTATAGTATATATAGTACATAGTGTTTATTTGAAAACAGGGTAGGTACTCTATGTGTTTCAAACATTTCAGTTGAAATCTTATTTACAGAAATAATTTATTCTTAATGATCAGGGCCATTTCAGCCCGCCCCATCTCAATGTATCACAAACTCTACAGTAATGAATAGCATGCTAATTACTGATTATGTACAGTCATGTCTTGTTGAGTCAGAGCTACAGTTTAACATTCATTATTTTATGACTAGCTGGATTTGAGGCTTTTAGGCATTATTTTTCAGATCAGAAAAAAATACATCTTGCCTAAAAGGAAAATTAAATTTAAATAAATAGACTTCATCTAATTATTCCATTATTCCTGAGTGATTTTTTTTCTCAGTGTTAGAGACATCAGTCTGTTCACACATATTTTATTAGATCCGAGCAATACATTTAATCTCTCTTTTCTGGATCCACCCACGCTCAAAACTAAGATTTCATTTAGAAAATATATTTGAGTACCTACCGGGAACTGTGCAAGGTGAAGCAGATATGGTACTGAACCAACAGTCATGGTTCCTGAACTTAGGGACTTTCTCTTTAGGGTTCATACTTATAAACAACACCAAGCATTGAATGCTAAAACAGAGAGTTTTATGAGAGTGTATACCACAGCAAACTAATCTAGCATGAGGACTAAAAGAAATCCTTCTTGAGAAAGTGGCATTTAAGCTTGAACCTGAAGGATCAGTGAAGAGTTACTCAAGAAAAGAGTGGTGTGAGAGGTGTGCTAAGGATAGAGAGCAGAATGTGCAAAGGACCTGTAGGGCAGGAAGAAACCTAGAAGATCAGTGTAGCTGCAGCATAATGAAGGATGAAATAGAGAAGTATGAAAGAGACAGGTCATGCATTGTAAGTCATTTGGAGGATTATGTTCTTTGTTCTAAGGATAATGGATATACACTGAAGAATTTAAACAGAAGAATGAAACTATCACATTTGCAATTTAAAAAAATCATTGCCATTCTATGGGGAGTTAATTTGAGAGGAACAAGACAAGCTTTGGGGAGAAAATTGGATTTGGGGAGAGAAAATAAGACACTACTGTACTGGTTCAAGAGAGATACGATGGGAGTGGAGAGATTGAATTTGAGCCATAATTTGGAAGTAGCAGCAACAGAACATGAGGATAAATTAAATGGGGAAAGGGGAAAAACAAGTTGCTTCAAGAATGGCTTTTGGATTTTTGGACTCCAAAAATGAGGAGACACTAGTACAATTTACAGATATGGGGGAGAGTAGAGAAGAAGCAGATTGATTGGCTAGAAGTGAGAATAAGAAGTGCAGTTTTGTGGATGTTTAGATACCTATGAGATAGCCAAATAAAGATGTCAAGTAGTCAGTTGGATACATTGGCTTAGACTTCAGAAATTAATTTGTTTGACAGCTATCAGAATATAGAAGATATTTAAAGATACGGGACTTGATTCTTAGAGAGAGAGTCAAGACTGAGACCTGAGAACAGCCAGTATTTCAAGTTTGCTTGAAGAAGACAGTAGCCCACAAAGAGATAAAGAGGTAGCCAGAGAGGTAGGGAAAAAACAGACTATGATGTCACAAAAGTTAAGGGAAGATAATGTTTTTATGAAGGAGGAGGAGGCCAATTGATCTATACTCCTGACAAGTCAAATGAAGAGTGAATTCAACCATGTTTATCAGATCTAATCAGGTGCAGGGTATTGTGACCTTAAAAAAGTCATTGTAGTTAAGTGTGTGGACAGAAACTTGACTGGAGTAAGGAGAAAAATAAATAAAACCCCACTAAGACAACATGTACATCTAATAAATTGACCATATTATTTGGGTTGATTTGCTTTATGACCCCATTTTCTTCAATAATGGGAGAGTCTAGAGTATGTTTGATTGGTGGTGGAAAGATCCAATAGAGAACATGAGTTTGAAGTTGCAGGAGAGAAAATGGAGAGCTGATGGAATCATGACTTTGAGAAGGGAAAAAGGTTAGAGTACACATGCAAGGATTGCTATTCGCAGAAGAAAAACTCCATTGTAACAGAAGAGGAATAGATGGGCCGCAAACATTTGCTTCTAGTAAAAATTATTTGACTTCCTAAACTAAGACATTAGTTTTCCCAAAAATGTGAAAAACTGAAAAGAAAATGCTTTAGCACCACTTTTACCTAAGTTACTTCATTAGGTGAAGTTTCATTACCAGGTATGAAAGCAAAGCTTGTTCTCTGGCTTCACGTGTCCCCAACCAGTTTCTACCTTGAGTTGTCAATTCTCTGAAGGATTTCTAGCCTCTCTACTTGCAAAGAAGGGATTTAAATAGATTGCATCTATTCTGTATGAATTATCTGAATAACATTCCCATCTCTTTTCATCAGGAACTTGGACAATGGTATTTAGGGACCCATTTCTCATTCTTCCTACTACTACTATGAAAATAAGCCTGCAGCACTAACATTTCCCTATGCATTTAAAAAGATTTCTTAAGAAGAGGAGTAGAAAACTGTAATAGAAACATTTTAAGGACTTCTCCCAAGTTTCTTTTAGGTTCTTAGAGTATATGGGGCAAGGCTTATTTTCACAATGAAAAAAAAGTCACATGCAATTAAACATTTAGGCACTTCCAAAAAGAATACTTTCAGGGAAGAAATTATATAGACATGGGAAATGACTTTTAACGCAAAGATGAAGCTATGCTGTGTAAGTCATATAAATGCAAAAGTTGTTAAATGTGGTGTTTTTATAAAGGCATATTAAAGAAAAAAAAGCCCACCATAGACATTAGACAGGGATCCGGCACAGGGCCTTGAAGAAAGCACACAAATTCAGGAGCTTATCTTCAGATTTCTAAGTCTAGAATCTTGATTATATAAAATGTTGACCAACCTAAGTTATAGAAAACTGATTATGAGCCATATATCCCATTTTTATTTACAATGAATAAATCATAGTTGAAAAGATAACTGAAAATGGGCATTTACTTGCTCAGTGCCCTCTCTAAGTACCATTCAAGAAACAACTTTCAGTTTGCTTGGTCTGACTAGAAATAAGACAAATGGAAGGAGAGGAAGCTATGATTTAACTTGAGTGCAGGGCTACCTTTCTCCACTCTAGGCATACATTTCTCTAGAAGACAGATAGGATTCTATGATCAACTTTTTCCCTAGAAGTGATAGATACACAGGCTACTTGCTTTTGAAAAAACCATTTTCTTTTCTTGAGGACCACCTGCCTATCCTGACATGTAACAGTCACAGGATTCAATGCACTGTACTCCCTCAAAGTATTTTCCCCTTGACAAAACCATGATGCCAGAAGGTTATAATTAAAATTAACTACAGAAGCTGGACACCTAATTACAGCCATCCTAAAGTTGATCATTACCATTCTCATATAAACGCCTCTCCTTTTTTGCTACAAAACACCGGTCCCCCTTGTTTATTTCTTCCCCTTGATTCCAACATAGCAACTTCATTTCTTATCAAGCCTCGACCCACAACTTTGACATATCAATTGAAGCTAAAGCAGCTACATTTATTCTTTTAGTTCTTTTTGTTTCATGCTATAAAGCTCCCTTTTCAAGGCCCACTTGCCACTGCAGGTCCTACAATACCTCTTTTGATGACCAAGCTCCATGCTAAGGCTTCCCACCAGACAATTCCACATCCTTGCATATTTCACAGTATAAATATAGAAGTTCCCTTTCATTCCTTGCCATTAATAACAAAAATGTGAAAAATAGATTTCTTCTTAGGAACAATCTCAAGATATAAGTGGCTTCTATCCAATATCTTGGAATTCAGGGCATGTATTCTGCCACAGTGACTCATATATATCCTTAAGCTGGTACAGTTTCACTGTAATTGGTTTGGTTACATTTGTTATGACATGGCCAAACCTTGAGTATGGGCTTTAGACATTTATTTTGGACTTGAGTATTCCCCAATATTTTTATGGATAAATTGATAAAAACTCCTAGCATTAATAAAACATAAATTTTAAAGAAGGGTATAATCATGATTCTCATACAAACATGGGGTAAATATGTGTCAAAGATTGTATTTAACTCTTTAGTTAATGAGGGAATCAGTAAGACGGTACAACCAGTTCAAAGCAAAATCCAAAAAAAGACAAATATGTATGCTGTTTCCATTCATTTGGGCTGCCATAACAAAATATCATAAATTGGGTAGCTTATAAACAACAGATATTTATTTCTCACAGATCTGGGGGCTGGGAATTTCAACATCAAGGTACCAGTACATTTGGAGTCTGCTGACGGCACTCTTCCTGGTTCAAAAACGGTAACTTCTTGCTGCATCCTCCCATGAACACCCGTGGGCCAACTTTATAAGGATGGTAACAGCCATTATGGGGGCTCTGCCCTCATGACCTAATCACCTCCCAAAGATCCCACCTTCTAATACCATCACCTTGAGGGTTAAGATTTCCATATATGAATTTGGAAGAGACACGAACATTCGGACCACAGCATATACCAACCAAGAATGATGAAACGAATTTGCTTAATTGATACATAATTGATCAGTAATCACAGAGCAGTAATCAATTGCATTCCTCAATGTACAATTTGCATTTCTATGGACATGCATTATTTGCCTTATTATTAGCTTTCTACACTTTATAATGTTGAAAAAAAGCTCAAAGTAAATGAAAGACTGATATAACCATGTAGGGTGCTCTAGAAAGGACATTCACTGAATTATTTTCCCCAATTTCAAAGTCCTCTACAATTTTTTATGACAGGGTAGAGGGTAGTGGGTCTTATAACACTTTCTTGTGTCCTCTTCTTACATTTTTTTAAACCTTGTCTCCAACTTTTGGGAGGATTTTTCAGAATCTTTTATACCAGCTACAGAAAGCAGAAAAAAAGAGAATATTATTTTTAATTAAATATTTCATTTTGAAAGCATTGTAGAGTCACATGCAAGTGTTCAGGAAAAATAACTAATGGGTACTAGGCTTAATACCTGGGTGATGAAATAATCTGTACAACAAACCCCCATGACACAAGTTTACCTGTGTAACAAAGCTGTACTTGTAACCCTGAACTTAAAAGTTAAAAGCGTAACATGGAGATACTTTGTGTATTATTAACTCTTTTATCCATTGCAACATCTTTCAAAACTACAACACAATATCACAACCAGGATATTGACATTGATATAGTCAAGATACAGAACATTTCCATCACGACAAGGATCCCTCCTGTAGCCCTTCTGTAGTATAGCCATGCTCACTTTCCTCCCACCTCCGGTACCTCCTTAAGCCCTGGAAATCACTAATCTGTTCTTCGTCTCTCTAATTTGTCATGTCAACAATGTTATATACATATAATTGTGCAGTATATAACCTTTCAGGATTGTCTTTTTTCACTCAGCAAAATTCTTCAAATTGTGGAAACAGGCACATTCCTCCATAGATCAATAGTTTGTTCCTTTTTATTGCTGAACATCATTCCTTGGTATGAACGTACCCCTGTTTATTTAAGCATTCACCCATGCAAAAACATCTAGGTTATTCTTGTCTACTATAAATAAGGCCACTATAAATATTCCACTACAGGTTTTTGTGTAAACTAAGTCTTCATTTCTTTGGGATAAATGCCAGGAGTGCAATTGCTGGGCCATATGATAGTTACAATTTCAGTTCTTCAAGAAAATTCTAAACGTTTTCTAGAGTAGTTATAGCATTTCACATTCCCACCATCAATGCATGAGTGATCCAATTTCTCCACATCTTTGCCAGCATTTGGTGCTATGACTATATATTTTTTAAGTTTTAGCCATTCTCATAGCTGTGTAATAATATTTTATTGTGGTTTTAGTTTACATTTCCCTAATGGATGCAAATGTTCAACATCTTTTTATATGGTTATTTGCCATGTGTATACCTTCTTTGGTGAAAAGTGTCGTGTGTTTTCCTCATGTTCTCATTGGATTGTTTGCTTCTTTACTGTTGAGTTTTGTGAGTTCTTTATATATTCTACATACAGTCCTTTGTCAGATATGTGATTTTCAAATGTTTTCTCCCACTTTGTAACTTACCTTTTCATCATATTAACAGAGTATTGCACAAAGCTAAAACTTTAATTTGTATAAATTATGATTTGTCAGTTTTTCCTTTTATGAATTATCCTTTTGGTACCCAGTCAAATAATACTTTTCTTAGCCTTAGATCCTGATTATTATTACCTATGATTATTTTCCAGAGGTTTGATAGTTTTGTTTTGTTTTTGTGTTATAATTAAGTCTGTGCTCAATTTTGAGTTAATTTTTCTATAAGGTATGAAACTTATGGACAACCAATTGCTCCAGTACCATTTGTTTAAAAGGCTATCTTTCCTCCACTGAAAATATAACTATAACTTTTCAATATCTAATAAAACAAAATAAAATAAATTTTTTAAAAACAGCTTGGCATATATGTGTTGGTCTATTTCTGAATTCTTATGTTCCATTGATCTATGTGATCTATACCACATAATCTTGATTATTGTAGCAATATAGTCTTTAAATAGCATAGACTGATTCCTCTTACAATATTATTCTTTTTCAAAATGGTTTTAGCTATTATAGTACTTTGCCTTCCCAGATACATTTTAGAATAATGTTGCCTATTTTTACAATAAAGCTTCCTGTATTTTCATAGACATTGCATTCAATCTATGTATTAATTTGGAGAGAATTGACATGTCTCTCCATTTATTTAGATTTTTTATTTCCTTAATCAGCATTGTGTAATTTTAAGCATCAAGTCCTGTAAATGTTTTGTTACATTTTCACTAAAGTATTTCTTTTTGGGGTACTTACACATAGTATTATATTTTTAATTTCAATGTCCAAGTGTTCATTGCTAGTATATAGAAATGGAATTGACATTTGTATGTTTATCTTGTATCCTGTGACATTGCTGAACTCATTTATTGGTTCTAGTAAGTTTCAGCGATTTTCTATGTAGACAAGCATGTCATCTGCAAACGTAAATCATTGTATTTATTAATTCATTTCATATCTTTATGCCTTTTATTGCCATTTCATGCCTTGTTGCACTGGCTAGAACTTTCACCACTCTGTTGAACAAAAGGGTGATAATGAACAAACTTGCCTTTATACCAATCTTAAGAGAAAAGCCTGTAGTCTTTGGCATCAAGTACAATGTTAGATGCAGGGTTTTGGTAGATGCTCACTAACAAGTTGAGAAAGTTCTCTATTCCTAGTTTGTTGAGAGCGTTTTAAATCATAAACAAGTGTTGACTTTTGTCAAATGTTCTATCTATATTGATATAATCATGCGATTTTTCTTCTTTAGCCTAAATGACATTATTGATTTTTGAATACTGAACCAGCGTTGCATCTCTGGAATAAATCCCACTTGGTTATACGGTATAATTCTCTTTATACACTTTGAATTCTATTCACTGATATTTTGTTAAGAATTTTTATGTCTACAGTAATGAGGGATATTGGTCTGTAGTGATATTTTGGTACTGCGCTTGTCTTGTTTTGTTGTCAGAGCAGTATTAGTTTCATAAAATTAATTGTAAAGTGTTTCCTACTTTTCTGTTTTTGGAAATCGATTGTAAAGAATTGTTGTTAATTCTTCTTTAAATGCAAGGTAGGATTCTTCATTAAAGCCATACAGTCCTCGGATTCTCTTTGTGGTAAGTTATTTGACTACCAGTTCTGTTTCCTTATTAGTTGTGACAGTTTGTGTTTTTTGAGAAAGAGGTCTATTCTGTGTAATTTGCCAAATTTATGTCTGTATACTTATCTGTAGTATTCCTTTGCAATCCTTTTGATGTTTTCAGTCTATAGTGCTACCTGGTATCACTCCTGATATTGGCAATTTATGCCTTCTCTATTTTTTTCTTTGCTACCCTTGTTAGATGTTTGTAAATTTTATATTTCTCAAAAACTTCCATTTTGTTTCCTTTATTTTATCTATTGATTTTCTGTTTTTGATTTCATGGTTTTCTTCTAATTCCCTTCTAAGGACCCATTGTGATTATATTGGGCCTACCCAGAAAGTCCAGAACATTCTCATCTCAAACTTCTTAATTTAACCACCTCTGCAAGTCCCTTTTGCATGTAAGGTGACATATTAACAGGTTCTGGGCATTAGAACATGGACATCTTTGTGGGGTCATTATTTTATCTACCACAGTCTACCCTCCGGCCAACAAAAATGCATGTCCATCAGCGTGCAAAATGCATTTACCCTAGTTCAAGGTTTCTAAAAATCTCAACTCATTATAGCATCAACTCAAGTTCAAAATTTCATCTAAGTTTTCTCAGCTTAAAAGTTCAATATTTCATCATATAAATAATCTAAATCAGTTATGAGTCAGGCTATGGGAATAATCCAACCTGGTATGTTTTTTTGTCTGTACCCATTGGTGTTTCAGGGTTGCCAGCTTTTTCAGCTCCAACTCTGGGGTATATAAGTTAAAAAGAAAAGCAAAGGAACTCACTACTATGCCATTCCTGAGGTTGTGAGATTCCCAGAAGATCATCCTCCTTTCATTCTTTTAGATTCTTGGTATGTTTGTTTTATAGATCATATTTAGGGTTTTTAGTTGAATTTAATAGGAGGAAGAGGAAAAAGCAGATCTATTTCATATTCTTGGAATTGTAATCCCAAGAAAGCATATTTGTAAAATCTATCTAAGATACTTTATGTATGATTATCTATTCTTGTGATTTTGCTGTCAAATTCTATGCAGCAGCATTTTTCCCCAACAAGGAGTTCCAGTTTTTTCCATTAGTCATCAGTATCTAAGTATATTTTAAAATTTTGATCAACAGGATAAAAAGACACTTATCCTGCTGCAAGTACACTTCAGAGTATTTTGAAAAGGATTCTGTAGATGGTAAGGAAATCATATTTAATTAATCTAGGTCTTTTAGGCATCTTGGTTAATGAAGATAAAATTAATTTTTTAGAAATCTATGTTATCTTTCAAATTTATCTGAAATTTATTCTGTAAATTTAATTTAAAAATAATTATGGTCAACGCCAACTAAAAGCTTCTCTAATCATTCATCACTAATTTAAAAAATGTAATAAAAGTAAAATTACTGATCAAAGTAAGTTCCCCAATTTGGAGAAAGGTGTATTTTTTTAAAGTTTGACACATGTTATGCTCATAGGCTTGAGGAATAACCCTTAGTTGAGCACATATTCCAAGAATGTTATTCATGAGCCACAAAATTTAGTCAGTTAGTATATATTGAGTGCAAATTATTTTTCTAGTTCTTTAGAGACACGGAGTATGTGCCAATTATTGCAGAATATATTAAGTCTCAGGCATAGTGTTCTGTTGTGCTTCAAAAAGCACTGGAAAAATTTATGGAAAAAGCATTTTAAATATTAAATTACATATAAATATGTATTACTGAAGCGTTTTCTTTTAATTTTTATTTTGAAAACAACTTCAAATTTACATAAATGTTGCAAGAGTAAGATGATGAATTTTCAAATATAATTCAGCTATATTTATTAATCATTAATATTTGGCTACATTTGTTCCCCCTTGTCTCTCACTCACTCTCTCTATATATCATATAATAAAGTAATAAACACCATATTTCACATTATAAATAATATACTATATTTAAATACCATATTTTGTAATATTATAAATGTACTATATGTATTAAATATTTTATAATGTCATGAATAGTATTATTATTAGTTTTGCTGAGTTATTGAGTTTAATTATTTGCCAGGAACATAACCCTTTACTCCTAAATACCTTAGCATGTATATCCGAAGAAAAAGAACATTCTCTGAAAAGTACTATAATAAATTCTGACAGTTTAATGAAATATTATCTCTATATATCATGCATATTCAATTATTATCGACTGTACTAATAGCATTCTTTATGGTCCAGAAGTTGTCTAGGATCACCACTGCATTTAGCGGTCATAACTCTTTAGTCATTCTACATGGAAGAGCTCCTCCCAGTATAGACCAGTTGTTTTGTAAAATGATCCCCAACTTATGTCTGTCTGATGATTTCTCATTTTTTTTTACTAATTCTTCTTTGTTATATTAAAAACACTTTTTATATTAGTATTTGATTTTTAATTGACAAAACTATATATTTACAGCATATAACATGATGTTTGGAAATATGTATACATTGTGGCATAATTAAATCAAGCCAATTAACATATGCATTACCTGACATACTTATTCTTTATTTGTGGTGAGAACACTTAAAATCTTCATTCTTTTCTACAGCTTCATAGTACTCCATAGTGCAGATGTGCTACACATAGCTCATTCAGCCATCTCCCATAAATGAGCATTCAGTCATTTCCCATATGTGCAGTTGCAAACAATGCTGCAATAATTAATCTAGAACACATTTATTAATGTATTGTTGGAAGTATAAAACGTTTTAAGTGGTTTAGTTACAAGGTCTATAACAATAAGAAATCTTGAGTTGAATTTTAAAAATTCAAACAAAATAACACCACCATCACATACCCACCTGTGATCCTAAATCAAACCAGAAATAGACAAGAAGGAGTAAGGTCTGTGAAGACCAAAATAATCAGTATAACCATGTCACAAGTGGGGTGCCCAAAAAAATAGATTCTAAGACAGAGATTAGCATGCAAAGGGTTTACTAGAGAGTGCCTTTGGGAATCAATATCTGTGGAAGGAAATAGAAGGGAAGAAAGCAACAGTGGGCAAAGAGAAGTTGGACTGCAAGGCAGCCTCAAGGGAAAGCCTCGATGACCTTACTGGGAATTCTGAAACTAGAATGACCCTTCAGAATTTTTACAAACTGGCAAGGGGGCCAGGCCCTTACATTTTCCCATCAATTGGTCATTGGATGTAGGCCGCCTGGAAAGGAGGCTCTACCTTGGACAAACTAGCTCTCTTCAGCAGAGGCATCTTTGTAAGGAGATGACAGCTGTGGACTTTCTGCAGGCAGCACTCTCAGCTGCTGCGGGTATTAGTTTTTGATTTCTAAACCAGAATCTTAGTTGTACATCACAGCACCCACCACAGACCAGATATACCTGGATCAATGAAATTTTAAAAAATAACTATTTACTCCTTTCTGCCTTAGCTCTTTCTTGAGATTTGAAAGCTTTTCACATTTCTCTATCATAATGAATACCATATTAGATTCATCTTCTTTACTTGTCTGGTTTCTCTGAACACATTTTATTAGTTGTTGTATCCCTAATAGCTACCATGGTGCCTGGCTAAGCACAAGTGTTCAATTATTATTTAACGAAAGAACAAACTCCAATCCGTAATGATTTGAATGATCTTACCAAATGATTAATGATTATATACACCTGTCTGAATGGAGATTTTAGTGTCTAGCTAGAGGCCCTGACTTATGCCTATTCAAAACTACGGTTTAATCAGTGGTGAGGAGGAAGGTATAGCAAGTAAATGTTCCGTTTGTGAATGGCATGAAACTAAGGACAGTAGCTTCACTGGATGACAGTGAGGATTCACAAAGAATGAACATAGGCTAAGATAATGGTCTGAATATAATGAGATGAAATTTGAGGAACTGATATGAAGGACTGTCAGTGGATTCAACAAACCACCCAGAAAACTTTTCAGCTGGCTAAGCAGAAGTTTCTGAGAAAGACTAGGGGTTTTTGATGATTGCAAGACCAACAAAAGTCAACACCATTATGTAGCTACGTGTCATCTTAGCCATTATCATTATATATATATATGTGTATATATATATATATATATATGTGTGTGTGTGTGTGTGTGTGTGCGTGTGTGTGTGTGTGTATATATATATATATATATATATATATATATATATATATATATAGCTTGTGTCATCTTAGCCATTATCAGTATATGTATGTATGTGTGTGTGTGTACATATATATAATTTAAAGCCTGGAAGCCTGGAAGCAATGGCCCGATTCTTGGTCACATTGCCATAACATCCAAGATTTCAATTCCAAGCCGCTGCCATGGAGTATAAGGACCAGACAATTTAGAATGTATTTGGAGGAAAGCAAGTAGGGTGGTGGAAGGACCCAAATTTGCACAATGACCAATGGCTAAGGGGAGGTTGGGGGAAGTTTTGCCAAACCTTTTAGGCACAAAAATTAGCTTAATAGAAAACCTAACAAATATGAACAAAATGAGTTAATGAACATCCCTAATGAACGTAGCTGAAGAAATTCTTCAAAGATATTTACAAACTGAATCCAGCAACATGTTTTAAAAAAAATACCGTTACATGTCATTGCCTTCTTGTAATGTGCTTCAATATTGGAAAGGCTATGGATCACATCACAATGTCAGATAAAATAAATAATAATTCAGTAGGCAGTTTAAAAGGCAATTGATGAAATGTAAGTTCATTTATGTTCCAAAAATTAAACAACAAAAATCCCAAAAGCTGGTTAAATTAGAAATACACGAGCAGATTTTAAACATGATGGTTTATATATTTCTCATATTGATGGCACAATGCTAACTGGTAAAGCAATACATGTTTTCCCACTCGAGTCAGGAATATGAGCAATATGATGATTCTCATTACTTTTATTTAACATTACTCAAGATAGAAGACCAGAGAAATGAATAGGTTATAAATATAGAAAAGTATTCCTTACTGTATTCCAACATTATCATTGATTAACAATGATAGAATTGCTTGTCCTATAACAGTAACAATAAAAATTGAAAAATACTTGAATTATTAAAATATTAGTAAGGAAGTTAGTTTCATAATAAATATACAAATAAAATACAAAGAGCAGAAAATCTAGTGAGAAGGTAAAATCAAAAATAGATTGTCTTCAGATTTAACAATAAAGCATAAAGTACCCCAGAGTAAACTGGATAAAAAATGTGCAGGGTCCATAGGAAGAAAACTATAAAACTTGACTAAAGGCCATAAAGAACGCTTAAATAAATTGAAAAAAGACAAATTACGTTGTCGGTTAGAAAGACTAAATACGTTGAAGATGCCAGCTATAGCCAAAGTATTCTCTAAATCAAATGTAACATCAAAAAGCCAGGGACTTTTACTTCAAACTTTGTAAGATGTTCACTTTGACCAATAAAAAGTAGGAATAAGAAAGAAAAGAAACATTTTAAAAGAAGGATTTGCCTAACCAGATATCATAATGTGCTCTAGAGTAGTTAAAATACTGTAGTAATATTAGGGGAATATACAAACCAGAAAAAGAGCATAAAAATTCCAGGGGAAATAAATATTTAAGAATCGGTTATACTAACATAAACTGAAACAATAAAGAAAAAAGATACTGTAATGACGTGCTAAAGAAGAACTATTACAGAAAAACAAGTTAACCTTCACTTAACCCCAAAATAAATTGTGAGTGGATAATTTGCATTTTAAATAGAGCCTTATAATTTCTAGAAAAAAATATTATCTTAGGTCTAGGGGATCTTTCTAATCATAAAAACAGAGAAACTATTTTTTAAAAGACATAAATTTAATTTTACAATATTCATGTTTAAAAGTTACAAGAAATAATTAAAAGAACTAAAAAGCAAAATTGAAGCCAGAGGAATATCTGAAAAAATGTAAAGGATAAATAGTTTTATATATAAATAATTCCTTAAAAAAATAATAAACCCCCAACAGAGAAAAAGCGACAAATGGCATTAGTGGGCAAAGGAAAACTACAAATGGTCAATAAACATACAAAGTTGTTTCAATCTCTCTAACATTGAAAGTAACGCAAAAATATTTTACCTACATTCATTATTTCATTCAAAATACAACTATTTATGACCAACTTTATGCCAGGTATTGCTGTGGGTCACTAAGAATAGGGAGCCGAATGCCACCATATCCCTGCCCTCATGAAAAAGAAAGAGATAGTAATCAAATTAAAAATAAATAAATAAAAAACAGGCCGGGCATGGTGGCTCACATCTGAAATTTTAGCACTTTGGGAGGCCGAGGCAGGTGGATCACTTGAGGCCAGAAGTTCAAGACCAGCCTGGGCAACATGGTGAAACCCCGTCTCTACTAAAAATACAAAAATTAGTCAGGCATGGTGGTGCATATCTGTAATCCCAGCTACTTGGGAGGCTGAGGCAGAAGAATCACTTGAACCCGGGAGGGGGAGGTTGCAGTGGGCCGAGGCTGCACCACCGCATTCTTGCCTGGGTGACAGAGGGAGACTCTACATCAAAAGCAACAACGCCAACACAAACAACAAACAAAAAGCAGCAGCACATATAAAGTTAGTTATACAAGATGAATTAGTTCCAGTGATCTGTAAGATAGTGCCTATAGTTACGAATAAAGTACCCTATACTTAAACATGTGCTCAGAAGGTAGTTCATGTTATACGCTCTCACCATCCAAAAAAGAAAAAAAAAGTAACCAAAAAAGGAACTCAAGAAAACTTATGTACGTGCTGGATATGTTTGTTAATTAGATTGTGCTGATGGTAACATGAGTGTATATATATGTCCAAACTTTCCAAATTATGCGTAGTTTTTGCATACCAGTTGTATCTCAATGAAGCTGAGGAAAAAAATACAAAGGAACATACAGACAAAATAAATAACAGTACGGTTTCAAAGGGTGATACTTACGTGAAGAATGTAAAGTAGGATAAATGGATAGAAAGCAACTGAGAGAACTATTTAAATGGGAGAAAATGAACACAATCTTTTTGAAGGCTAATCTGGCAGTGTGCATCAATAGTTTTACAAATGTCCATACCTTTAAAAAAAATTTTACCTTAAAACAATTTTAGACTCGCGAGAAATTGCAAAATTAGACATTTGGGACTACAACAAAGTAAAAAGCTTCTGCACAGCCAAAACAATCAACAAAATGAAAAGACAACTTACCGAATGGGAGAAAATATTTTCAAAATATACATTTAATAAGGGGTTAATTTCCAAAATATATAAGGAACTACTACAACTGAAAAAGAAAATGAATAACTTAATTTTAAAATGGGCTGAACACTTGAATAAACTTTTCTCCAAAGAAGGCATACAAATGGCCAACAGGTATATGAAGAGGTGTTCAAAATCACTATCAAGGAAATGCAAATCAAAATCACAATGAGATATAACCTTGCACCTGTAAAGATGGCTATTATCAGAAAAACAAAAGACAAGTGTTGGCAAAAATGTGGAGAAATTGGAACCCTTGTACACTGTTGGTGGGAATGTAAATTGGTGCAGCCATTACAGAAAACAGGAAGGAAGATTATCAAAAAAAATTTCAAATAGAACTACCATATAAGCCAGTAATCCCACTTCTGGGAACTTATTTATAAAGAGTTGAAATCAGGATCTTGAGGAGATCTTAACATTCCCATGTTCATGGCAGCACTATTTGCACTAGCCAAGATGTGGAAACAACCTAAATTTCCATAAATGGATGAATAAAGAAAATGTGGTATATACATACAATGGAATATTATTCAGCCTTTAATAAGGAAAAACTCCTGCAGTACGTGACAACATGAATGAACTTTGGAGACATGTTGCTAAATGAAATAAGCCAGTCATGGACAAATATGGCATGATTCCATTTATATGAATTATCTAAAATAGTCAAACTCATAAAAACAAAAAATAGAATGGTGGATGCCAGGGGAAATGGGAAGGGAGAAGGAGGAGTTACTAACCGATGTGTATAAAATTTCAATTATGCAAGATGAATAAGTTCCAGAAATCTGCTGTACAACATTGAGCCTATAGGTAACAATACTGTATTGTACACTTAAAAATCTGTTAAGAAGGTAGATCTCATGTTAAGTGTTCCTACATAAAATTAACCATTTTTTTAATTAAACAAGAAGTTGCAAATATAGTAGAACATTAATATGATTGCTTTACCTGCTTTTTCTTAATGATAACATCTTACATAGTCATAGTAAAATACCGAAACCAGGAAATTGACATAGGTATAATATTATTATAATACTATAAACTACATACCTATTTCAATTTCACAGTTTTCACATGGACTCATCTGTGTTTTGGGTGTGTACTACTATGAAATTTTATCACATCTGTAGATTCATATAATGGCCCTCACAATCAGGATACAGAAGTGTTCCATCACCACAAAAAACTCAGTCATCATACCCCTTTATGGTTTATGTTACCAACTGTAACCCCTGACCAGCACTGATCTGTTCTCTATCACCATAATTTTGTCACTTTGAAAGTATTATATAAATGGAATAGAGTATGTAACCTTATGCGATTGACTTTGTTTCCTCACTCAGCATAATACTCTAGAGATCCATCTAAGTTTTTGTGGGTATCAATAATTCATTTCTCTTCATGACTGAGAAGTATTCCCATTACATGAATGAACAAGTTTCTTTGGATAAACTTCACCCATTGAAGGACATTTGGGATATTTGCAGTTTAGGGGATATTACAAACAAAGCTGCTATGAACATTTGTGTCCAGGTGTTTGTGTGCATACATGTTTTCAAGTCAGTACGATAAACATCCAAGATTGTGTTTCCTGGCTCCTACGGAAAGTATACGGTATAAATTTGTAAGAAACTGCCACATTGTTCTCTGAGGATTGTACCATTTTACTTTTCTACCAGCAATATATGGCAGATCCAGATGTTCCACATCCTGTCAATATTTAGTGTTGCCACTGTCTTCTATTTTAGCTATTCTGGTAGATGTATACTGTTATCATGGTTTTAGTTTGCATTTATCTAATGGCTAATAATGTTGAACATATTTTTATGTATTTATTTGTCCTCCGCATATCCTCTTTGTTTAAGTGTCTGATCAAGTTTTTTGCCATTTTCTAATGGGATTGCTATCTTACCTTTGAGTTTAGAGAGTTATTCAGATATTCTGGTTACAAGCTTCATGTTGGATATGTGATCTGTAGAAATTTTTCTTACAGCCAGTGGCTTGTCTTCTCATCCTCTTAATAGTCTCACAGAGTAAAAGTTTAAATTTTTTAATAAAGACAAATTTATCATATTTTCTTTTATGGCTTACGCTTTGGTATTGTGACTAAAAACTCTGCTTAACTCAAATCATGAAGGTTTTCTCCTGTGTTTTCTTATAAAAGTTTTATATATTTACTGTTTACATTTAGATCTCTGCCATTTCAGTTAATCTTTGTATAAGGTATGAGATTTAGATTTAGGATTATTTTTGGTCCACGGATAACCAATTTTCCAACATGATTTACTGAAAATATCATTCTTCCTCCATTGAATTGCTTTTTCACCTATGACAAAAATAAGCTGGGTGTACTTATGGTGGGTCACTTTCTAGACTCTTCATTCTGTTCCACTGACCTATGTGTTCACTCATTTTTCTATAAGATGTTGTCTTGTGTTCCCATCTTCCTTTTTCTTCCCCCTTTTTTTAGAGACAGAGGTCTCACTATGTTGCCCAGGCTGGTTTTGAACTCCTGGCCTCAAGCCATCCTCCTGCCTCGGCCTCCCAAAATGATAGGATTACAGATATGAACCACCACATCTGGCCTGTTTCTATCTTTTGATTCCACAATAATTTCCAGGAATTTATCCATAAGAGATAAAAATAAGAATTCTCCATAAGACCTAGACATATGTGAAAAAATATACATGTAAGGATGTTCAGTGCAGCTTTTTCACATTGAACTAGAAATAATATAGTGTCTAACAATAGGAAATTAAAGATTTCAGATTCCAGCAAAAACGGCTTACTCAGCTAATGCATAAACTCTCTCCCTATAAAATGTAGTGATGTTGAATAAACATTTAATATAACATATTTAAAACATAATACATTTTAATATATAGTTCACCTCAAAAACGGAACTCTTCAGGAACCAGAATTGATGAGGTCCCTGAGAGCTAGAATTCCAGAAGTATATGCTGATATTGTTGTAGCCTTGAACATGTTACTAGCCCAATAATAGGAGAGTTATTATTTTAATGCACACAAAGGCATGGATGACAACAGCTTTATTCACTCAAGATTGGACACAGGAACTAAGACCTGGGAGTAAAGCTAAGAACCTTGAAAGACTGTGATCCCAGTGAAGAGAAAATAAAAATGCTCCATGCACCTACCCATTGAGTTCACAATAAATCTTCAGAGGGAAATTAAATCACTGTGACTGGCCCTCACATAGGTAGAGTCTGTGTATTCTAAACTCAGAGGCTAGGATCTACCAAGTCAATAAATGAGCATAAACATTTGTTCTGGGCCTTGGATACCCAAACAGCCCAACAGGAACAATTGCAAACTCTCTGGAGAAATAACCGAGGCTACAAGAGATTCCTCCTAAAAAAACAAGCTCCCCTTTAGATAAGCTAACAACAAAAGTTAAAAATTATAGATGGAATCACCAAACATGGCAAAGACATCAGACACTACAAACAAATGAATTAGCATTCCAGTAACTTGAGGAAAGGCCTACAGATTTTTCTGTTATGATTCTATAACCACACTATTCAATATAAACATAATACAAGTGAGCCACAAATATGAGTTGCCTATGCAATTTTAAATTCAATTAAAATTTCACATTAAAAGAGTAAAAGCGCCAGGCATGGTGGCTCACACCTGTAATCCCAGCACTTTGGGAGTCCGAGGCGGGCAGGTCGTTTGAGCCCAGGAGTTCGACACCAGCCTGGGCAACATGGCAAAACCCTGTCTCTACAAAAAATGCAAAAATTAGCCGGGTATGGCGGCCTGCACCTGGAGTCCCAGCTACTCAGGATGCTGAGATGGGAGGATCCCTTGAGCCCGGGAGGCGGGGGTTGTGGTAAGCCTAGATCGTGCCACTGCACTCCAGCCTTGGGGACAGAGCCAGACTCTGTCTCAAAAAAAAAAAAAAAAAAAAAAAAAAGGGAAAAGAAATAGGTGAAACTAATTTTAATAATATAGTTTAATTTTTATTTTTGATTTTAGCTTTACTTAACATCTTTCATACTAAGTCTTTGATATTTAGTGGCTATTGGCTATCATAATGGACAGTGCAAGTCATGAAATAAGTATAAAATGGGTAATATGACCCATTCATTCAATCATGATTCATCAAGTATCCACTATATGCCAGACACCAGGAAACTTTGGTGCGCTAAATAAACAAAGTGCTTGCCTTCATTGGGCTTAAGTAATAACATGAGTGCAAAAGGAGAAAGAGGGAACATGGAGAAACAGATAATTAACTAGAAAATATATATTATGCTAGACGGTGATATGTATTATTATAGAGAAAAACCAGGCAGGGTAAAACTCATAAAGATGATGTCTGTGTGTGTGTGTCTGTGCATGTGTATGTGTATGTGTGTGTGGTGCAATGGTTTGTGGAAGTATTATTTTATATCAAGTGATCAGTAAAAGCCTCACAAATAAGGTTATATTTGAGGAGGGTCTTGTAAATCAAGAACCAAATACTGTAGAATGTCTTAAAAATATACAGTCACTGAGATTCTTTAAAAGAGCTCAATGCATGAATTCAACAGAGGATTAGACAGAGCAGAAGGAAGGATTAGATCTCAATTCACAAAATACAGCATGATAAATATTTTGAAAACTTTCCAGTTATGAAATAACTATATTTTATACAATTGACCAGAAACAGCTTTTTAAATTTATGAGTCTATTTATAAAATATACCGCCTCAATCAGCACCGTCAAATCTAAATATAATGCAAGTCACGTATATAACTTTGTGTTTTCTAGTAGCCACACTAGAAAAGTAAAAACAAATAGGTAAAATTAATTTTAATAATATACTTTAGCAGTTGAATAATATATTTAACCCAAAATATCCAAAATGTTATTTTAACATGTGGCACTAGCCACATTTTCTGTGCTTAGTAACCATATATACTAGTAGCTACCATATTACACATTGCAGCCCTAGATGCTTCATCAATTCTTGCAGACAGCCTTTTAAATGCTTAGCTGAACACGAGGTAGATTATACCAAAAAATTGAAAACAAAAAAAAAAAGAAGCTACTGTCGTGGACATTCTAGGGAATTTTGCCTTTCTCAGAAACTTCTGTTCCTTGAGTGTTTATGGCTGTGCTGGGATTGAATGATATGCCCTTTGACTAACCCAGTCAATGAGAGGATTACTATTTCTATCCTGAAGACAGACACAGAAAGAAAGGGACATAAAAGGAAACACAGTTGAAACACCAAGAGAGTAACAGGGACAAAGAGGGATAGTGAGCCTATGCATGCACCTACACACATAAACACAGACAGGAGGAATGACAAATGGGTAGAGAGAGAGCAAGACAAAGAAGACAGCCTCCTCTCAAGCCCAGATTAGAAATTGAACATGGGACCTCCTCTCTCTCCTTGAAGCATAGGGCCCTCCACTTCAAGTTGTGCCTCCAGAAGCACCACTCGGTGGTAGAAGATACCATTGACTGCAGTGACTGAAACTCACAAACATGAATTCATCAATTTCAACCTTACTCAAGGCTCCACTTGGCTGGAGAGAGTAGACTTGAAATCAATGACTCTAGAGAGTAAATGAAGGAGCTGAATTCAGCAGAAGCATGGAGGTGGCTGCGGAGGTATGCCTTACTAGAATTTTAAAAATATAAAGTGTGAAAAACTATTTTTTCCTCAGAACTCTCTAAATGAAAAGCCAGATCTCATATCTTGGGTTCCTCAACCAGGAAATGTATACTATATGTACACTAAAATAATGGGCACAAGCATTGTACAGACCTGTTTTTAAACTCAGTTACATTTGACAACTATTGACTTAATTGGCAAGTACATGCCTCTGATATAATTCTAAAGTGTGATGTGGGTCTGTTTGGTAACCCTAAAATGCCTTAACTCTAAGCAGGGACCTTGTTTGAAGGGGCAAAGTAACACTATAATAAAAGCCCCATGGACTGTGAATCTTAAGTGTGTATCCTGAGTCTGGTTATATTTTTAAGTAGCAGCATGACCCTATCAACCAATTATCCTCTCAGTTTACTTGCATGTAAAATTATCACATTGGATGAGAAGATTTGCTCTGGTTTTATAAACTATGATTCCACTTCTATATAGAAAATAATGATAAACAAAATGTTTATATATTTTATTTTGCATAGAATGAAATAGAATAAGAAAGGTTTGATTCATAAGGCCACTCTAGATCTTTCTAGGTCTGTCCTCTGCAAGGTAACTAGATAATCTCACAATAAATAAATTCTCAGGAAACAAAATGAATTCCAATTTCCCCACTTCAATCCACTAATTGCCATATGAGTGTAGAGTCTCTGTATGTTGGAGTTATAAAAAATGGCAGTTGTTAAACAATGTATAAATATAAAAAATTATAATACTTTACCTTTGAAATACCAGTGGTCAAGTAACTTCATAATTAACCTCAAGAAAATTAAAACATAGGTATGTTCAAAAACAGTTTCCCAACAGTTCTTTCTCAGTTTTCCAACACCATTCACAGTGGCTATGCATCTTCATTTCTAATGTCACCTTTTCAGAAACCACTTGCCACCAGGTCATGCCTTGCAGCTAAGTTATTCCCAGCTTCTTCCTTACATCTGACAAGTTTTGCACCTAAATGTCTCTGACTTGTATTGGTGGATACTTGGTCACAGAGGGGCTTTGTTTGCCACCTTCCTAGGTTACAAAATCTGTGATGCATATTTCATGTATATTATTTTGTTTGTGCAGCTGCTCAATACAAATACAATGATGTATACAATTTGGGGGCTTGTTTCAATATGCAAACTTCACAGAAGCCTCTGCCCAGAACCAGCAATCAGCAGGACCAGCACAACACTGCCAAAAATTTTACAAAGGCAATTCAAACAACCCTATAATTTAACTTTTATTTTTATGTAATAATGTTTATATACTATTTCAAATTGAAATGTAATTAGTTTAGAGTCTCATAATGCAGATTTTTGAGTAAGCATCACCGATTTTACAAAGACAGGCAAAGGCCACCTAATATTGACCAGTACAATTAGTTTTCTGATTGACAGCTAAACCTTCCCATTTATTCAAGTTATTGACACTTTCACGTGTCAAGCTGAAATACTGTTATTCTCTGAACTGTGAAATTTCAGAGATTGTTCCATTCTGGAAACAAATAACCATATGAGGGGAGAATACTTGAAGGCTACTACTATTATTTCTAATACTCACAAATTCTTAAGTTTGATTCAAATGACTGTCCTGATAATGGGAAATAATATTGAAAATATTGTGACTTTCCACTGTTGAAAAGCGGTACGATATATATAAGTTTTGAGCTAGGCAGCTGAATTTGAAGTTTGGCTCCAACCCCACCCTGCACAATGCCTCATATAGAATAGATGCTCACTAAATATTACTTTCCTTCCCTTATTGGTTTTCCCTAAAGTCGAGTAGAAAAATGAGTTTTGATGTAAACCTATCAGCAATGAGGAGTTACTGAAAATGTTATTTTAACTTGAAAAAATGAATATGATATTTTAGATAAGAGATGAAGAAAGAGTGGAGTCAAGGAGATTGATTAATATAATCTGGACTATAATGGGGACAGAAGAAGCATTATAAAATCTTTATCTACCTACCTACCTACCTAGTTATTTATCTATCTATAACCATTTGTTTGTTTAGAAAGAACATTCACATCTCCAACAAGAAACTTGTGAAAGAGGTATGATTATTCTGTTTTCCTAGATGAGAAAAGTGATGTTCAGAGGTCATTTATTTTTCCTAAGGCCAATATAACTATGTAACTAAGTGTTGGACTCAGAGCTTTAAGACAAAAGATATCTATGCTTATTCCTATAATATACTCCATCTCATGAGAATATCAAAAAGCATGAGGCTGACCACTGGATATGGATTGGAAGGTGGGGGATAAATCAAATCATATTCAAAGTTTTTTAGTAGTAACAACAAGGGACAAATTAAAGTCAAAGAAATAATTGGGATGGTATGGGGAATGTGACAAGGAGATCGGTGAATAGTTAGCTTGGGATATACTGATTTTTTTTTTTTTTTTTGAGACGGAGTCTCGCTCTGTCGCCCAGGCTGGAGTGCAGTGGCGGGATCTCGGCTCACTGCAAGCTCCGCCTCCCAGGTTCACGCCATTCTCCTGCCTCAGCCTCCCAAGTAGCTGGGACTACAGGCGCCCGCCACCACGCCCGGCTAATTTTTTGTATTTTTAGTAGAGACGGGGTTTCACCATTTTAGCCGGGATGGTCTCGATCTCCTGACCTCGTGATCCGCCCGCCTCGGCCTCCCAAAGTGCTGGGATTACAGGGGGATATACTGATTTTAAAGTGGGGTGGGGCATCCAAACGGAGCTTCCACTAGGCATTTGGACATGTGGGGTTGGCAGAGTATCAGGCTTGGCTCTATAGAGGTATACAGTGAGAAAGAATGCTATAAAAACGGACATGAACTGTGAGAGGGACACGCTCAAGTAGAGGGCCAACAACAGTACCGACTTGACACCCATATTTAGGCAAAAAGAGGAAGTAAAGGAATCAGCCAGAAGGATGATGAGGAAGTAAGCATAGATATGAAGAAGGATGTTCAGCATAGAAACCAAGAGAGGAATAGGAGGATTGTTACTTTTTGAGCATCCACCAAGTGTCAGGCACTTCACCTATAGGTTAATTCAATTCTAAAACAACTCAGTAGATTCATGTGCTGCATTATCTATATTTTTTAGATGTAGAAACTATGGTCAAAGAGGAAATCTGTCCTGTTCAAGAACACACATAAGAAAATCCTGACAAATTTCAGGATTTCGACTTAGTACTGTGAGACTCCAAATCTCATACTTTTTCCAGTTTGCAGAGGAGGGAATAGTCACTAGTGACTAAGTGCTGATGTTTATCAAGAAGCAACGTCACAGTTAGCTCTCAGTTTCGGGTATGTCTTTATCAGCAGCGTGAAAATGGACTAATACAGTCTCCAAGCAGCTTCCTATGTTAGTCCAGGGGCCCGTGATTGCTGAGGAGACATCCCATTGGATGGGCAATTAGAGAGAGTACTGGGGATGGGACTGCAATTTCAAGTAGATAGGGTTTAGTAGGGTATAAAAAAGTGAAAATATGTTGGAGATCACTCTCTGAAGAAGTTAGACAATGACGGCAAGAAGAAAGAAGAGATAATAAATACAGGAGAGCTCTGATCTGAAGATACCACCTCTCACTTTACTTTCTATACTGGCGATTCCAGTCCTTTTGTAATTTCATGGCTGAATGAAAGTGGTAAAACTAGAAGGTCCCTGCCAATCATCTGGTCTCTTTGGGTGGTAGATAAGGAAACAGTTTTATAGGGGTTAAATGGCAGGCCCGGACAGTCAGGTCCCATGCAGAGCTGGGTGGACAAACCCTAGTCTCTTGACTCCTAGTTTAATGCTTTTGTGGAAAGTATTGACTATAGCACAATACTTCATCCATACGTCTTCCTCAATCTAGCTCACACTTGGATAGCATTTACTTTACCTAAAAATATTCTAACCCATATCTCCATCAACCTGTAGTCCAGATAGAATTTGGAAGATTTCCTGCAAGGAGAAGTAGCAAGGGAAATGATTAAAAATATATACCATTAAGAATGCATAGTACATGTATTAGTCCATTCTCACATTGCTATAAAGAAATACCTGAGACTGGATAATTTATAAAGAAAAGAGGTTTAATGGGCTCACCGTTCTGCAGGCTGTAAAGGAAGCATAGCAGCACCGGCTTCTGAGGAGGCCTCAAGAAGCCTCCAGTCATGGCAGAAGGCAAAGCGGGAGTAGGTGTCTCACATGGCAAGAGCAGGAGCAAGAAAGAGTGTGGGGAGGTGCCGCATACTTTTAAACAACCAGATCTCATGAGAACTCATTCACTATGATGAGGACATTACCAAAGGAACGGCACTAAGCCATACATGAAAATCCACCCCGACCCCTGCCATGATCCAATCACTTCCCACCAGGTCCCACCTCCATCATTGGGGATTACAATTGGATTACAATTCAATACGAGATTTAGGTGGAGACATAGATCCAAACCATATCGGTGCATATTTTAGTTAACTTCCAGAATTTCACAGCTATCTTTTCTAAACTTCAATATTCAAAGAATCCAGGATGTTATTTAGCACAGAACAATCATAGTTTTTGTATTATCCACCACTTGTTTTACTTATCAGCTTTTTTCCTTCTTCCTTAGAATTTGAAATTCCTTGAAAGTAGCAACTGCTTTATGTGTTTATATATTTTTTTACAAGAGCTAGCACAGTACAGGGTACGTGTTGGACAATGAATACATACTTTTTGAAAGATTAATATTAATACATAGATGTATGAACTCTTTGGAACAATTTTCCAAAGTCATGTTTTTAAGCAGTCATGAATTAATTGTCCCATGAAAAGTGTGTGAAATCCAGTTATTTTCACATTTGAGCACCTGGTTCTTACTTGATGATACAAATGGCCAATTCTGAATGCAGTGAGACAGGGTTAAGGAGAAAATCAGGTAAAATTCTAAGTATGATATCTATTTCTTTAGTTAATCATTTTCTACTAGTAAAAAATAAAACGTTCATTACAGATAACATGAGCAACGCAAACTGAAAAAAAGAAGAAAATAAAAATCGCAAATAAACCCACTATCCATGGATAAATGCAGCTTGTATTTTATTTCCTTTTATTCTTTTTATACTTATAAACACATATGTATTTTTATATAGGAGGACAAAAAACATATAATCATCTCAATAGACTAATAAAAAGCATTTGACAAAATTCAACATTCCTTCATCATAAAAACGCAAAAAACTAGGCATAGAAGGAACATACTTTAACATAATAAAGGAATAAAGGTCACATATGACAAGCCCAACTTAACATCATATTTAATGAGAAAAAGCTGAAAGCCTTTCCCCTAAGAACTGAAACAAGAGAAGGATGCACATTTCCACTACTCCTATTGAACATAGTACTGAAAGTCTTAGCCAGAGCAATTAGTCTAGAGAAGGGAATCAAAGGCATCCAAATTGGAAAAGAAGGCAAATTGTCCCTTCTTCCTGATGATATGATCTTATATCTAGGAAAACCTAAAGACTCCAACAAAAAACTCTTAAATCTGATGAATAGATTCAGTAAAGTTGTAGAATAAAAAATCATCATACAAAGATCAGTCATGCTTCTATACACCAATAATAAACTAGCTGAGAAAGAAATCAAGAAGGCAACCCCATTTACAATAGCAACAAAAAAGATAATCAGGAGTAAGTTTGACCATGAAAGTTAAAGAATTCTACAAAGAAAACAACAAAACACTGATGAAAGAAATTGAAGAAGACGCAAACAGAAAGACATCCCATGCTCATGGATCAGAATTATTAATATCTTTCAAATGGCCATATTGCCCAAAACAATCTACAAATTTAATGTAATCCCTATCAAAATACCAACATCATTTTTGAAAAATAGAACAATCCTAAAATGTGTATGAAACCAAAAAAGAGTCCAGATAGCCAAAGCAATCCAGAGCAAACAGAACAGAGCTAGAGGCATCACACTCCTTGACATCAAAATACATTACAAGGCTATAGTAACCAAAACAACATGGTATTGTTTTAAAAAAAAGACAGACCATAGACCAATGGAAAAGAAAAGAGAATCCAGAAAGAAATCCACATATTTACAGCCAACTGATTTTGACAAAGAAACCAAGAACATACTTTGGGGAAAGGACAGGCTTTTCAACAAATGATGCTGAGAAAATTGGACATCCATATGGAGAAGAATGAAACTGAATCCCTATCTCTCACAACATATAGAAATCAACTCAAGGTGTATAAAAAATTTAAACATAAGACATGAAACTGTAAAACCACTAGAAGAAAACAAGGAATATATTTCAGGACACTGGTCTAGGCAAATATTTTATGTCGAGACCTGAAAATCACGGACAACAAAAACAAAAAGAGACAAATGGGATTATATTAAACTAAAAAGCTTCTACATAGCAAAAGAAACCATCAACACAGTGAAGAGACAACCTGTTGAATGGGAGAACATATGTACAAATTATTCATCCAATAGGGGGCTAATATCCAGAATATACAATGAACTCAACTCAATAAGAAAAAAAAAATCTCATTGAAAAGCAGGCAATGGATATGAATAGACACTTCTTTAAAGAAGTCATACCAATGGCCAACAGGCACATGAAAAAAATGGTCAACATCACTAATTATCAGAAAAATGCAAATCAAAACCACAATGTGATATCATCTTACCCCAGTCAGAATGGTTATTATTAAAAAGACAAAAAAAGAAAACAGATGTTGGCAAGATGCAGAGAAGAGAGAACTCAATGTTAGTGGGAAAGTAAATTAGTACAGCCATTATGAAAAACAGTATAGAGACTTCTCAAAGACAACTAGAAATATAACTACCATACACTCTTGCAATCCCACTACTGGGTATGTATCCAAAGGAAAAGTAATCAGTATATAAAAGGGATCCCTGGACTCACATGTTTATTGCAGCACTATTCACAAGAGCAAAGATATGGAATCAACCCAAGTGTCCATGGAAAGAGTAATGGATAAAGAAAATGTGTTATGTATACACAATGGAATACTATCAGGCCACAAAAAGAATAAAATAATGTCATTTGCAACAACACGGATGGAACTAAAGGTCATTCTGCTAAGTGAAGTAAGCCAGACACAGAAAGACTAACTTTGTATGTTCTCACTCACATGTAGGAGCTAAAAGTCAATCTCATGATAGTTACCAGAGGCTGGGAAAGGTGTGTTGGCAGGAAGAGGGATGCAAAGAGGTCAATGGGTACAACGATGCAGTTAGATAGAATGTTTAAGATCTAATTTTTGAAAGCAGAGTACGGTGACTATAGTTAGCAATACTGTATTGTATATTTCAAGGTAGCTAGAAGAGAGAACTTGAAATGTTCCCAACACATATAAATAAGTACTCAAGGTGATGGACACCTGAAATACCCTGGCTTGATTATTAGACATTCTATGCATGTAACAAAATATTACATGCATCTCATAAATATGCAAAATATTCTGTATCAATTGAAAAAGGGAGAAGACTGAGATACATCAAGTATATTTACATCTATTGACTTTTTATATTATTAAAAAATAAAATGCAACTGGTTACTAGTGAAAGGATGTTAAATAAATAACAAGTCATTATTTTGGAATTTAGCAAATAAAGGAGATAATTATATACATATCCTGCCTTTCCTATACAAATTGTACGACTAGGTAAACAAATAGTAGATATGGAGAAAGTTATCTTTATAGCAGTATTTCAAGTAGTATGTGAAGAAAAAAATGATAGAATATCTCCATTTTGAAAACCCTAAAAAAAAATTAATGAAACTAGTCATTGAGCATCAACAGCTACTAACACCACCAAAAATGAAAACAATACGATATTATGTCCTCCTGAGGGAAGACAATTCCACCTAGGAAAAAGTCTCCTCTCACTCCCCAAGGTTGTTCTGAGGATTAAGTGAGGAATTTTAGATAAAGCTCTAAGGCACAAGGCTGGGCACATCGCACAAAAAGGCTACTTTCCTTCTTTAACCACCCTTTTCCCTGGAAACCAAGGCAGTGGTTGTTTCTATTACTATTGCTGTTTGGAAAGATAATTTATAGTCTAAGAAAATATCCCATATTCCTTGGGAGAGGCCATGGCAGCAACCCTCCATCACAGTGAAACAATTATGTCATCTTTGACACTGACTCTCCATCCACTCAGTCTCTCCTTCCTCTATCCCTTTCAGAGGAACATAGATCTAATATCAGTCACTTATATGAAGCACAATTATGTCTCAAAGCTAGAGCTGAACTGGCTGAGATATACCTGTTTCCAAGGTCATGGGTCTCCTCCAAATTCAGTGCTAGTGCAGAGAACTCTTTGGGAATAGCTTCCCAGTCTCCTCTCTGTTTTGGGAATTACCACTCCTTCTCCACTAATATGGTTACTGTATAAGGGATCCCAGTACACATCTGTACACACAATGAAGACACAGCTCATAGAATGTGAAATCGTGTCCCCCTCAAAAAAATGCATGGAAGTTCCAACCTGCAATATTTGTGAATATGAACTTACTTGGAATTAGAATCTTTGAAGATATAATTAAGGATCTTGGGATGAGATCATCCTAGGTGGATCTTAACACCAACAATTAGTATATTTACCAGAGAAAGTACAGGGATACTGTATTTGAGACACAGAGACACAGAGAGAAGGTGCCCAGGGAGAAAAGGAGAATTGGCTGTTATACAGCCACAAGTCAAGGAATTCTAAGGGTTGCTAGCAGCCAGCAGAAGGTACTAGAGACACACAGAACAGATTGTCCAACAGAGCCTTCATAAGGAACAAACCCTGCTGACAACTTTGTGGACTCCTGGTCTCCAGAATTGTGAAGCAATAAATTTTTCTTGTCTTAAGCCACCAAGTGTATGGTCATTTGTTACAGCAGTCTTAGAAAACTAACACACAGCCCCTGGCAGAGCTCGCTGATCTAGCTCCAGATGCTACCATTGGAAATCTGTAATTGTGGCCAAGAAATTCCAATTTCACTCTGGCTATCTCTTATACGTAAGAAATGTTAACCCAGCCCTGTAAACTAGGAAGCAGATAAAGTCATTCTACAGCAAAAGAGAAAAATACTTACAGCTTGTATCCCATTGGTGTCTGAGGCCCAGATGCACACTTATTCTTGGGTCTTATGAGACATCCCTTTATCAAAAAACCAAAAATCATCCTTTTATGTTCAAACTAGCACAAGCGGATTTCTGTAAGTAGTAGCCCAAAGGGTCCTAGTGCACTCAGGAAACTGCTGCCAAAAGTCCTTCAATAAAGATCAACTGGAGCAATTTTTTCCTTGGTGGGCATGGTGCCAGGAAAAGCTGAATTTACTCAAGAACCCTTTAAGGGAAATCAAAGGAAACTTTAGGACTTAGCCACAACCACAATAGGCAGAGACGATGCGAAAAAGTAACCTCAATTTTCACTGGGCGTAACAGCCAAAACCCAGATCTCATACAGGTTGAACATTCCTTTTCCAAAAATCCAAAATCCAAAATGCTCCAAAATCTGAAACTTTTGGAGTGCCAATATGATGCCACAAGTGGAAAATTCCACACCTAACCTCACGTGATGGGTCACAGTCAAAATGCATTCAAAATTTGTTTCAGGCACAAAATTATTGAAAGTACGTATACAATAAAAAATGAAAAATATAGCATATATGATGTCATTTAAAGTATTTTGTGATTATTGATTATTTAGGTTGTTATGAAATTTACATTGGTAAGAACACTTATATGAATAAAATATTTGTGCATAAGTCTCTTGCTAACATTTCTGGCCATTTCTTCAGACCAGATTCTGAGAAGTTGAGTTACTAACTACTAGGTCATTGAAGCTTATATCTATTGGCTCTGTTTGTGTACATATCTAAAAACTGAGTTTATATGTTCAAACACTTCATACACAGATGAAATGTCAAACACAATTATGTCAATATTTCTCCAATTAACACGACAAACCTGGTAGTTCATTTAGCACCTAGAGTAGTATTTCAAAATTCATTTTCTTTTTAATTATAAAGCAATGATGATAATAACAAACGACTAATCCATTTTCTTTTAGCTGTTTTGCCGTCAGCAATGGGAAGGGCATGTGTTAGGTGATGGACTTGGATTGGTTCACTCTTTTCATATGTATATTATAGGACTATGAAGTTAGGGAGCTAGGCTGTGGCTATGAAACTGTCTCTCTATATACTTCAGGTCAGATTCCACAAACTTCACCACTCTAGCTTTCTTCAGAGTCATTCTTAATAATTTATTAGTGTCTATAGTGTTTGCAGTACTGAGATGATGTTACCATAAGAAATAGCGTATGCGGCATACAAACAGGTCAATAACCAACTTGTTTTTCATATATGTCAGAAGCCTATCTTATGCAGGGACACAGTTTATCTGCCTTCAAAAATCCATTTTCAGGGGAATCCTACAGGCTAAATCACAACATCATTCCAGTTAGGCAGAGAAAATAACTTTAGCTACAATCTGTCTTCTTGCATTCCAAGCACATACATGTTTGCAATCAAGTCCTCCCAAAGATTATACATATTTCTACTCTGTCTGAGGAAAAGAAATGTGAGATGCTCTTGGTGTAATTGCTAGATTTAGAATCTAACTTGCAATTACACATAAAGAAGCAATGGGTTTACAGGTTTGAAAATGTCGATATTCAAAAAGGTTAATTTTGTTTTAAAATTGCACCTAATGATTTTTCTGGTTATAAAAATAACATTTATTGCAGAACATTTAGAAAAGCATCAATAAAAAATTAAATTACCTCTAATCCTAAAACCTAGTGACAAGTACTGTTAATTATTTTATATAATATTTCAGCCATTTTTCATTGCCTCTGTGTGTGTGTGTGTGTGTGTGTTTAATTGGGCATATACTGAATATACTCTTTGACAACTGTTTTATGCTTATTAATACATCACGAATATTCTACATATGTTATATATATTACATAGGCCCTTAATTATTCACAATTATGTTTTCTATTGGCTGCATTATATTACATTATAACAATACATGAAACTTATTTAACCAATAACATATTTTTGGAATTAGGTTGCTCTCTATTTTCTACAATTATAAATAATACTGCAAGCTAGCATTTTGCATATCTCTACTTCCTTAAGATAAATTTCTAGAAATATAATTGTAAGGTGAAAAGGATATAACCTGTTGAAAAGATTTTGAAAGATATTCCTATGTTGCCATTTCAATATATATTAGATTGCCACTCAAACTATGTGTAGTAGTCAGCTGTAGCAGATGGTATTGGCACCCCACTCATAACCTGTGGCCTACACCAGAGACAGTTTCCATACTCAGCTTCTTATATGTCTCTGCCCAGGGCTTTCTCCTGCCTCAGAATTCTGATTAATCCACTGGTGGGAAAGGCAAAAAATGTAGAGAGGGTAATACCCCAAGAATTACTCTCAACAATTAAGGGGCAGGAGGATGGATTTCATAAATACCCTAGATTTCTACTTCTCACCTCTCTGTGGGACAACTCCGAGTTGTAGTCCACAGTCTCTTGATGGCTCCCCAGCAGGACTGAGCCCCAGTTCCCCATAGAAAACTACTCATTAGCATTCCCAGTATTGTCTTTATTCTCTTCCCTGTCACAGTTTCTCATTCCCTCATAGTACCTCCCGGAATCACTTTCCAAATAAACTACTTGTATACAAATCTCTGTCTCACAGTCTGCTTTTCATGAAATCCAAACTAGAATAACCTCCTGTTTCCTTTTACTTCAGGCTTATTTTGAAACTGGAAAAAGATTAAGATAGGATTGATAATACCTGTAGAATATATATAAAGACTTAATCGCAAATTTCTAGAGAACTATGTGGCGATGAAGATGGGAGAGGCTTTAAAGACAATAGGCCAGGCATGGTGGCTCACATCTGTAATCCCAGCATTTTGGGAGGCCGAGGAGGGCGGATCATGAGGTCAGGAGTTCGAGACCAGCCTGGCCAACATGGCGAAACCCCGGCTCTACTAAAAATACAAAAATCAGCCAGGTGTGGTGGCGGGCACCTGTAATCCCAGCTACTCAGGAGGCTGAGGCAGGAGAATTGCTTGAACCCAGGAAGTGGAGGTTGCAGTGAGCCGAGATAGCTCCACTGCACTCCAGCCTGGATGACAGAGCAAGACTCTGTCTCAGAGGAAAAAAAAATGGAAAGACAATAAATAGCATAATTTAAAAAATAATTCTAATTAGCCCAAACCTGAACAAAAATTGCCCTTTATTTTCAATGCAAAAATTGAATTCAAGTATTTATATCATAATTCTCTATTTTTTAGAAAATAGAAAATCTAACGCCTTGACTATCTAGGCAATATTATAAGAAGTATCAGGGCCCCTTCCTTGCTTGGAAGAGGGGTTAAGAGAGTCCAATTCAAAAAGAAGGTATCTTGCTTATGTTCAGCAAACAGATGTCTTTATCATGTGAGTAATTCCTAAATGACTAATATGTTGTGAATTGAAATGAAGAAGTGCAGGGGAGGAAGGTCAGAACAACGAAAGATGCTCCTTGACTAGATGTGATAAGGTAGATAGAAATGAGTGGCACTGTTTGTTGTATGAGAGGAAAGAACCCAAAGTAGTCCATCAGATTTTGATCATTAGTGCTGTCAAAAATAACTTTCTGTGTTGATGGAAATATTCTGCATCTGTACTGCCCAGTGTGGTAACCACTTGCCATATGTGGCTATCGAGCAGTTGAAATGTGGTTAGTGGGACTCATGCAACCAAGGAACTAACCTTTTAATTTTGATGAGTTTAAACTTAAATAACCACATTTGGCTAGCAGATACTCTATTGGATAACACAAATCCTGGCTCTACACTGACTGCATTATACTACAGTTACTTTCCAAAGGTTTAATCTGGGATGTGAACTTCATTATCCTAAACTACTGAAAAGAAAGAAAAAATCTTTTTATTTTTAAAGTTCTGGTCTACAAAGGGCTACTTTAAACTCTTTCATTGTGTGAGTGGGAAACAAACGAGCTAAGATAGGGAATCAATCAAAGAGAAGACAACAATAATAATATCAAATATTTACATGGTGCTATGTATCAGCTACTCTTCTACGCATTTGATGTATTTTAACTAGTTTAAACCTATTACAACCTTTGAAGTATATGTCACTATTATTTCCATTTTACAGTTGATGAAACTGAAGTATGGAGAGTTTAGGTGATTCTCCCACAGAGCTACGAAATTGCAAAGCTGGGAATTAAGCTAGAGTCTGGGCTCTCAAGCACTAGCCCATACTTGCTCTTAGGATCTCAGAATTATTAGACAGACTATTTCTGGTCATCCAACATAAAAATCATACCACTAAAAAATCAATGGTAAATCATATGTCTTGTTATAAGAAAAGGAAGTATTTATGAGTCTTTTCTGGTAAAAAAACAAAATCTGGGAAACACTGGGTACTTTGGTATTTTAAATATACCAGTTCTACCTAAAAATATTCTCCAGCATCAAATGTGAAAGAAGTCTCTTTCTTTCTGATCCCAAGTGATGTGTTCCTGGATGAATTATAACTATTTTTATTACTCTAGTTGAAAAAACATAACTTTGACATGAAGTTCTCTCTCTGATCTCTACTCTGTTCATCTATCACACACTTTTTGTTTGAACTTTGATTGGATGAGTGCAGAATTAGCAATGGAAATCCATGAAGAGATTCACAAAGAGGAAAATCTTACATTTCTTAGTGGGAGAGAATGGTGACGTGGTAGGAAAAGGATATTCCAATTTAAAAGAAAATATAATGTCAGAGGTGGAATACTAGATGAACAGAATTGAAACACATGTGTATCATTTTCCATTTTACTGTTGAAGAAATTATGGATTTTAATGTTTGAATCCTGACAATATTTGTCTAAACTAGATTAAGAGAGAGAAAAAGTGTAATGAACTAAGCTATAGATACTCAGGCAATCCTACTGATTAGCTGTATTGTCAAGCTGGAGGTGTGGGTATGCAGTGATGAGGCACGGAATGGTTTCACTTGAAAATGTTAATTCTGTGAGAATCGTTCAATTTTTGAAAAATTTAAAACATGATATCCTAGAGTTTTAAGCAGTCACTGAGCTTCACACTAGCAAGAGAATATGGATCCATGCCTTGACTTTGATCTCCACACCAATCTTTCCAAGAATAATGATGGTACCTGCTCTTTGGAATATAACATTAGACTTGCTTTCAAGCCTGAGCATTTGTTGATCATGAAAAGAAAAATCATAGGACCACCAATACACTAGATTTTCTTCAGTATCTTAGTGTTTGAGAATATTTACCAACCCATACCAATTTCATTATTTTTTTAAAAAAGTATGACTAACCAAGTTCTAGTTTGTTGATAACGAAAGATTCTTGACAAGCAGATGAGATAAGGAGAGGAGGAGAAATAGCATAATGATATGACTGGACTTTAGAGTGTGAGTTTGGGGATATGTGGCTAAAGTTGATACTGGAAGATGTAGGCTGAGGCCACATCATGGAAGTCGTTGAGGTCCATATTTAAAGGTTTTCATCTTTACCCTGAAGATGGAGAAAACACATCAAAAGGTGTAAACAGGATTAAGTTTATTCAGATTCACAGTTGAGAATATATTTCTGGTAGAATTGTGAAGAGTAAATTTGGAGAGCTTGCAGATCTGATTCAGGGAAATGAATTTTAAGAGTTTTGCAAATGAGATTTGTTTAAATACAGTGTTCGGCTATTAAACTACTAAAATTGAAAGCCCCTGTCTCAAATGAATATATTTGGGTCCAGGTGATACACTTGAGCATAATTTCTAAATAACTGTTACCATCAAACTCATTTTTGAAATGCAAGAATCAATTCTTTTAAGTCAATTAAATATACAAAATATTGGTCTAATATAATTGTTAAGTTAGATAACAGATACCTTTAGAAAAAACTTAAAAGGTCTCAAATATAAGAGGTATTTTACCTAGATTATCTGTGTTTACTGTATTTACTGTGAAAACAAAAATTCTGCCCAAGTATACAAGACACTAAGAAAACCTTGGCATTAAAAGGACCTGCCACTTCCTCTCAGCCTCCTCATTTACTGTAACGTAAGGAATTTCTGTACAAAGCTGCCAGCTGCCATGAACAAAGATTAAGAAGGTGATTTACAGGAGTTAATAGAAGATAAACTCTGCATTAGATGAAGATAATTGTAAAAAGGTTCTAGGAACAGTGTATGACTGATCAAAATGGATTTTAAAAACTTTAAAAGAAATATCACTATATTGACAGGCAAGTTAATATATATTCATGTATGTCAGCGAGAAAGTAGGACAAGAGAAAAAGGAACTTGGTCAGTCACGGGAGGTGGTCTGGTGGAGGAGATTTGGCACAAAGAGTGAGCAATAAATAGGAGGGGAAGACTTTTTAAAAATACATTATTCAACTTACAGGATGCTTTATTTTTGTCAAATTGAGGGCAGGCCATAACCCTTCCCACCTACTACAGCCCAGATGAGAACATGTAAAGAACTGAAAAAGAGAACAAGCAGCAGACAAGAAATATAGAGAGGAAAGAGCCCTTCCTGGGGTAACAAACAATAGATGTACCGTCAAGGACACAATGGAAGATCCAGCAGTGGATGAAGGATCCGTGGATTAGGAAATTCAGAGCAGCAGTAGCTGGAGCTACAGAAAATCAGTGGAAGATGTATGTTAAACAATAAGCTTTGAGAACAAATTAGATTTGGATATTGAGAAGTTTTGCAGTTAGTACAAACACCTGATAAAAGGAAGTAGCAATCTGATGCAGACCAGTATGGATACCAGAATGGCAAAGAGAAGAGAATCGGTACAGCACTAGATCGAAGACATTTCCCTTCAACTACTTCATTAAGGATTTTACCAAGAGCTTGGTGGGATTGATTTAAAGGGAATACCAGAACCAAAAGGTATGCTGTCTGTGGTTTGTATTATATTTTAATATAATCATATGGTTATATTCATTAGACATACACACATGCATACATACACACACTATTTAAGTCACTGTTTCATGGACTGTCTCATTCTCATTCCATATTATGGACATTCTCATTTTTAATTAACCCTCTCTGTTGTCTTTACCTGGTCCTGCACCAAAAGAATATGACTAAGGGTTGTTCAAGGCAGATATTCAAACTAAATTCCTTCATTAATTGTTACCTTCAATATGCTATTGTCCAAAGAGGACATACAAGTTGCACAGTAAACTTTTAGTTCATTGACGTTTCTCAAGTGTCTGTCACATGGTAGGTTCTAAAGATAAGTTCTCAATTAATGAATGAAACTGTTAATGAATGGTATTTTAATAAACCTTATACTTGGCTGATCATGCCACATCTGTTATTTACGCATGTTTCACTACAACCAGCCCTAGGGGGAGTTACAGAGATTATTTTATTCTTCATTTAAATGCAATTCATTATTTTTTATCTTCTTAAAATAACGGACATGCAAGTATTCAACTCTTAGACGTCATATGAACGTTACTGCAATGTCTAATCTGAACTTACGCCATTATGCTCTTTGACCTGGAAAGTGTATTTTCCTCTGTTTATCATAAGACATTGCAAGGGTCAAGACCATTGAAATCTTCAGCATGAATTTTTCATCAGGGATGTAGGATCTTCCTGGGGCAGTATAAAGCAAGAGTGTGAAATGGCTTCCAAAGAGATAATGATACTTTAAATTCTATTAATAAACATGGTGTCTGTATCAACATTGTCTCCACTTCTGAATAACACACTTTAAATGGGAAAATGGCAAAATGGAATTTTCAGGAAAAATGCAACCAGACTGTCAAGGTGATTTTAGATATTGTCATACATGGAAAACTTGGAGTAACTCATGATTTGACTCCCTCCCCCTCAAAAATGTTTTATCAGTTATCCAAATTTCCATGAATGACACCACTATTCACCCAAATGTCAAAAAGCCTAAGAGTCTTTCAGGATCTCTTTCCTTTCTTCACCTCTCTGAATTAAATACAAATACTATTACCAATTGTAATATTAATGCTAATGCAATTATTGCTAATAGTAGCTAAAATTCACCAAGTATTTATGTTCTGTCAGACTCTATCCTAGGAGCTTCACATTCTCTCAATCTCCATAACAATTTTACCTTCCATCTTTGATGAATTTGAGACTTAGAGCTATTAATGTAGTTGCACATAGTCATAAAAATGGTAAAGTCAGGATTTACACCCAAGTTTGTTAGATTTCACAACCTGACTCAAGTCCCGTCATGTCTGTCTCTAAAAATGTCTTATCTCTGACCACTTCTTCTCTTCTATGATACTACTAATCTCATTAAAACCAGCATCATCTCTTACCTAGACTATTCCAGTAGTCTCCTAATTGAAGTTAGGTGTTTATATATATTATATGAACTAAGCCTGTCTACAGGTCCATGAGATAAATATCGTATCACGCAAAGGTGAAGAAATTTAGACCAGAGAGGTTGAGATGCCCAAAGTAACACAGCTAATAAATAAAGGAGGATCAGATTTGTTATATAATACTCAATGACTTAAATTTAGTTTGAAGAAGTTCAACTGGATAAGGAGAGTGGAATGAAACTAAATCAAAAGTATTCCCCTCTAACATTAATAAAATTAATGAAAATAATAACAGCAGCAGAAGATAATACTTATTATTTGCAATCAAACATATAACAGAACATGACTCAAAGAACTAAACTTCAAAAACTGATGCCCTAAGGAAAAAGGCAGTAACTGTCAGAGAGGTGCTGAAAGTTTCCTGACTATAGACCTAATCATGAGCCAGACTGATGAATTGGCAAAATCATAGGAACTCTAACAATATCCATAATTTAGGATAGAAAAAAGCTTAGTCAATGTTTCTATCTTATTCCTCTTCTGACTTGGGATAAGTGGTGAAATGCAGAAAATGTAAAATAAAATGAAAAATTCTTTCTAAGAGAACTAAAGGCTCTACTATCTACACAATTGGGGAAATGATTTAAAGCCAGACTATATCCCTCCATAGAAACAGGACACATCCTGACTGGAGAGAATTAACCCTGACTCAAGAAATTTAAGGTTTTCTCAAGAAACAGAAACAAACCACATGTTCTAACAGAGCCTGCAAAAAGCCCCAGTGGAATTTTCCTGCCATCCTGGATACCACACACTTTCAATACCTAGTCCCAAAACTTATGCTCAGATGTTATGAAAAAAGTCGAGGATAGTCAGGCAAAGAGAAAATAGAAGTGTTCACTGCATGCTAACATATGGGCAAGATAAATTAAAAACACACAAAAATTCCAGATATGTAAACATATTACAACAATACCAAAAAAGAAAGACCAAAAAAAGTAACGACAGATGAAAAATCCACTCTTAAAGAAAACATAAGACAATAAAACAGAAAGAAAATCCCCACAAGTATTTTACATTATAAAACAACTTAATAAGGACCTGGATTCATGAAAGCAAAAACATAAACTTAAGATCATAAAAAGTAGAATTATATGAAAATAGAGATAGCAGATCTAAGGAACTAAATTAAAAACCAAGAGAACATAATTTCATAATTAATAGAAATCAGAAATACCAAAAAAAATTAAAGAAAGATGGATAAAAGTTGAATTACCAACATCCACCACGAAGGGATATGTTGAGATAATCATGGAGAAAAAAATTAAGTATTGAAATTATACAGCTCTTTTAAAAATGAATGGGAAAACTTGGAAGCAACCAAGATGACCTTCAGTAGGTGAAAGGATAATTAAACTACGACAATCCAGATAATGGCATATTATTAAGCTCTAAAAAGAAATGAGCTATCAAGCCATGCAAAGAAATGGAGGAAACTGAAATGCATATTATGGAGTGAAAGAAGCCAATCTGAAAAGGCTGTGTAGTGTATGATTCCCGCTATATGACATCACAGAAAGGCAAAACTGTGGAGACAGTAAAAAGATCAGTGATTTCTAGGAGTTAGGGAAGAGGGAGGGATGAATAAGCAGGGCACAGGATTTTTAGGGCAGTGAAATTATTCTGTATAATATTACAGTGATGCATACATGTCATTACACATTTGTCAAAATCAATATAATGTACAACACCAAGAGTGAACACTAATGGACTTTGAAAGATAATGATGTGCCAAAGTGGGGTTCATCAGTTATATATACCACTCTGATGAGGGATGTTGATAGTGGGGGAGGCTCTATGTATTGGGAGGAGAGGGGTTTACAGGTACTCTCTGTACTCTTTGCCCAATTTTGCAATTAACCTAAAACTAGCCTAAAATAGAATCTATTTTTAAAAATACAATAAAACTCAACAAATGGGGTAGATATGATTATTTGTTAATATAATAAAATTTCTCTTAATTATAGAAACAATTGAATCTGTAGATTGAAGGGGTAATAAATGCTCTAGGAAAATACCAGATGATCTTACCCTGTATCTTAGTCCATTTTCTGTTGCTGTAACAGAATACCTAAAACTGGGTAATTTATAAAGAAAATAGGTTTATATGGCTCATGATTCTGGAGGCTGGGAAGTCCAAGAAGCATTGTGCCAGAATTTGCTTGACTTCTGGTGAGGGCCTCTTGCAATGTCAAAACATGGCAAAGAAACAGACGGAGAATTGTGTGCACACAAAGAGGGCAAAACATGAGAGGCAATTTCACTTCATAACAACTTGTCCTTGTGGGAATGAATCCATTCCCCTGAGAGGGAGAACGAACTCATTCTCAAGAGTGACCTTTCATGACCCAAATGCCTCTTAAAGGTCTCATCAGTTCTCAACACGGTTACATTGGAGACCAAGCTCAATATGAGATGTGGCGAGGACAAACCATATTCAAAGCATAGCACCCTAGTAAAATTATTGAACTTCAACTATAAATAAAGAATTCCCCCCAAATATCCATCAAAAGCAAGTCATCTACAGGGAAGAAAACAAGCTATTCTCAGATTTCTCCACAACAGTCTTTAATGCCAAAAAACAATGAGGACAATAGCTACATATTTCTAGTGAATGAAATTATATCCCGAGAACATTATAATAAGTTATGATGTTTTAAAAATATATAGGGAACAAACCTTAATTTTCAAATAGGAAAGATCTAGGGAAAACAGTATTATAAGCCCTTCTTGAAAGAACTAGTTGACAACAAAATCCAGATAATTAAGAGATTAATCAGAACAAAGTACTCAGTAATGGCCATGGCAAAAGCCCAGGTGATGAGCATTAAATTTAGGTAAGTATAGAATAACACTGAGTATATGCCAAAATTAATGGCACAGAACAAAATCGAATTGTTATTATAAGCCCCAACTATATAAAAAGTAAAAATTTAACTAAAAACAAATTAGAAAGGAGGGGTGAGGTGGGAAGAAATGTAATAGAGCAAATGATCTTGTTTTTGCATGCTGTAAATTCAATCAATCCTGCCTAAAATTTAGCCACATAGTTAAATGAAAAATCACAGCTCCAACCTCTTAATAGTATTCAAAATTCATTTAAATTGGGAGAGGGTTCAATGAGAGTCAGATACCACCAAAAATGTTTTCAGTCTACAAAATCACAATCTAGTAAATTGAGAGTTAAGAATAGCTTAAGAAAAAAAGAAAGGGCTACCTATAAAAAAGAAAATTCAAAATTTATATCAACACCACTCCAAATAAATAACCACAATAATATTTTCTTCATCAGTTTATTTAGTCCCAGGTAATTAATTGTTCTGTTGACCAGCACTCTGCTTTCATGAAACATGTTTGCTTTCAGACTGAAAAGATTCCTAAAATTCCTAACAGTCCATAGTACAGCCTGACAGCTTAACCAGCTGTCATAGTACAGCCTGACAGCTTAACCAGCTACAGATCTTAGCTAAAAGTCTATTTCCTAAAGTATCAATAGTTCATGGTACATTGGAAAGTCATTCCCTCAAGATTCTGAGACTATTTTCTTTTTTTGTTTGTTTTTGTTGTTTGTTGTTTGTTTGTTTGTTTTGAGACAGAATCTTTCTCTGTCACCCAGGCTGGAGCGCAATGGCATGATCTCCGCTCACTGCAACCTCTGCCTCCTGGGTTCAAGTGATTCTCCTACCTCAGCCTCCCAAATAGCTGGGATTACAGACACGCGCCACCACGCCGGCTAATTTTTGTATTTTTGATAGAAACAGGGTTTCACCGTGTTGGCCAGGCTCGTCTCAAACTCCTGACCTCAAGTGATCCACCCGCTTCAGCCTTCCAAAATGCTGGGATTACAGGCGTGAGCCACCGCAGCCGGCCCTGAGACTGTTTTCTTCACAAATTTTAACCTGTAGCTTATAGCAGAGCCTTCAGCAAGCATCAAGTGGAAGGATAAAACTGATAATACAACTGGATGGTTGTGGTTAATTTATCACAGTCACCGTAGCCAGTAGTATACAGACACAGAAAGGTAGATTTCTCTATTGGAAATAGAGAAATAACTATTTCTGAAGGGTTTGATCAATGAGTCCCTTAAAAATAATAATATATTATGAACTGTGAAAGCACTGACAAACCTCCAGGGCCTTGCCATAAAGTTTACAATCTCTAAAATATTTATATCAATAAAAATTTACCTATACAAACTTAAGAAGGTTGAGAATCTCTTCTGATCTGATAATTCTTTCCATGAAAATTTTACAATAGTGTTGAGTAATTAAGAAATATGTCAAAAAACACCTTAATTATTTCTGGCATCCCTTTCTGATATGGTAAAATAGCTTTTTTTTTTTTTTTTTTTTTTTTTTTTTGCTTTTCTAGGGACTTTTTGGGAAATCTCATAGACAATTTCAGATATTAAAGATAATCTAAAATTTTTATTTATATTTTAATGTAGGATTTGCTCTTGAAAGGCATAATTAAAAGAGATTTCAGAAAGATTTGGTCAGTTTATTAATACAGAATCATGAATGCTTAAGAAATAATGCCTATTAATGAAAGAGTCAAAAGAAAATAAAATAGACATAGAGAAAAGTAGCATGATTATAAAGAACCATAGCTCTTTCACAAGTGAGGAACATTTTTTTGTTGTTGTTTAGAAAAATCATAATTGTTTCCATAGTCACAAACCATTCCTCTGATTCCAGCAATGTGCCTTGAATGGTCTTGCGAATTACATGGGGTAAGACAGTTCTCACTGATAGGGGACTATACTGTAAGCCAGCCAGCCAGCCTTCCTGCCTGTCCGTTTTTCTTTTCCTTTTTTCCTTCCTTCCTTCCTTCCTTCCTTCCTTCCTTCCTTCCTCCCTCCCTCCCTCCCCCTCTTTTCTCCCCTTTATTCATTTATTTCTCTTTCTCTTAGAAGTGCTATTTTGCACACACACACAAAAATAGAAATTGAAAATATAATCAAATCAACAAAAGCAGAGAATTCAATTATGGTGAGATATGGAAACTGCTATCTGGGCAGATTACCAGGAAGGAAAGGAATACATACATCTTCTTACCCCTTGTAGAAGCTCTAAGACAAATTTATCATTTTTACAGAGAGAAATCTAAGCTCTAGTTTCAATTAATATGTTATTTGATTATTAAACCAATTAAAACTGAGCCAACTTTGTCAAAATAGAAACACATTTTGTTGCTTCTTTTCAGACTCAGCATTTGAAACTATTACAAACAAAGACAATTTAAAAATCCCTTTTTACAAACTTTTTCAACTTTCTATATACATTCTACATCAATTAAGGATAATAACACTTTTCTTCTTGCAGAACAAAACCTCACTCATTTACAACTGCAAATAAGGGGTTGCATTTCTCTGTCAGTATTGCTCCTTGTATAGTCTGAACCACATATAAACAAAGTGACTAATTTGTGTTTTTACAGGAAAATTTAAAAAGGGGTCATATATTTGAAAACTATCTGTCATATACAAGCATTCTGGCAGAGTAGCAAAGCTCATAAATACAAATAACACAACTTTTTGTAGCCACTCAAACCCCTTTTACACTTAGTTAAAATGACAAAAAGGAACACCTTTTTTACCATGACTCATAGATAAGGCTACTCTACAACATATTAGAAGGAAACATATCTGAATAAAAGTATATAAACTTAGTAATCAATGCTACAGTATCCAATCATTCTTAAGAATTATATTGGTGTTTAATAATTATCCATAAATTAACTCAATTTAAGATTAGTCCAGGATTTTAAATTAACTAAGGATGTATAAAATTTTATTTAAGCTACTAAAATACATAACATAATTGCTGTTAGTATAAAGTTTGTTAGAACAGAGAATCAATTTAGCTGATCACAAATTTATATTTTTAATAATTTTAAATATATAGAAAAAACGTGAGCTTATTTGATTATTAAACCAATATTAGAAGTTTCGAAAGTTTAAAATAACTATTCTGTTCATGAGGTATGGTAAATCAAAATCTTATTAAAAATATAAAATGTGCACTTGTCCTATGCCTCCTTCTGATAAATTCAAAGAAATGATATAAATTATCATTTATTTTAAACCAAAATTACTAATTTAGGCTAATGTGTCAAAATACTAATCTTTATCATATAAACTTGGATTTCAAAAACATTTCTAAGCTAGTAGTTTTTAAAATACTAGAATTTCAATTTCTTTATTTCCTGTGAATTTTGGGAATATCCTATTTACATAAGCACATATCCTTAAAACCAATCAGAACAGAGCTTCTTTAAGACATGTAATAATGTAATACGTTAAAACCCTCTGTAAGTAGAAAAATATTTCACACTCACATAATGAAAGGTAAAGGCCTTTCTCAAGAACAGAGACACAGAGATACATGAAGAGCTTATAGCTATAGTTCTACAACCTTAGCTGCAGGTCAAAAATAAACATAGAATCACAAAATCTCACTGGTGCAAATCTCAAAGGGATTTTCTCCTTCTCAGATGGCAAGGAATTCTTAACTGATTTGAGCTTACAAGTAGACAAACAGACAAACAAACAATAAAGACCAACACTTCAGATTTTCTGTTGTCTTTCATCCAACAACATAGATATGTACCATCCTTCCAACAGCGATTGCCACATGGGTCAGGTGGTATAAAGAAAATCTCAACTATTACTGCCACCAATGGAGAATAACTTTTTGGCCATACATTCACCAGAAATAAAAACACAAAATCAATAGGAAAAACAAAAATAAGACAAAAACAAAAATAGAAAATAAACAAGGTTTAAGTTACATTGTTGCTTCAGATTTATTCTGAGAGCCAAGCAAACATCTAACTGGGCTGAAACTGTCCCTGAGGTGCACTTCCCCGGCATTGCAATTTACTTGGCTCCATCAGGTGCGGCCATGTGGATATTTAAGTAGATGACCTCCAAAACTGTAAAAGTATAATTTTCCAAAAGACCAAGTCAGAGCTCTCATGCATACATAAAATAAATATGTGTCACATATTTCATAAAACTCATTAATTAATTAGGGAAACACTAAGATTATAAAAAAAAAGTCCAAAAACATTTGAGAATTTAGGTATTAATAGGCAGTGTTACAGTGAGATTTCTGAATTAGACACAAAACTGGTCAACGACCTACATGACCATAAACTGGAACTTCTGGGGTAGGGTTGCCAGATAAAATATAGGACACTCAGTTAAATGTAAATTTCAGATGAACAATGTTGTTTTCTTTTTTAAGTACAAGTATGTCCCAAATACTGCAGGCACTTTTTAGTTGCTAAGTCTGGCAACTCTACAATGGGATTATCTGTTCTATGGAACAGAAATGATTTGCATTTCTTCTGGACAAAAATTTACAAATTAAACTCTGCCCCTCCAGAAATGTTAAATATGTTAAATAGCCCAGACAATAGAAAGTCAAGCACAGAACTGCACTGAAAGAACTGCTAGTAATCTTTCTTACCTATTTCCAAATTTTTGATAACTTTTCCAGTGAATAAAGAATAGCTGGCTGGGTGAGGTGGCTAATGCCTGTAAATCCCCGAACTTTTGGAGGCCGAGGCAGGTGGATCACAAGGTCAGGTGTTTAAGACCAGCCTGGCCAACATGGTGAAACCCCGTCTCTACTAAAAATACAAAAAAATAAGCCAGGCATGGTGGTGGACACCTGTAATCCCAGCTACTTGGAGGCTGAGGCAGAGAATCGCTTGAACCCGGGAGGCGGAGGTTGCAGTGAGCCGAGATCACGGCACTACACTCCATCCTGGATGTCAGAGTGAGACTCTGTCTCAAAAAAAAAGCCTAGAGTGGAAAATATTATTTATTACAAAGTAACATTGGAGATTAAGATATAAACAACAACCATAAATATTATTTCCTTAATTCTCTTTATATTCAATTTGAGAAAGCATTAGTCATTTTTCCCAGAGTACTATTTGCATTCAGGAGGTATTCTGATATTTGAGACTGCATATCATAGTCATAAACGCAGAATGGAAAGGTTATTTTTAGCCTTCTGGCTTTCTCAATTGCAGAACAATATTTTCTTCCAGAAAAGAAAACATAAAAGACCTCACAATCAGATAACAAGGCAAAAATTGTTCACGAGTATTACTTTAACAAGGTCTGTAGCTCTATCCTCCTGCTGTGTTCATCTCTGAAGCAAAGATAGCCATTCTACACTTCTAAACTATGAGTCTAGCCCTCAAGGAATTTTCCTAGCCAGCAGGAAACTATATAAGAACTATATAAATTTGATTTTAAAGGAAAAGCTAATGAGTAAATGATGTTAGTTGCAAAATTTCAGCAAAGAAGAAATCTACTCAATAGCTAGACAGACAATAATGTCCACATGATATCTATATAAAATGATCCCTCCAATGCAATCGGGCTATTTTGAGGTATTCATTCATTCTTCAAAGATTTATTGAGCTCTACGTATGTGTTAGACTTGGTGATACCAATACAAACAACAAACAAATTGGATTCTTACCCTTATGAGCTTATGTCTAGTCTGTTTGTATGAAAAGAGGGAGAGAACAAACAAGAGAAAAACTACTATATAGAAGCTTAGTAACCAAACTTTAAGAAACTCTACAAACGAATTTTTGAACTCAAGGTTTAAATTTGTTCTTTGAAATACTGACAGTTTAATGAAAGACCAATCTTAGCTTGACAAGGAAATTATGATTTTTGTTTGTTGGTTTAAACTTTTGCAATTTAGGAAGCAATGTCAAAAACAACAACTCAGTCAAAATGCCATTTTGGAGAGACAGAGAATGAAAATCTGAATTTAAAAAGAGAAGTACAATTGTAGTATTAGAAAGGTACCAACATATCTATTTATAATTATAAAAGTAATGGTTAGTACTGAATGGTCTTGTAAAATAGGCAGATCATAAGGTAAGAGTAAGCTCTGTTCAGACACCATTATTCAAGCAATAATCAATTTGGCAACACGGGAACTTACCGGAATCAACTGGGGAAAATTTTCAAACTACACAGAAATACCCCATCCTTCAGATTTGAATATTCTTTTGGTGGTTGTAATCACCAGTTGCCTATCCAGAACAGATTCTCCCCTAATGAAAACACGGATTTATTGAGAGCACTCTGTGTCCATTAGTGCTCACCTCTCCAGACAACTGAACTTGACTCTGTGACCCCATCTAACTAATTAGATAAAAGTGAAAATCTACTGCATGGCCAGAGATTTCTGTAGAATATCATGGATGGTGAACTAGGCTGTGATATAGCTACGGATCAGTGGATAACAAAGGACCAGAACAAGAGTAGAAGAAAATTGTAGATTTCTGGAAAATCTACAGTTTTCCTGAAAAACAAAAAAAAAAGAGAGACAAATTTAGTTTGCTCTTTACCACTGTCCCCTTCTTCCTGCCTGAAATGGGGAATCATAGCTAAAGGCAATGCCAACGTCTTTCCATCATGAGGAACCAAACTTTAAGACTGGAGGATTAGAAAGCAAATAGGAGCCTGAGCCACAATTACTTTGTTGAGCAGCTACACTTTGCTTGGGCTGCTTATCTCTTAACTTCTGGATCAGCGAGGAAAAAATAGGTAAACTATTAAGGCAAGTCATGTAATTTGGTTTCTCTCACATGCAGCAATATCCAATCCTAACAGTGTAACAGAAGTGGAGGGAAAAGAGGAAGGGGGAAGGTGAATATTTACATTTTAAACTTGCTCCTGGGAAATTCTAATGTGAACCTCTTTTGTTTTATAAGGAGGAACTGTTCACGTACTCCATGACATCTAGACTAGGGTTTTGCAAACTTTAATGTGTATACAAATCAGCCAAGGTTCCTGTTAAAATGCAGACTCTCCAATTCCATTGGTATGGAGTGGGGCCTAGGATTCTGACATTTTAGCAAGCTTCCATGTGATGCTAATCATTCTACTCTTTGCACCAAACTCTGAGTAGCAAGGAGTTAGACACAAAACTGAACAATAATCTTAACTGGCATTGTACACAGTGACCATTCAGTTCAGATGGCTCTCCTTAACTGTATCTGAAAGATTTGTTTTAACCCAGAGCCTTATAATGAAAAACATAATGGAACCTACCATATGGAAATAATTATACATATTTTACTGAACATTAAACATTCTCTCTCCCTCTGACTCTCTCTATTCTACCTATACACACATAAGCATTACTAAGGTATAATTTTTTAAAATTATAATTATAATTTGTATGTCAAAGATTTTATTCAAAAACGAATTAATGAAGGTAACAGCAAAATGTTAAGACTGATTCAAAGAACATTTGAGAAGATAGCTATTGGTTGAAAATTCAATAAAGAATGTTAGCAGAAGATTGTTGGGTTAAATACAAAACCGATAATTGTCTACAGGGCAATAAACTCTAAGCTGCGGAGTTATCTTTTCTGTGGGATAACTTATTTGCATCTCTACTGGATAAAAATTTTCCACTTAACATGTAACCTCACAAATAGCCTTGATAGCATATTCGTATGTAAGATAAACACATATATAAGATATAATAATTACCAAATGTTGCTGTGGTATAAATGCTATTAACTCCAATCCAGACTTGCTGGGGGGCAAGAAAATGGCTTAGCTACAAGTAATTGGAGGAAATGTTATATCCAGATTTGCTTCTACTCTTGTTCTGGTCCTTTGTTATCCACTGATCTTAGCTATATCACAGCCTAGTTCACCATCCATGATATTCTACAGAAAGCAGTTCTCTTTAGTTGCTTCAGAGAAAACTCCATGGACATCTCAGTTGTACTGTGAGTAACTACTCAAAGGGAAGGCTATAGAGCAGAAACTACGCCCCTTGTATTTTAAATAGCTCTGTAGCTCAAATGCTAATTATTACTTAGCAAACACATAAAAATTCTGGTATAAGAGATACATCTCTTCCAATACACAGACTGTAAAACAGGCTATTGCAGTTACATTTTATGCATAGATAGATAACTTTTTCTCTCAGCAGTTGGGGCAAAAGTAGAAGAGCCTACCCTGCCTTTTGGAGGAAGAAAATAATTATTTTATTTTATTTTATTTTATTTTATCTTTTGAGACGGCGTTTTCGTCTTGTTGCCCAGGCTGGAGTGCAATGGCACGATCTCAGCTCACTGCAACCTCTGCCTTCCGGGTTCAAGCGATTCTCCTGCCTCAACCTCTTGAGTAGCTGGGATTACAGGTGTGTGCCACCACACCAGGCTAATTTTTGTATTTTCAGTAGAGACGGGATTTCACCACGTTGGTCAGGCTGGTCTTGAACTCCTGACCTCAGGTGATCCACCTGCCTTGACTTCCCAAAGTGCTGGGATTAGAGACATGAGCCACTGTGCCCAGCCAAGAAAATAATTTTTTAAGAGAGTACTGCCTCAAAACTTTTCCACAAATTGCTTAAAATATCATAGCCCACAACTGAGTTCCAGCTATGGCTGAGTGAGGAGGTTGGCAAATTCTCTTCCCAAAAAGAAACTATGAAGCTGAACAGAACCGATAAAAACAACCATCTGAGCACTATGGTATAGATTAAAGACATACAACAATGTAAGAAATATTTATGCTTAAAAAATTCTGAATTTTTAAAAAGAAGAGTAGGAATCTGTGACATTTTTGCCTGGGGTGCCTGGGGCTGCTCCCAACACCTCCCAGCTCTATTCTCATGGTGGTTCTGCCAGAGCAGGGCAGGCCATGAGGACTGAGAGCTTCACTGATATGGTCATTCTCTGCAGCCTGTTTGCACAGTGGCAGAATATACATTTGTTCCAAGCATACAGGGAACATTTAGAAAGATAGACCATATTTTAGGCCATAAGATAAGTCTCAATAACAGTAAACTGATTTAAGTCACATTAAATATATTCTCTGACCACAATGGAATTAAATTAGAAATCAATAACAAAATGATCTCTGTAAAATCCACAAATCTCTGAAAACTGTCATACTTCTAAATAACCCAAAGATCTAAGAGGTCAAACAAAAGTAAAATTACAAGCCTTTATAACTTAATGTAAATTAAAACACAATATGTTAAAACACATAGGGTACCTCTACAGAGGCATTAAAGGACAAAATGCCAATATTAGAAAAGAAAAAAGTTCTCGAATAAATTACTGCAAGTTTTATCTTAAGACACTAGAAAAAAGAAGTGTAAATTAAGCCCAAAGCAAATAGAAGAAATCAAATAGTAAAGATCAGAGTAGAAATCAGTAAAATGAAAACATAAACAATAAAGAAAAATCAATGAAACCAAAAACTGGTTTTTGGAAAGTTTTTTTAAGTATTGTATAAATTTAAGGGGTACAAGTGCAGTTTTGTTACATACATATGTTGTGTAGCGTTGAATTGTGGTCTTTTAGTGTAACTATCACCTAATTAGTGTACATTGTACCTATTAAGTATTTATCATCCCTTACTAGCTTCCCAAAAGTGATAAACTTTTAGCCAAGCTAGCCAAGAAAAAAAATACACAAATTATGAATATCAAGCATGGAAGAAGTAGCACCATTAGAGATTCTAGAAAATATAAAAGGATGATGGACTATTATGAGCAATTTATGTCAAAAAATTTGAAAACTTTGATAAAATGGGCAAATTACTGGAAAGCATGTACAACAAGAGCTCACTAAAGAAAAAACAGATAATCTGAATAATCCTATATATATTAAAGAAATTGAAATTTGTAGTTAAAAACCTTTCCACAAAGAGAACTCCAGGATCAGATGGCTTCTTGTGAATTCTACCAAATAGTTAAGGAAAGAATAATACCAATTCTACACAAACTGTTCAGAATTGAAGTGGAGAGAATACCTCAACTCACTTACTAAGACCAACATTATATTATTAACAAAACCAGCCAGAAAACTGATAAGAAAAGAAAACTATGGACCAATGCTATGGTTTAAATGTGTCCCCAAAGTCCGTGTATTGGAAACTTAATCCCTAATAACGTGATGTAGAGAGGGTGAAACTTTAAGAAGTGAATAGGTCATAAAGGTTCTGCCTTCATGAATGGAATAATGCCATTATTGAGGGTGGGTTCATTATTGCAGGAATGGATTCTTTGTAAAAATGAGTAGGTCCCTTTCTTCCTCTCTCACCATGTAATACCTTCCATCATGTTATGACACAGCACGAAGGCCCTCACCAGATGCAGGCCCCTTGATCTTGGGCTGTCCAGACTCCAGAACAATGAACCAGATAAATTTCTGTTCATTATAAATTACCCAGTCTGTAGTATTTAGTTATAGCAGTTATAGCATATGAGCCTCCACTTCCAGCCTACAACAGGCTTATTTGTAATAACCAAAAGCTAGAAAGAGATACAAATGTCCATCAACAGTTGAATAGAATAAAAGCAAAAATATCTGTGGTACAGTCATACAATGGGATTACTTCTCAGCAATAAAAAAGGAATTGCTATGGTCTGAATGTTAGTGTTCCCCTAAATTCATGTGTTGAAATCCTGACCTCCAAGGTGATGGTATTAGAAGGTAGAGCCTTTGAGGGTGATTAGTTCATGAAGGTGGATCCCTCATGAATGGGGTTACTGCCTTTCTAAAAGAGACCCCAGTGAGCTATCTAGCCCCTTCCATCATGTGAGGACACACTGAAAAGTCATCTCATATCAACCAGAAAGTGGGTTATCATCAGGCATTAAATCTACCAGCACCTTGATCTTGGACTTTCCAACCTCCAGAACTATAAGAAACAAATCTATACTGTTTTTAAACTACCCAGTTTATGGTATTTTGTTATAGAAGCCCAAATAGAACAATACAGAAATGAACCATTGATGCATGCTACAATATGGAAGAATCTCATAGTAAATATGCCGAGTGAAATAAATCAGACCAAAAAGAGTACATAGGCAGGAGAGCTGGCAAGATGGCCGAATAGGAACAGCTCTGGTCTGCAGCTCCCAGCGAGATGAACAGAGAAGGCAGGTGATTTCTACATTTCCAACTGAGGTACCCAGCTCATCTCATTGGGACTTGGTTAGACAGTCAGGGCAGCCCACAGAGGGTGAGCTGAAGCAGGGTGAGGTGTCACCTCACCTGGGAAGCACAAAGGGTCAGGGAACTCCCTCCCCTAGCCAAGGGAAGGTGTGAGGGACTGTGCCGGGAGGAACGGTGCATTCCAGCCCAGATACTACACTCTTCCCATGGTATTCACAACCTGCAGACCAGGAGATTCCCTCAGGTGCCTACACCACCAGGGACCTGGGTTTCAAGTACAAAACTGGGTGGCCATTTGGGCAGACACTGAGCTAGCTGCAGGAGTTTTTTTTCATACCCCAGTGGCGCCTGGAATGCCAGCAAGACAAAACCATTCACTACACTGGAAAGGGCACAGCAGCCAGGGAGCCAAGTGGTCTAGCTCAGCAGATCCCACCCCCATGGAGCCCAGCAAGGTAAGATCCACTGGCTTGAAATTCTCACTGCCAGCATAGCAGTCTGAAGTCCACCTGGGACGCTTGAGGTTGGTAGGGGGAGGGGCGTCTGCCATTACTGAGGCTTGAATAGGCGGTTTTCCCCTCACAGTGTAAACAAAGCCACAGGGAAGTTCAAACTGGGTGGAGCCAACGGCAGCTCAGCAAAGCCACTGTAGCCAGACTGTCTCTCTAGATTCCTCCTCTCTGGGCAGGGCATTTCTGAAAGAAAGGCAGCAGCCCCAGTCAGGGGCTTATAGATAAAACTCCCATCTCCCTGGGACAGAGCACCTGGGGGAAGGGGTGGCTGTGGGTGCAGCTTCAGCAGACTTAAACGTTCCTGCCTGCCAGCTCTGAAGAGAGCAGCTGATCTCCCAGCACAGTGCTTGAGCTCTGCTAAGGCACAGACTGCCTCCTCAAGTGAGTCCCCGACCCCCATGCCTCCTCATGGGAGACATCTCCCAGCAGAGGTCGACAGACATCTCATACGAGACAGCTCTGGCTGGCATCTGGCAGGTGCCCCTCTGGGACAAAGCTTCCAGAAGAAGCAACAGGCAGCAATCTTTGCTGCTCTGCATCCTCAGCTGGTGATACCCAGGCAAACAGGGTCTGGAGTGGACCTCCAGCAAACTCCAGCAGACGTGCAGCAAAGGGGCCTGACTGTTAGAAGGAAAACTAACAAAGAGAAAGGAATGGCACGTCCACTCAAAGACTCCATCCGAAGGTCACCAACATCAAAGACCAAAGACAGCTAAATCCACGAAGATGGGGAGAAACCAGCGCATAAAGGCTGAAAATTGCAAAAACCAGAACTCCTCTTCTCCTCCAAAGGATCACAATTCCTCGCCAGCAAGGGAACAAAAGTGGACGAAGAATGAGTTTGACAAATTGACAGAAGTAGGCTTCAGAAGGTGGGTAATAACAAACTCCTCCAAGCTAAAGGAGCATGTTCTAACCCAATGCAAGGAAGCTAAGAACCTTGAAAAAAGGTTAGACGACTTGCTATCTGGAACAACCAGTTTAAAGAAGAACATAAATGACCTGATGGAGCTGAAAAACACAGCACGAGAACTTCGTGAACCATACACAAGTATCAATAGCCAAATCGATCAAGCAGAAAAAAGGATAACAGAGATTGAAGATCAACATAATGAAATAAAGGGTGAAGACAAGATTAGAGAAAAAAGAATGAAAAGGAATGAACAAAGCCTTCAAGAAATATGGGACTATGTGGAAAGACCAAATCTACATTTGACTAGTGTACCTGAAAGTGATGGGGAGAATGGAACCAAGTCGGAAAACACTCTGCAGGATATTATCCAGGAGAACTTTCACAACCTACCAACACAGACCAACATTCAAATTCAGGAAATACAGAGAAAACCACAAAGATACTCCTTGAGAAGAGCAACCCCAAGACACATAAACGTCAGATTCACCAAGGTTGAAATGAAAGAAAAAATGTTAAGGGCAGCCAGAGAGGAAGGTCGGGTTACCCACAAAGGTAAGCCCATCAGACTAACAGTGGATCTCTCTGCGGAAATCCTACAAGCCAGCAGAGTGGAGGCCAATATTCAACATTAAACAAAAAAATTTTCAACCCAGAATTTCATATCCAGCCAAACTAAGCTTCATAAGCGAAGAAGAAATAAAATCCTTTACAGACAAGGAAATGCTGAGAGATTTTGTCGCCACCAAGCCTGCCTTACAAGAGCTCCTGAAGGAAGCACTAAATATGGAAAGGAAAAACCAGTACAGGCCACTGCAAAAACATACCAAATTGTAAAGACCATCGACACTATGAAGAAACTGCATCAACTAACAGGCAAAATGACCAGCTAGCATTGTAATGACAGGATCAAATTCACACATAACAATATTAACCTTAAGTGTAAAGGGGCTAAATGCCCCAATTAAAAGACACAGACTGGCAAATTGGATAAAGAGTCAAGACCTATAGGTGTACTGTATTCAGGAGAGCCATCTCACGTGCAAAGACACACATGGGCTCAAAATAAAGGGACGGAGGAATATTTACCAAGCAAATGGAAAGCAAAAAAACAAACAAACAAACAAACAAAAACAAAAACAACAGGGGTTGCAATCCTAGTCTCTGAGAAAACAGGCTTTAAACCAACAAAGACCAAAAAAGACAAAGAAGGGCATTACATAATGGTAAAGGGATCAACGCAACAAGAAGAGCTAACTATCCCAAATATATATGCACCCAATACAGGAGCAGCCAGAGTCATACAGCAAGTTCTTAGAGACCTACAAAGAGACTTAGACTCCCACACAATAATAGTGGGAGACTTTAACATCCCACTGTCAATATTACATCAACAAGACAGAAAATTAACAAGGATATTCAGGACATCAACTCAGCTCTGGACTAAGAGGACCTAATAGGCATCTACAGAACTCTCCACCCCAAATCAACAGAATATACATTCTTCTCATCACCACAATGCAATTATTCCAAAATTAACCACATAATTGGAAGTAAAACACTCCTCAGCAAATGCAAAAGAATGGAAATCCTAACAGTCTCTCAGACCACAGTGCAATCAAATTAGAACTCAGGATTAAGAAACTCACTCAAAACCGCACAACTACATGGAAACTAAACAACCTGCTCCTGAATGACTACCAGGTAAAAAACAAAATTAAGGCAGAAATAAAGAAGTTCTTTGAAACCAATGAGAACAAAGACACAACTTACCAGAATCTCTGGGACACAGCTAAAGCAATGTTTAGAGGGAAATTTATAGCACTAAATGCCCACAGCAGAAAGCGAGAAAGATCTAAAATCGGCACCCTAATGTCACAATTAAAAGAACTAGAGAAGCAAGAGCAAACAAATTCAAAACTTATCAGAAGACAAGAAATAACTAAGATCAGAGCAGAACTGAAAGAAATAGAGACACGAAAAACCCTTCAAAAAAATCAATGAATCCAGGAGCTGGCTTCTTGAAAAGGTTAACAAAATAGATAGACCACTAGCTACACTAATAAAGAAGAAAAGAGAGAAGAGTCAAATAGACACAATAGAAAATGATAAAGGGGTTATTACCACTGATCCCACAGAAATACAAACTACCATCAGACAATACTATAAACACCTCTATGCAAATAAACTAGAAAATCTAGAAGAAATGGATAAATTCCTGGACACATACACCCTCCCAAGACTAAACCAGGAAGAAGTCGAATCCCTGAATAGACCATTAACAAGTTCTGAAATTGAGGCAGCAATTAATAGACTACCAACCAAAAAAAGCCCAGGACCAGACGGATTCACAGCCGAATTCTACCAGAGGTACAAAGAGGAGCTGGTACCCTTCCTTCTGAAACTATTCCGATCAACAGAAAAAGACAGAATCTGCCCTAACTCATTTTATGAGGCCAGCATCATCCTGATACCAAAACCTGGCAGAGACATAACAACAACAAAAAATGTTCAGGCCAATATCCCTGATGAACATAGATGCGAAAATCAACAATAAAATACTGGCAAACCGAATCCAGCAGCACATCAAAAAGCTTATCCACCACGATCGAGTCGGCTTCATCCCTGGGATGCAAGGCTGGTTCAACATATGCAAATCAATAAACGTAATCCATCATATAAACAGAACCAATGACAAAAAACACATGATTATCTCAACAGATGCAGAAAAGGCCTTCAATAAAATTCAACACCCCTTCATGCTAAAAACTCTCAAAAAACTAGGTATTGATGGAAAGTATCTCACAATAATAAGAGCTATTTATGACAAACCCACAGCCAATATCATACTGCACAGGCAAAAGCTGGAAGCATTCCCTTTGAAAATCAGCACAAGACAAGGATGCCCTCTCTCACCACGCCTATTCAACATAGTATTGGAAGTTCTGGCCAGGGCAATCAGGCAAGAGAAAGAAATAAAGGTATTCAAATAGGAAGAGAGGAAGTCAAATTGTCCCTGTTTGCTGTGACATGATTGTATATTTAGAAAACCCCATCGCCTCAGCCCAAAATCTCCTTAAACATATACGCAACTTCAGCAAAGTCTCAGGACACAAAATCAATGTGCAAAAATCACAACCATTCCTATACACCAATAATAGACAAACAGAGAGCTAAATCATGAGTGAATTCTCATTCACAATTGCTACAAAGAGAAGAAAATACCTAGGAATCCAACTTACAAGGGATGTGGAGGCCCTCTTCAAGGAGAACTACAAACCACTACTCAAGGAAATAAGAGAGGACACAAACAAATGGAAAAACATTCCATGCTCATGGATAGGAAGAATCATTATCATGAAAATGGCCACATAGATTCAATGCTATCCCCACCAAGCTACCATTGACTTTCTTCACAAAATTAGAAAAAACTACTTTAAAGTTCATATGGAACCAAAAAAGGGCCCACATAGCAAAGACAATCTTAAGCAAGAAGAACAAGCTGGAGGCATCATGCTGCCTGACTTCAAACTATACTACAAGGCTACAGTAAACAAAACAGCATGGTACTGGTACTAAAACAGATACATTGACCAATGGAAAAGAACAGAGGCCTCAGAAGTAATGCCACACATCTACAACCATCTGATCTTTGACAAACCTGACAAAAACAAGCAATGGGGAAAGGATTCCCTATTTAATAAATGGTGTTGGGAAAACTGGCTAGCCACATGCAGAAAACTGAAACTAGATGCCTTCCTTACACCTTATACAAAAATTAACTCAAGACGGATTAAAGACTTAAACCTAAGACCTAAAACCATAAAAACCCTAGAAGAAAACCTAGGTAATACCATTGGACATAAAATCCCTAGTAAAACCTAGGACACAGGCATGGGCAAAGACTTCATGACTAAAACACTAAAAGCAATGGCAACAAAAGCCAAAATTGACAAATGGGATCTAATTAAACTAAAGAGCTTCAGTGCAGCAAAAGAAACTATCATCAGAGTGAACAGGCAACCTACAGAATGGGAGAAAATTTTTCAAATCTATCCATCTGACAAAGAACTAATATCCAGAATCAACAAGGAACTTAAACAAATTTACTAGAAAAAAACAAACGACCCCATCAAAAAGTGGGCGAAGGATACGAACAGACACTTCTCAAAAGAAGACATTTATGTGGCCAACAAACATATGAAAAAAAGCTCATCATCACTGGTCATTAGAGAAATGCAAATCAAAACCACAATGAGATACCATCTCACGCCAGTTAGAATGGAAATCGTTAAAAAGTCGGGAAACAACAGATGCTGGAGAGGATGTGGAGAAACAGGAACGCTTTTACACTGTTGGTGGGAGTGTAAATTAGTTCAACCATTGTGGAAGACAGTGTGGCGATTCCTCAAGGATCTAGAACCCGAAATGCCATTTGATCTAGCAATCCAATTACTGGGTATATACCCCAAAGATTATAAACCATTCTACTATAAAGACACATGCACATGCATGTTTATTGCAGCACTGTTCACAATAGCAAAGACTTGGAACCAACCCAAATGCCCTTCGATGATAGACTGGATAAAGAAAATGTGGCACATATACACCATGGAATACTCTGCAGTCATAAAAAAGGATGAGTTCATGTCCTTTGCAGGGACATGGATGAAGCTGGAAACCATCATTCTCAGCAAACTAACACAGGAACAGAAAACCAAACACCACATGTTCTCACTCACAAGTGGGAGTTGACCTATGAGAACACATGGACACAGGTAGGAGAACATCACGCACTGGGCCTGTTGTGGCAGTAGGGGGCTGGGGAGGGATAGCATTAGGAGAAATACCTAATGTAGATGACGGGTTGATGGGTGTAGCAAACCACCAGGGCACGTGTATACCTATATAACGAACCTGCATGTTCTGCACATGTATCCAAGAACTTAAAGTATAATTAAAAAAAAGAGTACATAATGTATTACTCAATGTATATGAAATTCAAGAAATTAGAAACTAATCTATAGTGACAGAGTATATCAGTGTTTTCGGAGGGACCTGAGGTGAGGAAGGGGCAAAAGGGAGGCATTAGAAAAAGTTCGGAAGTGATGTACGTGTTTATTTTTTTTATTATGGTGATGGTTTTATTGGTGTATACATGTGACAAAACTCATTAAGTTGTCGGACTTAAATATGTACTGTTTATTGTAGCAAAATAAAGCTGTTTAAAAAAAACGTCAAGTCCCACAAAGAAAATGTCAGGTTCATGGAACCAAATCAAATGCCCATCAATGATAGACTGGATAAAGAAAATGTGGCATACATACACCATGGAATACTATGCAGCCATAAAAAGGAATGAGATCATGTCCTTTGCAGGGACATGGATGAAGCTGGAAGCCATCATCCTCAGCAAACTAACACAAGAGCAGAAAACCAAACACCCCATGTTCTCACTCATAAGTGGGAGTTGAACATTGAGAACACATGGACACAGAGAGGGGAACAACACATACCAGGGCCTGTTGCAGGGTGGGGGTGAGGGGAGGAACCTAGAGGACGGGTCAATAGGTGCAGCAAACCACTATGGCACAAGTAGACCTATATAACAAACTTGCACATTCTGCACATGTATCACGTTTTTGTTTTTGTTTTTAGAGGAAATAAAGAAAAAAAAAGTCAGGTTCAAATGGTTACACTGGTGAATTTTATCAAATTTTTTAAAAATATAAAAAATTTTTACAAACTTTTTCAGTAAATACTGGAGGAGGGAACACATTTTCCAAAGCCTTCTATGAGGCTAGTATTACTCTAATATAAAAACTAGACAGACATTATAAAGAAACCTACAGACCAGTATCCCTCATTAACGTAGACACAAAAAATATTCTTTAAAAAAATTAACAAATCAAATCCAGCAACATAGAAAAGGATTATACACCATAAAAAATTGAAATTTATTAAAAGAATGAAAGGGTAATTTGACATAAGAAATTAAGTCAATATAATATCATATTAATAAAGGACAAAAACACATACTCATCTGAAAAGATACAGGAATTTAACAAAATACAACACTCAATCATGTTAAGAACACTCAAAAATCAAGGAATAGACGGGAACTTCCTGTTCTTCCTCAGATCAGGAACAAGACAAGGATGTCTACTTTTGCCATTTCTATTCAACATAGTACTGGAAGTTTTAGCAGAGCAAATGGGGAAGCAAAAGAAATACAATTTATGTCTAATTGCAGATATCATGATTTTATATATAAAAATCCTAAGAATTTTTTTTAAAAAAACCTATTAGAGCTAATGAAAAAATTCAGCAATGTTTCTGGATACAAGATGAATATACAAAAATCAATTGTATTCCTATATACTAACAAAAAATAATTTGAAAATGAAATTAAGAAAATGATTTCATTTTAATAGCATCAAGAAGAATAAAATACTCGGGAGTAAATTTAACAAAAGAAGTGCAAGACTTGTACACTGAAAAATATAAACAATAAATAAATTAATATCTAATTAAGTAGAAAGACATCCCATTTTCATAAATCAAAAGATTTAAGATTGTTAAGATGGTAATAAACCCCATATGTATCTAAAGATTTAATATAGTCCATATCAAAATTCCAACAGGCTTTCCTACAGTAACTGAAAGTGTAATTTGAAAATTTATATGGAAATGCAAATGATTTAGAACACCACAAAAGCATTGAAAAATAATAAAGTTAGAGAATACGTACTACCCAATTTCAAACACTCATGAAGCCACAATAATCCAGACAGTACGGCACTGGCCCAAGGATAGACATGTAGATCAGTGGAAAAGAATTTAAAAACCAGAAATAAATCCCTGCATTTATGATCAACCGATTTTTGACAAAACAGCTAAGATATATCAACAGGAAAAGGATAGTCTCTTCAACAAACTTAATAATAATAATAATAAAAGAAGAGGAGGAGGAGGAACTTTGGCTCTTAACCAACCACATACATTTAAAAAGTAATGAAATAGATAACAGACCTAAATGTAAAAGCTGAAACTATAAAACTTCTGGAAGAAAACATAGGAGAAAATATTCATGACCTTGGTTTAGGCAGCGTTTGTGATATGACTTCAAAGCACTATTCATAAAAGAACAAATTGACAAATTAGACTTCATCAAAATAAAAACCTTTTGTACTTTAAAAGATATCTCTATTTAGAGAATGGCAAGCCTCATCATAGATTGGGAGAAAATATTTTCAAATCATATATATGATATAGGACCTTTATCCAGAATAAAGAAGAACACTTCAAATTCAATAAAAATATAAACAGCCCACTTGAAATGATCAAAATATTTGAATTGACATTTCACGAAAAAGTACAGCCACTCTAGAAGACAGCTTGGGAGTTTCTTACAAAACTAAATATTCTCTTAACATACAATTCAGCAACTGCCCTCCTTGGAATATACCCAAATGAGGTGAAAACTTATGTCCACACAAAAGCCTGCACACAAATGTTTACAGCTTTATTCATAATTGCCAAAATTTGGAAACAACCACGATATCCTTCAATTGGTGAACGAATAATCAAACTGTGGTAGATCCATACAATGGAATATTATTCAACGATTTAACAAATGAGCTTTGAAGCCACAAAAAGGCATGGAGGAAACGTAAATACATGTTGCTAAGTGAAAGAAGCCACTCTGAAAAGGCCACATACTATATTATTCCAACTACATGAAATTCTGGAAAAGGAAAAATGATAGAGACAGTAAAAAGATCAGTCTTTGCCAGGCAATTGAGTGGGGAGGGAGGGATGACTAGGTGGAGTATGGGGGAATTATAGGGCAGAAAATCTATTCGGTATGAAACTGTAACAGGACACATGTCATTATATATTTCTCAAAGCTGATAGAATGTAGAGCACAAAGAGTGAACTCTAATGTAAACTATGGACTTTAGTAAATAATAATGCATCACTATTGGCTCATCAATTGTAACAAAAGTACCATACTAATGCAAGATGATAATAACGAGGAAAACTGTTGAGGAAAGGGTGAGTGGATGTGTGGGAACTCTGTACTTTCCACTCATGTTTTTTGTGAACCTAAAGCTGCTCACAGAAATAAACTCTTATGTAACCCTTGAGAAGTCTCAACAGACATGGTTTCCTATTTATAATTGTGGCCAGCGCTTGAAAAGTCAGGTTGGAGAGGTTGTCAAAGGAATAAATAAAAGGTAGATTCCTTTCTTCTATTCTCAGGATCATTCTGCTGCATTCATTCATTCACTCTGCTGCACTAAATTATACTGAACTTTTAATATCTAATTGATCTAATGTTTTAATACCCTCATGGATCTCATTATTCTTATAATACACTGAGTCTCTGCCATATATTTTAGGCCTTAATCATGCTATCTTGTTGCTTGAAGTGCAACATTATCTTCTCAACTAGTGCTTCTTATCCTTAGGGGCACAGAACAGGAACCCTTCTCCCGTGTTCGTCACAGACCCCAGTATCGTGCAGAATATAAATCAGGTTTAAAAATATTGCTTCATTTTCATGCTTAGAACAAATGTATTATAGTTTAAGAACGCCTGTATAGTATGGATTTACCATTGATTTGAAACTTAGAGCATTTGAGTTAAAAATGCTTCTTCATAAAAATGTCCTTTAAAAACATAAAGATATATGATTCATCATTTTTCAAAGTTATATAAACCCCCAAAGCTTCTATCATCTTCAGCTGGGGCCATGAAACTCCTCACAGCTTAACACACAGAAGCAACATTAAGGTAGCTCTTCACCTTTGTCTCTTCTGCTCGGCCATCTCGCTTACCTTCCATCCTCTCTGAGGACGGATGAGGTATAGAGAAGAAAGGATAAGGTGTGTCAGCCTGGGGAATAATCCAGAAAGGAAGGAGATCATATATTAAGTGACAATAGGCCTGGGCATTGGGAGAAATGACTTCGGATATCTTTGAAGTGAGCACACCAAGGGGCACTTCTGTGTGATGAGCATAAGCAAAGGATGCACAACCATGGACAAGGAGGTGGAAGGACTACATTGGCAGAAAAAGAAGAGATTTGAAAAGTTTAATTTGTGGTCTGATTATATAAAACATTGCTATAGTTACAAAGTCAAATCTATAAAGTAAGAAATACTCTGAAAAGTTTAGCTTCTATCTCTGTCCCTTTACCTTATTCCATACCTTCAACACAGTAGGGCTTTTAGTTTAAAATAGAGTCTGGCTAGCAGCCTCTGTTGAAACTTCTCTTAACCTGCAGTGAAAACAGCTTTGATGATATGAAAAAAGACAACTCCAAGCACTGAAAACTAGCCTTAATGTCAATCTGTTTTCAGAATGTGAGAGGAATTTCAACTAAAACAAGGCTGATGGAAAGAGATTTAAAAACATTGTTGCTGGTCCACCGTGCTAAGCTCCCTTACAAGTCTGTTGGAAGACTCTGTTCCTCTCAATCCTTTATTCAGGAACTCAAAGCTTATACTAACCAGAGAGTTGGGCATTTAGCCTTCTACTTGATGGGGCGTCATTCTACCCCTACCACGTCCACCAATTTGAGACTGAAATTTTCAGAAAGTGGATAGGAAGCTTCCTGGAGTATACTGAGTTCTAAAATGTAAGCTACTCACATATAAAACACCACAGGCAGAAATTGATAAATTAAAGGTCCAAAGGCAGTGCACAAAGGGAATTGTAGTATTTTTTAAATTATCTCTTAATTCCTCCAAATAATGAGGATAAGAGACTATTTCAGATTAGTTCAATAATCCTGTGTTACAAAATAGTATGATAATTGCAGAGAATTGGTTTGTAGACACCAACCAGTCTTCCAGCTATTGTTATGAGAAAGGGATTAGCTAAACAGTGAGGCCAAAGGCACTCACGTATCTTACCAATCACAAACATCAGTTCACGATATTCCTTGACTTGTGTGAAGACGAGCAAAACAGAAAAACACAACAGCACGGTATCTATTAAAAACAGAGAAAGGTATAGCATCTGAAAAACTCAGGAAGGGCAAAGCTCAAATCCTTAAAAGATCAGAAGATACCTTCTTAATGAAATAAGAGTACAGGCAAAAAAAGACAGTAGAACTATACATAAAGGAGAATGATATAAAAAAGATTACAATTGAAATTAAAAACCATGCAGAATTAAATCCCATTGGAGGCAGTAAAGAGCAAAATTCACTCTAAATAGTATCAAATTAGTGGAGTGCAGGTCACATTTGGGAAATTCTTACAGAAGGCAGAGAAAAAAGAATAAGAATTTAAACTAGTTTACAATATATAGAATAGAGTATGAGGAGTTAAATTTAAGAATGAAAGTCTTTTTTCAGGAAAACAGGGAACTAGAATACAAGCAATAATCAAATTCATGATTAAGAAAATATCATTAAGAGTAAAATTGCACAAAGCCAATTGAAAGGGCTCATGATACTCCAGGCAAAAATGATTAAAAGACTCTCAACTTTAGACACATGCTGACAATATTTTTAAATATTAGGAAAATAGGTTTATAAGTACCCATGTTAGATAGCAGAGATTAACTACAAAAATGACAACATTTAGGCTGGGCTCATATTTTCCCACTGTACCTAATACAATGCCTGGTACTTAGCCAAAACTCAATAAATATTCATTGAATAAATGAATAAAATAATGAATGAATGTGTAATGGCAACAGAAAACAAGACTCAGAAAATAAAAGATCTATGCTCTTCTAAAAGCAAAAAAAAAATTGAAGAATAAACCAGTTTCTTAAGGAATTACCGAAATAAACTCATCACATAGGGGAATGTTTTGGTACATGAACCCTGGTAGACTTAACCACGGGACTGTGAGTTATAAAAAGTTAATAACAAGTGTTAAGGACACAGAAGGCACTGCAGAAGAGAAACATATTGACTTTGAATATTGTCAGTTTACATTCATGGCTACTAGGGAAGAGGGAACTTCAGGAGGGTCTAGAGAACATGATTAATTCCAAACCAAAATAGAACTCCCATACTAAGAAGATAACTATAAATTATTTGAAAATTTCAGAAAGAAATTCTAAAGGAAGGAGATCACTAAAATATGTGTATATACCCCATATTCCTGTTCTCTTAGGAAATGTTTCCTTTTGTCTTGGAGATATTGGATTTTGAGCATGTTTTTCCAGTACACATTATGGGATGAGTAGGATGATTACAAAGGAACTATTAGGAATACTTAGAATAGAAGAGACTGAGGGACTTTTAAGTCCCTTACGTGGCTTGTAAGAACTTGTACAGCTCCTTCGCTGGCTGTTCACAAGAGGCAAATAAAAATAGCATCACAAGCCTAGAAAGACTTAGTTTGGGAACAGGTAGGTACACGGGACTGACAACTATCATGGGAGTCACAACTATAACTTTATTGCAAGAGACATGAGGAAATTCTATACCTCTGCCACCCAGACCTAAGAAAACATGTAGTCTGTTGAAGGTATTGGTCACTCAATCATAATCACATCTTAAAACTACACACTCTTATAGGCATAACCTTTTTTTTTTAATCAGTCATCTATTGCCACACTAATGCTACATAACAAATCATCTCAAGACTCATATGTATATCAAAACATCTTGTTATATACCTTAAATCTATACAATAAAAATAAATAAAAACAGCACAATGGCTTTGAAAAAAAAATTTATTATTTCTCGGGAATCTATGGGTTGACTGGGTGGTTCTGCTGATCTGATCCAGGCTCAACTGATCTTTGTGTCTTTGGTCAGCTGACAAGTTTGCTACTGTTCCATTAAACAAATTAAGTCATATGCCAAGCCTAAAGTCAGGGTGGATAGGCACTACCAAAAGGTACAACTATAGAAAGGTGTGAAATGGGGCCACAATAATCCTACTACATTATGGAAATGGACAGAAGGTATTCTTATAGTAAAATCTCCTCCAGAGTTCAATGACAGTAAACTAAAAGCAATTAAACTAGATTATAGCCCACGTGAACAAATATCCAATGCCTAGATATAAGACTAAAAGGAAGCACAAGAGAATGTTATTATGGTTTTTAGGGACTGACTTTAATTCTTTCGATATTTTCTTGAGGGTTTTCAAACTTTCTTTCTAGATAAAATATATTTTACAATAATACATTTATTTTCTTGGGTGTATCTATCTTGATGTGGCAAGTGTCATTAACGCTATCCTTTTTTTAATCACACAGCTTCTTTTCCCTCAAAACTCCTTATTACTGTCAAATGCTCCAAACACACAGACACACACACATGCCCACATATATATACACACTCTCCTTTCACAACAGTGCCTCTAAAACAGCTATATTTTTCCTAAGGGTTAGCTCGTATTATGGAATAGTTAGAGTAAGTGGTTCTCAACCTTGCTTGCTTATTGGAATCACTTGGACATTTGAAAAAGAACTGATTACTGGGCCCCACCCACAGGGCTTCTGATACAGTAGTCTGAAATGTGGCCTGCACATCAGAATTTTAAAAGCCCCCCCAACCCAAATTCTAATATGCAGATAAAGTGAAGAACCACTGATGTAGTGTTTGCCACGACTCCTTGTCATCTGACATTACTATATAATTGGCAATTTGTTCATCTGTTAAGACTGGTGGGGGTGATGGTTGGTGGAGAGAGAGAACACAGAGGTGAATTTTTCACACAAGCAGTATGAAATGTTTTCATAAGGTATTTTAAAGTGAGAGTCCTTTTAAAAATATTCTATTATCATAAAGACTTACGCTAGAAAATGATGACAATGCAATCAATGAAGTGAACACAAATCAACCCTTATAGTTAGCTTTCTAAGCCAAACATAACCACAAGATTAAGAAAACTTTTGAGAAGCTAAGAGATACATGAAAAGGTATGAATTAAAACTTTTATAAATTTAAGATTTTACTGAAGACAAGACCTACAATGGAGAGTAGATTATCAACATCTCGAAGACAGACAGACAATGTATTCATGATATAATAGATCAGTGAGTTGCTGTTAGATGAGTAAGATTTAGTGAGCTACCAACTGGGCATAAGGTAATTGACTCATTCTATAGCTCGCAAATACTCAGAATCCCATGAGTATCTAGGAAATGTTTTCAAATAACTAAAGAATATTTTGTTCTCATTCATAAGTGGGAGTTGAACAATGAGAACACATGGACATAGGGAGGGGAACATCACACACTGGGGCCTATCAGGGGGTAAGGGGCAAGGGGAGGGATAGCATCAGGAGAAATACCCAATGTAGATGATGGGTTGATGGGTGCAGCAAACCACCATGGCACATATATACCTATGTAACAAACCTGCATGTTCTGCACATGTATCTCAGAACATAAAGTATAAAAAAAAATATTTTGAATCAACATTCTAAAATATTTATCTTTTAAAACTGAAGACCAAAGGAGGGTATTTAGAAGGGATTAGGGTCATATCATGCTGGTATAGGATTCAGGTTAGTTGATCTACCATCATTAAAGGTATTCTAACTAGGGTAACCATATGGCTGGCTTTCTTAAGAGTCCCTGTTTATACCTGTTGTAAATCAATCCATGCCTGTTACTTATATTTAGTTCTGTATTTCATTTTCAAAAGTGTTAGTTCAGTTTGAACTAACTAGAATTCATATTTAAATAATATATTAAAATTTCTCCAAATGTAATTTAATTTCACACAATTTGCAGCAGGATCTTAGGTTTGGTTATAAATCCCACTGGCTAGATTTGTAGTCTTATTTATAAGCCAATATGTTATATTACACACACCAGCGTATATTTGGAATGTCTCTTCAGCTTTTCAAAGAGCATTTATATCTAGCATCTAATTTTGCCTTTGTTAACGTCACAAGAATCATATGAGATTGTGGTGTAGATGTATAGGTTTTCATGGGACTTTTACTTCATAGGGACAAATCTGTAAAGCACAGTCTCGATAATTTGGTTATTTTCTTCCAGAAACCAGAAGGCAGTGTTGTCTATGTCAAACATTACATTAACCTATTCAACCATAGGGTAGGTTACTCTGATTTAGGTGGTATCTCCTTCCTCCTTGCTGAGCCATTTGGAAAGCTGCTACCAGGTGGAAAATTGCTCTGTTTAGAGCAATTAAGACATTTCATGTGCGCCTATTTAAAAGGCAGAAGCTTTAGAGCATATATGTCTGCCAGTTATTATCTATAAAATGTCTTAAGGACTATTTCAGAGAGAAGGGAAGCCCAGCAGCTGTTTCTGAGCTTCCTGCTAAGATTGCATCTGAGACTGCAATTTTATCTGTTTATAGGTTTGGTTTTCTTGCAGGCTTTTACTGAGAGAAATATTTGAAAACAAGAAATATCGTCCAAACTGTTCATTTCACAGGTAAGAAAATGAATTCAGAAAGCTTGCATGCCTTTCAAAGAGTAATTAAATATTGTTTTTCAGGTTTCAGCCCACAGCAAACCCACTAGAAAAACAATTCCTCAGCATGCCAAATGTTAAATGTTGTCCTTAATTAACTTATTCTGAAATGTTTTCTGGGCAGTACTTTCTCAAACTTTGGTTATAAAATAATCATCTCTCCACCTGTACTGGGATGATTGTATCATAAGACAGAGATGCCACTTTCGCCTATCTGGCTCCAATTATGCAAAACAGCATTTCCTTTAATTCTGTTTATCTTTGTGGGAAGAACAGAGGTCAACCAAATGCAAGATCTTCCTTTTATTTCCCATTTTCTTATTTCCTTTACTTGGGAAAAATCTGTAAGGAAACATGGCCCTGTGTAGTGTCTTTGGCTATTTTGACTTCCAGTAGGAAAAAGTGTTATCAGTTACCATGACAACCACATTTTCCCAGAGCTCCCTGCTGCAACTCATTTGCACTAAACAAGAACAAATCATTATTATTCAATGAAGGCTCTGATAAAGTTCTTTTCTTTTTGGTCGTTTTCAATACTCCTTGAAACCCTTCTTTCTAGAAAGCGAAATGGCTCTCTAGGGAGAATACATTGAGTTTTTCTAAGAGAATGTCACCTTTACCACCTATTTACCAAGCAAGCATAGTGCATGAGTACAGACCATGATATGTGACCTTCTGAGCACTTGTCAGAGATTTCTACTATGAGTAGACTTCGACTTAACTAAAAGTTCAAAAGATGTTTCTGATATTTCACAACTTACCTTTCTTCAAATTCTCATTTCTCCGCATGTATTGAAAGATGACTAGCATCATCAAATTTTTCTCATTCAAAATTAACTTTTCAAAGTGGCTTACACAATAAGAGCTTTTAAACTTCATGATATCAATAAGATCAGACATGGAGTAAGTTTCAGATGGGGCCTGACCTAAAACATTCAATTACTTTACTTTTTTCTGCCTTCTCCTGTATCTACTTCCTCCTAAATTTAGTTTTCCTTATCCACACACAATGTCAGCCTATGGCTTCTAGGAATTCCACGCTTTCTTGTTTGTGTCTGGCATAAAATAAATATATCTCATGTAGCTTCCAGAAAAATCTCTCCTCATACTTCTTGTGTTGAATTGGGTCCTGTGCCCTAACCCTGGATCAAGTATTATGACCAGAAGGATAGAATATGCTGACTGATTTGAGGGCCTACTCCTTGGAGTACTGGTGTGGTGAGGGGGTACAGGTGGAAGGATGGGGAGGTTTCCCATGAAGCACATGGAAGAGAGGAATAGATATCTGAATAAATTAGGCAACTTTTACCAATATGAACAAGTTGGCACTCAGTGTCTCAGAATAGCAAATATTCTCTACAACCACAGAGCAGATATTCTAGAGTATTCTACAGTTCCTAAGCCCCTCCACAACAACAGTCTCTCTCTCTCTCTCTCTCTCTGTCTCTCTCTCACATACATGCAAACACACACACGCACACCGACACAATGCCTTCACTAAATCATGAGTTAAATTGTTGCCTTGGATCTTTATACCTATGATATTAATAAAAGAAATCTTTTGAGAGAAGATTGAAATGCCTGTTACAATCATTGATATAGAAGATTAGAATCTTCTATATCAGAGGCTGGCAAACTATAATATTTTAGGCTTCGTGGGCCATACAGTTTCTGTCCCAACTACTCAACTCCACCACTGTAGCAAAAAGTTGGCCATAGATAAGAAGTAATCAAATGGACATGGCTGTGTTCCAATACAACTTTATTTACAGAACCAGGTATGGGATGGGTTTGGCCCATGGGCCCATTAGACCCCAGGTTGCTGATCCTTGCTCTGTATAATAAATTAAAATGAAGTGAAAGGAACTTGTACATTTATTTTTAACTGGTAGAGAAAACTCTAACTCATCTTGTTTTGCTCTTTTTTATGCTACCAGGAAGCTCAGAGCTAAATTTACTGTTCCCCTTAATAAGTACTGCTTCTCATTCTCTTTGGTATACGAATATCTTTCTTTCTATATGGTCTCATATCTCTGCTTTTATACTGTAAAACTTTCTTAACTCTGTGTCCTTTCTAATATTGTGAAGTCTTCATGTTTGACATAGATGAAGGGCAAATTGTATTTACAACTTTCAGTGCTCTTTCTCTCTCTCTCCACCACACACACACAAGCACACACATACGCCACGGGGTCTCAATCTCCTTCAAACCCGTTATACAAACAGACAAACTGAGACCCAGGTATCACCATAATCATGAAGCAAAGAAGTGCTAGTCCCTTGACTATCATCTTGATCTCTTGTGTCTGAACTCAGCTTATTCTAGAAATATAATAACAGAAATAGCAATACAAAGGAACAAATATTTTCTAGAACTGTCACATTGCCACAGTGCAAATTGTTCCTAGTTTTACCTTAGATAACATACCACTAGACCTCTCTTTCTCTCTTCTTTCAACCTCTCTCTCCCTCTGTCTGTCCCTCTCTCCCTCTCTCAACCTCTGCTGCCTATTTTCCTCTTCCTGCTGTTGTCTCACAGCCTGAACTCTTACAGGCTCATCTTAAATCTTGGTTTTAACCTGAGTTTTTAAAGTCCCTTTGTCTCCCTGCTTCTTCTCCTTCAATTATATATGGATACTGTGGCTTTCTTGACTTTGTTGCTGCCCTCATAGGATTATTGTTTCTGTGTCCGTTCCAAGAATCCTCCCTAGTCTATGCTCCCACTTTCATTCCTGACTTGCTGTAATCCCTCAAATGTTCTTGAATATAGTTTCATTTCTGGTCTTTGGCTTTAATCTGTGGCTGTCAACATCATCTTTTCTCCTGTTCTTTTCTACAGCAGCTCCAGTCCAGGGGGCATATTTTTAATAGCCCTAGGCTAAAGAACCATCACAAGCAACTCTCAAAATTGGCCCTTAGTTGCCTTAGAAGGTAAAATGCAAGGAAGAGAGAAAACAACTAACAGAAGAGTAAACCAAACAAATGCAGTCATGTTAGTGTGCATAGAGTTTAGTTTCATTAGCCTCTGCTCACCACCATGTCAGATGGAAACTGTGCATAAACCTCCCCAGAAAGGAACTGCAAGCCTATAACACACCAGGCATTAACGTGCAGCTAGAACAGATTTAATGGAGAAACACATCATCTTCTCCCTATACTAGGCTCGATGAAATTATCCAAAAAATAATTACAGAGAAAACAATGCACTTTAATTTATCCTTGGATATTATTATTGGAATGTTCTTCAACTCTATGATTTGGACTTCCTCACTAGAGATATTTTATTTTGGTTTTAAAAATAACTGGAGTCAAATATTTCTTTTTAATTCCAAAATTTTCCAAAAGACTAAGCTTTTTCAAGTACAAATTTCATTAGGGACCAAACAAGAAACCGAGCACATATTTCACTGAAATTTTCTCCTTCCCACTGAGACTAAGAAAATAAATTAGGTTAAAAACAAACACTTAGAAAAACAAGTAGCTGGGAAGATGTACTCTGAAGCTTTGCTCAAAAAGTTGAGGCAGAGGTTTGTCAATATCCGGTTAGCGTTATTAAAATTGAACAGCCTTGGATACCTACATGCATGAAATACTATGTGCTTAGGGCATCAGGAAAGCAAGACCTTATGAAAATATTTATTTAAAAGTTATGAATTATATTTCAAAGCAAGCATTAGAATACTCATCATCACAGAAAAATCAGAGTTTTCTATCATTTGGTACTGTTTTTATTTGATGTTATTTATCAGCATATGGGGGCCATAAACTTTTAGGGATAGGGTCTCTACCAGTCCTATTCTGACCCAGCCCACACAGATGCACACATACACACACACCACACCTGAGCTAAGTAATTTTTGACTCGTAAGAATTTAAAATTAAAAGCCATCCAATTAAAAGAATCACATTTCAAAATTTTCTAGTCCAATTACAATGTAACTCAATTAAAAAATAAACACAGTTCTTTGGGAATACTTCTATTACATGAAGAAACAAACAGTGATATTATAGTTTGCTTTATTAATAACTTTAATCCTATTGAGTATTTGACATCACATTTTCAAACTGCTTGTAAGTTTTTCTTTCTCTTTAGAAAATAAAGCCATGAGATGAGTCAGGTTTATGACTAGCTATTTTGAGAAGAGGGATGGACATTTCAAAGAGGTGAACCAACTAAAATTCACACTCGTAGAACCATGACGAAACCAAGATTACAAAGCATTTCTGAGATCTTTATCCATGGAACCTAAAACCCATTCTAAGATACATTTAAAGAATCGTCATATTACCTATATGCATAAAAATAATGAATTTCTGATATTAGATGTGCAATCAAAAAAGAGAATCTCTCAAGATACTATTTTGGAAGTGTATGAAATGAAAATCCAAGTAGCTTTATGTTATCATGACATTAAAAACTTCCTCTACTTTCTATATTGTAAAATTTTCTGTCTTTAAAGATTTCTCAAAAGAGAATAGAAAATCCAGTGGTCCAGGACAAGTTACCACAATTAATTTTTAAACCTGGTTCACCCATAGTAAGAAATGTGGTAAATTACTAAAATCAGTTATACTAACACATTAAGATTATTATTACTGTGATAGTGATTTATATTTTATCACGGGGAGAAGAACTTCAAGAATAGCCATCTGAAGGGTTTTTACTCACAGCACTTCTGATACCAAATGTGTGGGGTTTTTTTCACACCAACAACCAGTTATGCAACAATTCAGACACCAACTGCATGTCCTAGAATTCAACTCAATTTTGGCACAAACTACCTAGAGTTAGCACAGGCCCTACAGGTTGAGGGCTCAGTCCCAAGACTGCCCCCACTTCAGATGCAAGTCACAAGTACCAGGTTGCCATCTGCACTTCTGACCCATCAGCTATAAACTGGGGATTCCCATGATCCCCTCCAATGTTTGATAATTTGCTAGAACAACTCACAGAACTCAGGAAGGTACTTTACCTACTGTTACTGGCTTATTATAAAAGATACAACTCAGGAACAGCCAAATGAAAGATATGTATATGGCAAAGTATAAGGGGTGGAGGAGCTTCCATGCCCTTTCCAGGTGAACTACCTTCTCAGCACCTCCATGTGTTTGCCAATCAAGAAGCTCTCCGAACCCCATTCTTTAGGGGTTTTATAAAGGTTTCATTATGTAGGCATGATTGACTGGCCATTGGCAAATGTTGGAGGCTAAGGCTGAAAGTTCCAACCTTCTGATCATGCTTTGGCCTTTCTGGCAACCAGCCCCCATCCTGAAGCTATCTATGGCCCACCAAGAATGGCATCTCTGAAACAAAAGATGCTCCTATCACCCAGAAAATTCCAAGCAGTTAGGAATCCCCTGTCAAGGAATCAGGGACAAAGACCAAATATATGATTTTTATTATATCACACCCTCTGATTAACTTTGAAAACATAATTAAGAATTTTGTTTCCTTTTTTAGTTTGATACATGATGATAATAGAGTCAGAAGCAACATTTATTTTAATGAGTATTTTGATAAAATAATGGATCCACGGAAGTGGAGAGGTCTGACAAATTATGGATCACAGTGTTCAATATCTCATGGCTATATGAGAGTTACAATAATTTCAGATGCATTTACATTTCTTGTACATATACTAAAACCATAAATTATGGATGAGATGCTGAGAGAATCATAAAAAACCCATGGTACATTCAATCCAACTTTTTCTCTCTGACAACAGTACTAAGGCATGTGTATTCTTTAAACAAACACCTCAAATATTTACTCATATAATCTCAAATATCTCCATTTATTTCTATTTCCTGCAATAGAATATAAATTCTCCTGACAACAGTTATATATTCCAAAGCCTGCTCTCTATTATTTTTTAAACCCCTTGAAATGTTTCCTTTCATCAAGTTTAAAATGAAAACAGCGGGGCAGGGAAGTGTTACCTTGCATTGGACTCCCTGTTTCCTGGTGGAGGTCTTTTTCTCCATGTGAAAAATATTCCCCTTCTCTTTTTCTTCTCTCTCACTAAAATAACTCTCCCGACTCCATTTCCCTGTTAATAGGATGTTCCTATAATTGAAAAGAGGAATGACTAAGCTTAGTGATCCAGGAGCTGCCAGCTGGTTCTCAAAGGGTAGAACTATCAAGGGAAAGAAAGGAGCAACATCCCTCCCTTTAACATTCTCCTCTACAATTTAAGTGCTTCCTCTTTTTAATTTCCCTGCCCAGATGAAATACTAGATTTTACTCCATGTTCTGCTTCTGTTGCCTGGTGCTTTTACTTCAGCTGGGGTCAAAGAGACGAAGGCCTGGGCTATTAATCTAGCACAGGGAGCCAGCAAGTCCCCTCTCTAATGATGATGTATAATAACTGTGAGTTAAGAGGAAATCTTCTGCTTTGCACTCTATTAACTACACTTCATTTTTTATACTTACCAAACTTAGTCCAACTTAGAAAATTATCAGTATTTTTCCCTCCTATTATCTTCTTTTTCTTTGAACTAATGGGGAAGCCACTTAAATTAATTAACTTTTGGAAATTGGCTTAGAATATGTCCAGTTGCTCTAAGCCTAGTTTCAGTTCAATTCTATCTTCAAATGCATGATTATTTGTAAGGCACAGGCATGTGGACCTGATGGAAATTAATAGTGTTGAGCATTATTCTAGAAGTCCACCAGTCTATAAACTCCATGAAGAGAGAGACCATCCCTGTCTTATTTGCTGTTATATTCTTAGGGTCTAGTACTGTTCAGGCACTTGATAAATAACTGTTGAGTGAATAAATAGATGTCTTTCTCCATCAAGCCATCAAAAAATATTCCAAATAGTGTTTGTCTTTATAAGCTCAATTTACAGAACTTAACAAAGACCTCACTTAAATTTGAGTGATGTTCTATATTAAACTATGGGGACTAGGACATTCACAGGTGATTCTGTGTGATCATCATTATTATTATTATAAATGATGTTGTGACAAGAAGATGTTACTCACCAGTGAAATAACAACTTACATCAGGAAATTAGAGCAGAATAGTCTCTCAGCTGAGCCATTGTTTGCTTATTTATTACTGGTGTTCCATATTTGGACAATATCTGCCTTCCACTTCATAGTGGAAGTAGAGTACTTTTAGTGCTCTGATTTCAATGAGTGTTCAGTACCTGGGAACATATTCCTAAGAGGCCTACTAGTCACTCATTGTAGAGAGTAAATTATATATAATTATTTCCATAAACATTTACCGACTTCATTTATGTGTGGGATAATGTACTAGGTCCTATTGAGTTTGTCCAATGATTAGGAAAGAGATTAGTCATCAAACTAAACAAAGAAAAACCCAGTTTAGCCACAACACAAACCACTCCACCTTCTTCAATACAGTTTAGAATATTTTTATTCAAGTGCATTCTGCAATATTTAAATAATGTGCATGAAGGGAAAAAACAGAAAATCTGGAAAATTTTATTATTCAGTTGGAATATGCTAGCATGTTTGTGTTAATACAGTAGCTACCTTTAATTATTGGTTAATTTAAACTACTTCTCATTCTTTTATCTTAGCTCTTTTTTTCCCTCCTAAGGACTTTAATGTGACTACATCTTGGAATGACTTCCTGCCTTTGCAGGAAACAGGCAGCTTCCTGACTGAGACGGAAGTTACTAGTCCTTATTGCCGGTTCGTTTTCATTGTCCTGGTTGCCCTCAAGGTTATCCCCAACCTCAGCTCCAGTTGTCTGTTTCCCAAATTTGACTGGGCTTCCTTCATACTATATTGCATGACAAGGTCTAGCAAAAGATTAGCTCAGTCTCAACTCTGTAAAAATGGTTTGCCATTTACACTTCTTTCTTTCAGCTTCACAGAAGTGCAGTCTGTGCACTCACACAGGATACCACACTCAGATGAGCTGCATGCTGTCATTATTTTGAAATGTTTAATGATTTTATCTTTGAACTTGTGTTTTACAAGTAAAGTCCAATGGGACCATGAAGTATGCATTATGCATAATAGCAAAGAGGATACGTAGAAGAAAGAAGAAAGCTTTATATTTTAACACTTCCTTTGTGCTTGTTCAACAAGAGGCCCTGCAGTTCCATTTTGAACTGGGCTTCACAGATGATGTAGCCAGTCCTGCTCTGAGGAGAAATATTGGAAAATGGGATCCAAACTAGAATTTCTCCTAAAGAAAACGTCAGAGAACTTGACTTTCAAAACTGCTCTTTGAATATCATCAAAAGTTTTGCTATAGTGAATCTTTATGATAAATACAGTACCTATCTAGTAAAGCAATTTAATTATCGCAGGCTGTACTAATAACCATAATAAACTCCACTCCAATAGTATTCTACGTAGACAAGTCTTCCAGCCTCGGGCCTCTCCTCATTAAACTGCAATTAGTATGATAAATGGAGAGTGTGATTTTGCTGCAGCCAGTATTAGCCCTACTTACTCATGAGGTGACAGGGGAAGCCATCAGAGACAGAATTAAAAATATTTAAATAACAAGGAAAATGGTAGGGTTTGCTGCCTTCTGGCCATTAGTCCAACACATCTGTGTGCAGGTACATCTCACACATTTCAGCTGTAACTGATGAAGATCTCAGATAAGCACTGATGTTAATAGCAGTTAATACAACCCAGTGACTAAACATAGTCTGTCCTTGGAAGGTCATAAGTGTTGTGAGAATTCAAGATGACTATAATCTTAACAAAGCATTAATGGGCAATCTGACTAAATAAGATGGCTGCTATGGAGGACTTCTAAAACACTGTGCATTCTTAATCAGGTGATGAGATATTTCACATTTGCTAATGGTATAGTCCCCACGGCATTGTAGTACCACATATATTAACATTTATTTAATTTAAAATGCATCCCTTAACAAGAACGCTTTGGTGGATATGGCTTTATTGAAACCTAAAGCTAAAACATATTACATAATTGGATTCTAATCTGTGAAGGCATGCTATACTCCAGTAATCAGATTTCCGGAGAATCCCTGTATCCTTGCAGTATACTCAGTTTTAATCTGAGTTTCTCTGAATAGGTTTCTGTTCCTTAACATCAAATATTCCTCAAGGAAAGATAGGTTGAAAATTATAATTTTAATAAATAAATACTGAGGGGAAGAATACCTTACACAAAATACTCTGTCACGTTCTGCTAGATTTTTAAATTCTTTTAAAAGAAGTACCATCTACTATATTTGATTTTACTTGGTCAATGCTAGAAATGATGGTTATTTTTATTTTGTTCTCATCCAAATATTTTATCACCAAATGGAGAGGGCTACCTTGGCTTTGGGTTGCATTGATTCACCATTAAAGTTTATTGTAAATGTGATTTAAAAAAAAAAAAAAAAGGTATAAATCCACATTTTATTCAGATTTTTGTGTCCTTTAAAATAAAACACTAAAACATAGTGTGTCAAGGACTATAATCTCTTGCAAATGACCCCAAGCCTGTGTGTCCAGTCCTGACATTTGTTTCTGAGATCTGCACCCAATTCCAAGCCCTCTACCAGGACCTCCATTCACAAGAGGCTTCCAAGTGATCTTCATCCTTTGTTTTCTCAGTTCACTAAAGAGCAGCAAGCTAGGATTCATCTTGATTGCCTCCTTTTCCAAAATTTATTTAAATTTTGTCATCAAATCCTGTCAATTCTGCCTCTAAGACATCTATCACATTCTCTTCTTTGGCACTCCCACAGACATAGTGGGGAGTTATCTCTATAGGTTCTGTTTTTAGATTTATCAATATTTCCCTCCCTCATAGAATTGCCATCTCCACTACTGTTACTGATCTTGATACTGTACACTGCCACTACATCTTTACTTTGTACTTATGGGATATACAAATATTTCAATTAACTATGACTTCAAGATTAATGCATAGATTACTTAACTAAATTACTACTTAAACTTTATGTATTAACATCATTAGAATATAAAAATATTTATCAAAACAGAAAGACCTCTGTACCTGTTAATAGTATGTATTAATTTGAGCCTCAATTCTCAAAATAAAAACAAAAATTAATGGTGAGATGAAGAATAAGATGATATTTACTATCTATGCAGAGCATTTCCCTTGTGCCAGGCATTGTGTTAAGGATTTTACATATATTATCTCATACAATCTTTGTAAAAACCTAGTGAAGTAGCTTATCCGTCAAGTGCACGTTTTAATCATACTTTGTCTTCTACATACGAAGAGAAACACTGGTGTCTGCTAGCTGATCTGAAGCATCAGAGCTTGTCTTGAAAGTTTGCTGCTTTTAGTGACAAATGTTTCTCATCACATGCTTACTCCTATTATTCCAGTTAGGGCCTTATCGCTTCAGATCCTGTTGGCCTTAGTGAAGAAAAGTTCCTGCAAGAGGCATACTACCTTGCTTTGTGTGCCTTCATTCCATCAGCTTTCACATCCTGCCCTTCCCCTGGTACCCAGCAGCAGGGTTGAAAAAAGGCCAGGGGGTACATGGTGCGATAGACACTTGGTGTGACTCATCCTCTGAGAGTTTGAAGTATGGAAAATTTGCTTATGCCAGTCATTGCTATCCTTCTATCTCCTTAAGAACGATGAATCTGTATAGATGGATCTCTCACTGTAGCAGGCCCAGAGCAGAGTTTTCTTTTTTCCAACTTGCTTTTCAAATAATTTTTACTCTTTTTCTTTTTGAATATGTCAGAAAACACTTGGAACAACAACAACAACAAAAAAAAACACTGAATATTCTTTACTGATGTTTCCTCATGATCTCAAATGCATTATGCCTATCCATACTCTATTAACACGTTCAAACTGTTTGTCATTACATTTCATTAGGGGACAACATTCAATCTTGACTCATAAGTACAACTGCATTGGAAAGCAAATGGGGTAGAAAGGGAAGAAAAGACTTACTATGGCTGGCCACTAGCCCTTCCTCTTAATGTTCTTCAAGCCAACTTTGACTGGATTTTTCAGGCCTCAGCAAGAGGTTATACACTGTACTTAAGTATCCATTTATCCTCCCTTACGCTTCACCCTCTAAGAACACTAAATGCTTGTAGTTTTTCTAACATGCCAAGCTTTTTCATATCTTGGTACCTCTGCAAATACTGTTTCCTTTGTCTGGAATATTTTTCTCCCCCTTTTTCACCTGGTAACGTTAAAGACACTTGAAAATCTAGTACAGATGACTTTCCTTTTAATCAACTTCGTCCTGGAAAGTTAATCACATTTTCAGTGATTAACTTGTAGATATGAAGTACTATTGATACATATATCACTTGGGTTATAATGTCCTTCTTTGTATGTCCATTTCTATTTCTTCTTGAGAGTAGAGCCCATTCCTAGTGTAATTCCCTGGCACTTAGTAGTTCCAAAATTTACAAAAATTTAGTTGCTGAATACCAACTAAAAAAAATCTGAAATTACATCAATGTTAGGTTGTAGATTTTTATTTTCCTATGCTGGACAATATAACCTTTTCAGTGCAGAGATACTGTTTCCCCTCTATTTGCTCCACTCACTAGAACTAAAGTACATGCAATGTCCAAGAGGACTGGTGATAGGTAATTACTCTTGTCAGGTGCTTTCGACTAGCATCAAAATCAGGCCCTTTATAGCACATATTCATATAAATGACAGCTCAAGTCAAACCTATCTATCTCCCGAAATAGATGAAACCATTTCCCACCCTTCAAACATTCTTTTCTCTTCTCTAAGGTTACGTCAAAAATCATCATCATTAATAGTCAACATGTCCACTTCACTCAATGAAACTTCCAAAGAATTTGTTATTCTTTTAGAATTCTATACGAAATAACATCCTTCCAAAGCAACTACGAAGCTCCAAAGAAAACACGGTGGAAAAGATACCTGTCATTAGCAGATATCTACCAATATTGTCATCAGTATTATCACTGTTATCATTGCATAATAAAGGCCTTTGTTATCAAATTACTTCATTTGAATTAATATGAAATCACTCATGGCATTTTTTCATTCATTCACCGATTGATTTATTCCTTTTCTTGCACCTCACCTCCCTCATAATTTTTGACACCTTATAACTTTTTTTTAAACTGGAAAAGTATAATTAGATGACACAACAAGAATTAAAACACATACTCACTAACACTCTCTCTCTCTCTCTCTCTCTCTAATTCTGATGAAAGATGGAAACCATGTTAACTTCCAGTTCTGGTGAAACTTTTGACTGTGAAATACATTTATGGAATTCTGTAAGGCCTCTGTAAAATGTGGCAAAATCAAGCAAGTTTCTCAAAAACCATGTAGGATATCTAGTTAAGTAAAAGGATAAGAAAAAAAGTATCTTTATAAAATGGGAAGACTGACATTATGTCTATTATTAAACAGTGCTTCTTGTTGGAAGAACAGATGATATTCTGAGAGAAATAAACACTCTTGTCCATTTTTATATCATGAACAAACTAATATTTCTAGGGAAGAGGAAAGATGGTCCTTCACGTTCTCTTTGAAACAGGAATATTCCCACTATACAGAAGAATTGTATTTTAGAAAGACAATTTCATGAACTAAGGCTGAAAATCTCCCAGACCATGGCTGCTATGACTTCTCAAATCAGCAATCATGCACAGAAAAGAGTGCTAAAAGAGACCCCTCTCTTTTCTTCCCATCCTCAGCCTTTTTCTCTCTATACTTTTCAAAAGCTCACAGACAGTAAATACCCACACAAAAGAGGAATCACAAATGACAAATTAAAGGTAAGTTTCTCGCATTTGCCAGAGAGGATTTAGAAAATGTGCCACAATTTTATACAATGCTGGTGCAGCAGGTGAGTCTAGAAAGTCATTTTGGTTTTCGATTTCAGAAATAATTCTGTTTTATACTGGCAGATTAACACTCTTCCAAAGATGACCAAAGTAAGGCCCAGAATTAAGTCATAGTTGTACCTCTTCTGCTCCTTTTTCTGTCTTGCTGAATTTAATAATTTACTCTTCAACATTCCACTAAAAGTATTGCCAATTTTATTAGTCTTTAAATCGGCCAGAAAAAGACATACCACCCAATAGCAAAATAGCCAAGAATTCAAACAAGAATGAAAAGGGGTATTTAAATACCCAACGAATATGTGTGAAGGTGTTCTGAGTTGCTAATCATCAGAGAAATGCAAATTAAAACCACAACGAAATATCACCATATACTGAATAGAATGACAAATTTTTAAGAAGACTGAAAATCTAAAATATTATGAGGATATGAAGTAAGTAGGAATTCCATAAACTCTTGGTAGGATTGTAAATGGACTCAACTACTTTGTAAAACTGACACTTTCGTCAGCACCTACACAAGTGGAACACAAGCATATATATATTTTCAACTGAAATATGTACAAAAAAATCCATGCACAGGAGTGTTAATTGCAGCTTTCTTCATAACAACCCAAAACAAGAAACAACATAAATGTTCTGCCACAGTAAAATGTATAAATATTTGTGGTAGGATCAACCAACGAAATGTTATATAGAAATAAACATTAATGATATACTGCTATACATAGAAAATACATGAAATACACAACATAATGTTGTTGGAGAAGCCAGACACAAAAGAATACATACCTGACCACTTCGTTTACGTAAAGCCCAAAAAAGTGAAACTATTCCATGATGTTAGGAGTCAGGATGGTAATCTTTGGGCAGGAAGGGGTGGTGGTGATCAGAAGGGGCGACAAAGGGGGCTTCTGGAGTGTTGTTCATGGTCTGTTTCTTGTTCTGCATAGTACGGTTACACACGTGTTTTTACTTTATAAAACTTACTGATGAACACTTTTGCTTCACTGCTCTCTATGTATGTTATACTTCAATTAATAAGTTTATTTAAAAAGAAAAGAGAGACCATGACAAGTACTACTTATACACTAAGTTTGTGTGAAATACTTTTTTTTTTTTTTAACTGTTAATCTCCAGATAGTCCCTTTAAATCCTTTTCCTCTCCCCCTAACCTCCCCAATTCCCACTTTATTTGACTCCAGCTATGATGATTTCTCCCCTGGCAGCAGCAGCCTGTAGCCCAGCCAATGTTCTTGCCTGCAGTCTGGTCTCAGTCCTATTCATTTTCATTCTTTACTTTGCAAATAGGATATTTGTATTTTTAAAAACATCCTGTATACAAAATAGTGTGACAATAAATGTACAGTTTAGCGAATATGAACAGAAAATAATTTCGCAAAATCAACACCTTTCTACTTACACCATCCTGCTTAAGCAACAGACACTAGTTTTTTCAAATCTGTTGTCCCTTGACAATCCCAATCTCCATCTTTGCATCAGAGGTATTCAATATCCTGAATTTGGTGTTAAACATCTCCTTGCTTTTATTTATAGTTTTATAACATAAGGTAGTAGTTGTAAACTAAATATCAACACTAACTAAAAATAGTTTGAGCAATATTTTGTTTGGTTTTCCTTGTTTTGATTTTTTTGTTGTTTTACTTGTTTTGAAATTTAAGTTATGGAATCTCACAAGTGTATTCGGCTGTAAGCTTTTTTTTTTCTCACTGGTATATTGGTATGTTACTGAGATTAATCCACCCAGATGCCTGGGCCTTTATTCCATTCTTTTTTCACTGCTGAACAATATCCATTGTATAAGTACACTACAAATTACTTATTATATTTTTAATATGTGTATTGTTTTCAGTCTTTTTGTCATTTCAAATAGCAATCTTATGAGCATTCTTTTGTGTACCTCTTGAATATGTACAAGAGTTTGTAGGTTATACATCTAGGAATGGAACTACTGGGTCCTCAAGTATGCACATTTTCAAATTTACTAGGTAATGCCAAATTATTTTACAAAGTAATTGAACCAAAATGATTCCCCGTTGTCTGCATCTTTACTTAGTGTTGTCATTATTTTTAGTCATTCTAGTTAGTGTGTAATTTTATCTAAACATTTCCATATATTCAATGGCATTTCATTTGAATTTCCTCTTCTATGAAAATACTAATCATGTAATTTGCTCATCTTTCCCCCTCACCGTAGCCTTTTTCATGTTGATTTCTGACAGTATTTATATACTCTGAATATGACAGTTTTTTCAGTAATCAGTGTTACAAATATCGTTTTCCACTATGCCTAGTCTTTTCTCTCTTTATTCTTCCTTTCAATAAAGAGAAGTCCTTAAATTTTATATATGAAATTATCAATATTTTCTTTAATGGCTTGTGCTTTTATGTCTTATTTAATAAATTCCTCCCTACCCAAAGGTCATAAGGATTTATCCTTTAATTTATTGCCTTTCACATGTACGACCATGATCAATATGGAATTTATTTTTGTATATGGATGAAATCGATGTCTGTCTACTGTTACGTTTTTTCCACATAGATAACCATCACTTCCCTTGGCATTTAACGAATAGGTCATGCATACCCTGCTGATTTACAGTGATTCTCTGTCATACATCAAGTTTCCATTCACATTTGCACCTATTTTCGGCTCATTTACCACTGGCAATACCAAAGTGTCTCAAGACATTACCTTTTTAAAAGAGAAAACTAAAAATATTTGTATTCATTAAGTTAAGCGGAATTAAAATTATTAGCCTTAATTTAGTGACTAAATATTTGTGTTTTGCAGTGAAGATCCAAGAAACAAACAATAGCATCAAATAAAAACATGAAAATAGTTCTTTTGCAGCAAAATTTATCTGAAAACTTTCATTGCACATAGAATAAATTTCTATCCACTCATTTAAAAATTCAAGTAATTATACTTTGAAGTGCTTTCAGTGCTATCTTTATAAACCTGTATAAGCTAAGACATTTTTGACTACACATGAATTATGGTTTTGTTAAAATTCTTTCTGGGTCAAGTGATATTTTTCTTAATCCAGGGAATATCTAATTAGAAACAAAGATAAAAATCTACTTATCTTCAGTTCTTAATTATCAAATTTATTCAATAAAGTGCTTTTACTTTTGACTGTGACTCCAGAAGGAAATGGTGCCAATATTAATCACAGTATTTTCATAAAAATTTTTTAATCTTTTTATTCTTTTTATTTCATACAAGAAAGTTTATGTATTATATATATATATATTTGGAGGAATATATATAATACATATTATATATATAACATAAGGTAGTAGTTGTAATCTATATATATATCAAAACAAATAAAATCAAAGCAAGCAAAACCAAACAAAATATTGCTTAAACTATTTTTAGTTAGTGTTGATATTTACTATACAACTACTACCTTGTTATATATAGATATTTTAATACATTATATATTTATATATAATATATATAATTATATATAATATATAAAATTATATATTAATATATAATTATATATATTATATACATTATATAATTTTATCGCTATTATATATTTATATATTATATATTTTATCGATATTATATATTTATATATTATATATATTATCGATATTATATATTTATATTATATATATTATCGATATTATATATTTATAGATATATATTTTTATATATTATATATTTATAGATATATATTTTTATATATTATATATTTATAGATATATATTTATATATCTATAAATATATGTCTATAAATATATAACATATATTATGTGTAAATATACAATATGTATAATATATATTATGTATAAATATACAATATGTATAATATATATTATGTATATACAATATGTATTATATATATAATGTATAAATATACAATATGTATTATATATATAATGTATAAATATACAATATATAATATATATAATGTATAAATATACAATATATAATATATAATGTATAAATATACAATATATCTAATATATATAATGTATAAATATACAATATATCTAATATATATAATGTATAAATATACAATATATCTAATATATATTATGTATAAATATACAATATATCTAATATATATTATGTATAAATATACTATACATAATATATATATTATATATAGTATACTATATATACTATATAGAATATATTATATATAGTATACTATATATACTATATAGAATATATTATATATAGTATACTATATATACTATATAGAATATATTCTATATAGTATACTATATATAATATATAGAATATATATATTATATATAAATATACATATATAATATATAATATACAAATATACTATATATAATATATATAATATACAAATATACTATATATAATATATATGATTTACAAATATACTATATATTATATATTGTATATAATATATAATATATACAAATATACTGTATATAATATATATTATATATAAATATACTATATATATATAATATATAAATATACTACATATAATATATATTATATATAAATATACAGTATATATAATACATATTATATATAAATATACAGTATATAAAATATATACTGTATATATATATAATATATATTTTTATAAATAAATAAACATAGTATATATATAAAATATATATATTCCTCCAAATTTCTTTATTCACTCACCTATTGATGGACATTTAGGTTCTGTCCATATCTTGGCTACTGTAAATAATGCTGCAGTGAACACGGAAGTGCAGATAGCTTTTTGAGATAGTGATTTAATTTCTTTTGGATAGATATCCAAAAGCAGGACTGCTGGATAAATTTTAAACTTTTTGAGGAACTTCCACACTGGTTTCCATAATGGCTGCATCAATTTACATTTCCACCAACAGTGTACAAGGATTCACTTTTATCCGCATCCTCGACAACATTTATCTTTTGTTTTTATTATAATAGCCGTTCTAACAGGTGCGAGGTGATATCTCACTGTTTTTTACATAGAATTCTTTTCATTTTTATTTATTTGTTGTTATTGACAAATTTTAATTGTATATATTTATGGAATAAAAATCGATGCTATGATACATGTATATAATGTGGAATGATTGAATCAAGCTAAATAACATAACCGTCACTTCAAGTATTTATCATTTATTCCTCCTGTCTAATGAAACACTATACCCTTTGACTAAGTTCTCTTCATTCCCGTATCTCCACAGACTGTGATAATGACCATCCTACTTTCTGCTCCTGTGCATTTGATTTTTCTTAGCTTTCACATATAAGTGAGAACATGTGCTATCTGAACATCTGTCTTTCTGTGCATGGCTTATTTCATTTAGAATAATGTCCCCTAGATTCATCCATGTTGTTGCAAATGACACAGTTTTTCTCTTTTTTAAGGCTGAATAGTATTCCAGTATTCCACTGTGTGTGTATATATATATATATATATATATATATATATATATATATATATATCACATTTATCTTTATCCATTTATAGGTTGATGGACACTTATGTTGACTCCACAACTTGGCTATCATGAATAGTGCTGCAATAATCATGCGGGTGCAAATATGTCTTCAACATGCTGATTTCAAATCCTTTGGATATATACCCAGAAGTGAAATTTCTGGATTCTATGCCAATTCTCTTTTTAGATATCTGAGAAACCTCCATACTGTTTTCTACTGTGGCTTTACTAATTCACATTCTCACCAACAGTATGCAAGGGTTCTCTCTTCCATATCCTTCACCAACACTTGTTACCTTTCATCTTTTTGATAATGGGTATTCGGACAAACATGAAATGATATTTCATTGTGGTTTTAATTTGCATTTCCCTGATCATTAGTGATGTTGAGCATTTTTTAATTTATGTGCTGCCATTTGTATGTATTCTTTTGAGAAATGACTGTTCAGGTACTTTGACCATTTTTTAATCTGATTATTTTCTTGATATTGATTTCTCTGAGTTACTTAAATATTTTGGATATTAATCTCTTATCAGATGTACGGCTTGAAAATATATTCTATCATTTCATAGTTTGTTTCTTTACTCTGTTGTTACCTTTGCTGTGAGAAGTTTTTCAGTCTGACGCAATCCCATTTGTCTATTTTAGCTTTTGATGCCTGTACTTCTGGAGTCATATCCAAGAAATCATTGCCCAGACCAGTGTCATACAGCATTTCTCCTACGTTTTTTCCTAGTACTTTTATAGTTTCAGGTTTATGCTAAAGTCTTTAGTCCATTTTGAGTGGATTTTTGTATATGCTGTGAGATAGGGTCTAATTTCATTCTTCTGAATGTGGATATCCAGTTTTCCCAAAACCCTTTACTGAAGAGACTGTCCTTTTCCATTGTTTGTTCTTGGCATCTTTGTCAAAAATCAATTCACTGTAAATGCATGGGTTTCTTTTTAGGCTCCCTATTCAGTTCCATTGGTTGATGTGTCTGTTTTTATGCCTGTACCATGCTCTTTTAGCCCATCAATCCCTGGTGTTCCATTAATGGAACGCTAAGCATGTGGGAGTTATTTATATCCTACTGTTAAGTTCATCGCCAAGATCTGACTGCAAAAATTCCAAAAGTTACAACCTCAGGCCTAAATGGGTTAATTACTACATCTTTGTAATATAGTTTGAAGTCAGGTAGTGTCATGGCTTCAGCAGTTTTCTTTTTGCCCAAGATTGCCTTGGCTATTTGGTGGGGGGTGTGTGTATGTGTGTGTGTGTGCACGTGCACATGTGCATCATGTACGTGGCTCCACAGGAATTTTGGATTTTTTTCTATTTCTGTGAAAAATGACATTGGAATTTTGATAGGAATTGCACTGAATCTATAGACCACTTTGGGGAGTCTGGACATTCTAACAAAATTAACTCTTCTAATCCGTGAACATATAATATCTTCCCATATATTTGTGTCTTCTTTGACATCTGTTTCTTTCATCAAAGTTTTGTAATTTTAAGTGTACAGATCTTTCTATAGTGTAGCAGCTATCACGTTTGCCTCACTCACTGCGGTTTTCATTTGCATTTTCCTGATGATTGGTTATTTTGAGTACCTCTTCATATTCCTATTGGCTATCCGTATGTCGCCTTTGAGAAAATGTCTACTCGAGTCTTTTGCCCACTTTTATTTTTTATTTTTTTGCTATTTAGTTGTATGAATTCCGTTATATATTTTGGATATAGATCCCTTAACAGATATATGGTTTGCAAATATTTTCTCCCATTCTGTAGACTGCCTTTCCATTTTATTGATTGTTTCCTTTGCTGTGCAGAAGCTTTTTAGATACAGTCCTGCTTATCTATTTTTGCTATTTTTGCCTGTGTTTGGGGGATCATATCCAAAAAATCATTACCAAGATTACTAAGACCAATGTTAAGGAACATGTTCCCTATGTGTCTGTTTTTATGGCAGTACCATGTTTTGATTACTATAGCTTTGTAGTACAATTTAAAATCAGGAAGTGTGAGGCCTCTAACTTTGTCCTTTTTTTCTCAAGATTGCTTTGCCTATTTAGGGTCTTTCATGGTTTCATTCAAATTTTAAGATTGTTTTTTCTATTTCTGTGAAAAATGGAATGGGAATTTTGATAGGGACTATGTTATGTATATTGCTTTGGGTGGTACAGACATTTTAGCAATATTAATTCTTTCAATCAATGAACGTGGGGTACCTTTCCACTTATTTGTGTCTTCTTCAATTTCTTTCATCAATATTTTACAGTTTTCAGTGTAAAGATTTTTCATCTCCTTGGTTAAGTTTATTCCTCAGTATTTTTTTATGCTATGGTAAATTGGATTCTTTTGTTAATTTCTTTTGGATAATTTGTTATGATGTAAAGATTTTGCTGCTGATTTTTGTATGTTGATTTTTATAACCTATAACTTTGCTGAATTCATTTATTAGTTCTAACAGATTTTTATGGTGTTTTTAGAGTTTTCTATATATAAGATCATGTTGTCTGAAAACAGAGACAATTTTACTTCTGCCTGTCTGATTTGGATGTCTTTTATTTCTTTTTCTCATTTAATTTATCTGGCTACAACTTCTAGTGCTATGTTGAATAGAAGTGGTGAGAGTGGGTATCCTTACCTTATGCTGCATTTTAGGGGAAAAACTTTTAGTTTTTCCTCATGGATTATGATGTTAGCTGAGGGCTTTTCATAAATGGTCTTTATTGTATTGACATAAATTCCTTGTATACTTCTTTTGTTTAGGGTTCTTATCATGAAAGAATGTTGAAATTCGTCAAATGGTTTTTCTGCATCTCTTGAGGATTTTTTGTTTTGTTTTGTTTTTTGTTCTGTTAATGTGGTGTATCGCATTGATTAATTCGCATATGTTGAACCATCCTTGCATCCCAGGGGTAAATCTCACTTGGTCATGGTGTATATTCCTTTTAATGTGCTGTTGAATTCATTGTGCTAGTATTTTATTGAGGATTTTGCATCTATTTCATTAGGGCTGTAGGCCTATGATTTTCTTTTCTGTCATGTCTTTGGTTTTGGTATCAGAGTAATGCTGGTCTCACAAAATGAATTTGGAAGTGTTCCCCCTTCTATTTTTTGGAAGAGTTGGAGAAGAATTAGTATTATTTCCTCTTTGACTGTTTGGTAGAATTCACCCTTGAAGTCATCTTGCCCCGAGCTTTTCAAGAATGCCCCTCTCTCTTTCCATCTGACCCTCCTAACAATTCTAACTATTACTTCCTTCTAGCTATCTTCCCTTATTCCACCAGTGGTAAGTAATCTTTTCTTTCATAGGAACTGCACTGGGAATATTCAGTTCTATTAAATTTGCAGTTAATCTTAACCTGACTGCTCTATGCCATCTTTTTTATTGTTGCTTTGAATTTTGAAAATATCTGTACATTGTGCTTTGTGTCTTAACCACGTATTATGACCCTGGAGGGCATGGGTTTTGTTGTATAACTCTTTTGGCCCTGTGGAATCTTGAACCTAGACAATTAAACAATGTTTGTTCATATGTACAAATTAATTTATAAGTTGTCCCTAAATAAGTGGCTCTCAAACTTGAATGTGCATCAGAATTACATAAAGGGTGATTAATGCAGATGAAACATGGATTGCTGGGCCCTACCCTGGGGATTCTAATTCAGTAGATCTTGGGAAGAGCCTGATAATTTTTGTATCTAACAAATTCCAAAATGATGCTAATGCTGCTGGGACCAGAACCATACTCTGAGAACCATTGCTTTAAACCTTTGTGTCTTGAGAATAATTGCTATACTATGGTTCCTACTATCTGGTCCTAAATTTCTACATTAGTATCTGTCTCTTTGTGTAGGTTTATAGAGGATATTACTCATTTGGAAATAATATATACTGTAATAGTCATTCAGCCGTGGCCAGTAATCGTTTCAAATCTACTTTGGTCTATTAGTTCTAGCCTTTTTGTTCCTATCAAGTAGTATTATAAACCCCAAACACCACGCACTCATAGTCCTACATCCTACATCCCCTTTTTTCTTGGAATGTTCAGTTATCTCCTCTTGTCATTAAGATTTTATAACTTAGCTGGAATTCTTTACTTTTCTCTTAACTCTAGTGCTCACCTTGTCTATTGATACTGTGCTTTTAAGAGGACATCTGTACCACCTGTTTCGTGAAAGAGGGTCATTCTTACAGGTCCATTCTTCCTTTTTTCTTGATATGCATCTGGAATAAAAGCATGATAAAAGCTAGGGTGTTGTGAGGGAGGGCATGAATTTGAGGGTGCTGAATTTGGAAGGGATTGGAGAAAATATTTTCATATAAAGTTTACCCTCTATGAACTTTCAATAAGAATTGACTCCTTTGAAAAATCCTTACCTACTCCCATGATTCTGGTACGGACCAGGGTTCAATAACTCTTCTAAGAACCTATAAGCCTTTCTGGTCTCTGGACTTACTATATTTTTAGCTCTTTTATTATCTCCTTGGCCATGTTGTATGTATAAAGTTCTAATAATGTTTTAAATGAAGGCCATATACCAATATAGTAGAGTTCTAGACTGACAAAGTTGGCTTTGAGGAAAAAAGGCGAATCACAAAGTGCTTTTAAGCATGAATTGAGCACAAGAGGAGAGCATGACAGTAAAGAAAAACATTTTACTATTATCCAAGTAAGTCTGAAATATGTCTTGTAAAGCAGTTGGTGGAGCTACCAAAAATGAATTAAATGAGTTTATTTGTATGGCACTTTTTTTTGGTTTTTTTGAGATGGAGTCTCACTCTGTCGTCCAGACTGGAGTACAGTTGAGTGCAGACTGGATCTTGCCTCACTGCAACCTCCGCCTCCCGGGTTCAAGCAATTCTCCCGCCTCAGTCTTCCGAGTAGCTGGGACTACAGGCGCCCACCACCACGCCTGGCTAATTCTTGTATTTTTAGTAGAGACAAGGTTTCACCATGCTTGCCAGGCTGGCCTGGAACTCCTAACCTCAAGTGATCCACCCACTTTGGCCTCCCAAAGTGTTGGGATTACAGGTGAGGGCCTGTGCATTTTAACTTAAGTTCTGGAGTGCGTTGTGTGACAGAGTATTCATCCCAGGGGTTGGCGAAAGAACTGAGATGAAGAAGGCCAGATAGTAGTTTGTCTAAAATATTAATTTCCAAGCTAAGACTCATAGTGAAATATCAGATACTATGGCAGTGAGACAGAGATGCATGAAGGGGTTTAACATGTTTTTGTGAGGGATTTTGAGTGATATTGGTGCCATAAAAAAAAACTGCTTTGGTGCCCAGATAACAAAATGTGAAACAGAATGGGTAATCCCCATTCTCCTCATCTCAGTTTCTAGAGGACTCTCAGGAACATGAAACCTTCTTCACACCTTAAGGTTTCCTTGTGGTGAATCCTGAGTGAAAACACTCTTGGCCCAGATATTAAAATTCTTGTAGAAAGCACTGAAAACAATGACAGTGATGAGATGCCGCCTTCAAGTAACTTTACGGACAACCTCTAATATTAGGAAAGAAGGTAGTCATGGAAAGATGAGGGGAAACAAAGACATACTCCCAAATATATAGTTCCTGAGTTGCCACTGAAGTCCTGAGGACCTCCCGAAAATATCTTGGCAAGAAAATGAGGCTGTGAGATGAAGGGGATGACTAGTGGCTTAAGATGCTACATTATCACTCATAGAAGCCACAGACAGTTAATTGGTTACTTATTTCACCTACAGCCACAAACTCGTAGATTTAGGGAATCTCAATTCTGACTGTGTTAGGAGAAGAATCTGGAAACCAGCTGAATATAAGGAAATATTTTGTGTTTGCTTACTTTACTTTGCAAAGAAATCTCATGACCTAAAATAACAGAAATAAATACCAATTTGCCAAAATAATTTTGTCATGTTGATAAATGAAGAAAAAAATGAAAAGGGTCACTGAGAATAACAGATCATTATGTACTATTTAAAATGAGACAAATTTAACCACATAGAATATCTTGTGAATTGCAAAGGTGTCAAATGCTGCACAGAAAAGGATCTGATACAGTAAGTAGAATAAAATGAGGATGAATGGCTAATTAAATACCCCCTCGTAAACTTGTTTGTGATTGTTGGACAATATTGTATTGCTTGAAATTCACATGTTGTTTTATTTTAATTTTTAATTTTTGTGGGTACATAGTAGGTGTATATGTTTATGGGTTATATGAGATATTTTGATATAGGCCTGCAATGAATAATAATCACATCAGGGTAAGTGGGGTAAATTACCTCAAGCTTTTATCTTTTTGTTTCAAACAATTATACTTTTTCAGTTGCTTTAAAATGAACACTTACATTATTTTTTACTATAGTCACCCTGTTGTGTTAGCAAATACTAGGTCTTATTTATTATTTCTAAGTATCTTTCTGTACTCATTAACAATACCCCCCTCACCTGATACCCTTCCCAGCCTCAGGAAACCATCCTATTACTCTCTATCTCCATGAGTTCAATTGTTTTAATTTTTAGCTCCCACAAATAAGTGAGAACATGTAATGTTTGCCTTTCTGTGCCTGGCTTACTTCACTTAACATAATGACCTCCAGTTCTATCCATGTTGTCGTAAACGAAAGGGTTGCATTCTTTTTTATGCCTGAATAGTACTCCATTGTGTATATGTACCACATTTTCTTTATCCATTCATCTGTTGATGGACACTTAGGTTGCTTCCAAATCTTGGCTGTTGTGACTAGTGCTGCAATAAACATGGTAATGCAGATATCTCTTTGATACACTGATTTCCTTTCTTTTGCGTATATACCTAGGAGCGGGGTTGCTGGATTGTGTGGTAGCTCTAGTTTTAGTTTTTGAGGAACCTGGAAACTGTTCTCCATAGTGTTTGTACTAATTTACATTCCCACCAACATTGTATGAGAGCTCCTTTTTCTCCACATCCTCACCAGCATTTCTTATTGCCTGTCTTTTGGATAAAAGCCATTTTAACTGTGGTGAGGTGATAATCACATTGTAGTTTTGATTTGCGTTTCTCTGATGATCAATGATGTTGAACACAAATGGCCTGTTTGCCATTTGCATGTCTTCTTTTGAGAAATGACTACTCAAATATTTTGCCCATGTTTTTATTGGACTATTAGATTTTTTCCTATAGAGTTGTTTGGGCTCCTTCTATAGTCTGGTGATTAATCCCTTGTCAGATGGGTAGTTCACAAATATTTTCTCCCATTCTTTGAGTTGTCTCTTCACTTTGTTGATTGTTTCCTTGGCTGTGTGGAAGCTTTTTAACTTGATGTGATCCTATTTGTCCATTTTTGCTTTGGTTGCCTGTGCCTACAGAATATTACTCAAGAAGTCTTTGCCCAGTCCAGTGCCCTGGAGAGTTTCCCCAATGTTTTCTTTCAGTAGCTTCATAGTTGGAGGTCTTATATTTAAGTCTTTAATCCATTTTGGTTTGATTTTTGTATATGGTGAGAGGTAGGGGTCTAGTTTCATTCTTCTGCATATGGATATCCAGTTTTTGCAGCACCATTTATTGAAGAGACTGTCCTTTCCCCAGTGTATGTTCTTGTTGAAAATGAGTTCACTGTCAGTGTGTGGATTTGTTTCTGGGTTCTCTATTTTGTTCCATGGGTCTATATGTCTGTTTTTATGCAGTACCATGCTGTTTTGGTTACTATATCTCTATAATATAATTTGAAGTCAGGTAATGTGATTCCTCCAGTTCTGTTCTACACATTGTTTTTAAAGTAAGAATCATCACATTCAGACAAAAACAAAAACATGCTTAGTGAATGTAAATTTTCATCAACAATCTTATGTTTTCAATGAATAAACCCAGAATAAATAATGTAGAGACAATATAATTTTGGGTTTGCCATTTGGGTATTGGTGCCATCTTCATCACTTATTAATCCCTTAACTCTATTGCTGAGAAGTTTATAATTGTTTTAGATAAATGTCCTATGCAAAGGGTTTTGGGACTATCTGGAAAATACAGTGATTAAAAGATATTTCTTTTAGATTTTTGTTTTCCCTGACATTGAAAGCAGAGCAATATAAAACATCTTCATTTGTGTCTAAGCATTTTAAAGTCATGCATTACATTTAAATAGAAAATAAACATGAAGCCAAGAAAGAAGGTCATTATTCAAAACTCACTTTACCACTGACTCATTTAAAAATTAAGTCAAGTAATTCACAAAACCATTGTTCCTTACTGAATCACAACCTCCCTGTCAATTAAGGAAAAAGGATCAAAATAAATATCTTGCAGCTATGGCAACACAATTTTCAAAAGACTATAAAGATAAACAGAAATGTGTTTTCAAAAGAAGAAATTTTCTTCAAAACATCAGATGCATAGTAATAGATATGCTGTGGTATTAGATAGGATTAACACACCTCTCTGACACACACAGAAAGGAATAAAGAACACTGAGTGTAACAGTAAGAAAAGCTTAGTTGTGTGGCATTTTTCTTCGTAATTTTATTTTAAAAATCTGACGCTAGGGTTATAATACCCAACGCCCAAAGTAAATATACTTTTGGTACCTTTTAAAACACTATTTCAAGAAAATTGAGTAGCTCTATTTTGCTTTACAGCACTGTAGATCAAGCTTATAATGAAATAATTATTTGAGTAACAATTTTTAAATGTCTTCCTCCTTTGCCAAATCTAAGATTTCATGAAGGAAGAGAATATATCTCTCAGTTTCTTCATGGAATTGCGCCTACTGACTGGGACATTATAAGTCCTCAGTAGGAATATTTTTGAAAGAATAAATGAGTTACTGTACATTCTCTTGAACATAGTTTTGACAATGGTCATAATTTATTGTATTTTATTTATTTGACTATTTATACACACATATTAATTTATACATTAGTATTTACAAGAATTTGGGTTTCTGGCCTATATTTAAAAATCTAACAAGCATAGAAAAGGTTTATCTGTGGCAAAGCAGAATAAACGTTTATCTGAAAAAGATCCTGAACCTCAAATATCTCCCTTCCTGATCCCTCATAGTCCACCACTTAAGATTTCTTTCTATTTTTCTGCACTACTTTTTCCAATGGTCTTATTTGAGAATGCAGATTCTCTAGGGAGAGGCTTTCCAGAGTCTAGAATATATTAGTGTGAATTAGTTTTGCCATTTCACTTTTCTAATTGGGTTTTTCTGGCAAAAACTTCATACTGAAATGATCTTGGCACAATTTTTCAGTCTCTTGATTAGTGCAGTAAAAATATATACAGGATAAAGAGGATGGAAGTTTCTAATATACTGGAGGGGAGGGTCAGGAAAGGTGTACTTTCTATTTAGTTGACAACTCTCTACCGTAATGATTTATTCAGTAATATTTTCAAATACTTAATCTTCTCTTATATATCCTGGAGGCGATTGATTGGAGTTGTTGGTAGCTGAACCTTTCTGATATGTTTTCGGTAAAAGTGTATTGACATATGGCTGGGCGCGGTGGCTTACGCCTGTAATCCCAGCACTTTGGGAGGCCAAGGCGGGCGATCATGAGGTCAGGAGATCAAGACCATCCTGGCTAACAGGGCGAAACCCTGTATCCACTAAAAAAAATACAAAAAAATTACCTGGGCGTGGTGACGGGCGCCTGTAGTCCCAGCTGCTCGGGAGGCTGAGGCAGGAGAATGGCGTGAACCTGGGAGGTGGAGTTTGCAGTAAGCCAAGATCACGCCACTGCACTCCAGCCTGGGCGACAGAGCAAGACTCCGTCTCAAAAAAAAAAAAAAAAAAAAAAAAAGCAACTTAAACACATAAAATGTTCAACTCACAAATGTATAGCTCATTGAATTTGTGCAGAGTTAACATATTCATATAACGGGCACCCAAAACACTAGCAGCTCCACTAAAGCTCCCCTTGCACTTCCTTCCGGTAACTGACTTTTAACACCATATATAAGTTTTCCGACTTTTTAGCTAGCAGCTCTCTATAGAATGTGTAGGCATTTATCATCTATTTTTTTTTTCAGTTTTTCAGCTCTAGCCAAAATTCTGAGAAAGAAACACAATCCTATTCGATATCCTCTGACATGTCTATAAAAGACCAAACCTCTTAAAATAATTTTGAGACCCACCCAAAGGAGAAATAACTGTAATTTTTACATTTAATGTTTGATGTATTTTTCCAAAATCATATCAGAGAGTTGATTTCATCTGTTCTTATTACCTCTTGCCTTGAAAACTGGGGAAATCAGCACTCAAATTTTCCCCCAGAAGTAATTATTCTCAAAGGGACAGGTTCTAGTCGATCCTTCATTTACACTGACTTAAAAATAAAAGAAATCCAAATTCTCAATGAACTTTAGATTTAGAAGATTAGACCTGCAAGATACCATAATGATCATTCCACACAGCCAACTCAATTTACAAATGAGAAAGTGAAGGCCTAGGCAAGTGAAGTGTTTCATCACAATATTAGGTTAGGCAGACCTGTCCTAGGACCTAAGTCTTCCTAAATAGGGTGCATGGCTCTTTTCAAACTACAGGCAGAGATACTTCTGTAGAGTGAGATAGCCTGGATTTAAGCTCTGGCTTCACCACTGACTAGCTAGGTGAGCTTAGGCAAATTGCTCATGTCTCTGAGCCTTGGTTTACTCATCTTCATAATGAATTATTATGGTAATTGAATGAGATAATGCAGGTAAAGTACTTAGTGTAGTTTTCAGTATATAATCAACACTCAGAAAGTGACCATTATTGCTGCTGCCATTTTTGATGGAGAGGAAGAAAACCAGGTGTGACTTCACTGCATACATTCTCATAAATATGAGGCATCAGGCATTTAAAAACATGCTTAGAGATGCCATAATGGGGTGTGGCACTCATGTCTGGCAGCCTTCTTATACACTCTAGTTTTCCCTGAAACCCAGGAACAAGACTGTTGGTGGAGGAAAGGAAAAACAAAACCAACTAATATGTTCCTTAGTCACTGGACCTCAGCACTTTTTGTAGCATTAAATGTCATAGAATAAATGCTCCCTCAGAAGGCTTACCCTCTCAAGCCCCCTCTTCTATTGGAGATGTGGGGAATCAGAAACATTCACTGACCAACAGTTAGATAATTATCTATGACTGTCAAAATACCTCAGAATAACATCTTTGGGAGGTCCAGCAAAAATCAATTATAAATGGATTTATTAGAGTAAGGATGTTCACCAGAAAGATTATTTCTCACCACTTACCTCACATATGAAGAGTTACGAAACTTTTTTCTCCCTTGATTTGGACACCAGTACAATGTAGTCTAAGAAGAATTGACTTTATTAGCAGACTCATCCATCATTGGATCATTTTGTTCTTGTGGTCCTTGCAGTCGTTTGACATCTGGTGTTAGCAATTCGGTCCAGGTTTTTAACATCTGAAAATTGAGCATCGTATCTCCTATGCCTGCCTCTGAATATTTTCAAATTTAACAGGCTAGAATGGAAGGTAGTAATACTATGTGATGTACACATCTGCTCCCATTACACAAATATTTATATGGTCCATTATCCAATGCATTTTGGATATAGCCATTCAGACACCTACAAATCCACTTAAGTGTACAATTATCCAGTTCCTTTAGTATCCTCTTCTCCACCAAAACAAAGTGATAAAGAATCCTGCCTTTCCCTTACAGAAACGACAAGAATAACCTCATGAACTTCTCCAAATATATGCACAGTTGCTAAAATATCAACTAAATTATATTGGCCAATCATACTACACCTACTTCAGGTCAGAATCCTTTTTCTAAAACTTCCTTATTTCGCTTCAATCTTTGTTTTGTTAACTTAGAAAAACAGGAAAAAAATTGAAGATCAGCTTTTATTGACATCTAAATATACATTCTCTGAAATGAGCACATTATTGAAAGTATTACTAGTCTTGTTCGCATACTAGACATAATTTTATATTTCATCCAGTCTAGCTACCCAAACAAACACTAGATTAATCCATGCAGTAGGTATCAGGTAAACAGCATAAGATTCTATCACACACTTCTCAAAGCAAGTATTTAAATGCTTCAGCATCTGGGCGACAGAGAGAGACTCCATCTCAAAAAAAAATGCCTCAACATCATTCTGATTCAGTAAATAAATGAGAGTCCTAGCAATCTAAGAACTTTTCTACTCACATGGAGGCTTGCTTGTTTGACAGTCTCTCTGGGAGTTTCAAGACACCCATCTGCAGCTGTTCTACTTTTTACTGGGCTTTATGAAACACATGCCTCACAAAGAAAAAACCATCTGCTCATTCAGGTGCAGAGTAATACTTGAGCATACTTGAGGAAGGAGAAGAGAAAAGTGGTCACTGGAAATGGATGTGGTTTTCTGGGGGTCCGTGCATGAATTATGTAACAATCCATTTCTTGTCATTATTTAAAGCCACAATTCATAAAAGGAATACAACGTAATCATGATATATTGATGAATTTGGCTAGACTTCAAAAATGTTATCTAAAACCAAAAGGAATTTTTATGGTTTTGTTTTTTAGTTGTACTTATTTGTACCAGTTATTTAGTCTTTTGTCTCTCAGCTTCAAATATACCCTTGTGTATTCTACAATGCTAAGGCTGGAACTCTGAAAACTATATTTTCTAGACACTTTGCCAGTTGTCTTCCCATTAGCTTCAACCAATAGAAGACGCTAGAGAGAGATTGGAAAGCAAGGGGGAAGAGAGGGAGCTGTTTTTGTTTCATGCCCCAGTTCCTTTCAGTTTAATTTCTTCTTGAAATTACCAGAACCAGCCTCATTGTGCCAACTCAAAGGTACCAGAAGTATTCAGGTGTTTTTGTCTCTTCAGAGGTCTGAGTTCTAGCTATCTAGGGTCTCTCTTCTGAGATCCTAAGTTACCAGAAGCAGCTGGTACCAATTCAGCCAGGCCCTCTTCCAAGCTCCTACTCTCTGGTTACTTCAACCTCTTCTCTTTTATATTCCCAGACTTAGAGATGGTAGATACTTCCTGCAGCTATCTTTGGGTTACTTTCCTTTTTACTATTTTAGCTCTCCAACATTTATATATCCAATTCTCTATATTAATTTTTTTCTGCTAAATACCTAGTGTGGTTTCTGTTTAACTAGCTGGATTCTAACTGGTACACTAAATGACAAGCAGTTTAACTTCATGGAATTCTATGAGGTAATATGATTGCCCTTTTATAGAAGAGGAACATCAGGGTGAAGAGGATAAATTGCTGCCCAAAGTCACATATTTGGTGTGGAAAAGAGGCAGAAGGTTAATCTAAAGGTCCTTTACCGCATGTACCATGCTCCCTTCCTGCTTAGAAGCCATGATCCCAGGCTTCAATAAATTTATAGACAAATTACACCATCATATATGTTTCTGGATATTTACAAAATTAAATGTGTATGAGTTGACTTAATCATTTAACTTGATTAACTTAACTTGATCATTTAACTTAACCATCAAAAAGATTAGATATTCTGAAATCTAGTTTTACTACGTAAAATCAAAGGGTAAAAAATGTTAGAAAGGTGTAAAGAAATAATTTAATCCATCCTTCTACTATTAGGCAAGTCTTCATCTAATGCTTATGATTAAGTAAACAAAAAAGAAATAATTAGTGTGGGAGAAGGGAGATGTAACATTGAAGAATTTAATTGGATTTTATTGAAGTAAGAAGTGGCAGACTAAACAATAAATAGGGAAATGGTACAGTTATATTGGTAGAATAGAAATAATAGCTGATCAGGGACAGAGGCACGGGGATTTCGAATCCCATTTTGCCACTGACTCACTTGGTAATATTTGACAAGTTATAAATGGCCTGTTGTTCACTTCTCCTAAAAGAAAACAGAGGAAAGATGATATGATACTAATGCTCTATATCATAGGTCCATTGTGAGGAATAACTATTCGAAGAAATTATAAAGTACTTCAAAAATATCAAATACTCCATAACAATACATCTTAATAGACAGAAATGATTCAAATTTCCAGGTTACTATAACAACTAAATCCTAAAGTGATCCTTTAGAAACAAGACAAGATGCTATATAAAAAAATTATAAGAATTCATTTCTATTTTCATCCCACCCATTCCAATAGGAAAGTCTGACTTTAAAAGAGTGAATAAACAGAAATTGTGCAAACACTCAGGTCCCTCAGTTCTCTGGAGGCCATTGAGCTAAGCTTTAGAAAATCCAATCCCCTGAATGTTTTGTCCAATTCACACATTTCCACAAAGAAATCCAAGAGCTATATGGAGATACTAAGAAGATAGTGTCTGTGAAAGTTTTACAGGAGGGCTTTAGGACACTTCAGCAGACACATAGCATGCTGGGAGGGATAAAGTACTGAACTAGAGGGAGTAACTTAGTTGGCAGGCAGGGTAGTCCTTGCCCAAAACAGTAGCCCAGAAAGTAATGGATAGCTATAATCTGAACCAAAATATAAACAGTCTTAATGAAACGTAATTCTAAAACAAAATGTAAGACCCAATATTCAATACTACTCACTAGGTTCAGAATCTAGTGTAATTTTGGACAGATGCTGAAATCAAACAAGTGGCATAATCTGGGAGAATTGACTAACGACATAAACTTGGATATGACAGTAGCATATCTTGAGAAGCAGAGTTGTATCTAGATAAGTTTATCCAAGATAAGGCAGGAAAATGTGGAACCTAGAACTCAGTTCTGGGAAACAAAGCTAGTTATTTAAAGGCAGAAAATCAGGCACCAATCAATAAGTCAGGATAGAGGGCTTTGCCCCTCTCATGCTCTAAAAACCTGAGACCCAAAAGATAGGTAGGTAAGCCGTTAGTGTCTCAGAGGCAAATCCAGGGGATTATTAGATTCCAAAAGTGTCATCAAGGTGTTGAAAATTACTAGGATCAATTGCTTGCTAGTCATTTCAGTCCGTATCTCCATCCTCTTACCGCCACCCCCAGGTTGCTGAGGACTATTATAAGCCTTCTCTATTGCCCTCCTACCAGGAATTTGGGGGAATTGCTTAATGTTTTCTGTCTAGACTGCCCTTAATACGAGGTCAAGGGGAAGAAGCCTACAGATCACAGGAAGATCAATTTCTTCAACTGAACTGGAACCTACAATAAAAAGGAAATTGACCCATAGGATTATTTTATAAGTAAAGTATATATTTATAAAATTATTAAAATATTTCATTATTTGTCACATTAAACAATACTAGAAACATTACCTTAAATTAGCAGATATTTTACAGATAATTTATACAACTGACCTAGCGACCAGCAAAGAAAAAAATATATATATGTAGAGAACAAATGCATAGAATTCATTAAGCAGAGAAAGATTTCTACCTGAAAAAATGTTAGCAAGGTCAAGGAAAGTGTTAATAAAGTAGAGTATAGAGGACTCACTCTGAGCCACTGGAGAATCTGTGGCACAGAAAGATAGAAGGCAAATGTTTCTTAACAAAACAGTATTGTAATTAACATATTCATACTTAACTGTGTGCCAAGCACTTTATAAATTTTTGAAAACTTCTCATATGATAAGTCCTCAAAGCCACCCTATGAAATGGGTACCATGTTTATTCTCATTTTACATGTGAATAAACTGAATTAAAAAGAAGTGATGCTACTGGCCCAAGGTCAAACAGTTAATAAATTGCGGTAGCGAAGTTTCGACCCAGGCAACTTGATTTTAGAGTCTATGTTCTTAACCAATACATTATTCAGCCTATTCAAGCGCTGACTCCAGAGGGGCAATTCTGGTTCTAAGGCAATTTTCTTCAATACCTCCTCACTGCATACTGATGATTCTTGTTTTACGGCAAGTTAAAACATATCTATCCAGACAATGTTCACAAAAGACATGATCTTTTCAATAATTAAGTTTAATTATCTGATGTTTCCTTTTTGTAAACACAGTAGAGCTTCCGAATAATGCTAATATTTAAAACTGGCATTTGAATAATAGGAAAACCTATTAAAATGTGGTTTTATAGGTTGAATTAGTAGAAGTTGTGAAGCACTCTTTGATCTGTCTTATAAGCAAATCATAGAGGAGCGGGACCCAAATCTAGTGCTTTACAAGGTCAGATGGAAATAATGCTTTACCCAAGTAACTCTGGCCACGTAAAATAGACTGACAGTCAATCAGTGCAAATTCTCCAAGGACTCTAGGTGGCCAGGATTCACATGCCAGCCCAACCAGTGACCACACTGTTAGTTTTATGTATGATTCTGTGCCACATGTTCAGAGATTATCAGTGTCCTCATTTTTTTAGATACAAACACAGCCTCAGGATAAGGAATGAAGTGGCCTGAGGTCACTCACACAAGTGGTTAAGAGCTGAGCTATAGATTTCGAACCAGTCTTCTGACCTCTGTTCTTTGACCCTTGACCTGCTTCCCCACTCACTTTAGTTTAATGTTGGCAAAAAGTGATGTCAAAAGAGGAAATGAAGATTTAAAACGATCAGAGAGAACTCTTCTTAGAATAGGCTATAGCACTGAAAGCTAGATGGCAAAAGCACTTTTTAGCCCATGATTTACAGAAAGTCTGTATTTAATACCATCTTTAGTAATATTGACAATTTATACCTAGGTGGTTGTAGTTATTCAGTGTAAATAATCCACTGGTGTAAGATTTGCCCTCTAAACTTCAAAGGCAACAAAGAAAAAACAACTGCTACTATGAAGTATTTATAATTTGTGTTTGTTTAAGTCAGAACACCTAGCAGGGAACACAAATCATTCTAGTTATATGAAGAAAAAGGAAGATTTAAATCAGGAACTTAGGTGTTATAAAACCAGTGGAAGCCCCGGAGGAGCAGCAAGCAGGAGCCATCACTGAAATTCTTAGGTATAAAACTATGCTGCCCATACAGATGTGATCCAAGGATTAGGAAGCTGCCTGTGGACATCAACTAAGCTGGTTGTTTCCTTCGGAAACCTTGATTTTGATTGCCATAGGTCTTCCTAGACATTCTTGGATTTATAATCTCTATAGGCCAGCAGAAACAGCCTCTGGAATTTGGTCTCTGCCTGAAGTCCACCTTCTAAGCGGAACTCCTCCTCTACTTCTAATGAGGAAATTTAATTAAAAGGAACTACTTCATATGTAGAATCTTAGCTGCAAGGGGGTCTAGGAAATGCAGTTTTCAATTTCCAGCCTTTGCGGAATAGGACAGTACACAGAAAAAGGAGGGAGTGAATGAGGAATTCCAATCAGTCATACTCAGCATGATATTAGTGTTTTGTCATTTAATTATAGTAAAAATACATCCTAAACAAGGTTTTGGAAAACCAAAGTGTTATAGTAAGACTCCTTTTGTTCACCGCTTCTTGTAGCAAGAAGGGGAAAAGGATAGAGGAGGAGTAAAGAAAGAAGACAGTCTGAGTATTATCTTGGGCATTTCATTCCAGTTGTCCAGCTACGTAGTATGGAAGACAACTTGGAAAAGAGCCAAAACCTAAAGGATGGTCTTTTAAAATTACTCATTTAAAAAAAAAAGTTTACATCCCTGCCTGGGGCCATACTTTAAGCACTTCTCAGGGATTTGATAACCTTTAAGATTATTAGCAGGATTGGTGATAGGAAACAAGGGTGGGATTCAGAGACAAATATCACCCATTTCATATTTTTCCCCTAAAGGAAATTTCATGCTAAGTGTAACTTTGACTCAGTCTTAAATGCCAGCTCCTCTACTTTTGTGATCTTTAAGTAAGTTGCTTGGACTTCCAATACTCCATGATTTTGTATGATAAAGATGAAAATAGCATACTTATAGGCTTTTCTCACTATTATATTAACTAATTTTGGTAATGCTTTCATTATGAATGTTAAAAGACAGAATGAAAATAATAATAATAATTCAAAGTTCCAAGAAATTATCAGGACCTGAACAAATCGGGCTTATCTGAGTCCTAATTCAACATACTTTCTATGACACTCCCTCTCTAAAATGTATCTCTATCATTATAGAGAATACACAGTCTCGAGTATACTGAGTATATATAAACAGAGACGTCCTTTCAAGTGTAGAATAAATATGCATGTAGCCCCTAAGAAAGTTCTAATGGAAATTTTTGACTTACAGAAAGAGTAAGCCTTGCTAAGTAATTCAAGTCATCCACATTATTAGTTTATACAAAAAAAATAGCTTCTCTTCTTCCAAAAATAAGCCTAACTTCAGAAAGAAATCACTTAATCACTTGCAGATTTATTTTAGAGGAAAAAAAATTGACTTCTTTGTACATATGGAATTTGAAATTGTAGTCCTATGTGAACCATTTATATTAATCTTGGATGATTAAATTCAATTTATTCAGTTAATTATATTTAAGGGGAAAGCAGAATCAGTGTAATATATTGTAGACACTGTAATAAACTAATATTTGGGATAAGAAAATTTTGCAAGTTACCGATAGCATATAAGCCAATAGGATAAGTAATAAAATAGACAAGATTTATTGTCTTGTCAAACTAGTCGGAATAAAAGAATATCCATCCATCCATTTATTTGAGAAATATTTATTGATCATCTACTATGTCCAGGTCGATGCTAAGTGTTTAGAAAACAAAAATTAACATCATGGTACCATCCTAAAGAAGTTCACAGTTAAGTAGGGACGGCAATGGGAGGGAAATGAAAATCAAATTTAATAAGCCATAATCGTGGTGTTGCACCTCAGTTTCCATGCAATGCAGATTCTGAGAAGCTTAATTATGCAGGAAATTTATTAGGGGGTGCTCTATGGATCAACACCCATGGAGGAAGAGAAGGAAGAGAGGTTTGGCACAGGGAAAGGCTAGTTTGCCATATAGTTTCAACAATGTCCTCAACAAATCTCATGGGGAGCTCTGAAGCCAAGATCGCCGTTCAGAATTGTCCTAAACCGGTACAAGAGGTCAGGTCATCATATCACCTATACCAACGAGTGACTGGAATGCAGTCCACACCTGAGAAGGAGGTATGACTTTGGGTAAGGCAGCTCTTCACAAACAAGGGAAATGCATTTTCGGCAACTGGGGGAATAGATCCTAAAGTGGAATCTGAGCAAGAAGCCCAGCGACAACAAGTGGTATAAACACAGTGCAGCAGGGCTTAGCTGAAGGGAGCCAACTAACTCTGTGTGACGCAGCCAGAAAGTACAGGCTGGGTAAAATGTAATTGAAGAGGTATTTAAACTGAAGCATGGACTATGGTGATGATTATTTTAAGTAACAAAGCTAGGGAATCCATCTTCAGGCCCAGGAAGAGCATGGATAAAGGAATGGAGGTGAAAGAGCAAAACATAATCAGAGAAAGGTGAAAATGAATCCAAATAGAAATTAGAATAAATGTTAAGGGGAAAAAACCAAGTCTGGAAAAAGGGATTGGGAAGGGATTTGAAAAGAGCCTTGGAAACTAAGACAAGAAATATGGACTTTCTCCTCAAAAGAAATCTGGATCTAACAAGGGATGTAAAGGGATGAAGTAATAGGATTTTATTTAAAGAACATAATTCTGCAAACACTGAGGGTGGATGTTTGGAATAGAGAGAAACCAAGGGCAATGCAATGTGTTTACAATAACTTGAACACTAAACTGTGATAATGAATCAAAAATGCGTCCTCTTCACAGAGATAAAACAGTATGACATGAAGTAAATGATGACGCATATATTCCACCAAATTATCAAGAAATAAATTAGCCCTCCCTCTCCTACACACAAACACAACATACAACACTACCCAGGTGGCAAAAGGTCCTTCCTGGTTTTAGTACCAACATCAAATAATAACCAGTAGCACTGAGGAATTAGGTAAGAGCTTCAAACATACAAATGCCTGCCAGTTTAGTCGAGAAAGGAGGATTTGAATGGTAACCAGGTAAACACCGAGAGCAACCAACAATAATTGTTCAACTCCATTAAATGGCAACTGATTTCCCAGATCAACTGTTTCTCATTCAATGACAGTAAACAAGCTAACAAAACTTTGCAGCATATGACACAAGAATATTCTATACTGAAGCACAACATTGATAAGCAGAAAAAAATATTTGTTATATAAAGTATATGATACAGTGAATTATATTGTGACTTGAATAAAAATCCAAGAAAAAATAGTCTTTGAAATGAGATAAAATATGAGGTAGCACAACAGTCTGACAAGAAAAGTTTGATGGCGAAGATATATTTAGTTATTCATTCAATAAATATTTATTGAGCAGTCTTAGGTTGGCAGACCTAAGAGGCCGACTCTGAAATAAGGATTCCTATGCGAGTGTTTTTTTTTTTTTTTTTTTTAAAGGAAGCACTCCAAGAAAAGACCAGTGAGGGAGTGGGAGATGTAAGCTCCCAGCTTCAGCCTGAAGTGTAAATTGCACCTCCAGTATTCTCACACCAGTCAGTCTTTGGCTAAAGCCCACCCAGAGTGGCTATGTAAACTCCCAGGTGGTTCCAACTCTCTGCGTGCATGAGCAAGCGAATCAGTTCCAGCAGCCAAAGGGTAATTCTCTGAACAGAGGCACAGACACTATTTAGGCATTAGAAGGAAAGTGCAGAGTAGCTGAGGGATAGGCACACACAAAGGGTAGAAGGGATCCCAGGGGATCTGAGCACTTACTGTGAAATCACTGTAAGTGTGGGTACTACGACTACAGGGGTAAACAAGGCACACAGTGTCCCTGCACTAGTACATCTTACTTTGTAGGCTGGGAAATGCGGGCAATAAAACAAACAAACCAAAATTCTAAATGGGATAGGGATGGTTTACATAAATACAGTAGAGGAAATTCACATGTAAAAAGTAAGAGAGAAAGAAGGGGCATCTTATTTTCTATTATGGAGTCAGGAAAGGCCTCTCAGACAAAGGAATATTGGCTCAGATACATGAAGCTATGTCTTAATGAAATTAAAACAGAGCTAGGTTATATAAGAAAATATAATAAAGTAAACATCCAGTGGTAGAATGAAATCTGTATTAAAAAGAAAAAAATATCACCTTCACATCAAAAACAGACTCTTAAGTATATCATAGTGAGTTCTCTGGGATAGTGATTTAATGCTTGAGTTTTAATGCATTATGTGTGGGGACAGTAAATAAACCCTGAGATCCAAGAAGCATGGGAATTCAGATCAAAGATCCAACATATAGATACAGTTCCTAAAGGGACACACTTTCAATAGGTAAACTAGTAAAAAGTGGTAAAGATTTCTGTCTGTCTTGGTCACGACTTTGCATAGAACAGGCAGACAAACAAAACTCTACAATGCCTAACCACTTGTCTGCACTCATGTGGGCGTGGGGTCTAAATTCACACTATCCATATGGCCCAAAAAACCCAAGATGAAACATGAGGTTATTTGATGCTGGAGTGATAGTGTCCCCGGGTTCCTGAAGAAGCAATACAAATTCTTAATATGTTATGGGCACAAAAGTTCCAAGAAACATGAGCTCACAATAAAGAAGAAATCAGTAAATACATCAGGAAAACTATGAGGAAGAACTAAGAGAAACAGCAAAGTACAAAATCAGGCCCACAAAGATTGGAGATTTGGTTATTATCAGACTTACAATATAAATTTGCTTGATATATATATAAGACTTACAGCATAACAAAAGAAAAAGAGATTATGAAAACCAGCAGACAGGTATGAATCAGTCTGTTAAAACTTTGAGAAATTAAAATTGTGGTGAGGCAATATTTGAAAAGATAACGGATAAGAATATTCCAATAATTTTATTTTTTTTAATTTACTGATTTTTTTTAACTTTTAAGTTCAGGGGTACATGTGCAGGATGTACAGGTTTGTTACACAGGTAAACCTGTGTCATGGGGGTTTGTTGTACAGATTGTTTCATCACCCAGGTATTAAGCCTAGTATCCATTAGTTATTTTTCCTGATCCTCTCCTCCTCCCACCTTCCACCCTCCAATAAGCACCAATGCGTGTTGTTCCCTTCCATGTGTCCGTGTGTTCTCATCTTTTAGTTCCCACTTATAAGTGAGAACATGCTGTATTTGGTTTTCTGTTCCTGTCATTAGTTTGCTAAGGATAATGGCCTCCAGCTCCAATGGTATTCCAATAATTTTAAAAGAGACAAATCCTCAGAGTTATCACTTACAGTACCATATCCCACAATGGTACTTCTCAATGATAAAATTCAAGTAGAAGTAAAGTAGTCCCAGAACGATGGCCTGAAGTATAAGAAAGGACTGAAGAACAAATAAAAAGGTAAACATGCTGGTATACTATGTAAATATTTAGTGTGTAAAACAACAACAATAACAGTAGTAACCTGGATTAGGAGAAGTTAAAAACAACCATGATAAAACTGAAGTCCTAAATACAAACATCATTTAAGGAACAAGAGACATGATAGGAGTTAATATTTTCTAAAGTCCCTGTTTCTCTGAAAATGGGAAAAATGATAAATCAATTTTAAACTTTGATAATCATTACAATAATGAGAAAGAAAAAAAGCAGTCCCTGACTGCTGTTAGCTCGGAGGAGGTCTGGCTAACACAGCAAGGCCATGGTGTTCTTTTGTTAAAACTGAACAATCTCACATAACAACAACACCAGGCAAGGCCACTCTGTGATTATGATTGAGCAATACAAAAGCAGGACCGCTTCGTAATCATATCTGAGCGCAGGAAACACATGAACCTTGTCCAAACCACAAACATGACCAAACATTCTCCATCCTGGCTAATATATATGGCTGCTGCTTCTTTACCAATGACAGTTTTAGCCCAGCTCCTTTCCTTCTGCCTTCTGGTTAAAACATCATTGTTTCCCAATCAGCGAATTGGCCCTACTTTCTGAGAGCATCCAATCCAGACAAAGCCCATCCTCAAAATTACCTAAAACAAACCAAAATCCCATAACAAGCCCCACCTAACACTCTCATAACTGAGACACCTCACCATTCCTCAGGATATGCTGTCCCCATCGTTGCCACAAGAAACCAAACTTTGTTTGACCACAGGTATATCCCTAGAGATCTTTGGTTGGAGGACACTGACAGCACTTTAAGATTATTAGGATAATCATTACAAACTAAAAATAGACTTTATTTCCAATCTAGTAGAGAGAAAAATGGGGAATGATGAAAAGGAAGAGAAACTAACAATCCAAAAGGAAGTAAGAAATGGAAAAGGAAAAAGAACCAGAAAAAGGATAAATAGAACATATAAAATACTATAGTAGAAAAAATCCAAATATAGCAGTAACCTTCACCAACATCAATTCATTAAAGTTTACAGACACAAGATAAAGATTATCATTTTACATAGGGAAAGCCTTAAAATAAACGATTGGATAAAGATATGAAGAAAAAAACATTCAAAAGAAAGCTGGCAAATCTAAACTAGTATTGGATAAAAATGAGTATAAGGGAGAAAGCAGTATAACGAGAAGTAAAGTAGAATTTGTAAGTGTGGGTGAAATGTTCACATAAAAGACTGTTAGTTATCTTCAGACGTGTGCTCTCTACTTCTTCCATAATTAAAAGCAATGTAATTTTAGCTACACACATTCCAGCCCTGAATAAAGATATTTACTAGTCTTTCTTGTGGCTAGATGTGGATGTAAGCAAAAGTAATGTGCGCTATTAACACAGCAAAAGGTAATAAAACCATGATATTTATAGGGAACAATTAAAGAAATTTAAAGAAACTAGAGACTATTTGGTACAGATACAGGAAGAATCAGGGACAACACCCTAACTATTTTTAAATATGTGAAAGGCTGGCATATGGAAGAGGAATTAAGTTTGTTCTTTACGGCTTCAAAGAGTGTGTTTGCAAAAATAGGTCAACATTACAAAGAGGCAGAATTCAGCTAAATACAATAAAGATGTTCTGTTTATAAACCATTACAATTTCTACAGTAGGTCTGTAAATTCGAAGTTAGAATGAACTACTTTAAGGGTCTCAAACTAGGCCCAGAGTTTCTTATTAGGAATATTGTAGAAGGAAGTCAAGCATCAGTTGACTGGTTCTACTAGATAACCTATAGGCTCACCTCCAAGCTTAAGATTCTGTAACTCTTGCTATTTAATTTAAACTCCATTCTTCAAAATGGCATCATGATGCAACAGCCAAATTCTGATAGTCTCTATATAAATAGAGAACACTGAAGCAATTTCCCGGAAAACTCAGTCTCTATTATTTTTCCTGTAAAAGAGCACTTTACAGATGAATGAGTTCGATATTCACATGACTGAGACCCCTTTGCCAATGTCATTCCATTCCAAAAATACGTTATGGGATATATGTAGGGACAATAATTCCAAGGAGATCAGATAACATGTAGTCACACATTTCTCTGAAATGTTAGAATTCTCTAATAAAGGATCAAGATTTAGTTAATTAACTGTAGTAACGGGTTAATGATTCAGAGGGTAGACAACTCCAAGTTCATTTTTATAAGGCCACTTTATGAATTGCATCAATGCTAACTTTCTTCTCTTATATTCTGATGTCATTTAATATACAGTACAGAACTAATAGCATCCCTTCCACCCTCCACTGTGGGACTGAGAATTTTTTTAAAAAAGATAAGCCACTAATAATGAGAAAAGATACAGTTGGGAAATGATTAGAAGCACTGTGCTTGTCTTTATTACTGCTTTATTTGGAATATCAACTTTTTTCGTCTTCCTTCTCTTCAAAACAAATGAAACCTCTGTCCATGTGCAAAAGCCGTCTACATAAATATGAACTATTAAAAATCTTACATTCAATACTTCCCATGTTTTGACCACAACTCAACTTGGTTTTCCAATAGGTCTCAATAAAAGTTTGTTGAATGATTTAGCATGCCCACACTCTATTTTTCATCATGTGAATGTTCCAGGTCTAATCTTGACCAGTTTATTTTGAATGATTGGACAAAAATATTACAGATATACTTACGAACCAGATATCATTTGTTGATTCTAGGCAGTATTCCCACCCCTCTATAACTCTTTCCTATACCACTTGGGGATAAAGTCTGGAAACTACATTTCCCAGATTCCATTGCCAGCAGGGTTTTAGCTAGAACCTACCAATGAGAGGCAGCTGCAAGAGATTCACATTGCACTAGACATGGAGAGCATAATTTTTCTCTGGCAACTGCACTGAGGAACATGGGCACCAGCAGATGGTAAATTTCCTGAAATCCATCCCCCTGACTTTTACTCCCTCAGCCTTCAACAATTGTGTGAGCCTCTAATTTCCAATATTAAACTTCTTCCTGCTGGAAATACCTAGAGAAGCTGCTGTTTTCCTGACCAAGCCTGAGCCAACGATCTAAGAGGCATGCATAATCAAGAACAAGAAAGGTAAATAACAGTATCCACCAGTGCTTTTTAAAAGAGTCTTGACAGCAGTGACTTGTAGTCAGAGCTGAATTTTGACAATTGGATTAAATATTGAGATTCAGAAACATGGGACTGGTAATAGAACAGCTGAGCAAACTCTGTTGAACCTCTTCCTTGCTGCCAAGACAAAACAGACACAAATAGACAGATTCTGCAATATGATTAGCGGAACTTTTCAAGTTATAAAAAATGGATCATCATAAATATTCCAAAAACCTAGACAAGATGTCAGACCCCTTTCAAATAAATGCGATCACAAACAAGATGATAAATTAGGCAAATGTTGAGCTTAACAGCCTAAGTCACTGCCAAAAGTTAGGCTTATTCCTATAACAAAAGACTCTGGTGGCTATGTTAACGGATGACTCCCTTGCTATTATTTCATTTCAAGGATTTAATTATTTGCATCCTCTCAGATTTCAGGAAATGCCAACTATTTTTAGATGCTGCAAATGTTACTGAACATGGGTCCCTGAGAGCTTGGGCAATATACTCAAATTTTCCTTAATATACGCATTCACAGAAACAAGTCAACTCCTCAACTCAACAAGTCAACTCCACAGACTCCTGGCTTGTGGAGTTTTTCTGCACACACACAAAAGAACATTTTAAGCTTTTAGAGCTTTCAATCAGAAAAAGATATAAAAATCACTTGGTACTAGAGTAATTTTAAAATCTACGTAGACTCTAAGCCATCTTTCTAATGCAGAGTTTCCATCCCACGTCATACCAAATGTATTATAATACACTCATATCCCACAGTTATTATAAATGTTTTGCTATATAATATTTAGAGGAGTTTTATAATTTTAGTTTTGATATTATTCACACTTGTATCATTAATTTATTATTGGTTGCAATATCTCATCAATCACGCTGCATATTGGAGAACTGTATCAAATCAAATTTCAGTAGTTTTCAAATGTAGTTAAGTTTTCGAAGACTGCCAAAAGTTAACAGTTAATAAACTTAACTTGATAGCACATCTTGGAGATATTCACTGAAATGGAACTTTTGACTTTGCAGTTTTTATTTTTATATTTTAGAGCCAATAATATTTTTTTTCGTATCTCAGACATTTCAGAAGCCTTTAATAACCTGCTTAGCATAAGACATGGGACCATCAATAAACAATCTGCAGCTTGGGCTGAGAGCATAAATTCACATGGTCATCTAACTAACAACTGAGAAGTCAGGTTCTCTTCTTCCCACTAGAAAAAGGGATAAGAGGAAATTGATTTGTCTGTCCCTCTTTCTTTGCAATCTATTTAGAAATCCACCTAGCCTCTGATATTGTCCTGAAATCAATGTCTCCACTCCCACATCTCACAGGGCAGAGGTGCCCTCCCTCCTACCTGGCTACTACGTGAATCCCTGGCATCTTCTGGCCACCTCCTACCAGGCATCAGAGCTTCACTGAGCCCAGTTTGGCTAATGAGAAGTTGGAAGACATCAACAAGGGTCTAGAGTTCAGAACACTGTCACTATTCAGATGGAAGCACCTAGTTAAACTGACAGTCCTCCTGGCTGACACCACAAGCCTTTTTCTGCCATTTCACTAACTTTCTGAGAGAGCAGGTGTTTTTATCATTGTCTTCCAGTGTAGACAAATTGGTTTCATCACCTAATAATCATCGCTTTTATAAGAGGAATGTCTGGATGGAGATCAGTTTCAATGATAAATGTTATTCTTCTCCATCTATTTATTCATCTTTCTAGCACAATAGCAGCTAACAGGAGTCTCTCCTCTTATGAGAGGGAACTTTTATCAAAAAGCTACTTTGTGCCTGGCACTGTGCTACATGCATCATATACATTCAAATATAGTTATAAAATGCAATTAACTAAGTACTTTCATTGTCCCTATACATAAAAGCAAAACAAAGTTATCAGCTCACAAGTAGCCATTTTCTATTCCTTTGTTATGAATCCAAACCCTCTTGATATCAAACCCATCTATGTCCCACTACATCACCCACTACCCCTGTTTAGAAAGCACTTTCAAATGCATTATCTCTTTTTACAACAAACATAAGCCCATCATTTTAAAGGAATTGGGAGTTGTAATTAAAGTATTAATTTTTAATGAACTATTTTCAATGTTCTGATATAAAAGGTATTGCATGAACTCCACGAGACCATCCATTACAAATCTTTAGGCCGATAGACTACATTTCAGAGTTATTTCCTTCCTGAACCTGCTTTAGTCAGATACAGAGGACATTTCAATAGTTTGAACCAAATAAAAATGTTTTGCTATTATTCAGTAAGTCAAGGTATTATAATGGCCTCATGAACTATTCCAAAGATAGCAGCATTACCATACTGTAGATGCTATATGAGAAACAAAGAAACAGACTTGATGAAGTCTATTTTAAAATCATTATTAGTTGATGAAACCAATTTGTGCTACCCTGGAAGGCAATTATCAAGAAGGCTGCTCCCTCAGAAAGGTGATGAAATAGCAAAAAAGGCCAATGGTGTCAGCAAGGAGGGCCATCCGCTTAACAATTATATATTTCTTACTAATATAATTTTATTATATATATTTTTATATAAGAATATATTTTAAATGGTTACATATAATAAAAAAAATCAGGCTAACATCAGACGTATCTACAAACAGTAAAAGACAAGCAATTTCTAGTAAGTTTTATGAAAAATATGATTTCAAATTTTATAGCCAAGTAAATGTTGACTTATGGGTAAGGGCATCAAAAAGTGTTTGCAAGTGTTGAAAGGCAGACAACATGTAATATTCATGTGTTGTTTCTGAATAAAATATTTTTGTTTTTTTCAAACTTACTGAAATTAAATGAAAAATAAAAGATCAAGAAGGAAAAGGACACGGAATAAAGCATTTGAAAATGAACATCAAAGCCAGTTAATAGAGAAATGTATAAATAATTGTTTATAATAGAATTATAAATTAGAACTCAAACGTTACAAGTAACTCTTCAAGGAAAATATCTTAATTGTCAAAATATATTATAACAATAATATAACACTGAAAATACATTTAACAAGACCAAGAAGGAAAGAGGTAAATAAATAGGGAAAGTGAAACATGTTAAGTCTTGTCTCAAAGACAGAGGAATGAAATGCCAAAAATTTAATTTCACCATGACAGATACATAGAAGAAGTGTTAAGGAATGATTTTGAAATAAAGTTAACTAGTAGAAAAATTATACTTAAAATAATTTACAACTTAATTTTTACACAAAATAGTATCCAAAGCAAAACATATATAATAAGAAAAAAACATTTTAGAATGGAAAAGTTTACAGTTTATAATGTTATAAATATCACGAACCTTCACTGGAAATTGTGACTCAGAGCTCTGTATGTGTCTGTATAGAACATATAAACTGGCCACCTTTACTGTATAAGAAAGACAAGTATGTAAAAGAGAAATCATTGTCAGTCTTACGAACCTCCACGTGCTAGAGTTGGGGAAGATTTTACTTATGGGTCAGCAATATGCACCCTGGAAGCCCCAGATATTTTGGTCTACAGCATTAGAGACAAGACTTCCGACGTTTGAATTCTAACTCCTCCTTTTTCCAGCAACTACCTTTCATTACAACAAATACAAGCCCCTGCTCCCAAAATGCGTTAAGCCCCCATCCCCTAAATAAATACATATGTACTGAGGTAAACTAAAATGGTCCCCTATTTGTCTTGTCCTTCATCGTGTGTGTGTGTGTGTGTGTGTGTGTGTGTGTGTGTGTGTGTGTGTGTGTGTGTGTTTGTATCCAGGAGGACAGATGGGTAAAGAAGCTTCAGTTGTTCTTCAATTAATCTTCCAATTTCATCCCCACTTTTCACTTCTGCCCTCTACTCTGTCTGCTAATCCTCTGGAGCCCCTGTAGAGCATGTAGGTAGTATTTATAAGTAGACCTGCTCCCATCTGCTTTCTAATTCCCAGAGATTTGCTGAAATTTCTCATCCTTTACTGGGACTCTCTTTGCCACCATGTCATTATTATTTTCATGATTGATTGATTTTTTATTGTTGTAGGGTTGTCTCAGGAGAAAGAGGATGCAAATGTACGTGCTTAGGTCACCATCTTGAACCTGAAGAAACTTACAGTGCTCTTAGAAGATATCTCTTGTGATGAGGAAAGTTTACTTGTTTGTTTTTAATCCGAGGTTAAGATTTCAATCAGGTGGACTTATCTTTTTTAAAAATTCAGGTAAATTAAATTACTTTTAATGTAAAACTACCTGTACAATTAATCCCAATGTGATTCAGTCCTTTCCTCCCTCCCAGGCTCCCTTTCTTCTTTCCTTCCTTCATGTTTCTTTCTCTCTATCTGTATTGCCATCTATGTATCTAATCTATGTAGATAGAAAAATATTAGGGGTTAGAATTTTTGCCCCGAGTATTAGGATTTTAGTTTGTTATTTCTAGTTTTTCTTATCTTAAAATGATTATGGTCAGATACAGTGGCTCACAACTATAATCCCAGCTACTTGGGAGGCTGAGGTAGGAGGATCACTTGAGGCCAGGCATTTGAGACCAGCCTGGACAATACAGTGAGGCCTCGTCTCAAAAAAGATTATGCATATATTCAATTAAATATTGAAATAGTTATTAATATAAAAAATCCATAAATACCCTCTTGACTGGCAATTTAACTTAGCAATTTGTCATAAATAATAGTAAAATAACTCTTCAAGGATGTGCACAAGCACATTTGTGGCAATTCTCTTTATGATCAAAAAACATCAATAGAGAATTGATTAAACTGTGGTAGAGTTAATCAATGGAATATTATGCAGTCACTGAACATGATCATCTAATCATATATATTGGCAAAATACGGTGAAAAGGCCTATACTAGTTTGTTTTTCAGTGTTTGTATTACATATGCTTAAGAAAAAGTCTAGAATTATAAATACCAAAACTTCAGTAGACGTACTATCTGGGTGATAGTTTGGTTTTCTCGCTTATGTTTGCCCTATTTTTTTATCTTTATCTTTTTTTTTTTTTTTTTTTACAATAGGCATGTGTTACTCATATACTCAGAGAGTAAGCATATTTCTGGTTTGAAAGAGAGAGAGAAAGAAAGAAGCGGGTGGGGAGAACACAAACACATTCATGCACGCTGGGATAAAATAACAATATTTATGACAGTAATCAATACTACTTTAAAAGATGCTGGAATTTTTGTATTTTTCTTCATAATATACCTCGAATATTTGAATATTTGAATATTTTAAAACTACCTTTATAAAATCCTCTCTTCCTACTATTTTTCTTGCCATTCTTTTTCCCCTAGCAGTACAGCCATCACTAAACATATTCCACCTATTTGATGACAGTTAAAAGTACATAGAAACATCTTACATTTTTTGTTATACTGAGTATATATCAAATGTTTTTAAAAATAACATTTCTTGTGGTGATGATAGCCTCCACAAAACAAGCAAATTGTACTGATCCACAGCAATCATACTTTTCATTAAATTGCAAACATTTCATATAATCTCAGCATTCAAACTAATTCAAGTAGATTTGGTGAATATTCTTCTCTGGACCCCATTACCAGACACTAGTTCTATTTCTACTTTTGTGTCAGATTGCTTGTCTTACACACACTTTCCTCAATGACATTAGCAATATCACAGATGTTAATAAGCTTTTTACAGATAATCTCAATTTCTCTCATATTTGATGCCATAAGTTTCTTTGAATGATTTTATACATGTATTTTCATCATGATTTGGTTATCTTGGCTTAAACAGTAAAGGATGTCTGCAAAATCCTAGAATTCCATAGAACAGAGTTTGATAGCAATTTCTCTAAAGGCTCCCAAATATATTTTTCATAGTTTTCTAATTTCTGTAATAAATAATTGTCAGAGGTCCACTCTTTCTCTATGTCTTCAGGAGGATATTGTCTTTCACATTTGTTTTGGCAACTTCTTTTCTGTAAGTCCCAGCTGTTTTATTTATCTTTCCCATTTATTTAGAGGATCTGTAGTTTTTCTTTGGCCATCAATCTGTCTGCTCGGGTACTAGTCAAATTTCTATCTTATATCTATAGATGAAATGGTAAATTGGTGATATCCACAGTCCTTCATCTAGCAACCTTTTTGCAGTCCTTTTGTGGTTACTGAAACACACTCTCTATTGTCCTCACTCCCTTGCATCTTTAAGAAGAAGGAATAAATAATAATGAATTGATAATAATAAACTAAAAATTTTAACATATGCTGTCACTGGAGAACTCTTATTTCAGACCTATCTTTGTCCGTTTAGACTGTATTTCCACAGACGTGTTTGTCACGGCCACCTCCCCCCCTTGCTATTCAATTATTCTCTTGGAGTTATAGGATTATAAAGAGATATAGGAAGAAAAGTACTAACAGGAATGGGGAGCAGTGAAAGGCATTCACACCAGCCTACAAAAGTGCAGCCACTCTATAGAATGGCATCCTCATTTCTGATTAATACAATCCTTGAGCTTCTGGGCAGCAGATGTGTGGGAAGGGAGATTCAGATTCTACCCAGAGTCAAGGGGTCTTTCTACCTACCTGCTCTTCATGACCAGAATTCTGCTCTACCTTTCTAGAATTGCCTCCCACCATCACTCCCTCTCAAATGCTCCCTGGCCCAATTAGCTTGAACCACATGTCCTTCCTCTAATATCCTATTTCCTGCTAAAGGAGCTCAGGGAAGGCTTTTCTCTTGTTTACCATTATATTCCCCGCACTGAAGTTTGCCTGGTATATAGTAATAGCTCCACAAATATTTCTGAAGCAATAAATGAACACTTCTATGCCTTTTCTCTTGTCTATTTTTCCTTTACTACCCTTTCCCTCACTTTTCTGTGAGACAGGAGCCTTCTCTTTATCAAAATTAGCTTGTGCCATCTCCTGTGAAGATCATACGGAACATCTCCAAACAATGTTAGGTGTTTTCTCATCTATTATAATATATATCGTAGTATTATAATTGTTCACTTGCAAATCTAATTTACCCACTAGCCTATCAGCCTGAGGGCAGTAACAATATTAATTTTATCTTTATGACCCCAAGCATGATGATACTTAGTAAGTGCTTAATAACCAATTGCCGGATGAAGTCTTCTAAACCAAAATTTATTGTTCTTTGATACTAATAACAATAAAATAATAAGTGTTTACTGTGACATGTGGTTAAAAGCCAGACAAGCAGAGACTGAATCCCAGCTCTGACCCTTACAAAGTGTTATCTTCTTGGGCATCTTGTCTAGTCTCTGTTACTCATTTTTCTCATCTGTAAAAGGGAGATGATAATAATAGTACCTGCCTGATATAATTGAATTAACTAACATATAGAAAGGTATTAGGATAGTGTCTGCCATCTAGAAAACATTCAATATCGATTAGCTATACTGTTATATACTCACAATGTAACAGATCCTATGTAAGGTACTTTACCATAAAAATTTGTTCCTCACAGCAATGCTAAAGGTATTATTTCAAAGATCATAAGACTAAAGCAAAGAGATATTAATCGATTTGCTCAAGATGACAGAATTATTGTGTTAAAATCTGCCTACTACCTAACTTCACACCACACAAATTTCTACAAGATCTTGAACATGCATCTGAGTCTACATTCTATGAGTCACAAATTATTCTATTTCTTTGAAAAATCTTGTTTCATCTCCACCATATGTAATGTACAGGCTGCAAAGCATTATATTTGAGAGCTGGCTGGGGTGCTACAGTCAGACTAACCGAGGTTCTAATCCTGGCCTGAACGTTTTACTAGCTAGTGATCTTAGCAAGTTTCTGAACCTCTCTACGCCTGAGGTTCCTTTTGGTAAATTGAGCATAATAATATCAACCCCCAAAGATTATTTATTCTGAGGATCAAATGAGATTAAATATGTGTAACATGCTTAGCAAAATGCCTGGTGCACTCAAAGTTCAATAAAAGTAAGTTGTCATCTACCCCTGTTGTCGACCTCATTTATTTCATTAGTTTCTGATTGCATTTTAGAACTTTTGCATCTCATTTACAAATTCTGGGGGTTTACCTTCTTTTTCAGAGTATTTCTCTGAACACCACCACCTCCCTCTTAGGCTAAGTTAGGTATGCCTTTTCCTATTCCCTCGCAGGATGTGAAATATACCGCTATTTTCTGAACAGCAGCAGATGGGAAATGATCCCTGGATTCTCCCCTTATGGATGACAAGGGAAAGAGAGAAAAAACCTATTTTAAAAAACAACATCCAACTGCATAATAAAGTATCTATGAACCATTCCATTATCTTGATCTATGTGTGTCCCCAGAACTCAGGCTGCTTGCTCTAGGAAAGATGGTACCAGCACCACTCAGTCTCAATATGCAGCAACACCATCAGATAGCAATGTGTTGATGAACATGTAATAATAGTCAACTCTCCAGGAAAAAAAAAGTCCGAATTTGTAGACTGCCAATTTCTGTGGTGTAAATGTTCCGACCCTGGCCAATTTCAAGTTACCAGCATTATATCACTGAATATGGAGTTGGGAAGAGACGTGCAATAGCACCCCTTATGTAGTATTTCTACCATACACAGAAAACAGATGTAAATAACCTCAAGATCATGGATAATAGTAAAATGAAGTCAGATAACTAGGACTTAATGAGTTGTGAGTATTAATTCCATTTTTATAAAATAATGTATTAATTATGTCTATATAATTTCATTCTTGTTGGCTGTGCTTAAAAGCCTGCTCCCAAAACTCCTGATAATGTAGCAGTGTCTCTCAAAAGCTGGTACAAGCTGACCCCAGCACACCAATGCCTTTGGAGGTAAGAATGAAGCATCCTGGACAGAGGAAGATTGAAGCTTATATAATGTAGGGCCTTCGTTAAGAAAAAATATGATGCTTAATTAGATTTTTAAAAACTAAAATATAATATATTTAAAAAACATATTTTAAAATGTTTAAAAAATAAAAATATATTTAAAATAAAAAATAAATATTTATCTAGAAGTGAATTCATTGAGAAGAGAATATTTTAAATACCCACAGCCACTCCAGCACCCCTAACAGGAAGGGACGTGTGGGGAATGAACTCAGAATGGAAAGAGACAGCAGCATTAACCAGCTGTACCTAAAATATCTGACTTTTGCAAATGTTTCAAAAACATATGATTTATGTCAAACTGTTGCTAGAACTTTTCCCAGGGACTTGAGGCTCACACAAGAAATGAGCACAGGCCGGGCATGGTAGCTAACGCCTGTAATCCCAGCACTTTGGGAGGCTGAGGCGGGTGGATCACGACAAAGTCAGGAGTTCGAGACCAGCCTGGCGAACATGGTGAAACCCTGTATCTGCTAAAAATACAAAAATCAGCCGATGCAGTGGTGGTGGGCGCCTGTAGTCCCAGCTACTCGGGAGGCTGAGGCAGGAGAATTGCTTAAACCTGGCAGGCAGAGGTTGCCAGTGAGCCAAGATCGTGCCACTGCACTCCAACCTGGGTGACAGAGCAAGACTCCAGCTCAGGGAAAAAAAAAAAAAAAAATGGAAGAAAGAAATGAGCACGATGGTAAGCCTATCTCTGACTCTGAGCAATCAGGACTGAGCTACTTCAGTTATTTAGGTATCAGTGAGGGTACTATATACCCTGGTAAGTTATGAACCTCTGGAGAACCTTAGAAACAGCAGGCTGCAAACTGATCTATTTACAGGAACCAACAGGTCACGTGAATGCCTGAAGTAGGTCTGTGGGAGCTTGTAGCTAATAAAGGGGCACATTTTTTGTTGAAAGCGAGTGCCAGCTGCTAAGCTCAGGGTGCTTTTTGTCATGGTGTACTATGGGCCCAGTATTACCAAATATTCTGATATTTCAGTAGAAACCAGAAATCTGGAATTTTATGTAAAATCTCCTGACTTTTAAATGCTGGCAAGTAATACAATTAAAAAAAAAAAAATCCTGAAGGTCAAACAAAACTGGGGCTGCCAATTTTCAGACTCCGCCTTAGATAATGAAGAATAAATAAATAATGAGTGCATTCCTTTGTTTACATCTTTCACCCTGTCTATCTCCCACCTCTTACTCCTGGGAGCTGGGGAAATAAACACTATAATAACAATTATTAGGCAGTACCATAATTGCTTGTCAGTGGATTTGTCTCTCAATTAGATCATGTATTCTTGGAGGTCACGGCTAACATGTTTTTCTCTTTGTATTCCTAGTGCACAGAATACCTGGCAGATAGCATCTGACTCATTGAGCTGCACATAGCACCAAGTATTGCAGATAGAGTCAGGGTAGCATAGAGGTAATGAATGTGAGCTCCAGGACCAAATTGCCTGAGTCAGAATTCCGGCAACTATATTTATGTGTCACGTATCTTTGGACAAATGTCTTTACCTCTCTACAGCTCAGTTTCATCATGTACAAAATGAAAAGTATCATCAAGTATCACACATAGAGTCAGGGTAGTATAGAGGTTTGTTTCTAAACACAAATATTATCCATAATGTTATTATTACTAATATAGTAGGTTTTCAATAAATATTTGTTGATTTATGCTTTTCAACTTTTAATGGTATTAGTTATTTGTAATTATTAATTTTTATTTAGAATTACATACTGGCCCTAAAGTGTCTAATGTAAATTGGCAGAGATAACTTTATTTGGATTAAACTGTGGCTTCCATAAGCTTGACCTAAATAAAAGCCTGGAACTATAAAAGCCATTCTCACAGGACACATCTGTGGCTCCTTTTAAATTGACTACTTCTCTGATTAATCTGAGACGTGATCAAAATTTCCTTATAAAGACTTTGAGCCAAAAAGTGAAACAACTCTTTGTCCTGTGAAGGAAAGTTACGGATTAGAACGGAAAGCGGTTTTCTCATTTTTTGTAATACATCTTTCTACCCCACCAGGCTAAGTTTCACATCATCAGGTACTAAATCGTATTCCCATTCTTAAGACCTAGCGTGATGTTTGTCATGCAATAGCTCTTATTAAGCTTTTGATATAAAATAAAGAGAAACCCCAGTTTCCATTTCCCACTGAAAAGAGCCTTTGGGGAGGAGAAAGTGAGTTAATATTTATTGAGCTCTTAATGTGGGTCATATCGTTTGCTAGATATGTAACAAAAAGTCATTTGAATCCTTACCAAAACCCTGATTTATAATCCTTCTTTTGCAAAAGGGAGACTGAAACTGAGAGAGGTCACATGAATTACTCAAGTCTGCATTATAAACAATTAAGGAGCCAGTATGCTTCCAAATCCAAAGTCTATGCTCTTTCCACCAACGTATTTGACTGTATTTTAATACTAACTCTGGACTGAACATTTTTACAGATCAACAACTGTATTAAAAGAAAACAAATTATTAAGAGTATCGGCAAGTTAATTACAAAAATAATCAGTGGCACTATTTTAAATTTGCATTAATGTTACTTAAGACAGTTATGGTTCATCTCTGTTGAAAAACATTGAAATGTGTCAGAGAATCAATTAGGAGCATCTGCTACTTATAACAAACTTAAAACATTTTATGTCTAAGTCAGATACGGATGATTTTAGATTACGTCAGAAAATGTGTGTTGGATTTCAATGGCTGGAACATAAAACATAACTGTGGGAACATTCTGGGATTTTTTGAAATACAAGTCTGTCATGTCATCTCCTTGCTCCCCCGTTTCCCTGCCCCAGTGGCTTCCACACTTCTTAATAGATGTTTTAATGTTCTCCAAAGGTTTGAATTTGAGCCCATCTCTGCATCTCATGTCTTACCTTATCTCTCCTTCAAAATCTCACCCCAGGCCTAACTGAAATTCCTTCAGTAAGTCATGCTCTCTCCTGCTTCAGGACCTTTACACATGTTGCCCTTCTGCTCCCCGACTTTAATCAATTGACCCATCCTCATCCTTCAAGTCATCTCAGACAAAATATCCCCACCAAGCAAGACTTTCAGAAGCCCAAGGGTCAGGGTTGGGTGCTCAGACATGTTCCTCCATATCTGGTTATCTCTTCCCAGCATACCCTTCATCTCACTTTGTGGTTATCGTCAAATGATCTGTTTCCTTCCTTCCTTCCTTTCTCAATGGAGGGTGAGAACTACATTGCTCACCAGTGGCTCTCCAGTATCTCCTAAAATATCTAGCACACAGTATGTGCAACCTATGCATCTGTTGGTATAATTTCATGGATACATAAGTAAAATATGGTGACTTCACAATTAAGAAAAATAGCAGGTATCTGTATAATATTAACATATGATTACTGATGTTAATGGTAGGTTTATTCCAGATAGTAAAATATAAGCAGATTAAAATCTTAGTTACAGATTTACAGGACGGGAAAAGGCCTTAGAAAATCACCAAGTTTAACTTGGTTTTCCAAAAATGGAAGCTGGGGCTGAAGAAGTAGAATAATTGAGCCTGATTGCATGGCCTCTTAGACCATCAACAAATATGTATTCACTGGACATCTAATAGATGGCTATTAAGCACTCCACTAGGCACTGGCAGGTGAGGGGAGAGGAGACCAGCCAAGAACAAAATTCCTGCCACAGAGATAATACAGTCTAGTTGGAGAAACAAGACCTTCATATGTCAAACAATTAAAGGACAAAGAGAAACTATGTTATTAAGTGCTAAATTAGGCAGAAGAGACAATAAATGCTATAGCCATTCAAAATATAGGAAAGATAAACAACCAAATGAGCTCAGATTGATCACTTACTGCCTCGTGACTCCTCTTGGAATTCCTCCTTGTTTTGATGACTGACTGTCTCCCATGTCATGACCAGCCCTTTAGGGAAAGGGATATTTTTGTTGCTCTCATACTTCCTTATCATGGATAATTAATTATCAGTTGAAGGAAACTGACTTATGCTGTCACTTGGGTTTTGGAAAAGAATCCTTCAAAAATCACAATATTCTCTTCTAGTCAATGATGTTAAGATTTCATCAAAATAAATGAATAAAATATAGCATTAATATTTTATCACACACCCCCTGCAGGCCTATGCATCTTAAAAAAAAAAAAAAAAAAAAAACAGCAACTGGCTGCTTTTGTCTACTTAACTAATACATCGCTCTTTAGAATTGTGACCTCAAGTTCCCTTGCAAATTTCGTCTACCTGATCCTCCAATTATAACATCTCACTATCCTCAGTAAGCTTCAGAAATTATGAAATTACATAATTTCATATCACTATCCTCAGTAAGCTTCAGAAATTATGAAATTACATATATATGTATATATATATATGTATATATGTATATATATGTATATATATATATGTGTGTGTGTGTATATATATATATATACATATTCTTGATCATCCCTTTAATTTACCAGGAATCTTCTAGGAGTTCCTATCACTTCCAGAAGCTGGGGTAGGTGAGGGAGGACCAGGGAGATAACAGGCTATATTTTCCCTATGAATATGTGATTTCTTCATACTCCACAATGTCTCAAAGCCAAGGAAGAAAATGATCAATACTCTCAATATTCAATACTGTCGCTTAAACTCAATATCTTGTTCTTTTCAAACATCCTAATCTTCCCAGGCAGAATTAGTCACCCCACGCTCTGTACACCTGCAGTTCTCTATGGAAATATCCCAAGATATTTCACATAGAGCTGAACTGTAACGATTTATCACTGAGTTTTTCCTTTGTTAACGTATATTTTCTTGAAAGCAGATCTCTGCAGTGTACTTTTTACTCCAACTAACTGCCCGACACATAGTAGACCCCAAACATGTTTGGCATGAATGAAGACAGCCGTCATTTGAGTTTAATTTTCATTAAATGTGCTTAATTCTTAAGCAACTTTTTTAACAGTGGTCCGAGCTAATTGGTTTTCTGACATAGGCAGTCTCATTTCGAATGGATCATATTCCTTTTCAGGAAAGTATATTTTAAAGGTACTATAACATGGGTATTTAAACAGAGATAAAATGAGAGTTCTAAAATTATGAGCCCTAGGCCACCAGAGAATATAGTACAAATTTATAGAGTGAACCAGGTTTTATCAAAGCTTTCCCTTGGAAAATACTGGCTCGCTTTCCTCCTGGAAGGCTCTGCTCTGCTCAGTGGCCTGGTATCCTGAACATTGACTTGACCTGTTTTGAGGTGTTAGTCTGACCCTGAAGTTTAACCAATAAAATATTCATGACCTCCTCTAAGGTACATAGATTTTTATTAGTTTTATATGGTATATACACACTATGTAGAAAAAAAATACAACGGCATGATTCAGATGGATTGGCACCTTATGGTGACTGGGCCAATAAACAGAGAATGCAGTTTAATGTAGACAAATGTAAAATAATAAGTCTAGAGACAATGAACCAAAACAGAAAGTCTGTATTAAGCCATAGCAATGCAATGCAGTGATCAGGAAAATGATTTGGGGATTTTTGAATGATAATGCTAGAAGCCAGAAGATCAGAATTGTTTGCTAGCTGAGCAATAGGCTTATGTGATGCACAGAATACAAATCAAATTATATGGTGGCAATACAGTGAAAACAACAGAGCATGTGACTCTGTCACCATTTCAACACAGAGAATTAAGCACAACCAACTTCAAGTTGGTTGGTTACAGAGAACTACGGCAGCTAAATATATTTAAGTCAGATATTAGGAAAAGCTTCCTGCCTCAGTGGGCTGTGAAACATTAAAATTACTTAAAAGGACAATAGCAGTATCTCATTTTTATGTGACCTTTTTCCATTTTTAGTGTTTTCACACTAACAACCTTATTTGCTCCTCACCATAAAGCTGTGGAGTGCATAGGAGAAATAGAATTTCCATTTTACAGAGAGTTAAACTGAGATTCAGTTGCCAAGGATTATAACAAAGACAGGATAGGACCCTAGAGTTTATAAATATCATTCTAGTGCTCTTTACCATGACATGTCTTCTCTAGGCATTGCCAAGGGAAAATTTGGAGTCGAGCTTTCAACAGATCTTTAAGAATCATATAGAAAGTTATACTGCCTCTAAGAAAGCAGAAGACTGATTTCATGTTTAGATACACCATCCCACAAGGATTGTGTAATTCAGCATGCTAAGTTACACACTTTGAGACCAGAAGAGTTGAAATGTCCTAACTATTCAGAGCAAGCATAGCAGTATATTCCACAGATGGCCACCACAATGTCTCCCATCACAGGTGCTTCTTCAAAATGTGACCTTAACATTATTCCTATCCAGAGATAGGGTATCTCTCCTGTCCTTTTGAATGTGGGTGGGCTTGTGACTTGTTTGTAACCAACAGAATGAGGTGGAAGTGACACTGAGTGTGGGTCACAGAAGGCAATGTAATTTCTGTCTCATCAACTGGAATGTTCTCTCTTGACTACTTCAACCACCATGAGGCTGCTGTGCTGTAAGGAAGCCCAGACTAGCTCATGAATAGAAACCACATAAAGAAAACTGAGGCTACAAGAAGAGAAAGGTTCCCAGGAAGGCCCAAGATGCTTCAGCCCCTTACTATTCCAGCTCCATGTCACTGCAAATATAGAGAGAGCTGGGGCCAAAACCACCCAACCAAGTCCTTCCTCAATTTCCTGACCCACATGAGAAATAATGAAATTATTTTTGTTATGTTAAGCTATTAAGTTTAAGAGTGATTTATTATTATGATTTCAATTGTTTTGGGGCGAACAGGTGGTGTTTGGTTACTTGGACACATTCTTTAGTGATGATTTCTGAGATTCTGGTGAACCCATCACCCAAGCAGTATCCATGGCTAGAAGACTCGAAGACAGATCACATCACAGGACTCCGCGGACATTCCTCAGCATCAGTCCAGAGCCCGGTAGCCCTGCTGGGTGACCAGACCCAGTAAGGCAATAACAATCACTGCAATTCGGCTCTCAGGAAGCCCCATCTCTAGGGGAAGCGGGAGAGCACCACATCAAGGGACCACCCCGTGGGACAAAAGAATCTGAACAGCAGCCCGTGAGTTCCAGGCCTTTCCACTGGAACAGTCTACCCAAACGAGAAAGAACCAGAAAAGTAATTCTGGTAATAGGACAAAACGAGGTTCTACAACACTCCCAAAAGAGCTCCCCAGCAATGGATCCAAACCAAGAAGAAATCTCTGAATTGCCAGATAAAGAATTCAGATGGTTGATTAGTAAGCTACTCAAGGAGGTACCAAAGAAAGGAGAAAAACAACTTAAAGGAATTAAAAAAAAAAAAAAGGATATGGATGAAAAAGTCTTCAGAAAAATGGATATCATTAAGAGTGATTTGTTATGGATCAATAATAACTGGAACAGAATGCGAATGTTCTCAAGAGTGTAGGCATTTGGGGTCTTTTTGTGTTTGTTTTGAGGCAGGGTCTCACTCTGTCACCTAGGCTGGAGAGCAGTGGCCCAATCTTGGCTCACTGCAGCCTTGACCTCCCCCGGCTCAAGCATGCCTCAGCCTCCCGAGTAGCCAGGACTACAGGTGCACACAACCATGCCTGGCTAATTTTTGTATTTTTTACAGAGACGGTGTTTCACCATGTCGCCCAGGATGGTCTGGAACTCCTGGGCTCAAGTGATCTCCCTGCCTCAGCCTCCCAAAGTGCTGGGATTACAGGCATGAGCCACCGTACCCAGCCTGTTTTTTGTTATTTTGTTTTTATTTTAAAATGGTACCCAGCATCTCCTCTCCCTTCCTAATAGCACTGTGATTTCCCTAAGAAATTAGCCATAGCCCCTTTCTCCCAGCCAAGGAGAATACTCCCTCACTGGAATTTTACTCTTTAACCGAATGATAACGCTGTAAGTCCATTATCCCATTACTCTAGCCTGAAAATGGCAGGAGGTAGTCATCAAGCATCACAGGCACTCTAACCAAATGGTACCAGGTATGAGGTAGTCCTCTCCTTCCTGTTTTCTGGGTCTTTGAAATTGTCTTTTATTCTGCTCCATTCCAGGTCTTGGTCTTCAGCCTTCCTAACAGTCCTATAAATTCCCCTTATCCATTTAATAAATTCCTTTTAATTTAATTGAGACCAAGTCACTTTCTGTAATTTATAACCAATGATCCCTGACTAATACGGTGTCTCGTCCAGGAAATAATGTTTTTATAACTTTCACGACCTGTCCTTGACACGCAATAAACTGCACATATTTAAAGTGAGTATCTGACAAATTTTGGCATACGTATATATTCGTGAAGCTGTCACTACAAAGGAGGGTATTGAACATACCCATCACCTCCATATCTTTCCTTACGTCCCTTTGTAATCCTTCCATTCTGCCCCTCTGTAACCCCTATCCCCAAGCACCAATAATCTGCAATTTTTTCACTAGAGATCAGTTTTCATTTTCTGGAATTTTATATAAATGAAATCATAAACTATGAACTCTTATTTTCCTCTGCCTTCTTTCACTCAGCACAAGTATTATGAGATTCATATAAGTTGTGTGTATTCCATTGTATAGATATACCAAAGTTTGTTTATCTGTGCACGTGTTGATGGACAACGGGGTTATTTTCAGATTTTGGCTACTATGTCGAATACTGTTAGGAAAATTCATGTATAAGTCTATGTGTGTTATACGCTTTTATTTCACTAGATAAATACCTAGAAGTGAAATGTCTGGATTATATTGTAGGTACATGTTTAACTTTTTAAGATGCCACCAGTGTTTTCCAAAGTAGTTATATTGTTCTATGTTTCCACCAGCAGTGTATGAGTTCCTGTTGCCCTATATCCTTAGCAATGGTAGACTTTTCACTTTGGGCCATTCTAATGGTTGTGTCATGATATCTCATTGTAATTTTAATTTGCATTTTCCTCGTGATTAACGATTTTCAGCATCTTTTCATTTGCTTATTTGTTAGGTCTTATAAGGCTTCCCTTTTTCTTAACCTTTATTTTAGGTTCAGGGGTATATGTGAAGGTTGGTTACATAGGTAAACTCATGTCACGGGGTTTGTTATATAGATTATTTCATCACCCAGGTATTAAACCCAGTACCCAATGGTTATATTTTCTGCTTAATGTAGGTTCATCATGCAAATAGATTTCTGGTGAGCCACCTACAAATTTATCGCACCTGCCTGACTCCAAACAATGGGTATAGCTTCGGTTTAAACCACAACCTGTTACATATCTACATAAGGCAACACATAGGAAAAGACAAAGAAGATACACCAAAAATGGTAAATTATTACCTCTGGGTGTTGGGATCATAGGTGAGTCTTTTCTTCCTGCTTCTTGAAACTTTTCTGTTTTCTGAATGCTTATAGTGAGCAGGTATTGTTGTTGGCCTTTGGGGAAAATAATTAAATGGGAGTAAATGTAGTCATACTCCTTGGATATACCAATATCCCAACAGCAGCCATGTTCTTGTTCCTTCTTCCACGAAGAAACCAAGTAGAGAATAACCATTCGGTAGCCAATTCTTACTCATTTCCATGGCCAGTCACCTCCAATGAGGGCAACATTTGGCAGAGTATACTGTTCTCCCAGAGAATTGGGTCATGGGTGTGGGGTTCAGGAATTCAACAAATAGAAGAGCTGAAATTAGATGAAGTTTAGATGAGACTTGGCAACACCAACTCCTCCATGCAGAAGAGTTTTCATAGTCTGCAGATGCTAATAAAACTTAAAAAGTATGGCAACAAGGAACTGATCTGGAGCCTAACTGAGAGGCATGCATGCAGTATGTGTGCTGCAGGCATGTCTCAATAAAGAGGTAACATTATTCTCTACTACCAATATTTTTAAAAGTCTTCTAGAACTAGTGTTTGAAAGGTGCTAGCCTTGAAGATCACCCATAATATTTCACACATACTTAGCTAAATATTGAACAGACTAACTCTCTAAAGGAATCTCCAGTAATTTTGACCCAAAGCTGCACATGGCGGCAGGCATTTGACTCCCTTTGTTTTACAAGCAGGGGTTTCAAGGAAAAGTTCTCTCTTCTCCACACCCCAGAGAGCCTATAGTTTGATTCTTACCCCAAAAGGGGAGATGGATTGATGAAGTTCAGATTTCTTACTAATGAGGCTAATGTGCTCTAAGATGGATATGAAATTGTCTAAGATAAAATTGTGAACTACTTTTCTACTTGGTGTCACTTGGATTATGAAGGGAAAAAATAGTTGTATGACCAAAACTGAAAAATGATTTATTTACAACCCAGGTACACAGAATTGGATTCATTACAACCTTTACTTCATGGCATATTCACATGATTGACCTATCCATGGCCAACTTATATTTGGTTTAACAGTATTTTAATTATTTCCTATTGCGTAATAAAATGGGAACCCACTACCTATTCTTAAAACAATTCTTAAAACAATTTTGACATGTATCCAGAAATATGCAAATGTCATGATCTCCCAATGTTGAGAATTACAACAACCTGCTGAGTTAAGAACAACAACTGGTGTTGGGAGATAAAGGTCATAGGTCAAATTTAGGGAGTGGAATTTATTATATAGGCAAAGAAAAATCAGTAAATCTAGTCCAAGAACACAGACATGGCTAGACGTATAAAATGAGTAGTTAAGGCTGGGAACGATGGCTCATGCCTGTAATCCCAGCAGTTTGGGAGGCCGACGCGAGTAGATCACTTGAGGTCAGGAGTTCAGGACCAGCCTGGCCAGCACGGTGAAACCCCACCTCTACTAAAAAATACAAAAATTAGCCAGGTGTGGTGGCAGGCACCTGTAGTCCCAGCTACTCGGGAGGCTGAGGCAGGAGAATTGTTTGAACCCGGGAGGTGGAGGTTGCGGTGAGCCGAGATCGCGCCACTGCACTCCAGCCTGGGCGACAGAGCAAAACTCCGTCTGGAAAAAGAAAAAAAAAATGAGTAGTTAAAAAAAAAAAATCAGCATACGACTTATGTTTAGAAGGCCCTTCAGACCCAGATACACTAGCATTAGTGATATCTGCAGATAAGAGATATGCATGTGAGTATGAATCCAAGAGAGTTGTTGCTTTGGAGACCAAATCTGGCACACCATTGCAGCCTATATGAGAACCTGGGTCAGCAGACGTATTACCCTGGAGTAAACAGGATGTCACAGGACAATGCTTCATATAATACTCTATGGCAGCAAAAGGTAACAGGAGTGGAGAGACCATTTCTCCTCCCATCTAGAACGGATGGAGGACTGAGTTCCTGCCCCTAAAAGTGAGGTAAGCCATTAGTTTTTGGACAATTTAGAGATAAAGGACAACACTAAATTAGGAGATACATTGGCAGTAATAATACTTGTGGGTCTATAGAAATAAGTTAGAAACATTAATGAGATATGAATCAATTTATTAAGCCCTAAGTAGCTGCAATGGACTGAATGTTTATGTCCTCCCAAAATTCATGTTAAAATCCTAACCCTGAATGTAATAGTATTAGAAGATGGAGACTTTGCGGGAGTGATTAGGTCATGAGGGTAAAACCCTTAAGAACGGGATTAGTGTTCTTATAAAAGGGGCCCCAGAGAGATCCCTCTCCTCTTCCACCATGTGTAAGGTTACTCTGGGAAGACATCTATGAGGAATTGGGCCCTCACCAGACACTGAATCTGCCAGTGCCTTGATCTTGGACTTCTCAGCCTCCAGAACTGTGAGATAAATTTCTGTTGTTTATAAAGCAACCATTCCATAGTACTTATGTACTTAGGTACTTACGGCAACCTAAGTTAGACTAAGACAGTAGTTACAAGAAGGCATAGCATAGGTGGAATTACCAGCACAATGCAAACAGAGCACAAATACCTCAGCATAGTGCTAAGGCTCTTCATAAAAAAATACTTCCTAACAAAATAGACCAGCTTTCGTAGTACTTGGTAAAGCCACAATTGTGCAAGCTTCAGTCCCTACGTCCCAAAGCCCAAGTCAAAGTCTCAAAGACTACATTTCTCCATAATAAGCTCAAGCAGGAGCCACAGGAAAAAAGCAGGGTAATTTTAAGACTGGTTTAAAGGAAGCAACCTGTCCATGTGGTGTGTGCCTATGTGTGTCTGTGTGTGGGTTGGTGGACAGCATTGACCAGCAGTCTAAAGTGCAGTGTTCAAAAGTACTATGTTAGTGATTTCATGTAACATATATATATCCAGGGAGGGTGAACTGAGTGTGGTAGAAGACAGAAGAAGAATGAGATTTCAAACCAAGCATAGAAATAAATTTAGTTTGACATGCTGGGTGCACACAGTGAGATTGGAAGGGGGTTGGGAATAGGGAAAAGGAAGCAGATCAGTGAGCATGCAGTGCCCGGAGCTCACACCAGACACGGTAGAGTTCATGTTCACAGTAATTCCAGACATCAATAACTAGTGGATGTGATGTTAATATAAGCTGCTTTCCTTGGTCAAGACTGGATAGAAAAATAAACTGGCTGAGTGTGCCAGTTGAAGACATCAGTGACTTCTACAGAAAGGGTCAGGGAAAGCAGATGCTGACATTCTCTAACCAGGTTTATTCATTCATGTATTCCCCTTTTTACTTTTTAAATATAAATTCTAATATCTGCAAAGTACAGTGCTAGGTGGATAAAGAAATGAATAAGGCATGATTATTGCACTCAAGAGCTTTGAATACAGTTATCTCTCACGTACCTGAGTCACTAAAAAACCCAAATTAAGGTTTTATGAGAATAATATGACAAACATACCACCAAAGCCGTGAGGCAGAAAAGAGCCCTTCTATTCAGAGGTGGGAACGTGGGAAATCAATGAAGAATTCAGGGCAACAGCATTTGAACTAAGGCTTCAAGGATGAATCAAAAGAGAAAAGGGGAAGAAGAACTGACATGTATAGAAAGAACAGGGCATAAGGAGGGACAAAAAGGCTGGAAAGTGCATGGTATGTTAGAGAAAAGTTCTCACACTTTAATGTGCCTACGAATCAACTGGGGAATATTGTTAAAATGCAAACTGGATTCAGTTGGGCCTATGTGTGGGGCCTGAAATCCTGTATTTCTAGCAAGATCCCAGGGAATGCCAATGCTACAGGTCCATGACAGGCCACCCTTTCTGTGGCAAGGTGATAGAGAAAATGTATACAAATATGACCACACTGAAGGGCACAGAGATTTAGAGTGTGTAATAAGGTTGATAACAGAGGTTGAGATTGGGTCATGGGTAGCCTACAATATCATGCTAAGGAATGTAAAGGTTATTACAGTAAGTCCCGGACAAGCACTTAAATAGTGAGTAGTTTCCCTTGATTCATCAATATCTTCTTCACATTGTTGACAGAAGTATCCTTTTTATAGTAAAAATATGATCTGGCCATTCATCTTCATAAAACCCTTTGGATTTAAAGAATGCTGGAGAAAAAAAAGTATCCAATGATTACGGTCGCTTGCTTGAGTGACTGGGCCAAAAAGTGATGTAGTTGACTGGGATTGGAAGCAAGGATTGAGAGAGAAAAGGCTGGGCAGGGAGTAGGAAAAGAGAGAGGGAGAAAGAAAGGAAATTAATTCACATCCTCAAAGTTCAGTGGTTCTCAACCATGACTTGACATTGGAATCCACATGGTGGATTTTAAAAGTATTGATGCTTGGATATCACCTGCAGAGCTTCTGCTGTAATTGGTATGGGGAATGAACTACGTATCAAGATGTCTTAAAGTTCTTGCAGTGATTCTAATGTGCATCCAAGGTTGATGACCACAATCTTAGCATCCCCAAAATATTAGGCATCTTGAAAATGATTCTCTCATTTTATTTTCACTGTAACTTGGTATAGAAACCTATCTCAAAAGGGGCTCCCACTGACCAAATATGGCACAATTTGAACCTCAAGAGAATACTACTAAAATGCATTGAAACACATCAAACATCTTCTAAAAAATTCTATGTATTCATGAAGTTTCTTTTGGAGATGATGGAAATGTTCTAAAATTAAACTGTGGTGATGGTGCCACAACTCTGTAAATATACTAAAAACCATTGAAGTGTACATTTTAAAGGGGTTAATTTTATGGTATACAAATTAGATTTCAGTAAAGCTGTTAAAAACAACCCAGGTATTCATATGGTAATTTTTTTATTATTATTACACTTTAAGTTCTGGGATACATGTGCAGGATGTGCAGGTTTGTTACACAGGTATACATGTGCCATGGTGGTTTGCTGCACCCATCAACCCATCATCTACATTAGGTATTTCTCCTAATGCTATCCCTCCCCCAGCTCCCCACGCCCCAACAGGCCCCAGTGTGTGATGTTCCCCTCCCTGTGTCCATGTGTTCTCATTGTTCAACTCCCACTTATGAGTGAGAACATATGGCATTTGGTTTTCTGTTCTTGTGTTAGTTTGCTGAGAATGATGGTTTCCAGCGTCACCCATGTCCCTACAAAGGACGTGAACTCATCCTTTCTTATGGCTGCATAGAATTCCATAGTGTATATGTGCCACATTTTCTTTATCCAGTCTATCATTGACGGGCATTTGGGTTGGTTCCAAGTCTTTTCTATTGTGAACAGTGCCGCAATAAACATACACGTGCATGTGTCTTTACAGTAGAATGATTTATAATCCTTTGGGTATATACCCAGTAATGGGATTGCTGGGTCAAATGGTATTTCGGGTTCTAGATCCTTGAGGAATCGGCACACTGTCTTCCACAATGGTTGAACAATTTACACTCCCACCAACAGTGTAAAACCATTCCTATCTCTCCACATCCTCTCCAGCATCTGTTGTTTCCTGACTTCTTAATGATCACCATTCTAACTGGTTTGAGATGGTATCTCATTGTGGTTTTGATCTGCATTTCTCTAATGACCAGTGATGATGAGCTTTTTTTCATATATTTGTTGGCTGCATAAATGTCTTCTTTTGAGAAGTGTCTGTTCATATCCTTCACCCACTTTTTGATGAATTTCTAAAACTCAGTGGTCATCTTTGGAGGTGTTAGTGAACCTACTCACTGTTCTGAAACTGGCAGCTAAAGGGAAAGAATCAAGCATTTGCCCTGCTTTTCTGTCACAAAACTATACATCAAAGTTACCAAACAATTCATGAAAAAAAATCTCATTTATAAGAAAAATTTCAGCTAATAAATGAAAAAGAATGATGGATTTGAGTGAGCAACTGTGAAAGTACTTATAAAACAATCAGGCAAATCTGAACACTAACTGGATATTTGATGATATTTGACTCAGCCACATAACAACTTGGGTGTATGAATTCACCTCTCTGCAACTCGGTTTCTTTATCGGTAAAATGCTTATAACAATGATAACTCGCTTATAAGATTTTTGTGAAAATTATCTAAGTTAATGTGTTTAAAAGGCTTAAAGTAGTGCCTGGCACATAGCAAGCATTCTATTTGCTATTGCCACTACTATCATTGATATTATCATTATTCTAAATTTCCCATCTCAATGAAGGATCCATCACCTAATTAGTTATAGAAGCCAAAAATCTGAGTGTCATTCTTTTTGCCTCATAACATCTTACCCATCCCCCATCAGTTATGATTCTACTCAATTTCTCTTCAAATAGTTTCCTTATTCTTCACACAATCACAGTCGGCCCAGTGGTGTGGTGGAGTAAGAGATGATAGTGCACATCTAGTTCCTCCTGACTCAGCATTCAGTGACAGCACACTGGGAGCTGGAACTTGGCCATGCTGGAAGTATCACCAAACCATACAAATCAGGATTTCTGTGTATGTGTGTGAGTCAACTGTTAAACATTCACCAGCACACCAATGCTTCCGGCTCTCATGATTTTGCCTCTAAATTACTGCAAAGCATCCTAATTGCCTATTTCTACCACTTTTCTTAGACCACTGTAATCCATTCTTCTTACTGGTACCAGAAAAAAAAAATGTTTCTAAAATGCGAATCTCATCACATCACCACCCTCCATATTAAAATAATTCAGCGGTTCTTCATTTCCCTTAGGTTAAAAGCCTAAATTCTTAGCATGGCATACATGGCCTATACTAGACTAGATACTATTAGTGTCCCATCCTTATCCTCTTAGCACTCATCTTTCTTATACATGCCACCAGCTTGTTACCACAAGCACATGTACGTCTCTGCCTCAGGGCTTTTTCTAGCCTCAGGGGAATGCCCCCAGTGTCAGGGAGTTACTCTCCTGGGAGCAGGCCTCACCCAAAAATAGATGGGAGTTGGGTGGATATAGATCCCAGTTCCCATTTGTCAAGTGAGATAACTCAGAGACACACAGTCTCTCCAGAGGTCCCCAGTGGATAGATGCCCAGTTGCCCACAGTTGTAATCTGCTTTCACTTCCCCTCTTCTAACAGTGCTTCCTGCAATCACCTCCCAAATGAACCACTGACCTTAAAGTTTTTATCTCAGGGCCTGTTTCTGGAGAAACCCAACTGAAGACATGGCCTTTCAATGTCTACCTGTTCTCCACTTCAGCCTTGTCATGCTTCCCTTCTCCCTTTAAGCTCTAGCTATACAGAACGTTACTTATAGTTCTCCAAAGGGAAAATGGGGTCTCACCCTTTGTTTCTTTGCATAAGCTGCTCATTTTATCTGGAATAATCAACCTTAATTCCACCTTTCTTCATCCAGGGAACTCAAGCCTGTCTTTCCAAACACAGCTCTGTATCTATCTTTTTCCTGATCACTACCATCCCCTCCCCCAAGTATGGGGCTCTTACTTGTTCTTATGTCTCCCGGTGCTTACAAGGCTGCTCCGCAATGGATTGTGGGTACCTCTGGGCTCTTCTCCAGCTATATACACAAGCCCTCATCCTACTCCCACACCTGGCATGGCCATGACAAATACGATCAAGTTAATAAAGCTTTGTTAAAGGAATATATTTTACATGACCTATTGTCCCTTATGTTCTCATCCTTGGAGAAAATATTCAATAAGGAGTTTACCATCTAGGTTGAGAGATAAAAAAAAAAAAAAAAAAAAAACCTGTTTTCTTGTATTTCCCAGTGATTATAATAATTACAAGTATTATCAAAAAACAAGCTATTTGCATAAATATAGCTAAACACCTCTTTTGGTTCAGCACTGTTAATATGTTTCACCAAGATCCTTAGTTTTCTAGCCCTGATGTTTTCTTATTATCTCTGCATTTCAGTGTTGCCTTCCAGGCTCTGCAATTAAGCAAATTCTTTAAAATTTTAAGTAAATAAGCTTTCACCATTTTAAAGTGGCAAAACATGCAGGAGCACCATTTAATCCGCTGATTCTTCCTTTGGAAGGGGTTTCTCAGCTGTGGCTGACAGTTTTGTGACTGCAAATCATCCTTGTCCAGAAGGGTTGGGCTTTCTGTTACTCGTACCACAGTACTCTGCGTCCTCTGCAGAATATACTTATTTGCAGCGTTTCAGCAGGGAGACCCTGGGAGGATGAGTCATCGTCCTTATCCAGAGAGTTGCCCTTGAGGCCACACTGAGAAACTGTTCTCTCTCTTAACTGTATAGAACAGGCTCAGATCAGAAAGAAAGTGTTCTGTTTACAGAAAGGTTTCCCACCTAGGCAGGAAATGATACTTCAGAAATGCTGAACAATAAATGCAAACGGGATATAATGTCATTTCTTGGACCCAAATGCATTTCAAGGCAATGAATCCCATCCAAACACACCGAGCACTCACTGCATCTAAAACTCTGTAGTAAATTCCAGGGAAGACAGAGACTACAAGACAAGGTCCCTGAACCCAGCCCCTAAATTATTTGTTTAACATTTTGAATATATTTAAGTATCTGTGGGAGATAATTTATATCAAATAACTAGTTATAAAGGCATAGCACTATCATGTTTGTATATAAGTGAACAAATGTGTGAATGCTTGAATTTATCTCTGGATTCTATATTCATAACTGATTGGTATGCTAGTCAAAACCTTTTGGAAGCACGTTTTCAGGAACCCCCATTCTCATATCTCCTTCCTGTTATCATTATCGGCACTAATGACATTGAGATAACCAGTGAATTACACAGGGGAAACAGAAATCAGGCACAGAAGGCCAAGATGAGGCTAAGAGATAAGCTGATGAGGAATTAGATGCAAGAGGTGGGCATATGACAGGCATGAGGCTTGACTTTGGATTCCAAGACGCTGGGGCAGCAGAGCAGACCAGGGTGGTAGGCAGGCATCAAGGATATGAGGTTCAGAAAGTCCAAGCAGGTGTGGTAATCTAAGCAAGTCATAAAGCTTAGAGCAGCCAAATGCACCACAATCCAGTAAGCATAAGAAGCCTAAGAGGAAGGGATACAGTAAAGGAGCTTGTGGAAAGCTTACAGCAGTATGGATGGGACTCTGGGAGTGAACCAAAACTCTGGAGCCAGACCTCCTAGGTTCAAACCCTTATTCTACCAACTACCAGGTCTAATATTCTACCAACTAATATGTCTCTATCTCAGGTTTCTCATCTGTAAATGAGGACAAAACAGTGTTATTGCCTCAATTCCACCCGCCAACACTATATGTGCCTCAAAGAAAGGAAAAAAACCCATTAACAACCAAAAGTGTAAAATGCTATTGATCGATCCCTTTGAGATGTAAAAATTAGATAAAAAGAAGTGTTTAAGAATGGATGTAACAAGGGAGTATAGGAGCTTTTTATCACATAGGGCTGCTAGGAAAATCACATAAGTTAATGTATGAAAAGCACTTAAAATAGCACCTGGTAGCAGGTGAAGTTCCTTGCAGCCCCATGGATGTGGGGTGGTGGGAAATGTTTTAATTGTAACATTTTGGTGTCTGAACTTAGAGGCTTCCCCTATTTTACTTCCTGTTTTTGTTTTCTGTCCCCATCCACAAATATGACACCTTAAAAACTCAAAACCAGTGTGCCAGAATGAGCCGATCCTCTCATTGCAAAGGTGGTTTCTGATCTCCAGTTAGACTCAGAGCTGAGGAGACATATGGATATGTCAATTCGTGTGCTTGTGGTGATTATTTCACATTGTACATGTATATCAAATCATCAAATTGTGCACCTTAAATGTATACAGTGTAAATTGTAAAATATAGGTCAATTTTAAAAATAAAATTAAAAATTGGCTTCACTATTTTACCTACATCTCTGTGTTCCCATCTTCACTAAATGTATGCATGACAATTTCTTACTATTTGTCACATCTTTGGTACTTTTAAGAATTTTTTTCATAAACTCTGATGGCATTTTTTAATTTATTTAAAGAGAGTCCAGTCCAATTTCACTGGTGAACTCTTTAAAATACTTTTTTAAAACAGATAATCCCCAAGATCTATAAACTGTTTCAAATGACAGAAAAAAATAGGTAACTACCTAGTTCATATTGGGAAGCTAAATAACTGTCATACCTGACAAAGGTGGCACAAAAAGGAAATGTAGAACCCAATCCTATTTATGAAAATTAGAACAAAAATTCCACATCAAGTACTAGCAAAAAATTTCATTAACTATTTCAACCTTCCACAACATGACGAGTAGAGTTTTCATTAGAATGTGCATATGACTTAAGACAAATATTAAATATATATCATATCAAAAATCAAAGAAGCATAAACTATCTGTGTCAAAGATGCATTTAATAAAATTCAGTAGCAATTTCTAAGATATTTTTTGTCAAGTATAAATGAGAAGACTGTGACTTCACTTTGGTTGAAATGAAAAATGTCAATTATCAATAAACATACACAAAAACATTAATTCCTAAGTAGAACAAAAATGCCTCTTTTAACTATATTCTTACTTTTTCAGTGATCTGGAACTGTTGGGCGAGGCAATAAAACAAGAAACAATATTAATATCATTTAGAAAAGAGGACACAAAAATTTTCTTTTTTTTTTTTTTTTTGAGACGGAGTCTCACTCTGTCGCCCAGGCTGGAGTACAGTGGCATGATCTTGGCTCACTGCAACCTCTGCCTCCCAAGTTCAAACGATTCTCCTGCCTCAGCCTCCTGAGTAGCTGGGATATTACAGGCACATGCCACCACGCCCGGCTAATTTTAGTATTTTTTTAGTAGAGACGGGGTTTCACCATGTTGGTCAGGCTGGTCTTGAACTCCTGACCTCGTGATCCACCCGCCTCAGCCTCCCAAAGTGCTGGGATTACAGGCGTGAGCCACCATGCCCGGCCAAAAATTTTCTTATAAAACTCAAGATAATCCACTGAAAAATTCTTAAAATCAATCAAGATTTAGTAAACTCACAAAATAAAAAAAAATAGAAAGTATAAAGTGTTCTATTTATCAAAAAAAAAGCTATATGATAATGAATAACAACAAAATATGTACAAATACCTCAGATAATAATCTTGAGTATATGTACTCTAGAGAGCCAGGAAAAAATACTTGCATAAATGGAGATACATACTACGATCCACCTGTAAAGAGTGAATCATTAAAATAAGTCAATCACTTCAAGTTAATTTATGAGCTTAAGTAATACACAAAACAGATTCTATTATTAATAGAACAAATCTCAAATGGAAGAATATTCTTTTAACTTTTTTTGTAAAAGGATAATAGTTTTCGGCCGGGAGCGGTGGCTCATGCCTGTAATCCCAGCACTTTGGGAGGCCGAGGCGGGTGGATCATGAGGTCAGGAGATCGAGACCATCCTGGCTAACACGGTGAAACCCCGTCTCTACTAAAAATACAAAAAATTAGCCGGGCATGGTGGCGGGCGCCTGTAGTCCCAGCTACTCCGGAGGCTGAGGAAAGAGAATGGCGTGAACCCAGGAGGCGGAGCTTGCAGTGAGCCCAGATCGGGCCACTGCTCTCCAGCCTGGGCGACAGAGTGAGACTCTGTTTCAAAAAAAAAAGAAGAAGAATGGTTTTCAAAGACTGAGAACTTGCTCTCTGTTAAACATGAGAAATAAAAATAAAATTCTAAGCTCCTCAACTGACTGAACAGACACCCTATTGGCCAAGGAGATCCCAGAGAAACCTTTAAAACTGAGTTCTTGGCCATGATGGCATGGGAGGTCGGGCATGCCTCATTATACCTCATTACTCCTTAACTGCCATTAGGCTTTCTTCCCTAAGTGCTAAATAGAAACTAGCCCTTTCAAAAGACTTGCTCCACCACCGTTTTCAACCATCTCACTGACTGCTGTCCCTCTCTTTTTGCAGTTTTGACAGAGCAACTGACCAGCATTCCTTCCTGGTAAGAGACCACTGTCCATGGGGTGGTTCTAGCCAATCCATAGAGGCTGCACACAGAGGGACTTTGTGTCCACTGCTTCACCTGTTGAGGTACAGGGTCTAATTGTAATACATTTAAATGTTAAGTCTCTACCCCAAAGTGAACATCAGAACTCATGTTGCATACATGTTGGCCTACTATGCATGCCTGTGCCTCCCCTTCGTGAATATTCATAGCTCCTCCTATAACCTGTTGAATGTGTATACTTAGCTAACCTACTCAGCATAAATTTCTGTTCCCTTTTCCCCCCTCTCTTGAACTGCCTGTTTCTGGCTTCCCAGCCTGTCAAAATGGCCACCCTGTAGGCTACAACTCTTTATAAGAAATAAAGCTCTCCTTTCCAAATTTATGAACCTCCTAATCCTTCAACTGACTAACATATTATAAAACTGCAACAATTTAAATGGCATGTCCAGCTCATAATAGGCATTATGTAGACATTTGTTTAACAAATACAGCATGAAACAATATATAGATCAAGGCAGGGCACAGTGGCTCATGCCTGTAATCCCAGAGTTTTGAGAGGTCAAGGCAGGTGGACTGAGGTCAGGAGTTCAAGAGCAGCCAGGTCAACATGGTGAAATCCCATCTATCCTAAAAATACAAAAATTAGCTGGGAGTGGTAGCACACACCTGTCGTCCCAGCTACTTGGGAGGCTGAGGCAGGAGAATCACTTGAACCCGGGAGGCAGAGGTTGCAGTGAGCTGAGATGGGACCAATGTACCCCAGCCTGGGCAACAGAGTGAGACTCTGTCTCAAAATATAGATAGATAGATAGATAGATAGATAGATAGATAGATAGATAGATATGACTAAGTAGTCTTGAAATGTAACCTAGAATGTATGAGAATGTAGTTTCTTTTTTTTTAAAAAAAAGGAAATTTTAACAAGCAGTGAAAAAGGGATATATGCTCAAAAGTGAGTGGAAAGTTTTCATATTTTTAAAATTTCAAATAAGAACTTTATCTTATACCATCCATCAAAAGAAATTATACATAAAGTGTTAAATATAAAAAGAAAGCAAAAACGATCAACAAAAAAGTTAAAAAATACATATTTATTTTAAAATCTAGACGGCTCGCAAGCCCCAAACGATCACAGTACTCACAAATGCAGACTGACTTGGAGGAGATACAACTGAAGTAGATAGCACGGTGGGTAAGGACATGGGTTCCAGATCAGACCTCCCATATCCCAGCTCGGCCACATGCTAGATGTGTGGCCTTAAGTAAATTAATTCTCTATGCCTAAATTTCCTTCTCGTTGGGATTTAATGAGTTTCCATTTTATAGATTTGTCGTGAAGATTGAGTTAATATTTTAAAGTGTTTAGAAAAATGCTTAGCACAGAAGAAGTACTGTAGACATTATTCTAAATATATATGAAAATAATAAACATCTATATCTAACAAAGACCATGGATGAAATGAAAAATCAGCCTGAGAAATATTTGAAATATTTGTCAGAAATGGATTTTCTTAATTTATAAAGAGTTTTTGCAAGTTATTAAGAAAACTCTTAATCAGAATCAAGAAGTAGCCAAAGTCTCACAAATAATAAAAAGATAGAAGCCCTGAGTTGCTTTGGGGGCTTTTCAGCGTCAGGAATGCAGGCTGCTTCTATTTTTCTGCTCCACTATTGACCTTTCCCAAGGTCACACCATGGTGCACAACAGTTAGAGCTGCAGCCATTATGCTTTCATTTTAGCCAGTAAGAATGAGGAATGGGCAAAAGATCTCATTTCCCTCCTTGAAAGGGGAATATTCTCCTTTCTCCCTATAATTCTCCCCATTCTCGCTAGAATTTGCAAATGTCATATTTTCCGGCATCATATGACCACACTCAACTGCACGGGAATATGAGAAATGCTGTGTTTGTTCCCTGCGCCTACATCCTTAGCTAAAAACTGGAGATTTTATTACTAAGTAAGGATGAAGAACAGCCATTAGCCAAGAAATGGTAGTCCCTAGTACAAACTCAGTGTTATCTGGCATGAATCAGGTAACGGCCAGTAGTAAAAGATACATGGCAGTAAAACTGCCGGTCTCACAGACTGCTTTTATGACTATTATATGGTATAAGCTTTTTTAAAGGCAAATTTTAATTTTTTTTAAGTTTAAAAATAGGCTTACATTTTAACCCGGGAATTACGTTTTACAAAAATATACTGTGGAAATAATGGGAGATTCAATGAGAAATTAACATACATGGATATACGAGGGTATTTACTACAAAACTAGAGTAGTGAAAGGTGAAAAATAATCCTAACTGTTCTACAGTAAATGAGAGCATACCCATAAAAGGGAACATTGTGATGCCATTGTAGATCAGGGAGAGGGAGGGGAAGGGGAAGAACTGAAATAGGGAAAGGGAGGGGGAAAATAGGGAAGGGGAGGAGGAGACAAAAAATACCAAATTAGTGTGATGCCTGTTTTATAAATTTAAATATTAATAACAACCAACCTTTATCGTGCACTTACGGTAAGTAATTTGCAGTATTATCACATTTAATCTTTATAATACCCTATTGGTACATACTGTTATTATCCTATTTTTACAGGTAAGAAAACTGTGACATGGAGATATTAAGTAATTGCCCAAAGTCACACAGTTATCCAATAACAAAAAGAGGATATAATACCAGTAGTTTTTTGTTTGTTTGTTTGTTTGTTTTGAGACAGATCCTCGCTCTGTTGCCCAGGCTGGAGTGCAGTGGTGCAATCTTGGCTCACTGCAACCTCCACCTCCTGGGTTCAAGTGATTCTCCTGCCTCGGCCTCCTAAGTAGCTGGGATTACAGGTGCACACCACAATGCTCAGCTAATGTTTGTGTTTTTTGTTTTTAGTTTTTTGGTTTTTTTTTTTTTTTTGTAGAGACAGGGTTTCACCATGTTGGCCAGGCTGGTCTTGAACTTCGGACCTCGGGTGATCCACCCACCTCAGCCTCCCAAAGTGCTGGGATTACAGGCATGAGCCACCATGAATACCAGTAGGTTTAACTCGAAGTTTGTAGTTTTCTCATGTCCTGACTGAAGAGACAGATGATAAAGTGAGGGAAGATGCAACAAAATGTCAACTCTGGTAACCTTGGTGATAATTTCACTAGGTATTTATTTTCTTCCTTATTCTTCTGTAAATGTCTAAAAATTTTATATGATGACTAGTTATTTTAATAATGAGTACAATAAAAGAAAACTCAAGTGTTACCAGCTTGTACTATATCAACCCATGTTGCAGGCTGAGATTTGACTTGTTTATAAATTTGAACTTATGCATAATTTATTAGACATTATCTAAAGAAATGTTAGCTGTTCTCTTGTTTGCCCATGGGAACAGGGAAAAAATATCTCCCACTTCATTGTTAAGTTATGCTCCTGATTTTCTCATCAAAATGCCTGACAGATAATAACTGTGGCTATTCATAGACACATGAATTTACTATACTAATATCCAGTGTCCTGAATGTAGGACAGTTGCAGTATAAGATGAATGACACATTAATGAGTTTTTCTTCCAAGTAGCTGGCATCAGGTCCTGTAAATAATATCTTTTTTCGCACAAAGGAGAACACATAGTAGGCATATGATACATATATGCAGAGTAGAATAAATAAAGCCCGCTCAATTTCAACATAGGATTTGTGCCATGCTGCATAATTTAACATGGCAGTAGTATTTCATTCCACAAATATTTTGGAGCATAGACTCTGCGTGAGGTGTGATACCAGGGTTGGAGCTCCAGCAATGAAACAAAGCAGACAAGGTCTCTGACTTCATAGGGCTTGTCAGCAATTAATACCCTAGAGAAGGGATAAGTAAGCTATGGCATGCAGGCACATTTTAGCACAACGTCTGTTTTTGTACCTCTCATGAACTAAGAATGGATTTTACATTGTTAAATGGCTGGGGAAAAATCAAGAGAAGAGTAATAATTCATAAAACATGAAAAATATATGAAGTTCAAATCCAGTATCCGCAAATAAAGCTTTATCTCCTCAAGTATTTGCAGAAAACAATTGATGAACCCTACCCATAGAGGTATCTATTTTAATTGAAGACCTATGAGGACTGAGACTTTGGAATTTTCACTAAACGGCATGTTAACCCCGCTTCTCAGATTTTGCTAGTAATTAAAATAGATACTGCTAGGGGAGGGGTCATCAAACATTTTCTATAAAGAGCCAGATAGTAAATATTTGAGGCTTTGCAGGCCACGTATTCTCTGCTGCAACTACTAAACTTTGTCTCGGACAATATGTAAACAAATGGATGTGGCTGTGTTCCAATAAAACTTTATTTGTTAAAGTTCATTTCTCAATTGTCTATGGTTGTGTAGCTAAATTATGGTTAATGGAATGTCACTGTGCTTTCCTAGCGGAGCTCAGGTAAACCATTTTGCCAGAGTGAAAAGGGACTGCAGCTGTTTATTTGCTACTATTAGCTATTTGTCAAGTGAATGTTAGAGAAAAACTAATATTTGTGTCTGAGTTCTGTTCAGAGAAAAGGAAAAAAGACAAACTAATATAAACACTATTGTCTTCTGAAATAACATCTTTGCATTCTTAATAAGAATGGAATATTGCTAAGCATCTGGTTTTATATCTTCTGATTAAACATTACTGATACAAAGATGATTAAAGGCTCTCTGAACATACTGCCCAAAATTTTGAATCTTGGTTATGTCTTGTAAATACTGTGGTTAAAAGGCAAAAACTACATAAATATATCTACATACCAAATGTTGACAAGGGCATGAATAACTAGAACCCTCATGCACTGCTGGTAAGAGTGTAAGTCGGTAAAACCACTTTGAAAAACAGCTGGTCAACATCTATCAAAGCTTAATATATGTATTCCCTATGATTTAATAATTCTGCTTTATGTCCTCAACAGAAATGTATGCATATTACATATCGAAAGACTTCTATAGGCATTTTTATTGCAGCAATATTCTTAAAAACTCAAAACTAGAACAAACCTCAATATTCATCAACAGTAGAATGAAAAATAAATTGTGGTATATTTATTACAATGAAATATACACAGCAATGAGAATTTTAAGAAAAACAACAACAACATTGCACTCAACAATATGTTTGAATCTCATAAGTATAATATTAAGGAAAACAAGCCAAACACAAAGAGAGCAAACTCTACAAAGTTTTAAAAAGATAAAAGTTATCCAGGCTGCTTAAAGGGGTTAGTTACCTGGATGAGGGGAACAGTGGCTGCAAGGGGGCACAATGGGGGCTTCTGGGTGCTGATAATGCTCCCTGTTTACTGACCTAGGTGCTGGTTACATGGTATGTTCAATTTGTGAAAATTCATCTGTATACCTATGGTTTGTGCACTTTGGACTTATCTGAGAAGGCTCTTGCTACTTTAGAAAAAATGCAATCAATCCAATCAATTTTAAAATCCCAAAATATACAGAGTTAGTAGATATGCTACTTTTGATGTGATAGAAATGGATATGCCTGAAATAGCAAGACATTCCATTTACGATGATATATCTACACGAACATAGAGCCCACGAGTAGATCCCTCTGACACAATGATAGGAAGGACCCATGTAAGGACTCCCTCCCTGCCCCGAACCTATATGCTACCTTATGAACTGAGGAAGCCTTGAGTCAAAGGGTCCTTTCTTTTAGGCTAGCAATAATCCTGCAAGGAGGTACTCTATTCCCATCACAGTTTTAAGATTTGTTTAGAGAAGAAATCAGTTATTCCTTTATACTGAGATTTTTTCTGCCTAGTTGTCATCAGAAAGTTCATGTGGCCTGTCTTTGGGTTATTCCAGTTTACACAGGAGTTTAAGAAGGACAGGCCAGGACAAAACTGAGAACATCTCTAATGTAACTCTCTGTACCGCTAATGTTTATACAAAACACACACACACACACACACACACACACACACACACACACCGCTTACCTCAAGCCTGAGGCCATTCTCAATGAGACATTACTGGGAACAAACTCTAATTCCAATAATGTTCATGAGATTGTGCTCTAAAGTCTTAATTGTCAAGAAAGCTGGAATTCGTCCTGTCCTACTTATATCTGTAACTTCAGTATCTAGCAAAGTGCCAGACGCATAACAAGAAGTGGCTAAGTGAAATATTTTATCATTTTAAAAATTATGCTTTGGAAAACTAATAATTAAGGAAAATATTCACAACATAAAACTAACTAAAACAAACCAGGGTAAAAAACTGTAACTATATACACATACACACACATAGACACACACCACAGCTTTAAAACCAACAAAAAGCATATGCAAGTATCAAAGGGAGGAAGTAGTAAAAATGATTAATTTAAAAAGTATAGAAATTATTGGTGACTTATTCACTTGTTCTTGCTTCTTCATAGTTTCCAAATTTGTAATAATTAATATGTATTACTTTTAAAACTAGTGAAACAATTTAGAAAGCACAAAAATTCGAAGGACTCATAGAAACACCAACAAAAGGCTGGGCGCGGTGGCTCACGCCTGTAATCCCAGCACTTTGGGAGGCCAAGGTGGGTGGATCACGAGGTCAGGAGATCAAGACCATCCTGGCTAACACGGTGAAACCCCGTCTCTACTAAAAATACAAAAAAAAAAAAAAAAAAAATTAGCCGGGCATAGTGGCGGGTGCCTGCAGTCCCAGCTACTCGGGAGGCTGAGGCAGGAGAATGGCATGAACCAGGGAGGCAGAGCTTGCAGTGAGCCGAGATCGAGCCACTGCACTCCAGCCTGGGCGACAGAGCAACATCTTGTGCCTCCTCTCTGCTAATATTGACACGTGCTCTCTCTTTTCTCCCCTCTGTAGGGCCTGAGGCCAGTCTCCATCTGCACATCCCTTTCCCTTTCATTCTAAAGAGCAAGCAAGTCACCGCTGGCATTTTCCTCCTCCCACGTTGGAAGCAATGGTTTAGCACTCTGGTAGAAACCCAGGGCACTGTTACCTGCACTCCTATAAAACTGCAGATACATTTCCTTTATTTCTTCACTTCAGATATCTTTTTTTTAGATTTCAACTTTTAAGTATGGAGGTACATGTGCAGATTTGTTACATGGGAATATCGCATGATGCGGAGATTTGGAATACGGATCGGGTATTACGCTAACTGCCTGGGTGATGGGAACACTTTAGATTTCTGAGGCTCAGCTTACTACGTGGGGAGGAGTGGTCAGGCTTTATAACACCCCTAGTTTGCTGCCTTTCCTGAATTCACATAGTCTGTCTACTTCTTATCTCCTAGACCAAATAGGCTTCTGCTCAAATTTTCTCTGCCTCGAGTTTTCTTTTCTTCTGGAGGCAACTTCTGAGCACCAGCTCTCCTCGGGCCCTATGTCACCCCCAGTTCTTAGCCAACTCAGCCAGTCTCTACAAAATGACTCACACATGATCTAAAGAAGCCACTTATTCCATAATATTTTAAATAAATACCCCCCATACCACAGATTAAAGGATGATTAAGAGATGCTTCATGTCCTCAGAATGCATGTTTATTAGGAAAAACAGCATAACAGGCTTTAAGGCAGGCTTTGGGGAAGCAGAAAGATGTGGAAAAAAAAAAAAAAAAAAAAAGAGATGAGAGGCCACCAAAGAGAACATGTTCATTTTTACAGTCTGAGAGGCCCTACAGCCAGAGCAGTTCAAGATTGCTAGACCTTAGAAGAAGCCTCAGAGATCACTGACGGCCTCCTGTTTCACTCAAAAGGATACAGAGGACCAGAGAGTTTAATGGATTTCCTCCCAAATATGTAGACAGCACTGTTACCTGCTCACCTACAAAATTGCAGGTGCATTTCCTTTATTTCTTCACTTCAGATATCTTTTTTAAAATTTCAGCTTTTAAATATGGAGGTACATGTGCAGATTTATTACATGGAAATATTGCATGATGCTGAGATTTGGAATACAGATCGGGATTTCTATGTCCTGTATAGGAAAATGTGCAATGCCGATATGGTACTATACATTTTCTATGTCCATATATTTTCCATACCCTTGCATCTTCCATGACAACTATGTGTTTAGGACTTTGGGATTTTTACAGACAGGTACAATTATAAACACAAAACCGCTGATTGCTGAGTATACTTGCCAACCTATCATTTTGCTGAGTAATTTTATTTTAAAAAAGGCAAAAAAAAGAAAATTCCATCTACCGTGAACATCATTTTATAAGAGACATAACCAGAGAAAAGGACGTTCATTTAAATGGTAGAAATGTGAACCAGTGTTGGGGACCCCACTGACTCTCTCTACACTGCCCCAGTTTATCAGCCAGCTGCTACACAAATGGGTTCACATGAATACTAAGACCTAGGTATACTGGTTTTACCTACATGGGCTCATCTTAATATCCAGTAGGAAATTACATTGACCGTCCATGTCTGTTTCCAACCAACGTCTTTGTTTGGGTTCTCAAAAGCAGACACACAGCCAAAGCTTTGAATACTAATAGTGTATTTGGGAGACGAGTGGTGGAATAAGGCAGGGAAGGGAAAGAAGCAACTACAGTGTGTACTGTGAGCAACTGGCTCAACATGGAACTGCTGGGGACCTCTAGGCAATACCTCAGATATTTAATGATCACCTCCACATCCATCATTGGTGAAGCACTGCTCCCAGGAGCATCTAACTCCCTAGCACTATTGGCCTGCTCCTGTAACCACAGAAAGTCTTCAGGCAAAGAGACACAACTGTTTGTGTGAGTCTCCTGTCACAGAGAGTGCTGGGGGGACATGATGTGGCACCAACAACATTAATATTGAGACTATTTCTTTTTTAATGCTACTATTGGGTGGATAATTTGTATGTTTTAACAAATAAGACCATTTTTTTTATTCCCTGAGTTTTCAAAAGGCATTCTAGACACTTTGTGATCTCTTTTTTAGTAAGAACTTGACACATCCAGGAGAAAATAAGAGTGAGAACTAAGGAGGTCTCTAGAGCACAGACGGTGATGGGACTGACTTATGTTGGCTTTTGCCTACTTAGGCAGTTAGATAATAGAAAAAAAAACACTTAGGACATAAGAGATTTAGGGACTGTCAGATGAGTGTGTCAAAAAAAGTTGAATTTATTTCCCCTTCCTAATAAGCTAAAATTAGTCACTACTGAATAAATCAAAAAGGCTACTGGCACCTTATTTCAGAAACTTGCCAAATTCTGATGCATAAGACTTTGTTGTTTGTGCTTTATGTTAACTCTGGATTCCTATCTGGTTATAACAAAGCTTTAGCATGATGTCTTTTCATATCTATAACCATACAGAGAGCCATATTAAGACATAAGGAAAAACAGGGTTAAGATTTATTGGACCAGGCCCTGTGAGAAGATTTAGATATTCCTTTATTTGCTGAAAATCTATCATTCCTGGCACTGTGTATAGGCTCAAGATTCAAAGATCAGGAAGATGTTTTCCTGCCCTCAAGGAGCTCACAGTGTAATAGACACAAAATCTGAATACAAACTGAATACAAAGTGGAAAATTAGGAATTGGAGTACCCACTGTTGCCAAATCAAGCCAAGGGTTTGGAAACTGGAAATCCAGCTGAGGAGTAGGAAAAGACAAGTCTCAGTGTCCAAAAACAAAAAACAAAAAACAAAAAAAAACAAACAAAAAAAGAGCTTATGTATAGTTAGACCACAGCAAAATCAATTGAAGTATAGGAATGACCCTAAAACTTGGACAGAAATTAAGCCCTTGCTTTCCCCGGTCATCCTTAATATTTTTCTCTTGGAAACCACTTTCCCTACCAGGTCCAAATAGACTTCAACTGTGACAAAGACATCAGTCTCAACATTTGGACCTGAAGTTAGTCCTGTTGTAGACTCCATAGCAGGCATGCATGAGGTGAGCCCTGGGTACCCCATATCTTGCCTTCACACTTGCTGTTTATATTGTAGGATTGAGTTTTTGCCTTAGTATCATATTGGCATTGCACATTTCCCTAAATCTCAGCCCACATGACCAGCACTTTAACTATTTCCAGACATATGAGTACATCCTTCTTACCAAGGCAGATAGATCCTCTTGCCATGTGTCTCACCGTCTATCTCCCACAATCTCTTGCAAGCTTCCTGGATCCTGTTCTGATTAATCATCTTGTCCCATACTTGGATGACTCTGAGTACCAAACATTGTCTGTGTCCCTGTTCCTGTGCCCCCATCTAACAGTCAGGGTCCCTCCCACAGGGCCCCTGCTTTCTGCTTCCTTCCAGAAGTCTATGTACTCCTGAAATCCCCAAAAAAACTCACAGAAGAGCTCCACTCATATATGATATTGGGCTTAGTTTCCAGATAATGTCTTCCCAACTAGATTGGAAGTGCTGTCAGGAAATTAAAATATAAGGGCCTACTAATACATGAGAAATTAATGCATTTAAGTATAGTAAGGGAAAAGCACATAGCTGCTGCAGTTGCATCTCAATAAAGAGCTAAATCTCTAGAAGAAGAAAGTCGAAACATAGTCTCATAAACTTGACTGCAGGCTGTCACCCACATATTTGAAATAATAACCAGAGGTGCTGAGTTTTCAATTTTCTGATAATATAATATTAGTAATTTTAACCCAACATCCAATATTGACCCTGGAAATGTTTTGAATTTAAGCCACAACATATGTACAGGCAGCATAACTCATTGGCAAGAACAAGTGCCAAGGTCACAATTCATGCTGGAATCATTTCTGCCACTTCCTCCCCTTCAACCACCTTCTAGTTGAAGTGATGGAGATTTGGTAGCATCTAGGAAGTTTTGGCAGCTGATGACAAGTTATTACTTTGACAATAACACCATGTTATTATTTTGAAATTTTAGCTACTGAGCCACAACACTATACACCCAAGACAGTCCTCTATGGACCAGCTGGGTGCATGGCTTTGAGGCCTGATGGTAAGGCCTTGGCAGGATTTGCTGTTCTTGGAATTACCCACTGCTATACAACCTCCTCCATCTCAGTTGACCCATCTTAGTTTCCCATCTCTATATTTCACTAACAAATCAGATTTAGCACCATTGTTCATTAAAAAGAATGATGTATAAATGGAAACTCCATCTAACAGTTGAGTGAAGAGCTTGTGTACTTCCCAGGACAGTGAACAAAATCATCAGACAAGAATTAATTTGAGGCTTCTCTTCCACTGATATTTGCAATATTCTTAAATTGGAACCATTATTTCTACTGGAAAAAAAAACAGGTAGTATATGTTTACTAAAATCTTATTATTGGTACTTAAAGCTCTAAATACAACTGATTCTTGAAAAGATAATTTATATAATTACTACTGATTATTCATTCCGGGGTGATGATATCCTAGTATATGCAACAACTCTGTATGATCATATTCTGCTAATACTTCCATGTTCCACATGTCTTCTAGTCCTCGGTAGGCGTATCTAAGAAAATGAAAGTAACTCATCCTTTCCAGGACACTAGGGGAAAACAGCAACACACAAAGTAAGCCATCATTAGATTTGGGGCCTGAGAAAGCATTTGAGCATGAGAGAAAGATGACTTCGCTTTTTGGTAGATACATACCACCCCTTGCTACATACATATGCACGCACATCCACTCACATCCCCCATCACACACACACACACACACACACACACACACATGCTCTACGAACAGCTGTCTGAGCAGATTTTAGGGCATAATCCTACCTTCCCACAGAAGTGTAGTGTGTTAGTCTGTTCTCACGCTGCTAATAAAGACATACACAAAACTGGGTAATTTATAAAGGAAAGAGGTTTAATGGACTCACAGTTCCACATGGCTGGGGAGGCCTCACCATCACGGCAGAAGGCAAATGAGGAGCAAAGGCTTGTCTTACATGGCAGCAGGCAAGAAACGGTGTGCAGGGGAACTTCCATTTATAAAAACCATCATATCTCATGAGACTTATTCACTACCATGAGAGCAGGATGGAAAAGACCCACCCCCATGATTCAGTTACCTCCCACCAGGTCCCTCCCATGACACGTGGGAATTATGGGAGCTACAATTCAAGATGAGATTTGGGTGGGGACAGAGCCAAACCATATCGGGCAGCAAGAACAAAGCTATTTTTTCTCCTTACCTAGCTGCACTGACAACACTCAGTGAGATTATTGGGTAGAGCCTCAACCTCATTCTTACAGATGCTTCAATTTATAATTTAGTAATACAAACAAGATATCTTGCTATTGTACTTCCCTTTTCACTACTAATTGCCCTTAACACCAAGCACGTTACAGTCATTAAATGCAGTGCTAACATCACCCTTCCACTCTTGAAATTGTTAACAGCAACAGTGAACACAATATATAACATTTTAATTTTTTAAATTATTTTTAAAAATATACTTCCACATCTTTTTCCCCTCACTGCATTATTGACACATGATACATGTAAACACACACATAGATATTCACCCATTCCCACCCCCTTGAAAACACACACAAACAGCACATACACACACAAGCTCACCTACATTCCTACCTACCTTCCTCTCCTTCCCCCCCACCACACACACAGACTTAGAGGCAGGGGCAAGAATTGTTAGAAAAGCCACAATTTATCTGACAGAATCTGACCTTTCTAAGATTTGGATTCCCAGGAGCAACAGAAACAAAATGTAATGTAATAGTTAGTAAAACAGTGTTTAGGTTTGAGGAAATGTTACTGTGCCAATGAGAAAGATATGTGCATATATCTTAGTTTGGGGTCCCCTAGAGGCAGAACCTGAGACAAGGAATTGCCAGCTGAGCGGGTAGTTTATTTGGGAAGGAAATGCAAATGACAGGGGAAGGGAAGACAGGCAATAAAGAGTACACGAGTGATGAGCAGGTTTACCTGGTAAGAAATTGGAGCTTGAGCCCTCTGAGAAAATCTGAGCACATCTCAAAATTATCACTTCTAACCCAAAGGCGAAGGAGGTCGGGATTTGTACCCCCAACTCTCTTTAGTAATTGGTTGAGGGATGGGGTGGGAAATGGGTAATTCCGTGGCACTGTTTATGACTTGCTGCAGGTAGGCAAATAAGACCCTGGAGGCCAGAGAGAAGCCTCAGAACAATACATTTAGGTACAGGCAAGTTGGATGAAAATGGTGAAGGACACAAGCGACGTGCTACAGCATACATTTGCTTCCGTGTATGTTTTAGTATGTACTAGCACGTATGTTTTCATATAGCTATGTGAGCAAAATTGCTTCTATAAATGTGGCACAAGACACTGTGCCACACTTATAGACACATAGACAAAACATTAGGCCACAGACAAAAAGGTAGGCCAACAGCGAAATGAAAAAGATCCTCCAAACGGCAAGGGAAAAACCTACTGAAAAGAAAAACAGAACGACTCAACTGTAGATCATGGACATCAGATGGTGGCTTAGAAATGCCACAATGATAAAATGCTTCTGCAGTAGACAGAAATAACATTAGCTCCTCCCAACCATGAAAATTATGAAGAAAGCCACATGCCAGAATCACCACAAAATGACAGTTATCTGGATTTTAAATAGCTTACATTCTTCCAAATTAATCTACAAAAAAAGGCAAGATAAAACAATATCAGAACAACTGGGGATTCCCAGCAATTTCATGAAAAGACATGAACTTGCAAAGACTAGAATAGAAAGTTTGCACCAGATAATGTTCAGATAAACAAGATAGTTCCCTGACTGCTCTAAAAATAGGCATGTAGCTCAACAAGATAGAGACCAGCCAACTAGACAAAGAACAAAGAGCTTGTGGTAAACTGCAAAAATAGCCACGAATCTTCCTTTCCCCATCACCAAACCCTCATGATCAATGTGCCTTTGTAACTCCACCCATCAGTGAGTGGGCCCCACCCAGTTTCCACCACTAGAATCTGGGTTGGTTCTCCTGACTTGGCTAAAGGAATAGAAGTTTACTTAACACAAGCAGAATCCTGCAGGCTGATGAACAATGCAGAACCCAGGTTCCTTCCTGATACGGTTTGGCTGTGTCCCCACCCAAATCTCATCTTGAATTCCCACGTGTTGTGGGAGGGACCTGGTGGGAGGTAACTGAATCATCGGGGCAGGTCTTTCCTGTGCTGTTCTCGTGACAGTGAATAAGTCTCATGAGATCTGATGGTTTTGAAAAATGGGAGTCTCCCTGTACAAGCTCTCTCTTTGCCTGCTGCCACTCATGTAAGACATGACTTGCTCCTCCTTGCCTTCCACCATGATTGTGAGGCTTCCCCAGCCACATGAAACTAATAAAAGTCCAACCTCTTTCTTAAGAAACTTTTAAGAAACTTAACTTTCTTAAGAAAGTTAAATGTCTTTCTTTTGTAAATCGCCCAGTCTTGGGTATGTCTTTATCAGCAGCATGAAAATGGACTAATATACTTCCCCTTTGTCCCCACCTCACCAAACTGCTCGCAAACTACCAGACAAGGAAGACATATGCCTAAGGCCCAAGAAAGGTGCTGAGTGAGACCCAGACCAGATGAATTTCCTGGAAGATGGTGGTAGTTTTAGGTTACTAATCTTTGGAGTAGGTTTGTCATGCAGCAACTGCTTACTTTCTCAAGACCCTGATAGGCCTTCAGGCTCAACATGCATTTCATGCTTTACAAATATTTATTAATTGCTTACTGTGGCCTGCCACTGTTCTAGGTTCAGGGTATAAATAAATGATAAAAAGAGTCAAAGTATCTACTCTCATGGAGTTTGCATTCAGATATGAAGAAACATCTAAGCAAATAATAAAATAAATATATAATATGCTAGACGGTGATAAGTCTTGAGAAAGAAAGAAAAATGGGGTAAGGGTGTCAGCAAGTGACAGAGGTTGAGGGCACTGTTTCAGACAGCAGTTGGGAAGGCCTCTCTGTGGACCTGACATTTGCACTGGCTTCTAGCTACCTGTCCTCTCCATCTCCCACCTCTCTTCCTGTAGTTCACTTCACTCCAGTCACACTGGCCTTCTCTTCTAACCAGCAATGCATATTGTTGCCTTGGAGCATTTATACTCCCTGTTGGCTCCACTTCATTCATGGAGGTATCTGCAAGAAGAGCCTCTGAGTGGAGGGAACAGTGAGTGGGGGTTGCTCTTACCTGATATGGGAGAAACTGGAGGAGGAGTGATGCTCAAAATAGTTTCCACTGTTCTCCAGAGTCTAAGCTAAAATTATCTGGCAAGGGTGTAGGGGTTGGGGTGATTCCATGGAGAGCCTTAACTCTAAAAGAAAGGTGGAGCAGCATCTTCCTCGTCAGACAGGGAATGAAGATGCCACAAAATGATCACCTTTCCTAATCTGAATATATAGGTGCTTTCAGTATACCCAAATTCTTACAGTAAAAGAATCTTGAGCTAGAACTGGATATTCTTGATCAAAGGAATCCAATAAGCAATATACACTACTGATTTAGTTATTTAAACACTTGATTGTCATGGTTTTCCCTCTGCAAAGCTCCCAATGCCATTGTTTATTACCTTCAGCTGTTACAGAATTTGGGAAAGGGGATGAGGTTCTCTACATGTCTGATCCCAGAGCTAGTGATATTATTCCATTTTTCCAGATGAGAAAACCCTCAGAAAGTTTACAAAGTAAATTCCATACACGAGATTTCAAGTCAAGTTTGTCTCATTCCAATTATACCATGAACACTAAATTCCCTTCTCTGTATCCCCCAATCAGTCTTTCTTTGGCTGAATAATTCAAAATAAGCCCAACTCAAGTGTAAATTAGTACAGCCACTATGGAGAACAGTTTGGAGGTTTCTTGAAAAACTAAAAATAGAGCTACCATACAACACAACAATCCCACTCCTAGATATATACCCCCCAAAAAAGGAAATCAGTATATCAAAGAGATATCTGGATTCTCGTGTTTATTGCAGCACTACTCACAATAGCTAAGATCTGGAAGCAATCTAAGTATCCATCAACAGATGAATGGATAAAGAAAATGTGGTATGTATACACAATGGAGTACTATTCAGGCATAAAAAAGAATGAGATCCTGTCATTTGTAAAAACATGGATGGAATTGGAGGCCATTATATTAAGTGAAATAAGACAGGCACAGAAAGACAAACTTTGCATGTTCTCATTTATTTGTGGGAGCTAAAAATTAAAACAATTGAATTCATGGACATAGAGAGTAGAAAGATGGTTACCAGAGGCTGGGAAGGACAGTGTGGGGCTGGGGTGGGGTAATGGTTAATGGATACAAAAAAAAAAATGGTTAGAATGCATGAATAAGATCTAATATTTGCTAACACAACAGGGGGACTATAGTAAAAAATAATTTAATTGTCCATTTTAAAGTAACTAAAATAATATATTTGGATTATTTGTAACACAAAGGATAAATGCTTGAGGTGATGGATACCCCATTTACCCTGATATGATTATTAAACATTACATGCCTATATCAAAATATCTTATGTGCCACATAAAAATATATGCCTACTACGTACCCACAAAAATAAAAAAAAAATAAAAAGACAAAAAAAATACTCCCACCTCCACTTCTTTTACAATTGGAGAACAACTCTGATGTCTCCATTACATTTTCTTTTCTTTTATAGCCTGAATGTCACCAGTTCCTGTAATGCTTTCTCAACGATATGATGCCCCTATCTTTAAATCTCACTCAATAATGTTTTTCTTACAGTGAAGGGACTGGTCTTACACACATAGCTTGAATGATAATGACTGTAAAACTTCCCTTGATCTGGACAACTAGGTTTGTTTTCATTTTTGGAATCTGAAACAGAAATAATTTCCTCTCCCACATCACAGTCATTGACTCATTACATCTACAGTAAAATAAAACCTCCAGGTCTTTCATCCTAAACTATATTTGCCGTTCTCCCTCTCAGTCTCATGCAATTTGTTTTTTATCTAATTGTGTCTTGGTTTGGGTTTCCTGAGAAGCAGATTATTTGACAAAGCTGCAAGTATGAGTGGTTCCTGTAGGAGGTGATCCAAGGAAACCTCTGTAATGGAATGAGGAATTGAGGCAGTGAAGGACAAGCATACAATAAAGCATTACCAACCAAGTTTCCACTGTGGGCAAATAAAGTCCAATTCCTTTACAGAATTCTAGGAGACTGTGCAGAACATACCTCAGAGTTATGCCAGCTGAGCAGTGAGAAACTGGATGATTTGTCCACTAACAACCCATCATGTAATAAACATATCCTTATACTTCCACCCTTGCCCCTGACCAAAAGGGCCACCAGGACAAGCAAACAATACTGAATTATCTCATCCAGCCCATGTTGGTTGCCTGTGTTTAAATGTTATGAAGTAAATACAAGGTAGCTATTAATTAAGCAGGCCCCCAAACCCCTTACTATGTGGAGAGTTTTAGTACCCCAAAATGACAAAACTGTTGTTTTTTAAAATGCCTTTTTTTTCCAAAATAATTTATAGCTTAGAATTATGCAGGCTATTACTATGCTTCCTTCCAATAAAGTGGAATTAGTACTCATTTGCTATAATTTACTATCTAATCCCATTCACCAGGAAAATGTCCTCAAGTTCAGGAAAACACTTCTCTTGGGGCCTGCTTCTTTCTTGCAGGAAAATTTCAGCAGAAAAATCTGTACTGTCTCATTTCCAGAGCACTTTTGGTTTTACAGATACTTACCAGTGATACTTTAGGATCTGAGTTACTTCTCAGTGAATAAATGCAGAGGAACAATAAGGTTTATTGTGCCAAATTTTGTTTGCATTAGGGTTTTTTTAAAAAGACTTCTAATGTCTTCCTATTTCTTATGCTGGATGATTTTCTGACACACAACAGACACACTGGAAAAGGAGACATAAACAGAATCGATGTCTTTCATTCAACAAGAAAAGAACGCTCCCTTCTTAAGGAAAGACAAGGCTGGATATTGGCCTAATTTTCATCAGGATATGTATTCCAATTAATGAAACTCCACCAAGAGAGATCATTGCTGAGATAAGCCTAGGAGGAAAAAGCTCTGCTCTCCCTTTTGTTAGATGCTCTTCTCATTTCCATTGACATATTTCACTGTTATACAGACCAGAATATTAGACCGATCTCATCATGTAATGTTCTTTTAGTTTTTCTTTTTTCAATGAACTGTGGGTCTCAATGAAAAGCTTTGAAAATAGTAAATGCTCATGAGAGATTTTTGTGGCTTGACTTTTCACTGTCACGTACAAACTTATTCCAAGAGCAACACATTTCCTGATTCCTTTCAAATATTTTGGTCATTAACTTTTTATTATCTCCTTTGCAACAAGGTTACAATTATTGGGCTGTTACAGCACTAAATAGAATCGTTCAATGAATAGTAGGTAAATTTTCATGTTCAAAATATTGATGGTTCCTTCATGCCTCATAATATCCAGAGAACAACACAGAAGGGTAGTTGGAAGAAGGCTTATCAAGTTAATCTAATACAACCCTTCAACAGCTGGACTTTTATCAAACTATTCAGTTAGATACTTTTCTTTAGGACAGGGATGGCAAATGCACGGTATTAGCATGCTGCCTCCCCTCACCAGCATATGAGAGACTGATCAATCAGAGTCCTCATAATTAATCTTTTTCAACTCAACCCTGAAGGCAGCCAAGACTAATTGATCAAAGTAGGCACTGAGATGATATCAGCAGATCCCTAACCAACTTTGGCAGTGTGATGCACTATCTTGATAAGCTTTCCATCAGCAAACTTATACCCAATTCTAAGCCACATGTGCTCAATTCATAAGTCAAAGTAATAGGCACATATGGCCCTCAACTGTTTTATCCAGTTGAAAACCTGTGAGCCAAGATTCGCAAAAGTCACGGGCAATGTACTCAGCTTCATGGATGGCTCATCAACCACAAAATGTAGAAAGTAGCTACAGTCCCACTTTTTCTATGGGGAAGGTTACTCTTGAACAAAGAGCATGACTTGCCTCTAGCACAAGCGTAAGCACACAGTCAACATAAATAATGATTTTTAGTGAATAAGTCATTGAAATGAACAATTCACCTTGAAATTCATGGGGCAAAGCACGCTACCCCTCCATAAAACAAATAAATGAGATTTAACCTGTCCTAGAGTATGGCTAAAAATGACAATATCTCTTTGATTTTAGCTGTGTCCCTCCATAAAGAAAGGAAACCTAATTTGGTCCCCTGTTCCTTGAATGATACGCACTTGTATTTCCAACATGGATTCACATCATCTCATAATCCTTAGCAGTCTTGACCTGGAGACTTCAAGCAGCCTGTCAGGATGTTTTTAAAGGAAATCTCTGCTCGCTTAGCACGTTTCAGAGATCCTCTCTGCCTTAATTCTCACCGCTACCTATCAGCTAATATTGTTAAGAGGCAGGCACATATGCAAAGAAAATTATATTCTTCTGGACACCTTATTCCCCTTATTTCTATCTAAAAGATTTTCTTTGCAATACCATGTCATCAAACCAAAAGTGTTTATTGCCTCTAATCTGTATATCATTCTGTACTTTCCATTTTTCTCCCATGGGCATGATTTTAACCAGTAATTCCTAATCTTTTCAGGCAGTCCTAACAGCCCAGCCAACCAATTGATGGTGTGTAACCTTTTGTTTTTCATTTCAGGAGAGACACTTCCCATTGCAGGCCAAACTTACAATTATTACACTGGCCTGTATGTTGCTACTTTCCTTGGAAATTGCATTTTCCATTTCTGACATCATTTGTTCTCTTAACAATTCCAGTGAGAATCTTCTCATGTGGTTCTGAAGAAATGGGCCCAAGCTTTAGCGGAACACAGCAACGCAATATGAATATAAATTTACTAACATCTAAGGAATTTGAGGCTTTTGTTCTTCACCCAACTTTGCCTGCAACCACAGACATCACGAGGTAGTGTTATAGTGGAGGATCAATATTGAACACACTCTACATAATTTATATACTGCTTTGTAGGGGGCAACTATTACTTGTTTTAATCATTCAGGACATTAGAATCTTAACTGCAATTGCCATTGGTGCCAGAACAAGGCATGGGGCTACTCTTCCTTGAGCTTACACTGTAATTACAAAGGGATGATTTAAGACACAAAAAGCAATTGCAACAAAAACAAAAATTGACAAGTGGGACCTAATTTAACTAAAGAGCTTGTGCACAGCAAAAGTAACTACCAACAGAGTAAACAGAGAACCTACAGAATGGGAGAAAATATTTGCAAACTATGCACCCAACAAAGGTCTAATATCCAGAATGTTTAAAGCACACAAATGAATTAACAAGCAAAAAACAAACAATCCCATTAAAAATGGGGAAAGGACAGGAACAGACACTTCCCAAAAGAATACATGCATGTGGCCAACAAGCATATGAAAAAATGCTCAACATCATTAATCATTAGAGAAATGCAAATCAAAACCACAATGAGTGAGATACCATCTCACACCAGTCAGAATGGCTATTATTAAAAAGTCAAAAAATAACAGATGCTGGCGAGGTTGTGGAGAAGAGAGAACACTTATATACTGCTGTCAGGAATGTAAATTAGTTCAGTCACTGTGGAAAGCAGTTTGGAGATTTCTCAAAGAACTTAGAACTACCACTGGACCCAGCAATCCCATTACTGGGTATATACCCGAAGGAATATAAATCATGATGCCATAAAGACACACACACACACACACACACACACACACACACACACACACACACACACACACGTGTTCATCACAGGCACTATTCACAATAGCAAAGACATGGAATCCTACTAGATACCCATCAACAGTAGACTGGATAAAAACAATGTGGCACATATACCCCGTGGAATACTACCCAGCTATAAAAAAGAACAAAATCATGTCCTTTACAGCAACATGGATGCAGCTGGAGGCTGCTATCCTAAGCTAATTAACACAAGAACAGAAAACCAAATACCACACATTCTTATTTATAAGTAGGAGCTGAAACACTGAATACACATGAACACAAAGAATGGAACAATAGACACAGGAACCTACTTGAGGGAGGAGGGTGGGAGGAGGGTGAGGATCAAAAAACTACCTATTGGGTACCATGTTCGTTACCTGGGTGACAAAATAATCTGTACACCAAACCCCCAGGACATGCAATTTACCCATGTAATAAACCTAGACATGTACCTCCTGAACCTAAAACAAAGTTGGAAGGGGGAAAAAAAAAAAGAGTAGGTTTGCTTTAAAAAAAAGAAAAAAAAAAAAAAAAAAAAAAGAAATGCCTGATGCCACACCTCTGACTTCTGTTGGGGCAGGGATCCCCTGGGATGGGTGTATAAGCCTTCCCTCTTGTCACAGGTCAAAGGATACGATCAGAAAGGGCTACTTTCTGAAAATCATCAGTTAGATAATAGAGCCAGAAGTGGTCATTAATAATGGTGGTCAGAAAAATCATGATGTGAAGCCAACTAGAATGGAAGAAGTCAGTGCATATCAAGAAGAACCATGGGCCAGGCACAGCAGCTCACGCCTATAATCCCAGCACTTTGTGAGGCCAAGGTGGAGGATCACTCGAGCTCAGGAGTTCAAGACCAGCCTGGTCAACATGGTGAAACCCCATCTCTACTGAAAATACAAAGATTAGTGGGGTGTGGGGGCATGAACCTGTAATCCCAGCTGCTCGGGAGGCTGAGGCAGGAGAATCTTTGAACCCAGGAAGCAGAGACTGCAGTGGGCTGAGATCGCACCACTGCACTCCAGCCTGGGTGACAGAGCGAGACCCTGTCTCACAAAAAGGAAAGAAAGAAAAGAAAGGCAGAAAGAAAGGCAGGCAGGCAGGAAGGAAGGGAAGGAAAAAGAAAAGAAAAGAGGAGTGGAGAGGAGAGGAAAAAGAAAAGAAAAGAAAAGAGCGAGCCATGATTACAAGGTAGCAAGATAAAAAAGTAAATCTGGATTCATAACCTACAGTTGATACTTGAAAGTACTTTTTATGAACTTGTAGGCCCACTTTTTGGTGGATAAACTAGATGTATTGACTGGTAAAGAAATTAGGGTATAAATACACATGGTAAGCCTGGCATCAACTCTAATTGTTCCTTAAAAAGAAAAGGTGAAAACCTTAGCCAGGTTTTCCTCTCGTAGTACCTGAGTCTACAATTCACTACTTCTCCTCTTGTCCTTTGTTCTTTACATGCCAATTTGGAGTGGTGTCATCTTTGTAACAGGGGTAATTAACCAACTCTACAAAAGTGTCAGACTGTCACCAATTGTCTAACATCTTCTAGCTCTTGCCATTACCAATTAGCTCCAATTCTGTTCTGTGCTGTGTTGAATATAGTAGGATTTCTGTCTTCCAATGTATTCCTTGCAAATATGGGCTGCAAATAACTTCACAGTTATCTTAGAATGGTTCCCCTCTCTGAGCAGCAGTGTAGGAGATGGAGTTGTCACTCCGACTTCCCTTAATTCTCAAAGAGGTAGAACACATTCTAGAATGGGTGTTATTCAAAAGAACTGCCTACCAGAAGACATTGCCTCTGATTTTCTTGTCACAGAAACATTTTCTCTGGCTACGCCGTTGCCATGTAGTCATTTTATACTGGATCATGTGTGGGCTAGAGTAGCCAGAATTCTATTTTTCTGGAAGATAAAGGCAGAAAATTCTGTCACTGCATTCATTCCAATCTCCAGGATCAGAGAGTACGAGAGTTCTTCATTCATCTTGTTAGTCACTCAACCCACAGTACTAACTGAGCACCCACTATGGATTCTTTATGGATTGCTGAAGTAGGTGTTGGGAGACGGTGATGATGATGGAGAAATCAGGAATGTTTTCCTGAGTAAATTCTCATCTCAATGGACAGACAGGCCCAACAAACCCCCAAAGCTTGTCCCAGAAAAATACACAAGTACTGTGAGCGATTTATTAATTCATTCTCATTCAGCTCCTAACTCACTCTTCCATGCGCTGGTTCGTGATGTGGAGGCAGGGCTTCTTCAATCCACATTTCTGCTTTTCTAGTTGGAGCCCTATTAGGCTCTAAGGGGGCTGCAGAGCTGGAGGAAGCAAGAGCGAGTTGCTTCTTTCTGTCTGCTCCCTCTGAGGATTTCTCCACCAACACTTCACTTCTGCAGTGGCAGTGTCTCCCGTGACAGCAGCTGAATGCAGTTTACAGTTTTTCCAAGCCGTGTGGGATCAGCTTTATTCATAAACTCCAGAACCAACCATCCTCAGAGGTCTGGGCTTCAACTCCATGGAGACTCCTCTGACCATCTAAGTTTCAAGAGTATTAAGAATTCCAACCTCTTCTTTTTGTTTTCCTAGGCCTCAGGGGTGAAGTTGCTTTCTGTAGTTTTTCCCTCCCTGATTCCTTAGTGTGTTCTTTCAGTCTTTTTAGTTTCTTAGTTAACAGTGCTATACCTTGTTAACAATTCTTTTTACCGAGGTACATATTTTTCCTGTTAAAATAACTGAAGAGATTTCTGCCTCCTCACTGGAAATTGAGTGATACAAAATCCCAAGTTACTCAGCCTTTCCAATGCAACAGGTTTTTGGAAACCCTCTGAACAGTCAGATTGCTATAAAAGCCCACTGAGTACTCACACAGGTGAATTTTCCCCTTCCCTGTCCAAATGCAACATCCTCAGCAATCTTTGAATAAGTACACAAAGTCATGATATTTAAAATATGTACAGTAACATATAGCATCCAGTGATGTACAAAAACTCAAAACTATGTATACAAATCTGGGACTTCATGACAGTGAGTCCCTACTTGACGCTTCTGTGGCTCACAGTGGACAAAGAAGCCTTACAACCTGTCTTTAATAAGAATCTGCTTGGCCAGGCGCAGTGGCTCACGACGGTAATCCCAGCACTTTGGGAGGCTGAGGTGGGTGGATCACCTGAACTCGGGAGTTGGAGACCAGCCTGACCAAGATGGAGAAACCCCACCTCTACTAAAAATACAAAATTAGCTGGGTGTGGTGGTGCAAGCCTGTAATCCCAGCTACTTGGGAGGCTGAGGCACAAGAATCTCTTGAACCCAGGAGGCGGAGGTTGCGGTGAGCCAAGATCGCGCCATTGCACTCCAGCCTGGGCAAAAAGAGTGAAACCCCATCTCAATAAAAAAGAATATGCTTGATGGTTGTACTAGGAGCCTCCTGGAAATGCGGCTATACCCTGGCTCGTACTGGCAGGCCCGTTCTCTATTCCTGTGTTTAGGCTTCACTACTGGGTTTACTCCATCTGATTTTTGGGTTTGGTGTACAAAAAGCCCCTGCCAGCTTCCTTTCCTGAAAAGCTAGAGCCTGGTGTTTCTACCTGGTCAGGCTCTGCCTCCACCGGATCAACTTCCCCGGAAAAACTTGCAACCCAGAAATTCCTGCTGCCAAGATCTCAGCCACTGCTTAAATCATCTGGATGACAATGACACACCCAACTCTTAAGATAAATTTACTACAACCTAAAACACTGACTATATAGCTCAGTCAATGCTTCTAGAGTCTCCAGGTTTCAGCTTAAGCCTCTGTTCTTCCCTGCTCAAAGACAGAGTTGGTCAAGTGAGTCTACCAACTAAGACCACACAGTTTACAGCAATACAGTCCTTCACTCAATTCCCTTTGAACACAGGCTCATATTTGGAACCACTGGGATCTGCAATGTGTGGCCATGCAAAAATCTTCCATGTATAATCCACGTTATGTAAAGATTGTTTTCCTGGGAATATGATGTGACTCTAGCAAGTTTTTAACAGAGTACACTTGGGCCAGGAAGGTTCTAGGCATAAGCGAGCATTGAATGAGGAGAGATTACACCAGGAGTAGACCCATTCTCAAGTACAAACTTGATGGTAAACAAGAAGCAAAACCCACCTCAATCAAAAGATGTGTCCCCATCCCACACCTCCCAGCTCCAAGAGAGAGTTAATGATATGATCATCTCTGTTTCCCTCCCAGGTTCCCAAAGATCTGAAGGAAAAGGAATGAATTCCAATATCTGCCTCCAATTTCCCCTTCATTTCCTTGCAATCTGATGCATCATGACACTTGTTTTGATTTTTATTTTTGAACACAGCCAGGCTCATTCACTTACATATTGTCTATGGCTACATTCCCATTAAAAGGGCAGAGTTGAATAGTCGTGACAGAGGCCGTATGGCCCACAAAGCCAAAAATAATCACTATCAGGCCCTTCAGAGAAAAAAAAATTGTGGGCTGGGCTGTGTGTTTTACTCCTGTAAACCCTGTAATCTCAGTGCTTTCGGAGACCAAGACAAGAAGATCACTTGAGCCCCAGAGTTCAAGACCAGCCTGGGCAACATAGTGAGACCTCATTTCTACAAAAAAAAAAAAAAAAACAATTAGCTGAGCGTGGTGGTGCACACTTGTAGTCCTAGATGCTTGGGAGGCTGAAGCAGGAGGGTCACTTAAGCCCAGGAGTTTGAGGCTGTAGTGAGCTATGGAGGTACTACTGCCCTCCAGCCTATGTAACAGAGTGAGACCCTGTCTCAAAGAAAAAACAAGAAGCAGCAGAAAGAAAAGAAAAGAAAAAGTTTGTGAACCCATATTTATTATCACTTTTGGATATATATCCTACTATTGCTATCTGTTTTAGGATGATGGTGAGGGACATACAAAGCGAGTGGCTTAGCAATAGCTGACCACATCTGAAGCTTTGACAATTATATCATGATCATTTCCTAGCAGGCAGTTTGTACTACCTGCTCCTGTGGCAAGCACTTTAATAAGTGTTATTATATATATTTGTAATAACCATAACACATCTTACTTACTCGATTTTTATAGATGGGAAAATATAGTCAGAGAAGTTTAGTAAATTTCGCAAGGTAATACAGGCAACAACTGGTGAAAGCAGGATACATATCTTAAGGTAATCCATTATACAGGGCTTCTCAAGCCTTAATGTGCATATGAATTATCTGTGGACCTTATTAAAATGCAGATTCTGATTCAGAACATCTAGGATGGAGCCTAAGATTATTCATTTTTAACAAGTTCCCAGGTGATGCTGTTGGTTTGCAGACTATACTGAGTAACAAGGCATCATATCTATACTGTGCCTTGTTGAACTGATTTAATTGGAAAAATGTTCCATCTTTCTACCTAAATCAAAGCCTGAATGACAGAATCAGGGATCAGAGTTGGAAGGACTAATTTAATAATAGCAGCATTAAGAATAGCTAACATTGACATGTTATTATGTGCGCTTGATGTGAATTGTCTCATTTTTATACTGACAACCACCCTAGAGATAAATATCATTTTAACATCATTTTACAAAAGAGAACAGTTAGTCACAGAGCAGGTAAGCAACTTACCCAATGTCACACCAATGGAGGAGATGAAAATCTAACTTCAGTCTATCTCATATGGCCCCCTGCTCATAATCACTACACTCTGCTGCATCTTATTGCATGTGTCTGGTTACATAACAAAGACAAGTGTTAGCCTCATCTTTAAGTGAGGTCAGCCTCTGTCTTTCCAGCCACTCTTATCTGGACTCACAAAAACCAGCCTCCTCCATCAGGCTTGATGATGGCATGAATTTTATTAGCAATCTTGGCCCACCTTCCAATGGAGTTAGAATCAGTCTTGCTCTCACAGACACAGCACCAAGTGTACCACATGGGTTCTGTCTCACTCGCATAAGCCCTAGCCTGGGTTGAAGCAGTCTATAAAACAACCTTCTATCCTGTTTCCTTCTACCAAATATTCCAATGTTTTATTGACAACAAAATATCAACTTGAACCATAGCCTGCTTGAGTGGGACCCTGACACCTCACCAATTACTTGTTTCTGAGAGTTTCATAATCCCAGTGGCTCTCTGAATGGCACGTCGCCTGTGTTCCATTGGCCTATATGCCTACCTTTAAGCCAATACTATATTATTATGATTATTGTAGCTTTGTAATGTACTTTGAAATCAGGAAGCGTGATGTTTTCACCTTTATTCTTCTTTCTCAAGATCAATTTGGCTATTCATGGTCTATTGCGGTTCCATATTAAAAACTTTAGAATTGTTTTTAATATTTCTGTAAAAAATGCCACTGGGATTTTAATAAGAATTTATTTGAATCTGTAGATCCTTCTGGGAAGTATTGACATTTGAATAATATTAAGTCCTCCAATCCATGAATACAGGATGTCCTTCCATTTGTGTCTTCTTTCATTTATTTCATCAATGTTTTCTCATTTTCAGTATACAAGTCTTCACCTCCTTAATCAAGTTTATTCCTAGGTATTTTATTCTTTTTGGTGCTATCATAAATGAGATTGTTTTCCTAATTTCCTTTTCAGATTGTTTATTGTTAGTACATAGACATGCAACTCATTTTTGTGTGTTGATTTTGTATACTGCTAAATAAATCCATGCATATATGGTCAACTGATCTTCTACAAGGGTGCCAAGAACATACAATGGAAAAAGGATAGTCTCTTCAACAAACAGTGTTGGGAAAACTGGATATCCACGTGTGAAATAAGGAAATTGGACCCTTATCTAACACCATACACAAAAATCAACTCAAAATGGGGCAGACTTAAACATAATACCTGAAACTGTAGGGATACTCATATATGTAATCTATCTATCTATCTATCTATATCTATCTATCTATCTATCTATCTATCTATCTACCTACCTACCTACCTACCTATCTGGGACTACATCAAACTAAAGTGCTTCTGCATAGCAAAGGTAACAACAGAATGAAAAGGCAACCTATGGAAAGGGAGAAAATATTTGCAAACCATAAAACCATATATCTGATAAGCAGTGAAACCTCAAGATACACAAATAACTCCTACAACTCAATATTTTTAAGAAAAAAACTACTAACCCAATTAAAAAATGAGCTGAGGACCTAAACAGACATTTTTTCAAAGAAGGCATATCAACAGCCAACAGGTATATGAAAAAAAAAGCTCAATGTCACTAATTATCAGGGAAATGCAAATCAAAACCATAATGAGACAATACCTCACACCTGTCATTAGTCTACTGTCAATAGACTAATAGACTGTCAATAGTCATTGACTATTGACTATTATCAAAAAAAACAAAAGACAAGTGTTGAGGAGGATATAGAGAAGTTGGAATCCTTACACCCTGTTGATTGGAATGCAAAATAATGTAGCCATTATGGAATACAGTATGGGTTTCTCAAAAAATTACAAATAGAACTACCATATGATCCAGCAATCCCACTTCTATTTACGAAAATAACTGAAATCTGACTCTCAAGGGGATATTAGCATTCCTATGTTCACTGCAGCACTGTGGAAACATCCAAAATGTCCACTGGTAGATGAATGGATAAAGAAAATGTGGTATATACATATACAGAATAGAATACAATTTAGCTTTTCAAAAGAAGAAAATTCTGCAATATGCTACATGGATAAACCTTGAGGACATTATGCTAAGTGAAATCAGCCAGTCACAGTAAGACAAATACTGCATGATTCTACTCATATGAGATATCTAAAAAAGTCAAACTCATAGAATCAAAGAGTGAAATGAAGGTTTCCAGGGGCTGGGAGGGATGAGAATATGTAAGAGTAATTAACAAGCATAAAGTTTCAGTCAAGCAAGATGAATAAGCTTCAGAGATCTGTTATATCACATTGTACCCACAGTCAACATATAATATGTTGAAATGTATTGTAAACGTAACAATTTATTGAGAGTAGATTGCATAGTAAGTTTTCTTACCATAATACTAATACTAATAATAAAACCATCTATGTTTTAATCAGTGTTTGCCAGTCATGAAATCTGTGTCACTCTATGAAGAGAATGTTCAGATCAAAGTCAGATAGTCTAGAAAATACCACTTAATGTTCTCGCTGAATGATCTTTAAATAGCCACACACATTAATTAATTTTCTGCCATACTTCACTGGGGTTGCAATCTTTTTCAGCAAATTGAGACAGAGACTCCATAATGAGAACAAAACTATATCAAACACCATTTCAGCAAAAATTGAAAAATCAAAAGTGATAATATTTCTGAAGTAATGGCTATGTTGAAAAGAGTAAATGCCATCAAATGCATCTATTTTCCTGTCAAGTGCTGTAATGAGACTAGCTGAGAAACAAGATGCCAAATTAATGCCCCTTAAAGGCTGTTGCATTTTCTTCCATCAGTTTTCTTCTCCTATCATTTAGGAATATCAATAAACTCCCAAAGAGAAGCTTTGGCAGTTACCACTGTCATTTTGTGTTTCTCTTCCCCTCAAATGATTCTTACTAAAGACTTCAGTCACCTGCTATCTCCCTCTGTAGTAATGTGCATCGAAAAGAATTGAGCATAAGCCTTTGCCCCAAATCCTCAATTTGAATAGTTTCATCAACTAGAAGCAGTTCTGAAGCCCCTGTGGAAGGCAAAGTGCTTGGAAATCTAAGATTCTTACAGTTCCATATATTATTTACTTTAACAATTTATTGAGATACAATTCACCTTGCAAGTCACCCATTTAAGTGTACTATTCAATGGTTTTTAGTACATTTTCAGAGTATTGCAAGGATCACCACAATCTAATTTTAGAACATTTAATCACCCAAAAAGAAGTCACTACCCATTATTCCTCCCACCTCACTTCCAAGCTCACCTCACCTCCTGTCCCGATCCCCCAGCACTAGGAAACCACTAATCTACTTTCTATATATAGTTGACCTTTATTAAAATTTCATATAAATGGAATAATAAAATATGTGGTCTTTTGTTACTGGCTTCTTTCACATAATATAATGTTTGCAAGGGTCATCTATGCTAAAGCATTTATCAATACCTCATTCTTTTTATTGCTGAATATTATTCCATTGTGTGAACACGCCATATTTTCTTTTTTTTTTTTTTAACCTTTAAGTTCAGGGGTACATGCGCAGGTTTGTTGTACAGGTAAATTTGTGTCATGGGGTTTTTTTTGTATAGATTATTTCATCACCCAGGTATTAAGCTTAGTACCCATTAGTTATTTTTCCTGCTCTTCTCCCTCCTCGCAACCTCCACCCTCCAATAGGCCCCAGGGAGTGCTGTTCCCCTCTATATGTCCATGTGTTCTCATCATTTAGCTCCCACTTATGAGTGAGAACATGTGGTATTTGGTTTTCTGCTCCTGCATTAGTTTGCTAAGAATAAGGGCCTCCAGCTCCATCCATGCCACATTTTCTTTATGCATTCATCAGTTGGCGAACATTTGGATTCTATTTACTTTTCGGCTACTATGAATAATGATGCTATTTACATCCATGCACAAGTTGTTGCATGAATATGTTTTCATATCCCTTCCACAGATACCCAAGAGTGGCATTGCTGGGGCATATGGTAACTTTATGTTCAACATTTTGAAAAACTGCCAATATATTTTCCAAAGTTACCACACTATTTTACATTCCTACCAGCAATGTATGAAGGTTCAAATTTCTCCTTCACATCCCTGCCCAAAACTTCTTGTTGTCTTTTTGATTATAGCCATCCTAGTTGGTGTAAAGCAGTATCTCATTGTGGGTTTGATTTCCATTACCCTAATGACCAATGATTTTGAACATCTTTTCATGTGTTCTTGGCCATTGGTACACTTTCTTTGAAGAAATGTCTAGTCAGATCTTCTGCCCATTTTTAACTGAGTTATTTGTCTTTATTATTGAGTGGTAAAAGTTCTTTATACATTCTGGATACAAGTACCTCATCAGATAAATTATTTGCAAATATTTTCTCTCATTCTGTGGGTTATCTTTTCTGTTTCCTGAGAGCGTCCTTTCAAGCATACACCTCATCCTGCTTTTGCAAAGTTCAGGCAGTCTGAATCTGCCACAGGTGTGTTGGTAAATACTGATTGACTGCCAAAATTATATTGATTCCTTCTTGCCCTTAGGAAAATATCTAAACACTTCATTATGGCATTCATCTTTTGTAATCTGGCCCGACCCTTCTCTTTACCATTACTCCCTGCCTTTCCCCCTGCCCGCCTGCACCCAATGGACCTTAAGCCCCTCCTTCAAGAGTCTTTTCACTCTTTCCGCTGTCTAGAATGATCCCTCCCTGCCTGCCTTTTCTCCAACCATAGCCCCCATGCCTCTCCCTCCATATATATACGTACTCATAGTATTTCTGTTCACTAGGTAAACCCACCATCTCTAATGTTCATGCTTGGATATACCTCAAGGAATATACTTGAGATACACCTTTCTTGGCTTCCTCGGCGAAGTTAGATACTCTGTTCTTGGTATTCCCACGGCATTCTTTTGTTCATCTCTCTCAGAAAGCACTTCACATATCATAGCATAATATGTCATTCCCCTACGTGGGCATTTTCCCACAAGACTGGTACAATTCTCCTAAACTAGGATGTTGCGAGATTTACTTCTGGCACATAGTAGGGGCTTGCAGAAACTATCAACGCTCTTTAAAAATATTCCAGTTTCCTTTTCCTTTCAGGCAGACAGTTAGCTTGCATTTGCCCAGCCCTTTAAAGTTAGGGATGGCTGTGTGGCCATTTTGGCTAATGAAATATGAACAGAAATGACATATCATTAAAATGAGGACCCTTTAAAAGCCAATGTGCTATTTGCCGAGCTGTGTTTTCTTACTATAGTGATCATGAAAGCATAATTAAGATGAAACTGAGTCAGTGAAGGACCACAATCAGCATAGTACCATGCCATACCACAGTAGACATGTACTATGAGTAAAACAAAAAAAATGTGTGTTAAGCCACTTCAGTTTAGAGACTCTGTTACCACATCATAACCTAGCCTCTCCTGACTAGTGCTGGACTAAATACATGTCTGTTGAAAGAATGCAATGAAAATGCAGTGCAGGTCACTATCTCTTTAGTTTGCCTATAATGGAGTAAATCACTCTTCTCTTGCTTTATCTCAGTATGTATACTGTTAAATAAATAGCAATGATTGCTTCCTAAATGTATTCTACTTCACTCTACTAGTAGTCTGCTAAATTTGAATGTAAAGCAGAACTATTTTCTCCTTGCATTACAAATGGAACATCTGAAAGTCTTCACAATTTCCAATTCTTATTTCTTGAAAGTAGCACACTGGATTACTCTTACAACAAATTTTTTAAAAAGCATTCAAAAATACCCTGTTAAAATGTACCTTCTGAGGCAGATACTCCTGACATACAGCTGCATTTGACTTCAAAATTTATCATGGGAATAAGCATAAATTGTTTATACATGGATCATAGATATTTATCCCTATGAAAACATTTGGCTTTGGAGAATAGTCTGAGAGAAGCTGTCTGGGGGTTGAGGTGGGAAGTAATGTACATGGGGTTATAGAGTAGCCTTTTTCTTCAGCGATGCTTGCAGAGAATTCTTTTTTAGAGTTGAGGATTCTCAAAATGACTATGTCATTTAAGCACACAAAATTAGTGACTTTTGAAAACTATGATTTAAATTTTCTGGTGGCAAGCATATCTAAGTGGATAAATTTATAAATAATCCAGTTTATTCCTGAGTCACTGTTGACCTGTATACTCAGAGATGATACCTTTCTGTTTTGTTCAGCCACTTACTTTTGTACATATCTCAATGTTTGCACTTTCGGCTGAATTTTAATCGTTTGATTATATGTCTGTCTTTGGTCTGTGAAAAACACATTTTAATTATTCATACATTCCTCATAGAAAAAATAGACCCATTTTTTAATTGATTAAGGGGTTGCATGCATGAGTGATGAGTGAATGCTAAGTTAGTTGTGAGACTTTGAGCAAACCGCTTTTAGTCTCTCTAGACCTGAGCTATCCAATACAATATCGACTAGCTACATGTGGCCAGTAAGCACCTGAAATGTGGCTACATGTGTAAAATACACATCAGATTTTATGTCTAAAATACACATCAAATTTTGAATACTTAATACCAAAAAAAACCTCACAAATAACAGCGTTCATATTGATTGTATACTAAAATAATAATGTTTTGGGTATATTAGGTTAAATAACTATTTAAATTATCACACCTGCATCTTTTTACATTTTTTTATTTTCAAATAATTATAGAGTCCCAAAACAATTCAAAAATATTACAGAGAGGTTCTGAGTGCCTTTAACCAGCTTCCCCTCTGATAACATCTTACATAACTACAATACAACATCAACATTTTAAAATTGACATTTATATAATACACACGCCTTATTCAGACTTCACCAGTTTGACATGCATACATTTTGGTGTGTGTGTGTGTGTGTGTGTGTGTGTGTGTGTGTGTGTGTGCATGAGTTCCATACAATTTTATTCCATGTGTAGCTGCATAAGATCACCACTAAAATCGAGATGCACAACCATTCCATCACCGCAAAGATCTCCCTTGTGCTACTCCTCCATAAACCCATCCTTACCCTAACACCTCGTCAGCAAACCCTAGCGAATCACAAATTCTCCACCTCTATAATTTCTTCATTTAAGGAATGTTATATAAAAGAATCATATCATGTATCCTTTTGAAATAGGTTTTTTTCCACTCATCATAATGTCCTTGAGATTCATCCTAGTTGTTGCATGTATCAATAGTTGTTCTTTTTATTGCTTAGTCATATTCATGGGATAGATTACCACAGTTTGTTTAACAACCCAGTGCTGGCGATTTGGGCTGTTTCCAGTTTGAGGCTATTAAAAATAATCTGCTATGAACATTCATCTATAGGATTTGTGTGAATGTAAGTTTTCATCTTTATGAAATGAATGCCAATTATGAAATGAATGCCAATGAGTGTGACTGCTTGGTCATATGTTAAATACATGCTTAGTATTTTTAGGAAACTAGTTGTTTAAGAACATAGGTGTATAGTGATATATGATTGTGGTTTTCATTTGTATCTCTCTAATAGCTAATAATATTCAATACCTTTTCACGTGCTTATTCGCCATCCATATATCCTCTTGTAAAATGTTCATTTCTCTTGCTGATTTTCTAATTGGATTGTGTTTTTTATCTGTTTCTTCTGGTTTTTTTACTGTTGGGTTTTGAAATATTTTTGCATATTTTACATACAAGTCCTTTGTCAGATAAGAGATTTACAGATATTTTCTCCCAGGTTGTAGGTTGTCTTTCCATCTTCATAGCAGAGTCTTTTGCAGAGCAAATTTTTAATTTCAATGAAGTCCAATGTATCAACTGTTTTCTTTTGTGAATTCCTAGATCCCAAGTATTTTTGTTTCTTCTAAAAGATTTATAGCTTTACATTTTGATCCACTGATCCGTTTTGAGTTAAATTTTTTAAGTTGAGAGGTTTAGGTCAAGTTCCCGTGTTTGTCTATGGGTGTCCAATTGCTCCAGCAATGTTTGTTGAATTGCTTTTGCATCTTTGTCAAAGGGACATGGTTGTTTCGGTCTATTTCTAGGTTCTACATTCTGTTCCATTGATCTATAATATTCATCCCTTCACTAATACCAGTCTTGGTTAATAAAGATTTATAATAAGTCTTGAAATCAGGTAGACTGTTTTCTCTTTATTCTTCCCTTTCGAATTTGTTTTAGCTATTGTAGTTCATTTGCCTTTTCATATAAACTTTAGAATAAGCTTGCATATATTCACAAATAATGTTGCTGAAATTTTGACAGGAACTGCATTAAATTGGGGGAGAAATTATATTTTTACTATATTGAGTCTTCCACTCCTTGAGTATGGTATGTTTTTCTCTCTTTATTCAGATCTCGGACTTCTTTCATCAGCATTTAGCAATTTTCAGTATACAAGTCTTGTCATGTTTTGTTAGATTTATACTTAAGCATGTCATTACTGAGGAGTTATTGTAAGTGGTATTGTGTTGGGGTTCTTTTGTTTGTTTATGTGTTTTTGAGACAGAATCTTGCTCTGTCGCCAGGCTGGAATGCAGTGACGCAATCTCGGCTCACTACAATCTCTCTCTCCCGGGTTCAAGCAATTCTCCTGCCTCAGCCTCTGGAGTTGCTGGGACTACAGGCACACAGCACCACACCCGGCTAATTTTTGTATTTTTAGTAGAGAGAGAGTTTCACCATGTTGGGCAGGATGGTCTCGATCTCTTGACCTCACGATCTGCCCACCTCGGCCTCCCAAAGTGCTGGGATTACAGGCGTGAGCCACCGCACCCAGCTGGTATTGTGTTTTTAATTATGGCTCCAACATGTTCATCGCTAGTCTGAAAAATACAATTGATTTTTGTATGTTGATTTTGTCTCTGCAACTTTGCTGAACCTACCTGTTAGTTCTAGGAGGTATTTTTGTAGATTCCTGGAAATTTTATATGTAGATTGTGTCATCGGAAAATAGGAACAATTTTATTGTTTCTTTCCTAATCAACATGCTTTTCTTTCTTTTTCTTGCCTTATTACTCTAGCTGGGATTTTCAGTAGTGTGTTGAATAAAAGTGGTGAAAGTGCCTGCACTTGCATTGTTTACAAACTTAAGTGTAAAGTATTCAGACTTTTACTATTAACCATGTTACTGTTACAAAGTACATGTACAAAGTACAAAAAGCTGTGGTCTTTTTGTAAATGTCCTTTATTATATTGAGGAAGTTATCCTCTATTCCTAGTTTGGCTAGAGTTTTTATCATAAATGGGTGTTGAATTATGTCACATGCTTTTTCTGCATAAATTGATGAAATCATGCAATTTTTCTACTTTAGCCTGTTAATGCAGTGTTTTATTAAAGTGACAAATTTTTGAATATTCAAACAGCCTTGCATCCCTGAAATAAACTCCAGTTGGTGTATGTGTGTATATATGTGTGTATATACATATGTATGGATGTACATTTATATATTGCTAGATTCCATTTGCTAACTTTTTTTGAGGTTTTATTTCATCTGTGTTCATAAGGGATATTGGTCTGTAGTTTTCTCTTTGTTTGTACTGGATTTGTCTTTTTCCAGTCTCAGGGTACTATTAGCCTAATAAAATAAGTTGGGAAGTGTTCCCTCCTCCTTTTCTATCTTCTGTAATAAAAACATTGTAGAATATGTGTTAATTCCTCTTTAAATGTTTAAAAGCACCTAGGAGAGAGGATATATTTTGAGAGACTTTTAAAAATACAAATTAAAAATTATCTATTGGACAGAGCCATGTGTAGATCTTAGCCTTTGCACTTGCAAATCAAAGCTTTACAAGAGATGCTCTCCAAAGTCAATCCTTTACACCTCTACAACCCCATGATTTTAAGAATTGTTGTTTGACTTCTTTATGCAATGCAAAATGATATAGATAATCTTGTTTATCTTTCTACTTACCTACATCATAGTTATCAGAAATGAAATAGTTCTGGAAAGCCCTTCAAATGCCTCAAAATAGAGGCAAGGTTATTATTATTTTTAAAATGAATACCAATATGTTAACATTTCTATAGGAAGTAGTTGGTAAGCAAGGATTTCTCTGAAGGAGCTTATTGCAGGTGCTAATCAGCTCACACTATTTTTTACTGTCTGTGCTGAAAAAAGAATTAATTACTTCAGTAACCTCACTTCTTCACATACCTAAATAATGCATACCCCTATTCTGTGGAGAATAAACTAAATTTGATAGAGAAAAGTTTAATGCGTAGCTAAAGATAGCACTGTAATCTCCTTGAAAGAACTCTCAGCACTCTCCTCCCTCCTTTTAAACAGACTTTCCTTTTCTGAAACTGCTAATGAATGGTTCTTGTATCCTTGTGATTCCCTCTCTCATTGTATATCCTCCCACATATTTCCAAAGACTATTAAAGTTCATTTTCTTCCAATATTCATAAGTAATTTTCCTGAAGTCCATTGGATCCTTACCAGAACAATTGCAATAACCTGTCCCCGAAAGTCTTGTTTTCTAGAAGCATTGTTTAAAATTAAGACATTGCCTTTGAGCTTCAGGTACAAGATACATAAAGTTCTCACTCCATCACTACAAAGTTCCCCAGTGGTCTAGTCATCTCTCATTGAAATTGTTTCCCTTAAAATACGTGTTTCTCCATCATTCTACAAAAAGGGCATTTTTTTTTTTTTAAGACGGAGTCATTCACTCTGTTGCCCAGGTGGGAGTGCAGTGGCACAATCTCAGCTCACTGCAACCTCCATCTCCCGGGTTGAAGTTATTCTCCTGCTTCAGCCTCCCGAGAAGCTGGGATGACAGATGTATGCCACCATGCCCGACTAATTTTTGTATTTTTAGTAGAGATGGGGTTTTGCCATGTTGGCCAGGCTGGTCTCGAACTCCTGGCCCCAAGCAATCTGCTTGCCTTGGCCTCCCAAAGTGCTGGGATTATAGGCGTGAGCCACCGCGCTGGGCCAAAAAGGGCATTCTTGAAGGTCATTGATGATTTTCATCTCCAAAACTGAGTAGTCTACCTCCCTCCTGTCATTCTGAAGAATTTTATATTGTTTACCAAAACTCCTCGACAAGTTCTCCTGCCTTATTTCCTACTATGTAGACTCTCTCTTCACCTACCTTCCTGTTTTTCTCTTCTCATTATCTAATCATATGAATTCTATGGTTCCTTAAAATGTTCTTAAACCTGTCTTTCACTACTGTCTATTTGTTCAAGTATTCAATTAGAGTTTCAACTATAACTTCTATGCTGACTATTCTCAAATCTCTCTTCGTCTTCTCATCTGAACTACAGTCCCAAATCTCCAGGTTCAGTTAGCATTTTTACTTGTATGCCCCCCACAACACCACAAACTGGACATGACTGAAACCAAACTCCTCTGCTTCCCCTCCGCCTTTCCTGTCGAATGGCTTCAAGATTCTCTGCTTCAATAAGTCTCTAACCTGGAAGACTGAGTCATCTTTAATTAAAGACTCTTTTTATCTGAGAACCAGGCACCAAATCAAGCACATTTTTTCCCTAGAAACTAGGATTAGGTGGAAGGGAAAAGACCTTGAAGCTAACCATATCCACGTTTAAATTTATTCATGTTTAAAGTTATTTACCGTAACTTTGCATGAACTTGGATATATTATCTAACATCTCTGAGCTTCAATGTTTTCACATGAAAAAGACGGAAAATACATACCATGAAGTTGCTGTGGTAATTTAATGAGATAATACACTTAAAATGTTTGGCATATAGTAGAACTCAAAAATGTTAGTTGCTTCTCAGACGTGATTTTTCTATCTGTTCCATTCTCCGAGTTCCCACTGCTAAACTACCACACTCTGTTCAAGTCCCTCAGTCCCATGTACTTGAGATATCAAAAACAAAGCCCCCATTTTTCAACCCCACTTCCCTGCATTCTACTTTCTCCAAAGGGACCCACTTCCTTCATTAATGTCATATGACTCCTTCATTCTAAGTTTCCCACTGTTTTACCATATTAACTTGATAGTTCATTGACTGTCCTTAAGGTTCCTAAAAGTTCCCTTTTCCTTTCCCCTGACCCAAACCATCCTTCTCCATTTCCCCTTTCTCCTTAACCTGAATTTTTTGTCCTAGTCCTCCAGGCTGCCCTGATTTCTTCCCAAAGGCCACACTTGTTTTTTTTCCCTGAAACTTTAACATCCTTCTATCTCTAATTTCATACCTCCTATAGTATCAGATCAAACCCACTCCCCTTATAGGTCTTTGCCTCAACTCTCCAGCCTCTCCAACCTCCCTTCGGCCCTTCTTGCCTGCAACCATTATTAACACCTAATAGCATTCTAATTTGTGTTTGTTGGGCTAATTGTCTTAGTCTGGCCAGGCTGCTATAACAAAACACCATAAACTGGATGGCCTATAAACAACAGGAATTTATTTCTCACAGCTCTGGAGTCTGGGAAGTCCAAAATCAAGTTACCAGCAGACTTGGTGTCTGGTAAGGGCCCGCTTCCCGGTTGACAGATGGCCACCTTTCCATTGTAACCTCACATCACAAAAAAGGCATGGGGTTTCTCTCAGGCCTGTTTTACAAGGGCAAGCTAATCCCATTCATGAGAGCTGTACTCTCATGACCGAGTCACCTCCCAAAGGCCCCATCTCCTAACACCATCACCTTTGGGGTTAGGATTTCAACATAGGAACTTCGGGGGAACAAAAACATTCAAACCACATTCGATGTTCCACATCAGTGCTTACAAGCACTTGGGTTTCATACACCAATAACATTTCAAAGCCTAATTAGGCTACTGGCCATTAGATTTACATTCTTTCTTGCCCTAGGAGAGACCTTTAAAAATAATTTGAAATCCTTATTTCATTTTAAAAGTATATTTTACAAAAGATAGTAGGGCATAATGTTAGAATAAAAAAGTTTACATTGAATAAATTTAGATTTGGGTAAAAAAGTTCTATTATCCTTGTTTTTTTTGTTTGTTTGTTTCTTTTTTTTTTTTTTTTCATTTTGATATGGACCAGAGGAAGCTATCAGGAAAATCCTTGGACAGGGAATCTCCATGATTGTCTCTCTATACCTACTGTTTCTGTAACAGGGATAATTGATACTTGGAGAGTTCCTACTATGAACCAATTAGTAAAACTTTGTGTGTGCCTGTGTGTGTGTATGAGACAGGTACTAGTATGCCATTCTACAGACAGCAAAACTAAAACAATTTTCTCATGACTCACAGTGAATAAATGGTGAAAGTGATATTTGGACCCAGTTATTTAAGGTCCAGTGTTCTTGATTGCTAACTACACCACACTGCTGCTACTTCTTTAGACTCTGTGGTATGAGTATGATTCTATATACAAAATAAACATACCAATATGTACAATGATAATTGCAACATTTGCCATAATATAGCACACCTATTGAACAGAATAATGGCCAGATATATATCATCCCAAGGAAACTACTTCCATAAAGAGTATTTATAAATTGTAAAGTGCTGTACAGATGCAAAACCAACTGTAATTATTATCATCAACAGTGCTAACTGGAATTCCATAAGTCAAGTTTGCCTTAGACCATCACAGCAGATTTATTAAATAAAACACTATCACTATCATTTCTAAGGGAGTCCCATATATGAGACTATTTTAGGCCAGCAACATTAACTCATCTTTAAGAGAGTTTTGAAGAAATCGGAGTGATGGCAAATTAGCCCAATTCACTGCCTGCAATATTTCACTCTCTTACTGTTGCCTCTAAGATTATAGGGACTGCCCTAAGCAAAATGGTAGAAACCGTCTTAAACATACTCTTGTCTTTCCTTACATAACCCTTTTTATCTTACCTTGGGGGAAACTTTACACATTCTTCCCATCTTTCCCACTCTCTGCCCTAAAAGAATCTTTTAGCCAGCTGTTCCACTGGAAAGCATCTAACCGACAAATTCACATTTTTGTGTTTTGTTTTTCCAGGACCATGCTAATAACATACCAAGCCATAAGCCATAGAGATACATATTTAGTGAGAATATTTCAGATACAGTGAATAAGGCCGTTGTAGAGATATTTAGAGCAAAGAACATCACACTGGTGGCCCTTAATTGAGCTGACAAATATTTTTTCCAACTGATACGGGCAATTGTAAATGGTAATGAATCATCCTGAAAGCACAATCCCTCTCAGTATCTTCAATACCCACAAGTCTTCTACCAGTTCTGTGTCATCACAGTAATTCACCACAATGAGTTCCACCTTAAAGTGCACTGCTCTCTACCCAGATTTTACAACTACCCCTCTCCCAACAATATGACTTTTCTTCACTTCACTTTCATGGCCTCTTCTATTTTTCTGTATCACCCACAAAAAATAAGAATAGAAGCAAGTCACTTCGTAGTAAAGGAGTAATGTCCTGTACTATTTTCCCGACTGGCCACAAGTCAACAAATGGTTCTAAATTTTTACTCTCAATAATTTGCTGAGTACCTTCAGTCAATTCCAGAAAGATTTTGGAACCTCAATTTCACTCTCTGTAATAAGGGAGAACAAAATGACCTCTGATGTACCCAACACCTGTAGAATTCTACAGTTCTGTAATATTAACTATTATTCAAAGTAAAGATGAAGGCATAAAGACAGAGAAACATAATACATCCTTCAAGAGGTAAAAGCCACGTGTAACTAAACAAATTTCCTTTTAAAATAATGAATAAACTAGAAGACATTGAGAATGCCTTAAAATTCCTAATACAATTCATGGAGAAGTATGGAGGAGTTGTAATGTGACTTGATCAGAATATATCCGGTTCAACAACCAGATGAAAAAAAAAAATTGGTCAGGTAATTTGTATTTATCCATACCAGTGGTTTCCAAAATACATTCCAAAGAACACTACTAATTGTAAAAAATAATAATAAAGATTGCATTTAAATGCAAACTGAGCCCTTGAGGGTTGTCTGGACTTAGTGACTCATTCCACAAAATAGAGTATGGAAAGGGAGAAATAATAATTTTACAGTGTAGAAAACTTGAATAACACAAATTATCCAAGGGACCGAGGTTGACCTTACCAATGATGGGTCACGTTGACATCAGGTACCTATCTCCCCAGTATGATGTGATGAGATAGGCTCTTCATCTCTGTGATATTTTCTTCCAAAAGCCCATAACCCCAGTCTAATCATGAGAAGTTACATCAAGCATACCTTTTTGAAGGACATTCTACAAAATTCCTGATCATTACTCCTCAAAACTGGAAAGATTATGAAAAATAAGAAAAAACTGAGAAACTCTCACAAACTGTACATAACTAAATGCAGTATGGTGTCCTGGAGTGGAACTTGAAACCGAAAAAATACATTAATGGAAAACTGGTAGCATAAAGTTTGGAATTTAGCTAATGGTAACACACCAATAGTGTTTTCCTATATTTGACAAATGTATCATGATAATGAGATATGATAAGATTAGAGGAAACTGAAACTGGCTGAGGCTATACAGGAACCTCTCTGCACTACCTCCGTAACTGTTCTGTGAATCTGAAATTATTCCAAATAAAAAGCTTATTTAAATAATTGATGAAGATATCCATTAGCAAATTCGTTTGGGGAACTTTGGATTAAACAACTGATTTTTCTCAATGTCTGTAAATATCATAGCTCCTAAAATATCCAATAAGCATTGTGATTTTAACAGAGAGAATATAGGGTGCTGTGTTTCTCAAACATATTTGACCAGAAACCTTTTTATTTCTTCAAATAGCATCTTTTACAAAAAGTACTGACACAGAGAAGTTTTCTCCCAAGGTGTCAGACTTCTGTCCTATACTAGACCATGATGAAATTTTAATCAGTGACTGACTAAAGAGACAAAGATGCTATGAACATTAAATTGGCAGAAGACTTGAAACTAGAGACTAATATGATGGATGACAGAATAATCATTAAAATTATATTTCATAGGTTACATCAATTGATCAAACTTAATAAGATGACTATAAAAGGATACATACATAGTCTTCATTTAGGTAAGCAAATTAAAAAAAAAATCAGCTGAGTAAGTAAAAGAAGCAAGAACTTAAATGCACGTCATGTTACTGTGAGCAGCTTTGTGTCTCAGGAGTTCTTAGGTCAAATTAGTAGAATTGTCATGCTCAGTAAAGATGCCCTAATAGTAGGAGTAATGCCATTTCTGCAGATTGTTTGCTTGTCTTTTCCTGTTTTTTAGTTCTGCGTGCTACATTGTAAATGGTCCTCAATGAACCATTTCCAAAGGAGAGGCAATAGGATGATGTGTGTCTTGGAAACCATGTCATAGCAAGAAACGTCGAAGAAACTGGAAATGTTGCCCTGATGCACAGAAAACTTTGACAGAGGCTGGGCGCGGTGGCTCACACCTGTAATCCCAGCACTTTGGGAGGCCAAGGCGGGTGGATCACCTGAGGTCAGGAGTTCGAGACCAGCCTGGCCAACATGGTGAAACCCTGTCTCTACTAAAAATACAAAAAATTAGCCAGGCTTGGTGGCAGGCACCTGTAATCCCAGATACTCGGGAGGCTGAGGCAGGAGAATCACTTGAACCCGGGAGGCCAAGGTTGCAGCGAGCCAAGATCATGCTATTGCACTCCAGCCTGGCCAACAAGAGTGAAACCCCATCTCAAAAAAAAAAAAAAAAAAAAAGAAAGAAAGAAAAGAAAAAGAAAAAAAAGAAAACTTTGACAGATCCTTTAGTACACAAGGATACAGGAGAATCAAGCCTATTCTGTATAACTTCAGAACTCAGAAGGACTTAAGGACACAGGAAGCCGCACGTTTTGGTTCAAAAAACTTTTGTAACCATTAAACAGCCTCATAATGGAATGGATATTTTTGAAATGAAGTGAGCTCCCTGCCTCTGGGAGTGTCTAAATGGAAGCTGGATATCCCTCTGTCCAGACTGCAGCTAGAATGTCTTCTACGTGTACCTAATAAATGAGTTCTACACAACCTTCCAGTGCTAAGGTCTCAGAAGCTATCAAACCACAGGGAAGGAAAAAAAATGAAGAGGCACTGAGAAAAGTGACAAACCACTAAAAACAGCCCCTAAAGTACCTTAGGCACTGCTTTACCTCTCTTCTAACCATCATCCCTGTAATAATATCTGGAAACTGCCTAAACAAGTGTTGACATTTAGTTGATGAATTAAGGCAAAACGCTGTCCTAGAGTGTGCACCTAAGAGATTTCTGATTAGTAGAATTTAAGTTACACTAGAGGACAGGGAATGATGAATTTATCCTGACAAAGTACTGTATTCACTCCAAAAGAAATTTACCAAAATAAATGAACACACGAATATATAAATAAATAGTTTTACTTTAAATGCATTATTTTTTTCTCTTAGGGAAATAACTGGCTTATATAAAGGACAATGTGTATATGGTGTGTATGTTTAAGGCGTGCTTCAAGGTTGCTCTCAAGCTGAGCCAGAACTATCACGAGAAGAGTGAAAGGAGCACCCGGGACGCAGAAGTTAAGGAGGCAGTTACTCCTAGGGTCCTGTAAGTGCTGGCAGGGTCAGCCCGTGAGAGTGAGTGCCTCTTTAAATTTGCGTCACAGACGCCTGCTTACCTCACCCCAGTCCAAGCCCTGTGATTGGTCAGGCCATCAAAGCCTCGCCCCCTACACGACCCGGAATTCGACGCCAACACTGGTTTCTGGGGCAACTTCTGCGTAGCTATGTGACTAGCACCCGGAAATAATTGCCACCGCCATCTTTTGGTGCAGAAGGTGACGGGAAACAGGCCGCAGACCTGAACTTCCAACCGTATGTAGGCGAGAAGCCGGTGCCGATACTCCCACTATCCCACAATGTCCCACTGGGCCCCAGAGTGGAAGAGGGCGGAGGCTAATCCAAGAGACCTTGGGGCCAGCTGGGATGTCAGGGGCAGCAGAGGCAGTGGCTGGAGTGGCCCCTTCGGCCATCAGGGACCGAGAGCAGCAGGCTCCCGTGAACCACCACTCTGCTTTAAAATAAAGAACAATATGGTTGGTGTGGTCATTGGTTACAGTGGATCAAAAATAAAAGATCTACAACATTCGACAAACACTAAAATACAGATCATAAACGGGGAATCTGAAGCAAAAGTCAGAATTTTTGGCAATAGGGAAATGAAAGCAAAGGCCAAAGCGGCTATAGAAACACTTATTAGAAAACAAGAAAGCTACAACTCAGAATCCAGTGTGGATAATGCTGCATCCCAAACCCCTATTGGAAGAAATCTAGGCAGAAATGACATTGTTGGAGAAGCTGAGCCATTGTCAAATTGGGATCGCATTAGGGCAGCAGTCGTGGAGTGCGAAAAGAGAAAATGGGCAGATCTACCACCAGTTAAGAAAAACTTTTACATAGAATCCAAAGCAACAAGCTGCATGTCTGAAATGCAGGTGATTAACTGGAGAAAGGAAAATTTCAACATAACGTGTGATGACTTGAAAAGTGGTGAAAAGCGTCTCATTCCAAAACCAACTTGCAGGTTTAAAGACGCTTTTCAGCAATACCCTGATCTTCTGAAAAGCATAATAAGGGTAGGGATTGTAAAGCCAACGCCAATTCAGTCACAGGCATGGCCAATTATTCTACAAGGAATAGATCTTATAGTAGTTGCACAAACCGGAACAGGGAAAACATTGTCCTATCTAATGCCTGGGTTTATTCATCTTGATTCTCAACCAATATCTAGAGAGCAAAGGAATGGGCCTGGGATGCTAGTCCTTACACCCACTAGAGAGTTGGCTCTTCACGTGGAAGCTGAATGTTCAAAGTATTCATATAAAGGTCTCAAAAGCATTTGCATATATGGTGGTAGAAACAGAAATGGACAAATAGAAGACATTAGCAAAGGTGTAGATATCATTATTGCAACTCCTGGGAGGCTGAATGACCTACAAATGAATAACTCTGTCAACCTAAGAAGCATAACCTACTTGGTTATAGATGAGGCAGATAAAATGCTGGATATGGAATTTGAACCCCAGATAAGGAAGATTTTATTAGATGTGCGCCCAGACCGACAGACTGTTATGACAAGTGCAACTTGGCCAGATACTGTACGTCAACTAGCACTTTCTTATTTGAAAGATCCTATGATTGTTTATGTTGGTAATCTGAATCTAGTGGCTGTAAATACAGTGAAGCAAAATATAATTGTTACCACAGAAAAAGAAAAACGAGCTCTCACCCAAGAATTCGTAGAGAACATGTCACCCAACGACAAAGTCATCATGTTTGTCAGCCAAAAACATATTGCTGATGACTTGTCAAGCGACTTCAATATCCAAGGCATATCTGCAGAATCATTACATGGCAACAGTGAACAGAGTGATCAAGAGCGAGCAGTAGAGGACTTTAAAAGCGGAAACATAAAGATACTGATTACAACTGATATAGTATCCCGAGGTCTTGATCTTAATGATGTCACACATGTATATAATTATGATTTCCCAAGGAATATTGACGTATATGTACACAGAGTAGGGTACATTGGACGGACAGGAAAGACTGGCACATCAGTTACCCTCATCACTCAGAGAGATTCGAAAATGGCCGGTGAATTGATTAAAATTCTGGACAGAGCAAATCAGAGTGTTCCGGAAGATCTTGTAGTAATGGCTGAGCAATACAAGTTAAATCAACAAAAGAGGCACAGAGAAACACGATCAAGAAAACCTGGACAAAGACGCAAGGAGTTTTATTTTTTAAGTTGAAAAGTTGTACCAGGCTACTGGAAGATTCCAGGCATGTTAAAGATATGCAGTATTGAATATATGTAAGGAAGTATTGGAAACATACTAGCCATTTGAAGACATAACTAATTCTTAAATAATACTGCTAAACTTTCAATATTGTGTATGCTCCTTAATTTTAAAAAAGTCTCAAAAATGAGAGAGTGAGAGACTGTGTGAAGAGAAAGTGAATGTTACGTGTTGGTTAAAGTTTAATTTCTCTTAAAAATACTTTTATTTTAGGTTTGGGGGTATATGTGAAGGTTTGTTAAAGAAACACGTGCCATGGGGGTTTATCAACTTTCAATATTGTGTATGTTCCTTAATTTTAGAAAAAGTCTCAAAAATGAGAGAGAGACTATGTGAAGAGAAGGTAAATGTTATGTGTTGGTTAAAGTTTAATTTCTCCTAAAAATACTTTTATTTTAGGTTTGGGGGTATTTGTGAAGGTTTGTTAAAGAAACACGTGTCATGGGGGTTTATCAACTTTCAATATTGTGTATGCTCCTTAATTTTAAAAAAGTCTCAAAAATGAGAGAGTGAGAGACTATGTGAAGAGAAAGTAAATGTTACGTGTTGGTTAAAGTTTAATTTCTCTTAAAAATACTTTTATTTTAGGTTTGGGGGTATATGTGAAGGTTTGTTAAAGAAACACGTGTCATGGGGGTTTATCAACTTTCAATATTGTGTATGTTCCTTAATTTTAAAAAAGTCTCAAAAATGAGAGAGTGAGAGACTATGTGAAGAGAAAGTAAATGTTATGTGTTGGTTAAAGTTTAATTTCTCTTAAAAATACTTTTATTTTAGGTTTGGGGGTATATGTGAAGGTTTGTTAAAGAAACACGTGTCATGGGGGTTTACTGTACATATTATTTCGTCACCCAGGTATTAAGACCAGTGCCCAATAATTATCTTTTCTGCTCTTCTGCCTCCTTCCACCCTCCCCCATCAGCTAGACCCCAGTGTCTGCTGTTTCCTTCTTTGCGTTCATAAGTTCTCATCGTTTGCTTCCCACTTATAAGTGAGAACATGTGGTATTTGAGTTTCTGTTCTTGTGTTAATTTTATAGTCTACCATGTCCATTTGTCTTCTCTAAAACACTTGGTAGAAGACAACAATGGTGCTTTTCTGGCTTTAAAATAGTTGTACTAAATTGAAGCATAGCTTCAAGCTTATCCAGTCAAAGTATTCTCTTTTCCCCCGAGCAGTTGGTGCCACAACAGTTCTTAAAGTTATTTCCACTATCATTCTCTACTTGTTTTAGTTCATTAGAAAATAAGTGCTAAATTTTTTAGAAGATTCCACAATTCTATTTTTATCAGAATGATGTCACCAGCAGAGCAGGATGTCTGACTCACTGGGATTCAGGTCCTTGTATGCATTTTGTCACTAACCCTTGGTTAAAACTCTGAGGAAATCACTTGCCTTCTCTAGGCCTCAATTTCTCTACTCATAAAATGGGACAGTTTTATTAATTTAGAGGTCTCTTTTACCTCTAAAATTCGGTGACATTATAACTAAAACTGTATACCCCAGCCTTGTATTAACACTTTTTTGTCTAATCTAGGGGAAATTGCATCCTTGTATAATTGAATAAAACAATCCTTTTCAATGACAAGAATAGTGCATTCTGCATTTTTATTGATTTTGCAATTTAACTGGTAGGTTTTCATTTTATTCTTTGCTTTTCTTTTCATCATGCTTTATTTTAATTCAATTTGAAGGTCAAAACCATATATATATAGATACATATATCGGGGAAAAAATTAAAGTGAAAGAAAAATTTATCTACTGGGAAAAACATTAAAACCAATCAAATAAGGGCTGGGTGCGGTGGCTCACGCCTGTAATCCCAGCACTTTGGGAGGCCGAGGCGGGCGGATCGCCTGAGGTCAGGAGTTCAAGACCAGCCTGACCAACATGGAGAAACCCTGTCCCTACTACAAATACAAAATTAGCTGGGTGTGGTGGCGCATGCCTGTAATCCCAGCTACTCGGGAGGCTGAGGCAGGAGAATCAGTTGAACCCGGGAGGGAGAGGTTGCAGTGAGCTGAAATCGTGCCACTGCACTCCAGCCTGGGCAACAAGAGCAAAACTCTGTCTCAAAAAAAAAAAAACCAAAAAAAAAACCAAATGACGTTTTTGCCATAAGAACCAATTTTAGTAAAACTCTTCCTAATTTTATCTATAATTCTACCTCTTATGCCTTATTTAGAAGCAAGGTGCTTCTCACACCTGCAAAAAGAAATCCCTACAAAGATGTTAAGTAAACTTTAAAATTCAGTGTTCATGAAAACATTAGAATTAGTTAACATTTCTGGTAAAATCAAGAGAAAAATTAAGGCAACAAACTTTTTTCCCCAGCATGCCTTACCTGTGACTACAAATAAGTCAGAAAATAAGGGAAAGAAAGAAGTAAATGTTCTAGGTATAGGTATTTAAGGCTTAAAGTATAGACTTTAAAGGCTTTTTAAAATGTAGACCTTAATATCTCTGGATAAAATTAATAACAATGGTTAACATTGTTGAGTGATACATACCTGGCGCTTTATCTCCTAATCTCTAATATTTATAAGAACGCCACTCGGAAGGAAATCTTACCCCTATTTTGCAGGGGATGAAGCAAAGTCAGAGGAGCTAACTTGCCTAAGGGCCCTAAACCTGATTAAAGAGAAATTAAGTGATATTTAGAGGACTTAAGGGATATTTTGACCCGGCAGTGCCTGATTCCAATATTTATATTTTTTAATTTTAGTATAGTTATTATGTTTAAAGGCAATATGCTTGTCTTGAGGTTCTCTACAAGTTCAGATTTAGTGAAATAGAGAAGTGTGTGCAAATTTAATGCAAAGGCAATCTATAGCAGAACTGTAATAGAAGCTCAAATGGCTTAGTGCTGTTCACTCAAGAGGAGAAATGATAAATGTTTAGCAAGTTAGAGTATATGTTATTTTCCAGAATTATTCTTAGGGGCAATGCTATATTTGTTAGAAAAGAATGCAACAACTCAACCACTTGAGATAGTATATTTCCATAATCATGTGTAAGTAACACTTAACAAGAAAAATTATCACTCAATGTCTATGAGTAAGGAAATGAGAGATGTATGCATTTCTTCTACAACATAATGCTGGACAGAAGAACCAGTGTATAGAGAAAGATAAGTAGAAATAGTGCAATGACTGTTAACCAAGGGTGATTTTGCTCCCCAGCGGAACTTTGACAATATCTGTGGACAGTATTGGTTGTTACAGCTATGGGTAGGGGGTGAGGTGCTCCTAGCATCTAGTGGGTAGAGGCTGAACACCCTACAATCTACAGGACAGCCCCTCACAACAAAGAATTATCTGGCACAAAACAATAGTGCTGAGATGGGGAACCCCTGAGACAGCATAAGAAAAACAACCAAAACCAACTGCTTAGTAACCAAAAAGGCACGTCAAAGAAAAAAAAAAAATAGAGGGTTTCTAAGTTATATCTTGCGGGTTTTGCAGAGAAAAAGTATCCCTACAAACTTCCTGTCTTTGGTGTAGTCTACATCAGTGGTTCTCTACCAGGCCCAATTTTGTCAATGTCTGGAGAAAGATTTGGTGGGTTGTTGTCTTAGTCCATTTTCATACTGCTATGAAGAAATACCCAAGACTGGGTAATTTATAAAGAAAAAGAGGTTTAATGGACTCACAGTTCCACATGGCTGGGGAGGTCTCACAATTATGGTGGAAGGTGAAGGAGGACAAAAGGTGCATCTTACATGGTGAGCAGGCAAGAGAGTTTGTGTAGGGGAACTCTCATTTATAAACCATCAGATCTCATGAGACTATCATGAGAACAGTGTGGGAAAGACCCACCCTCATGATTCAATTACCTCCCACCAGGTCCCTCCCATGACATGTGGGAATTATGAGAGCTGCAATTCGAGATGAGATTTGGGTGGGGATGCAGCCAAACCATATAATTCTGTCCCTGGCCCCTCCCAAATCTCATGTCCTCACATTTCAAAACCAATCATGGCTTCCCAACTGTCTCTCAAAGTCTTAACTCATTTCAGCATTAACTCAAAAGTCCACAGTTCAAAGTTTCATCTGAGACAAGGCAAGTCCCTTCCACCTATGAGCCTATAAAATCAAAAGCAATTTAGTTACTTCCCAGACATAATGGAGGTACAGGCCTTGGGTAAATCTGCCCATTCCAAATGAGAGAAATTGCTTAAAACAAAAGAGCTACAGGCCCATGCAAGCGTGAAATCCAGCTGGGCAGTCAAATCTTAAAGCTCCAAAATGATCTCATTTGACTCCAGGTCTCACATCCAGGTCACGCTGATGCGAGAGGTGGGTTCCCATGGTCTTGGGCAGCTCTGTCCCTGTGGCTTTGCAGAGTATACCCCCTCTCCCGGCTGCTTTCATGGGCTCGAAATGAGTCTCTGTGGCTTTTCCAGGTGCACGGTGTAAGCTGTTGGTGGATCTACCATCGTGGGGTATGGAGGATGTTGGTCCTCTTTTCACAGCTCCACTAAGCAGTGCTCTAGTGGGGACTCTGTGTGGGGGCTCCCACCCTACATTTCCCTTATGCACTGCCCTAGCAGAGGTTCTCCTTGAGGGCCCTGCCCCTGCAGCACATCTCGGCCTGGGCATCCAGGTGTTTCCATACATCCTCTGAAACCTAGGCAAAGGTTCCCAAACCTCAATTCTTGACTTCTGTGCACCCACAGGCTCAACACCACGTGGAAGCTGCCAAGGATTGAGGCTTGCAACCTCTGAAGCTGCAGCCCAAGCTCTATGTCGGTCCCTTTCAGCCACAGGTGGCATGGCTGGGACGAAGGGCACCAAATCCCTAGGTTGTACACAGCAGGGGAACACTAGACCCAGCCCATGAAACCATTTTGTCCTCCTAGGCTCCAGATCTCTGATGGGAGAAGCTGCCATGAAGACCTCTGACATGCTCTGGAGTCATTTTCCCCATTGTCTTGGGAATTAACAGTTGGCTCCTCATTACTTATACAAATTTCTGCAGCTGGCTTGAATTTCTCCTCAGAGAGTGGGTTTTGCTTTTCTATCACATCATCAGTATACAATTTTTCTGAACTTTTATGCTCTGCTTCCTCTTTAAATGTAAGTTCCAATTCCAAACCATATCTTTCTGAATGAATAAAACTAAATGTTTTTAACAGCACCCAAGTCACCTCTTGAATGTATTGCTGCTTAGAAATTTCTTCTGCCAGATGCCCTAAATTATATCTCTCAAGTTCAAAGTTCTACAGATCTCTAGGGTAGGGACAAAATGCCATCAGTCCCTTTGCTAAAACATAGCAAGAGTCACCTGTGCTCCAGTTCCCAACAAGTTCCTCATCTCCATCTGTGACCACATCAGCCTGGACTTTATTGTCCATATCACTATCAGCATTTCGGTCAAAGCCATTCAACAAGACTCTAGGAAGTTCCAAACCTTTCCCACATCTTCCTGTCTTCTTCTGAGCCCTCCAAACTGTTCCAACCTCTGCCTGTTACCCAGTTCCAAAGTCATTTCCATATTTTGGGTATCTTTACAGCAGCACCTCACTCTACTGGTACCAATTTACTGTATTAGTCCATTTTCATACTGCTATGAAGAAATACCCAAGACTGGGTAATTTATAAAGAAAACGAGGTTTAATGTATTCACAGTTCCACATGGCTGAGGAGGCCTCACAATCATAGCAGAGGGTGAAGGAGGAGCAAAGGCAAGTCTTATGTGGTGAGCAGGCAAGAGAGCTTGTACAGGGAAACTCCCCTTTATAAAACCATCAGATCTCATGAGACTTATTCATTATCACAAGAACAGCACAGGAATGACCCGCCCCATGATCCAATTACCTCTCACCAGGTCCCTTCCCCGACATATGGGAATTATGGGAGCTACAATTCAAGATGACATTTGGGTGGGGACACAACCAAACCATATCAGTCGTCATAACTGGGGGTGATGGTGGTGGTACTGGTATCTCCTGGGTATAGTCGGAGGATGCCACTAAACATCCCACAATTCATAGGAGAGCTCCCTAAAACAAAGAATTATCTGGCCTGAATGTCAGTAGTGCCACAGTTGAGAAACCTTGCAATGGATTAAGCAAAAATAAAAGCGCAAACCTAGGTGTAGAGAAGCCAAGAAGGGACTTTATGAAGGAAAACAAAAAGAGGATATTCATTTGTTGTGCACTGCGCAATACAAAATCCTCCACTGGCTGGGCATGGTGATGCACGCCTGTAATCCCAGCACTTTGGGAGGTAGAGGCGGGTGGATCACCTGAGGTCAGGAGTTCGAGACCAGCCTCACTAATATGGTAAAACCCCCATCTCTACTAAAAATACAAAAAATTAGCCAGGCGTGGTGGCGGGTGCCTGTAATCCCAGCTACTCAGGAGGCTGAGGCAGGAGAATCGATTGAAGCCAGGAGGCGGAGGTTGCAGTGAGCTGAGATGGCGCCACTGCACTCCAGCCTGGGTGGCAGAGCAAGACTCTGTTAAAAAAAAAAAAAACCCTCCACTAACTTTCCTTTCTTTGGTATAATCTGTATTTCTCAGCTGGAGTTGATTTTGCTCCCTAAGGGACATTTGGCAATGTCTGGAGACAATTTTAGTTGTCCCTACTAGGGGGCAGCATTGCTACTGGCATCTACTGGGTAGAAGTCAAGGATAAACAACTTAAAATGCACAGCACAGTAACTTAAAACAATGGATTTTTCAGTCCAGAACATACAGTGTTGAGGTCAAGAAACTGATTGCATTGATTGACCAGTGAAGTTTTTGTGTAAGTAAACTGTGTTTCAGAAATTCAAAGAAATACTTAGTTCTACATACAAATTGGGACAGATGGAAAGCAAAGCTCTGAATATACACAGGACTCAAAGTACGAGGATTCAGCTGACCTCAGAGTTGTGCATAAGATTCTTAGCATGGTGACTCACATTCAGTAGGCATTCAACAAATATTAGGTCCCTTCCACCTTCCCTCTCCCATCACCTACTATATATAATACTTGTTAACTATTCTGGGTGTTGCTCAAGCTGTTTTCCCCCATTTGGAATGCCCTTTCTCTTTCCTCTCTGCCAAGACAAATCACCTTTATCTTTCTGGGTCCAGCCAAAGTGCCATATCTTCCCTAAGTTCCTATCTACTCTCCTTCATTCCAAAACTTCTGCAGTTACAGTTCTTGTTATCAAAGAATAATGTTGACATTTACACTATCTGCATAGGAATCTAGTAGGCAATAAAGGTAGACCGTTTTAAATCAGTGAAGAAAGAAAAATCTATTCCAAACCAAATAAGTAAAATAAATAAATGAAAAATACATAATATATAGCAGGACAATTGATCAACCAAAAAACTCTTACTGTTAGAAAATAATTCCCACAAGATTATTGCTTTTATAAAAAACAAAAGAACATCAAGTTTATAGAGAGAAATAATTTCTGATATCAATGTGGAAAATAATTTTAAAACAGTAAAGCAACCACAGAAAATTAAAAGTAAATATGAATAGGTTTGATAAAGTAAAAATGAAAATCTTCTTAATGTTGAAAATATCATCAAAGGCAAAGGAAACACCAGAAAAATAATTTAAAATATATAATATGATCATAGTTATTTATATTTTATATATGGAGCTTTTTACAAAGAAAAAGTAAAAGATGAATAAATATGGGCTGAAATGTAAAAGGCAACTCACTAGACAAGTGAACAACATATATATTAAAAAGTGCTTGACTTCTTTATAATCAAAGGAATTAAAATTAAACCAATATGTAACTTTTCTCTAACAAATTGGGTTAAGGTTCTTTTTAAGGGTCTAATGCTACAAAGGATGCAGGGAAATAAACACTGATAAATTAAAATTCGATTTAATTCTATTCTGTGAAGGGACAGTTGAGATTATACGTATAATCTGTATATGTTTAACAGCCTTTGGCTCAGTAATATTACTTCCAGACATTTATCCCAAAGAGATAATCAGATATACATACCAGTATTTATAAACAAGGCTATTTATCATAGTGTTAATTAACATAATTTTTTTTAATCCTCAAGGTCCAATGATATGATACTAGTTAAATTGTAGCATATCTGTTCTTGATTTGGAATAGCAGAAATCATGTTCTTAACAAATATTTTAAAATATAAGGAAAAGCAGTTTATAAAATGATCTCGATTGTTTTTAGAAAACTACATTGGTCCATATATCTATATAAACAAAAGCAAATGAAATGGACACACATAGACACACACACTAACCATGGTTTTCTACATTATGGGATTATAGATGGTTTTGTTTTTGAGATGGAGTCTCACTCTGTCGCCCAGGCTGGAGTGCAGTGGCGTGATCTCAGCTCACTGCAACCTCCACCTCCCAGGTTCAAGCAATTCTCCTACCTCAGCCTCTCCAGGGGCTGGGATTACAGGTGCACACCACCACACCAGGCAAATGTTTGTATTTTTAGTAGAGACGGGGTTTCACCATGTTGGCCAGGCTGACCTCAAACTCCTGACCTCAAGTGATCCACCCACCTCGGCCTCCCAAAGTGTTGGAATTATGGGCGTTAGCCACCGCGCCTGGCCACTAGATGGTTTTAATATTTACCTTATTTTCTAAAATTTCTATAAAACAATGTTACTTTTATTATAATAAAAACGTCAAGCATAACTTTTGAATAACTGCTTCAAAAGTAACTTAATGAATAATTAAATGACTGCAGAAATTAATTCAACAGGCATTGTATCTGAGGGTATTTAAAATACAAGCATCTCTTGTCTTTCCCCCACTTAAATGTAAATGCCACTAATAGGAGATATCTTTTTTCTAACACTGCATCTTTTTTTTAACTTTTAAGTTCAGGGTTACAAGTGCCAGGTTTGTTACATGGGTAAACTTGTGTCATGGGAGTTTGTTGTACAGATTATTTCATCACCCAGGTATTAGGCCTAGTACCTATTAGTTATTTGTCTTGATCCTCTCCCTCCTCCCACACGCCACCCTCCAAAAAGCCCCAGTATGTGTTGTTCCCCTCTGTGTGTCCATGCTAACACTGCATCTTAAGTGCTAAAAACAATGCCTCGAACATAGTAGGAGCACAGTAAATAGCTGAATGAAAATAAGTACATTATTTTATTTTCATTGAGCAAAAGTAAACTTTTCTATTTCTGTTACTTGTTTTGTCTGTTGACAATTGTTGGCCTACACCTCACCTTATAATAAGAAATAATATATGTTGTTTGTGTCTTTTACACAAGGCACCCACATAAAAGGGACACTTTTATCTTATTTTACAGATGAGGAGACTAATGCTCAGAGAGGTTGCATAACTTTCCCACATTCAAAAAGTGAGTAAGTAGAGCTTGCTATCTCTGTGCTGAAAATTATAGATTCAATGAAGAAGCGACCTAGAGTACACAGAAATATAGGAGAGATGAGAAAGACATTATTAGGCAAAGCACACAGACATCTCAGTTTACAGCAAAATAAGAACCCTGTAAAGGTATTTTTCACACTATGCAATGTTTTTACCACTCTTCTTCTCGGGCCTTAAGCGTCTCTGCAGCTTTCTAGCACTAGAGAAACCCGCATGGTAAACTGAAAGCTTAAAATGAGAGAATTACAATCACTGAGTAATCAGACTTTTCACAAGTCCTTTTTAAAATATTAGTCTAGCCGGGCGCAGTGGCTCACGCCTGTAATCCCAGCACTTTGGGAGGCCAAGGCGGGTAGATCACGAGGTCAGGAGTTCAAGACCAGCCTGGCCAAGAAGGTGAAACCCGGTATCTACTAAAAAATACAACAAATTAACCAGGTGCAGTGGCAGGCGCCCGTAATCCCAGCTACTCGGGAGGCTGAGGCAGGAGAATCGATTGAACTCGGAGGGCAGAGGTTGCAGTGAGCTGAGATCGTGCCACTACACTCCAGCCTGACGACAGAGTGAGACTCCGTCTCAAAAAAAAATAAAATAAAATAAAATAAAATATTAGTCTAAATGGTTTGGTTGGATATCTGCTCACGTGGCATTTAGTAAACTACAGAACCATGACAACAATAAAAGAAAAGTAAGAAATGATCTGAAGAAAGACTGCAGTGAAGCTTCATACTGCTGGCTGGGGGAAGGGATACGAATATTTGGGGCATGCAAGATAAGCAAAAGAAACTGCCAGTGTAACAAGTCATAAATCCAGGCTCAATTTATAACTTCTAAAATCTGAATTTTTCTGGGAATAAAATTATGAAGTGCCACATTAGCCATATTTAGGGTGGCAGACACTGGTGGTTTACCTACCCAACAGCTACGCCCACCACCTCCCTCTTATGTCCCTTCCTACTTGCTGGCATAACCCACTTCCTGTTATAGAGGTTACAAAAGCCAGACATTCACTTTCCTAGCCTGCCTTACAGATAAAGCATGGGTATGTGACAGGAAAGTGGCCTACGGCACTGACAGGAAAGTCTGCTTGGCAGTTTTAGAGAAAGATCTCTCTCCCTTACAAACAGAGACATGTGAGGTCCTTCCTGCTTTTGTACAGTTGTGTGAAGATATGAGGCTGTGACAGTCATTTTTAGACAATGTAGAAATAAATTTGAAGAAGAATACTAGCATGCTAAGTATGACCACATGGAGATTTGGAAAGCAGCTGGATCACATAACTGTGCTGCTGAATTAAACTCTATGTGGCAGCTATGGAGGTGTGCAGCTCATCTCCATTCAAGAAAAAGCTTGCTGATCAGCTGTGTGGAGTGCAGTTAGCTGACAGCCCCCAACTGCAGACAATCCTTGGCAGCATCTGAGCCAAGGCTAGCCTTTTCCAGGAAGTCTCAACCAATAGCTGAGCACAGTGAGACACTGGGGCCCAGTCATTTCTGCCCAACACTGGACTCTTCTATGGGCCATATTTGCAGCAGAGCTCCCCGTTAGGCTCACCCTGATTTCTCAGAGCCTCAGTGCAGTTTTAGGCTCTTCCTACCCAGTCCTCCTCTCTTTACCTTCTACTTTCACAGGTATCAGATCTGAGCTGCAGTCAGAAGGATTTCCCTGACCTCTTGATACTTTTCCTCTTTATCTTTCATAGGTGTTACCCCCAGTAAATATTGGACCCAAGCAATATACCCAGGAATCCCCTATCTATGAACTTTGTATTATATAAAGCAACAGATATCTTTATTGCTTAAGTCATTATTAGTTATTATATTACTGGCAGCCCAAAGTATCCTAACTGATAAATTGGAAAAATAGCCATAAAATACCTTGTGTGGAGGCTGTGAATTTTCCATCATTGAGAAGAGGGTCCAATGAGGTATACTTTATTTGGATGAGAGTTGACTATAATAAGCAAATTAAACTCTTCTCTTGGATGTTTATTTAATGGGGACACTGAAAACACAGGATTCTATAGGGAATTACTATAATTTTATAAAAATTGGAAGCATATCAAACAAGCCCAGCTTTTGAACAGTCAGCAGCAATTAGAGGAAGAAGTGAGAAACAAGCAGAGTAGAAAACTTGAGCTGCAGTCATGAAGAGACCCAATATCAAGGTCATCTGATCCAATAGCGTTAACAGCATTCACACTTGGCTGCACCTGGAATACATCACTGGCTCTGACAGATTTGAAATGTAGCCAACCGGAGAAATTCTTGCAATCAACAGCCTAGAGGGGCTCAGGGTGAACAATTCTACCTAATGGAGATATATAGCCCAAAGCAATAGGAATCTTCTCATGAACACAAGGAAAATTTTTTAAAAAACCTTTTCATATAGAAGAGGAATATGGAGACAGGAATTGATGGGCCATGTTTGTTTTCCCACCTAAGCCTGAAAATCCAATTAAAAAAATAGAAGAGCAAGTATTTCTACAAGAATATTGTGAAAGTCAGCAAAAACATTTCTCTCCCTCCCTCCTCCTTTCCTGCAACCCAAGTGTCCTTCCCTTTAAAAAAAAAAAAAGGTAATTCAGAATTTCTTGGTGTATTGATTGGATAAAAATCTATAATGAAAAGATGAAAGGAGGACTGGTCTTCTCTCCTTATGCTGACTCTTCCATTTCACTTTCCAATTGCTGCTAAAGCTGTTCAGTGCCATTCAAATTCAGAAAACTACCACAATCTTCAATTCTGTGTGCTCCTCACACAGCACATAGACAATACCAAAAGCCCGTCATTGTTTTCACATTTCATGTAAATGTCAGTCCCCTCTTCAGATACCCTCTCCTACTGCAAAATTCTGTTTCTGTTTTCTTCTAGCTCTTCCAATGGGGTAAAATGTCTGCGATGATGTTTACCCAGCTTAAATAAAGTCTATCCAATCTTCCTAAGCTTGCAATATGTGGCGAACTTTTGGCAGTAAGTATACCAATGTGTTCTGGGGTCCTAATTAAAATTTCAATTGGAACCCATTTCTCATATTCAGCAAAATCCCTCTGAAGTCCAAACTAACTGACTTTAGGCTTATGCCCTGTGAGAACCTATATGCCATTTTACATAAATGTTTTAATTTTCTCTGCAATCAATAAATGTGGCTTTGTCATATCCCTTCCCAGGCATTTCTGTTTTTGTTCTCTTTGTAGGCCCTTCCTGTAACACACACGCTATTTTATAGTGCCTTCCCATCAAGTACCATATGACATTTCATTCTAATTTAACTCTGCTGTCTCACAGATAAGAGAATGTTAAATGATGGTAACTAAAGGGGATAAGTGTTTTCTACTTCTGGAAAAGGGTCTCCTCCTTACCCACCCTTCTACAACACATACACAAGTGTGCAACACATACACATATATTACACATGCATACACTGTGTGTCCAGTTTAGCTGAAAACACATAGCCTGCCTTTTACCTCCCCCAAACCTCATTCTGTCATTCAGAGCTCGGAACAGCATGCACAGTATGCAGAGTAAGCTGAACTTACTGTTCATGTAGATAAGGGAAAAAGATCTCCCCCTTTCCTTTTCAGAAGATACCAGTTGCTGCCTCCAGATTCAAGCATAAGATAATAGTTAAGGGCATAGTCTCCGGAGTCAGAAAGACCTGAGCCTGAGTCTCTGTTTGGCCAGCTGCAGTCAGTTACGTGAGTTTGGGCAAGTTATATAAAGGTCCTAAGTCTTGGTTTACTCAGCTCTAAAATAAGGACGGTGATTTTAGGCTGGGCACAGTGGCTCACGCCTGTAATCCCAGCACTTTGGGAGGCAGAGGCGGGCAGATCACGAGGTCAGCAGATCGAGACCATCCTGGCTAACACGGTGAAACCCCGTCTCTACTAAAAAATACAAAAAATTAGCCCGGCGTGGTGGCGGGTGCCTGTAATCCCAGCTACTCGGGAGGCTGAGGCAGGAGAATGGCGTGAACCTGGGAGGCGGAGCTTGCAGTGAGCCGAGATCGCACCACTGCACTCCAGCCTGGGCGATAGAGCGAGACTCTGTCTCAAAAAAAATAAAAATAAAGGCCCTAAGTCTTGGTTTACTCAGCTCTAAAATATGGATGGTGATTTTAACCTGTGCTTCATGAAGACTTGATGATATACATATAAAGCAACCAGTATAAAAAGTATTATACTCAATAGGTTTTTTAAAACAAAAAATGGTAAGATAATGGTACAGGCCAATTCCACCTAGTTGTCACTCACAAATTATAAATGTTAATGTCTCATAAATAAAAGAATTTCAAAAACATGATCCTTTTGTTTTCGGAGTTGTTCCCATGGGGAGGACACTTATTTGGTCCATCTGTGGAAGATGTATGTTTTCCACTTATTTGGTCCATCTGTGGAAGATGTATGTTTTCGACCTCTGCTGTTCTCTGCCTGTCTGCTTCATTCTCCTCCCTCTACAAAGTGCCTTTTGCTGTTTCTGCATGCACGTGATGGAATATGGCTGATTCCATAGCTCCCTGATCTACATTACTTCTGTCAATGCTATCAATATAGATTGAGGTAGAATGTCTGGCTCCAGGTTTATATTTCTTTATGAGAGGAACTGATTGCTCCACTTTGGATCAGGTATCTACTCATGGTCCAATCAAGTGTTATGGGTGAGAGGGCTAGTGGTGACAGAGCCCTCTAGCACAACCATAGCTGCTAGGACCTCAACCCTATGCTTGAGGGAAGGTAATCTTCAGAAAAAGGGGACTGTAGAAGCTATAGTATTACATTGGTTTTCTTATGAAGAAAGCTCATATATATTTATTATTTTATGAATCCAGTTATCACTTCTAGTTGTCATGCAGAGACTGTTAAAGTTCTTTTTTAGCATTTCTTTGAAATATGAGGATTTTCATGCTATCTGGATAATCAATTCATTGGTATATACATTATTATTTATTTTATCGCACATTTTATCTACCCCATTCTTTTTGGAAACTTTTATACAATCATCTGACAAGCAATAGCTACTTCTAATGAATTTTAATAACCATTTTCCAAGAAGGATAGCACTCACAATACTATGCATATCATCATTATCTACCAAGCCTATTCTTTATAAAATCTGAAGCTGTTCAATTAATAAACTTTCATGTCTAAAATAAGACAAATTATACCACTTAAATTTATTTGCCCCCAAAACACTTTTACATGAAACTCAGTTTCACTATCATCATTATCATATTTAGATATTTACATTTTAGCAATAAAAATACATGTTGACTTTTACACTTACGATTTAGATAAGATGAAGATATTTCTTGGCACTATTTATTTTTCATATCATCCTAAACCACAAAGAAATTGATTTAGGATAACTCTCTCAAATATGACAAAGTTTTTTTTTTCTTATTTACTGCATGTCTAATTCATTATCATTTCTTTTCATTTATCATTGATATGGTATCTTAATATATCAGTTTTCTATGTTGAGATTTAAGTAGTTCATATAGAAAACTAAATAAATATTAATCATATTGGCTGCTTCAGAAAATCTTAGAATACAATATTGAATATGCCAGAAAATATAAATATTAATATTGTACAAAGTATTACTTGAGGGTCAAAGAACTTAGAAGAGAAGGAAAATAAATTATTATTATGCAGTTAAATTTGTACTAAACCATTGGGGGAAGGATGTTTCAAAGACAAAATTTGCTGGTTCAGAGGAAATGTTTCATGGAATTTTTTTGCCAGATATGTTTTTTGCTCTCATCTAGATGGCTCCTATTTTTTGAGAGATATTCGATCATACCAGGCGTCATGGTAGGGCTAGGAGTTGAAAGGTTTATATAGATCTGTCAACCCCAACACTAAACCCTAAAGTTTCCTAATTCAACCGTAGTTTTGTGAAGAGAAAAGAAGACATGGCTCAGACCACTGGGTTTTGGCCAGGGCCAATGATCTCCACTTACTGGAGTCAAGGCTCATTATTTATTCAGAAACCTAATTCTGTAGGCTGTCATGGCAAACCAAGATGCTTCTTGAGCCCTCAGTTAGACCTACATGAGAAATTTGTGCTCTTGTGAAAAACCTAGTAGCAAAGGGCCGGGCGCTGTGGCTCACGCCTGTAATCCTAGCACTTTGGGAGGCAGAGGTGGGCGGATCACGAGGTCAGGAGTTCGAGACAATCCTGGCCAACATGGTGAAACCCTGTCTCTACTAAAAATACAAAATTAGCCGGGTACGGTGGCACACACCTGCAGTCCCAGCTACTCAGGAGGCTGACGCAGGAGAATCACTTGTACCTAGGAGGCGGAGGTTGCAGTGATCTGAGATCCTGCCTCTGCACTCCAGCCTGTGTGATAAAGCAAGACTCCATCTCAAAAAAAAAAAAAAAGAAAGAAAGAAAAACCTAGTAGCAAAGACACAGCAACTAGCTGGGCTTCACAGACTAGCCAAAAGTTCTTCATCATAGAAGTTGCCTTACATAGCAGTAGCAAAATGAGAAAAGGTGCATGCACAAAGCCCTATGTTTAGAGTGGTGACAAAACCTCTGAAGTAAGGGGTCTCCGGCAAGTATACACATCCCAGTCTGGCACCTATCTCCCAATTCATCTGACTCTGGAGTGTGCAAAGAAAGCATTCGTTATTTTGCCAGGAATCCCACCATTTGACCACCTTGTACCTCAGTAGATCAGGGGCCTCCTGGGATGTGACCAACAAATAACTAACCATTGTGACACTGGTGTCTAACCATGTTCCTGACACTATTGATAAGAGAAATACTATAAAGCAGGGCTAGGTCTCTTTTCTGCAACCGAGGTAGTGAAAAGCTTTCCAGCTTTGAAAGCAGAAAGATCTGGGTTCTACAGAAGTTCCATCATGTTATTTATAATTTTTTTTCTTTTTAAATAACAAAACATACATAAAACATTTAACAAATAACAGGTGTATATATATATATATATATATATGTAAATTTACAGAATGTTCATACTTTGTCATATTTGTTTTAGAGTTTATTTTGTTAAGAAATTAAAGACTATAGAGATTTAAAATTCTATGTTATCCTATTTCCCTCCTTTGTACTCCAGTGGTAACTACTCTCCTGAAGTTGGTATGCATCCTTCCCATGTGTATTTTTATTTTTACTATGTAGTATTGTTATTCATGTTCTCAATTTTATATAAATGGTGTCATGCCATATGAATCTTTTTGAAAATCTTCTTTGCTCAATAGGTAGTGAAATTTATCAAAGCTGATTTATTAATATGTAGATCTAGTTCATCCATTTAAATTTGAATAGCATGCCATTCTATGGCTATTTGAGTATCCATTACTCTATACATAGACATGTAGATTATTTGTAGTTTGGGACTCTTACAATAATGCCGTAGTGAACATGGTTAGATAAGTTCCCTTGTGCATGTGTGTAGGAATCTCTCAAAGGCATATAAAGGATTGATTTTCAAGTGAAATAGACCAATATGACCAACCCGGTCATTTACAGTATATGTTTGTTCTAATTGATTGGTACCCCTGAGAGCAGTTGTTAAATATTTTGAATATCACCCCTTGATACATACCTAGAAGTATCACTGCTGGGTCATATAGAATGCACATTTTCATCTTTACTAGATATATTGCCTGTAGCTCTTTAAAGCGGTTCAACTAATTTACACTCCAAGCAGTAGTTTAATATGTACATTCCTATTTCCCTACAAGTGGAATTGTTAGGCTAACTTTCACTGGTCTGATGAGTGTGAAATGGTATTTTGTAGGATTTTTTTTGTTTTTTTTTTTTCTCCCAAGATGGAGTCTTGCTCTGTCGCCCAGGCTTGAGTGCAGTGGCATGATCTAGGCTCACTGCAACCTCCGCCTCCCGAGTTTAAGCAATTCTCCTGCCTCAGCCTCTTGAATAGCTGGGATTACAGGCGCGAACCACCACACCCCGCTAATTTTTGTATTTTTAGTAGAGACGGAGTTTCGCCATGTTGGCCAGGCTGGCCTCAAACTGGCTGGTCTCAAACTTCTGACCTCATGATCCACCCACCTCAGCCTCCCAAAGTGCTGGGATTACAGGCATGAGCCACTGCACCTGGCCCATATTTTGTAGTTTTAATTTGCAGTTTCCTAATTACCAGTCAGGTGAAACATCAGCTGTTTATCAGCCATTCAGAACTATTATCTTGTAAATTGCCTATCCATAGCCTTTACTCCATTTTCTATAGGGCTGTCTACCTTTTTCAAGTTGATTTCTAAGTGTTCTGTATTTCTTCTCCATATTAGTCCTTTGTCAATTATATGGATTGCTAACATCTTTTTCCGGTTTTTGGACTATCTTTCACTTTCTTTGTTGTGCCTCTCGATCTAAAGAATGCCACCATTTGTTAGCTCTATGAATTTGGATAAACCATTTCAACTCTCAACATCTTAATTTATTCATTTATAAAATAAAACCAATAGTGCCTTACTTACAATATTGTGGTGAATAAAAATAATGACATAATAAATGTACAGGAATGAGCAATATGCAATAAATAAGTAGAAGTTTTCTTCTTGCGGCTCTACCCTCAAACAGAAGGGGAAACAGGGGCACACTACTATGCAAATATATTCACTGAGCTATGGTATGTCAAAAAAGACATCCTATGGATGCTTGAACAGAAGGATTAATCAACTGGATTATATTAGTCACTCAATAAACATTAATATTTATTGAACCCTTCCTATGTACCAAGCATAGAAATAGAGTGTGATGCAAAACAGATAAATGCTTGTTGAAGTGGGAAAGAGGGAGACAACAAGAAACAAATTATTATTTGCTACAACATCAGGATGAAGAAAGTTAAAAGTTATGTGGTGATTACAAAATGATTGAGGGGTACAATTTCATATCAGATGGTCAGAAAAATCCCATCATGGAGGCAACTGAAGTAGAAACCCAGAAGAACTGAGGAAAGGATCATGTGAAGGAAGCATATGCAAAGGCCCTGAGACCCTGGCATACTTGTCAGTCAAGGAGAAGGAGGACAGTGTAGTGGAAGGGAATAGCAAGAGGGTGCAGGACAGGGATCCAGGGACAAGATAATGACCTTGGAGTGCACGATAAGGATTCTAGATTTTATTCTAAGTGCAATGGAATATCCCTGGAGGGCCCTGAGCAGAGGAGTAGCATGTTATAATTTATGTTTTAAAAGGATCCATCCAACTACAAGATGGATAAAAGGCTGCAGAAGTGTAGGAGAGTGAGTATGCTGACCATGGAAAGCTGCCTTTCTTGCGTGGAAGATTCTAAAGCCATTCATTCTGGTCATTTCCCCCAGGACTCAAAAATAAGCAACTCTGAACTGAAATCTCAACTGCAGCAACTGGCATTATTTCTATTTACTCTTATTGGACAATCCATATTTAATTCAGAACCTGGAAAAACATAAGAAATACTGGCAAAAACAAATGACAAAACAATTGTGCTGAACTTGTTTACCTCTCATTTGCACTGGCTACTTTGTGCATTTTTCTTTGACTTAAAGAAATCAAGGCGTATTTAAAATGGTTACTGCCTGTAGATTTTTTTTAAGTGTCAAATGACTTGTGTACAAGCAGTGATTTCCCCATGATTTTTTTCTGGGGGGAGGATGGGGGTGGGTATCATTACCTAGTGACATGGAGAGGTCATACCTAACCTTCCCTCTCAAGAAATGCTGGCTATCTGATCATGAATTTTTCCCAATTCTTTCCCACTCTCCAAGGTGTTCTAATTGATTTTTCTCCCTGCTGTTTAGAATCTAAGGATATTTAATTAATGGGTTTCTTTTACACAAATAGAAAAACTCAGCATGACCAAAGTCAGAATGGTCAACAGCTAAGCTCTTCCCTGCCTTCCAGCTGTAACACCTTATTAAGACTGATTTCCCCAGCCAGCCTGCCAATCCACAGGTACTTCACATTGTGTTTTAAAAGTTTCTGCTTCTGCATTGAAATCACCAGTATTATTTCTTAAGAAATTATTCCTACAGCAGGTCTTCCCAAATATTGATTGAAAATGAACCACCTGGAGATCTTGTTAAAATGCAGATTTGAACTCTGGATCTGGGATAGGGTACAGGATTACGCGTTTCCCAGATGATGCTGATGTTGGTGATCTGAGGGTCACACTTATGTAGCCAGGTCCTCAGCTGAAGGCAACTACAGCTTTAAACATTAGTAAAATATATACAGGTGCTCCTCAACTTATGATGAGTTTATCTTCCAAAAAGCCTATCATAGGTTGAAAATATCGTTAAGTCAAAAATACATAAAGAGTTTGTCCATAGGTAGTATTTTAGCCCTTTCCCCTCCCTCCCTCCTCTCTTGTAGTACTCAGTGTCTATTGTTCCTATCTTTACGTCTAAGTGCATACAATGCTTATCTCCCACTTATAAGTGAGAACATGTGGTATTTGGTTTTCTGTGTCTGCCTTAATTAGCCTAGGATAATGGCCTCCAGCTGCATCCATGTTGCTGCAATGAACATGATTTCACTCTTTTTTATGACTATATGGTATTCCATGGTGGATATGAGCCACATTTTCTTTGTCCAATCCACTGTTGATGAGCACTTAGATTGATTCCATGTCTTTGCTATTATGAACAGTGCTGTGATGAACATAAGTGCATGTGTCTTTTTGGTAGGAAGATTTTCCTTTGGGTATAGGCCCAATAATGGGACTGCTGGGTCAAATGGTAGTTCTGTTTTAAGTCATGGTTTTTCTCTGAGCATCATTATTTGGTGACAAGGAGAGATCAAGCCTAAACTTTCAAGTTGAAAATTTGAAAATTTATCTAACTATGGTATACATAATAATAATTTACAATCTTGCATTAATAGCCTAAATAGTTATTTCCCCTATCATTTAAGATCTTTTTAGACAAGGGAGAATCTGGCATTTGTCTTTGGAGGGATTTCTTTGAGGTCAATAGCTCACAATGCTGAAAAGTGTTCAATCCTCAGCACTGGTTCTCAAGGTCTACTCCCAGAACCAGCAGCATTAGAATCACCTGGAAACTTGTTAAAATTCCAAATTTCAGGCCCCACCTAAGACCTACTGAATCAGAAATACTGTTTGTAGCACCCAGATATCTGCATCTGAACAAACCCATCAAACAATTCTGAATTTTGAGAACCACTGCTCTATAAGACCAGTTGCTTTATTTTCATTACTAAATAAAACACATTCCGCTGGGCACAGTGGCTCACGCCTGTAATCCCAACACCTTGGGAGACCAAGGCGGGTGGATCACGAGGTCAGGAGATCGAGACCATCCTGGCTAACATGGTGAAACCATGTCTCTACTAAAAATACAAAAACTTAGCCAGGCGTGGTGGCGGGCACCTATAATCCCAGCTACTTGGGAGGCTGAGGCAGGAGAATCACTTGAACCCGGGAGGCGGAGGTTGCAGCGAGCCAAGATCATACCACTGCACTCCAGCCTAGGTGACAGAGTGAGACTCCGTCTCTAAATAAATAAATACATACATACATACATACATAAAACCATTCATAAGATTTTCTTAAATTGACTGTATAAGACTGATGTTTAAAAAGCCCCACAACCCCCATAAATTCTATCTGCATAGTGTTTGGCACATATAAATGAAATAATAAATACAAATCTGGCATAAGGGGGAAGATTAGTATAGGTTTCCCCACAATTTACAATATATCCTCTTTCTTCACTAATGTAGCTGTTAGCTATTCATTGCATAAAGAAGGAATCCCAAAATGTGACACAGACATTAACATTTAAAAATTTAGGCAATTTATAGCAAGTAGTAAACTCTCAGGAGGCCAGTTTGATATTGCTTTGAGGGCCACTTTTTTTTTTTTTTTTTTTTAGAGACTAGTAATTGTTTCTTTTTTTTTTTTATACTTTAAGTTTTAGGGTACATGTGCACATTGTGCAGGTTAGTTACATATGTATACATGTGCCATGCTGGTGCGCTGCACCCACCAACTCGTCATCTAGCATTAGGTATATCTCCCAATGCTATCCCTCCCCCCTCCCCCCACCCCACAACAGTCCCTCAATTTCTTATACAAAGAATATCTAGGCATTGTTCTTTTCTCATTTCAAAGTTTATTCCTCCTCGGAAGAATCCATTTGAACCATTTCTTCTGTATAATTGACTATTTATATGCAGGTATTACTGGCGAACTTTACCCTCTTGAGGGCCACTAACCATGCCTGGGTTACTTTTATGATAAAATGTCACTAGGAGATGAGAATCTAACTATGGAAAAACTCCAGGCTGGTTTTCTTAAGACTTCCATGGGAAAATGTCAGCAGGTCCATGCATGGGCCTACTTCAGTCCTGGGCTCCACCAAAAAAAAATTACTCATCACAAGTAATTGGTAAATTCTAATAAATTTCTAAGTGAGAGAGTTCCCCTGAGTTTCCGTCACCACATTTAGTGCTGGAAGTGGTCTTGGAAATAGCTAGAAATAGTTTCATGTCATCATTTAGAATTAGAATCTGTAATATTTTAACATCAAATGCACCTCATAAATCACAAATATCCCTACACTGCATTTTTATCTAGACTTTTTTGAAAAGTTACATTTTATGTCCTAACTTTTACAACCTTACATTATGAGTTTTCAACATTTTTATCTGCTATATATATACTCATTAAAAAGAATTTAATATCCTGCGCATTGACCTATTAAATATCCTAACGAAGAGAGTAAATTAACTGCTTTTGTAAGAACATGAAGAATATTAATAAACAATAAGCAAAATTGCTAGTAAATTTGCAATGGCCAACTTTATATGTCAACTTGGCTGAGCCATGGTGCTCAGATATTTGATCAAACATTATTCTGGATGTTTCTGTGAAGGCATTTTTTTGGAAGAGAGTAACATTTCTTTTTTGAGATTGTATTAGTCCATTTTCATACTGCTATAAAGAACTGCCCAAGACTGGGTAATTTACAAAGGAAAGAGGTTTAATTGACTCACAGTTCAGCATGGCTGGGGAGGCCTCAGGAAGCTTACAATCATGGCAGAAGGTGAAGGGGAAGCAAGGCACCTTTTTCACAAGGCGGCAGGAAGGAGAAGTACTGAGTGAAGGGAAAAGAGCCCCTTAAAGACCATCTGATCTTGTGAGAACTCACTATCACAAGAACAGCATGGAAGAAACTGCCCCCGTGATCCAATTACCTCCACTTGATCTCTCCCTTGACATGTGGGGATCATAGGGATTATAATTCAAGCTGAGATTGGGGTGGGGACACAAAGCCTAATCATATCAGAGATTAACATTTGAATTGGTGAATTTTGAGTAAAACAGATTACCCTCCATAATGTATGTGGGTCTCATCCAACTGGTTGAAGACTTTACGACAACAAAGACTGACCTCCCTCAAGCAAGAAGGAATTCAGCCAGGACACTTCCTGGGGATTCAAACTGCAACTCCTCCCTAAGTCTCCAGCCTGCCTGCTTACCTCATCAGATTCTGGATTCACCAAGCACCCACAATCATGCGAGCCAACTCATCAAAATAAATCTTGCTCTTGCTTACTCTCTCTCTGTCTCTGCGCCCCCCATCTCTACACACACACACACAAACACACACACACACTAAAACGCAACCATATCCTGTTGGTTCTGTTTCTCTGGAGAACCCTGACTAATAAAAAACTGTGAAGGATAATTTTAAAAGGTAAAATTATATCTCTCATACAAATATAAAATGATCATTTGTCAGAAAGTTTTCCCAGGAAACTAATGTATCTCACAGAATTGCTGTAGTCTACTTAGCATGCAGTGATGTTCTCAATAAATACACACTATTAATATATTACTCCAAGCAGATTCATTTCAAGACATAGATAATATTTAGGGCCCAATCTCCTCATTCTGAAACTTTGTTCCAAGTCTGTCTTTTGGACATTTTTTTCTTTTCCTTATTAAAATCTGGACATACTATGAAATTCTTTCACAATTAGATGATAATATAGAAAAGTTTTCAGTGATAATAGAGGAGGCAGCATTCAAGTGAAAAAAAAAAAGACTTTAAAGAAACAAAGTGCTAGTGTTGAAATTTCAAACATCAACTCTGGAGTTGTGAAGGTGTTTCTAGGTTAAGAAATTCTTCCTGAGATCCCCAAAACCACATCCCAGAATATGTCCTCCTACTCCTAGAGGTAAGGTGAGGCCTGTGGGTTCTACATAGTATTTGTGTATACACAGACACATGCACACATACGTGCGTGTGTATATACTTCTACATAAAAGATAGCAGCAAGAATTTATATGTACAACCTTACCTTTTCTTTTGGCACTTAATAAAAACCAGTCTACTGAGTTTACCTCACAGAATCCCCAAAGAGAAAACATTCCCTGTAAAGCAGCCATTCCTGTTGTGCTTATTTACTGATCCATGGGCAATGCTCCTCCCACAGAGAATTTCTTCCTGGAAAAAGAAATCTGCTTTTAAAAATAAGGTAGACTTTTATCTGCCTGGCATATCCTCAGCATGGACCACCCTGAAGACAGGGCGATAAACGCACTAAATGAATCTGTAAGGAGTTCCCTTCTTCTCCTTCAGTGTGGTGGTACTTAATTTTTTGGTTTCATACCTATTGCTGCCGTGAAAATGGTCCCCCTTCTTCCTTGACACTAAAAGAAATGCCCAGCAGTTCATTCAAGACTTTGCCCCAGCTACAGAAGTTGGGAAAGTGGCATTTTATCCTCTTGATATATGTTGTTTTAACTCTTAGTGAAATAAATGGTTTCTATATTACACATCATTATTCATATACTGAAACGAGATCTTTTCTGAAACATCTGAAAAAGATTTGCAATTTGGATGATCCCTTATCATTTTGATTTTTCTTCAGCTATGTTTAGGAGTTCCATGTATTAAAAATTCATAAATATTCAGCATTTAGGCTGCAAGGAGAGCAAAGTGTCCCTCAAAAGTTCAAATTAGAGAAACGGTGCTCAGTTTCCACACCAAGCAGCAGTATCAAGAGCTGAGTATTCATAAAAAAGTAACTGTCTCTAAAACTCATAAGCATTCATATTCTCAGAAAAGTTTGGGCTATGGGCTTTAATTTTGTGTTCCTTAAACTTGGAGTAGAGTATATACTGGTCTCTGTGTACAACTTAGGTCAGATTCCTAATAAAATTTCAAGTCCTTCCAGGATTGCATCACAGAAGAGGGACTGGGAAAGAATCATCAAAGAATTCAGAAACAAGAATGACAAAGTGAAAATAGGGTTGCAAAATAATATCTTTGCAGAGAAACAATTTGAAAACTTAGGAATAATTTAATAATCAACTTCAATTGCTGAATATGATGATAATCAAGTAAGGAATAACGACTCCATTTGAAATGTGGATCAAGCTAAAGTAGCAGTATTCAACTGCATACTAATGAATCAAGGTGGACATAAAAGGGATTTTCCCTCCAAAATAAAGATGATAAAACCTTAACATGTACTGTAGAAGAATGACAAAATTTTTTCTATTGATTCATTGACACATTCATCCAGCAAATCTGCCCGGCTACCTGTTGTTACCTCTTTCTACTCATCTCCTCCCTCCCTTTCCATTGCTTACTCTGACTCCTGTCTTACTGACCTTTTCTGTCTTCAACCTCTTGACATATTTCTGCTTCAGAGCTTTGCAATTGCTGTTCCCGCTGCCTGAAAATATCTTCCTGCAGGAAGATAACTGGGTCATTCCCTCTCCTCCCTCAGACATCTGCTCTAAAACCAACCTCTCAGTGAAGCCTTCCCTGGCCACCCTCTCAACAGCTTCCATTACATTTCCCTGATTTATCTCTCTTCCTTAGCACATAATCACTACCTAAAATCAGTAGGTAATTTTAGGTAATACCTAATTTAGGTATACATAATTTTAGTAGATAATACCTAAAACTGAGTAGTATTCCATTGTATGAATGTTCTAAGGATTTTGTAGCCACTCATCTCGTGAAAAAGACCTGGATTGTTTCTAGTTTTTGCTATCACAAACAGCCGCTAAGAATAATCCTAAACAGCTTTTATTGTGAACATAAATGTTCATTTATCTAGAGTAAGTACCTAAAAGGGAGATTGCTAAGTCATATGTAAGTGTATGTTTTCCCAAGTGGTGGCGGTGGTACCAATTTTTTTTTTTTTTTTCATTCCACCAGCAATGAGTAGGACTACTCATCTTTGGATCCTGGCCAGCACTCAGTATGGTCACCATTTTTTATTATGGCCATTCTAATGGGTGTGTAGTGGTATCTCACCATGGTTTGAACCTGCATTTCTCAATGGATGATTTTGACCACCTTCTCATGCGAACTTTTGTTATCCATATATCCTCATTGATGAAGTATCTATTCAAGACTTTGCCCATTAATTTGTGTGTGGTTTCTTTAGCTCAATATTTTTTAGCCTTTTATGAAATATTTAAAAACGTAGAAAAAGTTGCAAAAATGGGACATAGAGTTCTATAAATACTTTGACCAGCTTGCCTTATTGGTGACATCTTAAATAACTATAGTACAATATCAAAACCAGGAAATTAACACTAGTAGAATACTGTTAGCTAAACTATCGACCTTATTCAGTTTTCACCAGTTTTTATGAGCAATCATTTGTGTGTATGCGTAGTTTTAGGCAGTTTGATCCCATGTATAGGTTCGTGTCACTGTTGACAAATCAAGATACAGACTGGTCCATCTCCCAGATGAAACTCCCTCATGCTACTGCTTTCTAATCTCACCAATCCCCCACCCTCTGTTCTTGTCCTCTGGTAACCACTAATCTGTTCTTCAACTTAATATTTTGTCATTTTCAGAATGTAATATAAATGGAAACATACATTATGCAACCTTTGAGACTGTCTTTTTTTTTTCTAAAAATATTGCCTTAGAGATTCATCGAAGTTGTTACATGTATCAATACTTTGTTTCTTTTTATTGCTGAGTAGTATTCCATGGTATGGATGTGCCAGAGTTTGTTTCACCAATCACCCATTGAAAAACATTTGGGTTGTTTACAGTTCGGGGATATTACAAATGAAGCTGCTATGAACATTCATGTACTGGTTTTTGTGTGAACATAAGTTGTCATCTCTCTGGGAGAAATGCCGAGGAGAGCAACTGCTGATTTGTGTGGTAAATGTGTGTTTTGTTTTACAAGAAACTGCAAAAATGTTTTCCAGAGTGCCTGAACTATTTTCGATTTCCCATTGCAATGTAAGAGAGGTCCCATTTCTCTGTACCCTTGCTATCATTTGGTTTTATCACTTTTTTTATTTTAGCCATTTTAATAGATGTATATATTGTGGTAGTTTTAATTTGCATTTCTCTAATGGTGAATGATGTTGAATATCTTTTCACATACTTTTTTGGCCATCTGTATCCCCTTTTCTTCTGAAATACCTGTTCATGTATTTTGCATATATTCCAATTGAACTATTTTTTAGAGTTGAATTTTGAGTATTCTTAATATGTTTTAGCTGCCAGTTCTTTATTGTGCATATGACTTTCAAATGCAACCTCCCAGTCTGTGGCTTGTCTTCTCGTCCTCTTAACAGGATCCCTAACAATACAAATGTTTTTAAATTTGATTAAGTCCAATTTATCAACTTTTTCTTTTATGAATTATACAGTTGTTGTCTCTCAAATCTCTTCACTTAGCCCTAAGTCCTGAAGATGTTCTCCTATGTTTTCTTTTAAGAGTTTTATAGTTTCGCATTTAAACCCCTGAAACATTTTAAATTTATTTTTGTATAAGTTGTGAAGTTTACATCAAGGCTTATATTTTCTTAACCTATAGCTATCCAATTGCTTCAGCACCATTTGTTAAAAAGACTGTCTCTCCTCCATTGAAAAGGATTTTTGCACTTTTGTACAAAAGTACAGTTGGCTGTACAACTGTGGATCTATTTATAGATTCTATATTCAATTCCACTGATCTATGTGTACATCCTTCCACTAATACCATACTGTCTTGCTTACTGTAGCTATATAATAAGATTTAATTTCTTCTTTTTCAAAACTAATTTAGCTAGTCTGGCTCCTTCGCCTTTCGATATTAATTTTAAAATAAGATTATCTATCTACAAAAAAACTTTTTCTGGGAGTTTGCTAGTAATTGTGTTCAATCTAGATTTGGAAAGAATTGATATATTTATTATCTTGGGTCTTCTGAATCCATGAACACTCTATGGTTGTTCATTTATTTAGATCTTCTTTGATTTCATTCATGAATTTTTTTTTTAATTTTATTTTAAGTTCAGGATACATGTGCAGGAAGTGCAGGTTTGTTACACAGGTAAATCTTATAATTTTCAGCGCTCAGTCTGCACGTTTGGTTAGATTAATACCTACTAAGTATTTCATATTTTGGGGGCTATCATAAATTATATGCATTTTAAATTTTTTCTTCCATAGGTTTATTTCTAGCATACAGAAATGTAATTAATTTTTGCTTGTTGATCTTATATCTGGCAACCTCACTGGGCTTGCCTTCTAAGAGTTTTGCAAATTTTAAAATTGTTTTCTTAATGTTGAGTTATTATAATTATTTAATTATTCTGAATAGAAATAATTTGTTAGGTATGTGATTTGTAAATATTTTTCCAGACTTTAGCTTGCCTTTTCATTCTCTTAACAATGTCTTTCACAGAGGAACAGTCTTTAATTTTGATGAAGTCCACTCTGTTAATTTTTTTCTTCAATTGTTCATACTTTTGGTGTTTGGTCTATGAACTCTTTGCCTAATCCCACATTATGAAAATGTTTCTCCTATACTTTCTTCTAAAAGTTTTGTAATTTTCCATTTTACATTTAAGTCTATGGTTTTCGTTTTTTTTTTTTTTTTTTTTTTTTTTAGAAGGAGTTTGAGTTTCGCTCTTGTTCCCCTCCAGGCTGGAGTGCAATGGTGTGATCTCGGCTCATTGCAACCTCCACCTCCCGGGTTCAAGTGATTCTCCTGCCCTAGCCAAGTAGCTAGGATTACAGGCATGCGCCACCACGTCCGGCTAATTTTGTATTTAATAGAGACAGGGTTTCCCCATGTTGGTCAGGCTGGTCTCGAACTCCCGACCTCAGGTGATTTGCCCACCTTGGCCTCCCAAAGTGCTGGGATTAGAGGCACGAGCCACAAGGCCTGGCAGTCTATGCTCCATTTTAAGTTAATTTTATTAGATGTGAGGTTTATTTCAAGGTTTATTTTTTTGCATATGGATGTCCAATAGTTTCAATACCATTTGTTAAAAAGGATGTTTTCTCCATTGAACTATTTTTGCACCTCTGTCAAAAATCAATTGGCCATATTTGTATGGGTCCATTTCTGGACTCTCTATTCTATTGCATTGATCTATTCATCTGTTTTTGAGGCTAAATGACATTGCCCCGATTACCGTCGTTTTTTCATATGTCTAAAAAATGGGTAGTATATTTGCTTCACCTTTTTACTTTCCTTCAGATTTATTTTAGATATTATAGTAACTTTGCCTTTCCATAAAAATTTTAAAATCCGTTTGTCTATATCTACTCTGATTGGCAGCTTCTAAGAAGCCCCCCAGTGTCCCCGCCTCCTGGTGTTCACAGCCTTGTGTAATTTCTCCCCAGGTAACTTGCTCCTCAAAACAGAATTCAGCAATGTTGAGGGAATGTCACTTCTATTATTAAGTTTAAAAAGAATCTGTCTGCTGTCTTGACAACAGACTCTCTCTCTTGCTAGCTTTGATGACACGAATTGGCATGTTGGGGAGTCCCACATGTTAGAGAAATGAGAAAGGCCTCTAGGCAACAACCATATAGGAATTGAGGCCCTTAGTCAAATAGCCCACATATAACTGAATCTTGTTAATAAGTACATGAGCTTGGGAGTGGATCCTTTTCCAGTCAAGAGTTAAGATTAGCCCAGCCTACATCTTGATTGCAGCCTGTCAGAAATGTATAATAGGAATCCATGTCCAGATTCCTGACTTACAGAAATTGTGAGATAATAAATGCATATTGTTTTCAGTCACAACATTTTGGGGTAATTGGATATACAGCAGTAAAAAACTAACATATCTACAAAAATTCCTGCTAAGATTTTGATTGAAATTGTGTTAAATATATAGATCAACTTGGGGAAAATTGACATCTTTACTATGTTGAGCCCTCAAATCCATGAACACAGAGTCTCTTCATTTATTTAGATCTTCTTTGATTTCATTGATCAGCATTTTGTTTTCAACATACATATCTTTTAAATGATTTGTTAGATTTATACATACATATTTCATTTTTTGGAGCTATTAAAAATGATATTTTTCACAAATTTCGGTTTCCAATTATTTATTGCTAAGCAGGATATAAAAATATGATTGACTTTTTTGTGTTTTGACCTAGTAGCCTATGACCACATCAAGCTCATATATTAGTTCTAGGAAGTCTTTATAGATTCCCCGGACTATTCTCCATAAACAGTGACGTCATTTTGGAATAGAGACAGTTGTATTTCTTCTCTTTAGATTTATATACCTTTTATTTCTTTTTATTTCCTTATACACTACCCAGTATTTCCAGTACAATATTGAATAGGAGTAGTGAGAGTGGACATATTTGTCTTATTCCTGATCCTATATCACATTGAGTACACTCCCTTCTATTTCTAGTTTGCTGAGTGTTGTTCTCATGAATGGATGTTGAATTTTGTCAAATGCTTTTTCTATGTCAATTGATATAACTGTGCTTTTTAGATTTTTAGATTGTTAATATGATGGAATTCACTGATTAATTTTCAAATGTTAAGTCTTGCATTCCTGAGACACAGCCCTTTTGGTTGTGGTGTATTATTCCCTTTATACATTGTTGGATTTTATTTGTTAATATTTTTTTGAGGATTTTTGGATCTCTGGTCATGGGGGTATTAATATATACTTTTATTTTTTCATTTGTACTGACTTTGTATGGTTTTAATATTAAGGTAATGCTAGCCTCATTAAATCTATTTTAGAAGGAAGTATTCTCTTCTCTGCAATTTTCTGAGAGGCACTATGTACAATTGGTGCTACTTCTTCCTTAAATGTTTGGTAAAGTTTACCAGTGAAACCATCTTGGCCTATAGATTTTCTTTTTGGAAAAATTTAACTATGACTTCAATCTCTTTAATGATTATGGGACTATCAGGTTATTTATTTCATCTTCAGCAAACATTAATATGCAACTTGTAAGTTTTGAGAAATTCTCCATTTCATGTAAATTATGTTTGTGTAATTGTTCATAGTATTCCCTTATTACCCCTTTAATGTATGTAGAGTGTGCAGTGAAATCTCTTCTTTCATTCCTGGATATTGGTGATATGTGTCTTTATTTCTTATTAAGTCTTACTGTAGTTTCAATCAATTTTAGTCATCTTTTCACAATAACAAGTATTTCATTAATTTTCTTTATTTTTTGCTTTCAATTTTATTGATTCTTCCTCTTATCTTTGTTCTTCTTTCCATCTAGTTGTTTTGGGTTTATTTTGCTCTTTCTTTTCTAGTTTCATAAGACGGAAGCTTAGGTTACTGATTTTTGGAACTTCCCTCTTCTCTAATATAAGCATTTAATGCTGCAAATTTCCCTGTAAGTACTACTTTACCTAAATGTCACAAATTAGATCGGTTGTATTTTCATCTTTGTTGAGTTCAAAATATTTTCTAACTTCTGTTGAGACTTCCTCTTTGACTCATGAAGTATTTAGGAGTATGCTCTTTAAATTCCACATGACTGGAGATTTTTACTCTTACCTTTCTGTTATTTATGTCTAACTTAATTCTTTTATTGTTAGAGAATAAATTGACATACCTTTTATGATTTCAGGCCTAAAATTTTGTTAAGTTTTGTTTTATGTCCTATGATATATTCTATCTTGATAAATGATCCATGTACATTTGGGAAGAACGTGCATTCTCCTGTTGATTAGAGGAGTGCTCTATAAATGTCAATTATACACTATTAATTTATGATGTTTCACATTCTCCTATAACTTTGTTGATTTTCTGTCTGAGTTCTATCAATTATTGAGAGAAGATTATTGAAGTCTCCAACTGTAATTGTGGTTTGTTTTCAATTTTTCCTTCTTTTTTTTATTCCTCTGCTCCTTCTTTTCTGTCTTCTTTTAGGTTGTTTTAACTTTTTAGTGTTCCATTTTAATTTCTCTACTTTTTACTGTGTATTCTTTTTTTTTTTTTTTTTTTTTTTTTTTTTTTTTTTTTTTGAGCCGGAGTCTCACCTTGTTGCCCAGGCTGGAGAGCAGTGGTGCGATCTCAGCTCACTACAACCTCCGCCTCCCAGGTTCAAGCGATTCTCCTGCCTCAGCCTCCCGAGTAGCTGGGATTACAGGCATCTGCCACCACAACCGGCTAATTTCTTGTATTTTTAGTAGAGACAGGGTTTCACCATGTTGGTCAGGCTGGTCTTGAACTCCTGACCTCAGGTGACCCACCTGCCTCGTCTTCCCAAAGTGCTGGGATTACAAGCGTGAGCCACTGCGCCCAGCCCGTATATTCTTATATAATTTTTGAGTGGTTGCTATAGGAATTATAACATTTATACTAAACTTATTATTATCTACATAGAATCAACGTTCTACCACTACAAGTGGTCTGTAGAAAGCTTTTCACCATATAAGTCCCTTTACTCTGTTTCCTTTATGTTGTAACTCTCTTATGTATAACACTGACAAATATTAAAAACCCATCAAGCATTATAGTTTTTGCTTTCATTTATCAAAAATATTTAAGTAATGCAATAAAATAATGAGAGCCAATGATACTGACTTGGATATTTGCAATTTCTCTTTCTTTTCGCTCCTAATGTTGCAAGTTTCTTTCTGGTATTATTTTCCTTCTTTCTGAACATCTTCCCTTAGCAATTCTTCCAGAGGTAGTTCTGCTGGCAAAAAATTCTCTTTATACTTCATCTGAGATTGCCATTATTTCTGAAGGATTATTTTTGCTTGATGTAAAATTCTGGGTTGATAATTCTCTTCTTTCACAACTTTGAAAATGTTGTTCCAATTCCTTTTGCCATCCATGGTTTCTAATGAGAAATCAGCTCTTGGTTGAATCATTATTCTCTAAAAAGCTATGTGCCTGGCCAGGTGCACTGGCTCACACCTGTAATCCCAGCACTGTGGGAGGCCTAGGTGGGCAAATTACCTGAAGTCACGAGTTGAAGACCAGACTGGCCAACATGGCAAAACCTGGTCTCCACTAAAAATCCAAAACTTAGCCAGGCATGGTGGCACATGCCTGTCATCCCAGCTACTAAGGAGGCTGAGGCAGGAGGATCTCTTGAGCCTGGGAGATGGAGGCTGCAGTGAGCTGAGATTGCGCCACTGCACTCCAGCCTGAGCGTCAGAACGAGACTCCATCTCAAAAAAAAAAAAAAAAGTAATGTGCCATTTTTCCCTGATTTTTTTCAAGATTCTTTATTTGACTTTATTTTCCAGCAGTTTCATTATGACGTGTCTGGGTATGGATTTCTTTGCATTTATCTTATTTGGGATGTACTAAACTTCTTAAATCTACAGTATTGAATCTATAGTAGGTTTGTCTTTCACCAAATCTGGGAAGTTTCCGTTCATTGCTTCCTCAAATATTTTTTCTGCATATTACTCTTTCTCCTTTCTTGAATTCCAATGACCCAAATGTTAGACTTTTTGTTATTCTCCCACAGGTCCCTGAGGCTCTTTTCATTCTTTAAAAGTCTTTTTTACTCAAATGTTCAAAGTGGATCATTTTTACTGATGTATCTTCTGACCTATTTTCAAATTCACTGATTCCTTTTCTCTCTCGCCTTCATTCTGCTGTTAAATTATTCTGGTGAGTTTTTCTTTTCTTTAACTTTGGTTATTTTATATTTCAATTCTAAAAGTATACACTTGGTTCTTCTGTATATTTTCGATTTCTTTGCTGAGGTTTTCTTTCCATTTTTTCAACAGCGTTCATCCTTACTTACTTGAAGCATTTTCACAATAGCTGCTTTAACGTCTCTGTCAGAACATTCCAACAATTATATAATATCAGTGCTGGTATGTGTTGATTATGTTTTCTCATGCACGTAAAATGATCCTAGTATACTGAGTAATTTTGCATTATATCTTGGACATTTTGAATATCATATTATGGGCTTCTGGATCTTGTTTAAATCATATGGAGAATGTTGATATTATTGTTTTAGCAGGTAATTGACCCAGTTAGGTTGAGGCCACAAGTTCTTGCCAGCCTTCTGTAGGTTGTGCTTTCAATGTGGGTTCCAATTTCAAAGCCTTTTCAGTGCTGATTGGAACTGTCCCTCATCTGCACCGCCAAGTGGCCAGTCTGTGACCTAGGCAGTGGTCTATTCGGCTGTATAGGTCCTATGTGAGCATGCACAGTCATCGGTGAGTTTGAGAGCTCATCAAGAACTTTAAGAGGTTTATTTTCCCAAACTATTCCCTCTCCACCATCTCCCCAGGACATTCTGGTTCCCTGGGGCTCTTGTTTGTGGTCCTCTAGCCAGAAATCTGAAGTTTTATTTACCTTACCTTGGTGCACATTTCCTGCCACCTGTGCTGTGTTTAGGGACAAGTGACCAGAAGACAGAGAAAGAAAAATTTCAATAGGAGTTTGCCACACCTTCTTGGGATCTCAGCTTCTCCCATCACAGAGAAAAGTTCTCCTCTCTCAGTGTTTTAGGCTACTGTCGGTTTTTTTCTCTATTACATCTACCCACCCTGCTGTCATTGGATTGCTTGGGCTGAGGTGTGAGAGAAAAGAGAAAAGAAAAAAAAAGTAGGCGATTCCCCAACTCTGAGCATTAGAAGACCATTTTCCTGCTTCTAGAGCCAGAAATAGAGGTCTTCTTCTGGAGCTCTCTCTCTTTACCCCAAGCCTGCTTCCAGGTTCCAGGTTGCCTTGTCTTCATGCTGGCAGATACTGAAGGAAAAACGGGATAAACTCACTGCCAGCTCAGTGCTACTTTTAATTCTTGTCTTCTTTCCGCTTTCGCCTGCTACTGTTTATATTTCAGACCCCTCAAATACCTGCTCCATGAATTCATTCCAACTTTTACAGCCATATTCACTGGGAGACACAGAGTGAAGTTGTTTACTCTTATCCAGTACCAGAGATCCCTAGACATTTTATACTCTTTGGCTCTTTGTTTAGGACTTACTTTTTAACGCATTAGACTGGAAAGCCTGTGAGATCATGGATTGTCTTTTTTACTAGTACAATTCTAGCCTGGCACATAGTAGGTGCTTAATACAATTTTTGGTGAATAATTGATTGATTGATTAATGAATAAATGATTAATGTTGGGTTATTAGTTTTTCAAACTCTAAAGCTATTGATTCATTTTAAGTAGTAATTCATAATTTTTACTTTTACTTAACTAGATAGATGTAATACCTTATTAAGACTCATATTTAATTCACATGTGTACTTGCAGTTACACAAAAAAATATTTTTACATTTCTTACAGAAATATTCAATTATAGTAAAGTGTAATTTCATCTGTTCCAGCTCCTATGGAAAAAAAAAAGTGACACTTTTAACTACAATATAATTTATATTCAAAAGTATAATAACCAACAACATTTCAGCTAAGCAGGGAAAAATAATACTAGTAGACCTTACAAAAGCTATTCGAATACCTAAAACTTAATCTGTCCTCTTAGTGGCAAATGCTTTTCTTTCCTTGTATACAGGAACATGCTCACACCATCACAAACTTAGAGATACACTTTGGCAGGAATCTGCCTGTCTTTTGGGTAAACAGACATTCCAATTAGTTAGTAGCTAGATTTGAGCTCCTTATCATGTGACCTGTGTGTGACAGCCATTATGCACGATGACTTCAGCTTCTTCAGTCTTGAGCTGTAGCAAGAAAGGAATAGTGCAATTGAAGTATTTTTTAAATACTGCTGCTATCAGCAAAGAAATTTAATAGATCCATAGGCTGTTACAAAGCCTATATATATTTCACACAGAAGGTCATGATAGTAATTCCTAAAGGACACTGTCTTTCCTTTATGAAGTTTTTTTCTCCCTCAGTCACAGAGACAGAAAAAAAACAGAGCATGAATAGAGAATGTACACTTTACTCCAAAAGGCAATTCCTAAAACACAGCTCATGGTAGGTTAGTAAAGGTTAGTGCTTTATTTTTTTTCTTCATTTCAAACGTAAAAATCTCACAACAAAAAGTATTACAACAACTTACAAATAACAAAGATGATCTAATGTCAGTGCATAAATGGGGTCTAGGGGGGCAAGACACGGCTACCAGTAACTATAATTTCAGGCTGCTCTGTAGTGTTATGCTTTTATGTTCTCTATCCAAGGTGACTGATATAATTGGATCATTATCTGAACAGAGCCTAGAGAGATTAATAAAAAATAAATGCTGCCTTTTCCGTATGATATCTTTTCTCCATTGAATTTAAAAACTGTCGTTTCCGTAGTTTTCTTCTCCTGAGTCCCTTAGAAGGTTGATCATGGGCTTTCTTCTAGGTCAAATTCTACTGTCCATGCCCCTGACACTGAACTGCACTTGCCTTTCTCTGGCCTCTACTCTGAACTACTCTTACCTAGTAACAGTTATAAACTCATAGTGTCTAGAAAGTACTATCTTTCCAGAAAATCATGATATTTCACTGTATATCTCATTTTAATGCCTATAATGGCTTTCCTGAATGAGGAGGGCCAAGGTAATCAAAAGCAAATTAAGATACAGAAAAAAGAAAAGTTTTATGGCACATTGCATATGGATGAAAGAAGCTACATATTTGATATTCCAAATGCTTGACCACAAATCAGAACATCTGGGTTCTAGTATAAACTCTGCTATTGATCTGTAACTCCAAGTATGCCATTTACTTTCCCTAGACCATTTTTTTAATCTTGAAATTAAAAGTAACTATACCAATCTTTTTATTTGGATGAAGAAATTAACTACTTCTTGAATAATAGTGACTACCCTGATTTTTTTTTTCTCCCTCTGAATCAACTAATTTTTCCCCTGGATATCTGAAGACCTGTGATTACTTAAAAATTATTTCTTTATTCTTAAGCACAATGAGTGAATCAAAATATGTCTCAGTGTCATTAATTGCAAATAATTTTTCCTGCTATGAAGTGTGTTTCCTTAAGTTTCAAGGGATTATTTTTCTTTGTTTCTAAAAAATTTTCCTCTACTATATCTCTAAATCTTTTCTCGCTCCAGATTTTGTATGGAAGTTTTATTTTCAGCTGTGTCTTTCTCATTTATGTATAAGCTAATAACTTGTGCTTAGTTCTCAATTTGCTTACTTATTGTTCAATCTCCTTTTACATCTTACTCTTTTGTATCTTCTTATCTTTGTAGTTCTATTTTAACTTGATGAATATTCTTTGTGAATTCTTCTGTAGCATGAACAATTTTGGAATACTTTCTTCTGTATCCTAGTTTGCATTTTATTCAAGATTAGATTCTTCTGGTTTTGCTCTTCCTGGCTCTTTTCACTCATTTTTTCCCTCTTTCTATTACTGATTTTCGTTTTCTATTTTTGTTCCATTCTATTAGAGCTTCTATTTTACTTCTTTTCATCTGTCTCATATTTAATATATTTTATACTTTCTTTTTGTCCAGATACATTTCTGAGTGAATTCCCCTTGACACCATTCATACTTTATTTCAGGGTTTTGGTTTTTTTGTTTGTTTGTTTTGTTGTTGTTGTTTTTCCTGCTTGTCTGAGCTTCAATTTGAGTGTTTTCAATCCTTCCTGGGTTTATGGAAATGGATTCCGAGTAGTTAACATTTCATTAGAACTCTTTTAAACAGTCATCGGGAAATTTGAGCTCTGCTTTCTCTTCTGAAATCCTGTACCAACTCCCAGTCCACCCAGCTTGCTCTCTGAACTCAGCCCTATTTCTCAGAAAAGAATAAGCATTGTGCTTCTTTTGCCATTGAATGTAAAAGAGCAATTAGTCAGAAAGATATGTTTCTTGATTTTTCCCAGTATTGCTTATTTATCTCCTTGGTATGTTTTCCCAAAAATTGAGTGGTATTTAGGGGACTTCTTGGGATTTTATTCAATTTCTATCTTTGCTGAGTTATTTTCTGCTACACTAGACTATGCAGAGTTTTGGGGTTTTTTCTGTCACTTTTCAATTTTACAGCATAAGCTTGTCTCATTTTCCTTTTCTGCTTTCTACTTATTTATTTTTTTAGTTGCAAAAAATAAACCAGTTTTCTATTTAGTTAATTAGGCTCCGAGAAAGGCATTTCCTGTGATTTTGCCCCCTTTAACTATTATTTCACAGTCTTCAATGTGTATCATTATTTTATTTTATTTCTATTACTCTAAGCTCCCATTTGTTTTGTGTAATAAAATATTTATATTACAATCAAATACACTGTTATAATACTTTGGGACTGTCTATATGGAGGTAATCATATCTAACGAGGTAACTATTGGGGGCTCAGTGAGGAGCAATGCGGAGGGCATACCCTGACTATGGACCTCCCAGGTGCAATAGTTGAAAGTAAAAATACATGGAAAGTTTCGTGTTTTGTGTTAAAACTGCAGCTATACCACCTGCAAAGCTGAATGTGTTCAGATGTATCTTTTATTACAATGCTGGACTTCACACATCCTGAGGAGGAAAAGACAGTGGCTTCATACGCCAGAAGTCGGATTTCCGGGCTTCTGGCCACCTATCTGAATGGGGGAGATCATGATCTTCTCCAGCCCCCACCCCAACTACTAGATAACCATCACTTTCTAGCTCCACTCTAAACCCATACTCTTAAAGCTAAGTAAACTATTTGCACTAAAATTCAAGTGAGCTTAATCATACATGAGCAATCAATCAAATCACTCCTATATATTTCAGGTACAATACCTTCAAATCCAAAAACAAAGAAAAGTAACTTCAACCCCCTGAGGAAAATCTTTTGTTTTATTTATTAGAGTGAGTTTAAACCTGGCCACAGAAAACACCTACAAAGAGCCATTAATGTTGGAAAATGTTAGATCTGAGGTACAGAATCAAGATGCATGATTTCCTAAGTTATCCAAAACTTGTGAATTCATTCAGCCTCCACCAAAATTCCAGGATCTGGATACATCTGAACTTTGGAAAGGATGTGAAGGCCCATCCTTCTAAGCTTTTTACATTAGATATTTTTAAATTTCATATACAACTGTAATTTATGCTGGGAATGATATGAGTCGACGGCAGTGGTATATTGGCAAATGTTTAAAAACCAGCCCCCTTGGATTTAAAGAGAGGAAAACCCTAATTGATTGTTAACTTCTGCAGTGGTATAAATACTCTCACCGTAGCTAATTTCAAGTTACCAATATAATGTCACTGGATATGGAGATGGAAATATATGTGCTACAGTCAGTTCTCACAAGGTGATGGGAACCAGTTCCAGCACACTACTGTGTGCTTAAAATATAATATTGCAAGAACTTCAAGAATAGTTTAAACATACACAAGATTAGCCCTATCTGGCCCACACAGCCATTCAATTCTTTCCTGTTTCGAAGGAAGCAACGTTGTTGGAAGCTAAAGTAAAGAAAGAGAAACACTTTTCTGTCCCCACGTGAGTTTGGAATAATTTCTTCTATCCAAAGCCTGCAAATATTTTAAGCCCAAATAATAGCAGTTTTGCCCTTTAGAATTTATTTTTTACAAAGTACTTCAGGTACTAGTATGAACAGCATTAATTATCAAAATGTAAACTCTTATAACTTTTAACTTCTGGAATTACAGTTATTAACGAGGATTATACAAATACCTTTTATAAGTTAAGGCAAAGCCTACACACAATTAAACACGAGCCACCATACGAATAAATAACAGTTAATACTCCAAGGTTATTTCATACTCTGTTCAATGACAACTGCAGCTGTGCCACTATTTAAAGTGCTGCTGTGAAATTAATATAATGTATTAGGAAAAATGCTATGTGCAGCTCTTGGAGATGAAGAAATCTGAGTGCGTGGTAGAGAAAAAAGAAAGTAATAGCAGAGAATAGTCTAAAAGAGAACATTTAGATATTTTGATTTATTTGTAAATAATTTGTATAATCCTCTCAACTGGACATTTTTCCAAGTTCAATATAGACTCCCATCTTCTTTTATATCCTAATCAAAACTTAACTATCCTATCTTCAGTGCCTCAGAATTCTAGGCTCTCCCTTTCAAGTTTGCAACTGTTAACTGATAAATGTGTCAACCTTAAAGGTATGGTGTCTAACCAAACAAACAAACAAACAAAAAAAACTGACATCTCCTAGGAATAACAGTGTGTTTGTCTTTGGAGCATTCCTAAAAACACAGTGCCTTCACCCAACCTTTAAATAGCATGGCATAACTATTTGCACAGCACCTGGGATGAGTAGTCAAGGCATCTAGTGACTCCAGATGACCAGCTGGGCTTACATCACTCTAGGCTAGGCCCAGCCATTGGGAATGCTGAAAGAATGAACATCTCAACACAACTTAATCTCATTTATTGCACACCAGTGTCCCACATTACATTGGTTGGAAGACTGACTTAACCTAAAGGAAAACACCCTGTTGCAAGTTTGGTTCCCTAGGAAACACCCTCTGAGATGAAAGCTAGACTGCAGCACATTTATTGAGGAGTGTCTTTGGGAGCAACACTTATAGGAGGGGGAGAAGGAAACATCAGTAAGCAGAGCGGGATGTTGAGCTACGATGCAGGCCCACTGACAGCCTCAGCCAAACCCAAGTGGAGCTCTGGAGCTAGAATGGCCCCACAAAATGGTACTGAGATGGGCGAAGATGGCCATGCCTCTATTCTCCTACATCAATCAGTCAACGGATGTGAGCCACCTCAGGAAAGAGAGTGACCTTGGACAAGACTGCCCTCCACAACTGTGGCAATCTTTGAAGGGGCTGAAAATTGAAGACTGTTTGCCAGCATCCCTCCTAGCAGCGCAGACAACACATCCTTTAATGAAGGGAGATCTGGTCAGTACATTAGTGTCTACTGCAGATCACCAAACTAGATATTCTGAATATTGATCGGCCTCAATACCATTCACTTTTGCAACATAATCCTGATCAGAGCATCTCTCAGTACAATCAATGGAGAGGCTGAAAGGGAAACACATACTTCCACGACTCTGAAGGCATAGCTGCTACTTATCTATCGCAGATTTCATAGCTGCAACATATGAAATCTATGAAGATCCATTCCCAAGGGAAGAGTCCATGTAATCCTATAATCATCTTTTTGATAGCCTACATGGATGCATTTGGCATCCATTCTTATTCAGCCCAACCACTGCCCCTCACTTTAAGTATAGATGTCTAGCTTACCTGCCTTACTCAAAGCTGGGGCCGACTTTCACCAATGCACTATACTTTAAGGAGTAAAGTGTTATCACCTAAAACAGGGACTTACCATGAAGGGTTTGCTTTTTCTTTCTGGCTTGACTCTGAAAATACCAATATTCCCTAAGTGGTACTAAATTTATAGCCGGACATCATTTAGGCTCAGTGGCCTTCACGTATCCAATTGTTTCACCAGGATGGGAGAACACAGTCAAGGCACAAAAAGAAGCTACTGGATAAAAGAATAACTGGATGGAGTGGGGAAGTGGGTACAGAGGAGCAGAATGAGCCAAAGAAAGACAGTTGTGGAAAACTTCCACTTTCCAAATTTTGCCTCCATTTGCCTCTTCATGTATTGTTTTCTTAGCAATCTTTGGAGAAGTGCCATAGGATATTTTCATTCAGCTCTTGATGGAAAATACAGACTGTCTTCACTAATTCTTCAAATAATGAACAAAACATCAACTTAATATGACCCCAGAGGAATGAAAACATAGTTTAAAAAATAAAACACAGTTCCATACTAACATAATTGAGTGTTGAAGAAAGTTAAATTAATAGAAAATGCAATGGTAAAGCTATCCACACATTTGCATATGCCATTCCCTTCACCTGAAACAGTCCCCTTGCTTCCACATGTCTAAAGCATGCCTACCCTTCAATTCTAAGTCTAAATCCTAATTCATCCATGAAGGCTTCCCCAAATATTCCAATCGTGTTTCCTACCCAACTGCACAGTGCTCAATGTCTCTGTAAAATATTTGACTTTCATCCTTATTTTTTGTTGTATTTCTACTGATCATTCACTATGTGCCAAGTACAGTATTTATCAACTTCATATTTTTTATCATTGAATCTTTGCATGTACACTATTATCCAGTTTTGAGTATGTCCATTTGATATAAAAGAGAGCAGAAATTCAGGGAGGTGAATTGGCACCACAAGCAAAATGGGAGAAGGTGATAAACCCAGTTCAGATATACTACAATGTCTGTGTGTTCTTTCTACTGATGCCTATACTGTGCATGCTTCTCATTTCCCTCAAGTAGACCATACACCTCTTGAGAAAAGGAATTGTGTATAATATCCCTTCCTCGTACTTTTCTATTCCTATCCCACGTCATCTCGAATGACAAAAAGCATATAATATCATACATATGTTTGAGAAAAACAAGGAAAAGAGGCTATCATATAGGGGTATCAATGAGTAGATTCCTACAAGTATTCCAGAGGATTATTCCTGAGGAACTCAAAATTTAGCAAATGGATACATAGTTTATAAAAATATTAAGAACAATTTGGCACCAGTCTTTCTCTGTTTCCATATGGTGGTGCCAATTTGTGACTTAGTTAAGACGTTCACTTTCTCACACAGTAATGCCGAAAGCAAGTGACTGGGAAAATTGATTAAGAGAGGGGTTTATCAATGGCATGAAGAAGCCTAACACAGATACATGTCTGGTTGCCTTTTATTAAAATAAATGGAAATTATTTATCTTCAAATGATAACAATACAAATGGAAACACTTGGCAGTTCCCTTGAATATATAATGAAGGATTACCCTCATACCCACATTTATATCCTGCAGTGTGCATAACATTGAGGAAAGGCCAGGAAAGTGACAACTCCTTAATTAGTTAGTGCTCAGTGACAAACTGGGGAAACTTGCTCTGGAATCTGTAGAGAAGGAGGAGATGGTAGATTGTCTAAAAGTCTCTCTCTCTTCTCTATTATATGTTTCACAAAGCGTGTGTTTTTATTTCATTGTTAAAGATGTACAAACCCAACGAAATGAGATTCACTAAATACCATGCTAAAAACCAAATGAAGGGTTTTGCTTCATTTAGTACCTGAATCAACACTACTTTACCTATCAAGGCAGACCTGAAACCTCCTTTTACCAATTTTTCTTCTGATATGAGAAAAGCAATTAGAACCAACTATCAAATTTTATTCATCAGTGCCCCGATAAGCAAGCTGTATGAAAAAAATATTTTAAGTAATTTTCCTAAAAATGTTACCCTGTAAGCAGTCACACCCTCCTTCTAGAGTTATGACTCATATTATTTATTGAATTACATCAAATGCCGTACTGAATTTAGTAATGATAGCTGTATATAATAATTACATGCTACATTGCCTCCATTGGAAACCATGGTAACCGATCAGTTACTGTTTCAGCCAGCCGCCATAGCTGAGAATAGCACAGAGGAAAAATATACCCATCATCACACACATTCAATCTGCAGATAACCTGGGAGGGAGGGCTACATTTGGCCATTTCATCCTTTTATTGCCCCATTTAGGACTCTCCTAGACCATGCCAGGCTTAATTCTTCCCCAGAGCCTTTGCATTTACTCTTCTTCCTATCTGGATTGCTCTCCCTCTGTCCTTTACATAGCTGATTCCATCTTGTCACTCAGGATTTAGCTCAAATGTCATCTCAGAGAAGCCTTTCTTGACCGCCTGACCCCAAGAACTAAACTAGTTCCCTCCAAGTCTCTATCACCTGGAGGGCACTTACCATTTTCTGAAATAATATTGGCATGTGTTTATTTACATGTATATTACCTGTACACATAATGTGCTGTGTGCCATATAACCCCTGGGTTATTATCTCCTTGAGAACAGTCACCTTGTCTTTCTTATTCTCAACAATAATCTTAATGTTTATCTCCTTCTCCAACACCATGCAGTCTTTCCCCCCAAAACAAATAAAAGGTAATACTTTGACAGATACGTATACTTTGAAGATATGTATATTTCAATGACAGATACACATTAGATTCTCCACAAATATCTGATAAATGAGAAAAAATAAATGGAAAAGATGAATCCAATCAATCAAACAGCCCCTTTCTAAGTGGTATCCCTCCAAATACTTGAAGAAAATTATCCTGCCTTATTTGCAACTCTTCTCAGAGATATACATTCATAATCTCTTCAGTTCTTCTTAGACCTGTTTTCAACATATCTGAACACTTCTTTATGTGTCTTGGACCTCTCAGTTTATTAATATTTCATCTTAAAATCTGGCATAAAGAACCAAGTCAGAGTTTTCCGATGTGATATAACCAGTGCAGATATGGTTACTGACAGACATAATCAAAATAACTTCATCCTGTGAGGCCTGCTCAAGCCACTAGTCAACCAGCCACCCTCCTGAAATACTACCTTGTTTCTACAGTGGTAAACTGAGGCAGATGTGGGACTACCCTGTCGCTATAGTAGTAATCTGAGGCAGGTGTGATACAATGCAGTGCTTCTCAAATTTTACTATTTAGACACTTCCCCTTAAGATCCCTGTCCCTTCCTTCTCAGATATATTTCAACCCTTCTGTAAAATGACTGGCAATGAGATCAAACCTTTCTTAAAATGAAAATTCTGATTCAGTTGGTTTGGAGAGAAGCCCAAGATTCAACTATTTCTAGTAAGATGCTGGTCTACAGGCATTATTTTGAGTAGCAAAGCTCTACTGGAATGCTGAACCAGGAAAACAGATAATCTAGTTTGAATTGAAGCCTTACCATTTAATAACAGCATACAGGTGAACAACTTAATTGGTTTTCTTATCTATAAAGTAGAGATAAATAGAACTATCTTGGAGAGAGATTTTTTAAGAGTTAAATAAGATAATTAATGTGTTGGCACACAGTAGGAATGTAATAAATATTATCTCAATGAATGGCCTTCTATCAATAGAAGTTGGCAGTTCATATTGAACGTATAGTCAGAAAAAAACTGACGTCTTTTCATAGAAATGGCTTCTAGGCAAAATTTCCTCTCATCTAGCATTTGTACATTTGATTTTTTTTTCTGAACCTAAATACAGGATTTAACATTTATAACTATTAAATTTCATCTTGTTAGCTTTGGCCAGCATTCCAGCCTGTCAAGATTGTTTTGAATTAAGATTCAGCTACTCGATGTATTAGTCATTGCTCCAAGCTTTATGTCATCTGCAAATTTGATAAGTAAGCCTTCTATGTCATTATACATATCATTAAAATGTTGAGTAGGACAAGACCAATGGCTGAGATATTCTACATTTTATTTGTTTTGAAGGAAAGACTATTCATGGGTTAGGGGGAGAAGCTGAGATTGTTTGACAAACTACCAATCTATTTAACTGAATATTATCCAGTCTACATTTCTCCATTTATCCCTCTATAGATTCCATAAAATAGTCCTGTGACATTGGTTAAATCAAAACACATTATGCCTATGGAATTTTATCTTTCCATCTAAAACTCAAAATAAAAAGTGAAACAAGATTAGTTTTGCATAAGGTATCCTCGGTGAACCTAAGCTATCTCCTAGTAATCACCATTTTCTTTTCTAAGCATTCAATCACAATTTGTTAACAACCTATTTTGTAATTTCAACAAACAAGATTTCATGTTATAGTCATTAGTAGCATATGCATTCTGTGACTAGAGACTGTTAGACACATTTTCCCCAAATTCTCAAGAATGTTTTATACATGTTTACCATATGCAAACACCTTTTCCTTACCCTTGTAGGTAATTCATATAGTTCTGAAGATGGAATCTTTTAAAACAGGTAGGCATGCCTTATTCCTTACGTATCTCAGCATTTACTTCCCTCTTGATTATTTTTATTCTACTCTCTCTGTTTTCAGTCCCATTTTCCTCAAAATAAAAGATAAATCTAACGTAATAATTGGGTAATTCTAACGATTGTTTCTTCTGTAATCTAGCTTTCTTTTGAGAATACCCTGTAAAAATCCATACTGATGGGAGTTTTCCCTTTGCAGCCACAACAGTTTTTGTATGTGGCTGCCCCTCCAGCAACATGTTGTACATCCCCATCTCTTCTCACTTATATTTCAACTCTGTTTTAAAACCATTGGTAATGAAATAAAACCTTTCTTTTCTTTTTTGTCAACATTTTTGGAATAAATAGTGATCTTTATTTAAAGAAAAGTTTATTCTCCTATTTTGACATTATAAAACTACACCTTCCCCACTCACATTTTTGCACAATTCATACACAATGAATCAGTTAAAACAAGTTGGAATCTTAATTTATTTGAGATGCCAATTTTCCATCAAAATAAAACAAACTCAGTTGCCTCCTACACACATGTGTGCACATACATAAAGATACACACACACCCTGACTCCATCAAGTCCCTTGGTTCTCCACTAGTCTTACCATGTCTTCATAGGTCCCTTTTTAACAGCCTGCATGCTAAACATGAATTCCTTAGGTGACACTGGCCCCTTCTGAAACCCAGTGATGAGATGATGAAGGAACTGGGGTGAACCCTACTTGTAATTGCTTGTGAGATGGAGGTTCCAAACACGATTTTTGCTAGCCTCAAGAGAGAACCAAGGAACGTGACATAGCTGGTAGTTGTGTATGTGTGTGTGTGTGTGTCCATGTGTGAGATGGTACTGTTAGTTTTGTTTCGATGGCCAAGTAGGGCAACTCAAATAAATTAAGATACCTATTTATTTTAACTGATCAATTTAATAGAAACATGAATGTATATAGATATGAACAGGAAAGGTATAGTTTCATAATGTGGACTCGGAGAGAAATGGTAGCTAGCCAAAGGTCACATACCTTTACAGACCAGAGGTCTTAAGAAGTTTGGGATGAGCTTAGATGATACATAGCCAGCAGCCATACAGCCATGAGAAGTTCCAATCACTGTATAGGAGTGTTCCACGAAATCCCTAGTTGCTATTTTTACAGGTGCCCTCTACTTGACACCCATAAAGCTAGGAGTGGACACTACTTCTCCACATGTGCCTCAGAAGAACCAAATGCATCCACCACCTTGCCTTTCGAAAGAGCTGCTGGGCCATGCTATATGGTGCTTGCTTCTGCCTTCCCAATATCCAGTGTTAATATATCCCCTTGGCAGACATGAAGAACACCAGCTCCAAGGGAATGTGGGCAATGCAGCATTTAACATCTCTGTCTTTGGGGCACTGGAAAGCACCTAGAAGCAGAAAAGAATGGTGTTGAGCTTTTCTGCTTGGTGATACCTGGCAGGGAACTACTTTCTAGATTCCCATCCTTTTAAAGAAATTCAATGCACATCTTCTGCAAACTCAAGAGATTATTCCTGAATGCATTCCCCAAGGAAAGATGTTCAAAACTAGAACCATCTCAAGGTGTTTGTTCTCTTCTAATATTGTTACAGAGCAATGAATGCTCAGGGTATACGTCATCAGTCTTGTATTTTTCCTACAGCTTGTTTCCACAGCAATTAAGAGCTTGAGGTTATTTGGTTGTGTTTTTCATGTTTACAAAAATACTGGTGGTGTTGAAAGGACAGATGAATAGGCTCTCTAAGTGTGGCAGAGAAAGCAAAGCAGAACTTTCAATTCCACAAAGCATCTCACAAATTCTCCTTTATTGCCAGCACAATCTGCCTCTGGCTTTAAAAACAATAACTGCATCTTTTCATTCTTCTCTCTTAAAAAAACTTGTCCCTGCTCTCAAAGAGACAAATTTTCATTTTTTCCTATGCTTTCAAGAATTTATTAATCTCAGAAGCCAATTATTACAAGGAAGTGGATATCACAGAAAGAAAACATGAACTATAGATTTGGGAGATAAATGAGCAGAGGGAAACTCAAGGGTATTTTAAAGTTACTACTGGTTTCTTCACCACTGTGAAAAACCAAAGACTTTCAATTCCTAAATTCAGGCCTTGAGGTAACATTAGAACATTGTGTATTTATCTGTACAACTGGACATTGTATATTTATCAGCCACTTGTGTGGCTAACTCCTAAAATTACCACTGAAAAGAAGATTTATGCTTTAGGAGTCTCACTTGCCTCTGTTTGAGCCCTAAGATATCATGGTCAACGGCACCCTCTTAAAATCTATTTTTACCAGTTATAATTGTTAAGGAATAATTTTCTAGTTATAATTGTTATACAGAAACTGCACAAAATTAACATATACAATTTGGTGATTTTGTACATATGTATAAACTCATGTTACCTTCACAATCCAGGTTATAAATATATTCGTCACCTCCAAAAGTTTTCTTGTGTGCCTTTGTGGTTTTGTGCTTGGGGGAAGTAAGAACACTTACTATGAAATTTACCCTGCTAACAAATTTTAGGTACACAATACCTTATTGTTAACTATAGGCACTGTGTTGTACAGCCAATAAGGCCAAAATTCTTGTATTTTATATGCATCTATCCATATGGCCCCAGAGTTAATGGGTGCCTCCTCTACTCGCTTGCCCTTTGAAAATGCACAGAGCTAGCCATGCCTTGTAGAGGAATTATTTGGCCAACCCACTTCCCATTGCTTGGAACCAACCGTGAAATAATTAGAACACTGCCATCTCTTTCTCCATTATGTTTCTAGAAATTAGGGCAAAATAGGAGGCTAGAGGAAGCATAAAATAAAAGCTAGACTTCAGACCAGAGGAAAGCTGAGAGAATAACTGTTTTGAGGTATCCTCTGATCAATGCCACTTAATCTGTCACCTTCTAGTTTGCGCATCTGTTCATGATCCCTATTCTTAATACTCTTGCTTGATCCTGGATCCTTCTCAGAATACTTAGCCTAGCTTTAGAGAAAAAGCTTAAGCAATTAACTACATTGCAATGTGAAATGTGGTCAATATCTAAAAGATGTACAGTTAAAGCATTATATATAGGAATTCAGAGGAGAGGTTACTATATATGCTTGAATACAAGGCAAGTCATTTTTCTACAAATGACCTCTCCCTTATATTGCATTCCGTATACATTTTTCCAGAATACATGTTCTATCAGTAAATATACTTTGAACAACAAACTACTATTCCAGAAAAATATATTAGCCTAAACCAGTGGGTCTCTTACTTCAGTGTACATCAGAATCAACTGGAGGGTTTGTTAAAACACAGATAGCTGAGCACCATCCTAAAACTTTCTGAGGTCTAGGGTGGGGCTGAAACAGGCATAGTTCTAACAAATAGCCAAGTAATGCTTATGCTGCTGGTCTGAGGACCTCATTTTGAAAACCACTGCTCTACTAATATTGGTTTTAGATCAGTGGTTCTAAACTCTTGTTGCACATTAGAATCATCTGGGGAGATTTCACAAACTAACATTCCAAGGCTCCGTCCCAGATCAATTAAATTAGAATACGGGAGAGAGGACCTCAGTGTGCCCTGCTTGTAGTTTTTAATGCCCTTCAGGTAATTCTAGGCTACGGCCAGGGTTGAAAGCACCTGTTTTAAATCAGTATCAACCAATTTCAGCTAAAATAATCAGGGTTTTTTTTTTCTATATTACAAGTCACCAAGCAAAAAATAATAATCAGTTTTTTAAAGAGGAAAACACATTTGGCCTAAACTCAGTAAATAATCCTGGGGCATGTGGCTTTACATGTGCAAATGAGGATACATGGTTAATTTGTGGAAATCACTAATATATGCCTAAAGAATGGAAAATAAGAAACAAAACACTCTTCTAATCACACAGGTACGGATTTTTGCAGCTTGGGTTAAAGCTTCTAGTAGCAACATTATAGGAAGTGGTATATATCAAACAACATAAGTGAAAGCAAAGATGGTATCTTATGTAAAACCATGTTGGAGGACCAAAAGGAGTGACCTCTAATGATCATAAAGACAATGATACTGAAGGTACAGGTGCCAAGTTTGAAGAACATTGTTCAAAAAAAGTGAAAACAGAACAAAGCACTATTTCTAAAATCACTGAGGTTTTATAAATGTGATTTTAAATATGCATGTGTAACTCTATTGATACATTTGATATTGTCAGTAGACTAATATAGTAGGAATATACATTGGTCAAATGTATTGAGTACTAGCAATACAGATGTGAAGCCATCATTGAGAATTATCTTCAAAAGTACATTCGAAATATATTCAAATATATTCGAATATCTTCGAAATACATGCGAGTCAGCCAATATTTTTATTCTCTGCATGCATAAACTTGGATAACATCTCATACCCAGGGATATACAGAATTTTTGGCTAAGAGTATCAGGAATGTCTTTCTGGGAGAGGTGGTATTTGAGCTGGCCTTCATAAAATAAGTAGGTATTCATCAAGTAATTCAAAAGTAGAAAGTTCTTCCAAACAGGAGAAACCACACGAGTGATGGAATTGTGAAAAGAAAGCAAAAGGTGAGTAGTAAAGACGCCAAGATGAAAAAGTAATACACTGCTAAATCGTGGCGACTTAACATTAAGATAAGGAAATTTTACTTTTATTCAGAGTATTTTCCAGATGATGCCCCCTCCAGTAACAGATTTCTGATTGGAAACATCCTTATTGCTCCTCAACCCTCTTCAGCCTTCACTTCTCTTCAGAAAAAAACTTGAAATTTTCGAAAATGACTCTAAATGATGGCTTAACACCTGTATTGCTAGTCCTCATCTGACTTTTAAAAACTCTATGTCATAGACTCCCATGAACAGTTAGAGATCTTGAAGAAAAAAAAGTCGTCACATAAACGTAGTATTCCAGTTACCTATTACTGTGTAACATGCATCCAAAAATTTAGTGGCTTCTAAAATCAATTTATTATCTTTCATGATTCTGTTTATTAACCAGGTGTTTCTTCTGCCTCACATGGTGTTGGCTAAGATACAGGGATATCTAAAAAGTTCAGAATGGCTCTACTCACATGGCTGGCTACCGGATGGTTACTGAGCTCAACTGGAGGCTTTAGTTCTCCTGCAGGTGGGACTCTCCACATAGCTACTTGGGTTTCTTCACAATAGGGTAGATGGGTTCGAAGAATGACCATTGAAAAAGGTGAATGAGTAAGCTACAGATCTCTTAAGGCTCATCCTTTGATGTTACGCAGTATCACTTGAGATGCATTCCATTCCAAACAAGTCAGAGGAATGGGCCAGATTCAACAGGGAAAAAAGGCAGACTCCACCTTTTCATAAAGGAGTGACAAGATCACATTGCAAAAGAGTATGTGGGATGGGAAACATAGTTACTGCCATCTTTGAAGACACAATGTACCATACACACAGAAGTCTAGCCATTAACCAATACGTGGGGACTTCAGGGATTAGCAGTAAATATGATGAAAATATTGTACAAAATTATATAAATTAAAACATTTAAAAATCTTCTTAAAGCATAATGACAAATCAAAAATTAGCCCAGACTGAGAAGGTAAAGATCTTTACTACTCTTCATCGGAATGGCATAATAGATATAGATAAAACCAGCTGCAATGTTGTCAGCTAAACAGTAGGTGCTGGACCATAATAATTCCAAGGAAGCAAAGTGGATCTGAGTTTTAATAAATAAATATATATATTAAATATTTATATATAATTTTCTAGAAAATATGATACATATACATATATATAATTTTCCAAAACACCCTTCATGGTCATGTCTTTCTTATTCAACTTAATGATGGTAGCAGTGGTGATAGCAGCAGGAGGATAACAGTAGAATCCATTTTTTTAAATCATAACATTTTTATGGGGATTTCCAGTTTCCAATTCTGCATGTAAGGAATTTGGAAGTCATCACTTTGTCCTAACGATAGAAAGCTGAACAAACTGAAAAATCAATAATTCTTCTTAGATCCATAAGAGAAGTGTGGTCACAAGGCAAACTGCTGCCCCCAAAATTGAAGAGACAGATAGGTGGATACAGAGAATCACAACATAGCAGAGCAGAAACCTCTTTGGGAACCAAAGCTGATGCAGGAAAATCTGGACTGAAATTGACAAATTGCCGTAGGCAGGGCATGGACACCTTGGAGTTAAAAGCTCCAAGGTGGGCAGGGCATGATGGCTGACGCCTGTAATCCCAGCGCTTTGGGAAGCTGAGACAGGAGGATCACAAGGTCAGGAGTTCGAGACTGGCATGGCCAACATGGTGAAACATCATCTCTAATAAAAATACAAAAATTAGCCGGGTGTGGTGGCACGCGCCTGTAGTCTCAGCTACTCGGGAGGCTGAGGCAGGAGAATCACCTGAACCCAGGAGGCGGAGGTTGCAGTGAGCCAAGACCGTGCCATTGCCCTCCAGCCTGGGTGACAGAGCAAGACTCCATCTCAAAACAAAACAAACAAAACAAAACCTCCAAGGGGACCCAGTAAAGGGAAGCAGGGGTTTTATCAGTACCTAACTGACCTGGGAGAAGGGAAATACTCAACTCCGGTCCACTCTAGCCAACCTGCCCAGGCTAAGAGGAGAAAACAAAACTGAGAAACATTTGTGAAGTTCACAGTCCAGAGGCATAGGCTCATTAAAAGACTGAGATATAATCAAAGGATTATAGAATGCTTCCTCAACACACACTTTACCACCACATTACTAAAGTCCTATTTACAGCAGTTCCTTTTACCTATTTCTCAATATCTGGCTATCAATAAAAAAAAAAAGGCATACTAAAAGGCAAAAAACATAACAAAACAAAACAAAAACACAGTTTGAAGAAACAGAGCAAACATCAGAACCAGATATAGTAGGGATATAGGAATTATCAAACAAGGAATTTAAAACATTAATCATAAAATCAAATATGCTAGAGGCTCTATTGGTTAAAGTAGACAGCATGCAAAAACAGATGGGCAGTGTAAGCATAGAGAAATACAAATCCTAAGAAAGAACCAAAAAGAAATGCTAAAATCAGCAACACTGTAACAGAAATGAAGAATGCTTTTGATGGGCTTATTAGTAGACTGAAAACAGCTGTGCAAAGAATCGCCAAGCTTGAGAATATACCAATAGAAATTTTTAAAAGTGAAAAGCAAAGATAACAAAGACTAAACATAAAAACAAAATAAAAAAATAAAAAGAATTTAAGAAAAAGATAAGACTGAATTAAAAAATCAGAACACAATATTCAAGAACTGTGGGACAACTATAAAAGGTGTAACATACATATATTGGGAATACTAGAAAAAGAAGACAAAGAAAGGAACAGAAAAAAGTATTTGAAAAAATAATGACTGAGAATTTTTCCAAATTAATATCAGAACCTAACCACACATACATGAAGTTCAGAAAACCCCAAGCAGAATAAATGTAAAAAAAAAAAAAAAAAAAAAAAAAAAACTACACCTAGGCATATCATTTTCAAACTACAGGAAGTCAAAGACTTTTTTTAAAAAAATTCCTGGCTGGGTGCGGTGGCTCACGCTTGTAATCCCAGCACTTTGGGAGGCCGAGGCAGGCGGATCACAAGGTCAGCACATCGAGACCATCCTGACTAACACGGTGAAACCCCGTCTCTACTAAAAATACAAAAATTAGCGGGGCGTGGTGGCAGGTACCTGTAGTCCCAGCTACTGGGGAGGCTGAGGCAGGAGAATGGTGACAACCCGGGAGGTGGAGCCTGCAGTGAGCTGAGATGGTGCCACTGCACTCCAGCCTGGGCTACAGGGCTACAGAGCGAGACTCCGTCTCAAAAAAAAAAAAAAAAAAAAAAAAAAAAAAAAAAAAAATCCTAAGAGAAGCCAGAGAGGAAAAATAATTTACATAAAGAGAAACAAAGATAAGAAATACATCTGACTTCTCTTCAGAAACCATGCAAACAAGAAGACAGTAGAATGAAATACTTAGTATTGAGAGAAAAAAGGCCCACCAACCTAAAATTCTATAGTCTACAAAATTATCCTTCGAAAAAAAGGCAGAAATCAAGTTTTTCTTAAACAAACAAAAACTGAAGTAATTTGTTACCTATAGACCTGCTTTGCAAGAAATATTAAGTTATTCAGAGAGAAGGAAAGCAATACAGGTCAGAAACTCATATCTACCTAAAGAAAGGGCATTGAAAAAAGAATGAATGCCAGTAAAATAAAAACTGTTACTTTTTTTATTCTTAATTGATCTAACATCTAACAGATCAAAATCATACTAGCAATAATGTATTTCATTATACATACTTGTATGTGTATGTATTCATATATATGTGTGTGTATATATATATATATATAGTGTGTGGGGTATGTGTGTCTGGGCTTATATAAAGGCATAGCTCATTTTATTGCATTCCATTTTATTACAAATTGCATTCCATTTGTAAAAAAAATTGCATCTTTTTATAAATTGAAGGTCTGTGGTAACCCTGTATTAAGTAAGTCCATCAGGGCCATTTTTTCAACAGCATGTGCTCACTTTCTGTCTTTGAGTCACGTTTTGGTAATTCTCATAGTATTTCAAGATTTGTCATTATTATTATATCTGCTATGATGATCTGTCATCAGCGACCTTTTATGTTACTACTGTAATTGTTTTGGGGTGCCATGAACCATGCCCATATAAGATGGCAAACAATAGATAAATGTTGTGTATGTTCTGACTGCTTCACCAACGGCCATTCACCCATCTCTTTCTCTTTCCTTGGACCTCCCTATTCCCTAAGAAACAAAAATATTGAAATTAGGACAACTAATAACCCTACAATGGCCTCTTAAGTGTTCAAGTGAAAGGAAGAGTCATATGTCTCTCGCTTTAAATTCAAAGCTAGAAATGATTACACTTAGTGAGGAAGGCATGTCAAAAGCCAAGAGAAGCCAAAAGATAGGACTCTTGTGCCAAACATTGGCCAAGTTGTGAACGCAAAGGAAAAGTTCTTGAATGACATTAAAAGTGCTACTCCAATGAACATGTGAATGATAAGAAAGCAAAACAGCCTTTTTGCTGATATGGAGAAAGTTTGAGTGGTCTGGATAGAAGATCAAACTAGCCATAACATTCCCTTAAGCAAAGGCCTAGTCCATGAGAAGGGCCCAACTCTCTTCAATTCTATGAAGGCTGAGAGAAGTGAGGAAGCTGAGAAGAAAAGTGTGAAGCTAGCAGAGGTTGGTTCATGAGGTTTAAGAAAAGAGGCCAGGCGCAGTGGCTCACACCTGTAATCCCAGTACTTTGGGAGGCCGAGATGGGTGGATCACCTGAGGTCAGGAGTTCGAGACCAGCCTGGCCAACATGGCGAAACCCCGTCTCTACTAAAAATACAAAAATTAGCCGGATGTGGTGGCATGCGCCTGTGCTCCCAGCTACTCAGGAGGCTGAGGCAGTAGCAGCGCTTGAACCCAGGAGGCAGAGGTTGCAGTGAGCCAAGATCGCACCACTGCACTCCAGCCTGGGTGACAGAGCGAGACTCTGTCTCAAAAAAAGAAAAGAAGAGAAGAGAAGAGAAAAAAAAGAAATGAAAAAAGAAGCCATCTCTATAATACAAAAGTACAAGGTAAAGCAGCAAGTTCTGGTATAAAAGCTGCGGCAAGTTATCAGGAGGATCTAGCTAAAATCACTGATGAAAGTGGCTACATTAAACAACAGATTTTCAATTTAGATGAAACAGCCTTATAGCAGAAGAAGATGTTATCTAGAACTTTCATAGCTAGAGGTGAGAAGTCAATATGCATATGAAAAGATGCTTTCTTTAATCAGTTTTGTAGCTTTCCTCATACAGATTTTGTCCATGTTTCATTAGATTTATACCTAAGTATTTCATTTTGGGGGGTGCTACAGCAAATAACACTGTGTTTTTAAATTTCAAATCTTACATGTCCATTGTTGGTATATAGGAGAGCAATTAATTTTTGGATATTAACTTTATATCCTGCAACCTTGCTATAATAGCTTATTAGTTCCAGGAGGATTTTGTCAATTCTTTCAGATTTTCAACATTGACAAATATGTCATCTACAAATAAGAACAGTTTTATTTCTTTCTTTTCAAACTGTGTATCTCTTATTTCCTTTTCTTATCTTTTTGCTAGCTAAGACTTCCAGTATGATACTGAAAATATGCTCCACATCACGTGTCATTAGGGAAAGGCAAATTAAAACAACAATGTGATACCACTATACATCTATTACGACGGCCATAACCCAGAACAGTGAAAATAGTAAATGCTCGCAATGATGTGGAGCACAGGAATTCTCATTCTTTGCTGGTAGAAATGTAACATGGCACAGCCACTTTGGAAGACAGTTTGGTGATTTCTTCCAAAACTAAACATACTTTACTATACAATCCAGCAATCACCTCCTTGTTATTTACCCAAAGGAATTGAAAACCTATATCTATACAGAAATTTGTACACAGACGTTTAGAGCGGCTTTATTAATTGCCAAAACTTGGAAGCTGCCAAGACATCCTTTAGTATGTGAATGAATAAACTGTGATACATTAAGACAATGGAATATTATTCATATGCTAAAAAGAAATGAGCTATCAAGCTATGGAAAGACACTGAGGAAACTTAAGTTCATATTACTAAGCGAAAGAAGCCAATATTGAAAGGCTACAGACTATATTATTCCAACTATATCACATTCTAGAAAAGGCAAAATTATGGAGGCAGTAAAAAGATCAGTGGGTTTCCAGGTGTTAGGGGAAGGGGAGGTATGAATAGGTAGAGTACAGAGGAATTCTAGGGCAGTGAAAATACCCTATATGATAGTATAACGGTGGATACATGCCATTCATACATTTGTTCAAATGCATAGAATGCACAACGCCCATGTAAACTATGGACTCTCAGTAATAATGATGTCTCAGTGAAGTTCATCAGTTGTAACCAGTGTACCACTCTGGTAGTGGATGTTTATAACCGGGGAGACTATGCATTTATAGGGTACAAAGTTTACGGGATATCTCTGTATCTTCCCTTCCATTTTGTTGTGAACCTAAAACTGCTCTCAAAATTGTCTTTAAAAAAATCTTAACTACCATTTACTGAATTATTCCTCTATACTAAGGACTGGAAGCCATCATTTAATTCTCACTCAACATTTAATTCTCACAACCACCCTATGAGAAAAGTACCACCACCTCAATTTTATAGAAAAGAGAAGCCTAAAGAGGTTATACACTTTTCCTAAAGTACACAGCTAGCAACCCATGAAGATGGGGTTCTAACTCAGGAGTTGACAGGTTTGTTGTTATTGTTTTCTATAAAGGACCAGAGAGTAAACAATATTGGCTTTGTGGGTCACTTGGTCTCTGTCTCAACTACACAAGTACTCTACTCTGCCACTATAGCATGAAAGTGGCCAAAGACAACATGTAAACTAATGAGCATGATTGTGTTTCAACAAAACTTTATTTATAAAAATAAGCAGTGGGTAAGATTTGGCCTGCAAGCCATAATTTTCTGACTCCTATTCTTGCTCAAGACTGATCTAAGCTTCTTGACTCAGATTTCATGAAAAAATGTTTTTTATATCTTTACATCCCCATCAACATCTAGCACACCAAGCACGTATGCATAGGCACTCAATAAATATTTGTTGATGGAATGACCAATAAATAAATTAATTCAACTAACACTTATTGGGCATCAACTATGTCCTAGGCACTGTTGTAATCACTTGTCCTAGGCACTGTTATAATCACTTGATATATGTTACTGAACAAAACAGAAATCCCTGCCTGTGAGGAGCTTACAATTTACAAATCTCCAACTCATATAGCATAATTATACGGGTTTCATATTGCTGCCATAACAAATTCCCACAAACATGGTGGCTTAAAACAACACAATTCTGTTATCTTACTGTTCTGTAGGCAAGAAGTCCAACATCAGTCTCACCAGGCGAAAATGAAGGCATTAGCAGGGCTGCATTCCTTTTTGGAGGATCTAGCGGAAGATTTCTTTCCTCACTCATTATGGTTCTTGGCAGAATTCATTCTCTAAACACTCCCAGTATCTCAGATACTCCCAGTGTCTCAGAACTAGCAACTGGGTGTTGAATCATTCTCCTGCTTCCATCTTTCTTTCTGACTACAACCGGGAAATGTTCTCCAATTTTGAGGACCCATGTGATTGGGTCCTTAAATTGGGCCGACTTGGATAATACAGTATAATCTCCCCATCTCGAGATAACGTTAGTCACATTTGCAAAGTCTGTTTCGTCACGTAAGGTAACATATTGACAAGCGCCAGAGAGTAGAACATGGGCATCTTTTGGGGGACATTATTCTGTCTACCACAAATGCCATCATAGAATTTTATATTAAATCTGATGAATTTGATCTTTGCCAATGGATCATAATTCTAGTGAGTCAATATGACATAAATAATAAATTATTTAATTATAAATAAAATTATAAATTAATGTGTGTGATAATCCATTAATCTCAGAATAAATTACACTTTTCCCAGCTTTGCTCAAACCTGTAGATCTGAGAATTGCTACTGCTCAAGCCAGTCCTAAATAATGCCAGCAGTTTTCAAAGACTCTTACCTAAAATTAAAAACATTAAAAATAAGTCTTTTTATCATAAGCCTGGCATATCTTGAAGGAATTCTCCATTTTGAACACAAACTGTGCATTCTTAGCTCCTGCCTAAAAATAGGATTCCTACATGTCATTGAATTGAAGTGCTGCCCCTGCCCTTGCCATGTTAGCTCAGGCCACTTGACTGGGCCTCTGCCTTTGTTTTATGATTTGCCTTTCAGTCCCCTAACATTGACTAGAATTTTAGCTGCAAAGCTGTCATCTTCCCTAACCCTTACCAATCCCCCCAACTGCATTTATATTACAGGCAGTGGTCACGTCTTCCTCCAACTGAGATGGACAATATCAATCATAATGCAAGACTTTTAGCTCCAGGAGAGTTACTCTCTGGTTTGCCCAACCTTTTATTGATGATAGACACTATCTAAACTGGCCCAGTTTCCCCTAAGCCACAGCATTGAGGCTTGGTCTGCTCATCACTCTAGCTTCTCAACACCAGGCCTGCCCTTAAAGCTAGCCTAGTTCCCAAAATCCAACCCTAGGTGTATTATTTGTCTTCCTTAATGGCCCCACCATCTACCCACGGTTAAATTAAAAACCCTGGAGGAATTTTCAATTCCACTCTGCCTTTATCACCAACTTTAAATCACCATATTGTTCTGATCACCATGGAACAAACAGAGAAGGACTGGCTTGGCAAGGGAAATAACAGTTTCTGTTTTAGAGAAAAGGCCCACTTTTCACCCCTAGACATTCAGCAACCCTCGCCAATGAAGCACCCTCAGGTCACGGGAGAAGGTTCTTTATAATCTCTGGAATGAAGGGAGACTTTTGAAAGTTCTGGTTCTGGTTCGAGTAGAAAGAATATTAATCTTAGAGTTTTAAAGACCTGATTTCTTTTTTAGGCTCTGCCGCCTACTTTGACCATTTTTTCAACTAGGAAATGCAAATAACACCTACCTTACGGGGTGGCTGTGAAAATTAAATAAGGTAATGAGTATGAAAGCACTATGTAAAAGGCACGTATCAGCTGTTATCATTATGATTATCCTACTAATACCCCCTGTCTCCACTGCAGCAAATATTACTACTGTTCAGGGTGATGGGTGAATATTATAAAGCTAATCATTCAGATGCATTCAAAAGACCATTCACTTTTGTTTTATCGTATTAGCAGAGGTTATTTTATTCTAATCCTGTCCATCAAGTTACATTTTGGACAGAGCTCAGTCTGATCGAACCTGCCAATATCAGCTTGGGTCTACTTAAAGATTCATTCAACCACCTTCTCTGAAAGCACAAGCCAACATTTGTGTATATCTGTATCATAAATCACATGCTAACAAGTGCCAAAAGCAGTCACCTCTTTTATGAATCAGTCATTGATTCCCAAGACTGAATTAGCCCCTTCTTCTCCTATTTACCATCATATGTTGCCAACTCTGTGATAGCATTTATAATATGGCATTATAATGGTGTCTTTGACCTTCTACAAGAGATGGTGAGCAACTGTAGGGTAGAGATTTAGTCTTTGTATTCTCATTCATGGCACACAGTAGATAGCCAATACATGTTTATTAAAATAAAGGAGGGAGAGCCGGGTGCGGTGGCTCATGCCTGTAATCCCAGCACTTTGGGAGGCCGAGGCGGGTGGATCACCTGAGGCCAGGATTTCAAGACCAGCCTGACCAACATGAAGAAACCCGGTCTCTATTAAAAATACAAAAAATTAGCCGAGCATGGTGGCACATGCCTGTAATCCCAGCTACTCAGGAGGCAGAGGCAGGAGAATCGCTTGAACCCCGGAGTCAGAGGTTGCAGTGAGCCGAGATCGTGCCATTGCACTCCAGCCTGGGCAACAAGAATGAAACTCTGTCTCAAAAAAAGAAAGAAAGAAAGAAAGAAAAATAAAGGAGGGAGTAGAAGGAGATCCACACTATAGGGGAAATTACCACTTAAATAGCTACATTGCTCTAGCATATTTTAGGTATGCAGGGATTTCAAAGAAAGGAGAAACAAAATAAAGAAAAACCATTCTTTCCAAAAATCTCCAGTTTACTTTTCTATAGCATGTTTAAAAGGTGTTATCAGTTGTTTGTAAGTGCAATATAAATTAGGCTAATTATTCCAAACACTTCACATTAGAGATACGTGAAAGAAGCAGCAGTTTATTTGAACCTCTCAGCTCTTGAATGACCTGTGCCTTCTGGAGAAGGAGAGAGCTTAAGTTTTATTTAGAGAAAAATCCAGCATTACATATAGAATATAGATGTGTTTCTGAGAAGGAAGACCAGAGAGGGAGGAAAATTTCTCATTTGGAAAGTTGTTCCTATAAGAATTTTAATTACATACTTTCAAATAATAACATCACCTATCTTGATATCATATAATCCCTTCTTGGTAATCTTCCTTGATATTTAAGTCTAAAATTAGCCCAAGTAACCCTTGGATTATATGCAAATGAAAATTCTGTGCTATTGCAGATACTTTTTAAGGCACTGCTACCATTGGAAAACATGATTCTCCTGGGTTAGGTAAGAGGTCAGGGCTTCAATGACTACCCTACTGCGCTTCAGTCATGCATCACAAATGTTGACATGTACCCCTGAGAGTCTTGCGGAAATGCAGATTCTGATTCAGTGGGTATGATTCAGTGGATCCAGGTCATGTACAAAGGATCGGAAATGAGACTATTTCTGACCTTTTAACATTTCCAACAATTTCCCAGGTGATACCCAAGCTGCTGATCTGCAAACCACACATTGAGTAACAAAGTTATCATAGACATGGTGATTTTTAAAAATTCACTATCAGTGAAATTTTTTAAGGTAATCTGCCACTGCACTTCCCCTATGTCAGTGGTTATGAAAATTTTCCACTTAACACCTTTTACTTGAGAGAATAACAGCTTTAATAAGCAGCCTTGAAACACTGAAGCTTTTAGTTAGTCCGAATTTAACCACTATGCAAAATGTGGCTTATGTGATGATTAAGAAATGATAACATCCTTGGCAGATGAGGTAAGTTATATTTAAGCTACATTTTTTCTTCAAAAAGTCCTTTTTCTATGGCTCAACATGGGAATAAAAGGGATTCTCATCTCACGTGACCATTTCCCAGTAATGAGATAGCTCTTGGAATAATTTAACTGACCAGGAGAGCCAATCCAGAGAGCCCTTAATCAGTAATGACAAATTGAAGCACCTTAAAAGTAAAAGAAGTTGTGTTTTCCAACGCTTGCCATTTTAGATTTTAGCCATGCCCTAGAGTTATAAAACTGCTTCCTCATCAATCCATTCTCCATGCCACTAACATTACTTATTTTGGCTGAGCATTCAAGAGTAGAAATTTTAAACTAAATGATAGAAGAACTACAGCTCCTAGACAGCATACATTACGCCATGGCAGTATTGAAAATCTGCAGGCCCTCACACTCAGATTGAAAGTTTTCCCTCTCATTTTCCCCTTCTCACTAATCCTCTTTTTTTCTCAGTTTCCTCCCTACCTTAAGCAGTTGATATGCTGTATAAAACTTGTGGATGAAGTAAATCTTATGAGAAAAAGTATATTTTAAGTGCACTTAACAAAAATTACTTTTTGTGATGAATTCTATATAAAGAAATAAATTATTCTTTGTAAACAAACATTCCCCAAATATCTGTTAACAAATTTTTCAAGCTCTTGTCTCATCATTTTAAAGCAGAATATCTCTACACTTTCACTTAACACATCACTTTAAATACTTTCGTTTTGTTTACTTCAACAAAGGGAAACTAACAGCCATGAGATTGGTGAAGGATCTGGGGCTATCAAGAGCAGTAGATGGCTACTAGTAGTAGGGCAGAAAAATAATGGAGAGATCCATTATCTAGAACCCAGGAAGATCTGTGGTTATAGGAAAAAGACACCCTGTGCCCTTGGATACAGGAATACAGCCACTTCCCTTCCACTGGTCAAACTGAACCCTAAATTGACAATGTCAATAGAGGTCAGACTCCTAAAGCACAGAGCAGGACAGCAGGGTAGAAAAGCATGGAGATAGAACTTGTAAGGCTGTAAAAAGAGCACTGGGCACAGTGGCAGGTATACGTAACATATAGGAAATAGGAGAGTTGAGGGAACATTCACTTACTGAATGCTGAGACCATTAATCCCTTCCCCACAGTCACAGTAGCCAGGCTTCAATACTCGAGGCAGGAGATTGGATGGTTCATCTCTAGGGGATGAAAAAGAAATGAAAAACTAGATTAAATATTGGAAGACAAAATTGAGAAAAAAATAATGTAAAGCAAAAAGACAAAGAAATGAAAAATTAGAGGATAAGAAAAGTGAGAAGGAAGCCAACAGTTCCAACATAAATAAACAGTTATAGAGTCCCAGAACATGAAGGGTGATAATGAAGGAGAAGAAATCATCAAAAAATAAAATTCAGCAAAACTTTCCAGATGGATTTCCAGATTGGAAAGACTTGCCAACTATGCAGCACAATAGATGAAATCAGGCCCTCACCAAGGGAACTTTACCATAGAATTTAAGAGCACGGAGACAAAATGAAGATACCGTGAGCTTCCAGAGAGGGAGAAAAAACAGGTCATATACAAAGGATCAGAAATGAGACTATTTTTGACTTTTTAACAGCAAAGTAAGAAGCCTGTAGGCAATGGAGCAATACCACCAAACTTTTGAAGGAACACAATACCCAACCTATAATTCTACACTTAGCCAAGTTACCAATTAGAAGACTTTTTCAGATATGCAAAAACTCAAAATTTTATCTCCTAGCATCTCTTTCTCATTTGGTTACTGAAAAATGTGTTATATCAAAATGAAGGGTGTAAACCAGAATAGAGGAGGAAGTCGAATACAGAAAACATAAAACTCAGAGACAAAGATATCCCAGAATGACCCATATGCACCATGCAGAGAAAATAACCAGTCCAATTCAGAGAGATTTCTTCAGAAAAAAATAAAATACCTGATGCATTAGGGAGAATTTAGATAATTAATTAGGGAGAGAAGTTGAGTTAGTGATAAGTTGAGTTAGTGATAATTATACTTTATGTTATAGGGTAACTATAACATAAGGCAATTATTAGTATCAGAAAAAAATATTTTGCAAAAAACAGCGGCCGGGCATGGTGGCTCACGCCTGTAATCCCAGGTTTGAGCTCTTTAAATAATATCATATTTCTTAGAAGTTTTGTTCATTTAAAAAATTCTCACTGGGCGTGGTGGCTCACGCCTGTAATCCCAGCACTTTGGGAGGTTGAGGCGGGTGGATCACGAGGTCAGGAGATCGAGACCATCCTGGCTAACACGGTGAAACCCCAGCTCTACTAAACATACAAAAAAAATTAGCCAGGCGTGGTGGCGGGCGCCTGTAGTCCCAGCTACTCGGGAGGCTGAGGCAGGAGAACGGCGTGAACCCGCGAGGCGGAGCTTGCAGTGAGCCGAGATCGCGCCACTGCACTCCAGCCTGGGCGATAGAGCAAGACTCCGTCTCAAAAAAACAAAAAAACAACAAAAACAAAGAATCACAATATATGATGCAGCTCAGTTGTAGTGTTTACACAGTTACACTAATGTAAATATTGAAGATTGAAGATTTCATTAACTTACAAGAGGAAGTCTGAATATGTGAGGATAGAGGAAAAAAGAGAACGGAATTGTCATTTTTCTTTCTGGAATGTCAATCAATAATATTTATACCCAGAAAATCAAGAAGTAGAAATAAAAGCATGTTATTTAGGGAAATAGAGATAAATACTCAAAGATATAGCTAAATGATCATTGTAGTTTTCTGTATAATTTGTACAGAAATAATAAGCGGACATATTTTTCTGCATTCAAAATTTAATGAAAATTTTAAATTAAATTTAAAATATGAAGATAAATTTCAAAATTTTAAAGATAAATAATATAGGATATTTCTTTCACTTCTGAGGTATGATAGTTCACAAATTACAGCATGCAATTCTTGTCTTTCTTTACATGATTGTTTTTAATATATTCAGTTGCAAAGGGATATGTTTGCTTTCTAATTATTTCATAAAGCATGATTAAACCAAATGTTAGCGTTGAAGTAAATGACTCATCTTATTCTTTTGTCCACTAAAACATGAATAAAGAACCTAGATGCATCTTTGAAAATTTCTACAATTTCTAACATTGATTAATCTTTGTACCATATTTAGATTATTATGACTTGAAATTCTTCTTGAAAGTTGGCATTACCGTTAATGAAATACTGGAAGTTTTAAATAATGGAAACTCCTTGCTATATAATAGATGAAAATTGTAAGTCTTTTTTCCTAAGACTGACTTTCTTTGTCAAGACTTTGATGAACAGTTTCTAATAATGACATTTTCCCAGGACAATTTGAAAATTATACTTTAGAATTCTTAATTAAGTTCTGTTGCTTCAACATGCCAACACTATAGCACATCAACAATGTGAATTTTCTCCTCCACTTTGCATAATGCCTCTTAAAATCTATGATAGGAAAAATTTATCTTACTCATTTCATCAATCTCCTAACTAGAAAAAAAAATAAAGAGGATATGGCTTCATAGTGTGCTTAGAGAGCGGACAGAAACTGAGAAGTATGCTAAGAAAATACAAAGATTTACTTAAAATTCGTTTGCATAGTAATGTGAAAATATATGTCCATGACTATTTAAGTCATGAAAAAATGAATAGGAGAATTGAAGTGAAAAAACATAATTATCAATTCCAAATCAAAACATGAAAAAATAATATCAAGCTCTTTAATTCACATTTTATATGTATTAGTTTATATAATCCTAAAAACAAGCCTATAAAATGAACACTATTACTATAGTAACCTATTTTACAAATAATGAAACCGAGACATGAAAGTGAAGAAATTTACCTTGCTAGAAAGTTGTAAATACGGAAAGTAAAAGTAAACCCAAACATCTTTGAGCAGAAACTATCCTTTAAGTCACTATTCTAAAACAATTTATATTTAACTTTTAGCTAATTACGGTTTTCCAACAGATTCTATTTGCGTAGTAAAAATATAAGAACAGTTTATCTTTCTCCTCATTCATTTTCAACTTCAATGCTGTTATGCATTTTCTCCAGTGTTCGTGATCCAGTCCTAATCTAGCTTTAAGAAAAAAAAAAGCAATCAACTGGAGCCAAGATGGCCAACTAGATGCAACCAGGAAAAGCTTTGACCAACAAGAGAGACCAGACCATCAAGTAGACCAGGATATTCTGAACAGATTTTTAGAAAGAAGGCATTTTAGAAAGAAGACATACAACAAATGCAAACCCTGGATGATAGGTGAGGAGGCTGGGAACCCTGTAGGGGGTTGCCAAGCACCAGGACTTGTTCCTGGCCCTGAGAAGCTCCTAGGAAAAGGGTGAGTGAAATGGGTGTGGAGTGACCCACTTTCACCATGGACCTCCATGATCCTAGCTATGGGAGACCCCACAATTCCCAGGCACATTTGAGCTGGCAGTGAGAACTGCCTAGCAAGTTGGCAGAGACAGAACTCCAGCCTGTGTGGAGCCCAGAGGGTTTGGCATGAGACTGGCTGCAGTGGAGCATGACCATGGGCATCCATCCCCCAAGACTCGCCATACTCCTCTAGGTGACTTTAGGCTTTGTTATTAATAGCTGCCAGACCTGGGCAGAGCAAGGCTGTCTTGCCCTTGAGAAAGAAACAGCCTGATCTGAAAACCCCCTGTCTTCTGGCCTCTCCCAGGATTCCTGCCTGGCTGAAGCCACTTGCAGCACAACCACTGCCATAGCTCTTTCACCAGCATACCCCACCTAATCATTGGAGTGCTTCTGCAAATGGACATCCACCAGCAGACACCAATCCACAGCCTTCCCCAACCAGTGTGCAATCACCTGCAACCTCCCCCCGCTGCCCTGCCAGCACACACGTGTGTGCAGACCTGCCACCACCTTGCCAGCACAGATGTGCACGGGAGCCCACCACTGCACCACCGGAGTGCTTTTCCCAGAAGCCCCATCAGAGTGTTGTTGCTAGCAGACTTGGAACACTCTAACCTCTCCAGCATATCAGGTGCTTAACCTCAAAAGGCCAGAGAATAAAGCTGTGGGTTTGGTACCAGCCTCCCGAGTTTATAGCATGTAGCCCAGCAGTGCTGAGTTGAGTCTTGGCCTCCTGAAACCATCCAGAAATGAAGCCAATTGACTAAGCCCAACTTACACTGCAATCAAACCCTCAAGGACCTCAAGGAATACAAAAGCAAAAAGGCTCATCCAAAAGACAGCAACATCCAAGATTAAAGGAACATCAGCCCACACAGATGAACAAAACTTCCAAGAAATATGGTATTATTTAAAGAGATCAAACCTACAAGTCACTGGCATTCCTAAAAGAGATGGAGAGATAGAAAGACATTTGGAAAACTTATTTGAGGATATTGTCCACAAAAATTTTCCTAACCTTGCTAGAGAAGTCAACATGCAAATTCAGAAAATTGAGAACCCTTGCAAGATACTGTACAAGATGACCATCCCCAGACACATAGTCAGCAGATTCTCAAAAGTCAACATGAAGGAAAAAAATCTTAAAAGCAGCCAGAGAGAACGGACAGGTCACATAAAAAGAGAATGTCATTAACAGTTGACCTTTCAGCAGAAACCTTATAATCCAGAAGGGATTGGGGGCCTATATTCAGCATCCTTAACCTTTTTACCATTTAGAAAAAAAAAAAAAAAAAAAAAAAAGTGCAGCTCACTGCCAATGCTCATTTAATTTTATATAAACACACTCTTTGAGGCTGAAGAAAATCTGACTGATTTTCAATGTGAAAATAAAATATAAAAACTGTTCTTGGAGTTATTTCTAAATAGAACTAAGACCAGAATTGTTTGAATCTTTAGAATCATCTATTTCAGGAAAATCAGATTCATCAAATTAATCTATGGCCAATAACTATTTGAGAACAATGTTAACATCATACATAGGATTCCTACATTTTCTAAAATGTGACATTCTCAGTGATCAAGAATTACTATACTTTGTAAATGGAAATACCACTACTATAAACAGAATGCTATAAATATAATAATGTCTTTTGTTTCTAAGTTGATATACTGGAGCAATGCAAAAATAATAATAAAAATGAGATATTTTGTGGTAAATTTATCTCAGAGTAAATGCTGCAGCTGCCAGCAAGTATTCCTGGGGTATATGGGAAAAGGGTTAAAGACAAGAAATTCCAACCAAGAATTTTATATCCAGCCAAACTAAGCTTCATAAGTGAAGGAGAAATAAAAATCCTTTTCACACAAGCAAATGCTAAGGGAATTTGTTTCCACCAGACCTGTCTTACAAGAGGTTCTTAAGATAGTGCTAAACATGGAAATGAAAGACTGGTACCTGCCACCATAAAAACACACTTAAGTACATAGCTCACTGACATTATAAAGCAACTATACAATCAACTCTACATAACAGACAGCTAACAACATGATGACAGGATCAAATACTCACATATCAATATTAACCTTGAATGTAAATGGGCCAAACACCCCCACTTAAAAGATACAGAGTGGCAAGTAGGATAAAAAAGCAAGACTCAACTATAGGTTTTATTAGTCAGAGTTCTTCAGAGGGACAGAACCAATAGGATATATGTATATATAAAAGGGAGTTTATTAAGGAGAATTGGCTCACATGATTACAAGGCAAAGTCCTGCGATAGGGGAAAAGAAAGAAGCCATCAGTGGCTAATTCGGGTTCGAAAGCCTAAAAACCAGGGAAGCCAACAGTGTAGCCTTCGGCCTATGCCCAAAAGCCCAAAAGTACCTGGGAAGCTGCTGGTACAACTCCCAGAGTCTAAAGGCTGAAGAACTTACATTCTGATGTCCAAGGGCAGGAGGAGGAAGAATGGAATCAAGCATCCAGCATGGGAAGAGGAAAGAGAGCCAGAAGACTCAGTAAGTAAACTTATCCCACCTTCTTCTACCTGCTTTGTTCAAGCTGCCCTGGCAGCTGAATGGACGGTGCCCACCCACAGTGAGGGTGGGTTTTCCTCTCCTAGTCCACTGAATCAAATGTCAGTCTCCTCTAGCTATACCGTCACAAACACATGCGGAAACAATACTTTACAAGCCATCTAGGCATCCTTCAATCCAATCAAGTTGACACCTAATATTAACCATCACAATTGTCTTCAAGAGATCCACGTCACATCCAATGACACCCATAGGCTCAAAGTAAAGGGATGGAGAAAGATCTATCAACGAAATGGAAAACAAAAAAGATCAGGGGTTGCTATTCTTATTTCAGACAAAACACACTTTAAACCAACAACAATCAAAAATGACAAAAAAAGGCATTACATGACGATAAAGGGTTCAATTCAACAAGAAGACTTAACTATCCTAAAGATATATGCACCCAACACTGGAGCATCCAGATTCATAAAACAAGTTCTTAGAGACCCACAAAGAGACTTAGATGACAACACAATAATAGTGGAACACTACAATATCCCGCTGACAGTGTTAGACAGATTATCCAGGCAGAAAACTAACAAAGATATTCGGGACCTAGACTCAATATTTGACCAAACTGACCTAACAGACATCTACAGAACACTCCACCCAACAACAACAGAATATACATTCTTCTCATCTGCACATGGCACAGACTCTATGATTGACCATATGCTCAGCCATAAAGCAATTCTCAACAATTTCAAAACACTGAAATCACATCAACCATACTACTGGACCACAGCACAATTAAAATAGAACTCAATTCCAAGAAGAACTCTCAAAATCACATAATTACATGAAAATTAAGCAAAATTCAGCATCCTTAACCTTTTCCCATTTAGAAAAAAAAGTGCAGCTCGCTGTCAATGCTCATTTAATTTTATATAAACACACTCTTTGAGGCTGAAGAGCCTGATTTTCAATGTGAAAATAAAATATAATAAATGATTTTTGGGGCCAGGTGCGGTGGCTCACGCCTGTAATCCCAGCACTTTGGGAGGCCGAGGTGGGCGGATCACAAGGTCAGGAGATCGAGACCATCCTGGCTAACATGGTGAAACACTGTCTCTACTAAAAATACAAAAAATTAGCCAGATGTGGTGGCGGGCGCCTGTAGTCCCAGCTACTCAGGAGGCTGAGGCAGGAGAATGGCGTGAACCCAGGAGGCAGAGCTTGCAGTAAGCCGAGATAGCACCACTGCATTCCAGCCTGGGTGACAGAGTGAGACTCTGTCTCAAGAAAAATAAAAATAAAAATAAATAAATGACTTTTAGATAAAGAATGAAATCAAAGCAGAAATTTTTAAAAATTCATTGAACCTACTGAAAACAAAGACACAATGTTCCAGAATCTCTGGGACACAGCAAAACCAGTATTAAGAGGAAAGTTTATGATGTTAAATGCCTACATTAAAAATTCAGAAAGATTTTAAATTAACAACCTAGCATCACACCTAGGGGAACAAGAAAAACAAGTGCAAACCAACCTCAAAGTTAACAGAAGGAAAGAAATAACCAAAATCAGAGCTGAACTGAAAGAAATTGAGACAAGAAAATCCATGCAAAAGATCAACTAAACCAAAAGTTGGTTAGTTGAAAGAATAGATAAGATTGACAGACCAATACCTAGATTAATAAAGAAGAAAAGAGAGAAGAGCCAAAAAATCCAATCAGAAATGAAAAAAAAGGACATTATCACTGATCCCACAGAAATACAAAAAAAACCCTCAGAGACTATTATGAATACCTCTATGCACACAAACTAGAAAACCTGGAAGTAGATAAATTCATAAAAACACACAACCTCCAAAGATAGAACCAGCAGGAAATTTAAACCCTGAACAGACCAATAATGAGTTCCATAATTGAATCAGTAATAAAAAACCTACCAACCAAAAAAAGCCCTCCATGATATATATTTACAGCTGAATTCTACCACATGTACAAAGAGGACCTGGTACTAATCCTATTGAAACTATTCCAAAAAACAGAGGAAGAAGGACTCCTTCCTAACTCATTCTATGAGGACAGCATCATTCTGATACCAAAACCTGGAAGATACACAACAAAAAAAGAAAACATCAGGTCAACATCCTTGATGAGCACAGATGCGAAAATCCTCAACAAAATACTGGCAAAACCAACCTAGCAGCACATCAGAAAACTAATTCACCACGATCAAATAGGCTTTATTCCAGGGAGGCAAGGTTGGCTCAACACATAAAAATCAATAAATGTGAGCCATCACATAAATAGAAAAACAACAACAACAAAAAAAACCCACATGCTCATCTCAATAGATGCAGGAAAGACTTCAATAAAATTCAACATCCCTTCATGTTAAAAACCCTCAACAAACTAGGCATCAATGGAACATACTGCAAAATAATGAGCCACCTATGACAAACTCACAGCCAACATCACAATGAATGGGCAAAAGCTGGAAGCATTCCCCCGAGAACCATAACAAGACAAGGAGGTCCACTCTCACCACTCCTATTCAAGATAGTACTGGAAGAACTAGCCACAGCAATCAGGAAATAGAAGGAAAACTCATCAAAATAAGAGAGAGGAAGTCAATCTATCGCTGTTTGCAGATGATATGATTCCATACCTAGAAAACCCCTTTTTCTCTGCCCAAAGGCTCCTAGAACTGATAAACAACTGCAGTAAAGTTTCAACATAAAAATCAATTTACAAAAATCAGTAACATTTCTATTTATTTATTTATTTATTTATTTATTCATAGAGATAAGGACTCACAATGTTGTCCAGGCTGGTCTCGAACTCCTGAGCTCAAGTGATCCTCCCACTTTGGCCTCCCAAAGTGCTGGGATTACAGGCGTGAACCACCATGCCCGGCCCCAGTAGCATTTCTACATAGCAATAACATCCAAGCTGAGAGCCAAATCAAGAATGCAATCCCATTCACAAAAGCCACAAAAGAATTAGAAGTACATTTAACCAGAGAGGTGAAAGATCTCTACTACAATGAGAATTACAAAATACTGCTGAAAGAAATCATAGATGACACAAACAAATGGAAACACATTCCATGCTCAAGGATTGGAAAAATCGATTTTGTTACAATGGACATACTGCCCAAAGCAATTTACAGATTCAATGCTATTCTTTTCAAACTACCAACATCATTTTTCACAGAATTAGAAATAACTTTTCTAAAATTCATATGGAACCATAAAAGAGCCTGAATAGCCAAATCAATCCTATGCAAAAAGAACAAAGCTGGAGGCTTCACATTACCTGACTTCAAACTGTAAGGCTACAATAACCAAAACGGCATGATAATTGTACAACAATAGACACATAGACCAATGGAACAGGTTAGAGAACCCAGAAATAAAGCTTCACACCTACAACTATCTGACCTTTGACAAAGTCAACAAAAACAATGGGGAAAGGACTTCCTATTCAATAAAAGGTGCTGGGATAACTGGCTACCTGTATGCAAAAGATTGAAACTGGGCCTTTCACCACATACAAAAATCAACTCAAGATGGATTAAAGAGTTAAATGTAAGACCTCAGACTAAAAATCTCTAGAAGAAAATCTAGGAAATACCATTCTGGACATACACCCTGGCAAAGATTTCATGACAAAGTCTCCAAAAACAATTGCAACAAAAACAAAAATTGACGAGTGGGACCTAATTAAAGAGCTTCTGCACAGCAAAAGAAACTATCAATGGAGTAAACAGACAATCTACAGAATGAGAGAAAATATTTGCAAACTATGCATCTGACAAAGGTCTAATATCCAGCATCTATAAAAACTCAAACCAATTAACAACCAAAAAACCAACAACCCCATTAAAAAATGGGCAAGGGACATGAACGGATACTTCTCAAATGAAGACATATACATGTCTAACAAGCATATGAAAAAATGCTCAACATCACTAATCATTAGAGAAATACAAATGAAAACCACAATGAGATACCATCTCACACCAGGCAGAACGACTATCACTAAAAAGTTAAAAAACAGTAACAGATGCTGGCAAGGTTGCAGAGAAATGTGAATGCTTATATACTGCTGGTGGGAATGTAAATTAGTTCAGCCACTGTGGAAAGCAGTTTGGTAATTTCTGAAAGAATTTTAAAAAGAACTACCATTCAACTTAGTAATCCCATTACTGGGCATAGACCCAAAGGAATATAAATCATTTTACCAAAAAGACACATGCATTCCTATGTTCATCATGGCACTATTCACAATAGCAAAGACATGGAATCCACCTAGATGCCCATAAACAGTCAGCTGGATAAGGAAAATGTGGTACATATACACCATGGAATACTACACAACCAGAAAAAGAACGAAATAATAACCTTTGCAGCAACATACATGCAGCTGGAGGCCATCATCCTAATTAACACAGGAAGAGAAAACCAAATAATGCATATTCTTACTTATAAGTAGGAGCTAAAAACTGAATACACATGGATACAAAGATGAAAACAATAGACACTACTGGGGCCCACTTGAGGGTAAACAGTGGGAGGAGGGTGAAGGTTGAAAAACTACCTATTGGGTACTATGCTCACTACCTGGTGATAAAATTATTTGTAAACCAAACCCTAGTGATGTGTAATTTACCCATGTAACAAACCTGCATTTGTATCTTCTGAACCTAAAACAAAAGTTGAAAAAAAAAAAGTAGCCAGGCTCGGTGACTCATGCCTGTAATCCCAACACTTTGGGAGACTGAGTCGGGCAGATTGCCTGAGGTCAGGAGTTCGAGACCAGCCTGGCCAACATGGTGAAACCCCGTCTCTACTAAAAATACAAAAATGAGCCTGGCGTGGTGGCAGGTGCCTGTAATCCCAGCTACTCGAGAGGCTGAGGCAGGAGAATCCCTTGAACCTGGGAGGCAGAGGTTGCAGTGACCCCAGATCGTGCCACTGCACTACAGCATGGGAGGCAGAGCAAGACTCTGTCTCAAAAAAAAAGAAAAAAAAGAAAAAGAAAAAGAAAAAATAAGAAAAGAAAAAGGAAATAGAAAAAAATACCAAATCTGAAAATACTGTCAATTATAAGTCCTACCAAAATAGTAATTTCTGGTTTCCACTAAATATACTTCCTTTGTTTGACTCATCACTTGGAATTGTGGATGTTTTGACTTATTTGGGGCATAAAGTGATTCCCTGGCCTTTTTAACCACACAGTATGCACAACCTTCCCTTGCTATTCTCTATCTTCTTCTTAAGGTTTATTTTTCTCCATAATACCTATCATAATCTGACATTACATTATATACTATATCCATTTGTTTATATCCTTTTGCTTCCAATATAAATTCCTTGAGGACAAGGAGTTTGTCTTGTTTTCCATTATAAACCTCATAGCCAGAACTGTGCCTACATATAATACATACTCAATTAATACTTGTTGAATGAATAAATTAACAAATTGTTTTTCACTTGTAAAGAGATATCATCATGTATACTAAGGAGATACACTAAACATCGTAGCATTACATTACATATAATGCATCATAAATTGCATATAGTTAAATTCCTAGTGATCTTTAATTTGATATCTATTCAAAAGTCTTTATAATTGGCCTTTAAAAGTATTACTACTTTGAGTCTACTTATAATTTTGTCTCATTTCAATGTAATAATGTCCTTAAGAAATATATTTCGGCAGCCGGGGGAGTCCGAGAGGAAGCGGAGGCGCGAGCTGGAGGCGGCGGCTCCCGTCGGCCTCCGGCAGGACTGAGCGCTGGGAAGCCGGAAGGCGGGCGCGCACGGCGGAGAGGCGGGCGGGAGGCCGGAGCATATTAATGAAAAGTGCCATAAACTGAAAAACCAAACATGAGGGTAGCAGGTGCTGCAAAGTTGGTGGTAGCTGTGGCAGTGTTTTTACTGACATTTTATGTTATTTCTCAAGTATTTGAAATAAAAATGGATGCAAGTTTAGGAAATCTATTTGCAAGATCAGCATTGGACACAGCTGCACGTTCTACAAAGCCTCCCAGATATAAGTGTGGGATCTCAAAAGCTTGCCCTGAGAAGCATTTTGCTTTTAAAATGGCAAGTGGAGCAGCCAACGTGGTGGGACCCAAAATCTGCCTGGAAGATAATGTTTTAATGAGTGGTGTTAAGAATAATGTTGGAAGAGGGATCAATGTTGCCTTGGCAAATGGAAAAACAGGAGAAGTATTAGACACTAAATATTTTGACATGTGGGGAGGAGATGTGGCACCATTTATTGAGTTTCTGAAGGCCATACAAGATGGAACAATAGTTTTAATGGGAACATACGATGATGGAGCAACCAAACTCAATGATGAGGCACGGCGGCTCATTGCTGATTTGGGGAGCACATCTATTACTAATCTTGGTTTTAGAGACAACTGGGTCTTCTGTGGTGGGAAGGGCATTAAGACAAAAAGCCCTGGCCGGGCGCGGTGGCTCACGCCTGTAATCCCAGCACTTTGGGAGGCCGAGGCGGGTGGATCATGAGGTCAGGAGATCGAGACCATCCTGGCTAACAAGGTGAAACCCCGTCTCTACTAAAAATACAAAAAATTAGCCGGGCGCGGTGGCGGGCGCCTGTAGTCCCAGCTACTCGGGAGGCTGAGGCAGGAGAATGGCGTGAACCCGGGAAGCGGAGCTTGCAGTGAGCCGAGATTGCGCCACTGCAGTCCGCAGTCCGGCCTGGGCGACAGAGCGAGACTCCGTCTCAAAAAAAAAAAAAAAAAAAAAAAAAAAAGACAAAAAGCCCTTTTGAACAGCACATAAAGAACAATAAGGATACAAACAAATATGAAGGATGGCCTGAAGTTGTAGAAATGGAAGGATGCATCCCCCAGAAGCAAGACTAATGGAAATGTGGAGAGAATTGAAGAAAGCGCACTTTCACTCTTAATGGGAGAGCTATAAAAGGCAGAGCTATGTGTAAATATTTTAAGAGCATGCAGCCATCTTGGTGTGTGCATGAGTATTGTCTCTTTTGATATCAGGATTATTTATTGCTAACGTAAATAGATAGCATTGTAAATAATCATCACAATGATCAAATCACTGAACCATGTCTCCGCACATTTCCCTAAAAGTACAATGTTTAGACTGCTATGGTAATACATATTTTAAATTCTAAAAGCATACACAATGTGTAACTGAATGGTTTGTGAAAAATATATTGATATATATACTAGTTGCTGTGAAAATATCATGGAATAATAGGGATTTTAGGGTGGATACTTTATTTTCTTTTATATTTCTATATGTTGCCTTGTGATGACATTATCTTTTAAATTAAAAAGAGATTTGGCTAGTTGTGTGTGTAATGTTACTTTACAGTCCGACTCTCCTGATGTACCTCTTTTCATGATCTTTTTCTTTCCTTCCCAAGAAACTGAGGAATGTTTAATATGAAAACATACATCGGATATGTGAAAAGCACAACAAAATTCTTAATGTACACAGTAAAAAAGTAAATATATAAATGTAGATGGCATTTAGGACCACAGCTTGCTGGATTTGTGTTAGCTATGGGAATAACTTGATTTTGTATAAGCTATTTAGAGTGAGGCTGGAGGTGGCAGCTTCACAGAACTGGAGAACCAGGCCAAGTCCCCTCCCCAACCTAATTAGGTCATTCAGGACAGCTAAGTCAGTATATTTAGAGCAATACTAGCATACGTTTTTCTTAGTTGTTATCAGCATTGACCAAGTGGTTTGGAAGGAGGCATGCTTTAATATCACAATAATTTTGATTTGTAAACCAAGAAATTAATCCTGTGTTTATCTAACTTCATAATAGCAATTATTGCCCGAAGCTATAGTGGCATATTTACAAAAGTTCTTATTACTGGGTGGACTGATAATATTTAAAAAATAATTGTGTTTGACCCCAAATGACTTTATACCCAATTCTACATAAAAATATACAAGATCTATCTTTTTTTGTTACCTTCAGATGTTCACTAAATAACTCAGTTTTTAAGCAGAAGTTTTCAGGGCATTAAATATATGTTGTGTATGAAGTATCTCAAACTGGAACATAAATTTAGTGATCAAACTGCCATTCACAGTGTAAGGCAGCACTTAAATTTCGAACCTAAGGTTTAGATGCATTGTATAAAAAAACCTAAAAGCAGTATCTGTTATTTAGCTGTAAACCAAGTTGGAAGCTATTCGGATAATTTCTTAAATATTGATGAACTTTGGAGTACTGTTTCTTCCTTCAAACTGAATGTAATTAATTCATGAATAAATGCACCTTATATGTTTAAACAATCTTTGTATACTTTTGGGATTTTTGGTGCTTATATGCTAAATCACATTCAGCATGTGTATTTTGACATTTAAAATACTTCCCTCAATTCTGTAAATTAAAAGAATAGTTATTTTACAGTTCCAGGGATTGTGAAATAAACGTTGCAGTTTTTTAAAATAATGAAAATAAATACTCTTGGTTTTGCTTTGTGAAAAAAAAAAAAAGAAATATATTTCTACTCAAACTTGCTCTAGAGCAGCAGAAGTTGTTCTTTATAAAACTAATTATCAAGATTATATAAATGAGAGATACAATTGCTCAATGTGCATCTTTCTTTCTAATTCATTTTAGTTCTTTTAAAAACAGGGAGAGGCATGCAGATTGAGAACTCTTCAAAAGACATTGTTCCTTTCTGTATATAATTTACAACCTTTTCATTATATTCCCAACATTTTTATCACTCATGTGATATGCTGCAAGCATTTTGGTGAGCAGCACTTCATGAATAAAATGTATCAGTGCCTGTAAAATTTGTAAGAAGAATACCTCAGGCATACTTGAAATAGAGCACATTTTTGACACTTCACACTTATAATAATTCATACTCCAGAGGCCTTTTTCATCTTGTGTATCAGCAAGCTGGAAAACCTCCATAGCCAGGAAGGGTAAATTCCCTATGTGCCATGTTCCTAAAATCATTGGGCTAGGGTTGCTCCCTTCCCACACATGACATTTTCAAAAGTTAAAATCTGCTAATGGCCCCTCAAGCAAAACCTTTTTGCCTTTTGGTGATACTGTGACACCGACTAAGAGTTCTCACACTGTATTAAGTACGAAGGTATATCCCCCAGTTACATTACTAGTAGTGCCCAAGAGAGGAGAATTGTCTGGCTTAACTTATTCCTAGTTTTTGATCATCTGCTAAAGAATAATAATACACGTTTGCAAAATAAACCATCAGTGCACAAAAGCTTAACATTATCATCCACCCCAAATTGAACTTTAATTGGAATATAATGAATACTTGGAGTATTTCTTAAACATCTCCCACATCCCTAATGTTTTTTCCTAAAATTCCATGTTTTCTGTTATCTCAACTTACGATTGAAAGCTGACCTCCAAAGCAACACAAATACTATGTATACCACATATTGAAGTATAGCTGATCTTGCTGAAGACATTGATAACTTCCTCATTGCAAAAATCATCTTCAGTTATTTTCCATCTTGTTGGAATACTTACTCAAGCACTTGAAGCTGCTGAGTCATTCCTTTCATTAACTAAAAAAAAAATATTGTGCACTTATGTTATTCCAGGCAGTGGGAATACAATAATTAATAATAATTTTTAAAAGAGTCTCAAAGCTCAAAGGAGTTTACAACCTAGTGGCAAAACAGAGTAATTACCAGATAATTATAAATCAGAGTGGTAATGTCATAAAACAGTGAGAAAATATTGCAATAATAGGGGCTCCAGCCCCAGACTTCGGGGGTTAGGAAAAGCTCCCATAGGGCATTGCATTCCAGTTGAGTCTGGAAGAATTAGTCAAGTCATCCAGGGGAAGGATTTAGGGAAATGGAGTTCCAGAGATAAATCAGTATATACATAATCCCAGAGGCAAGAAAGAATAGAGAATTTGGGGAACTTCAAGTAGCTCAGGATGGCGAGAGCTTAAGAGTCAGGGCCGGGCGCGGTGGCTCACACCTGTAATCCCAGCACTTTGGGAGGCAGAGGAGGGTGGCTCATGAGGTCAGGAGATCGAGACCATCCTGGCTAACATGGTGAAACCCCGTCTCTACTAAAAATACAAAAAATTAGCCAGGTGTGGTGGCGGGCGCCTGTAGTCCCAGCTACTCGGGAGGCTGAGGCAGGAGAATGGCGTGAATCCGGGAGGCGGAGCTTGCAGTGAGCCGAGATCGCGCCACCGTACTCCAGCCTGGGTGACAGAGTGAGACTCTGTCTCAAGAAAAACAATGATAAACTGGACTGTGGCTAAAGAAGAGTGATCAGAGTAGTCAAAGGAATTGGGGCAAAGCAGTGAGAGAAGAGGACAGAGGTCTGAATACATTTATCATGCTAAAGAGTTTGGAACTCATTTGGAGAAGAATGGAGTATCTTGAACCACTTTCAGCACAGAGACATGTGATCAGTGTGACTGCCTCGTGGAGTACTGATTAAAGGGGTCAAAATCAGAGGTAGAGGAAAATATGGGGAGGCCATTGTAGGCATGAGATGATGGCAGCTTAAACTAGAATGGTTGTCAGTAAAGCACAAAGAGAAGTAGATGGCTAGATTTCACAGCTATTCAGGATGCAGAAGCAAGAGATTTTGGTGGTGTTTAGTGGTCTCCTGAATGTGAGTAGTAACAGAGAGGAAAGAAGTAAAGGATGAGCCTCAGGTTTCTTCATAGAGACCCTCATGTTCAAGCTAAGTTGCCCAGAAGGCAGTTGGATATGTAGGTCCAGAGCTCAGGAGAAAGAACTAGTTTGGAAGGTAGGTCTACTCTGGTTTTTATTCTACCTCTCTGGCCACTGCTTCTTTGAACTTGTTTTATTTGACACACAGATATAGACCTTATTTCTAATTATTCCATCCTCATACATATTCTCTTTCACTCTACACACTCTTCCCCATGGATTTCACGTACACACTCAGTGTTAACGACCAGCAATGTTTGGGTTCCTCACAAAACCACTGTATTTGGGAGATGATCCTGGGAAACACCAAAAGAGGAGTCGAAAAGTAATATAGGGAAGGGAAAGTAGCCTATAAAGGGTGAATTTCCAAGCAAGTTACCACTGGGGGTAAAGAGAGCTAAAACTCACTGGGGAAGTCTGGTAAACTCTGCAGAAGACATGCCTCAGAGTTATCCAACTTGATAGGTGAGGGAGTTTATGTATTAATACACCAATTTCAGTCAGCCATTGGTCAATGGCTATCAGCCTGCCTCCTCCAGGTACATGAGTACATGGGTAGAGAAGGCTGTGACACTACGAAAAATATTTAGTCATAAAAATGCAATTGCAAGTCTGCCCTATGCAGATAAAGCCCATACACACATAGGTAGGACAATTACAGAATCTGTTACAACATATGTGCACAACTCCCAAATCTATACCTTCAGCAAAAGTTTAATATTGAAAGTCAGGTTCCACTGTGAAACTATAAAGTGCCATCTAAAATGAGCTGTTGACTAATGGGACCAAGAAGAGAGAAGTGAAAACCAAAATATGGAACCAAGCAAACATAAGAGAACCAGAGAGGTAAAAGTAAAGATTAAACATTGAGAGTACAGGAGATGGAAACGGCCTAGCTACACAAAGTGAATTCTAAGGACCAGTAGTATCAGCATCACTTGAGAGAGTATTAGAAATACAGACCTACTGAATTACAAGCCACAGAAGCAAGATCTCCAGTTCTTACGTATGCACATTAAAGCTTAAGAAACGCTTTTCCTTCTTCTTTAGAGCTTGTGTCACCATAATGAAGACTTTTAAAATGCATTCCTAGGTGCTTATATTTGGGTGGGTGCCCATATCCATTGCCTGCAATCCCTAATCCTCTTAAATAGCACCCAGATCCACTAAACTCTTTAAGCCAAAAATCTAGACTCCTGTCTCTATTACCCACCATTGACAATCTCTATGATTCTCTGCCAATGCCACAGTGTAGGTCTGTATCCTTTACAAAAGATAATTGCAATAACTTTTTCACTGGTATCATTGACTTCTGGGTCTTCCTGCCCCAACTTCACCTCCAAAATGACACAGAGCAATTCTTAAAGTACAAACTACCATACTGTTCCTCACTTAAATAATAGAGTGGTTATCCAACAACTTTGAGACAAATTCCTAACTACTTAGTCTAGTACCATGAGCTCCTCCATGATCTGGTATCTGCTTACCTTCTTGCAAATATACTGGCCTAGTATAGTTACTGTAATTTGAGCAATAAATTTAGTGCTAAAATTCCTGTCAATCAACTCATAAAGGGCATGAGGGTTACATAATCTTTATCTTTAAAAGTCTGGTGCTTTAAAATTTTCATTTGCTACTCTGGACTTAACAGCAGGTTAAAAGGCCATAAAAGGGCCCTCTCTCTAAGTATGATGTATCCTGGGTTGTTTCCATGCTCCAGCCCATAAGCTAGTGCAAGGATGGTAATCCTCTGTTAAAAACCTGAATTGTTATGTTCAAGACTGTCCCTTAATTTCCTGATATCCTTTATCTGGCATACAGACAACAGTTGCTCTTTTTCTTGAACACGGAAGTCATAAATCAGTCCTGTCCCTTTTCACACCTAGCCCCAGCCAGGAACTTTGTCAAAGGCAGGAGCCATGAGAACCCATCCAGAATACCTTAGTCTGTTTTGCACTGCTATGAAAGAATACCTGGGAGTGGGTCATTTATTAAGAACAGAAATTTATTTCTCACAGTTCTGGAGGCAGTGAAGTCCAAGATCAAGGTGCCACCATCTGATGTAGGCTTTCTTGCTGCATGCTCACATGGCAAAAGGGGTAAGGGTAAGACAGGAGTGAACTCTATGCCTTCACATAGCAGAAGAGCAGAAGGGGGAGAACCAATTCCTGTAAGTCTTTTTTAATAGTAGCATTAATCCATAAATGAGGCCAGAGCCCCCACAATCTAAACACCTCCTATTAGGCCCCATCTCTCAAAACTGTTGCATTGGATATTAAGTTTCCCACACATAAATTGTGGGGGCCACATTCAAACCATAGCACCAAAAAGGAGGGCAAATCAGACAATTACCATTTTATGATCAAATTTTTAAAGAGATGAAGGTATTTCTGGTATTCAATTTTGGATGACTTTCTTACCTGAGCCATGATATAAGGAAAATCAAATAACATTATGTACAATATCTTTAAAAGGATTTTTCAACAATAAATACATTGTTTGTATATTTTCTTTTTAAAAAATAGCTTTGTTGAGGTATAATTGATGTTCAAAAATTCGCATATTTTATTGGTGAGTTTGGGCATATGCATACACATATGTGATACCATCACTACAATCAAGGCAATAAACATTTCCATCACTTCTAAAAGTTTACTTGTGCCCCTGTGGTTGTGTGTGTGTGTGCATGTGTGTGTATGTGTGTGATAAAAACACTTAATATGAGATCTACCCCTCAACAACTTTTTAAGTTCACAATACCATATTGTTAAATATGCATAGGCAACAAATCAAAAATAGACAATTAGGACTACAGCAAACTAAAAAGCAAAGCGAAGGAAATAATCAACAGAGTGAAAAGGTGAATATGGAATGCAAGAAAACATTTGCAAACCATTTATCTGATAGAAAGTTAATATCCAAAATATATAATGAACTCCTATAATTTAACAGTCTACAAAAGCCCAATTTTAAAACGGACAAAGGACTTGAGTAGACATTTTTTCATTAAAAATCATATAAATGGCCACCAGGTGAATGAAAAGGCATCAAACATCACAAATCATCAGGAAAGCGAAAATAAAAACCACAATGAGATATCACCTCACACCTCGTATCATAGCTATTATCAGAAAAACAAAAGATAAGCGTTGGCCAGAATGTAGAGAAATAGAAACTTTTCTTCACTGTTGGTGGGAATGTAAAATGGTGTAGCCATTATGGAAAAAAAGTATGGAAGTTTCTAAAAAATAAAAACTAGAACATATGATCCTGCAATCCAACTTCTGGACATATGTCCAAAAGAATCAAAATCAGGATTTTGAAGCAATACCTGCACTCCCAAGTTTATTGCAGCATTATTTACAATAGTCAAGATATGGAAACAATCTAAATGTTTGTCAGATAAATGGATAAATAAAATGTAGTATATACATACATACAATGGAATATTATTCAGCCTTTAAAAAGAAGGAAATTTAACCACAACACAGATGAACCTGCAGGACGTTATGCTAAGTGAAATAAGCCAGTCATAGATGTACAGATACACATGATTCCATTTAAACAAACTATCAAAAATAGTCAAACTCACAGTAGCAGAGAATAGAATGGTGGTTTCCAGGGACTGTGGGGAGTAAGAAAAAGGGAGTTGTTGTTCGATGGGTTTAAATTCTAATTATGCAGGATGAATAAGTTCTAGCGATCTGTTGTATATTATGTTTGTATTTACATTTTTAAAACCATAGATAAAGGTTAAGGGCATGATACTTTTGCAACCTTAAATAAAAGCAACTGGACTGGAATTGGAAGGCTTGGTTTGCATTCCAGATTGCAATTTGTTGCCAGTAGGAACCAAAGCAAGTTAATCTATTAATGTCAGTTTCCTCACACATAAAATGTGGATAAAAATACTCAGTCTAAATGTTAGTATGAGAATTGAACTAGCCAACAGATATGAAGGCATCTAGAACAGTGCCCAACATACAATAAGCACAAAATAAATATTAATGTCTTCTTTGTATTCCTCACACATCAAATATTCATCAGTTAGGATATTTTTCAGGAGTAGAAGTTAATTCCCATAATAAATTCACCATTTAGAAAAACAAAGACAAAAAGCACAGAACTCTGCAATTTCTAGAACTACAACATGGCTAATGTGAAATTGCTCTTGCAATAACATCTAGCACTGCTCAACAAAGATTAAACACTTAAAACTATGTAGTCAGTTCACAAGAAAAAAATAAATTTTTATATACCAGAAATGTGGATTTCAAAGTCAAAGTATTGTAAGTAAACTAGAAATCTTACAAATTCTCAAAGCAAAATTCTCACTAGTTAATATAGCAGCCACCCCAGGGATTGAAATTAAAAATAAAAGTATATATTGTTTTGTTTTATATTTATAATCAAGTTTATTGAGATATAATTTAAATATAATTATAATTATACATGATTTATTATATATAAATATACAATTTACCATATAATTATAATTATATAATATATAATATATTATTATTATATAATTTATAATTGAGATATTGTATAATTATAATTATATGATAAATTATATATAAATTATGGTACACCATTATTTATATATAAATTTTGGTGTGCCATCCAATGTATTTTGGTAAATGTACACACCAGCTGCCATCACATTCAAGACATAGAATATTTCCAAATTCCCAAAAAGTGCCCATCTGCCCCTACCCGATCAATTCCTCTTCCCATTCCTAGCCCAGACAACCACCGATCTACTTTTTATCACTACAACCTAGCTTTGCCATTTCTAGAATTACATAAATGGAGTCATACAGCATATCTGGCTTATTTTGCTTTTGTGTCTGGCTTCTTTCACTCAGCATATGTTTTTAAATTCATTAATCAAGAATGCATCAGTAGTCCATTCTTTTTATTGCTGAGTAATATTCCATTGTAGGAATATACAATACTTTATGTATCCATTCACCAGTTGATGAACATTTGGGTTGTTCCCATTTTTTATCTATTACACATAAAGTTTTTTTTATAAAGCTAGTTGTTTTTATTTATCTTAGAAAGAATACCAAGGAATGGGATTGCTGAGTTGTATGATAAGCATACATTTACCTTTTTAAGAAACGGCTAGACTGTTTTCTAAAGCAGTTATATCATTTCATGTTGTACTAGCAATGAGTGAGACTTCCAGTTGCTTCATATCTTTATCAACCTTTGATACTGTCAGCCTTTTGAATTTTAGCCATTCTGAAGTAGATGTGACTTTAATTTGCATTTCCCTAATGAGTAATGAATGCTGTTGAGCATCTTTTCATAGGCCATTTATGTATCTCCTTTTGTAAAGTGTCTGTTCAAATATTTTGTCTGTTTTTTACACTGGGCTGTTTAGCTTTTATTATTGATTTGCAATATTTTCTTAAATATTCTTGATGTGGAACTTTGGTTTTAATCTGTAAAAAAGATATAAAATGAAGGTTTGTATAAGTGCAAGTCAAGAATTTGGTGTTGAGACATTCTTCATAAAACCAGAACCTTTGAGAAGGGCTGTATCTCTAGTTAAAACCCTCACCACCATCTCTGGAAAATGGCAACAAAAAAAAAATTGCCTCAGCTTTTCGTCTCTAAATTTAAAAAACAAAAAGTCTCCTGAGAAAATGCAACCTCAAGATAGTGTAACACATGGATTTTGAATCCAAATGTGCCCTCCCTAGTGATGGTGGATTTTCCAAGTTGAAACAGTAACAAAATTAGCTCCGAGCCGGTAATATCCTTAGGGTGACTGGCAGAAGCAACCAGAAAACCACCATTTATATGTTTCAATAGCCCAGGCCTATTATTATTTCCCCCATAAAGAAATCCCCACTAAAGATGTTGACATAATTAGGCCGGGCGTGGTGGTGCACGCCTGCAATCCCAGCACTTTGGGAGGCTGAGGTGGGTGGGTCACCTGAGCTCAGGAGTTCGAGACCAGTCTGACCAACATAGTGAAACCCTGTCTCTACTAAATACAAAAAATTAGCCAGGCATGGCAGCGCATGCCTGTAATCTCAGCTACTTGGGAGGCTGAGGCAGGGGCCATTGCACTCCAGCAGCCTTGGCAACAAGAGCAAAACTCTGTCTCAAAAAAAAAAAAAAAAAAAAGTTGAGATAATTAAAAAAAAAAGAACGAAGAAATGATCTATCTTGAAAAGCTTCATATGACACACAAAAGTAGGAATAGACCATAAAATCTTTGAGTTTATAGAAAAATATTTTTAAGTATTAAAATACATATTAGACATTATAAGGAAAGAACAATATTCTATGAAAAAATAAAAGACATATTTGAAAGTAAACTGAATATGACTTCTATAATGAAAAATATAGTTTTGAGGTCTGTGAGCTGCCTGATTAGGAGGGGAATTTGGAGGGTCTTTAAAATCCAATTTAATGTTGCCATTCTTTGATTCTAAGAGTGACCACCGTTTTCAGATTCTCCCAATCATGCTAAATAAATGGAGACGTTCTGTATAAGTTTTGCCCTTGTGTGTTGTCCCAAAGGGTTGCAGACATGAGGCAACAGAGCTTTGACCAGCGACTCTAGCTACGTTTAGGCTTTTAAAATATCTAACTATTTACATACAAAAAAGTGTGAATGAGAAACGATGACAAAGTACAGGTCTCCTCAGAGGCAGAGTAATAAGCATCTAATACTACCTTTGAGCTGATGCTTGAATTATTCCACATAGCCTGGCAAGTTGTCATTTAGCCTTTCCTGGACCAGCTCGGTGATGGGAATTTCACTACCTCTAGCAGCTTTCAGTTCAATTTTGGAGCTATTTTAATTGAGTATTCTCCTTATACTAAGCCAAAATCAGCGTGCTTATTATTTCTCCATTTTTTAGTTCTGCTCTTTAAGTTATTCAGAACAATTTTAATCTCTCTTCAAAATAGCATGTGGAAAACAGCTATAACCATTCAACATCCAGATCAAATGTTCCCAGTTCTCTTTACTAGTCACCTGGTGACATAGCTTTGAGTCCTCTGACCACTCTGATCACTCTTCTTTAGCCACAATCCAGTTTATCATTGTTTTTCTTGAAAGTAAAAACCAAAACTAAACACAGTTTTCCTTTTGTAGTCAACCACTGAAAAATTAGGGTTGAATATTTCAAGATATATAAAGCAAAAATGTTACAAATACAATGAATATTTTAAAAATAAAATACAGTTATGATGGAAGAATTCAATATACCCCCTTAAGAAACTGGAAGAGCAGCTGGTCGCAGTGGCTCACGCCTGTAATCCCAGCACTTTGGGAGGCCAAGGTGGGCAGATCACCTGAGGTCGGGAGTTTGAGACCAGCCTGACCAACATGGAGAAGTCCCATCTCTACTAAAAAAATACAAAGTTAGCCGGGTGTGGTGGCACATGCCTGTAATCCCAGCTACTGGAGAATCACTTGAACCCGGGAGGCAGAGGTTGCGGGGAGCCGAGATCACACCATTGCACTCTAGCCTGGGGAACAAGAGCAAAACTCCATCTCAAAAAAAAAAAAAAAAAAAAAAAATTAGCCCGGCAGGGTGGGGTGCACCTGTAGTCCCAGCTAACTGGGAGGCCAAGGTGGGAGGATGACCTGAGCCTGGGAGGTCAAGGCTTCAGTGAGCTGTGACTGTACCACTGCACTCCAGCCTGGGCAAGAGAGTAAGACCCTGTCTCAAAAAGAAAAGAAAAGAAAAGCAAGAGAGAAAATGACATATAAAATAAGGAGAAAAATGGTAAGTATAACAGTGACCTTAAATATTATAAATAATGAGATTACCTTAAAGTGTCAGTGTGAAAAATTCCACAACCTACCCTACAAACAAGGAATATTCTTTTTTTTCTTCCAAAATGTATGGGATATTTACCAAAAATAATGATTAAATAGGACCTTAATAAACCTGCCATAGAACTTCTATAGAACTGAACACTAATAACAAAGAGTAAAAGATTGTAGCCACTTAAAAACGTAAAACTTTAATTTGGAGTAACTGCAATTAAAATAGAACCAAAGCCACATGAGCAAACTTTTTGCAAATTAATGGTACTAGTAAGCCTATATATGAAATAAAAGAATATCAAAAAGCTTGTTCCGATGACTATTTATAGCCTTAAATTCTTTTTTTCTATATAAAAATGTAAAAAAGAAATAAACGACATAGTCAACTCAAAAACTGAGAAATATCACAGAAAAATAAAGTAAAATAAAGCAAGAGAAAGGATTTTTTTTAACTAGAAAGCAAAATCAAGTAACGAGGACTAGAACTGACAAATAAAACCAAGAGCTAATACTTTTAAAGGACCAGTAAACTTGCCAACCTCTGGGAAATCTGAAAGCAAAAAGAGAAGCCAAACAATGGAGATTTTAAAAATATATGAATACTACATTTATTCTAATAAATTGGAAAATCTTAATTAAATGGATGATTTTTAAAAGGAAAGTATGAATGAGCAAAAATGACCAAGCAAAGGTAAAAAAAAATAAATAAAACAATACTCATCGAAGAAAAAGTTTGGGACCTAAATGTTTTATGAGAGAATGGGGGATGATCTATTAAAATATTAAAGAAAAAATAATTCCTGTGTAATATAAGCCACTCCAAAACATAAAGAAATGAGTCCTCTAATTTATTTCATGAAGCCTGCAAAACCATAATTCCAAATCCTTAAAAGGAGAGTAACATAAACTGAGGCCAAATCACATACAAGCCCAGAAGCAAAACATCTTAAATAAACTAATAGCAAAGCCAGTCTACGAGAGGATTTTAAAGTAATTGACCATGACCAAAAATGGTTTCTTTTAGAAATGCAAAATTGGTTTAACTTTTGGATGCTCATTAATGTATTATCAGCCTGATAGAAGTTGACAGGGAATCTGATAAAATTCAGTAAGGATTCATGATTTTAAAATAATAAAATCTCCTTGCAAATTAGAAACAGGAGGGTACATGCTCAACTTTTTTTTTCTAAAAAGACATCTACCCACATCATTATACTTAATGGTGAAATATTAGAGACATTACCATAATTATTTAAAATACATTTAGACTATAAAGCACTTAGGAGAGTAGGAGCCCCAAGTTGGGTTGTGCTCACCACCGCATCTCTAGTGCCTAGCACAGTGCCAGATGCTCCTAATTTTTCTTCTTTCTCACTAGCTTCTCTTTCTCATTCTCTTTTGCTGGCTTCTCTTCATCTTCGCAACTTCTAAAGGTTGTCTTTGAATACTTCTTTCTGCTCTTTGTACTCACGTCCCAGGTAACTTCATCCACTACCATGGTTTAAAGATCATCTGTATGCTGATGACTCATAGTCATCATAGAGCACCTGCATTCTACCTTTTATACCTCAAAGTCTATCTTTTTCACGCCCACCAACCACACTCCAGCCACAGTCACCTTCTTGTCCCTTGAACATGATGTCCTTGTTCTATCACAGAGTACTTGCACCTACTGCTCTTTCTCTGGCAATGGTCTCCCACCAGATTTGTATGATGCCCTTTTCCCCTTGTAAATTTCATCTCAAAAGTCTCCTCCTCTGAAAGGTATTTTTCAGTTTTATAGTGGCATCCCCAGTCCATAGTCCTTTTCTATTGCATTTCTCAACTATATTTTCTTCATAATCTTATCACTTATTACTATGCAAAACTGTATTTATTTGTTTATATATTTGTTGATGGTCTCCATCTGCTGGAGTATGTTCATTTGAAGGTAATGCATGTGTGACTGCAAGGATTTTGTGCATTTTAATCACTGAAGTTTCTCCATGGTCTCGTGCATTTATTCTTTGAAATGACCTTTAAGGCCATTTTGTCAATATACAAAAATTGTTGAAATTTTTATTGGAATTGCATTAACCTTATAGACTGGAATATAGCAGGCACTTAATAAATCTTTTGAATAGCAAATGAGGGAATTTATGAAGAATACAGAGCTAACAATTATTACTTTTATTCAGTATTATCTCAGAAGTTCTAGAAAATGCCATGATAAATAAAAGCCCCAGAGATTTAAATATTGCAAAGACAAAATTGCAATTAGTTGCAAATTATATGATTATTTTTCTACACATTACAAGACAGTCATCTAAAAACAAAACTTATGAGATTCAATAAGGTGGCAAGTTACAACTCATTTAAAAACTGGTATCTTTCCAATATACAAGAAATGACTAGTTAGAAAATATTATGGAAATAACATCACATTTTACATAGCAATAAAATATATACAACACTTAGAGACTTAACAAAAATATATAGAATGTATATAAAAGGGAATATAACACTTTACTTAAGGGTACAAATGAATACTAAATAGAAAGTTATATCATGTCCCTTTAAAGGAATACTCAGTTTCAAAATTATAATTTTTCTCAAATGAGTCTGTAAGGTTAATATAATTACAATAAAAATTCCAACAGTATATTTGATTATTGACAAAACGACTTTAAAGATCGTTTCAGGGAACAAAATACAATAAAAGCTAAGAATCTCTTGACAGGGAAGAATATTAAGAATGGACTTGTTCTGGCCAGGTGTGGTGGCTCACGCCTGTAATCCCAGCACTTTGGGAGGCCGAGGCGGGTGGATCACAAGGTCAGGAGATCCAGACCATCCTGGCTAACACGGTGAAACCCCGTCTCTACTAAAAATACAAAATATTAGCCGGGTGTGGTGGCGGGCGCCTGTAGTCCCAGCTACTGGGGAGGCTGAGGCAGGAGAATGGCGAGAACCTGGGAGGCGGAGCTTGCAGTGAGCCAAGATAGCGCCACTGCACTCTGGCGTGGGTGAAAGAGCGAGACTCCGTCTCAAAAAAAAAAAAAAGAATGGACTTGTTCTGTTGAATATTAAAACCTAAAACCACTTTAATTAAAAATCCAACTATTGCCGGATTATACATGTGGGACAATGAAACTGAAGAGAAACTCTAAAACACAAAAATATATAATAATTAATTTATGATAAAGATAGCATTTTAAATCATGAGAAAATATTTATATAATCAACAATGTTAGAAAAACGAATGACTTTTTTTAAAAGCCAATCACTCATCTCATATACCAGATTAAATTACAAAACACTAAAAATATAAATGGCATATCAAAATAATTAATCAATTATTCCTTGTCTGACCCCAGTTATATCTATGTTGGCACTTTTCACCATATCCTAGGTGCCTCTTACACTTTTATCTTTATATTCCATTTTTTCTCTCTGTGTTTCACTGTATACACTTTATCCTGAGCCGTCCTACGGTTCAATAATACTTTTTTGTATTTTTACATGTTGCGCTTCTTTTTGTTTTTTATTTGTAATACTTTAAGTAAGAAATTGTTTGAAATAAGACAATAAGAGTCTAAAAATAAGGAGTCGGTGGGAGAGCAGGAGACCAGAGATTATTACAGAATCAACCTGACAATAACCTAGACAAGGAATAGGAGGCTGTTCACCACCACCAAGAGGTCCAGTGCATTTTGCTGTCCTTACTGATAGGCCATATTTCACCTTCTTACAACAGAAATATCATCAGAGACTTTATCAAAAACTAGGCTGAAATCCATATATACGACATTCATAGCATTTTATTGATCCAAGTCTAGTATTTACATGACTGCTTTGTTCATTTTGAGGAGTATATGTTTATAAATACATATTAAATATGGAATTCTACACTCTAAGTAATAAAGAAGGTTTCTAGAAAGAAAAGAATGTCTGCAATTAGTTTTCCTCTAAGCCAGGACTATTGAAAACTATGCCATTTTGATTCTCTGCTCATTTAGGAAACAGACAAAAGACGAATATTTAAAAGTTCAATAATTAAAGGGCAATCAACTTATATTGCCCTCTTTAAATCCACAGAACTGAACTTTTCAAGTTATTAACATTAAGCTATTATGCAGATGAAAGAATAAGAAATTGGTATCAGCAGACTCAAAGGAGAATGTGGATATTCTATAAATCCAGGAACACATGACAATGTTTTCAAGCACACAGCAAAATGCCTAAGGGCTGACCAAGTGGGCGTACATTATTTTTTTAGAAATAGACTTCAATATAAATTGCCAGGAGGTGGCCATTTATCGCCAAAGGGTCAGATGGAAGGAATGTGGAATGTTTCCACATGTGTTTTAATGATTCAGTAGTCAAGGTAAAGCCGAGTGCTGTTCTCAAAAATTACTCCTGGGGATGTTACATATTTAATTCAGTCCAGCTGGAAAAGGTTACAGGATGTAGTCCTCAATTTGAATGACTATTGCACTCTTAAAATGCTGTTTTTGTGCAATGTAAGGAACAATTTTGATTGCAGTTTTCAGTTAAAAGGCCTTCCTCTCTGAAGACAAACTTGTCAATTGCATGGAATCTGAAGCAGCCAATTGAAGGAACCAATCAGCAAGGCTTGCTGACAGCTGCACCTGAGTAGCCCCACACTGCTGAGTGAGGGGGTAGTCTTAATACCAGCCCAGTGGTATTTGAACTAGTATACAGTAAGTCCTTACCTAACATCCTTGATAGGTTCTTGGAAACTGTGACTTTAAGAGAAATGATGTAGTATAATAAAATCAATTTTACCATAGGCTAATTGATATAATAAACAAGAGTTAAGTTCTTATGGCTTATTTCTAGTTACAGAAATATCACCGAACTTCTAAATAAAGGCAAAAACACTTCTAATATCAAACAATGAAGTACATGTAAGCATGTGAGCTATACATACATTTAAGAAAAATAAACAAAGCAAAATAATTATTTACTTGCTTATTCCAGTTCAGGCTTATGGGTTGCCAGAGCCCATCCCAGAAGCTCAGGGCACAAAGGAGGAACCAACCCTGGCCAGGATGCCATCCCATCGCAGGGTGCACTAACACACACACACACACACACACACACACACACACACACACAGCGCACTTGCTCAAAAGTAGGACCATTTAAACAAGCCGATAAACCTAACATGCGATGCGTGTGTTTGGGATGTGGGAGAAAACTGTAGTATCCAGAGAAAACCCAAACAGACTTGAGGAGAATGTGCAAATTCCACACAGACAGGGGCACCCACCTGGAATCAAATTTTTTTCTCATAACCCAATAATGAAAAGACGTTGAATGTAACGTCATTATTCAAGGACTACTGTAAGAACTGCAGCCCTGTTTTCTGGCTGAAAGACCATCATACAAACTGTGACCAATAGCTATTATGTACGTAAACGTGCGTTTAGTTACATGCACATTAGATAGGAACTTTAATCCTTGTGAAACCCAGAACACTCCTATTTTAACTTATGTTAATAAAATATAATGGAATCCATGGAAGAGGCTCTATGGTTAAGGTTGAAAAGGCAATTGCTTGCTAAATGCCATTTTTTAAATTGCATTTTAAAAGCTGTTCTGAAATAGCTATAACAAAGATAAAATTTGCCTTAAGCTAAATGTTGTCGAAATTAAAAGGTTTGAAAGAAAGAAAACGAGTCATCATCCAGATTTTTAAAAAATATGCTGAATTTGAAGTTTCTTTCAAAGTACAGTGTTTCAATGGGGGGAGTCCAATTTTTGTAAAATTTTACAAAAACTGTATTGCCCTAAAGGCAGCCTACTGCACACAAGGATCACAGTGACTTTTACTTGTTATTCTACATGATTACTTAAAATTTTTCTGATTTTTTTACCCTCATCTATCTTCTAACTTGTCTAGTTAACTCTTAAGAATTTCAAATTTTCTTTGAAAGATGATAGGCAATATGAGATGAGAGATAATCTACAAAAGTTACAGATGCTCACATGTATAAAACAGTCAAAATATCACAGGTCAATGACATAAACTGCATTAAATAAATTATGTTTATAGGCATCAGTAGTTGAAAATGCTCAATAATTCTGGGCTCCTTCCCCAAAATGTAAGACTTAAGTACTTCAAAGGCATTATTCTTTACTCATGAGGATCAGTGGCTTCATTTAGTAAAAGAAAAAGGAATGGACCCAGGATCCCAGTAAATAATTACTAACTGATCGCAACGCTCTTTTATCTAATGAACAACCAACAACCAACAGAAAACCCTTGATTCACAGAGGAGCAAGTCCTAGCTATTATTAAGACAGTCATTTTTTACGCTTTTTTAAAAAAATAGTAGAACAATACGTGTTGGTCTAATCTGGAAGGTAAAGTATGCTGACTTATTAAAAATTCTTAATGGAACCACAGCCCCCAAATCATTTCCCGTTAGGATGAAAGTTAACAGCTGCCATTAGGGCTGGTGTCAATTTAGAGATCTCTTCTCACTTATGCCAGAACTTATAAGAAAAGCCCATGAAGAAATAGCAATTGCTAAAATAACTACATCAATAAGCCATTCTATTCAGACATTGCAAACACACAAGCCCTTGAAATCATCATACCACTGACCCACCAAATAAGCTATTTTTAGCCAATGAGGATTACCTTCTCCAACAACAAGAACAAAACAGGCCATTTGATATATTCTTTCTGGTTTCTAGGGCTTTTTCACTTTCCTACATACTAATGAAACACAGATATCTAAACCATGCCAGTTACATAGTGATATTTTTACTCTAGAATTGTTTGCTAATCCCAACCAGTTCAGGAAAGGCTTTATTGATAGGATTCAGAATCACAAATGTAGCCATCCAAAGCCTGCTTACTAACCTAATACATAGTCACGTGAGAGACAAACAGAAAGGAGGATATAAATTTTATAAAAATCTACATATTGGCAACAATCCAGGCCTTAGTTAACTCATAGCTCACCTTAGCCTCAAGCTACATTATTTGAGCATGGCTGCTTTCCTAGAGGCATAAATACCTTAGAAATAATGAATGCCACGAATACGCATGTATGTTTTATCAGTGTTGTTTGCAGAGAAGTCAAGTTTACAAATAGAAAAAAATAATAAAGTACATAAAATAAATTTTTACAAATAATGCCATTTTAACTGGATATGAACTACTTTTTCCATGTAGTATAACTGGAATATATTGTTTAATATGCCAAGTTCTAGATTTAGATGACTTGAAATGAATATTTATCAATAGAATACTTGCATAAAGTATAGACTTACAAAAAATAAATGTTAAAACATAGATGGAAGAAAAGAATGCTTAGATGTGTGCCAGCATGGGAGCTGGGTTTATGTGCCAGCATGGGAGCTGGGCATCCCTCCCTCCACAAGACTGGCCTGGGAAGGGAGCAGCCTGTTATCCAGCCACAGCTTCTGCCCAAGGGAGGCCTGCAGCCCCACAAACCTATAACAGCCCAGTGATCTGGGTACAGAAGCCTTAGAACAAATCGAGCTGGGCAGGCCTGCTCCTGAGGCAGGTAACAGACAGGATTCAGTTGGGGGAGTGTGAGTTTAGCAGACCCCACAACCACGTGCTGGGGTAAAAAACACTGGACCATAAGTGCCACACCAGCTCAGATCATTGACGCCAAAAACTAACAAAGAAATAATCTGGACTTAAATTCAACACTTGACCATTGGACCTAACAGACATGTACAGAATACTTCACCCCACAAATACAGAACATACATTCTTCTATGGACATGAAACATACTCCAAGACTGACCACATGTTCAACCATAAAGCAAGTCTTAATAAACTCAAAAGACTGAAATCACACTACACATACTCTTGGACCACAGTGGACTGAAAATAGAAATCAATATCAAGAAGTGCTCTCAAAACTACACTATTACATAAAAACTAAACAACTTAGCCAGCACTTTGGGAGGCTGAGGTGGGCAGATCACCTGAGGTTGGGACTTCGAGACCAGCCTGACGAACATGATGAAACCCTGTCTCTACTAAAAATACAAAAAAATTCGCCAGGCATGCTGGCAGGCGCCTGTAGTCCCAGCTACATGGGAGGCTGAGGCAGGAGAATTATTTGAACCTGGGAGGCAGAGGTTGCAGTGAGCCGAGATCGCACCACTGGACTCCACCCTGGGCAACAGAGCAAGACTCCATATCTCAAAACAAAAAAACAAAAAACAAACAAGCAAAACTAAACAACTTGCTCCTGAATGATATTTTGGTAAAACATGAAATTAAGGCAAAAGTCAAAACATTATTTGAAATGAATGATAACAGATGCACAACATACCAAAGGTTTTGTGATGCAGTAAAAGCAGTGTTAAGGGTAAAGTTTATAGTGCTAAACACTAAATCAGTAAGTTAGAAAGATATCAAATTAGCAACCAAACATTACACCTAGAGGAACTAGAAGAACAAGAACTACCTCTAAATCTACCAGAAGAAAGAAATTATTAAAATGAGACTAGCACTGAATGAACTTGAGATGCAAAAATCCATACAAAGGATCAATGAAATGAAAAATTTGTTTTTTGAAAGGATAAACAAAATCAATACACCAATAACTAGAATAACAAAGAAAAGAGAGAAGACTCAAATAAACGCAATCAGAAAAGACAAAGGTGACATTACAACCAATCCCAGAGAAATACAAAAGATCCTCAGAGATTATGAACACCTCTATGTACGCAAACTAGAAAATCTAGAGGTAGACCGGGCACGGTGGTTCACACCTGTAATCCCAACACTTTGGGAGGCCGAGGCGGGCGGATTACCTGAGGTCAGGAGTTCGGGACCAGCCTGGCCAACACAGTGAAACCCCGTCTCTACTGAAAGTACAAAAATTAGCCAGGTGTGGTGGTGGATGCCTGTAATCCCAGCTACTCAGGAGGCTAAGGCAGGAGAATTGCTTGAACCCGGGAGGCAGAGGTTGTGAGCCGAGATCGCACCATTGCACTCCAGCCTGGGTGACAAGAGCGATACTCCGTCTCAAAACAAAAAGAAAAAAAGAAAATCTAGAGGATATAGATAAATTCCTGGAAACATACAACCTCCCAAGATTAAATCAGGAAGAAACTGAAACCCTGAACAGACTAATAACAAGTTCCATAATTGAATCAGTAATAAAAATCCTACGAAACAAAAAAGGTCCTGTACCAGATGTATTCACAGGTTAATTCTACCACATGTACAAAGAAGACTTGGTACCAATCCGATTGAAATTATTCCAAAAAACCGAGGAGGAAGGACTCCTTCCTAATTAATTCTACAAAGCCAGCATCCTACTGATACCAAAATCTGGCAAAGACACAATAGAAAAAAGAAAACTACACAGGCCAATATCCCTAATGAACATAGACACAAAAATTCTCAAAAAAATACTTGTAAACCCAATCTAGCAGAACATCAAAAAGTTAATTCACTATGATCAAGTAGGATTTATTTATGGGATGCAAGGTTGGTTCAACATATGCAAATCAATAAATGTAATTCATCACATAAACAGAATTACAAACAAAAACCATGTGATCATCTCAACAGACACAGTAAAACCTTTTAATGAAATCCAACATCTCATGAGAAAAATGCTCAACAAACTAGGCATTGAATGAACATTCTTCAAAATAATGAGAGCCATCCATGACAAACACTGTACTGAATGGGCAAAAGCTGGAAGCATCCCCCCTGAGAATTAGAACAATACAAGGATGCCCACTCTCACCACTCCTATTCAACATAGTACTGGAAGTCCAAACCAGAGCAATCAGGCTAGAGAAAGAAATAAAAGGTATCCAAACAGGAAAAGAAGAAGTTAAATTATCTCTCCTTGCTTACTATATGATGCTATACTTAGAAAGCCCTAAAGACTCCACCAAAAGGCTCCTAAAATTGATAAGTAACTTCAGTAAAGATTCAGAATAAAAAAATCAATGTACAAAAATTAATAGCATTTCTATACACCAATAACACTCAAGCTGAGAGCCAAATCAAAAATGCCATCCCATTTACTAGAGTTACAAGAAAAATAAAATATTTAGGAATACATCTAACCAAGGAGGTGAAAGATCTCTGTAATGAGAATTACAAAACACCGCTAAAAGAAATCAGAAATCACACAAACAAGTGGAAACACATTCCATGTTCATGAGTAGGATGAATAAATATAATTAAAATGGCCATACTGCCCAAAGCAATCTAGATGCAATGCTATTCCTATCAAACTACCAACATCACTTTTCACAGAATTAGATAAAACTTTTCTAAAATTCATGTGGAACTAAAAGAGCCTGAATAGCCCAAGCAATCCTAAGCAAAAAGAACAAAGGTGGAGGCATCACATTATCCAACCTCAAACTACACTACAAGGCTACAGTAACCAAAACAGCATGGTACTGGTACAAAAGCAGACAAACAGACCAATGGGTCAGAATAAAGTGCTCAGAAATAAAGCCTACGACCATTTAATCTTCACCTACAACCATCTGATCTTCAAAAAAGTTGACAATAACAAGCAATGGGGAAAGAACTTCCTATTTAATAAATGGTGCTGGGATAACTGGCTAGCCATATGCAGAAGAGTGAAACTGGACCCCTTCCTTTCACCATATACAAAAATAAACTCAAGATGGATTAAAAACTTAAATGGAAGACCTAAAACTATAAAAACCCTAGAAGAAAACAAGAAATACCATTCTGGACATAGGCCTTGGCAAAGATTTCATGATGAAGTCTCCAAAAGCAATTGTGACAAAAATGAAAACTGACAAGTGAGACCTATTTATACTAAAGAGCTTCTGCATAGCAAAGAAAACTATTAACCAAGGGACTAGACAACCTACAGAATGGGAGAAAATATTTGCAAACTATGCAACCAACGGAGGTCTAATATGCAGAATCTATAAGGAACTTAAACAAATCAACAAGCAAAACACAACTCCGTTAAAAAATGGATAAAGGACATGGACAGACACTTTTCAAGACATACACACAGCCAACAAGCATATGAAAAAAATGCTCAACCTCACTAATCGTTAGAGAAATTCAAATTAAAACCACAATGAGATACTATCTCACACTAGTCAGAATGGTTATCATTAAAAAATCGAAAAAATAACAGATGCTGGCAAGGTTGCAGAGAAAAGGGAATACTTATATACTGCTGGTGGGAGTGTAAATTACTTCAGCCCCTGAAAAAAGCAGTTTGGAGATTTCTCAAAGAACTTGAAACAGAACTACCATTCGACCCAGCAATGCCATTATTGGGCATATACCCAAAGGAATAGAAACCATGCTATCATAAAGATACATGCATATATATGTTCACTGCAGCACCATTCGCAATAGCAAAGACAGAGAATCAACCTAAATGCCCATCAATGGCAGACTGCCTAAAGAAATGTGGTACATATACACCATGGAATACTATGTAGCCATAAAAAGGAATGAAATCATGTCCTCTGCCGCAACATGGATGTGACTAGAGGCCAGCATCCTGAGCAAACTAATGCAGGAACAGAAAACCAGATACCTCATGTTCTCATTTATAAGTGGGCCTAAACATTGAGTACACATGAACATAAGTAGGGGAACAACAGATGCTGGGGACTACTAGAAGGTGAAGGGAGGGAGGGGAGTAAGGGCTGAAAAACTACCTATTGGGTACTATGCTCACTGCCTGGGTAACAGGTTCACTTGTACCCCAAACCTCAGCATCATGCCATATACCTTTGTAACAAACATGCACGGGAACCCCCTGGTTCCAAAATAAGTTGAAAAAATAAAATAAAATAAGATGATGAAGTCATGAAAGAAAAGATCAAAGCCATAAGACAAAACAAAATATTATGACAAAAAAAAGCGCATTTTGAAAAAGAACTAATTGGGACTTCCAGAAATGAAAAATACTTTTTGAAATTAGTCAAAGGAGGAGTAAACAGCATTTGTTTAGAATAAATACTAAAGACAAAATCGTGTATGGGAAGTTACATCAAGATTTAACTAAGTCACAAAGGCAATGTGGAGATATAAAGGGATAGAAAATATGAAAGGGTAAAAGGCACAGAATATATAGCTAGAAGGTCCAACATGTATCCAGAGGCAATTCCATAAGGAAAGAACAAGGGAAAGGTGAGGTGATTCCCCACCACCCTCATTTTCTTCACCAACCACCACTATTGCCTCTTCACCAGGCTCTCCTATAGTCACTCCTAGAACCACTTTGAAGAATCAGTGCTATGGCTTGGCAGGGTAGCAGTGGAGAAGTTCCCCCAAGAGATTCTGGGAGAGCTGCAATAGTTTTCATCAGCTCTTTATGCCCCAGCAGTGCTGTGGTACTGCAACGATACCTCCTCATGAAGGCCAAGCATGACTAGCCACTGCTGATTTTTGGCTCAGGGGAAATGGAGCGAGCAACAGTCCTCTCAAGCAATATGAGAGAGAGGCAAGAAGTGAATTTAAAAGCTTTCCCTAAAAAATATAAACCCACCACTGCACCCGCTGACTGTGGTTCAGCCTACCATTACCCAACTAACAGCCTTTGGTTTTGCCAGGAGTATTCCTCAGATTGTATGTTACTTACTCTAATCTATGCTTGCTTCCTTTTATGTGGTTTCTACAGGGCTGATCTTGGGCGAGGGAGCCAGCCACCTGTGCTCCTTCGCTAAGTTCGAAAATTGAGGACTTGCTATCTTTTCTTTCATATTATTGTATTTTCTTACTGTTTGTTGCAGTTTATTTAAAAACAATTGTCACCCTGCTGAACATTCTTGTTTATTTCAGTAATACGTCTGTAGATTATTTTGGGTTCTTTCCATGTAGAAAATTGTATCATCTGAGAACGGTAGTTTTGCTTCTTTGATTACAATCCCTACAGCTGTTTTTCTTGTTGTTGTTGTTTTGTTTTTTGTTTGTTTGCTTGTTTGTTTCGAGACAGAGTTTCGCTCTTGTTGCCCAGGCTGGAGCGCAGTGGCATGATCTCAGCTCACTGCAACCTCTGCCTCCCAGGTTCACACGATTCTCCTGCCTCAGCCTCCCAAGTAGCTGGGATTACAGAACTGCACCACCACGCCTGGCTAATTTTTTTGTATTTTTAGTAGAGACAGGGTTTCATCATGTTGGCCAGGCTGATCTCGAACTCCTCAACTCAGGTGATCCACCCGCCTCAGCCTCCCAAAGTGCTGCGATCACAGGCGTACGCCACTGCAACTGGCCATAATCCCTACAGCTTCTTTTGCTATAGCTGTCTAGGCAGCTAAAGCCAGACTTAGGCTCTGGCTGAGTTTCCTATGACAACACCAAATAGAAGTCATAAAAATGGGCAGTCTTGTCTGGATAATGTTTCCTAAGTAAGGCCTCGCTATTTTGTAATACTCTTTATCAGGTTAGGAAATTCACTTTGATATCTATTTTGCTAAGAGTTTTTTTATCATAAATTGTTGAATTTTATTAAATCTATTTTCTTCATCTGCTGACATGATTATGTTTTTTCATCTTTTACATGTTAATGTGGTGAATTACATTATTAGATGTTTCCAATGTCAAAACAACCTTACAATCCTAAAATAACCAAACTTAGTCATGACATAGGAATATTGTGCATTGTTGGTTTCATTTGCTAACAATGTGTTTATGATTTTTACATCCATATTCATGAGTGAGGTTGCCCTGTGATTTTCCTTTCTTCTTCCGTCCTTATTTAGTATGGGTATTCAGGTCATACTTGCCACATAAAATAAGTTGGAGAATCTGGGGACAATTTGTGAAAGATTAGATTTATCAGCTACTGCAGTGTTTGGTAAATCATCTGAGCCTTGCATATTCTTTGCAGGAAGAATTTTTACATTGAATGATTCAACATTTACAGTGGTTATAGGACCACTGTTGTGTTTCTTGACTTAGTTTTGGTAATATTTTTCAAGCAATTTGTCCATTTCAAACTTGCTGGCATCTGTCATTATGTCTCCTATTTATTGCTTATCTGTACCTCCTTTTTCTTTCTTCATTAGTCCTGGCAGAAGTTTGTAAATTTTCTTATTCTTATCAAAAATAAGCTATATGGCTTTTGACTACTATCTCTGTTTTCTATTTAATCAATTCTGCATATATATATAGATATTAATTTCCTTCATTCTTTGAGTTTGCTCTGTTCTTTTACTAACATCTTAAGTTAGAGGCCTAACTCATTTCAACATCTTTTTCTCTTCTACTATACATATTTAACGTTATACATGTCCATCTAACTATTGATTTAGCAATGTCTACAAAAGCAATGTACATTCTTCAGTTTTGAATATTATATTTTACGTACTAGATCTATTCATCTCTAATAATACTTTTTACTTTAAAATCTATTTTGGCCAATATTTATAGAGCTATATCAGTTTTCCTGTGGTTGGTATTTGCATGCCATATGTTTTTCCATCCTTTCACTTTCAATACTCTGTATTTTTGAGTTAGATATGACTCTCATAACATCATTTAGCTGAATTTTTAAATTCAATTTTGATCTATATTTCTTGTAACTGAAAAGTTAGTCCATCTTAATTTCACAATTTTATGTTTTCCTTACTAGTTTTCCTGCTTCTTTAATTCCTCCCCTTCTCTCCTTTGCCATTTTTTGTTAAAAGTTGATTAAGGTGCTCTTATTACTCAATCCATTTTTTTGTCTTTCTACTTTTTTGGAAATTAAAATCTGTCTATTTGTTCAGTGGTCATTTTGAATAATTTAGCAAACATACTAAATTTTCCAATGTCTAAAATTAAACGATACTTTTACCTTCCTCCTGAACAATGCAAAGATTCTAAAATACTTCAACTCCAACCACTTACTTTTAAAATTTTGCTAATATTGTCCAATATTATGATTCTATGTAGATTTTAACCCCACAAGTCAGACATTATTATGACAACTTATACCACATTTTATGGTATATATTTATACTATATAACTATACATTGACCATACTTTTGCCTGTTACTCTGAGTGAAATGGGAAGCCAATGCAAAGATAAGCAGGGCAGTAAGGCTCAAAGAAGCTTCGTGTCCCGAGATGCTGATCTTTAGGGATTATATCAACCAGACCTCCTTACCATCGGGCTTCCAGTTAAGTTTGGCTAGTGGGAAGAATGAGCAGGAGATCACCGAATAGAGAGAGTTTGGAGTGTTTATTCTCCTGCTTCCTCTCTGCTTGGCTGCAGTTTAGTAGTCGCTGACTTCATCTATCTAGGATCATAGGCCCTCTTAGGAAGGATCTCAGACATAGTGACAGTTCTTCCCTGGTTCTAGTCATGGTTTCCTCCCCTTTCTCTTTCAGCCTAGGGGTGGCGATAGCTTCTTACTGTTACCAACACTGCGTACTTCACCATCCTTTGATTCCCTTAACCCTGCCTATCCTGTATAAATAATGTTTCATTAAAAAAAAACAAAAAAAACTCTTCAATTACTCCTTGGAGTGTGCTACCTGCTTCCTGTTTCCTGCTGAGCTCCTTATCAACATAAAAAGAATGGGCATCAAAATACACACTCTTTCCATTCATACTTTTCAGTCGTATGTCCTATTTCCCTTCCCTACTGCCCCCAAATTCTTTACAACATAACCGTATAAATGCTTGGAATTTTCTCCTATACTTTTTGCCATCTTGTGTAAGAGTGGATGTTAAAGGGATTGGACACTAATTCAATTTATTATCTTTTGCAGTTATTTTTCCCATTTGAAGACAGAACTGCAGCTCTAATCAGAGCAGGAATAGAGTATTTTAAGGTATTTCTTTTTTGCTCTGTCACTCATTCTTTTTATGACAAGGAGAACAGATTGTAAATCAAGTCTTGGACTTCCTCTACTTCCTTGTAAAGAATTTTAACAATAGTTAATCTAATCTCTGCTGAAATATGGCATGCACCTGAGGCTGTCAGAGTGCCACACAGAGAAAACATTAGTTAAGAATTCTACCCCTGCCAATCAATGATAGACTGGATAAAGAAAATGTGGCACATATGCACCATGGAATACTATGCAGCCATAAAAAAGAATGAGTTAATGTCCTTTGCAGGGACATGGATGAAGCTGGAAACCATCATCCTCAGCAAACTAACACAGGAACAGAAAACCAAACACCACATGCTCTCACTCATAAGTGGGAGTTGAACAATGAGAACACATGGACACAGGGAGGGGAACATCACACACCAAGGCCTGTCGGGGGTGGGGGGCAAAGGGAGGGATAGCATTAGGAGAAATACCTAATGTAGATGATGGGTTGATGGGTGCAGCAAACCACCATGGCACGTGTATACCTATGTAACAAACCTGCACAGTCTGCACATGTATCCCAGAACTTAAAGTATAATAAAAATAAAAATAAAATGTTAAAAAAAAAGAAGAAAAGAAGAAACAATTTAAAAAAAAAAAGAATTCTACTCCCAGCAGTAGAAAAAAATGCGGCATTTTTCTAAGTGGTGTTTTAGGATTATTCTATTTAATGGCTTATGTTATTATCTGCGTGAAACCTGCAATCCCCAGGAATCTTAGAATTTTAGACTTATGTTTAGAAATACAGAAGCAACTGGTCCAGTATTTATTTTTTCTAATATTCTTTCTTCTAAGATCTTGGAAAGATAAACAAGTAGTCACTGCTTAGGTATTTCTAGTGTCTGACAGAACCTCATATGAGTTTTAAATATTCCATTAACAGTGTATTTATTACTAAAAATGTGTCTCCATGTGCTGAATCAAAATCTGCACAACCAAAACATCCACCAGTTGGAGCCAATAACACTCTCAGAGGCAAGAAGTCTAGTCCAAGCAATTTTTCTCTCCTTTATATGTTAACTCATTTCATTTCCAGGACTCAGCACAGTGCCTGCACATAATAGGCTATCAAAGTTATTAAATAATTTGAATGAATAAAATATTTAAAGACACCTATATATCAAGACCTCCTTAGGTCTTTTTTAGGACAATCATGCCCAATTCCCTTAATCATCTTCAAGTGATGCTTTCTAAACATATTATAATTGACTGCATTCATTTGTACAAACTCAATTTGTACATGACCATCTGAAAATGTGACAATCAGGACCGAACAAATAGCTTTAGAAATGGGTTGACAAGACAGTGCCAAAATGGGACTATTCTTTCTTTTCTTTATTTAAGGTATTGTATTTCTAGTAATGGAATCTAAGTATGTGTCAGCATGTCTGATAACCCCACTATTGGCTTAAATAGAACTTGTGCTTAATTAAAATAACCACATTTTAGCTTATTTATTCATTCACTAACTTATTGCCCAGACTATTGTAGACAATGGAAGTACAGAATGAATAAGACAAGCCAAAGGCCTACCCTGAACATGCAACCTTTTTTAAAGTTTGAGATTGTTTAAAAATAAAAATGTATTAATAGACAAAACTGACACTGAATAAATAAGTAAATGCATAAACATTATGATGCTCAGTAATAAGTGATATTAAAAATTAAGTAAGGTAAGGAGTTTAAAAAGGGATGAGGAAGAGGCCACAATAAATTGAGGTATAAAGGAAGATCTCTCTTAGGAGATGACATTTGAACAAATACCTGATAGATATAAAGAAACAAGCAATGCAAACCTATAAGAGAGAGAGAGCTTCTAGGCAAAATAATTACATATGGTGCGCCCTACAACTGGAATATCTGAGGAACAAGAGGCCACTGTGGCAAGCAAAGAGAGAATACAGGGAGGGTGATAGAAGATGAGTGGTAGGAAAGGAATGACCAGATCATGTAGGGCTTTGTATACCATAGTACAGGATTAGGATTTTATTCCAGGTATTACGGAAAGCCATCGTAGGGTTTTGAGCAGGAGAGTGATGCTATCTGATTTACATTTTCAAAAAAGTTTCTCTGGCTACTCTGTGAAGAGGAAACAAGAGTAGAAGCAGGAAGACTGAATAGAAAGCTTTTGTAACAGACCTAGTGATAGAGGATGAGTATTTGGCTTAGTACTAACCCAAGGATAGAGGTTTTGTATCAATCCCTATTATATTATTAAGCTTTTAAAAATTTTTAGAATGGGTTTTTAGATATAGAGAAAAGTTGCAAAGATAGTACAGAGAGATCCCGTATACTCCACACTTAGTTTTCCCTGTTGTGAACATTTTTTACATTACTATGGTAAATCTGTCACAACTAATGAAACAAAATTGATACGCAAATACTAATTGAAGTCCATACTTTATTCAGATTTCTTTAGTTTTTCCCTAGTATATTTTTTGTTTCCATTCCAGGATCGCATCCAGGATACCATATTATATTTAGTTGTCCTGTTTCCTTAGTCCACTCTAGATGGTGACAGTTTCACAGAATTGCCCTGTTTTTAATCCCCTTGATTGTTTTGAGGAGTACTGGTCAGGACTTTTGTAGGAATCCCACATTAAAAGTTTATTTGATGTTTTACTCACAATTAAATTGGAGCAATGGGTTTTGGGGAGGAAGACCACAGAAGTAAAATGCTATTTTCATTCTATCATATCAAGAGTACATGTCATCAATATGACTTATCACTGGGGATGAGATAGTATCTGGCCGGCTTTTCCGCTGTAAAGTTACTCTTTTCCCTGCTCTTCCCACTTCATTCACTGGAAGCAAGTCACAATGTGCAACCCGCACTTAAGGGGTGGGGATTTATGCCCTACTTCCTTGCCCAGGAAGTATCTATATAAATTATTTGAAATTCTTCTACATGAGAGATCTGTCTCTTCTTCTTCATTTATTTATTTATTCAATCATGTGTTTATATCCGTTTGAGCTCATGGGTATTTATTTTATATTTTTAGTTACAATCCAATATTATGTTATTTACTATTTTGCTCAAATTACTTCAGCTTTAGCCATAGGGAGCTCCTTTAGTTGGCCCCTGTGTCGTTTTGACATATTTCTATCATTGTTGCTGTTGTTATTGTTGTCATTTGTTTGCATGTTATAGGATTTTTTAAAGCACTCCTTGTTCCTGGCACTATGAAATGATACAGGCTCATTCTATATATTCCCTGATCCAGCCCTAGAACCAGCCACTTCTCCAAGGAGCCCTGGTTCCTTTCAGTAGAGAATAGTATTTGAAACCAAGAGCTGGCCATTAGCTGTGTTCATTTCCACCAAGGTGTTATATCTTCTAGACCCTCTCATCTAACAGAGAAAGGAAATGTTTTTATAGTAACCTGTACATATACACATATCTATAAATATTTCTAAATATATCAAACTATATCTCTGTGTGAGTTCATACTGATTTCTCCAAATCTAATCCTTTAACACATACATAATTTTAGCTTTCACCCCTTGCTTGTGTGTAACCTCCCACTCCAACAGTAAGAAACCTGGCTCCCAACATCTGCCATTCATTTACTTAATAATTCAATTCCAGTATACATATATAGCAGCATCAAAACTGATTATCTGTACCCCCCATGGCAACCAACTTTATCAACTAAAGTACAATGCTTATGTGCAGTTTCTTTTGCCCTTTGTTTCACAGTCTCCAGTCATTTCTAAAGTTATTTAGGTACACACGTTTTCCCATATTCCCATCAGTGAAGCTATTTCCTATATTTGTGATATAGTTGGATTCTTTTGTCATGGCCTGCATTCCATCCTGGGTATCTGGACCTCCTAAATGATTTTCTAAATAAGCCCTAAACAGGGCTTATTTTGCATTCCATAATGCAAATGAGGTCAAACATATTTTCATATGCCTATTTGCCACCTGCTTTTATTTTTTTCTTTTCTTTTTTTTTTTTTTTTTTTGAGACAGTCTCACTCTGCAGCTCAGGCTGGAGTTCAGTGGCATGATCTCGGCTCACTGCAAGCTCCGCCTCCCAGGTTCACGCCATTCTTCTGCCTCAGCCTGCTAAGTAGCTGGGACTACAGGCATCTGCCACCGCGCCCGGCTTATTTTTTGTATTTTTAGTAGAGACGGGGTTTCACCGTGTTAGCCAGGATGGTCTCGATCTCCTGACCTTGTGATCCGCCTGCCTCGGCCTCCCAAAGTGTTCGGATTACAGGCGTCAGCCACCGCGCCCGGCCTTGCCACCATCTGATTTGCTGTCTTCTTTGATGAAGTGCCTGATCAGATCGTTTCCTCATTTTTTAATTGGGGCTGTTTGTTTACTTATTATTGCATTTTAAGAGTTCTTTATATTTTTTAGATATATGTCCTAAATTTATCTGGTATGTAATTTGCAAATATTTTCTCCCAGTTGGTGATTTGTCTTTTCATTCTCTTAACAGTGTTTTTGGTAGAGCAAAAGTTTTTCATTTTAATAAAGCCTAAACTGTCGATTTTTTTCTTTCATGAACCGTGCTTTTGGTGTATCTAGAAATGTTTCACTGAACAAAAGTTCACATAGATTTTCTCCCATGTTTTCTTTTTAGAAACATTATAGTTTTGCGTTTTACATTTAAGTCTGTGATACATTTTGAGTTAATTTTTGTGTGAAGTGTAAGATTTGAGACTGGGTTCATTTTTATTTTTTGCATATTGATGTTCAATTGTTCCAGCACCATTCATTGAAAACACTATCCTTACTTCCATTAATTGCCTTTGCACCGTTGTCAAAATTCAGTTGACTGTATCTTCTATTGTATCTTGTTAATTTTGACCCATCCTTCCATCCTGTCAAAATGGTTTCGGGTCTTCATTTTGTCAGTCAGTATATCTTCTATCCCAGAGTCAACAATAATTTAATAGGTATGTTCTCCAACAAATAATTAAGCAGCATGTTGAATAGTTTAATACTATGGACAGAGCTCTGATGCATTTCACTAGGAACTTCCTCCAGATCGATGTTTATTCCAGAATTGGGATTTTTTTTTTTTTCTTTTCTGCTGGTTTTTTGTTTGTTTGTTTTTTGTTGTTGTTCTTGTTGTTTGCTTGTTTTTTGAGATGGAGTTTTGTTCCTTCGCCCAGACTGGAGTGCAGTGACATGATCTCAGCTCACTGCAACCTCCGCCTTCCAGTTTCAAGCGATTCCCCTGCCTCAGCCTCCCGAGTAGCTGGGATTTCAGGCACCCACCACCACACCTGGCTAATTTTTCTATTTTTAGTAGAGACAGGGTTTTGCCCTATTGACCAGGCTGGTCTCGAGCTCCTGACCTCGTGATCTGCCTGCCTCGGCCTCCCAAAGTGCTAGGATTACGGGTGTGAGCCCCACCATGCCCGGCCTCTGCTTTTTTTATAGTTATTCAAAATACACAAACAGCGATGGTATACATCCATATGCAGGATCTGACAGTTTCTAAAATCAGAAAGTACTCTGGAAGTATCTTCTCTTATAGCTGAGGTTTCAGTTGCTCTTGTCAATGGAGTCTATTTTACCCTTTCCAATTTGCAAAGCTACGTAGCTCTCTTTTCTCCACATCATGGGTTACCATCCTGTCACATTCCTGTACTCCTTCCTCATTTGTGTAGCATAGAAGATAACTAAAAACATTCCATTACTTACATTTCTAGATTTTATCTTCATTAACACTATCCTTTTGGGACAAGATCACCCTTATGAATTTGACCTTGTTCTTGTATTCTTATTTTTACCTTTTAGAAAATATCTTTTAAAATTTGAACTCAGCAGACTAAAGAAAGACACATGACAATTAAATTAATTGCATGATTCTGAACTGGATACTTTTGCTGTAGAGAAATCATTGGGACAATTGATGAAATATGAATGGGATCTGAGAATTAAATGATAGTAATGTGTTAGTGTTAATTTCATCATTTTGATGTTTTTATAGTCTGTATGTAGAATAATATCTTTGTTTTTAGGAAATACACACTTACATGTTCAGGGATGATGGGGCATTGTGTTAGCAATTTACTCAAAATATTCACAGAAAATATTCTTTGCACTGAACTTGCAACTTTTCTGAAATTTTGTGATCGTTTTGAAATTAAAATGTCTTAATGAATACAATTTTTAAATTCCACTAATCAGACAAAATTTAAGGATATCCACATTAGCTTCTTAGAATGCCCCCTCCCCCTTTCCCTCCCACAAAGAATTATGCACAATCATGAAATTGGAAATTCATTTCCAGAGTCTCCCATCCCCTTCTATCCATATTCCCTTTTCGGCTTTCTATATAAGTTATACGTGTTTTTTTTCTTTGATTTTTGGAAATCTTTCCTTGTCTAATCATGTCAATGAATTTTCAAATGCCATGGCAATTCTTGTTCTCTCAAATTCCCTATACCTTCAATAACCATCAATAGGTAAAATTAAGTCCAGCACAGTAGCTCCCCCCACGGCTTCCCCACCTACTAAGAAAAAAAAAATTACCAGGACAGATGGTAACATATTTTTCACATAGACTGGGTTTTGCATTCTTCCCTTTATCCTTACTCTTTACTGCGTTTTCCTCCCTCCTGACTGGGGCTTTTATATAGATATATATATTTCTAATTTAAAAGAATCAAGCCAGGCCGGACGCGGTGGCTCACGCCTGTAATCCCAGCACTTTGGGAGGCCGAGGTGGGCGGATCACCTGAGGTCAGGAGTTCGAGACCAGCCTCAACATGGAGAAACCCCATCTCTACTAAAAATACAAAATTAGCCAGACGTGGTGGTGCATGCCTGTAATCCCAGCTACTCGGGAGGCTGAGGTAGGAGAATTGCTTGAACCTGGCAGGTGGAGGTTGCGGTGAGCCGAGATCACGCCATTGCACTCCAGCCTGGGCAACAAGAGCAAATCTCCATCTCAAAAAAAAAAAAAAAAAAGAATCAAGCCAACATGTCACCAAAATTTTTAGAGATCACATGATTTAGGAACTCTAAATACAGAGATTTACTTGAGTCAGAGAAGGTGTTATGAACCAGCCTGCTTAATCCAAGCAGATCTTTGAATCAAAGGACTACTTGGGATATTTTTGAGCAGGAGATTTTCTAAAACTTCTTACTTACCCTGAGTAAATATTCTCAGTAAGAACAACGCTTAGGACGACAATATTTCCCCATTCTTTCTTGGCTGTTTCTGAAGAAATAGCCACTTCTTATTAGGCCTATGGAAGTAGAAATGGAGCCATAGCTGGTCTTAGGTTCTCTCTCTCTCTCTTTTTCTCCTTATCTATTTCTATCACTTTCTCCATCCGTCTCTCCCATCTTCCCTACCATTTCTTACTATTTATGTATTCCTCAGAGTTCAAGAACCAAGGTGGGGCTCTTGCAATTACATTTAAGAATGTAATCTTTGCTATGTTTTGTTTTTTTTAAAAAAAAAAAAAAAAAAAAACCCAAAACATTGCAATTCCCATGTAGCTTCTGCTTTGAGTTTATTTTATGTCATAGAAGAATTATTTTAATATGCGTACTGAGAAGGAAAAACAAGTTCGAAACACTGAAAATAAAAATACACAAAAGGGTTTTGACATTGGGCATTACACAATGATCCAGGTTTCATAAAACTTAGAGTTGAACATGGGAATTACATGACCATTCTTCCAGAAAGTGAAATCCCATTATATCAGGCCTATATGTAATGATTGTTTCACAATAATAATGTGAGGTATTAATCAAATTGGAAAGCCCTGACCAATGGCTTATAAAGCAATTCCCCCCTCATTTAACATCATCCAACTTTAAAATGCATTTGTATTTACTTCAGAGCCTTAAAAAAAAACCTACTGGTGGCTCCCTTTTATCTCTAAGGTATGCTGTGATGATACTTTTTTCCATATACGTAAAGCACGGAACTAAGCAACCATGTTTACAAGACAATAAAGAGAAAAAAATTGATAACAGTCACTTAAAAGAATCTTAACCACAATATGTTAACATTTAAAAGGGTGCCAGAGGGCAATAAGATAATTCAAAAATAGTGAAGGAATAAGCTAAAAATAACCACTGTATAAAAATATGCACTGACTCAGTATAAATTAATAGATGACTACCCTTTTGATCCAAGCTGGAAAAACTTGCTTCTCAGGTACTTGTCATGAAATAGGAACATCCTATTGCATCTTTCAACCAATCTCTATTTCCTGAAAGCCTGACTTTCAAAATTGTTCTGACTGTCTCTCATGCCACTTTCCAGAAAGTGACAAATGTTAACCCTTTCCGTGCAATCACATGATTTTTGAATATGAGGGAGTAATCCGGCTGAGACAGAATACCAGATGTAAATTTAGGTTCTCTTCACAAAGGCTAAGGAGTTTATGATTCGCCTGGGTTTAAATTGGAAAGACGTACTGCCATGTCCAACAGAAACTGCTAGCTGACAGCCATATCCATTGTTTCATCCTAGATGCCCAGCTAAATTATATTTCTCAGCTGTCCTTGCAGGTAGATGTGGCCATAGGCTGAACTTTATCCAATAACATATGAGCAGAAGAGATACATGTCACTTCCAAGCTTGGCCCATAAAAGCCCTCCCACGTGTGATCCTCCATGTCCTGTTCCCTTTGCTGTGTGGTGTTGAAAGCTGAGCATGGAAGATGATGGAGCCACAGATGAAAGGAGCCCAGGCATCCCAATCATCACAAACAGCAAAACTGCCTGCTGCTGGGGAGCATTTCACTGGGTTAAGAAACTGAAAGTTGGAGCTTTCTCTTCCAGCAGCTGGCATCCTCTTAACTAATACACTACAGTTATCATCATTATTTGCAGAGGACCAAAGGCAGAGGCATCTCCCGTTACAGAGTTGTCACAATCACAATCTTTCCCACGGTAGAAATTGCCTGAGACTCCATCATTAGACAATGCCAGAGCAAGAGAAAGTTTTTCTTGTGCCGGCATCAAAGGAGTGAAGTGGAACTCTGCACCAAGGAAGGGGTCTCAACATGGGTAATTTGCCCTTCAGACAAGCCAACAGGTCCATGCACCCAGGAGAGAATAAATGCTATACTAACTTCCCAAAATCAATGTATAATGCATGAATGTGTATAACTAAGATAATATATTTACTAGAAAGCAAATTATATATATATTTCTCTGTCTCTACATCTCTCAGTGTATATACATTCTTTACAATCTCTTCATTACTTCCTCTCACATGGTATAAAACTTTCATTCACTCATTCTGCAAAATACTCATTAAGCAATTAGGAACTGGAAAATATTTCATCAGAAGTGACATATGAACCATTGCTTTCAGTTGTTGAATCAATTCACTGAGAAAAAAAAATGAGCACTGCAAAATTCTTATGCATGAATCCCAGGCAAAAACTACATTTTATAAAGCAAAGCAAATTTTTGATATTCTGGCTCAGTGACAGACAGTCAAATATTTCTTTGTTTTTGAATGAGAAAAGTCAGTGACTGTATTCACAATCCACATACAATATCTAATACCTACAACTGGAAACAGAAGTTCTTTATTTCTGGTAGGAGTGGGTATCTGGGCCAAACATTACTTGAACCATCAAAGAATATTAATATTTGTCATGTGAGCATTAAGTGCTATAGGAAAAAACAAACACAAATCTGAGAGAGTTCCTGCCTTCAAGAGTCTACTATCTGACAGGGGCAAGAAAACAGAACAAGCTTCAGGCAAGATTTACCCACACAGGAAGCGTTAGAAAGAGATATAATCTAACCTGGACTTTGAACTATGGGTCTAAGTAGACACAGCGAAATGAGGACAATATTTCAAGAGGACAATGAAGTCTCATGAGACCAAACTGGTTGATTTGTACAGAAAATGGTGCTGTCCTTGTTTTTGTACAAGAACATCCTGTTAGAGACAGTCCATATTTGTTCCCTCCTCTGTGGATGCACTACACTTGATTCTTGCCTCCATTAACTTGCCTTATTGCACTACACTGACATCATCCGTTTACCCCTCCCACTTGATCGTGAGCTCCCCAAAGGCAAGGACCGATTCTAGATCATGCTCATATTTATCTCCAGCATTTATCTCAGTGCGTAGAAAGAGCAGAGGCCCAGTAAATGCTATTGGCAAGAAGAGATGGACGAAAGAATGAAAGACAAATATTTGCAGCCAGCTAGACACTCCCCTCCGCCGTCAATCACAGCAGTACAAGGCGCCAAGTAAACACAAAAATATCCTTCAGGATGGTCCAACCCTGGCGCTAAGATAGTGCTACAATGCCAGCACATTCTTCAATTCAAAGAGAACTGATTCCGCTAAATAGCTCAACTTACGTGCCTTCTAAAGTGTACTGAGTATTCCCAGATTTTCTTACCGAGATGTCTGTATATATGCCTTGGAAGCAAATCAGTATTGTTGACAATAATATCATAATTTCATCCATTATGATTCTCTTGCTCTAATCACACTATTATTTTTTAAATCGAACTTCTGAGAACTATGTACTTAATGTAGACAGTTTATCTTATGAACTTACCTGCAGATAATAGACACAGTTCAATAATAGGTTCTAAAGAATTATACCGTATGATTTTAGTAATCAGTGCATTTGTTATCAGAATTTGTCATAGTTGCTCCAGCTAAATTACCTTTCAGACGTGGTACTTCATATATGGAGATGATCACCGGGGATGATTCTGGAGAACTCATTAGGACGCTCAAGTAGTTATCATGGTATCAAAACTGTCCCCCCAAAAGGAAAATTCTGCCATATGCCTTATATTCAAAACTAGAGTTTAGGCCGGGTGCGGTGCCTCACGCCTGTAATCCCAGCACTTTGGGAGGCCGAGGCAGGCGGATCACCTGAGGTCGGAAGTTCGAGACCAGCCTGACCAACATGGAGAAACCCCGTCTCTACTAAAAATACAAAATTGGCCGGGCGCTGTGGCTCACGCCTCTAATCCCAGCACTTTGGGAGGCCGAGGCGGGCGGATCACGAGGTCAGGAGATCGAAACCATCCTGGCTAACACGGTGAAACCCCGTCTCTACTAAAAATATAAAAAATTAGCCGGGCGTAGTGGCGGGCGCCTGTAGTCCCAGCTACTCGGGAGGCTGAGGCAGGAGAATGGCGCGAACCGGGGAGGCGGAGCTTGAAGTGAGCCGAGATCGTGCCACTGCACTCCAGCCCGGGCGACAGAGCGAGACTCCGTCTGAAAAAAAAAAAAAATACAAAATCAGCTGTGCATGGTGGCACATGCCTGTAATCCCAGTTACTAGGGAGGGTGAGGCAGAAGAATCGCTTGAACCTGGAAGGCCGAGGTTGCGGTGAGAAGAGACCGCGCCGTTGCACTCCAGCCCAGGCAACAAGAGCGAAACTACGTCTCAAAAAAAAAAAAAAAAAAAAAAATAGAGTTTAGAGACATAAACAGGGCTTTTAGTCCTAGCTACATTGGGGAGAAAAAAAATACTCAACTTTAATTATTTAATCAAATCAGTAGTTCAGATTTCTTCCAAATCTGAAGCAAAGGAAAATACAGATTTAAGTTGGGTTATTGGGAACATAGCATTTTGCGACATGTTTAAAGTTTTCAGATTTGCTCTATATTAGTTTCTAAATTGAATAGTTGGCCTCCAGAGGAATACCAGAAGATTTAAGTAATGCTTTTTTCCAGGTTAAAAAAAAAAATTTTCTGTGGCTATATTAAAAGAAATAGCCTTGTTTCCCTAGAGCTAGCTTGTAAAAATGCATTTTTATGAACTCAACTGACTTTAAAAAATCTTATGAACATTATATTTTATTTCTCCAATTTCAAAGTTACTTCTCACATTATATATAAACCACTTTTACTAGTTTTAACTAATGTAATGTTTTCATAATTTTTGATATTCTTTTTCAGTTTGAATAACTAACACATTTCCATGAATCGACACTATCTACATGCTTGTCATTTTAATGTTTGCATATCATTCTTTGTGTTGATGTACCATAGATTATTTTGTCCTTCTCAAACCAGTGGGTGTTTTTATCCAACAGGTATGTTGGGTACATATTGAGCACCCTCTACCCTGTTCTGCTTCTCTCCTTTTTCTGTTTGTTGTATTACATTTTGAATGGCAAAAGGTATTTAATTTTATACATTTAATTCGATCTGTAATCAAAATCTCCATTTCTTCAATAATCAGAAATGCATCTCCACTCTGAGTAGCATGGAAATATAATATGGCATTCCAAACCATTTTATGTTCCTTTATATTAACTCTTCATTACAACCGAAATTCATTGCAGTATACAGTTTGAGGTTTGGCTTGAGTTTACATTAATGAGTCTCCAAATTGCCTTCCAGTTTTCCCAACCAGATATGTTATATTTGTGTTCCTTCTCCCATAATTCACTAGCTTCTGGTTTTTCACATATATAATTCTTATAAGTTGTAAATGTACCTAAATAATATGGTTTACATATGGTTTATTAAGCATGTCACATAATCTCATATAATATCAATAGCTCTTTGTGTAAGGCAGAAAAACTCTTTTTTCCAAATGAAGAAACAAACGATTCAGAAAGATGAAATAAAATACCCAAAGTTATGCCAGAGTCATGATTCTTGTCCCAATTCAAAGTCTTTTCATTTCCTCACCCTGATAAACATAGTAATTTGAATATTTTAGTAAGCTCTACTATCCTCTGCCATTCAGTTGTTTTATATATAACTCAATACCAGTCAGTTCTGTCTATTTAGAATATACTTTAAAGTTTGAATATATTTGTTAAGTCTGTTGGGACCAACCACCATCATTACATTTTTTTAAAATATGTATTAGTATTAGCCATGTATTCTTGCAGGTGAAAATCAGTATTGTTTCATTTAAAATTTATGAATTATCCTATGAAGATACCAATTAGATTATGTTATCTGTAAAATAGCTTGGAAAAATTTCCATCTCTACTGTAGTTATGATATACAACCTTATTTGTCCATGTTTTCCTTCATTCTTTCATAGTGTTTTATTTTATTGTGTAATAAATTCCATGTGCACTAAATTGTATTACATCAAAATTATTTTAAAGGTATTGTGAATTGATTTTTTATTTATTGTATCTTCAAGTCATCCTTCATTAATATATCAGTGTGAATATTTGTGAATTCTCATAACTTATTTGGTCAATATACTGGAAGAGTCTAAGCAGACAAGTTTTCTTAAAATTCGTAAAAAATGATTTGTTTTCCCTTTTATTGATCTACCTTTAATGTTGCTTTTCTTTGCATGGGGCTATTGCCTACACTTCCAATGTTATGTCTAATGAGAGTTGTTTCAAATGGCAATCCCAAAGATCTCTCTTACAGTCAACTCCATTGTTTTTCATGTCATTTCTAGGTTTTAAATGCAATCTGTGCAGGCCGGGTGCAGTGGCCCATGCCTGTAATCCCAGCACTTTGGGAGGCTGAGGCTGGTGGATCACATGAGGTCAGGAGTTTAAGACCAGCCTGACCAACAGGGAGAAATCCCGTCTCTACTAAAAATACAAAATTAGCCGGGCATGAGGGCACATACCTGTAATCCCAGCTACTCGGGAGGCTGAGGCAGGAGAATCACTTGAACCTGGGAGGCAGAGGTTGCAGTGAGCTGAGATTGCACCACTGCACTCCAGCCTGGGTAACAAGAGTGAAACTCCGTCTCAAAAAAAAAAAAAAAAAAATACAATCTGTGAATATTTGATTTTCAGTTTAAATTAATAAGAGATGTTTTGTATGGTTTTTGGCATATACTAAAATAGTTACGTAATATTTTACATTTTAGTGTGTGATAAACTGCAAAGGTAAACCATAAATAATGCCGGGGTTCATTCATGTATTCATTCAACAAACTTTTGCTGAGCTCTGCTGTCAGCACTGGTGGAGATGCACCGGTGAAGTAAGCAGATGAAGTCTTTGCTCTTATCAAGCTCAATTTTCACTGGAATTACGGTCAAAATGGAAAATGATTCTAATGTAATAACATTATGTATGCTAAAATTGTATTTAAGAATTCTGGATCCACGGTAGGGAATAAAAGGGTTAACAGTGGATCTGTAATTTGACTCCTTTCACCTTAGGGATATTTTAATTGGTTTTGATCCCAACCAGACCTCTTTATTAAAACACTGAAAGAATTTACTAGCTAGAAGATAAACTCCTCCAGATCTTATCTAAAGAGTTCTTTTCTCACAGTATACTTGATCTGTTTGGATTGTTTCTTCTAAATAACTAGTTTATGTATTAATGAGCTGACTGAAGAATGCAACCTAGGCCTTCTGGCTATATGGCTAGCAGAATACAAAAACAAGAGGCCCCAAAACTAAGTGAATTTCTTGGGCTAACTTTTACCACTCACAGTTGTCCTTGTTATTCCACACCAACATACACTGACATGGAAAGGGGATTAGGAAGCTGCAGCTCATGGACCTGGAGCATTTCAATATCAATGTGCTGTTCACTGCGGCTTCTTTTGGGTATCCTTTGCTAATCATTGGCAAATCACAGTTCTGGGTAAGATCTCTGTCTTGTATAAATCTGATTGACAATTCACCTCTGTATGTAATCATAACTAAAACGTGTCATCCGGGTTTTTCCCAACTCCTGTCAGTAGATACAGCCCCGTATGCTTTCTAACCAAGAGGACGATAACAATTCAATTCAACAAACACATATTAAGTATCTGAGAATACATCAGGCACTGAGAATACAAAGACAAATCAATTATGTTTCTGGCCTCCATTCAATTATAGACCACTGAGTCAACAGACTCAGACCCTTGAATGCTGGAGAATGAAATTTGTCTTGCGGTTATGAGTTAGGTATGAGGTGTGCCTAAAATGAATGCTTGTGGTCAACACACTCACCAAACTGCAGTTTCCCTCAAAATCCAAATCCCACCACCACCAACGTCTTCACCATTCATATAACAGAGGTTCTGGCATAATTTCTGTTTGTTTAACCCTTTTCCTTAATGAAACAGGAGTCTTGCTGGAGATATTTTACAGAAGCTACCAGTGCCCAACTCTAGCCCCAGGGCTTCCCCGGGAGTTCTCCTAGGTGAGTTCCTACATAAACTGCATCCCATGTTTCCTGCCCGCAGGCATTCTTTGGTTGTAGACGCCTGCTGGGCCTGCTCTGAGAGGACCCCCCAACTCCGGGTCTGAGCCCAATGGACCACAGGCTTTCTTCTATTTTATTGACTTTCCTCTTTTTCCCTCTCTTATTTCCCCAGTCTCTCACCATAGTTCTTCAGATCACCTTGCAAATAAATAATCTGCACATGTATCCTTATCTCTGGGTCTAATTTGGGAGAATCCAAAGTAAGACAATAGGAATTTTTGCAATTTTCTTGCCTGTGTGCAGTCACTTCTCCCCAGGATTAGGTCCCACCCCAATCCCCTTAGCCAATATCCAAAGATCTGTTAAAGTCGAGAGAAACAAACCGACCATAATATTCCCCTTGTTCTCGACAGAGTGGCTAATTTGGGTGTCTCTAATAGACTCATTTGCTGCAGCTTCTTTAGGCACTGCACATTAGACTAATGTTTAACAGATCAGACCATTTCTAAAGCCAGATGACGTCTTACAGCCCTGATACCACTATGTAAGTTTCTCTCACTTACTCACCACAATAAGCTGCAGCCCTATATAACATAACATTTTCAGCAATGTATTGTTCATACCTGTCCATTGTTTGTCTCCTTCATTACATAATAGTCTTTTAAGAATGCAGACCATTTTGTATTCAGTGCCTGACACAGAGGCTTTCAAAAAATAGTCCACATATAAATGAATGAATAGCCAATATCCCACTAAAATCTCCAAACACGGCGTCCAACAAGCTTTTCAACCTCAGCATATTAACAACCAAATTCATCATCTCCTCCGCCCTAAGCTGTCCGCTCTTTTGTTTGACTTCATACTTCAGTGAATGGTATTTTCATTGTTTTTATCTCACTGATTTATGCTGAAAGTTTCTATAACACGCAAATTATGTATTCCTTAATGATTTGGTAGAAATTTCATGCAAACTATATGGATCTGGTGGCTACTTTAGGGATAGATCTTTGACAAATTCTTCGTTTTTTTTCCTATGGATAGTAGTTGTACTGCATTACATAGTATGCGATTTTTATATTTTTATTTGTGATTTATTTATTTTTTAATTAATTGAGCCACTGATGTATACATTTTGTCAATTTTGGTCATGAATTATCTACTAGTTCTCAATCTCTTCATAGTTTTCTATTTTATGTATGTATTTCAGTGTAGTTTGTCCCTTTCCTTATTCTTTTATTTTTATTTTTTCTGTATTTTATGTTATTTTTCTGTGTTTTCTGTGTTCTGAATTCATTGTTTTTGTATTTCTTATTCTCTTTTTATATTTCTTATCTTATTACTATGCATATTCAGAGAGAAAGGAATTTAACCGTACTTACTGATACACATTAATTTTGATGTTACATTTATGTTTTTTATTGCTATTATTGTACTGGATTTCCTTCTTGATCCAGAAATTATTTAGAGAGCGCTCCATTTCCATGTGGATGTCCTGTGTTACAACTTTTAACATTTCTACTGATCTTAAAATGTAGTATTGGTTTAGTGCAAAAATAATTGCAGTTTTTGCCATTGAAAGTAATGACAAAAACCACAATTACTTTTGTTATCTTAGTGTCTCTGTGTCCACATATGTGATTATTTTCTTTTTTTTCTTCTTTTTTTTTTTTTTTTTTGTTTGAGATGGAGTTTCGCTCTTGTTGCCCAGGCTGGAGTGCAATGGTGCAATCTCGGCTCACTGCAACCTCCGCCTCCCGGGTTCGAGCGATTCTCCCGCCTCAGCCTCCTGAGTAGGTAGGATTACAGGCACCCGCCACCATGCCCAGCTAATTTTTTGTATTTTTAGTAGAGACGGGGTTTCACTATGTTGGCCAGGCTGGTCTTAAACTCCTGACCTCAGGCGATCCACCAGCCTCGGCCTCCCAAAGTGCTGGGATTACAGGTGTGAGCCACCATGCCCGGCCACTGTGATTATTCTCTATTTAAAAAATTTATGCAGACTTAACAATAAAATATATTATTCTACCCTAAAATAAAATTTTCTTTTTCTTTTTGCATGGTTAAATAATGTAATTTCTACTTCAAGTCTTTGTTTTCTTTATTTTTTTCTGAGAATAAACAGATCCCAATTATGGGGAAGGGTTCCTGAGAACCAGCATTAGAGGAATAATACTATACTGAGGTAGATTTGTGGGTGTAATATCAAGTGACGGGAAAGTGGATAAAAAATATGAATGTCAAAGAGGAAAGTGACACGTGAGCAGAGTAAACGTCTCTAATGACACTCAGAAATCTGTCCAGGTTTTTTATTTTTTTATTTTTTTAAATGTTTGTGGTACTATAGTTGTTACACGTGAATTCAACATTTTGGTTTGGGTTGTTTATCTTTTACTGTGATAATCAATTTGCTTGTAAAATTTACTTTCTCCAATACCAAAATAACAACTCTTAGCCTCATATTCTACATTAACGAACAGACCTTAGTGATCCAATTATTTTTTGTGTATAAATCCACATTCATCTTATATGTCTTGTTGTGATTTTGTATTTTAATATAGCTGTTGACCTTTCTTATTTGCATTTAATGTTATGATTGATTTTATATCATTCTCTATCACTCTGTGTTCATTTTTTGATGCTATTGACTTGCTCTTTGTATTCATGTTTCTCTAGATGACTTCAAAATGCGTACACTGAGCCAGAAAATAATTTGATCTACTTCTCTAACATCATTATATGCCACTAACATTTGTCTGAAACTTTAAGTTTCATACAGTATTTTTATAAAGCATTATTGTGTGCATATTAATCCAATTGCCTCCAATATTTCCTAATAGAAATAACAATTGCTATTCCCAGTACTTGCCCTGTCTTAATCTTGCATCTGAGCAACCAGAGAATATTACTAATGTGGGTGGGCCTCATCCAATTAATTAAAGACCTACATAGAATGAAAAGGCTGAATAAGAGGAAACTCCTGCTGCCTGACTGCTTTGAGTTGGGTCATTGGTTCTTTCCTCTCTTCAGACTCAAACTGAAACATCAGCTCTTTCTGGGTCTCAGGCCGGCCAGCATTTGAACTGAATTACTCCATTGACTCTCCTGGGCCTTCAGCTTGCTAATTTCAAATCTTGGGACATGTCAGCTTTCATAACTGTGTGATCCAATTTCTTTTTTCTTTTGGAGACGGAGTCTCGCTCTGTCGCCCAGGCTGGAGTGCAGTAGCGTCATCTCGGCTCACTGCAACCTCCGCCTCCCGGGTTCAAGCCATTCTCCTGCCTCAGCCTCCTGAATAGCTGGGACTACAGGCGCACGACGCCATGCCCGGCTAATTTTTTTGTATTTTTTAGTAGAGACGGGGTTTCACCGTGTTGCCCAGGCTGGTCTCAAACTCCTGACCTCAGGTGATCCTCCCGACTTGGCCTCCCAAACTGCTAGAATTACAGGGGTGAGCCACTGCGCCCGGCACCAATTTCTTATATCTTTGTCATATATATATGACAAGCAATCCTGAATTGTTAATGTTGGGAATGCCATCTGCCATATTATTCAAATATCAGAAGAGGCTCAAATGATCTCTGTTATACGTTGGCAATAATAGCAGGAGTTTCTTCCTAAATTTTAACTATGTCCTACTGTGTTGTCCTCAGTAGAAAAGGATATCCATGCTCCGTGAAAAATTTCATCATATTTCTGAAGACCATATTTAAATCCTCCTCAGGTGTTCTCTCCTTTATTCTGAAGCATTTCACTTTCTTCGTCCTCTCGTCACAGGTCTTAACTTTCTTTCTTTGTTTTCACATGAACCCTAGCAATGTCCTCCCCTATCCTTTATGTTTTATAAGTAACGAATCACACAGCACTCAATTAAGCATGTAAGTCTGTCTCCCTGTATTGTGGTCAGTTTGTTACTTGTTAGAATCCAGGTATCATTTCCTGATTTCCTTATATCTAAACAGATGTTCCCTGCTCTTTCTCTCTGGGCCTATTTTATTCCTGCCCTGGTCATTCTTTCCGCCAGTGACTTCTCCAGTGTACCAGCTTCACTTTAAATTCTGATACTTATGTCTACATGTGCCAGTGCAACCATTATTATAGTCATCCATTTAACATGTAAATTACTCAATTGTGTCAAACTGGTCAGAAATAGGAACAGAACTGGCCAACGAACAGAGTTACCTATAGACCTTGTCAAAGGTTTCTGTTCACTCTCACCCTCTGCTCAGCTTATTTTTCACTGTTCTTTTAAGGAACATCCCGTACTCTATCACCCACGAGAATATCAAAGAACTTATTCCCAAACTAACCATTAAAGGATCCCACTTAACAATCTATCTAGGGGATAGCAGTGCATGAATACACCCCAATCTGAATTATATTCCTCAGGAAAATGGGTAGCAGTTCATAGCCATCTAGCATGCACAGTGTTCCCTTCCATCTATATGAGTTTTCTTCCAGTCATTTGAGATTACTGTTATCACCTCTCTTTCATTTACCAAGCCTGTCTCTCTGTCATAGAAGGAAATTCGATTTGAGAATGCTTGCTTTTCTGAAGCCACACTTGTTACCGAACAATATGCTCCATAACTCAGGGTATGTGCAATTTGATCTTATGATAAATCATTCTCTTATTTGCCATATATTTTGTAAAAAGCTTATTTAGTGATGTACAGTTTCATTTTAAGTACTGGCAATCAATATTGCAATGTTTTCACATTTGTATTTGCATCTTTTATGAGTTTGCAAAAGTATACTAAGCTTTGAGCCCACTTATCATAGGATGAAAATAAAGTGCCTCTCTTTAATTTGACTCCTGACTTCTTATACAGCTAAGCAGATGAGCTTAACAGAGCTGGAAAAGGGACTGTTGTTGCTTATATAAACAGCTAGGTCTGCACTGTAATCTTTAGATTTTTTTTTTTTTTAGAACAGGCAGCTATTTCAGCCAATGCTTCTTTCATGGAAGAATTCATAATAAAAATTGTGTGTTCATCATGCATGTTATCTTAAAACTGCAGTCCCCTTTCAGTGGCAAAGAACATTTGGATTTTGTTTATTCTTTTAAAATTTGGACAAGTAACGCATGCCCTGAGTAAAAAATAAAATAATCTGAAGGATTTATAATGAAAAATGACTCCTACCCTCTGCCATGCACAGACACACATCAGTCCCACTCTCCAGAAGCAAACTTTTAATAATAGGTTTAATTTTTATTTTTTTCTAGTAATTCTCTTCCCAACTCTTTATAAAATTTATCTCACTCTATCCTCCTTCCAATTTGGGGTAGTATTAATTTTAGTCTTCTTGGAAGGGTTTCACTTTCTAAATTGAAAATTGTCTTTCCTTTTATTAGTCTTTCCATTGTCTCTGATCTTCCAGAGCGCTACAGAGAAATGTGATTTCATACATTTTCTGCAGGTAAATTCCTGCCCCTGCCCTCAAACCTTCTAGGATCTTCTTTTATCTACTGTGTCCTAAAATTTTATAATGTGTGTAAATTACATTTAATTAAATTATAATGTGTATAAATTAAACATTTATAATGTCTTTTTCCATTCATTTCTCCATATTCATTGGATCCTTTCAATATAATGCATGTATCTTTTTTGCAGCTTTAGGAAATGAATTTCCAGTATGTCTTTATTTCTTCCCCTTTATTTTCCATTCTCTCTAGAACTGCTATTAGCTAGATGTTAGTTCTCCCACATATATCCTACGCGTTGTTTATCTTTTCTCACATTTGCTACAGATTTTCTCTCTATTCTGAGACGTCATTGGCTCCATCTTCTAAAACTCCTATTTGAAATTATACATTGGCAATCATGTTTAATGCCTAAGAGCTCTTTCTTACTCTTTCATTTTCTTTTCCATACTTATTTGCTTTTGTGTTATAGTCAGTATCTCCTCATCACTCTGAGGATACTAACTATAGACTTTTCATGTGTTAATCTGTTTCCAGAACCACCTGTTTTTTCCAGGATCAACTGGTCTCTGATCTCTGTTATCTCTTAATCTGTTGCTGTTTTTGTCACATGTCTGCTGGTCTTTGGTTATGCTTTCATAATTAAAGTCAGTTGGTGGCCTACATGTAGATCTTACCCTGCTAGACTTTTTACTGGATAAAGATTCTTTGCACATAGATGGGGATTGTTAACTGGGAGATTGCATTTTAGAAGGCCTCCAATTTTGAGAATAGGGATACCAGCCTACACCACAGTAGTCTTATTTCTTCCCAGGAAATTTTTTCGTTTTTATTAAATAAAAGTATTTCCAGTTTGTCAAGTTTGTTCATATGTTTTTTTGGTTCATTTTGTTTTTGAGACAGGATCTCGCTCTGTCACACAGGCTAGAGTGCAGTGGCGGGATTGTAGCTCACTATCAATCCGAACTGCTGGGCTCAAGTGATCCTCTCACCTCAGACTCCCGAGTAGCCAGGACTACAGGTACAGGCCACCGTGCCCAGCTAACTTTTTCCTTTCTTTTTTTTGAGACGGAGTCTCACTCTGTCCCCCAGGCTGGAGTGCAATAGCGTGATCTCGGCTCACTGCAACCTCCACCTCCTGGGTTCAAGTGATTCTCCCACCTCAGCCTCCCGAGTAGCTGGGATTACAGGCACCTGCCATCATGCCTGGCTAATTTTGTATTTTTGTAGAGACAGGGTTTCACCATGTTGGCCAGGCTGATCTTGAACTCCTGACCTCAGGTGATCCGCCTCAAAATTGAACTCCTGACCTCAGGTGCCTCGGCCTCTCAAAGTGCTGGGATTACAGGCGTGAGCCACCACGCCTGGCCTACTTTTTTCCATTTCTCTGTGGAGACAGGGTCTTTTTATGTTGCCCAGGCTGTTCTTGAACTCCTGACCTCAAGCAATTCCCCTGCCTTGGCCTCCTAAATCACTGGAATTACAGGTATGAGCTACCATGCCATTTCATATGTTTTTTATTTTATCTAAGAGTAAAAAGCTGAATGACTTACCCTCTGCCTGAATGAACAGTGTGAGGGTGAGATATTGGATTATGGTGAGTCAACTGGTACAATCCATTCTGTAGCTAATGTTTTGTATAATACTTCCCCCACATCCACTCTCTTTTAACGTTACCTTTCCAACTGCCAACTTCCATTATTCCTGCTAACTATGAGCCTAGAACTCTCCAAGAATCATCTGGGAAAATCAACTTTCCCTCTTCTTACAGACTCCTGCTGCATTTCCTAGCCTGCTGTTTTCCACTTTGTTTTGTCTGTCAACACACATACATCCTCTTTCTTGGATGGCATACATTTCTTTCTTCTAAAATCTGAGATTCTCTTCCATATTTGGGGCTTATTCCTTTACTATTATTTTATTGCCCTCTCAGCACGGAGGGCAAAAACAAAAAACAAAAAACAAAAAACAAACAAAACAAACAAACAAAAAAAAACACCTAGGTCTAGTCTGCCTTCTGGAACTAGAAGCCAGGATAGATTCTTCTGTTACTCTTCCAGTAATGAAGAAATGCATTAGTCTACATCAGTGACAAACAATGTGTGGGCACTGGAACATGGGCATCGGCATCAGCTGTAAATGCATTAGAAATGCAATTTTTTCAGTCCCCCTGAGTGAGAAAGTCTTGGGGTAGAGCCCAGTGTTCTGTGTCCAACAAGACGTGATTTGTTGCATGCTCACATTTGAGAATCTCTAACTACACGCATGCTTATCCATCTCCCTATGGCTGAGGACACCTATTTGCACCTCCATTAGGCAGGGTCTCTTGAGTCCAGCCTGATTCCCAAAAGTTGCATTCCTCTTCCGTCATCTAAGAACCACTGATTTCCACATGAAGGCCAAGCCCTCTCTCAAGTCCTAGGTGCAAAAAAAATACAGCAGCACAGTCTCAGCCGTGACATTGGGACCCAGTGTGGAGCCTTTGACTCACCTTGTTTCAATTCCCATATTAATATCCCATTTGTGATAACCGAACATCTGCCTTCAACCCTGTTTTCATAATCATACTAATGTCTCAGAACCTCCAGGAGACTGTGCTACTAGCTCCTGCTCCAGTGGCTTTGGTTATTCCTGATATAAAATTCAGCAAAGTAGGTGGAAATATGTAGCCTGCTTGACTTCATCTCTCTTTCCAGATTATTTATCGTGATGTTCTGCCCACTTGTCAAAACACCTAGATACTGTGTTTTCCTGCCGTGTGGTATTGCATCTTCTACTGGCACTTGTCCTTCGGTCTAACAACTCAGGCCTGATGGTGATCCAATATGTAACCATAAAGGAGAAATCAACCAGTAACCTTGGTAGCATTTACTCTGCACCCTCATCAAAGAAGCTGACTGGTCACCCACAAAATCGATTGGCAACGGACACACGCAATTATGTGTGGCATGCCATTTTTAGAGTGCCATTTGTGAGTACATTCAGACTGGATCTAAGGAGGAAAAGTGCATTTGCCAGGTGACCTGCAGAGCAGCCTGCTGGGGAACGGTAAATAAGGGGAATACTGACCTTTCAGTCCCAGGAAATGACACATTGGCCTCCCTCATGGGAGTTTCTCTCACCTGCTTTGATAGAGGCCATCCTGCTCCATCTGTAGTGCTATTGGCAGGGATCCATAGAGTTTATGGCAAACAGCAATGAGCAATTATCTCACACTGAGCAAAATAGTGGGAAAGAGCTCCAGAGAAGAGGAAAGAAACCCCCTGGATAACGTGCAGGTGAGAACTAAGCTCTGATTTCTTTTATCTTGCCGAGATTCCTATCTAAGGGATCTGGGGAGACATGCCCTACCAACCATAAATTCTCATCAGATGGCTTTTATTTAAACCTATATATCATTACTTACTTTCCAGTCTGACTCTGGCATAACATTACGTGACAAAGAAGAAAGTCCAAGTATTTTATCCCAAAACATGTTTCTTTGCCATATATATATAAATATAAATAAATATATATTCGTTGTTGTATATATATATATATATATATTTGTTGTTGTTTGTTTGTTTTTCTTTTTGAGACAGAGTTTCACTCTTGTTACCCAGGCTGGAGTGCAATGGCGCAATTTCAGCTCACTGCAACCTCCGCCTCCAGGGTTCAAGCAATTCTCCTGCCTCAGCCTCCCAAGTAGCTGGTATTCCAGGTGCCCACCACCACACCTGGCTAATTTTTTGTATTTTTAGTAGAGATGGGGTTTCACCATGTTGGCCAGGCTGGTCTCAAACTCCTGACCTCATGATCCAGCCGCCTCAGCCTCCCAAGTGCTGGGATTACAGGAGTGAGCTGCCGCGGCCTCTTTGCCTTTTTTTTTTTTGAGACGGAGTTTTGCTCTTCTCTCCCAGGCTGGAGTGCAATGATGCAATCTCGGCTCACTGCAACCTCCGTGTCCCGGGTTCAAGCAGTTCTCCTGCTTCAGCCTCCCAAATAGCTGGGATTACAAGCGCGCGCCACCACACCCGACTAATGTTTGTTTTTCTATTTTTAGTAGAGACGGGGTTTCACCATGTTGGTCAGGCTGGTCTCGAACTCCTGACCTCAGGTGATCCGCCTGCCTCAGCCTCCCAAAGTGCTGGGATTACAGGCGTGAGCCACCGCGCCCTGCCCCGTCTTTGCCATATTTTGAAACAGCCCTGCAAAGCTGTCTTTTGTGGGGGAAAATCTGCATCTGTAAAGAATCTCCATTAACATTGCCAGATCTTTTTCTTCCAGGCCCTCCCAGCCCTGAAGAGATTAACTAAGAGTCTAGCACCTTTTAAAGGTCTGAGGAGGAAACATCTGTCATCTATTCTCTCTAAGGGCAACCACTGTAAGACTTCAAAAGAACCTTGGTCTCCACAATCTTTTGTCTTAACCTGAACATTTCCTTTCTATCATCCTAGGTCTTTAGACAAACTCATCCAATTGTCAACCAGAAAATGTGTAAATTTACCTGGAGCCTGGAGCCCCACCCCCTAACTTTGAGTTGTCCTGCCTTTCTGGACCAAACCAAAGTATTTCTTAAATGTATTTGATTGATGTCCCATGCCTCCCTAAAATGTATAAAACCAAGCTGCACCCCAACCACCTTGGGCACGTGTCCTCAGGACCTCCTGAGGGCTGTGTCGCAGGCCACGGTCACTCATATTTGGCTCAGAATAAATCTCTTCAAATATTTTACAGAGTTTGATTCTTTTCATCAACACAGGTTTCCTGCAACCTACCAAACCATAACCAGTGTGTTTGCTCCACTTGACCTTCCCCTCGTTCCCTGGATCTGAAAACTGTAAAGGTGACTTCTTGTTCAATGCATATTTTTTTCTTCCCTGTATTAATAGAACAAAGGGAATTTCTGATTCTAGGGCATGCAATCTAATGAACGAAGGGATCTTTTTTGCTTTAAGAGAAACACTCAATGAAGTCATTAAGAGATAAAACATGATAACCAAGGCCCTGATTTCTAGTCCAATTAATAGTATAATGAGCATTATGGATTAAAATCCTTTTTGGTTCAGATATTGTATAATTTATTCAGTGAAAGTGATGGATGGGCAATTGAAAGAATGTTATCGCAAATAAAATTTCCAGGTGGAATAATTTTTTTTTAAGAATTCACACAATCAAGCTATTATCAGTAACATATCAAGGTGCCAGAAAAACATACTATGAGAGGGAGGGATAATGTACCATTCAACTTACTGAATCTCTGGCAATTTGACATGGCCTAGAGAATCCTGCTATGTGGATTTATATATACATTTCCATTTACTGCTTGAATAAAAATATAAACAATTTGAGTGTTTATTCTTGGAAAACATTGTACTAGGTACTGGGGAGTTACAAAAATAAGCATATTTGTATTCTGAATGAGATCACTGAAATATTGCTGATAAAAAATACAGGAACACAATGAAGAGAAACCGTGAAACGCACTGGGGTGCTAGCAATGTTTTGCTGTAGGGAGGCAACAACTCCTTGTGCCCCCATGCACCACGTCTTCAATACTCATCAATTCCAAAAGAGGAGTGTAAATGTGGTGTTGGCCGGGCGCAGTGACTCACGCCTGTAATCCCAGCACTTTGGGAGGCGGAGGTGGGCAGATCACCTGAGGCCGGGAGTTCGAGACCAGCCTGACCAACATGGAGAAACCCTATCTCTACTAAAAATACAAAATTAGTCGGGTGTGGTGGTACATGCCTGTAATCCCAGTTACTTGGGAGGCTGAGGCAGGAGAATCGCTTGGACCTGGGAGGCGGAGGTTGCAGTGAGCCAAGATCGCGCCATTGCACTCCAGCCTGGGCAACAAGAATGAAACTCTGTCTCAAAAAAAAAAAGTGGTGTTACCTACTTTTCAATGCACCTCACCCAACCCTCTGGCTATTACTTAAATGGTTTGTATTTTTAATTCTTGTCTGCAAAAACATTAGGAAAAATGGATAAATTACAGAGAGAAAATAAAAAGACTTCACATTGTAATATTTCCTTTTCTTATTTTTTTGTTTCTATTCCTATTATTTGTTATATATTATAGAAATTCAAGGGGAAAAAGAGCTAAAATCATTATAATTTCTGGACACTCATTTTTGTTGCAATGTTTCTTGTCAGAAAGCATAGGTAATCACTGGAATGACAACAATGTACGGATTTCCTATCCCGAAAGTTACTTTGCATTTCACGGGACTTGTAGAATATGAGAGAGTCACTACATAAAGTTGTCTAAGTTGTTCATTATACAAATCTAGGGTACAATATTCATAGTCTATTATGTGAATGGGCAACCTTTGGAGTCATGGATTTTTGCACTCCTGAAAGTTGCTTAACTTCATAGAGGTGATTTGGATGCAAATGTGGAAGTATACTCTAGCAGAATGCCTGACCATTTCATTATTTGTATCCATATGCCTGAAATGCACCATCAAGTGGTATTTTCATTCTATCAAATATTATCACTATAACTTGCTGCTATTTAAATGAAAATCTCTTATTTGAAACCTCTGTCTTCATCGTCCCACCCTCCAGCTACCATACTATACAAGGTAGGTTGGAAAGAAGCATGTGACTCAATGGCATGCCTGGCTTATCTCTAGTATTAGTAAAGACACTGGATCTATGACAATTTCATTAAAAAACAGACAACATTTATAGCCATAATCCACTTCATGCCTGGAAGGAAGATACCCTTCACAAACAGCATTGCATAATCCAGGAAAACAAACAAGTATGTCCCAGAAACTTCTAGGAAATGAATGCAAAATACACCATACACATATTGAAGGTGAATTTGGGAAAGATGATTTTTCACTGATTCCTCGTTTCCCTAAGTAGTAAAAGTGTTTCATAATCTCTCAGTCCTTGTCCTCTTGTAACAGTCAAGTTCTGATTACCAGTGGCAGGAGCATGAGCACAGATGCAAAACACTGTTCAATTTGCATGCTTTTTCCTGATTTCTGAAGTGGTATTTAAAGCCAGTATTCTAAACACAAGAGTCAGAGAGCTGAAAGTTAGTTTTAAGTAAGCTTGAGAAAATTGGTTTCATTTCTATCTTTTGGTAGGATATCAATCCAGTAGTTTTCTGTTCTGGGAAAGCAAACATAATCCACTAACCTAGTGAAATCCTTTGAAACGTGGTCCCCTCCATGGACAAGGGGAAGTGACACAGGTCATCTGTTCATCTAACAATTTCCCTGACCAAGTCTAACTTCAGGCATTTTGCACAAGTATCATTTTTAGGCATGCCATGTCTTTATTTGGTCCTGTTTCTATTAACTTCTAAAAACATATAAATAGCGGAGGTTTCAAAGTCCTTGAGGGAACAACCAATCCTCCAAGTCTACCCCAAAAATCTATGTTCAGGGTTAACTGACCACAGTCTTCACTTGGGACACAAAAGGATATGACATAGTGTAAGAGACAACAATGTGGACTCCAGGGAAGCAGAGGGAGCTCAGTAATGAATAATTACAATTAAACAGGCTCAAGGAAAGCAACTGGGACAAGCCACTAGGGAGACCTATTGAAAAGGAAATGTGCTGGGCATGGTGGCTCACACCTGTAATCCCAGCACTTTAGGAGGCCAAGACAGGCGGATCACAAGGTCAGCAGTTCGAGACCAGCCTGGCCAACATAGCTTACTAAAAATACGAAAATTAGCCGGGCGTGGTGGCGGGCGACTGTAATGCCAGCTACTCGGGAGGCTGAGGCAGGAGAATTGCTTGAACCTGGGAAGCAGAGGCTGCAGTAAGCTGACATTGTACCACTGTGCTCCAGCCTGGGCAACAAGAGCAAGACTCTGTCTCAAAAAAAAAAAAAAAAAAAAAAATAGAAAATGAAATGTAACTTGGTGTAAAGGAGAGAAAAGTGGTTTCAGAAATAGAATAATTTGTTTCAAATCTCAAGCCCACTACTTACTACCTGGATGACCTTGAGTTAGTCACTAAAACTCTGAGACTCAGTTTCCTCAGCTGTAAAATTGAGATAATAATTCCTGTTCTGTCAGCTCCAGCATAGTAGGGTTGGTGAGTGGGCAAAAATTAAACAGTAGATGCAAATGTATTTTCTGAACAACGATGAACTATACAAAACAAAGAAATTCATTTTATGAGAGAGAGCGGTCATAGGACTGTAAAAAACAATCCTTGAAGTATAATAATAATAATAAAATGTGACCGGCCGGGCGTGGTGGGTGACACCTGTAATCCCAGCACTTTGGGAGGCCGTGGTGGGCGGATCACCTGAGGTCAGGAGTTCGAGACCAGCCTAACCAACACAGTGAAACCCCATCACTACTAAAAATACAAGAAATTAGCTGAGTGTGGTGGTGCGCGCCTGTAATCGCAGCTACTCGGGAGGCTGAGGCAGGAGGATCGCTTGAACCCAGGAGGCAGAGGTTGCAGTGAGCCGAGATCGCACCATTGCACTCCAGCTTGGGCAACAAGAGCGAAAGTCAGTCTCAAAAATAAAATAAAATAAAATAAAATAAATTGCGACCATACTGGTAGGAAAAAAAAAAAGCAAGAGAAAACCAGAAAAAAGAACAAGGTTACTCATCATTCCAATCCCAAGATATTTGGTGAGCACATCTTTGGTCCCAAAGGAGTCAATACTAAGCCTTAATAGAAATCATTTTCTCTTATCCCTTGTAAACTTTCGTATTCACTAATGTTTAGAAGAAGCAATAACTTATTAAATAAAAGTCTACCAGTAGCAGAGACTATTAGTTGCCTACTGCACATTCACTCTTCTTCCTCATAACAGAAACCTTGAATTACTAATGACACCAATATATGAAGGAAGAAAGAGAGGACAATTTAAAGAGACAGAGGGAGGAAGAAGGAAAAGAGTGAGGAAGCCCGCAATTCTCAGCATACTATAGATAGTGATAGCCAATGAGATAGAAGCAACGTCTCTAGGTGGGGCATCTAGGAACTCATTAAAGGGGACTGATTCAAGTGACATCATGTATCTTTCCTTCTTCCGGCTGCCCAGAACATGGCTGTGAAGATTGAAGTTGCAGCAGCCATCTTTCACATATGGAAGCCAAGAACTAACGTGGTAAGGAGAATGATCAAAAGAGCAGAGCAGGCGAAACCAGCATATCTGCCCTGGACCACCACCCCTAAACTTTTTTTACACGAGAGAAAAATAAACTTTTATTTCATTTAAGTCACCACGATTTGGTTTTACATGTTTCTTTTCGTTCTTATTAATACTCCATCCATTTATTACACAGAATAATGTATTACAGATGTTTTTATTTCCAATTTCACTGTTACTATCATGATAATATGCTATTCACATGTTATTATATAATCAAGATTTAAAACTCATTGATAAGTTCCTATTTTATAAAGCTAAACTTGGGTCAAATAAGATATCACATCATTACATCCAAGATTATTTCACATGAAATTCCCTGTCCCATTATCTTAATTAACATCCATAAGTTTCATTTTGCTTTTCTATTTTTTTAATATTACAGGCAAAGCCAGAACATATTCTATTGGCTTGCATAGGAATTAATGTTGCCAAGACAGCTGGAGAAGACTATGAGAGCTCATTGGACCTTGCAGTGAAGCTTTGTGTGTACTCAGGGAAAACAGCTGAGAACTATGAGGCCCAATTTACATAATAAGGACAAACTTGCATTTCAAAGCCACACTTAGTTCAAGCAGCCAGTCTTCATACAGTGATAACAATATCTAGTAGCAGCTAGTCCAACTACCTCTCTAAATATTTATGCCAGATTTCAATGGGAAGCTACTCATCAACCTGGACTAGAATTAGTTTATATGCACCAGTGAACTAAGCCACGGTCCCACTCATTTTCAGACATAAGAGCATAATTCTTATTGTGATAAGTTGGCATCAGTGTAAATAGCGTATACATTATTCCATTTTTCCTACATCCAAAGGGATATCGTTATGATAGAGGGATTCTAATTTATATTACGTAAAAATTAGATAAATCGGGTCACTTGTATAATACTTCACCATTCTGCCTTTGTTTGAGGTTATTTGAATGAACGCCACTTGTTTTATCTTCAAACTTAAAGATTTTTAAAGACAGAAAGAGCATCTCAATCATATTGTTCATCCCCAAAAGTACCTAACACTGCTTCAGTAAAATTTGGTTCAGTTGAATTCACTTGATCATTCAGCATATTAATGTGATGACTTTTGTATTTGAGAGACAGACATGGTTTAAAAGTACAAAGAACCCCAGTTGCACCTCTCCTTACCTCAGGAGCTGGGGTATATCAATCTCTCTAAGCCTTGGTTTCTCATTAATAAAAATGCAATAACATTCTTTGTCCAGCCCATCTCTTGGTGTCACTGGGTGGGTCAAATGAGGTAAATCTCTAAAATACCTTTGTAAGATATTATTATTCTTTGTTATGTGTGTCTCTGCAGTGCGGCATATCCAAAATATTTTTTGTTTTCAGGTTCTTTGTGACAATATTAATTTTTTCCTATATTTATCCCCAGTGAATCTTTGCTTTGTTTGTGAAGTCATATCCTCCAAGTACTACCTTACAGCATTCTCACTGTTTCCATTCCATGCATGCTAAATTTGGTCACTTCTCTAGTGGTGTCCTTCTAGCAGAAGAAGGATTTGAGGCTTCCTCTTTATATAATTACTTATTTCAGATATGAAACAAGGTCAGAGAGAAAGTAGAGCCATCTCATACATCTTCTGCAGAGGCCTTTAGCATTCAGTAATCCAAGGTCATCAGCAAGAAGGAAGAGAAATGGGGTAGGGGACTTGGGTGGGTTCCCTGCCTCCCTCACACGATTATTTTGTAAATGGATGTAAAAGTACCCTGTAAACTGCATAGCTAGAGCAGCTGGAGAGATTTCTTCCTGGGCTGGATTTAATCAGTGCGTCTTTGTTTGAAGAGTGGAGAGTTTTAGACCTCTGGCATACCCATATGCAAATGTGAATGCAAATTTCAAAACCTAAAAGAACTTGTATTTGGATTAGAAACCATTTGGAATTATCAACAACATAGAAAACATGAAAATTGTACCTACACATGTTCTAAATCAAAGCCTTACTTCAGAATTTTGGCTTAAAGTAATAGATAATTATATGATTGAAAAAACCATGGAAATGAATCATTTAATAGAAGAACTGGTCTTCCTGAACTATTTGATAAATGTCAACTACCTCAAGATCTAATTAATGCACATCAGCAATATAATAAGTATACGGTCCAAGATAGTATGGATACCCATCAAAGAATAGCATAACCCTGCTCTCAAGTAAATACAATCCTGTCAGGCCTCCAGTAATTTAACTAAAATAAAATTAGGAAAGGCAGAAAAATATTTAAGGCTGCTTCTCCTTCCTCATTTTTCCATGGGATAAAACCGAAGATTAAAATTGTATATTATCTTAATAACTGCTTTATTTATTTATTTATTTAATTTATTTATTTATTTATTTTGAGATGGAGTGTCACTCTGTCACCCAGGCTGGAGTGCAGTGGCACAATCTTGGCTCACTGCAACCTCTGCCTCCCGGGTTCAAGTGATTACCCTACTTCAGCCTCCCAAATAGCTGGGATTACAGGTGCCCACCACCACACTCGGCTAATTTTTGTATTTTCAGTAGAGACGGGGTTTCACCGTGTTGACCAGGCTGGTCTCGAACTCCTGACCTCAAGTGATCCGCCCGCCTTCACCTCCCAAAGTGCTGGGATTACAGGCGTAAGCCACTGCGCCTGGCCATAACTGTTTTAATTAGCATTTATTGAGCACGAGTTAATAGGAAGGATCAGATTACCAAATCAGACTCACATGAGCCACAGAGTCTCCCCAACAACATGCTTTACTAATAACTTCAAGGATATAAGCACTCAAAAGGCCTAGGTGAAGCAGGGAGAGGTTCAGGACACAGCAAATAGGCTTTGCTTCCCAGCCCCTTCCACCCCACATTAGAGATGCACTCACTGGCTTGTGGTCAAAGATGAGGTCTTCAACTCAGGTATGCAGTCACTTCATATAGCAGGGAATATTTTAGGTTATGAAACATCTCCATTTACAGCCAGATGGGTACATAGCTTACACGACATTTTCCGGGAGCCATGCTCCTTAAATCCACGGACCCTAGATGTGTTTACCGCAAGCAATTCTCAACCAGAGATATCCTGCCAAAAGCAGTCCATAGAAATGAATTCCTCTCGTAAACACCATCAGTTTATTCACCAGGAGATCATTTATTAGCATGTTTATAAGGAGATCAGGCCAGGTCACCTGTCTCTTTGTTTTCCCATGAATGTTTCCCCAGTAATGAGAGACAAATGAAATGCAGACCAGCTGCTGAACTCCTTTGTTCCCAGAACATTCATCATGTCCCAAGTATAACTCTTAAATTCTTTACATGTGTTACTTCACGTAATCCTCTCAACTCTGTAAGGTAGATACCATCATTCCCTTTTCCAAATGAAGAAATTCAGGCATGAAAAGTTTATGCAACTTGCTGCAAGTCACACAGCTAGAAAGTGGCAAAACAAGGATTTCAGTCCTAGCATGTTGACTTCAGACTCTGTGTTCTAAGGCACGATATAGCTCGTTTCTGTAATTATAGATATTTCTGTGCTCTTTCTTTTGAGACTTACACTACACACTTAAGAAAGACAAAGCTTCTATAAGTGAGTTTTGATATCTTCAACTGTGATTAATTAAAAGGGATAAAAATTATTTTCTATTCCTCCCATTGAGAGATGGGACCTATTTCCCCATCCCTTGAATCCGGGCAGGCCTCTGCCTGTTTTCCCAAATAGCTAAAATAGTGGAAATGACACTGTGCCCAGCCTTTAGGAGACTTGGGTCCTTGGTACCCTGAGTCACCATGGAGAAAGTTTGATTACTGTGATGGAGAGAACATTTAGAGATGCACTGAGAAAAAAGGGAAAGTGATCTACCTGAGCCCATGTCTGCAACCATCCCTGCCAAGGGGCTAGACATGAGTGAAGTTGTCTTGAACCCTCCAGACCAAACTAGCTATCAGCTGAATATCATTGAGCGACCTCAATCAACAACACAAGGAGAAGACGAATCACCTAGTTAAAGCCTGACTGAATTCCTGACCCACAAAATCATGAAAAAAGAGGCACTGCCTCCCATTCTCCACGATGCACCTTGATCATGGAAAAGGAATCCCCAGAATAGTAGAAAAATGTTTTGCCAAAAGAAAAAAAAAAAGAGAGAAAAGAAAGAAAAGGAGGCCTCTCCCTGTTTTCCAAACCAACTTTTTCAAATCTTGTGTTTTTTTAAATAACAAAAGTAGAACTGACAAACTGTATTAATAAATTATATGCTCTTGTCTTAAAAGTTAAGAGCATTCCAAAGCCCAAGAGTCAGGAAAGTTAGTTCATAGGTGAGTTTGCAAGAGTCCAAAGCACAAGCAACGAGCGTGGGTGAAAATTTTGAGAGGGTCACACGTTTGTGTTTTCAAAGGAAAACCATGTTGGTGGTTTAAATTACACCAAAAAATATATAAATTGGTGCATATAGGTTAATATTAACCACATCTACACTGTGCTAAGTTTCTCAAGATGAAAATATGTCCATATTTCTCTGGGTAGGAGCTGTAGCTATTGCCTCAAGGCTCATGAACCTATTTGCCTGTCTCATGCCTAAGCCCCCATAACCTTCCAATTATGGATGGAGAATTTAATATATTTAATGTAAGTCCTAACTCTGCACAACCCCACAGCACAAATCTCACCCCTACTCTAAGATTTTTTCCCTTTTGTATGCTTGACCTTCTTATCTCATCTTCTCTACCTCTAACACTCTGTAGCACATGTACACACATTGGCGGGGCAAGAAAAGCAATAACGATGGTAGCAAGGGAGGCAGGATCATTCGTTAAGGCCTGCTTCTACTGTTAGAGCTATCACACATTCTATCAGAATGTTAAGTCACTAAGCATTTAGATCTGTTATTTGCCAAAGCTCTTAAAAACTGCACTGTAAGATGTCATATATATTAAAGATAAATCTGGCCCACTTAAGTACGAAAATCAAGTACTTTGGCCATCAAGTTGAACATTAACACAATAAACCACGAACATTTTATAAATGCAACTTTCTAGGTAAATTACCTCATCATTTATTCATCTGATATTTATTGAACGAGTGTGCATTTTCATGTTGCCTGACTGGGCAATGTCATTCTTATCTGATATATTGCTCACAATAGCCCCGGGAGTTAGGCATCATTTTACCCATTTGCCAGATGAGGAAACACAAGCTCCAAGAGAGTCAATGACTTAGACAAGACTACACAAATATCTTCAAGCAGCAATAAGGAACATGGCTCTTTTTTATTGTCTTTGTCCATTTGTGCTGCTATAATAAAAGATTTGAGACTGGGTAATTTATAAGAACAGAAATTTATTTCTCACAGTTCTAGAGGCTAAAATTCCAAGATCAAGGTGCCCAGCAGGTTTGGTGCCTGGTGGGTACTTGGTCTCTACTTCCAAGATAGCTCCTTCTTGCTGCATCCTCCAGAGGGGATGTGTCTTCCCATTGTAGAAGGGCAAAAAAAGCAAAAGGAAGGGAAGTAGCTCCCTCATACCTCTTTCATAAGGGTGCTAATCCCATTCATGAGAGCTCTGCCCTTATAACTTAATCACCTCCTAAAGCCAATGTAATTAAATCACATTGGTAATTAAGTTTTAATACATGAATTTGGGGGGGCCACATTTAGACCATAGCATTTACATTCACAGTCTTTTTAATATTCCCAAACTGCAGCCAAGTTCTAGCTAGAGATTTGTTCCTCATAACTGCAAAAGATTCATGTTACTCACAGAAAAAGGAAAACCAGTTGTAGCAACTTTATATAATTTTATGAACATAACAAAGCCACATTACATACAAGAACTAGGCCCTCTGACAACTATAGTGTTAATTTTCCAAGATGGGAAAAACATCAGTAGGAAAGGCAACCATTGATTGTCTCTAAATTCTATAACGCATATCACAAAATAAGCTCTGTAATGAGATGCTATTTTACAGCGGCCTAGGAAAAGTGTCCGTGGCAGAAGCTATTGATGTCTCAACTATCACTCCTCAGCCTACCTCAGAAGTCACTTACGGCCTTGTGGATAGTTTCTGTGTATGCAAAAAGCTTCCGACAGCAAGCAGCTATGTTACTCAGTCCAAATAATTTTTCTGGCCCCATGGTATGCTCCACACTTTGTGAGGCAGGCCTGAAAGACCAAGGAGTTAACACTCCAAAGAGCAACTCTTAATCAATGTGCGAGAGGAGGTAGTGAATAAATACCTTACCTTCCTATTCTCCAGTGAGGCAATTCCAGTATGTGTTCCAAACAGATTTTAAAAGGTTCCTGGTGAGATTGAGCCCGTTACACACAGCGGTAACCTGCTCACTAACATACCTTTTAGTGGCTCTTCTCCCTTCTTTGTTTTACTTCCCCAAACCCTTGCCGAACTTCCTGAGATCATCTCCCATGTAAACTACTGGTACCCTCCAACAAAGTGTATTTTTCAAAGACAGCTACACCGATATATCCCATTCCATGTGCTCTTCTTACAATGTGACATTGGTACTTTTTCATAGAGAGGTAGGGTGTTTATTTTTTCCGTTTCAATCTGCGTTGGCCTGTGACTGTGGCGGAAGAAACATACGTTATTGATAAAGCTAGATCATAAGCAGGCAGTACAGCTCCCATCTGGCTTTTTTGAGAGGCTCACTCTTGGAACCCAGCTACTCTGCTATGAGGAAGCCAAACAGCTACACAGAAAGGCCAGATGTAGGTGCTCCAGACCACAACCCCAGCTAAGATCCCAGCTGGCTTCCAGGATCAATGTCAAACATGTGATTAAGTCTTCAAATGATTCTTGTCCCAGCTATAAGCAGAGCAGAGACAAGATGTCCCCATTGGGCCATGCCTAAATTGCAGATTTGTGATGAAAATAAATGCTGTCATTGTTTTAAGACATTAGATGTTGAAGTGGTTCATTACTTAGCCATAGATAATCAGAACATACCCAAATTCTCATCTTAGGGTCTGCTTTGGGAAGAACCCCAAACTAACAGTATAAAAGGTCATTCAACGACTCAATGGCAGTAAGTTAAATGTGAACCCAAACTGCCTACTCAGAGCCCATGCCATGTCCACTACACCCCACTGACTGCTCATTCAGTCAAGGAGCTATTTGCTCTCCTAAATATAGAGGCCTCAATGTCTCTAAGGAAGAAGGCATGAGGGCATTGTACTCCTCACAATTCTTGTTATATAATAGATACTAAATCTGAATACAAAACAGTCCTGAATGATTGTGCCTCAATTTTTTTCACTGTTCTTAACTCTGACATCCTAAATCCTACCCATTATTCTGGGTACTTTTGCCAGTTTCAACCCGGGAAAAAAACTTAAAGGACATTATTGCAAAGGAGAAGAGCAATATAAATAGCTAATTATAGGTTTTGATAGGTTTCGCTTTTCATCAGAGTATTCTCAGCTGAGCAGTAAGATCTAGGCACAGTTTCAACAAATTACAGATTTTAAAAAAGTGAATAGTGATTCATCTAGATTTCTTTCCAATGTAGAGTTTGGGTTAACTTTGCTAACAAAAGGGTATAGATCTGGAAACACAGACTGTATTTTCTTAAGGAATTTTTACCCAATAGATTTGTCTTCTTAAGAGGAGTAGATTACTAAAATTAATCTGTAAGGATAAAATTCAGAATCTGATCCAAAATATAATTGTGATTCGCACTACTAAAACCAAATTAAAAGGCAATTCCAATATTGTTACTCCCTAAAAATATTACCCACCACATTAAATCCACTGCAGCACATTCAAACAAAGACCTGATAAATTAGCACATGAAAAGAATAAATCTTTACTTCTCTAAAGTTCTCAGTAGTATTATGAACACAGTACTATTGTTACTTACCAGAGGTTAACAACAAGAACATCAATTTCAAAGGTACAGAACAACTCTATCAAACCTTTCAATCTGTCACTGCGACTTTCTTTGTAAAATATGCTGCTGCAGCTATTTCAGTGGATATATTTAACCTAACTGAATTTCTTTTGATAAAATTTATTTACTGAAATAAGATCTCTGTTTTAACTCCATCACTCAACCTTTGGCATCTACTTCATCCATGATTAATTTAAGAGCCAGCTGGCATTTTCCTTAATGCTAACATATTTGCTTAATAAAATATATCTTAAGATTGGTTTCTGGCCCATTCTTCCATTTTGAAACAAAACAATGATCAATAAAATATATCTTTTGAAAATGTTAACGGATTTCAACCAAATCCAATTAGAGGTAGAGTTTGAGAGATTTCACTAGTGAAGTCTGGTCCATTTATCTATTTAACAGCAGTGATAAAAACAGTACTTCTACATAAACAGGTAATTGCAAGATTCATTTATTGAGCACTGAATCTCCTAGAAGGTATGATAATTACTAAATGAATCCTTGCTTTCTGTTGGGTCACAGGTATTGGTCAGAATGTTTTCTGAGATGGAATCAGAATCATTAAAATCTCTTTCAGTTGCATGCAATTCCTCAGCTATGCCCAAGACTTCTAGGACTAAGAATGCGCCCATAAAAGATGTCTTATTTTTATCGAAAAGTCATATAAACATTTTGCATTATTACTCCTGTTTTTCTGGCTTCCTGTGGAATTTTAACATACATAAGACCTGGTACTTTTGAATTTCTTATCTGGGCTATGGCAGCAGAGTTAAGAGAAAATATTAATAGCACCTGGGAATTAAAAGCATATTAGTGATGGTTATGCCCTATGGTTAATGAGCACATGGTAGTCCCGCCTTTCCTTAATTGTAAGAAGGGGTGATTGGCGGGGCACGGTGGCTCACACCCGTAATCCCAGCACTTTGGGAGGCCGAGGTTGGCAGATCGCCTGAGGTCAGGAGTTCGAGACCAGCCTGACCAACATGCAGAAACCCCGTTTCTACTAAAAATACAAAATTAGCCGGGCATGGTGGTGCATGCCTGTAATCCCAGCTACTCGGGAGGCTGAGGCAGGAGAATTGCTTGAACCCAGGAGGCAGAGGATGTGGTGAGCCAAGATTGCGCCATTGCACTCCAGCCTGGGCAACAACGAGCGAAACTCCATCAACAAAAAAAAAAAGGGGGTGATCAGTGATCATTGTGCTTCTTCTCCTCAAATGTTGGCAAGAGTTATGTCTAAGTGATGAAGTGCTATTCAATCCTACCACAGTATAAAAGAAATTAGCTGCCTGCCCCCTTGGAGGACCGGCATCACTACATCCTCAACCTGGAAGGATCTTTGGGTCTTATAATCCAGTCTCCTACACAGTGCCAGAATCTCCCTCCTACATCTATCCCAACAAGAAGAAAATTTCTGCTGCAAAAATCTTTTAATTTCTAGACCTACCTGTAGTCCTCAGGGTATTAGCAACTAGCCAATACAGAGGAGGAGACCTCCTCAAGCTTGTATTTGCTTTGAGCAAGAAGCAATAGGCAAAGGAGAGAACCAAATACTGAAACTCTTGCCCTATCTCCCTCCTCCTCTGGGTTTAGCTTTATGATATCTTTTCAGGAATGATATATTTTCCATCACCCAGCATAGGCCCTGGTAAATAATAGGTGTTCAATATATTTTGAATGTTGAATAGGTAAAACAAAGACCTTTTGCCACTCCAAATATCCCTTCATACTCTCTTTAATATTTGAAACTCTTTAATAGGAGACAAAGGCTAAACTATAAATAACACATGAGAACTAAGAGTTCAAATGAACATGGAAATCAAGAGTTTACTTTTTTAAGATAATTCATTTCCCGTAACTCCAAAAACAGATATCGCGTACTTTATTCTGTTTAATAATGGGGCAAGGGTTGGAGCACAGAGAAGGAACTAGTTAAACGGATACATTTTACTAAACGTATCCTTTTATTTAATTATAATGCTGTTCAGAATAATTTGAGGTGGGATTCTTTTAGAATACACTTGGGTTTTTGTTGGTCCTAAGAAAAGATGAGAGGAGAAGCACAATAAGACAGAATTACAAGGCAGAATAAAAAATGATAGCGCACAGGAATTAGTTTGCCAGAAAGTAACACCACCTTCCTTCAAGACTAATACTGTGCTACACTCCTGGAAACCTATTTCCAGGAGAAATAGAGAGGGTAAGTGCCAAAATATGGATCTAGCGTAGAATTTACAACAGAACACTCTGCAATATCTCTGGAAACACAGAGAGATCAACTCAATGTCTAAGGGCTAGAAGCAGTTCTCAGCTGAGACCCCTTGGCAAGAAGAATCCCTCTCTACTCCTCTCCATTGTTCTTCCTTCTTTACTCACACTTCCTTTCTCCCACATCAATCAATGTCAAATACATTTCTTTCCCTTTTACCCATGTCCATAATGTTTGGAATAACATTTCTGTGGTGCCAATTGTAATCCCAAAAGACACAATCCCAAACATCAAAATCCCCAAAGATCAAAATTCCTAAAGTGTAAAATCCCCATAATCACAATCCTAAAAGATTAAATTTCCAAATGTTGAAATCCTGAAAGTAAAATTCTGGAGAAGGGATTCGTGCATTTTCAGTTGTACGTAGGATACCTGCATCGTGTTAGTTGCATCATGTTAAATGGAACTATCACCTTGTTATTATCTTCATTCGTAAATTAAGTATGGTTTAGGAAAATGTGTATGGGTGCCAAGTGGACAATTTTAGGTGTCAAGTTGACAATTTTAGGTGTCAACTTGACTGGATTAAGGAACACCTAGAAATGTGGCAAAGCATTATTTTAGGCGTGGGTGTCAAGGTGTTTACAGAGGAGATTAATGTGTGAGTCTAAGTGGACTAGGTAGGGAAAATCTGCCCTCAGTGTGAGCAGGTACCATCCAATCAGCTGGGGGCCCAGAGAGAACAAATACTGAGAGGAAACTGATTTCTCTGAGAGCTGGAACAGATTTTTCTTTTGCTGCCTTGGACATCAGAACTACAGGCTTGCTGGCTTTTGGACTTCAGGACTCACACCAGCAGTCTCTCTGGGTCCTGAGGCTTTTGGACTTGGACTATGAGTTATACCATTGGCATCCCTGCTTGTGAGGCCTTTGGACTTAAACACAGCCATGCTACCAACATCCCAGGGTCTCCAGCTTTCACATGACCTGTCGTGGAACTTCTCAGCCTCCATAATCACATGAACAAACGGCCCTAATAAATCTCCTCTCTCATACATACATATACATATATATATGAATTCATACATACATATACATATATATGAATTCATACATATATGTATATATATGAATATGTCCTATTGGTTCTGTCTCTCTGGAGAACCCTAACACAAATTTGGTATTGGGGAAGCTGAATATCATTTCTTCTTACTGTGTTTCTTGAAACACACTGGAAGAGATCTGTGAAATTGTTCCCTGATGAAAATGCTGCAATAAGTGTATGACGCTACTTAATGGTGAAAGATAAAAGTTTAAAAGCTAATTATTATTGCTGTCGCAAAAGCAGAAAGTCACTTAATTGTAAAGGCCAAGCAATGACCAGACTTTCAAATGAAGAGCATTAAGTTACAAAATTTGTAGACCACAACCACTCTCCAGATACAAGTGCCACAAGTGTTTTGACGATCACAGATGAAGTGGAAATGCAGGTGAAAAACAAGAACTCTCCCGTCCCAAATTATTTGATCATGTATGACTTCTGCCCCTTTACACTTGGCATTGATTCACTATGCTATGTATTTCATCTTTGCATCATTTCTGACACTGGAGGCCCGCATTTTGTAAATATTTTAGATAACTCTAATGAATTGTATGCTTTTTTTTTTTTTTGCAGATTTGACTCTGCAGAAGTGCAATATCACAATGTTGACTTTCTGTGTAAGCACTGTGCATGCTGAAATTTTCTCATTAAATAAAGAGATGTCCTTTGTATACACCTGCATTTGTGAAAAGTAAAACATCTCAAGATCTCAGCTCTTTGAGTGACTACATATGCAGTGATAGCTCATTGTGGGTTTTCATCAATCCTTTCAAAAGACACAGGTTGTTAATCACGGTATTTCTGATGACTGGTTATAAAGCCTGGTGCATACAATTACCAATCACAATGATATTTATTTATACATTTTGCTTTTTAACCTGTTATGAATATAGTTCATCTGCTCATAATGGCTATACCCATGCAACTGTTATTAATATACCTGAGTGTTCATACTTGCAGAAATATGTAGGCAATTATTGCCTATTTTGCTATATAAAGTAGCCTATGAAGTACCCTGTTGTGTTTTTATGTTTCTCAATCTCCTTTTTAAAATATAAATAAATGTCTTTTAAATAATTTTTTAAAATTATTTTTTCCAGAATTATGTTTTTGGGATTTAGAACTTTTGAGATTTCAACATTCAGGATTATGGCACTTGAGATTGTGTCTTTCACGACAGTGGCCCAAACCCCTGTTCCCAATACACAACTTAGATGCCCTCGTGAAAACAAGAGTTTTCCATATTAGCGTCATGCTCCATCTTTTTTCATCCAACCTCTCAAATATCAGTGCTATATCAGATCAAACAAGTATTCACTCCAGCCCCTGGGATGTAGTGACTGGTACTCTACCCCTGTTTAGAAGTCATTAGCTCTTTCATGCCAATTATTACTCACAGATCCTGATGAACTTCAATCTCAGCTTACTTCTTCCCTGAACCCCAAAGTACTGTTGTGACATGCATACTCTATGCAAGCATTCAGAAAGATTAAATAAATTTTCATAAAACTTATCTTAAAATCTATAAAGAAAATATTAATTGAATAAGCATTGCCAGAGACATGAAGCGCCATTAGAGAAAATAAAGTAATAGCCATTAGTTCCCCACAAATCTTTTATAGGATGGAAGATATCTGTTTGGTTAGGTTTAAGCTTAGTATACCCAGTGGCAAAGAGGGTTTGACAAACTCAGAAGTTCATTGGTAATTTCTTACTTAAGTAGATCTGGTTTCCATATTTTAAAGTGGAAAACATGAGCATGTCAAAATCAAATATGAAAAACTCAAAGGTATTGGCTGTAGTTGATCATCTTCCAAAGGTATAAAGACATGTTTCCTCTGAATTTTCAAATAAAAAAAATTTCTAGTTTAAATTAGTTCCTTCCAACCTCACCTCATCTAACAACCTTTTCCTCCTAACAAGTAGCTTTAGAATAACAATAATTCAATATTTTCCCATCTAGTTATTCATTACTATGCTATTACAAGTAAGAGCTGGGTTATTGAAAACGTTGTTTGTATTTCATAACATAGATACATGACAGACTGGTTTATGCATCATTTTTTATCTGTATGTCATTAGTCATTTTGTCCATTTTGTTTTAGGGTGGTTAACGTTGTGGGGGTTCTCTACGTCCTTCACATCTTAAATTAAAGCAGTCTTTTGTTCAGTCTGTATAAATATGTTATGCTTGTTGGACAATGTTCAGAAAATATGAGTTAAAAAATAAGTTTAAAATACATGTAATACAGGAGAAAACATAGGGGAAAAGGTTCTTGACATAGGTCTGCACAATAATTTTTTGGTTATGATACCAAAAGCACAGGCAACAAAGGCAAAAACAGACAAATGGGACTACATCAAACTAAAAAGCTTCTCCACAGCAAACAAAATAATCAACAGAGTGAAAATCTACCTACAGAATGGGAGCAAATATTTGTAAACCATATATCTGATGAAGGGTTAATATCCAAAAAATATAGGAATTCATGCAACTCACTAGCAAACCCACAAATAGCTCAATTAAAAAATAGGCAAAGTGGTGTACTCTCAGTCATAACAGTAAATAAATTAAGCTTTGAAAAAAAATAGGCAAAGGACCTCAGTAGACATCTCTCAAAAGAAGACATACAAATGGCTAACGGGTATATGAAAAAATGCAAATCAAAACCACAGTGAGATCTCACCTCACACTGGTTAGCATCTATCACCAGAAAGATAAAACATAACAAGTGTTGGGGAGAATGTGGAGGAAAGAGAATATGGTTGGTTTGAAACATAAATTGGTACAGAGGTTCCCCTTAAAAAATTAAAAATAGACATACCTCATGATCCAACAATTCCACTACTAGGTAAAAATGAAAACATTATCTCAAAAAGACATTTGCACTCCCACATTCATTTCAGCAATATTCACAATAGCCAAGATACAGAAACAGACTAAATGGATTTTAAAAAATGAGAGATGCACACACACACACATTCCCACAATGAAATATTATTCAGCCTTAAAAGATAAGGAAATGCTACCATTTACAACAACATGGATGAACCTAGAGGACATTAAACCAGATGCAGATATGGTCTCGCTTATATATAGAATCTAAAAATATCAAATTCATAGAAACAGGAGTCCAATGGTCATTACCAGGGGTTGAAAGGAGGGAGATACGGGGAAATGTTGGCAAGGAGGTACAAAGTTTCAACTATACAAGAAAAAAAAGTAAGTTCTGGAGATCTAATGTGCAATGATGAGACTATAGTTAACAAAACAGTATCTGTCTCTTCTTTTTTTTTTTTTTTTTTTTTTTTTTGAGATAGAGTCTCACTCTGTCACCCAGGCTGGAGTGCAATGGCGCAATCGTGACTTACTGCAACCTCCGCCTCCTGGGTTCAAATGATTCTCCTGCCTCAGCCTCCCGAGTAGCTGGGTCTACAGGCACCCGCCATCATGCCCAGCTAATTTTTGTATTTTGTAAAAAAAATAACAGCTTATGATTCAGGTGATCCACCAGCCTCGGCCTCCCAAAGTGCTGGGATTACAGGCGTGAGCCACCGCGCCTGGTCACAATACAGTATTTCATACTTGAAATTTGCTAAGAGGGTAGTAGAACTTAAGTGTTTTCACCACACTTGAAAAAAATGGTAACTCTGTGAGGTGATATACACGTTAATTAGTTTGTTGGTGGTGAATATTTCACAATGTATGTATATATCAAATCAATCAAATTTACACCTCAAATATATGTAATTTTTAATTCTCAACTATATCTCAATAAACTTGGGAAAAACATCTTGCAAGCTGGCCCTAAATTGTGGAAAGTACTGAATCCATGCTCTTAAACTATAGTGTCCAACCTTTTGTGATCAGACATGCTATTTATTCATTCACTTATTGAATAGTAGGTATTTATTGAATATTTACTATGTGCTAGGCATGCTTCTAGACTATGGATCAGCAAACTTTTTCTGTAAGGGGCCAGAGAGTAAATATTTTCACTTTTTCAGGCCATAGGCTCCCTTCCACACCTCCTCAACTGTGCCTTTATAATGTGAACACAGCAGCTACAGACAATACACAAATGAATAAGTGTGGCTATATTCCAACAAAATGTTATGTGTGAAAAAATGAGTCAGCCCAGATTTGAACTGTGGGTAGTAGTCTGACAACCTTTGGTCTTGACTCTTAAGATATTCAGTGAACAAAACAGACAAAAATCCCTTTCCTCATGGAAGTTACATTCTAAAAAAAAAAATCTGTAAAAACATTAGCATTTATCTCCAAAATATGTATATGAATTTATTTTTAAGATATATCTGCATTAATGGCATGTAAGTACATTGTGTTGTATACATCATTAAATGTACCCAATATTATAAATTACAAGCAATAAGATAAAAATATTTTAAATATTTTTAATACTTTATTCACTTTTTTCACTAAAATTATAACTATCTTTATATTTTAGTGAGAACAATGTGATTGAATAATGCTTTATAACTTTCAATAAGTGTCAATATTTTTTAAATTGTGGTTTAACAGCTTATGATTCAAATCTATACCAGTTATTTTAGATATTTGGTTTTGGTGGCTGTCATGGTAGAAAATTCACCTCGCAAAAATATATAGCTCCAAATGGAAGAATTGAATTTTTGGCTGTGCTTATTAAAACATGATTATCATTTTTAAATCTCAATTGCCAATTATGCAAAGAGTTTCATTAAATTTTTGGCTTGTACATTTACATCTTCCTCATTGTAAATGGGTTGTTACTAACAACTAATTGGAAGGTAAATAAACATTTGTTGACTTACTGAATAAATGAATAAAAATTCATTGAAACCATTTGAAAGATTTTTAAAGATGTTTCCAAGTTGATAAAGTATGTTAATGAGAGTCAGGCTGAGGCGGGCGGATCACGACTTCAGGAGATCAAGACCATCCTGGCTAACACGGTGAAACCCCGTCTCTACTAAAAATACAAAAAAGAATTAGCCGGGCGTGGTGGCGGGCGCCTGTAGTCCCAGCTACTCGGGAGGCTGAGGCAGGAGAATGGTGTGAACCCGGGAGGCAGAGCTTGCAGTGAGCTCAGATCACGCCACTGGGCAACAGAGTGAGACTCCATCTCAAAAAAAAAAAAAAAAGAAAAAAGAAATATATGACATACTTACATGGTTTTAACCAACAAACTATCATCACTAAAATTTAAGGCACATAAATATACCAACTAACAGTACGTTGGGGGATGGAAAGAGTGATGAGACCATTGTCAAAGTCTTCATGCAGTAGAATACTCACAGTTCCCCAAAGGAAGTTCTCCTAAGTAATGTAGCACATGACTTAGCACATTCAGCAAGCAGAAGAGGAGAGAAGTTCAAAGTCAATCCTTATGTTTAATATCAGTATTTTTTCTTTCTTTTTTCATTCTTCCTTCTTTTTTCTCCTTCCCTCCTTCCTTCTTTCCTTCCTCCCTTCCTCCCTCCCTCCCTTCCTTCCTTCCCTTTCCTTTTTAAATATAGGGTTAAATATACTCCATGCATCACGTCTTACACACTTTGGGGCTCACTTTGAAGAAAACTACTCTTGAGAGCTATTTATTTTGTGTGTATTTTGCATTCAAAGAGTGCCCTTTCCAACACTATTTTCTATTTGTATAGGATTTCAACCTGTATTGTTAGATGTAACTGAGAGATTCTGCCAGTCTGGTTCACCTTCTCTGTGTGCGTATTTTGGAGAGTAACAATTTCCCATCACGGCACACTTGCCGTAAGAATGCAGAGAAAACTCAGATTCGATGAATCTCTTTCATTCACACCTAACTCAAGCACAACCATCTCTCTGGGTAGCTATTTTTGCTTTCTAACTTCTATGTCTGCTCCTCTCCGGAAGTTAAGCATCATTAAACTTTAACTATCTGAACTGTTTGGCAGAATCTCCAAAACTTCAGATGAACTTTAGCCAAGTTTTCTGTGTCCCTAATGAGAGGTTATTAATCAATAGTATGTTTGTAGTCATGAAAGGGCTGTTTAGAATTTTAATAAATGTCATCTAGAAAATTAACAAAAAAGTAATTAAGAAGATTTATTACCTGATTCCCTATCACCTTCATGGTCAAACCAAAGGAAAGTGCGATAAAGAATGAGGATTACTAAAACCCGAACACTTTTATAAATATGTTCTCAGAAACATCCCCAAATAGCCAGAAAGCTCAGCACTGGTCTTTCCCTGCTCAGGTGATATTCTACAGCATTTTTCACAATGTTAGGTAATTAGTTGTTTATTTCTCCAACCACTCCCCCAACTCTGGAAGGAATTTTAGCATAGGGAATTTTATTCGTTTTCTTTTTTGTGTCCTCTAACACACAGCAGTGTTCTCTTAGCATTTGCTGAAATTAAATAGAATATTGTGGAAGTTCCCAAGGCCATTTTAAATCTTCTTGAACCACAATTGAAGAAAACCTCAAAATATTTAACTTCATCTTGTGTTCCTGAAAAATAGATGGAAAATACTTCCTTCTTTGTGTAGTTGTTTTAATTTAGGAAAACCCTTGTGTAAATATCATCATGCCTTGTAGCACCGAGCATTCTTCATGAAGTGTATTTCAAATACATGGAGTTTAAAATATGAAATTAGTTTGACCTCGCCTTCTTATAAAAGGAATAGTTCAAACTGTCATTATTTGCAGATGACATGATCAACCACACCAAAAAATCTACCAAAATCACAGACAAACCCAGAACTAATAAGAAAGTTCAGTGAGGTTACTAGATACATCAACTTTTAAAACAAACAGCATTCTTCTGTATCAAGAACAACCAACTAGAAAATATAAACATATACCATTAACGAGAGCATCAAGTTCTATAAAATATCTAGAAATTAACTTCATTCAAAATACACGAGACTGCTATAGAAAATTTTTAATTCAATGAAAGAACACAAAAGAAAAACAATAAATGAGAATTTCATACTTTTGAAAGGATGACTTAATATTTTAAATATGTTGATTTTCCCCAAATTGATCTATAAATTCAATGCAATTCTAATAAATATTCCAGCGGGATTTATTTTGATGAACTTGATAAACTTCTTCTAAAATTTGCCTAGAAGTCTAAAGCTCTACAAATAGCTAAGTTGACTTTGAAAAAGAAGATCATAAAGTAAGAAACTGCTTTATCAGGTATTAAAACATATTAAAAGTCATAATAAAAAAGACAGAATGGTCTTGGTGTAAGAATGAACAAGAACACCAGTGGAGCAGAAGGATGAATCATAATAGAACTATGTAGGACTATGTCCCTAATATACAATAAAGATGGCACCATACACAAATCAAAAAATGAATCATTTAGTGTACAGTGTGGGAAAATCCTTTTTGACAAAAATTAAACTGAATTTCTATATAACATCTCACAAAAGTTGGACTCCAAGTGGATTAAAGACCTAAATATAAAAAGTAAAATTAAAAAGTAATAAAAGATAATGTAAGAGAATAGTTTCATAACCCTGAGATAGGCAAAGATTTTAAACCCAAAAATCATGATCTATAAGGTGAAACGCAAATGAGTATTATTATAGCAAAATGAAGGATTTTGTTCAACGACTAAATCAAACAGATGACAGAACAGGACAAGTAATTTGAAAAGTCTAAAACTGACAGGGAACTAATATTTGGAATATAAAAGGAACACCTACATAATAGGGACCCGTGACAAAATGAGCCAAGGAAATGAACAGTCAATTAAGTCAAGAAGAAACCCTCGCATATTAAGAGATGCTCAAACTCACTAGTAATTAGAGAAATGTACCACTTTAATGTATCACACTTTTAATGTATCAGATTAGCAAAAATTGGAAAACTGGAATTCCTGTTACTATTGCTACAAAACAAACTACCACAAAACTTAGTTGTCTAAAACAGCAACAATCATCTTATTATTTCTCACGGTCTCTATGGAATAGAGATTCATTAAGGGCTTGGCTGGGAAGTTCTGGCCCAACATCAGATGTCCGGAACTAGAAAGGCTGGAGTTGACCAGGCATCTCCCCTCACGTAGCCTTCTCCTTGGGGTCCATCACATAGGCTACTTTGGGATTCCTCATAAGCGTGGTTGACTCAAGAAAGTCAGTCCTCTTACATGGTAGCTCAGGACCCCAGGGCAAGTGTTCCAGCAGGCAAGGTGAAATCTGTATCATCTCTTAGGATCTGGCTTCGAAACTCACACAGTGTTACTTTGCCATGTTCCTTTGGCTGAAACAGTCACAAAAGGCTGCCCACATTCAAGAGGAGGAGAATTGGACTCCACTTTTTGATGGTGAATGGCAAGTTTCTTAGAAGAACAAGTGGGATGGAAGATTGCAGCTATCTTTGGAAAAATGTAATCTGCCACAGCTAGATAATTCCAAGTATTTGAGGGCATGTGGTAAGATAGAGTAGAGATAGGAACAGATATTCTGGAAAGCAATCTGGAAGTGCTTAGATAAATTAAGTGAATCTAAATAATTTGATCCAGACCTCTCATTCCTGGATATATATTCCTGAAAATTTTTCTCAAAGTCTGTAAGAGGACGTGTACAAGGATGTTTATCACAATACTCTTTGAGGTAGCAGGGAGTTGGAAATAATCTATGTTTCATCACCAGGGGAATGAGTAACTACAACGTGATGAATGCATACTATGGATTACTATGCAGCAGTTTGAAACTATAGGATAGGTGTATACACAGTATAAAAATTATGGTGCTGGCCGGGCATGGTGGCTCACGCCTGTAATCCCAGCACTTCGGGAGGCTGAGGCAGGTGGATCACAAGGTCAGGAAATCGAGACCATCCTGGCTAACACAGTGAAACCCCGTTTCTACTAAAAATACAAAAAATTAGCTGGGCGTGGTGGCGGGCGCCTGTAGTTCCAGCTACTCGGGAGGCTGAGGCAGGAGAATGGTGTGAACCTGGGAGGCGGAGCTTGCAGTGAGCTGAGACTGTGCCACTGCACTCCAGCCTGGGCTACAGAGCGAGACTCTGTCTCAAACAAACAAACAAAAAAAATTATGGTGCTGGAAAATAAAGAGAATGAGATTTATAGTACAATACTACTAGGATTTCTGTTTACTAAAAATTCATGCACACACAATACATATATTTCAAGAGCACATAGAAATGAAGGGTAGACTTCAACCCATTAAATGTTTACCTATGGGCAGAAAGAAGATTGGGAGTAAGGACTAGGGAGAAAAAAACAGAAGAAAAATTAAACAAAACAATAAAGAAAACAAACAGGGACACTGTGTTGGCCAATGGTGTACCTTGAACTAAGGAGGATAATTAACCCTGTCCTTTGCATTGATTTAATAATAATCTTCAAAGGCATAGCAAGACCAATTGTATAAGGCAGGCGTCTAGTTCAAAACCCAGAAACATAGAATGAAACTTTGGTCTAGTTACAAATATTTCTGTAACTCACTTTATTAATCTTTCAACATATAATCTGAAATATAGTCAATATTTTGGGACCAATGAGAAAGAATTTTTCAGGCAGAAAAGCTTTTCTAGAAGTCTTAAATTTACACATCACATGAGTCTCACTTTAATCAGGATTAGAACATGTGTACTTTAAAAAATATACATTAACAATATGAAGATTCCTATATATTTGGTGCTTAGAAAAAAAAGGAAATTTTTAAAATAACCTCTAAAGTAAATTAAACAGACACTTTCAAAACAACAATACACATTCTGCAATAAAAAGACATTAAAATGGCTGCCTATGGGGCAATGAGGGTGAAATATGTGCATAAAAGAAAAATAATTTCTTCTTTTTTGTTTCTTTTTTGAGACAGAGTCTTGCTCTGTTGCCCAGGCTGGAGTGCAGTGGCATGATCTTGGCTCACTGCAACTTCTGCCTCCCGGGTTCAAGCGATTCTTCTGCCTCAGTCTCCCGAGTAGCTGAGATTACAGGTGTCCGCCACCACCTCCCACCTAATTTTTTCGGTATTTTTAGTAGAGACAGGGTTTCACCAAGTTGGCCAGGCTGGTCTTGAACTCCTGGCCTCAAGTGATCCACCTGCCTCGGCCTCCCAAAGAGCTGGGATTACAGACATAAGCCACCGCGCCCAGCCAAAAAATGTAATTTCTTAGCACATTTAGATTTTTAAAACCTACATTTAAATTTTTAAATGAGCCAACATATTGTACCAAAATAACATTTCTAAGAGAAAATATATTAACCACTCAATTATTCCTATTTATCACAATATTTTAACTCTATGATGTCTCAGGGATTGAATCTGATTTAATACTATAATAAAACCACAGGTCCAATGGCAGAATGCTGGGAAATAGCCAAAGACTCTGTTTCATTTATCTGATGTAACTTTGACAAGTGAGTTCAATGTCGGTTGACTGGCATGTGCCTTCCTTTTCTTGGCCTTCTCTTTTATTAATGTAGTCACAGCTGTAAGGCTTGAGGTACTGTCACAAGAGACAGAGAGGGCTGAAGCTAAACTAAAATGCTATAAGAATATTAGCGCTTTGGGGTGAAACAAATATTAAGAAGTGAACTACGGCCCTAGGTTTTCACACCAGGATGCTTTACAAAATTAACAAAAGGGTACTTTAATCTCCAACCCCCAGAAGACATCCTAATGAGACTGGAAAAGAAAAACGGTCCTGCATCCCTTACTCTCTCCCATTCGGAACCTGAGAAAAATTGAACAATTTGTATTTAACCTCTTTCACAAGGTCACCAACAGTCAATTTGTTTACTGGTTATTCACCTTCAAGGACTGTGAAAGGGAAAGGACTCAAAAAAACACAGACCGGAGATAGCCATATTCATGCAATTCTATAACCCCATGGCAGCCCACTGTTTCCAAGCACTGATATTTGACTATTTGTGAAGGCCTCGGTTGAACACAAGCAGACGGCAAGCCAGGAGCTCCACCTTCTAGTCTCAATTAAAATTGAATTTCTTGTGAGTGACCTCACACTTTGGGTTATCTCCTTTCAAAAGACACTAATATTTAAGTTTCCTCAAAATAGCAAAATATTTTGAATTGGTAAAACGCATGAAGGAGAAAAACATCCTTTAAAAGTTTCTTTAAATAAAAAACCAAGTTTCTACAAACTTCTTTTTCCAATATGAATAATCTTACCTCCATTCTTTAGCCCTTAATTGAATTTAAAACCGTAACATATACATTAGGTTCTTCTCAAAAGGCATCAGAAGGTAGGAAAAGTGAAATTCAGCAACATGCCTTTTTCTTTAGGTTGGTAGCTTCAATCAGAGGGGGAATTCCACTAATAATTTCAGTAATAAGACACTAATGAATATGTATTAACTGTAGTTAAGTACTTAGCTTAGTGCCGAACACTCTTCTAAATACTTAAATGTATTACCTCATTTAACCCTTACACCAACCCTATTAAGATTAGAAGATGTGTACTTTAAAAAATATACTTTAACAACATGAAGATTCCTAAATATTTGGTGCTTAGAAAAAAAGAAATATGTGAAAATTTTAAAATAACCTTTAAAGTAAAGTAAAATAGACACTTGCAAACCAATATTACACATTCCGCAATAAAAAGACATTAAAATGGCTGCCTATGGGTCAATGAGGGTGAAGTATGTGCATAACAGAAAAATGTAATTTGTTTTTTTTGAGATGGAGTCTCCCTCTGTCGCCCAGGCCACAGTGCAGTGGCGTGACAATGCTGAGGTTGGTGCCAATATTATTCCCATTTTACAAAACCTTAGAAACTGAGAGACAAGTAACTTGCTTGAGATCACAGAGCTAGTAAATGGTAGAACTGGGACTCAACCCTAGGCAGTCCAGTAGCAGAACCTGTACTCTTTTTTTTGAAACGGAGTCTCACTCTGTCGCCCAGGCTGGAGTGCAGTGGCACGATCTCCACTCACTGAAACCTCCACCTCCCGGGTTCAAGCGATTCTCCTGCCTCACCCTCCCGAGTGTCAGGCCTCTGAGCCCAAGCTAAGCCATCATATCCCCTGTGAACTGCGCGTATACATCAGATGGCCTGAAGCAACTGAAGATCCACAAAAAGAAGTGAAAATAGCCTTAACTGATGACATTCCACCATTGTGATTTGTTTCTGCCCCACGCTAACTGATCAAGGTACCTTGTAAACTCCCCCATCCTTAAGAAGGTTCATTTTCTTTTATTTTTTTTTTTTTTTTTTTGAGACGGAGTCTCGCTCTGTCGCCAAGGCTGGAGTGCAGTGGCACGATCTCAGCTCACTGCAAGCTCCGCCTCCCGGATTCAAGGCATTCTCCTGCCTCAGCCTCCCGAGTAACTGGGACTACAAGCGCCCGCCACCACAACCGGCTAATTTTTATATTTTTAGTAGAGACGGGGTTTCACCATGTTAGCCAGGATAGTCTCGATCTCCTGACCTCGTGATCCACCTGCCTCGGCCTCCCAAAGTGCTGGGATTACAGGCGTGAGCCACCACGCCCGGCCAAGAAGGTTCTTTGTAATCTCCCCCATCCTTAAGAAGGTTCTTTGTAATTCTCCCCACCCTTGAGAATGTACTTTGTGAGATCCACTGCCTGCCCGCAAAACATTGCTCCTAACTCCACCGCCTATCCCAAAACCTGTAAGAACTAATGATAATCCCACCATCCTTTGCAGACTCTCTTCTCGGGCTCAGCCCGCCTGCACCCAGGTGAAATACACAGCCTTATTGCTCACACAAAGCCTATTTGGTGGTCTCCTGACACAGACGCGCATGACACCCAGTAGCTAGGATTACAGGGGTGCACCACCACGCCCGGCTAATTTTTTATTTTTATTAGAGCCAGGGTTTCACCATGTTGGCCAGGCTGGTCTCGAACTCCTGACCTAAAGTGATCCACCCACCTCAGCCTCCCAAAGTGCTGGGATTACAGGTGTGAGCCACCACGCCTGGCGAACCTGTAATCTTCATTATAATACAATACTACCCTATTAAAAAAGTTACCAGAAGAGAGACTGAAGCAATTAGCTAAAGCAACTTATTTTTTACAGTAGGCTTTGACTGGTCAATAATATTCTTAATGTTTCCTTGCCTTCCGTAACTACTGTCTAAATTATGTATCCCTTTTCAGAGATGCTAGCAGACCTCGTCTCCTGAAAGTTACTTCAAATTCTCAGTATTTGGTTTCTTTTTTTTTTTTTTTTTTTTTTCAGATGGACTCTCACTCTGTTGCCAGTCTGGAGTGCTGTGGTGCAATCTCAGCTCACTGCAACCTCCGACTCCCTGATTCAAGCGATTCTCCTGCCTCAGCCTCCCGAGTAGCTGGGATTACAGGCACACACCACCATGCCTGGCTAATTTTTGTATTTTTAGTAGAGAGGGGGTTTCACCATGTTGGCCAGCCTGGTCTCGATCTCCTGACCTCGTGATCTGCCAACCTCGGCCTCCCAAAATGCTGGGATTATAGGTGTGAGCCACTGCATCCAGCCTGGTTTTCTGATCTATAAAGATATGACAGGTCCAAAGTCCAAAATGCTCTGGAAACTAAAGGCATTTTTAATTATTATTCAGCCAATTCATTTGACTTGACCTAAACTCACTTAGTCTCCTCACCTTATTTTGTGAAGCTTTCTCTGGAGCCTCCTACTCTGTCCCGGCAGAGCCAAGTACTCCTCCTCAGTGCTTCTATAGCAGTTCAGGTCTGACTTTGGCTACACAGGACTGTGTTTAAGTCAACAGTCTTGTCCACCCACCTATTCTCATCCTCATCTCCTCACACTTTTAGTTAGAAGTCACCCACAATGCTCTTCTCAGAGACTAAAAATAAATGGGTTCAAATTCAGAGTTTACGTTATCCAAAGTACAAAAATTGACAAGATACGTAATAAGGCAAAACATAATCTTAGGAAATCCCAATAAAGTATCCCTGGATGCAAGGGTCTACAGAAAAAAAAAATAACTTCTGTCTCTGAGACTGGCACTAGTCTCAACACTTAATAAGGTAATAAGCCGGGGCATGAAATATCTCATGCAGGCATATTTCTACAACCTGTATCAGATGGTTGGGCACCGATGGAAAGAATGACTGTAATAGTTAGGATTTATTATGGGAGAAGAATTCCATGGTGAACATGCAAGTAATTCAGGTAGTTGGCAGCCTTTTTTTTAAAGAAATATTGTTTTTATTATTTATTTTTTATTTATTTTTTGAGATGGAGTCTTGCTCTGTCACCCAGGCTGGGGTGCAGTGGCGCGATCTTGGCTCACTGCAAGCTCCGCCTCCCGGGTTCACCATTCTCCGGCCTCAGCCTCCCGAGTAGCTGGGACTACAGTCACCCACCACCACGCCTGGCTAATTTTTTTTTTGTATTTTTAGTAGAGACGGGGTTTCACTGTGTTAGCCAGGATGGTCTCCATCTCCTGACCTCGTAATCCGCCCACCTCGGCCTCCCGAAGTGCTGGGATTACAGGTGTGAGCCACTGAACCCAGCTGTTTTTATTTTCTTAAGAAAAAAAAATGAAAATTTCTGATAGTTGTCTTTATTAACTAAAAGAAAGTAAAAAACATCACAGATTGGTTATAGTTTCATATATGGACTATATGACATTTAAAGTCTTTTTTTTTTGAAATGCAGTAACTTTAGAATGGCAATTTATTTTACAACCCATACGTTTTGCTAATTAAGACATGATGGTTTCAACAAAAGAAAGTATAAAAACATAATATAGATTGCTTATAGTTTCATATGTGGACTATAGAACATTTGAAATCTTTCTTTTTTCCTGAAATACAGTAATCTTAGAAGGCCAATTTGTTTTACAACCCATAGGTTTTGCTAATTAAGATATGGTGGTTTCAGGCAGGGCACGGTGGCTCATGCCTGTAATCCCAGCATTCTGAGAGGCTGAGGCGGTCGGATAACTTGAGGTCAGGAGTTCGAGGTCAGCCTGGACAACATGGCGAAACCCGGTCTCTACTAAAAATACAAAAATCAGCCAGGTGTGGTGGCACGTGCCTGTAATCTCAGCTACTCAGGAGACTGAGGCAGGAGAATCATTTGAACCTGGGAGGCAGAGGTGCAGTGAGCCAAGATTGCACCACTGCACTCCAGCCCAGGCGACAGAGTAAGACTACATCTCAAAAAAAAAAAAAAAAAAAAAAAGATATGGAGGTTGAGGTTTCAGTTTGCAGATGTCAGCATGAAGAGGAGAAACCATCAGGTTTTCAAACTGTGAGCTTATTGTGGTGCTCAATGCCCTTTTATTTTTAAAGAGAGAGACAATCCAATTTGCTTTTTGTTTTTTCAGTAGGACTTTGGCTAATAAGTAATGTCTGTTCATAAACAAATGCCATGTAATGCGAACAGCATAAATTGTATAGTTTTAAAAGGCCTTTCAAGGGGATGAACACTGAATTTTTTTCTGCAAGACACAAAATAACACAGGCAGTCAGGTTTACCTTAAAGAAGACTTATCCTAAGTCAGCCTCATACGAAACGGCAAATCTATAAGGTATGGCAGCATATTAAATCAATCCTTTTAATAATGTTTCATTAAATTATAACATGCCATCCAGGGGATCATTGCATTTTGAAATTTGGTTGTTTTCCTATGAGAAACAAATAGAAATAAATCAGACAAATCCCCTTAATGTATTCAGAGATTCTAATTCAGAGTTCTCCCTTCTTTGTTATGATAACATTACTTTGATGTCACATTTTCCTAAGCAAATATAGCAGATATCTAACTGAAATAGTGATTTTATTGATTACTAGGCTTACCTATCTTGAATAAGTCACCTCATAAAGTCTTTTTTTCTCCTTAGTCCCCTTAGCTGCTTCTTTCACAGTGGGGAAAAACAGTCTTTGTAATAGAACGCCAGTTTGCAGATGCCTTGTTTATATCTTTACGTACATTGTTTGTTTATCATTTATGTCATAGTTCCACTACCACCATTTTCTTATTTCTGCCACGATATAGACTCTCATCTCTGGTCACACTTCAATGTGTCATATGGGTGACATAAAGCTGAAGTGGCTCAGTTTATAGACCACGAAATTTTGATGACAGTTAAGTTAATTTTGCATGAAGATCAAGGAGCCGAAGCTGCAAAAGTCATTCATAGAAAACGACTTTGCAAGTGGAAGGTTACTGTCTAGTTTAACTGGGCCCAGCTCTCTGCCTGAGATTATTTCAAATTGCATTATTCACAGCACACCACCTGTTTGTAACACTGTTTTCCTTTCCAAAAGCTTTATAGTTTAAAACAACAGTTTCTGTATGATTTATTCATTTATTTGTTCATTGAAAATATAACACCCTTCTTTAAAATAAAGTTTGGATCTAACTAGATAATTAAGCAGGTGAAAATCTGGGATTTTTCTTTAAACCATGATAAAATTTTGTTTTCCAAACACCCACAGGCTCATGAATTTCTGAAGGGCTCTGTGTAAATAAGTCTAACAGAACCAGTTAGCAATTCCAGCACAATGGCTCTCAAGATGCAGTCAAATTACAGTGATTCATTCATTTATTCATTGACAAAAATACTGGAATACAATGGTAAGCAAAAGAAACAGTCTGTACCTTTGGGGAGGCACTAGCCTGGTAGAGAGGAAATTTTTCATCAATCACATAAGTTTAAAAAATATTGTATTTGCTGCATAACAAACTACCTCAAAACCTAGTCACTTACAAAGAAGCATTTATTGATTTACAGTTTCTATGGGTGAGGAATTTGGGAATGACTTAACTGGGTGGTCCTGATTCAAGGTCTCTCATGAGGTTGGGGTCAAGATGTTAGTCAAGGCTATAGTCATTTATTAGGTTGACAGAAATTCTGGTTTGCCTGAAACAAGCCTGGTTATGCCCCCTTTCCTGGCATAATTATAATTAGCATTCCCTTTCATTTTTAAAAGTGTCCTGGATTGTACAGTACATTCATCACTGAACTAATTAAGAAGCTATATCCAGAATAGACTGCTCCCAATATGAAAAAATATCTGGTGTTTCAATTCCATAGTCTCTCACCCCTCCCTACGCCTCATGCATACATAGTGGCTTTCCTTCCTATTTGCTTCCAAGTTATCTCATCTTCCCATCGATTCTGAGAGCATCCAATATAGATCTAATAAATTTCCATTTGCTTAAGCTAGCCCAAATCAAGTTCTGTTGCTTGCAACCATAGACTCCTACACTAATACAGCTATGATAAGGCGATTTCGTTCTATACTAATAGCAATGTAAACTTATGGAAAGGTTTTAAGTGTATTTGGGTAGAGGGAGAAATTAGATGTTCATTTCAACACCATTAGTTGTTACAGAGCAGAGAAAAATTAGTGATGAGAATGGGAACTAGAAAGCAAATTAGGAGGTATTGCAATAGTCCATTTGATAGTAGATGATGCTGTACACCAGGATATGGGTTATGAAGATAGGAAGATGTGATGGATTCAAGAGATCTAAGAAGTAAAACAGAAGGTAGTGGAGGATTAGATATAGAAGGTGAAGGAGACATAGATGTTAAGAATGATTCCTATGTCTCTGGCTTGTCCAGGCTGTGTGTGTTGAGTCTATTAGCTGCAACAGAAGATACAAGAAGAGAATCAGATATGTGAGTTTGGGATTTTTTTTTGAAACATTCTAGAAGGGAAATTAAGTAGATAGTTGAATACATATGAGGAGAGCATTGAGGAGCAGTCTGAGCTAGAGAGATATTTGCATGTCATCTGCCTACAGACTATAGTTAAAAAAAAAAAAAAAAAGCATGGATTTGGAGCGATTACCTAGACCAGAACTTCTTAACCCTGGATGGACATTAGAATCAACTGGGGACTTGTTTTTATAAAAGCCGATGCCTGGGCCCAGAGATTCTGATTTAATTGATTGGGGTGTGACCCCTACTTTTTAAATGCTTCTCCATGGTTTGAATAACTATCCAGGGTTGAGAACTACCATAGAGTGAGCATGCAGAAGGAGAAAAGAAGGGACAAGACTGAACCTTGAAAAACTTCAACATCTACTGGCCACTTAGGAGAAGACAAGCTGTCAAATGAGAAAGAGAGGAAGCAGCCAGAGAGGTAGGGATATGACAAATAACAGGAGATATTAACATGAAACCAAAACATGAGTGTTTCAACAGGGAGAGAACAAACGGTCAATTTTGGCAAATGACTAATGAGAAGTAAACTCAGATTAGAACTAAGAACTGTTCATCATATTTAGGAACACTGTTACCTTTATGGAAAGATATTTCAGTTTTCTGATAAGACTTAAAGCTGGACAGAAGTGGGCTGGGCAGTAAGTTGATGGTGAAACAATGGAGATAGATGGTAGAGACATCTCTTAGCTGGAGAGAACGATGGTGTGGTAGCTGGACATGGGTGAGTACTCAAGTTATTTTGTCTTATTATATATGATAGACCTGAATTAGTTTAAAAGTTGATGCAATGTATTCAACTTTCAGAAAGAAAAAAGTATGCAAGAAAGGGATAAATACAAAAGAGTGTAGAGGTTTTGAAAATATGAGAGATCTTAGGTGGGCATCGTAAAAACAAGGGGAATCAAGCCAGACAGGGTGGTGCATGCCTGTAATCCCAGCTACTTAGAAAGCTGAGGCAGAAGAATCGCTTGAGCCCTCAGAAGTTCGAGACGATCCTGGGCAACACAGTGGGACCCCATCTTTTATCTAAAAAATAAAACAGGGAAGGCTCAATCTTAAATAAGGAGAACATCTTCTCCATGAATTTAGGAGGGAAGAGAAGTATGTAAGAGCAAAGCCAGTCGCTATATTTTGAACTAGAAAGATAAGAAAGTTCCAATCTGATTTTGTTTTGTTTTGTTTTGTTTTTCTGTAAAGTAGAAGGGAAGGTATGAGTTAAAAATAGGATAGGAAGGACATGTGACAGGCGAAAGTGTAGACAGAGTAGCAAACTGTTGGAATGGTATTTGTGAAGAGTGTGGGAGTGAGCTAATCAGAGAAGGCGAGTAGAACTGCCAAGCAGTATGGAGAGCTGTTTTAAGGGAAGTCATCATTAATTTACACAGAAACAAGTGCAAGAACCAAGTTCATCCAAAAATGTGCTTTTTTTCCAGGTAACGCGACAAAAAGAAAGGGGACAAGGAAGTTCCATATAGTAATTAAAAACAGTTATAGAAATGATGTGCCATGGAATCTAAGTTGGACGATGAGAGAAAGATAAAAGAAGACTGATAGATTGGGGAACAATCAGAACCTCTCATAGGGTCAAAGAACAGAAAAGGTCTATATGGTTATTTTAGGTAGATTTCTAATTAACCTCAGTGGTATTTCATCCAAAATACTGATATTGAATTCCATCAGTAAAAGGGCTCTCTTGCATTATTTTGACTATGGCAGTGCGAGAGGAGGGTGGCGCAAAGAGTCTTCATTATCTTTCATGCAAAATTAGCGGAGTTTTAAATCCTTTGATCAGGAAAAGCAAACGAGAAAATGAAAAGATAGAAATTACAGTCCTATAGTTCAAACTAAAAAAATTCTGAATTACACAAACTATAGAACAAAAAATGGCAGCAGAATATCGTGATGCTATAAGCAGCCAAGTAGTCCATTAATCCACCCTTAAATATGTGTGATACTCTTATAGAGCTCCGAGTTACAGGCCTTGCTTTAAAGGCTGGATACAGAACCTCTGATCCTGACATGAACACTGTTCAGAATCTATCCATGAACCTGGAAGTGAGAGACATCCCAGGGTCTGCTACCACTAAAACAAAATAACTTACGACATCCTCAGAACCTCTAAGATCCTGAATAGCTCTGGAGCTTTTTAGACAGCTATTTTGCCTGAATAGTTAAACCCAAGTGATATAAATGAATCTAATGAAAGGAAGGTCAATCGCTGCTTGACAAACATTTTCATACAATTTTCTATGTTCTAGTCATAAAACTAGGCTCTAGAGATACTATAGTTGGCAAACAGAAATGTTCCCTTTCCTCAAGGAGCCTAACACATATACAAAACAGACATTAAAGAATCACCAATATTGAGGTGAATAATTAAGCCGTGCGAAGGGCTACAGTAAAAGAGGTGTACGTTTAATAGATATTTAGGAATATTTGGAATTTAGTAATCCTGGAGTAGAGGGAGGAGGTAATAGAGAAGAATTCAGCAAGAATGCTTCAATATGGGGATGAAGCAACTTGGTGGTATAGGTGGCATTTATTAAGATAGAGAATATAGATGAGGAGCCAGTTTGGGACAAGAAGGTGCTGAATTGAGTTTTGGACATGTTACATTTGAGATGCTTGTTAAACAACCGAGCACAGGTATATAATAGTCAGATAAAAGTCTAGAGCTCCGAAGAAAGATTTGGGTGAGAAAGATAGATTTTATCCTAGTTGGTCCTTTGCTCAAATGGGTCCCAGATCTAAGCACTGCTGTGATCAATGGCCAACTGATGAAGGCAGGGCAGGTGAAGGAGGAAAAGATGCTCTTTTTCAGAATTCTTTTCACCACATGCCACTCCAGCTCAATAATTATGACAGAGGCAACAGGTACCTTTGACACATCCTCCATGCATTACCATGGTATTCTTTCTAAAACACAGTTAAGTTTATGACATTACCTTACCTCTGATCCAGTGGATAAAGTCCAAGCTTCTAAATATGGGGTTCAGAATCTTTTATCATCTAGCTTCATTTCTTCCTATGCTACCCCATAGTCTCTAGATCCCCTTCCATGTAACACATACTTTTTTCTACAAACACATCAACGTTGATGGAGTCCTTTTAACAGTCCATGTTGGCATTTCTTTCTCAAATACGTTTTGCCCCCTTTCTCTGCCTGGAAAACTTCCACTCTTCCTTCAAAATCCTGCTTCATTTATTCCCTCATTCAATAAAAATATTTTGAGCCCTTCCTGGATGACACACACTCTGTTAGATGTTTGGCCTATGGAGTCATTCACAAAAAAGATATTACCCACCCACCCCATGTTATATACAGCATATCAGAAAAGGACATAGATAGGGGATACGGTATACTTATCAGTTTCTCCTCATTGGGAACTGGTAAAATTCTTATCTAACATGCTCAGATATTTATATTTATATTTATATTTTATTTATTTATTTATTTCTGCTGATACCTACTGGATCTCTCTTTTCCTTGCCTTGTCCAAATTCTGGTGATGTTTTATCATGAATTTTTGCCTCATGCTGGTCTTCCCAGGCATAACATTTTCTTTTATCAAATCATTTAATCTCATTATTTGTTTTTTTAATTGCTCAAAGCTCACTCTGATTTCTATGAAGGTTTGGTGATTCCAACATAAGAAATAAAATGGCTGCCATTATTTGCTTGAGACTGGCCTCTTTTCCTCTATTTGCAAAACCGCACTTTCTCTCTCTCTCTCTCTCTCTCTCTCTCTCTCTCTCTCTCTCTCTCTCTGTGTGTGTGTGTGTGTGTGTGTGTGTGTCTGTGTGTAGTGGGTGGGGTGAGTGGGTATATCTATCTTCTAAGTATTCTGAATTTATCAGCTTTTTTTTTTTTTTTTTTTTTTTTTTGGAGACGGAGTCTCGCTCTGCCGCCCAGGCTGGAGTGCCGTGGCGCGATCTCGGCTCACTGCAAGCTCCACCTCCCAGGTTCATGCCATTCTCCTGCCTCAGCCTCCCAAGTAGCCGGGACTACAGGCGCCCGCCACCACACCCGGCTAATTTTTTTGTGTGTTTTTAGTACAGACGGGGTTTCACTGTGTTAGCCAGGATGGTCTCGATCTCCTGACCTCATGATCCACCTGCCTCAGCCTCCCCAAGTGCTAGGATTACAGGTGTGAGCCAAGGTGCCCGGCCCTCACCTTTTATTAGGATTGGAGATAAATGAATTTCTCCATTGGACCAACATATGAGCTATGTATTAATATACTTCCATATAACATCAGTAGCCCAGGATTTTCTGTGTAGCCTTTCAATGCTGGCAACTATAACCTCATCTGGTCCATCACTTTCTCCACCTCCTAGTAACACCAGCCTTGTCAGTGTCAATTAATTCAGCATGCCATAGTCCTTCTATACCCCCACCCCCTACTCCATATATTAGCCACAGACACTGCTCTGCTTCTTGGCATCAACAACTGGAATCTGGACCACATGTTAGAGGATCTTACTTCATCATACCAACCATGGGCAAAAGTCAGATGCAAAGTGAACTAACATCAATCTGTATTTTTTAGGTTCTTGTTATATATTAGGAAAGGTTATTTGTCTCTTGGTAGCTTGGGAAGCCCTGAATCATAAAATAAATGAAGCACTTGATATGTAACAAAGATCATATTATTCATACATATTAGAATTCAAAGCCTATATGTCATGACATGGACTTCTGGGAATTTAATTATCTTAACGTTATGTCTTCGTGAAGGTGTTTGGAAATGAAATTACCACAGAGCTGAACTTATACAACTTACTTATGGATAGGAGCTCTTCTTCACAGTCTAGTTATGTGAGCCACTTAAGAAGAAATGGCAGTGACAGGAAAACTGTAGACAACAGAAGTAATCTGCAAAAGGAGAGAGTCACAATTTTGAAGGTCAAATGTGGCCCTTCCTAAATAAGTGAGAATATAGAAATAAGAAGAAGGGACATATCTGGAGAAAGGGATTTGTTTAAAGCCAAAAGCCAAGACTCTTCATGAAACTCAAAGTTGATTTCCTTAAGTCTCTTTGGTTTTCAATAAAACCAATAACCCTTTATTAAAAACAAAAAAGGCGGATTAAGTAGTTAGTTAGCATACATGCTATTGTGCCCAAGGCCATGGTGTTAATCCCCTGAAATGAGGGTGAATTTCATTCTGTTTGAAAACTACACCCTGCATTGAGTCAGCCATCTTGAAATTACATGTCTTCAGTGAATTAAAAAACTGGATAGGACTGTTTGAATAATCTAAATCCAGATCACCCCTGCTGGGCTAGGGAAATGCTCAAAAGTACACACTCCTCAATACAGTGTTAATAAAAGAGTAAAATGGAAACAAATTAAAAAGTGGTCTATACACATAGGGTAGTCATTTTATGTAAGCAGTAAAAATGATAATAATTAGAAGCATATACCTGCTCAGGAAAACGCTTATTATTTCATGCTAAGTGAAAGCAACCACAACAAAAATTATATATATGATTACAACTATTTTAAAAGTATATATTCTGATTAAAAACTGAAAGAGTATCTATAAATATAAAACTATAGGTTACAGTGTTGGGGAAATTATAGGTAGTGTTCTCAATGTTATACATTTTACAATACTATTACTTTGTATAAAAATAAGCAACAGCATGCCAAAATGATGGGGCTTCAGGGGCAATATCTTTATATATAATCGTGCTTTATTACTGCCAAGGGAAGTAATGCTGTCATTCTACTTCCTTCTAAACTTTGTTTTAATTAAAAAGAGAGAGTGATCCTACACAAATCTAAGACCAAATAAATGTCAGCTCAGCATTTGTGGAAAATGTTAAGACTAGAGGCCAATGATGAATTAGCCTAATTCAGAGACTAATAACATTACCAAGTGAACTGTCATCTTGGTTCTTACATGCAATGTATGTCAGGGGAGCAAATGTGGATAGATGCAGTGGAGGATTTCTACCTGTATTAGCAAAATGGCTGAAGTGTTGGTGATGGTTTATAATCAGAAACCTAGATTTTATTAGCTTTGACTATCAAGAGTGTTCAGGGAATACTAAAATCTCCCTAGTTCCCTTCGAACTGATGGATGCAAGCTGACAGCACTGAGAATGAGGACACTAGGTTCTCATAGGAAGACAGAAAACAATGGGAAGATGAGCACAAATTCCAACTTTTATAAGATATACTTAACGTAACAGAGTGCACACAACTATACATGTGGGAAATCTATAGATGTGATAAATCAAACTAATTGTGTCACTCTCCATGTTTAATTTTGGAAAAGCATTTACAATCCTAGATTAGCACCCACAAAACTTAGGCTGCACAGTGATACTGATAACTAAATTTTGTAGAACACTTCATAGCATTCAAAATGTATTTGTTCATTTTATTTCACAGTGATCGGTTCATGAACCCTTTGAGGAGATAAGGCAAGTGTTGTTATTCACATTTTACACATGAGAGAAAAAGAATTTAACCAACTAGCTGCCACTCAGCTAGAAAGTGGCAGAGTCCAAACGTAAATTCAAGGAATCTGACTGCAAACCACCAGGTCTTGCTGATTCCCACAATAACATTAAAGCAATTCAAAGAGAAAGCTAGCTTTCAGTAAAATTCATATTTAAGACACAGCTTTAACTCTCTTCTCAGCTCTTTTCCTACCCAGAGTTCCTATGCTCTCAGTTCCTATGCTTCCCTCTCTGAGGGAAGGAAATTTCATTCATACTAATATGTTAGGAAGATACTGACTATGCCCCAAAGTTTGTTTTTGCATCAGGAATGCTAGGAAAGAGCATTCTTAAAAATAATGAAATGAACTACTGGTAGATTACCTAGAACTGCTAAAAACAGAGGGGAAAAAATACTCTGGAAGTGTTCAGATATATACGATCATGTCATTTATTCTACTTACTCTTGAGGCTGATCCTGTACAACTCTCTTACCAATTAGGGATGCCAGCTGTGGTAAAGTGAAAAGAGGACACAAAGGTTGAACTATCAAATACAAGCTGTGTGATCTACAATAAACAAGATCAAATAATTCTGAGCCTCCATTTCCTTGTCTGAAGAATGGAAGACTTTATTTACAGTGTGGGAGTGAAGATAAAATGAGATAAAACTTCAAGAAAGAAGTGATCATTATTCTTAATATTTTCAGCTGGTTGCTTTTAGAGGCTTTTATCCTCCAAAATCAAGTTACTTCTTCTATCAATGTTGTTATTCTAGAAGCAGCCTCATAAGTTTTACAATTTACTGTTAGCATTAAAAAGAATGAGCAACTCATCTAATATAATGAATGTGTTATAAAATCCATTTTTAGAACTTAGAGAATTATCTAGGAAGCTCAGGAATTAGCATGACTTCAAAGTATTCAAAACATGGGTAGATAGTTTGCATTTTCTAATCACAAGGAAGGCATCTAGCATATTTACAATAACACGTACCACCACCTGTACAGATAGATACATGTAGATATGTGTATGTATTATACACACATCTAACTTCTAAAGCATAAATCGATCAAGTTTATTAACTCTATCCCACTTTCCTCAGTAATAATCATGTTGCAACAGTCCTTAAGGCACACATCTGGCAACCTGTCTTACAATGTTAATGTTCTTCAATTTTGATGGTACGTAGTCATGTGTACAGTGTAGATTTCAGAGCCCCAGGGAGTTCATCTTATCATATAACTTATTCCCTCTCATGGCCAGCACAACTCTTGTAGCTTGGAGTAAACATTGAGTTTCTAACTATGATCTACATAAAAATGTAAATATTCCTTGTGAATATTATCAACTTTTATCATACCTTGTCCTTAACCCACATAAGTTTCTCAGCTCTTAACTAAAAGTGATATCCTGTAAGGATGGGATACAGATAGGTACATTTGAAACTTGGAGATTGAGCTAGCTCTGGAATGTTAGTTCACCTGCAACAGTGGGTGCATATGGCTATTGTGAAAGGGCAGTGATATAGTCTGGATGTTCGTCCCCTCAAAATCTCACATTGAAATTTGATCCCCATTGGTTTAGGAGGGGCCTGTTGGGAGGTGTTTTGGTCATGGGGGCAAATTACTTATGAATGGCTTGGTGCCTTTCTTGGGGTAATGAGTGAGTTTTTGCTCTATTAGTTCACTCAAGAACTAACTGTTAAAGAGTCTGGCACCTCCTCCTGTCTTGCTTCCCCTCACCATGTGATACTGGCTCCCCTTCTCCTTCCCTTTATGCCATGATTGGAAGCTCCATGAAGCCCTCACAGGCAGCAGGTGATGTCATGCTTCTTACATGCAGCCTGCAGAACTGTGAGCCAAAAAAACTTGTTTCTTTATAAGTTACCCAGCCTCAGGTATTATTTTATAGCAATGCAGATGGACTAATACAGGCAACCAAAGAGAGGTTATCATTAAATCAACTTGGTCCCTTCCCTCTACATAGCTTGTGTGCCTTAGGGGAAGCTGACTCCACCCCCAGGACCTCACATAGGCCTGGACTAAGGGTAATCTACTCTACCTTCTTGCAAGTGATTGGTTCAGAAATGGGCATGTTACTCATTAAGGGCCAATGAGATTTTCAATGAGACACTTTTGGGGAGAGGGTAGGTTAATTTTTCTTCATTTTTCAGGAGAGCTTTTGGTAGAACTCTTTCTTCTCTTCCTTGTGGATGCTGTCATACACAAGCGTGAGATCTGGTCAGAGTAAGAAGTCAACACTTACAAGGAAGTAGAGTAAAGACAAACATAGGGAAATGGAGCCAGAGCAACTGGACGATACGTCCCTGAAGCCCCACCTCACCACTGGATTTCTTCACCAGTGTAGAAACGTATGCCAGTACATTTCTTCACCGTATGGGCCAGGTGGTGTCAGATTTTCTGTGACTTCCTTCCCATGCAGGTCAGATGATACGAAGCCAAAGACAAATGTTGTGCTGTGTGGGTCCCACAGCCACTGTGCTCTGAGCAGATATTGTTTTTTAAAAAAAATCACAAGCATCTATACCATCTGTCACTTGGTATAAGTAAAAGCTAGACAGAAAAAAGACATGTGACTTTCCAAGGCATTGCCGTGCAACGGACAAAATCTAGGTTGAAATATTCTTGTCTCTCCTACTCTGACAGTTTCTTCCCCTGGATTGCATTTTTTCACCATTAAGATCATTGATAAACTGGGAAAATAGTCTACAAAAATGTCACCTTCATTTTGCAGCAATTTGAATACATAATTATTCATCCATCTAAGAAAAACAATCCATTTTAGAAAATTAATTATTGAGTGTATAAAGTGCTTTCATTCTTAGAATCTATAATGTGAATTGGCTGGATCATAATTAACGGTTTCTAGCATGATTCTTATAAAGGTGTCTCTCCAATCAGATCTGACAGCCTACTTGCCCACCTTGGCTCTTATGCCTTCAAGATCTTAATAAAACAGAAGTGAACTTGAAAGTTGTTCCAAATAGGAATGTGAATTAAATATACTATTCCTATCTAATATCTAATGTCTGTATTTACCCAACATTGCTAATATCGTAAGAGGAAAAAAATTATTATTTTTAAGTTGTTTTTGTCCCCAAAGCTATCCATTAATTCCTTCCTAAAAGAACAGTTAGAATGTGAATGGGGACAACCTTAATACGACTGCATTGACAATCTCCGCCCTATGCCTTTTTACTCTATTACGTATGTGCAGCTTTATTTTTGCAGTAAAACAATATTTTTAATGATTATATTAAATAGCATTTTGAAGTCAAACTATACAGCCTAATAAATTATGAGTAATATAATAAATATGCAGGATTCTATCTTGGCTCACATCCAATGGGCTTTAATTATGAAGCTATTTAAACTAACTAATTATAAGACAGAATTTCTGAGTAGACGGCACCCTCCAGCCAGTATGAACTATTTGCAAAAGGACCACAGCAAAATCTCAATATATATCTACAGTTCATAAAAATTATTAGGTTTTTAAATTTGATATAAATGCTTGCTATTAAAATATCACAATCCATTCTCATTACCTCTAGATGGGATACTACCTTTAGATCCATCTGGTGGAAATTCCTGCAGATAATATAGTTTCTATCCCTGAAATAAGCTTTTTGGTTAACATTGCCCTCGTGAGTTTATGTTAAGATTCTAGTGACCCAAGCTGCCACCTGCTTCAGTAAGGTTTGGCCCCAATCTATTGCTACAGGTTGTATTTTTCCAGTTGCCTGTTGCAGGTAGGGGCATTATCTTCCCTCAGTTTAAGAGACAGATTCTGGGCTGGGAGTGGTGGCTCACGTCTGTAATCCCAGCACAGAGGCCAAGGCGGGCGGATCACTTGAAGTAAGGAATTCGAAACTAGCCTGGTGAACATGGTGAAAACCCATCTCGACTAAAAATACAAAAATTAGCCGGGCGAGATTACACGCGCCTGTAGTCCCAGCTACTTAGGGGGATGAGGCAGGAGAATCGCTTGAACACGGGAGGCGGAGGTTGCAGTGAGCCGAGATCGTGCCACTGCACTCCAGCCTGGGCGACAGAGCAAGAATCTGTCGCAAAAAAAAAAAAAAAAAAAAAAAAAGAGAGAGAGAGAGAGAGAGAGAGACAGATTCTGGTGCTCACAAAGGTCAACAGAAAAGTGTGGACACCTCCAAACTGGTCTTCTATATCATTAAAATGCAAGGAATCAACAACAAATAGGATATACATATGGTCACTTGTCAATGACATCTTTAGGCCAACAACAAAGCTATTATTGTTCTGAAAGAATGTTTCACAGTAAAAGGAACAGAAAATCAGTAACCCTTCAGCTGTTAAGATTTCCCATGTAGCTTTCAGCCTTCTTCCACTGTTTGCAATACTTTGCAAGCATGCTCAGATAGACACACTGACTCAACCATGGGAGTAAGCTCACTAGTGGGTGAATTTGACTGATAAAGTTGCAAGAGAAAACCTGAGATTTAATGCATTTGCTTTTTTGTCTCTGAAGCCCTAAATAAGTGTCTATAGACAAGGGCTCCACTCTCTATTATTACAGAGTTTAAGCAAAATACTCAAGGAAGAAAATATCAAAGTTGTTTAAAATTTATCTTTTTAGTATATAGATAAAGGTTTATCCTCCAGAAATATAAACATTAATTCCTAGAGTGCAAGTTTCTCTGTCCCCTAATTACCACCATCAAAATGACTTCGATAAAAATACTGGAGTAATGGAATCAATTTAAAATAAAAGGGATTAGGAGTTGGATACAAAAGAGGATCTGCTGACTTAGTCAGATTTTAAAACCCAAAGGTATTTCAAAGAAAGAATTTTAAGATAAAGCTAGAAAATTTCCCATCCTGCAAGACCTAGGTCAACTACTAATATAAGAATTGGTAAATAAAATAGAAGGAGCTTGACACACTATTCAACAAAAACAAGCAAACAAAACACAACTTTAAAAAGAGAATGCTACCTGGTATCAAGTAGAACACTGTAAGCACCATAAGATTAAACTGTTAATTTAGAAAGAAAATGGCACTTGCTCTTTAAAAACTGAGAGGGAGCAGTCAAAAAGATTTACAGAGTTTGCTGAACATATAACATTCACATTTCTATTGTAAGTCCTAACTTGACACGAACCATTAGCATTAATACAAAAACCAAAAACCAAGTGTTTTTAGAGCCATAAGACAAAACATATTATATTCTTTAGACAAATATGGTTTAGAAGGAAGTGTCTTGTGAAAGATGGCAGGGACAGTAAAAGGACTCTTATTTCCATTTAAAATACAACCACAAAACACATGTTTTAAAGGTAAATGTTGGACACCTGTCACCTATATGATACAGATGTATTCCCAGTTACCTGTCCACGTGTTTTATTTTTAAAGCAATCCAATGGTACCAAAACCTATTAAAACTTTGGAATCCAGATTGTATTAGTCTATTCTCATGCTGCTAATAAACACATACCTGAGACTGGGTAATTTATAAAGGAAAGAGGTTTAATGGACTCATAGTTCCACATGTCTGGGGAGGCCTCACAATCGTGGAGGAAGGTGAATGAGGAGCAAAGTCACATCTTACACGGCAGCAGGCAAGAGAGCTTGTGGAGGGGAACTCCCATTTATAGAACCATCAGATCAGCCGGGCGCGGCAGCTCACCCCTGTAATCCCAGCACTTTGGGAGGCCGAGGCGGGTGGATCATGAGGTCAGGAGATCGAGACCATCCTGGCTAACATGGTGAAACCCCGTCTCTACTAAAAAATACAAAAAATTAGCCCGGCGTGGTGGCACGCGCCTGTAGTCCCAGCTACTTGGGAGGCTGAGGCAGGAGAATGGTGTGAACCCGGGAGGCGGAGCTTGCAGTGAGCCAAGATTGCGCCACTGCACTCCAGCCTGGGCGACAGAGCAAGACTCTGTCTCAAAAAAGAAAAAAAAAAAACCATCAGATCTCATGAGACTTACTCACTACCACAAGAAGAGTATGGGGGAAACCACCTCCATGATACAGTGATGTCCACCTGGCCCAGCCCTTGACACATGGGGATTATTACAATTCAAGGTGAGATTTGAGTGGGGACACAGCCAAACCATATCATAGATCATATGCCCATTCTCCTAAAACTGTAAAGTGAAAGTACTTTCTACCTGCCTCAAGTTTGGCCTGAGATTAGCCAGTGGAAAAAGAAGAGAAGAGTTATAAATCACTGCTCTGTCAAGTCGAAAAGCAAGCATGTAAATTGCTCTGAGACTAAAAAAGATTCCTCCCTAAGGCAGAAGTAAGAATGTTTGCTTACACCTTTATAAATAAAGTTCTGTCAAGCTGTGAGGGAAATATACTCATATCCATAGGGGAAGTCAGGGAGCCAGCCTTGTGAATCTCCAGTGTAATCTATTTCCACACAATGGACATTCTCACCACCTTCCTCTTGGGACAGTAAATAGTCAATAATCATCCCAGATGGTTTGAATCTAAACTTATCAGTGACAGATAATAAATCAGAGCATTCTGATGTGTGCTACGCTATTATAGTTCCAATGATTTCACACCGATGGGATATTGAAACTGCTAAGTAGCATAATTAGTTACAGATAATTCCAAGACATTAATCATGCTTGGGATAAATCCTTGGAACAAATATTGAAAATATTCTTTATCATATATATTACCAAATGCCTGAAAGGGATTAATTTGGTACCAAGCTTGTAAGTATGCAGGCATTTAAGGAGCACGGCACTTTTTAATACCCAGAAATGATATTCCATTTGACATTTTGTAAAATGAAGTACCATCCCACCATCACTTTTGGCATTTCTCAAGTTTTGTTCAAACAAGATATTTCATTTATTCAAGGGAATTTTAATCTGGATTTTATTCATTTCAACTATTTATTGAAATAATGCAACTGCCCCTTTATTAAAGAATGCAATATCCACCCCAGGAATCATTATGAAGCAAATGAGTTTTGTTTTTGCATTTTTTCCTGGTGCTTATTTCAAAATCTTAACTCATTTTCAGGAAATAGGTCCTGTAAGGCTCCCCTGGGTCCTGCAATCGAATACCCCATTCAAGTAGACTTTCTCTGGAATCGAACTCTGATCACTTATTTTCCATAGTCTCTCTTCAAACTTACTCCTCCTGTGTCCCGTTTACTCAGAATCAAGATCTTCACCAGCTACTCTCAGTAACCAAGCCATACCCAAGTATGAATAACTGAGAATAACTTAATTAAAGCTTATCTTCCCCAGTATTATAGCTGCATTTTAAACTGTAAGGCTTGAAAATGAGCAGAGATCTTGGGATGTGGTATATTGGTCTTTGGCGATCCCATAAGCCATGACATACAAGCAAATAGCTTATGTCTAGAGGTGGTAAAGAGGTAAAAGGCCAACTCAGGGTATGTGAGCTACCAATATGAGTTCTTGCAAGCATTCAAAAGCACTATATGCAAAGAATGTCATTAAACTCCTACATATGTTTCCTCTAGATGTTCCACAAATTGGTTATCATCGAAAACTCTAAATCCAGTCTTCCAGATTATGTATCCCTTCATATAATTTATGGTGATTCTATAACTTAGAATATTTTCACTCTTGTGAAATTAAATCTGTTCATTCTTTTCCTTTAAACTTCAGTGATTTAAATAACTCTTGCAAATTCTCCCCCTCTCCATAAATTAATGGAAATATTCCCTTGAGTTATCTTCTAGTACTTTTACTTTTAAAATAATATTTAAACCTTCAATGTATCTGAAATTTGTTGCAACTATGGCATGAGCTAAGGATTTAACTTTATATTTTTCCAAATTGGTAGCTAATTGTCCTAACACCATGAATTTAAAAAGCCAACCATTTGATCCAAATTACTATCAACAGGATATAGATAAAGCCAATTAAAACATATCTATATGATGGAATACTGTGCGGTTTTTTTAAAGACTAAAGTTGCTCTCTATGAAATGATGCCAATAATATATAGGGCTGACCTACAACAATAAGAAAAGCTAACTCAATTTACCCATGTAACACACCTGCACATGTAGCCCCTGAACCTAAAATAAAAGTGGAGGGGGAAAAAAAGGAAAGTATGTATATTACAACCCCATTTTGTTGTTGTTTTTTTTTTTTTAACTCTCTCTCTCTCTGGATATACAACTATAGACACATTTGTATAAATATTTTAAAAATTCTAAAGGCATACAAATCAAGCTGTTTATAGCTACATCTGAGGATTAGGATTGGGGATGGAGAAGGGTCTTCTTTTTCCAACTAATGATACTTATATAATTTAAAAAATTTATTTATAGTAAGCATACACATATTTCACACTGTAATGCAAGTCTTGCAAACAGAATCAAATCCTTGATGTTACCCAACAGTACAATTGAAATATACATTCCAAATCACTGAATGCATAGAAAAATCAGTTGCTAAGACACTCCTACCCTATTCCTTTCTTCCTTCCTTTGCTGGACCGTGACATGAACAAGAAGTTAACCTTTATCGAGTTTAGCCTCAGAGATTTTGGAGTTATTGCAGCAGTTAGCCTACTGTGACTAACACAAGCCTCCAGTCCCTTGCCAATGACTTTACAGACTACTGAGGAAAATGAACTGTGCATATGAAAAGTTAAGAGATCAGAGCAGCAATCATATACAACACTGCTGATAGTAAGAACTGTAGGGATGAAATGAAGAAGAAATCTCCAGAAGATTTTCATAAATATAGGATGAAGCTCATCAAATTTTGATGACACGAAGAAGAAGTGTAAAAGAAGTGTGTAAGTAAAGTGTGGAACTGGGAAAATAAACATATCAAATAATGGGTTTCATTCGAGTAGAATCTATTTATTAAGAAGTAGTGGAGTTAGTACTGAAAATGTAGGTTAGAATCTAATTACAGAGAACCCGTAATATCAGCCCAAGGGTGTTGAACTTTGTCATGCAGAACCAGTCAAATAGATATTATTTCTCATGCCAGTTGCTAAGGAGGGCTACCAGTCTCAACTAGTTTGAGAACGATTCTCAAGTTACACTCAGTGTCAGTAAGAAATAGCTTCCTGATCAATTAACAGTGTCTGACATGGGCTAATGAAGGAGGCATTGTTCTATACCAGACATGCGCTAACTGCTAGAGGCAAGGATATTTTTGAGATGTGGAGAAATAAGTAGACTTGATAGTGTTCTTAAAAGATAAAACTGACCTAATGTTGGTGAGACAAGGAAGAGTTTGGAAAGACGGTACAATAGAATGTGGTGAGGCTTGAGAGAAAGGAGGAATCAAAGACAAGCCTAAGGTTTTGAGCTTTGACTCTTAGAATATTGTTACCATTTTCAAATAAAGACAATTAAGAAAACAAAGTCCATGTCAAAATGTCTTGTAAAAAGTTTGCGGTATGAAACAGAAAATGCAGAATCAAGAAAAACGGAAGCTTTTTTCCTTTCCTCTTTAAGAAGGCATGTTGCCAGAAGAGAAAAAACTTATGACTTAATTACAGATCATCCCAAGTCAACATAACTGAATTCCAAGAAGAATATGGCTTAACGATCCACTGGATAGAATAAAAGAAAGAATTGCACATTTTCCCTCTCAAAAATGATGTTTTAAAGAACCACAGTTTTGCAATGCAGTGATACTCAGTTCTTCTTAACCTTCATTACAAAAGTTACAAATACAGATGAACTATTTTATAATTTTTCAAGTTCAAATTACTTAAAAGTTTAGCTTGACATGCTTTTAATCAAACTGATATTTTTAGCTCCATTTTTAGTTTATATTTAAAAGAAAATTTTGCCTGAAGAAATCTACCTATAACTAGGCCATATATTATGTGTACATGGTGCACGGAACAATTCAAAATGCTTCCACAATTACTTGTTTGAGCTTCACAACCCTCCAGTGAGGGAATAACGCTGGGATTATAATCTCCACTATAGAGTGGCTTCAATTCTACTTAGAGAAGTGATCTGGCTTGCCTACAGCCTACACAGTAAGTTTAGTGATGGAACTGGCATAAGAATTTAGGTCTCCTAACTCCAAATCCAGTGTTGTGCTTTTTTTTTAATGGAATATTACAGACTTTCTGCCACACCGAAATATTAGTTTCAGGCCAGGCGCAGTGGCTCACACCTGTAATCCCAGCACTTTGGGAGGCCAAGGCGGGTGGATCACCTGAGGTCAGGAAAATATTAGTTTCATATTTCACATTTTTTTTTTTTTGAGACAGAGTCGCATTCTGTCACCCAGGCTGGAGTGCAGTGGCGCCATCTCAGCTCACTGCAACCTCTGCCTCCCGGTTTCCAGTGATGCTCCTGCCCCAGCCTCCCGAGTAGCTGGGATTACAGGCATGCACCACCACGCTCAGCTAATTTATTGTATTTTTAGTAGACATGGGTTTTCACCATGTTGGCCAGGCTGTTCTCGAACTCCTGGCCTCAAGTGATACGCCTGCCTTGGCCTCCCAAAGTGTCGTGAGCCACCGCACCCGGCCTCATATTGGCCTTTTAAAATATTACATATTTTTTTTTTATAAAGAGTCCATTAGTGGGTTCCTTGTCTACTTTTTCTATTAAATTGTGTTTACTTGCCTCAAACAGAACAAGGTTATGCCCTTTGTGAAAGTTTGAGGTATAGTCCATAACACCCTTGAGAAAGACTTGTGATATCACACAATATTTTACTGCTGTCATTAAAAACAAGTGGTGAGATAAAGTGGTTTTAATTACACAATGAACGACTTGCCCTATTGCAAAGGAAGACTGAATTCAAAATGCTTGAAATAACTGAGTTACTGTTTTCTCTTCTGTTCCAAAATATTGTAGTGTTCTACAAAAATGAATGAATTTCCTGGTTTCTTTTATTATTTATGGTGAACAAATATTGCACATGCTGGAAAAATAATGATTCACTCCAAAGCAGATTTTTTTTTTAATTTTTCCACTGTGCAATTGCTTTCTCTGTGGCTAAGTTGAACATTTGGGAATATCCAAAGGCTACTGAATTTTCTACAGGTTTTTAAGAGGTGTGTTTTCCTCATATCATCGGATAAGATTTATTCAGAACCTCTTGCTCTTTACCTGACAGCATGTGACCCAGGGTGAAGGATAGAAAAGTTGACTGAAATTATACACCTCTGGGAGACCTCCAGAAGATTGACACCTATGTTCAGATTTGTTTACAGTCAATTGTTTGAGAAATAAAATGTTTCCATTTTATACCAGGGGTAAAAATGTCATCTGCAAGGGCAAAGACCATTTTCTATATGCCTTCTGGGAAATTTTGTAGCCTCTAATGTAGTCCCAAACATACATTGACCGTCTAATAAATACTTATTTAATTGACCTCCATGAAAGTAATATATGAAGAGTTTCAAGGTAGTAGCATACTCCACAGGGTATGAGGGAAGCTGTTTGGATACAGAAGATTGCTTGTAGAAATGGCACCAATTCTCTGCCCTTTACTCTATTCACATCCTTAGCAATGTAGTTTGGAAGCGCCTCTGAGCCACAGGTGTTGCCTATTTCCCTACCCGTTGAATCTGGATTGTCCCTATGACTCGATTTGGCAAACAGAATGTGGCAGAAGTAACAATGTGCCAGGTCTGAGACAGGGCCCTTCTGTCTTGGAACCAGCCACCATTTGAGCAAGCCCAAGCTAGGATGATGAGGATGAGATAACTCATGAAGCAGAGACAAGATGTCCCAGCTAAGGTCATCCTAGATCGGCCAGCATGTAGCTGACCCAACAGCTAACTACAGACACACGAGCAAACTCAGTTGAGACCAGCCCAAATTGCTGATCCGCAAAATAATGAGATGAATAAATGGCCGTTGTTTATAAGCTCTGAGGTCTTGAGGTGGTTTATCACACAGCAAAAGCTTATTAAAGCATAGGGAAAGCTGGCATAGGAAGAATCCTATATCCGTACCCGGAAAATACCTTCTGTCAAGTTTCACACTTCTGGGAAGTCTCTATAGGGGAAATACCTTCTCCTCTTTTTACCCCTTACTCATTTCTTCTCAAGAGAACAAGGATAGGTAGCCTGATTGATAAAAGCCTATCATTTATTGTGCTACATTTTCTACCATTGGGATTAAGAAAGATAAAGATGGCTGGCCTGCTCTCTTGCTCTCACCAACTTGCTCGCAAGTGGAAGAAGTCTTCTTCTTTCTCTGCTCCCTAATTCTTTATGGAAGAATCTTTTGTGTTTATGGATAAGGAAAGGGGTTCACCACTGTCACTGTCCTGCTGGCTATGGTATAAGAAGCAGGCCTGTGGTCCTTCCCAGTGGCCTCTAAAACTGCCCTAAAGAAACAGATCTCTTCACAGACAAGTCCAGATTCACAGTAGAAGTAGGAGTGACCATTCAACTTCAGCTTCAAACTACACTTTCCAAAAACAGTTCAGCAGTTGGATACCTTTATGTCCATTCTCACCGAGAAATTCCCAACAGGAGAAGGGATGGAGCTTCACACTGCCTCCTCAACAACTTTCAACAGCTAGAAATATTGACCTGAAAAATGTAAATGTACAATGAAATGTTCATCCCTTAGATTTTCTACATTATAATGTCACTGTCTTTCATTCCAAGTTTTGTAAGAGTATTAGGACTAGAATATAACCCTACTTCTTTTATATTCAATTTTTCTATAAAATGTCTAGGGAAGAATGACACATAAACTTCCAGTCACTCTATTTTGGTACCTTTTTATATAGAGATGACAGGATACTTTGATCAAACAACAGCAGGTCTTCCTTTCCAATTTGTCAGGTTTTCTGTTCCTGGTAATAGAATTAGATTTTTTTCCAGAAAGAAAAAAAGAGATAAAATTAAATAATGGACAATAACTAAATTTGGCATGTTAAAAATGTCTGCATTTCGCACACGCATGTACGAGCTCACACATGAAAACATAGTTTTTTATTGAAAAGTGTGTTAGTGAACGATACAAAAGTGACATTTTATATAGTGTTGTTTCACCTTCCAAAAAACTTAAGAATCATACGATGTAAGGAAATGTGACAAAAATTGTGTGAAATAAGTAAGATCAATATCAGGAGAAAAAGAGCCTAGATAAGTGCTCTATTTAATTCAAAACTCAACTTTTTCTACATCCCAGGAGACCCTACTCTTGGGTCTTTGTCACTTCTGTGTGTATGGAATTCAAGCAGAACCATCATAACTCCCTTTTAAGAAAGTATTTGCATTTGTAAAACCAGTCTGAACACGTCTATTTCTGTATACTAATCCAATTTATTTAATGTTTCTATTCAGGTTTCTATTTCTTCCCCAGTTTTTGTAAACAGTATTTTTCCAAAATAATAAGTATTAATTTTTTCTAATATACAAATTTATTGATGGAAAGTGGTTTAAGTATGGTTTTATTTAATCTTGATATATCTGTGATTATGTCTTCTTTTTCATTCCTAGTATGATGAATTTATACTTCTCTTATTTATTTTTTGGCAGTCAATCTTGGTTGAAGTTTGTCTATGTTATTGAACTTTTCAAAGAACTATCTTTGGGTTTTTTGTTCATCCCTAATGTAGGTTTGTTTTCTCGTTCATTAAATTATGCAATTATCCATAGGTTGTTTCTTCACTCTGCTGATAATTTCCTTTGTTGTGCAGAAGTTTTTCAGTTTGATGTAATCCCACTTCTTTATTCATGCTTTTGTTGCCTGTGTTTTTAGGTTTTTACCCAAAAATTATCACCCAAGTAAATGTCATGGAGCTTTTCCACTACGTTTTCTTCTAGTAGTTTTATGATTTCAGGTCTTATGATTAAATGTCTAACCCATTTGGAGTTAACTTTTTTATGTAGTGTGAGATGAGGGTCTAATTTTATTCTTGTACATGGGATATCCAGTTTTCCCAGAACCACTAATTAAAGAGACTGTTCATCCCTCTTTGTGTGTTCTTGGTATCTTTTCCAAAATTAATTATCTATAAATGTGTGGGTTTATTTCAGGGCTCTCTATCCTGTTCCATTGGTCTACGTGTCTGTTTTTACGCCAGTACCATGCTGTTCTGATTTTCTGATAAAGGGTTAATATCCAAAATACATAAGGAACTCAGCTCAATAGTAAGAAAACCAATAACCTGATTTTAAAATGGGTAAATGACTTGAATAGACATTTCTCAAAAGAAGACATACAAATAGTCAACAGGGATATGAAAAAATGCTCAACATCACTAATCATCTAGGAAACGCAAATTAAAACCACAATGAGATATCACCTCACACCTGTTAGAATGGCTGTTATCAAAAAGATGAAAGATAAACGTTGGCAAAGTTGTGGAGAAAAGGGAAGCCTTGTACACTATTTGTGGAAATGTAAATTGGTACAGACATTATGAAAAACAGCATGAAGTTTCCTTTAAAAATGAAAAATAGAACTACCTTATGATATAGCAATACTACTACTGGGTATATACATAAAGATATAAAATCAGTATGCCAAAGAGATATCTGCACACTCCATGTTCATTGCAGCATTATGCACAGTTGCCAAAATATGGAATCCACCTAAGTGTCCATCAACAGATAAATGTATAAAGAAATACCATGTACAACGGTATTTACATACATATGTACATATTTACATTGTACATAAATGTACAATGAAATACCATGCAGAATTTAAAAAGAAGATAATCTTCTCATCTGAGACAATGTGGATGAACCTGCATGGCCTTAGGTTAAGTAAAATAAGCGAAGCACAGAAGGACAAATATGGCATTATCTTACTTATAAGTGGGATCTTACAAAGCAAAATTCATAGAAACCCAGAGTAAAATGTTGACTACCAGAGGCTGGGGGTAATCAGAAGTGAGGACTGGGAGATATTGATCAAAGAGCAGAACATTCCAGTTAGCCAGGAGGAGTAAGTTCAAGAGATCTATTGTAAAAGACTACAACCAATAACAATCTATTACATACTTGCATGGTAACTATAACTAATAACAGTATATTGTATACCTGAAAATTGCTGAGAGTAGATTTTAAGTGCTCTCACCACAAAGAATAAGTACATTATATAATGCATATGTTAATTATCTTGATTTATCCATGTCACAATGTATACATATATCAAACATCATGTTGTACACCATAGTTACATAAAATTTTTACTTGTCAATTAAAAAATTAATTATACAATTATACATGTATTGTTCTCTTCATTCTACTTTCTCTAAGATTATTCTCTTGTATTTTTAAAATTTTCTACTCTTAAGATACATGATTAGCTCATTGATTCTCAGCCTTTCTTCTTTTTCTAATATAAGCATTAAAGCAATAAATTTCCTCTGAAATATATATTTAGTTGCATCCCATATGTTTTGATGTATTCATTATAGTTCATTTCTAAGTGTTCTTAAATTTTATTTGTAATTCTTTTTTGACCCACAAATTACTTAGCAGAGTATTTAAAATGTGAAATATAAGGAAGCTTTTAAATTTGTTTTTATTCATCCTTAATGGTATTATGGTCAGGCTTGCTTTATGGATTAATAGGTGGACATATTTTGTTTAAATTGTTTTCTGCAGAACTATACTCTGCAATTGAGTACAAGATTTTAGATGTGTCTCTTAGATCAATACTGTTGATTATAACATTAAAATCTCCAAGGTTATCCGATTTTGTCTGCGTGATCTATCAATTGCTAAGAAGGTTCTATGTGTCAACTTGCCAAATTTTCATTGTATTTCTACCTACTTTTGCTGTACTGAGGCCATGTTAATTGCATGTAAGTTAAGGCTTGTTATATCTTCCTGGCGAACTGGACATTTTATCTTTATATAATTATCTTCTTCACTCTGATATGGCCTTTTGTTTGTTTCAAACTCTTTTCTGTCTGATATTAATATATGTACTGTAGAAACATTTAGGTTTATATTTGTCTTATGATATGTCAGGTAATATATGCCATGGAAATGGAGCAGGGTAAAGGTATCAAGAGTTATGGAGGGGTGCTTTGAGAAGACTTCCTGCTAGGGTGAGTTTTGAGCAGAGATCTGAATGAGGTGAGGCTAGAAGCCATGTAAATATCTGGGAAGAAAGGATCTAACGTAGAGGGAACAGCATAGGCAAATGCTACAACATGCTTTGTGTGTTTGTAAACCAGCAAGGAGGCCAGTGTGGCTGTGGAGATAAGATCTGAAAGGAAAGGGGCTAGATCATGTCGAGATTCATAGGCCACAGGAGGATTCGAGAATTTATTCTAAGAGGAAAAGCTACTGGGGGGTTCTGAGTAGAGAACAAACATGATCTGACTTATATTTTAACAGTATCAATGTGACTGACATTTTTAAAAAGAATTATTGGGACAAGGTAGGGCATGGATCAAGGGTAGAAGCAGAGAAACTAGTTGGGAGACTTTTGAAATAATTCAAATCTGAGAAAATGGTAGCTTAGACCAGCAAAGCAACAACAGTAGAGAAGGTGAGAAACAGTCTAATTTGGTGTATATTTTGAAATTTAAAACCGAATGAGCTTGCTGATGGATGGATATAGAGTACAAGAGAGAGAGAAATTAAGAATGAGTCCTATATGCTTGATATGAACAATGAACACTTAGGATCGACATTTACTAAAATGAGGATGACTCCAAGAGGATTTGCTTTGTATAGGGTAAATGAAAACTTGGTTTTATAACCTGCTAAGTTTAAGGTGTATGTTAGTCACCCAAATGGAGATGTCTGGTTGGCTCTGGAGTTGGGTCTAGAGATTCAAGCTAAAGATATAAACATGAGAGTTATCAAATATAGAGATGGTCTTTAAAACTGTGAGATATGATAAGAGCACATAGGGAGTGAGTGAAGATGGAGAAAAGAAGATATCTAAGCATGGAGCCCTAGGATGCTTCAATGTTTAAAAGTGAGATGAAAAGAGCACAGAGGAAAGTGAGAGAAAGCCATGTCCTGAAGACCAAGGGGAGAAAATGAGAATGGAGATGATAGGTCAAATGGTCAAGTAAGATGAGAACTGAGAATGTTTCATTCTCAGGCAGGCAATGTGAAAGTCACACAGGAACTTGAACAAAGTCATTTCAGAAAAGTGTTTAGGGATGAATGCCGTATTGGAGTGCAGTCAAGTGAGAATGAGAGAAAGGAGTGATAATAGTAGAGAAAACTCAAGTTTTTGGTAAAGGGGAATATAAAAATGAGAAGAGGTTATATCTGGAAAGAGAGGGATCAAGACAGATGTGGTTTTATACTTTTTTTTAAACGGAAGATATTATAGCATGTTATTATGCTACTGATAATGATGAGAAAAATGATTATACCGAAAGAAAGGAAAGACGGGAATTGCAGGAGTGAAGTCCTACTATTCCAGAGGTCATCAAACTTTTTTCTGGAAACGGCCAATAGTAAATATTTTAGGCTTTTGTGAGCCATACTAATCAACTTTCTCATTGTAGCCCACTAAAGCAGCCATAGGCAATATGTAAACAACTGAGCATGGCTGTGTTCCAATACTACTTTATTTTCAAAAACAGAAAGTTGGCTAGATTTGGCAGTAGTCTGCCAACCTCTGTTCTATTCAATAAATAATTCCTGGATTGGAATAGAATTCATTTTAACAAAATGGAAAATTGTTTACTACAAATAGTATAGTTAAATGGAATGAAATTTGTTTAATAGTAAGATTCCACATTAATGAGTTGTCACCCTACAGGGAAGATCCTAGATCTGGACCACATTACTCTCTACTTAGTCTCATTATATTTAATTCTCACCAGTACCTAGTATAAAGATAAGGAAAACATGATTAAGATTACATAGAGCTGAGAGGGAAAACATTCTTTGACAAAAAAATCGAAAGATGTCAATTTAAGCAGGCTACTGATTTTGTCGAAGAAAATTTACAGTAAAACATAAATTATACAATTTCAGTAGACCTAACATAGAAATCCATATACAAAATACCCAAAGGTCTCAGTTGACTGTAATTTAAACTCCATATTACTCAAGAGCAACTTAATTTCCAAAAGAGTTAACACTCAAAATTAACCTACACTGATAACTATCTAGCATCCAGAATAAAGGAGAGACTCATCCCAATGTGAAGATACATACCCTATTTCAGGCACTACATTTTAAGGAGAGTTTCTGATCAGTTAAAGCCCATTCAAGGGTGCGTGAACTAGGATGTTGAGAGGTCAGAAAACCATTTTACATAAAAAAACAGTTGAAGCATCCAAGGACATTTAATACGGAAAAGAGAATATTTAATATAGGCATGAGGGAAGTCTTCAAATACTTGAAGGACTAGCACATGAAAGGGAAAATAGGCAGCCATTGGTTATAGGATAGCAATTTCTAAACAATGGAAAGAAGACTTTAATGGTTAATGAGAGCTGTTTATAAATGCTTCCAAGTGAGCTGGAGAGCTCCCTAAAAGTAATCAAGCAGAGGCTAGGTGTTAAAAAGGAGATGGCTTTGCTCTTAATAATTATGCCTTTTCTTTTTTATGAATAAACATGAATATTACGTAGAATAGACCAAGTGCACATACATGGAAATTATTTCAAAAGGTTTTTTTAACTGTTAAGCTCAGGGGTACATGTGCAGATTTGTTATGTTGGTAAACTTGTGTCATAGGGGTTTGTTGTACAGATTATTTTTATCACCCAAGTATTAAGCCTAGTACCCATTAGTTGTTTTTCCTGATCCTCTTTCTCCTCCCATCCTAGACCCTCTGGTAGGCCTGAGCGTCGGTTGTTCTCCTCTATGTGTTCGTGTGTTCTCATAATTTAGCTCCTACTTCTTAGTGAGAACATGTGGTATTTGGTTTTCTATTCCTGACGTTAGTTTGCTAAGGATAATGGCCTCCAGCTCCATCCATGTTCCTGCAAAGTACATGCCCTCATTCTTTTTCATGGCTGCATAGTATTCCATGGTGTATAGGTACCACGTTTTCTTTATCCAGTCTACTACTGATGGGCATTTAGGTTGATTCTATGTCTTTGCTATTGTGAATACTGCTACAACAAATATATGTGCTCCTTGATTTTCTTATCAGTAAAATAGGAGCAACATTTATGGTCTACCTCTTGGAGAATGTGCTAATAAATTAACAGCGGCTCCTTCTGGTTTTTTAAGGGACTCCTGAAAGGTTAAGATAGATTTGGTCTGCAGCTGGAAAGTAACTGAACCATGGAAAATAGAACATCACTCAATACTTTTTGTCATTAAAGAAGCTCTTCCATCATGACACTTTTCTGCTCATTTTATATATTTTCCCGCAACAGTCCACAGGCTCTGCCTGGCCTGTCAGCCACAGGGTTCAGCAAAGCAACTACCAAGCCATCATTTTTCCAACTCATTAGACCATATTATTAGAGCTGTTGCTACTACAGCCCTTATAACTCAAGGCATAAGTATGTCTGAGCCTACAACTTAGAGCTTATCCTTCATTTTCTTCCATTTTATTTTATTATTTTTAATTTTATTTAACAACACAAGAAGAACATTCTCTCAGGTCTTAGATTGTATTTTGCTTTAACATGCTTTTGCTTACCAAGCTATATCTGGAAGAGGTAGAAGAAACATCTCCTTGGTGCTTCTCCATTACAGAAAAGGGCAGGTCATACATTGCTGGTAGCCTGAGGTGGCTCTGAAATGATCTGTCAAGCACACAGAATGCCAAGCTTTGACTGTTTCAACATTACAGAAAAGCAACGCTCCAGCATGCCCTGCCTGGCATTGTCCTGTTCCGGATGTTTTTCTGACCATTTTATTTTACTGATAAATTTTACAACAAGATGCAATTGTAAGGACTGAATGTTTCTTGAGAGGCCTTTCTTAGATGTTCATTTCTCACTATTATTTGCTTTGCCCCTAGAATCACACAGGCTAAAAATCTAATTACATTTGTTGACATTCCTCTGACCACTTATTTTTCAGGTGCACAATTATAAAACTACACTGACAACACAACCATAGCTAACAATCACACAGCATTTTACCACTGATAAAGTGCTTTCATGTACATCATCTCATGGAAAATTCCCGGGTGGAAGCTTATTCAATAAACGTTTTCCAAAAAAGCATTTGTTAGAAGCCACCACAACTGAAATAGTTTAGGGTATTTTAGGAGCAAATTAACGAGATGGGATCTGTATTGCCCATCACAATAATTCACATTAAACAATATATACAAGATAAAAGCAACTAGACAGGTTCTGAGTAAATGCAAGTTTTTATTTTATGTGTGTCAGACATAAGTCTCAGCAATATTAGTTTCCTAGGGCTGCTGTAACAAAGCACGACAAATTGGGTGGCATAAAACAGCAGAAAATTTACTCTCTTACAGTTCTGGAGGCCAGAAATCCAAAAACAAGGTGTTGTAAAGGTTGCTTCCTTCTAGAGGCTCTGAGGCAGAGTCTATTCCATGCCTCTCTCTTAGCTTTTGGTGGTTGCTAGGAATCCTTAGCATTCCTTGGCACATAGATCAATCACTCCAGTCTCTGCCTCTATCTTTGTGTGGCATTCTCCCCTATGGCACTGTATATGCATTTCTGTTTTCTTATAAGGAAACAAGTCAGATTAGGGCTTACCCTATGAAAGTATGACCTCATTTTAATTTGATTCAATGGACAAAGACTCTTATTTCCTAATTGTTTTATTTCCTTATTTCCTAATAAAAGCACATTCACAGGTATCGTGGTTTAGGACTTAAACATGTCTTTTGAAGGGTTACAATTCAATATTAGCATTAATTAATATTAGTATTAATATTATAATATATTGTAATATTATATTATAATGTAATATTAGCATTAATTACCAGCCTTATGAACCAGTGACAATAAAGTTATGTCTCTTTATATACTCTAAGTGCTATAATCCCTGCTTACCACAGAGACCTACTTCTTAATGAGTTTGCCCTACGTGTCCCAGCAATCTTTTGTAGTCTGGAAAGCAGAGTCCTCCAGAAAAAGTTCTCCCTTTACTTCCGCTCTGGCCTTCCCATTCTGTCACCATATGGCTACCCTGGGTACCAATGATCTTGATTTCTGTGAGAACAGTGGTCTGTCTCACACAGCTACATATGCTGGTGACTGCTACTAATTCCCATTCTAGCCTCAGGTTTGGGCATACCGCCGATGGGACTAGAGCTCAGATACACCCACTTGAGGCTAGGGGCTCCAACATTTCTGCCTGGCTAAATCCCTGGCCTCTTGCTGCCACTGCTACCTTTGCCTGCAGTGACAAATGAAGGAAAAGAGTTGACCGACCTGGATCTGTCTCCCTGTGTAGAAGAGAACTGGACTTACAGCACCAAAATTATGCTGGTTAACTTTTTGATTTTTTTTGTTTTTTTTTTTTTTTTTGAGACGGAGTCTCGCTCTGTTGCCCAGGCTGGAGTGCAGTGGCACGATCTCGGCTCACTGCAACCTCTGTCTCCCGGGTTCAAGCGATTCTCCTGCCTCAGCCTCCTGAGTAGCTGGGATTACAGGTGCACGCCACCACGCCCTGCTAATTTTTGTATTTTTAGTAGAGACAGGGTTTCACCACGTTGGTCAGGCTGGTCTCGAACTCCTGACCACAAGTCATCCGCCCTCCTCAGCCTCCTAAAGTGCTGTGATTACAGGCGTGAGCCACCACACCCGGCCAGCTGGTTCTCTTTATGTTTCAGAGTCTAAGCCAATTTAAGGCCTTTTCTATACCAGGGCAATAACCTACCCCCTTTCCTGTCTTAGGACAAAACTCTTCCCAAGAAGCAAACACTATGAACATCCATTGCCCTCAGGGAAGAAGGCACCACCCCTCATTAGAACGTAATCTTCTCCCATAGTCTCAACAATCAAAAACAAATCTGCTATTCTGTGATTCAGACTTATAGTTGACTATGCAATATACATTCTTCCCCCTTTCCTTAGTAGCAAAATAATTATTTTGTTGGGTGTGGCAATGGACCCAGAAATAAAATATTTGTCCAAGCTTCCATTGCACATAAAGGTGGCCAATGAGATATAGACACAGGTCTTTCAGCAAGACTTTTTGTAAGTTTCTTTACAGGAGCCTAACTCACCTCCTTTTTCTTGCCTGAAACATGGCTGGAGCTGCAGCAGCCCTCTTCCCACCAGGACGTAACCTCAAGATTAACAGCTGCACATTAAGGATGATACAGTCACAAAACATAGACAGAACCTAAGATATTAGTTATATTGTGCAGCCACCAAAACAGCCTTGGACTTCTTTTACATTGCCCCCCTTCTTTCTCCCCGACCCCAGGGGGGACATTTTGCAATGTCTGGAGACATCTTTGATTGCCACAACTTGGGGAGAGAGAAGTTTACTGGCACCTAGTATTTAAGTGTCAAGGATGGAGCTAAACATTCTATATTGCACAGGAAAGTGTTCTACAACAAAGAATCATCCCACCCAAAATGTCAATAATTCTGAGGTTGAGAACCGTGTGTTCAGGAATAAAAAAAAATCTCTGTGATTTCAGGCCTATGTTTTTAGCAGTCAAATGTAATTTTTAGTACACATTAGAACAAGTCTCAAAATCAGGGTTGTTTCATCATTCTTACTGCTATGTCACGTATATAAGAACCAGAGTGAATGTTAAAATGTTTCCACTGTATGACTCAAACTTCTTTCATTTACTATTTTCACTGCCAAGAGAGATCAATACTTATGAACACTTTATGGTGCTACTGGGCAAAGCATCATTAACGAAGGTTATTACAGCCCTGCTGTCTGAGTTGAAAGCAACAGGCTTGGTTCCTCAAAAAGTTAAACACAGAGTTACCATACAACCCAGCAATTCCACTCCAAGGTATATACACCAAAGAACTGAAAACAGGAATTCAACCGAATATTTGTACACAAATGTTCATAACAATCCTATTCACAGTAACCAAAATGTGGAAACAACCCAAATGTCCATCAATGGATGAATGGATAAACAAAATGTTTTTTATATATATTTACATATATATATATATAAAATCACATTATATATTATAATATATACATATAATCGCATTTTTATGGCTGAAAAACATCCCATTGAGTGTGTAGAATTGGAGGAAATGAACATTCTTCCCATTATGTCCTACCATGATTCCTTAATCCATAAATAACTAAAAGAACTTAGGAGGTTTATTTATTTTCCCACTTTAGTTCAAATTAAGAGCTCTGCCAATAATCTTGTTGTAGCCCTGCTGAATTGAAAGCAACAGGCATTGTGTGTACACACACACACACACACACACACACACACAGAGGAATATTCAGCCATTAAAAGGTATAAAGCAATAGGCAAATCCTGATTGTCTCTGGTTCAGAAATAGTCATTCAGGACCTACCAAATTTCATGAGGGACCAGATTATTTGCCTAGAAATTAGACTGACTGAGGGAAAATTCAGCATCTAGTGTTTCAACCTTGTACAACCAGTGCTAAACCTGCTGTCTTAGCACTAGTTTTCTGTAAGGTTTGGGAATTGGTCATCTTCAGTTCCCAAACCTTCTCAGAATAACTGCTTCTTCCCTGAAGGGCTGCTACAAAAAGGGAAAATGGTGGGGTAAAAATTTTGAGCTCAAAATATTGGTATCAGGACCTCTGCTGAAAGACTGGTCAAGGGCTCAGAGCCAGGTTCCAGCATCTCCTTCTACAAGGTTCTTTCCAAATCTGGTGGAATAATGCTGTAACTGGATAGATATTAAAATTGCCTCAGTCTAAAATATGCTTGGCATCACTCTGGTGAAGTTCCTTCATATCATAAGAGATCTATTTAAAGGTTCTGTTGAATATATTTTAGAAATCTATGAAAAAGCTAGGTTTGCATGTCAATCTATTTGAAACTAGAATTAAATTCACTTTTCAAATAGCTTTTTTTCCCTAACTAGGTTATTAGCAGAACTCTTAATTTGAAATAAAGTGAGAAAAATAAATAAACCTAACTTATTTTAGTTATTTATAGATAAGGAATCATGGGAGGAACGTTCACTTCCTCCAATTCTACAAAAGAAAAAAATACCCTCATGTAGACCTCATAATTCAGTAATTGATTAATTTTTTTTCTCATTTTAGCATGTGAGTTCAAACAGGAACAACTTCCTGCTTGAAAAAGGTATTTCAACCCGTCTTCTGCCTCCATGCAATGACTATTTATGGCTACATTCACACTGGAGCAATTAAAAAGAGAACAATAGTCCTGCAAACTTATACACATACACATTTGTTTTCAAATTAGCCCATACATATCATGTAATTGACTAAGTATTGCTATTACCTGTGATTCTTAGAAAGAATTTAAGGATCCGGCAGGGCGCGGGCACGGTGGCTCACGCCTGTAATCCCAGCACTTTGGGAGGCGGAGGCGGGCAGATCACGAGGTCAGGAGATCGAGACCATCCTGGCTAACACGGTGAAACCCCGTCTCTACTAAAAATACAAAAACTTAGCCGGGCGTGGTGGCGGGTGCCTGTAGTCCCAGCTACTCTGGAGGCTGAGGCAGGAGAATGGCGTGAACCCGGGAGGCGGAGCTTGCAGTGAGCCGAGATCGCGCCACTGTACTCCACCCCGGGCGACAGAGCCAGACTCCGTCTCAAAAAAAAAAACAAAAACAAAACAAAACAAAGGAAAGAAAGAATTGAAGGATCCATTGGTCCTACCAAAAATTGTTTACATATATTTCTAAGCTTAAACTAGCTTTAGCTTTACCAACTACATTTTTATGAGATAAATCTAAATAAACTAGCTCTAGCTTTACCAACTACATTTTTATGAGATAAAGCTAAATGAGTTGGCAATCAGATTCTTTAAAGAAGTAATAACAAAAATATTAAAATTAAATTTAAGTTAGTTTTTAACCATCAAACCCTTTGAAAATTCCTTCTAAATAACTCATAATTACATCTTTCAGCACACAGCAACTCACCCAGAATTATTTTGCACCCATCTTCCTGCAAGTTATGTAAAGCACGTGAACCCACATCCAAATTTTATAAATTGTAACTATAGTTATACAATTAATTGGTCACCTTCATTTTAGAACCAAGGGTGTTTATGACTCTAGGTTGTTTAAGGGCAGAATATATGTGTTTCTTCAGTATTTAATATGTAAGATTGGTAGAGGAATAGCTGGAAGTTGATAGAGGTAGAAGTTGTGAAATCAATGAGATGCCAACAACCTGGGGAAAATGCTATAACAGATTTTGCTGGTGTCCCATCTATATCCCCCCTACCCTCATCAGTTCCTAAAAGCCAACTTCCAATTGCCAATATCTATATTTCTTTGCCGGAGGGATTTCTCTGCTCTCCAAAGCCCACTCTTTCCATGCAGACGGCAGGTTAGAAATGTCAAGGAATTAGCTCGTCACCAGGAACAGCCCCCAATCAATGAGTGTCAGGAGTTCATATAAATACCCCTGCTCCTTGCATCTCAGAGGTATAACTTGGAGGCATGTTCTACACTGCCTTTCTCTCCTTCTCTCTCTTTCTCTCTGTCACACACACACAAACACACACACACACACACACACACACACAGAAACATGATTGCCACAATAAAGTCCACATTTCCCAGCCTTCCTTGTAGATGAATGTGGCTATGTGATAAGTGTTCAACAATGAAATGTGAACATAAGGGATATGTATGAATTCCTTCTCACTTGCTTCAAAGAAATCATTTGCCATTGATTTATTTTCTTTCTTCCTTCCTGCAAGCAAAAATATGGGTGTTCCAAAGATGTAGCTTCAACTATGCAGATGAGGATCATGTCTTAAAGGATGGAAGATCAATGACATAAAAGTCCCCTGAATGGCAAGGCTCAATAGGAATGAATGTCCTGACACTGTATTTTGTTCTCTTGGTTATAGACACTGTTCTTTTACTCTAATAGAGTATTCAAAGAAAAACAGAGGAAATCATCTACACAGTAGCATGTCATGATATGACATCACTATACAGTGAATTTCTAAGCAAATTCCACATCTACACTATAATGATGCAATCAGCTCTGACACCCAGATCTCCCACTGTTATCACATATTCGCTCTTCAGTGGCTTCTTCAATTTTATCTCCAACTCTCATAAGCTTTGACATGCTTGGGAAGCATGAAATACTTTGTGGGAACGTTAGCCACTGAGTACATATCTCAACCTTGCTTAAAATCCCCCGAGGAGCTAAGAATTGTAATAGGACAATAAGGAAATGTACTTCAACTTTATCAAACATTATCTCTAATGTGCTCATAATGTCAGTTCAACCAAATTAGCCACATGCTACATTGACATCATCTGAAATGATGTAATTCTCCCTGCTGAAAGCCTCCATCTGAGTGAAAGGCTATGCTCTTCAAGAGAATCAGCCAAGGAGGGAAGAGGAGAGAAATATTCATAAGCAGAATAGTTTCCTATCCTAGAGCAGATGGATTTTTGTTGCCTAAAAGAGGAGAGAAGCAAAAGGAAGGGTAAAATTTAGAACTGTTTTATTCAGGAGTAATAGCTTTAAAATTGATAAACCAGGTCACGATACCTCTTCCAACAGAACAAAATAACCAACCCAGTTGGATGAAATATAAAAACACTTTTATTGATTTTCAACTAATAAGTTGAAAGTTATTAACGTTCTTTTAAAGTAATAGTTTCTCCCAAGATTCATAAGTATCACTCTCTTTACCAAACCTGTATCTTTCTACTGTTCCCCTGCATGATTAGTTTAGGAAAATACAGAGAACATATTTGCTTACTAAAAATACCAAATACTCCAAAATTGTTGGGACACACAAACTCACTCCCAGTAACATCATGTTCTGGCCCAAGATACTCTGAGACTCAAGTTTATATGCATTAATGGCTTCAATATGTTCCTTGTCCTGGGACTTAGTCATTCAATTATTTGAAAAGCTTTCTGTGAAACTATTTCTATGGCAACAGTTCTCAACCTTGGATGCGCATGAGAATCACCTGGGGAGATTTCAAAATTTCAATGTCCAGGTCATACCCTATACTAATTAAATCAATACTGATAGCCAGGAATTTGTATCAGTATTTGGTAGTTGGGGGGGAGGGGTGGGGGGCAGGAAGTGGGGATGTTTAATAAGTACAAACATATAGTTAGATAGAACGAATAAGTTATACTATTTGATGGCACAACAGGGTGACAACAGTCAACAACAACTTATTGTACATTTTAAAATAACTAGAGTAGTATAATTGGATTATTTATAAAACAAAGAAAGGACAAATGCTTGGTGTGATGGATACCCCATTTACCCTGACGTGATGATTATGCATTGTATGCCTATATCAAAATATTTCATGTACCCCATAAATATATACACCTACTATGCATCCAAAAAATTAAAAATTAAAATTAAATTTTAAAATCTTCTCAGATGTTTCCAATGTGCAGCAAAGGTTGAGAACCCCTTGAGTAGATCAAGCTCTACATTTAGTTAACTATATCTCCTGGGCGTCCTAACTTTTCTAAATGGGAGCTTTAGACTAGATCTTCAAGTACTAAGAACCAACTCAACAGTCAAATATTTATAAGGTTCCGACTATCCACCAGGCTCCATGTTCAGTGTTGGAAATGCAAGACTGAAAAAGACATCTTGGTAAGGTAGTAGGAGCAGGGCTTCTCAAGCTTTAATGTGTACATAACCCATCTGGAGATCTTGTTAAAATGTGGGTTCTGATTCAGTCGGTCTAGGGTGAGGCCTGAAACTGCATTTCTAACAAGCTTCAAGGTGAGATGCCAATGCTGCTGGTCCATGGACCCCACATTGAGTAACATGGAGAGTTGCAAAATGAAGTAATGTCTACTATGAAAAGTGCAGGGTGCTCTGGTATGTCTAAGAATGAACAAAGTCTACAATTCTGTAAGATGCTGGCCTCCTGCAGTTTTTAATCATCTTTATCTCTCCCTCACAGAGAGCTTTCTAATCTTTGTTAAAAAAAAAAATCTGTATCCTGTCCCAAGTCATTGTTACAGAAGGGTCTACAAATTTTATGATTTGTTCAACAGTAAGCCCACATAAAGTGCTGCAAGGACTATTTTAAAAAACAGTGTGAGAAAGTAACATTGTCAAAACCAAAATTGATGAAACTCAAAAGGGAAAGGCATGAACACAAAATCTAGAAAGAGAAAATGTGTGTCAGAGGAACACAGCATTGGAAGGCAACTAGGAGGTTACCTTTTTATTTTCTTGCCCTCTTGGTGAGTTCCTAATTCATACTTTCCCCCTTTGTCTAAGGAAACGAAAGGTCGTGTGCACTTGAAAGCAACACTTGGGGAGAAAGGTGCCTTCAAAATCCCCAACACCTAGATTTTTGTCATAAATAACTTTAAAGTAATTCAAACTTTAAGAGTTCAAGCTATAACATTTCAATTAAAGTGAGACTTTTTAACAAAGAGCCACCTATTTATATTGATTCTTTGACACAATTTGAAGAGAAATAAAAATGTATTGTTTCTACTTGGTAACCTTAATGGTAAAATAAAATGTACAGTAAAGTCTTTAAGTGTCTCAACAGCCCTTTGATCCCTTTAGATTCTACTGTGACCAAATATCAAAGTCACGTTTAAATTCTTCCAGGAAGAATGAAAGAGTGACATGTTGGCATGAGTAAATGATACTAGGATTCCCTGTAAATTAATTAAATGATTAATAGAATATGATCCTCAGTACCAAAAAACTTACAGACTAATGGAAGAGATGAAAGACGAGGAGTGGTAGGGGAAGAGAAAGATCCAAGAAGATGAAGGCCTCCATAGGAATGAAGAATTATTCTCATGGTGTTTGTCGTTTGGAGAGTTCTTTTGACACACATACATCTCCATGCTACAAGTTAATATTAAATTCTTCTAACTTGTTATCACTGAAAAGAGAGGTTCCTCCCTACAAGGGAGTTACTATGTAACCTGTCCTCACCATGCACTAGATTGAGTTCTAGCGTTATGGGCAATATGACAGAATAGAAAGTGAATGGTCTCTGGTTCTAATTCCAGCTCTGCAACTTCTTAGATGTGTGTAGTTAAAAATCGGGCAAGTTATTTAAATTCTCATAATTATCTGAGTTTTAGTATCCTTCTCTATAAATTGGAGATAAAAATATAAAATTGGTGGGATCGTTGTAAGAACTAACAATTCTGTATTTAAAGTGTCTGACACTTCAAAATCACTTTGCAGGTGAGGGGCAGAGCAGTGCATCATGCAGGATCCCAATGAAGATACAGAATGGAATGACATTTTAAGAGATTTCGGCATTCTTCCTCCTAAAGAAGAGTCAAAAGATGAAATTGAAGAAATGGTTTTATGTTTACAGAAAGAAGCAATGGTGAAACCATTTGAAAAGATGACTCTTGCACAGCTAAAGGAAGCTGAAGATGAATTCGATGAAGATATGCAAGCTATTGAAACATAGAAAGAAGCGGTTACAGGAATGGAAAGCTCTTAAGAAAAAACAAAAATGTGGAGAATTAACAGAAATTTCTGGAAATCAGTAAGTGAATGAAGTCACAAATGCAGAAAAAGACGTGTGGGTTATAATTCATCTATACAGATCAAGGGTCTCACTGTGTTTCCCAGGCTGGAATACAGTGACAATTGTATAGCTCAATGCAGCCTTGAATGCTTGGGCTCAAGCAATGATCCTCCTGCCTCAGTCCTCCAAGTAGCTTGGACGACAGGTCTGCACCACCACATCTGGCCAGGTTTTAAAATTTTTTTGTAGAAATGGGGTATTGCTATGTCGCCCAGACCGGTCTCGAACTCCTGGCTTCAAGTGATCCTCCTGCCTCAGCCTCCCAAAGTATTGAGATTACAGGCGTGAACCACAGTGAAAAAAAAAATAATAATAACTTTGCAATAAATGGCAGAATCAGGATTTGACAGGTTCTGTCTGTTTAACACTGCCAAGTAGTGTGTGTGTGTGTGTGTGTGTGTGTGTGTGTGTGTGTATAGATAGAGAAAGAAACAGAGAAAGAGGTAGATTCTAAATTGTTAACCTTTGTTACATCTGGAGAGTACAACTGGGCTTAGTGGTAGTTAGATAAGGAAGAATGTGATAAGTGAGTTTAAAAAAAAGCAAGCAAGAAATATTTCACTTATTACAATTGTATAATATTTAGATTCTTATAGCAACCGTTATCACTTTTGTAATAAAAATTGAGGCCGGGCACAGTGGCTCACGCCTGTAATCCCAGCACTTTGGGAGGCCGTGGCGGGCGGATCAAGAGGTCAGCAGATCGAGACCATCCTGGCTAACACGGTGAAACCTCGTCTCTACTAAAAACACAAAAAAATTAGCCAGGCATGGTGGCGGGCACCTGTAGTCCCAGCTACTTGGGAGGCTGAGTCAGGAGAATGGCGTGAACCCGGGAGGCGGAGCTTGTAGTGAGCCGAGATCGTGCCACTGCACTCCAGCCTGGGCGACAGAGCAAGACTCCGTCTCAAAAAAAAAAAAAAAAAAAAAAATCAAATGTGGAAAAACAAAGAATAAAAAATAAAGCGTCTGACACTTAAGATTCTTTAAAATTGTTATTACTGTTTTCTAATAAAGGTCATAAGCTCATTAAAACCAATACTACGGTTTGTCTTTGTAATTCCCTTTGATTCAGATGAGCTTAAGGATTTAATGGTGCTGATGACCTAAGCATTTATCTAAACATGATCTAATTCTTGGGTCTCTTTTCTCTTGCTGACATGAAATGTTTAGGGCACTAAAGCAAGCAAACAGGAGGCCTGTGGGCCCAGTGCAGCAAACCAATGTTTTGTTTGATTTGCACAGTGCTCAATAAAAATGTTAAATTAGTTCATGACATTTGAAAATCAGAAGATTTAATATAAATGTCTAGATTTCTAGCTCCTTCTGAAAAATCAGAAAATCTGGCAACACTGCCCCAACAATCATGCTTGGCAACCATCAGTGGGAGCTGAAAAACAATTACTGAACCCGTTAGACACGATGTGTTCTCTGCAATTTGCTGCTGGTTCCACCCGATCCATTGCATTCCATTAAGTTAGGTAAGTGGTCCTTATAGGCATTTGAGCTTGAGACTGTCACTCTCCAGGGAATTTTTTTTTTTTTTTTTTTTTCCAGAGAAACCACAAGAAATGATTAGACAACTAAATTACCTCTTTGGAACTGTAGCCAAGTTTCAACTTGAGTTTGGACACACAGGAAAAATTTAGAAGGAAAAACAACCAGGGGTATGTTTTAAGTGGAACTAAGGAGTTCAAAACAATAGGTAGAGGGACATGAGTACTGTTTTTGACTCACATTATCGTCCATGGCCCTGCTCCCCTGTACTCACACCCCATGCTGGAGTAAATTTGATTTATCCAAAGACGGAATACTAAAGGAACTGCAGGGCAGGCCGTCAGCTGCTTTGATGACATTAGTCTCAGCAGCAAAAGAGGCTAACGCCCTTAATACAGATAACAGCACCTTCACAACTATCATAGGCACTCTTGGGGAAGACACCAGCCACAATTAGGAGAGGGTGACCACCTTGTGGGCACCAGAATCTACAGAGCCTTCAGTAAGACTCATCAGCAATAACTCGTGATGTTTTCAGCAACAGTGTACGCAAGAGAAGAAGAAGAAAATGGCAGACGACGGAATAGAAAAGTATTCAATGGGTTTGCACTTTTGTGTGCACTTGGAACACACAAGAGACACATCCTGTACTCTTCCAGAATTATGTGGGCTGATTCTGAGAGGTAGATTCCCATTTGCAGGGGGCAGGGACTGAAGCTAGAGAAATATTGTTGGTGATTATGATCAAAACTCTATGGTTACCCACAGGATGGGGTAAAAATTAAAAGGCAGTCCAACAGATGTTATCAGTTGTTTTGAAAACTTGTCAGTTGATAATTACCAATCTGCTCTGTTTAAAAAAAGTCACTTCTCATTAAATTTATTTAGGTGTATTAAGCAGAGACTCAGATTTTCAATGCTTAATGGTTCATCCTAGATTGTCAACACACTGACTGTTTTCCCTTGTTCATCATTGGCAAAGGGGACGACTTGGATTTTCACGTGGTTCAACAGTACACACAGTTGCTTTTTCTTTCAGCTCTTACCTCGGTTTGTTATACAGAAAAAAGATGAAAAGGTTGAAATCCCACTGCTTGTAGGAAATGTCTGTTGGCATTCTTGAAAGTTTCATTCTAAAAAAGTCTCCTTGGCATTGGTGTGCCTAATTTACTGTGACTGGCACCCAGGATAATTCTAGAAACAGTAATAACTTAAGGGTAAAAACAATTTCACAAGCTGAGTGAATGATATATGGGAGCCCGGTCTCTTTGCAGCTCTTCTGTAAATGTAGAAGTATTTTAAAATGAAAAGGTTAAAAAAAACTTTACACTTACTGCCTGTTTATCTTATCAAGCAAAAGATTTTCAGCAATTGAGAGACAGAAGAATTCGGTAGGAAATTAAATCAATATTGAGGGTATATTTTCATTTCCTTAAGATTTATATGTGATTATCACTCAATATTATATTTGAAATTCTATTCCGAATCAACTTTTGAGGCACTATCTTAAAGCAAGCTCTCTTTGGTTGATTATTTTAATGATAACTCAACTCTCAGTGGTTTTCATCTGACTTCTCCTCCCATAGGCAGCAGGGAAGATTTTGTTTCAGAGTTTTAGGATAATACGATTTAGAAAAATCTTATACAGAAACTTTTTTTCCTGTTCCATTCTTGGCAGATACAGCCATACTTCAAATACTTTAGGGGCTTACATTTGTCTAATAGTGGAGCCAAAGTTGCATTATTCCTTGGAGAGCTTAAAAGGGCCAAGAATTGAGAGTCACAAAATACCTAAGGTATGGAAGGAAACTGCTCAGCTATTGTATTTTTAGGTAGCTATTCTAGGGATAGCTCTAAGGATATTCTGAAATTTCTCTTTAGCTGTCCCTCATTCTAGTGATGATGATGCTGCTGCTGCTGCTGCTGATGATGATGATGATAGACATATGTGAATCCTTAATGAGTATTAAGGGACAGGTAATTTGCTAATTAATGGGTTTCAACTACATTATCTCATTTAATTCTTGCAACAGAGCTATAAAGTAGGTAATATTTATTTTTCCTATTTTATCCATTAAAAAGTTGAGTCAGTAAGAATTTGTTCCATAAAACATATGTGCAAGAATGTCACATTCCCTTATTTTTCTAGATAAAATTAAATGTGGTTCTAAATCCCCACCCTAATGGTCAAGTTTTGGTTCCACTGAGGCTTAAGTAAAGCCAGGAAAGGAGAAGTAGGCACAGAAAAGTCATCCACTGTGGTGGTATCTATCATTCTCGTTGCTCCATCTGCTTAAGTAGAGCTCTGTTGAGCTCTGGACCTCAGGCAGCTGTTGGCCACTTCAGGCTCACAGTGATTCTCTTTACTGACCACAAGCTCCGGTAGAGATCTCAGCATGTGGTTGCCAGATTTAGCAAATAAAAAGACAAGATGCCCGGTTAAATTTGAATTTCAGATGAACAACAAATACTTTCTCAGCATAGGCATGTCTCATGAAAACGTGAAACAAATCTTTGTTATTTGTCTGAAATTTACATTTAACTGGGAATCTTATATTTTACTGGGCAATGCTATCTGTCAGCAGCCATCAAGGCCACAACACTTAGTTTTCAGCCACTGCATTCATCCCACAGCTATTTTCCATCCAGGAGGGACAGATAGAGGCAGGGCTTTGTGATTATGAAAACATCCTGGTTGTATCCAGTGCTCTGTTCCCCACTAGCATAGCTATATAGATATCAAAGGTCTGATAAATACTGACCAGCTCCACTGAGTGCTGAAAAAAACAAAAAAGTGGCAGTGGAAGGCAAATTCTTCTGGTGAAACCTGGTCAAGAGGTTAACTCCCTAAGTCTGCAGTAACCACGTGGCAGAGAACTCAGGTGGACCTGCCTCAACATAATCCAAGTTCAGTCCCCTAAACCACTCTGCGGATGGCTCTCAGACTAGTAACATTCAGTGTCACCTCATCCCCCAGGACCTCTCACCTGGAACTCCAGCCCTGCAAATGCACTTGCAAAAGACCCCAGCTGGCCATTTAAAACAATCACAATTCAAAACAAAACAAACCATCTTTACTACTACATGAGCAGTAGATTTGCAGATATCTTCAGTATTCGGTTTCATCACGTTATTCTTTTATCCTTGTTTTCTTTCAGCAATTCTTTTTAAGACTGCCTTTCACCCAAAACCATAAAAACCCTAGAAGAAAACCTAGGCAATACCATTCAGGACATAGGCATGGGCAAGCACTTCATGTCTAAAACACCAAAAGCAATGCAACAAAAGCCAGAATTGACAAATGGGATCTAATTAAACTAAAGAGCTTCTGCACAGCAAAAGAAACTACCATCAGAGTGAACAGGCAACCTACAGAATGGGAGAAAATTTTCGCAACCTACTCATCTGACAAAGGGCTAATATCCAGAATCTACAATGAACTCAAACAAATTTACAAGAAAAAAACAAATAACCCCATCAAAAAGTGGGCGAAGGACATGAACAGACACTTCTCAAAAGAAGACATTTATGCAGCCAACAGACACATGAAAAAATGCTCATCATCACTGGCCATCAGAGAAATGCAAATCAAAACCACAATGAGATACCATCTCACACCAGTTAGAATGGCGATCATTAAAAAGTCAGGAAACAACAGGTGCTGGAGAGGATGTGGAGAAATAGGAACACTTTTACACTGGTGGTGGGAGTGTAAACTAGTTCAATCATTGTGGAAGTCAGTGTGGCGATTCCTCAGGGATCTAGAACTAGAAATACCATTTGACCCAGCCAACCCATTACTGGGTATATACCCAAAGGACTATAAATCATGCTGCTATAAAGACACATGCACACGTATGTTTATTGTGGCACTACTCACAATAACAAAGACTTGGAACCAACCCAAATGTCCAACAATGATAGACTGGATTAAGAAAATGTGGCACATATACACCATGGAATACTATGCAGCCATAAAAAATGATGAGTTCATGTCCTTTGTTAGGGACATGGATGAAACTGGAAATCATCATTCTCAGCAAACTATCGCAAGGACAAAAAACCAAACACCGCATGTTCTCACTCATAGGTGGGAATTGAACAATGAGAACACATGGACACAGGAAGGGGAACATCACACTCCGGGGACTGTTGTGTAGTGGGGGGAGGGGGGAGGGATAGCTTTAGGAGATATACCTAATGCTAAATGACGAGTTAATGGGTGCAGTACACCAACGTGGCACATGTATACATATGTAACAAACCTGCACACTGTGCACATGTACCCTAAAACTTAAAGTATAATAATAATAAAAGAAAAGAAAAGAAAAAGAAAATAATAAGAAAGAGAAAAAAAAAAAAAAGACTGCCTTTCACATTTAAACTGCCCCAACAGAAAGTGCTTGTATAAGGGATCCATGAGAGAAATCCTAATCAAGGGAAGCCAGAGAAATATTTTCCCTCAATTTGTTCTTGTGTTGGCATTCCAGGACCATGATAATTTCATCGCTAAATAAATACATGGACACTAAGGCTAACCTGCAAGGAAAGGCCAGCAGGATCTCGGTAAGAATCACCTTCACTCCCTAATCTATAAAAGGAAGCACAGATTTCAAAGCAAATAATGATAATGATGCTTTAAATAAAACTTGATTAATCTCCTAAATATTAATAAATACACCAATCACATAGTTCTAGATACAGGATTAATATTACAGTTACTTTCTCCTTAAAGACAACTCAGATTAAGAGGCAGTGAATCTGTTAATCTAATCATCTCCTTTTTTTTTATTTAACAAAACTGAAAGCTTTGCAACCATCTGGTTAATGATTCATATAAACCACTGGCAAAAAGAAAATTACCTAAACAATCCTAATTTATCGTTTTCAGAACATCTCTGTCTACAAGTATTTGATTCAATATCTTTATGCATCATATTTTTCAAAAACAGTTATAAAAAATTTGGCCAATAGTAATGAAATACTTTCCCTTGTATCAGAAAAAAAATTCAATCTTCTAATTTGACTCTTTTATCTTATTATTTTTAGTCTTTATGTTGGAGAACAATGGCAGAAAAAAGAAAGCAATTTGGCAATTTGGGCATGAAATGAATATATTGCACATTTGTAGGCCCTCTTGAGGTGTATGTTCTGGTTTTGAGCCACATGATGATGGCCATTCATGTGAAATTGGTAGTACACTTGTGCTAGATTTTCTGACCAGAGCTGGTCATCTCAAACATTATCCACCTTTGCTATTCTGTTTCAGATTCTAGAAGTCAGGTCCCAACAAGATGCTGCAAAGTGAATTAGAAAGCATTAGATGGAAAAGCTGAGAAATGCAGCTATTAAAATTTCACTGCATTTCTTTCTTAGTCTTTTTTTTCTCAGTGAAGATCATGATCTGACTGAAGCCCATTATTTACTGTCAATTGCAAAACCTTTGCTAAATTTTTCATGAGGTAAGGAAAAAAAGGGCAGGGGATAAAAGGAATTGGAAAAACACTTGGGCAATTTACATTCCATGAATCTTCCCAACTTTATCTATAAACATAAACTTTTGGCAACTTTGCTGAACCAGATTTCTAGCTGTTTATCCTCATGCTTCATGAAAATCAAACAAAACCTAATAGTGCATCTCAGTTAATCACTTCCACGTACTGTTTTATAATTCATTGATTCAATAATTCGACCATAATCAGTCATGCCATGATCATCTAGTATAATAAACGACTCAAATCCTGAACTCGTAGTCTCAGTAACTATATTTATTGACTTAAAATCTGGGACAGAAAAAAATCTGGGTTTTATACTAAGCATGTAACACTTGGAAATTAACCATGATTATTGTTACTATTTTCAAACGTACTAAAATCAAGCAGACTGCAGTAATTTCTTTCAGAAAAGAATAGGTATGTTTCCATCTAATGGTGGCCTAAGAAAACAAATTGAACCGGTCAGAGTTTGCCAAATTCAAAACTCCTCGGGAAGGAGTAGTTTTTCAAAAAACTTTCGAGCCCTGGGACACTTGCTTATAAAGAAATGTACATAGGAGACCAAATTATAAATGAAGTAAAGAAGACCTTTCTGGTGAAGTAAGAAGTAGAACAAAGCAAATGTTGATGATACCCACCCATATCCTTACAGGCTCCCTGGAGGTCCCTCAAACAGTTCTCTGACATGCAGTGGCTTCCTGCAACTCTCTGATGGGCAACATATTCCAGCCTCAGCAGCATGCTTGGCCCGTGCCCGGGGCAGGCTTAGAGTGCTGCGTGACCCATGCTCCAGAAGCCACCCTCAATCATTGTGGGGTGGGGGATGGAGGACAAATACCCTAGCTTCCTCACCCCTCAACAGGACAATTCTCAGGTATGGTTCATAGAGTTTCTCAAAGGCTTCCCAGAACAATGCATCCCACGTTTCCCATAGCAGTAACTTGCTGGTTAATGTACTTTTTACTGGCTTTCTCCCTTCCCAATCTCACTTCATTTCCTCACAGTGTGTCTTAGGATCACCTTACAAATAAGAGGAAGGGAGGGAGCAGACAGAACCATACTCATCCCGACACCCCACACCAGATGGACCCAAGGGATCCTTTGAACTTTGAAAACCAGAGCTGCTCTAAGTCACTTTCCTCATTTCACAAGGGGGCGAGGCCTGCTGCAACCAACACTTGACAAGTTCGCAGCATAGGCTGAACAAAGTATGCAACCTTGCTCTCCACTGAGCACCTGCACCCACCTCAAGTTCCACCACTTCTCTGGAGTTCAAGCGCAGCCTATACACCTCAACTACCTCCACCGACATGATAGAACAGGCCCCAAAATAAAATGGAATACTTCTGACCTTAAATGAATATAGGCATCTACTGCTTAACATCAGAAATCCATTCCTGAGTTTCCTACTATACATCTAGGGCTCTCTTACTATTTCCAATGGGAAAATATGTAACAACTGAAATCCTCCAACCAATTTCTTAAAACATACTTAAAACACAGTAAAATACATACACACAGAGAGATATCACAGGATGCACAATGTTCAGATCCTTGCTTTATGATCATCCATTCATAGACTTGTTAAAACAGAGCTTCTTTGTTTGCATTAACACTGACATCCCTCTTAGCACAGGTAACATAAAGCAAGCATATCTCTTTTCTTGACACTCTGGTGCATGTAACCAAACTTCTAAACGTGTGTCTGACATTCTACCAATATTCTGCTACTCAACATTGGCTGCATGTTAGGGTCACCTGGTCAACTCTTAACAATCCCTATACTCAGGCCAAACCCCAGACCAATTGGCTCAGAATTTCTGCATGGGATCCCAGACATCACTATTAAATGATTCCAAGTCAGGCACAGTATGGCTTATGCCTGTAATCCCAGCACCTTGGGAGGCCAAAGTAAGAGGATCCCTTGAGGCCAGGAGTTCAAGACCAGCCTGAGCAACACAGTGAGACCCTGTGTCTATAAAAAATTTAAAAAAAATTAGCTGCGTGTGGTGGCGCACATGCCTGTAGTCCTAGCTACTCAGGAGGCTAAGATGGAAGAACTGCTTGAGCCCAGGAGTTCGAGGTTGCAGTGAGCTGTGATGGTGCCACTGCACTCCAGCCTGGGCAGGAGAGCAAGTCTCTGTCTCAAAAATAAATAAATCCAATGTGCACCCAAGGCTCATCACCATGCCAGATGAATTTGGAATGCATATCAAGATTTTTCCTCCATGTACTTTTTTTAAGTAATACTGTCTAGGGTTTGGGGGATGAGATAGAAATCTTAGCATAGAGCATATGGGCGGAAAAAATATTGGCTTGAGAAATACATGTGTTCTGTGAAGTCAGGTATTAAAAAGCAGGAAGTGTTCCACCAGGAAAATACAGGTTCTCATTGGAGCAGTTCAAATTTTATATTTTTGGATGCTCAACTGGTAAGAGTAATGCAAATATTTCAAAATCTGAAAAAAATTCAAAATCTGAAACACTTCCGATCCCAAGCATTTCAAATAAGGGATGCTCAGCCTGTAATAACCAGGAGGTGTTCTGTGGGGTACGCTTGTTATTATTATGGAGGGGCTTTCATAGTGTATGCATAATTGTAGCAAGGAATTTTGTTTGTGGCTTTATAAATTACTGATACATCTAAATTAAATTTTCTGCTCAAAACTCCTGGATTATCTCATACCGGTCATAATGGTGATTATTAAAAAGTCAAGAAACAACAGATGCTGGTGAGGCTGCAGAGAGATAGGAATGTTTTCACATGGTTGATGGTTGGTGGGAGTGCAAATTAGTGAAACCATTGTGGAAGACAGTGTGGCAATTCCTCAAAGACCCAGAAGCAGAAATACCATTTTACCCAGCAATCTTATGACTGGGCATATACCCATAGGGATATAAATCATTCTATTATATGGATACATACACGTGTATGTTCATTGCAGCACTACTCATACTAGCAAAGGCATGGAATCAACCTAAATGCCCATCAATGATAGACTGGATAAATAAAATGTGGTACATATACACCATGGAATACCATGCAGCCATTCAAAGGTATGAGATCATGTCCTTTGCAGGGACATGGATGGAGCTGGAAGCCATTATCCTCAGCAAACTAACACAGGAACTGAAAACCAAACAGCACATGTTCTCACTTATAAGTGGAAGCTGAACAATGAAAATAGTGGACACAGGGAGGGGAACATCACACACTGGGGCGTGTTGGGGGGCATTTCAGGGGCAGAGCATCAGGAAGAACAGCTGATGGATGCTGGGCTTAATACCTAGGTGATGGGTTGATCTGCGCAGCAAACCACCATGGCACACGTTTACCATGTAACAAACCTGCACATCCTGCGCATGCACCCTGGAACTTAACATTAAAAAAAAAAATCTGGCGTTTATCTTATCCGTTCTCTGCTACTTTATTTATATTTTAGGTTTAAAAATAAGTTTCATCTATCTAAATACAAAAGGAAACTGCCCTGCTTGAAATCTTCCAAATAGGCCATGTTCTCTCTCACCTCCAGGACTTTACCGTTGCTTTGCTATCTCCTTAGAATACCCTTTCTCACCTGTATTTGTATCTCCTTCTCCTAGATCACCCCTCATCCTTTGAGACTCACCTACAAAGTATCTCCTATAGGAAAACTTCCCTTAATCCCCAAGGTTAGATTCAGTACCTGTTCGCATGGGCTCCCATAGCAGCCTATCCTCACCTCACCGCCTTGTAATTGTTTCATCACTTTAAGCTCCATGTGACCAGGGACTGGTAATTGCCTGGCCCACAGTAAATGTCGTAAGTATTTGTTAAATAAGGGATTGAATCTAGGGCTATTCGTTCCCAGTACCACCATCACCACCAAACCCCAATCCCACCGATACCTCAATCAAATATTGTCCCTTGAGTCACATGTCCTGGCTGCTGTTAAATCACACATTAAAATTAAAATCTTTAATGACTAGTTTGGGTAGTGTTACTGATGCTTGGGATGTGTCAGCAGGTAATGATTTGAAATTCTACATCACAAAAGCATTTCTTCTACTCCCTAATTTGTGACAGCCCCCTCCACAGGACTCTCCAGAATCCTATTGCTATCTTTGGCTCAATAGTCAAGGCCCTTGGTAAGATGGATAGCATCAGTACTTCAGGGGTGGTGGACAGATGTTATTCCAGGACACCATTCCTGCCGATCCTATCCCAGCACAGTCTAGTTTGTACAGCCTCTTGACTCTCTGTCAGTTTCTGATATGGTCATATGGGATGTGGACACAAACGCTAATTTATTTTGTGCTTGATACTGTCAAACCCTATCTGCCTTTCTCCCTATGAATGGGATTCCATCCTGGAATTCTTGATGTCTTTGGTGCTAGTTGTATTACTGCAGTCAAAGGCAACATCAGGCTACCTTAGCCTAAAGCCACTAACACCCTAAGCTGTATCCCACATTCAAATCCTTAATAGAGGAAGAAAAAATGGTGAAGAAAAAAAATGAGGAGAAAAGCAAGAATACATGCATAAGCAAGCAGTACAAGACCATGTTTTCCTAAGTTCAGAATGAGTTGGAACTTTGTAATATTTATGTTCACCATCCAAATAAAGTATTTAGTTCAATTTTATTTCTTGCTGACAAATTCTGCCTCTTCAACCTAAGGATAAAAGCTGAAAAAGCTTTTTCAGATGTCATTTGCCTACACAAAACAACATTCTGATGAGTAGCAAAGCATCTATTAATTAGAAACATATGGGAACTGACTTCCCTCAAATTAAATGTAGTTGTGAAACTTGAGAATAAGGAGAGGTATTTGGCAAAACATTCTTGAGTTATGCTGAATGTACAAAACTTATTAAGAGAGATATATTTATTTAAGTTTAAAATATGGCTACATTTTCTTCTTCTAGCAAGTAAGCCAACTCAGCAAAAAGTCTTCATCAGTAAGAGTATCATTTTTATTTATACATATGAATTTATTATTTGACTCATAGATTCTTTTTTAAAAAATCAGGAAAGAATGGAAGGAAAAGGATTAGGGAGAAGGCTTTCGCTATACCTGCAACATTTTATTTCTTAAAAAAAGATTTGAGACAGGGATGGCAAAATAACATCCATCAAATCTGGCTGGTATGTGTGTCTACTTAATTATATTCTATATGTTTGAAAAAAATCACACGTTTTTGATAAAAGTATGCAAGCAATATGTCAGGGTAGATAAGAACACGGGAATTTGTTTGAGACACCTGGTTCTGCTGTTTACTAGCTCCGTGACCTTAGCAATCTCTCTACATCTCAGTTTCTCAATCTATAAAATAAGGAAATTGTGAACTGCTTCCTAGCTGAAGGGTGAGTACTATCCACAATTTAAAGCAAATACATGTGTGTCTATGTCTTAGGGCAGGTTTCCCTAGAAACAGACTTTGAGACAGAGATTTGTGCAGTACTCTCATTGGACAGTGCTCTCAGGAACACCGCTAGTCAGGGGAGGTAAAGAAAGCCAGATTGGGCAGAGGGAGAAGTTGAGCCATGATGTAGTCACAACAGAGGCCTCGGCCAATCCTGCGGGGGCACACTGGAGCTGTAGTAGCCCTTCTGAATTATCCAGAGTCAAGGAAAGGGGACCAAACCTTTCTATCTCTACATCTACTTTAAACAATGGGTGAAAGCTACCCCTGGGGAAAGGACATAACCTTGGGTGTGGCAGTGCCTTCAGCCAAGGGCAATGCCTGGAGAGGATGTAAGATGAGAACTATCAGCAAGCAACAGCCCCACCAGCTGAGGAATGACGGCCTCAACTCTCAAGGGAGGATCTGAGTTAAGAACCACAGCACCCCTGATAGTTTGTATCAGCCTCAGCAAAGGAAGGAACATGGTGAGGAGGTAGAAAAACAAGGGGCCAAGGGATAGGATGGGATCTGAAAGCCTATGAAACAAGGTTGGCTGTGGCCACAGAAGAGCTCTGTAAGCCAGACACCTAACATTCCTTCGATCTTGTAGTATGTCCCTGCTGTTCTCTAGCAAAAAATTTATTAGTAAATTCCAACCAACTGCTACTTGTGCCAAATAGTTTAAGAGGGAAGCATCATACATACCTAGCATTAATGTGATCACAAGAACAGGAAGCCAAGCCAAAGAACCCAAGAGGAAGGTGAAATTCAGGTGAACATATCGGGCCATTGAGTTAGCCATCCCTTCTCCCTCACTGCACCCACACCAGAGATTCACTTTCCAGAGCTAAACCTTGGAGTCCTGGAGTCTGTTTTAACAAGGAGAGGACTATTTCCTTATTGCAGCCCCTTCTCCCCATCTTTCAGAATGTTATAGGTAAACTGGGGCAACCATTTCATATCTCAAGAGGGATGGAGTATTTTTCATTTTTTTTTTTTTACCACTTTTACACATTCATCCTTTTTAGAAAAGGAAATTTAAACTTTAAAGCTTGCTTATATATATAGCCAAAAACCCTTCTCTAAACTCAAGGCAGCATTCTCAAGCAGGCTGTGGTATCAAAGTCAGTAATAATTTGTACATGAAATTTAGAGACCACATTTAACCAGGTTTTTAAACACCATACATGAAACTACCAATTTTATTATATCAACCATTGCCAGTCACTTATTCATAGACAAATGTCCTGTCATGTGCTCATTTTATTGCCCCAATCACTTAATTTGGATTCAATATGCTGTATAGAGTCATAAGGACTCTGAAAACTTTGGAGTTAAAATAATAAAATATCCAACAGAAGGAGTGCTGTGCACTTAGCCGTGCAATGGGAAGACTTCTATTTTGGCTCTTTCCTTTGACATTGCTTCTGTGATCAAATCCTTAAGCTTCTTTCCATTTCAGTGTTTGCATCTGAATATTACAAGAAGCACATATTACATCCAATTAGCCCTACAGGCATGGATTAATAACAAAAGATAATTATCATTGATTGTAGCTGGATTACATCTTTATTTCCAGATTTCTCATAAGCAGTGATATAAATAGACAAGAAAGGTGCCATGGCATAAAGAAAGAAGGCTCTGAACCAGTCCACTAGTGTGCAGTGGTTTCCAATGGCTTTTAAACAATAATGTAATTCACTTCACAGTACTGATTGAGTAGACTTGAGTTTATTTCATTATGATAACACTGTTGTTAGGCATTGTCATCCAGCTTGGTGACTTCATACAGCTCAAGGCCAAACACATGGTGTGCCTGTTCTTGTAATTCATTCACACAATTAGTATAAACTACCATAGATTTAGCTTTCTAAAGACTACCCATCTACTCCTCTTCCCACCTCCACTACCACTGGGAAAAGCTAGAGCAATCCATGTTAAAGCTTTTGTCATGAAGAATTATGCACACTGACTGTGATGAAACTAAAACTACACATGCACATATAAGACTACCTAAAAAGAACCATGCTGGAAAATTCCTTTATCTTGTTTAGCTTTGCAAAAGCTCTGCAAAAGCTATTTTTCTCACCATATTCATTTATGGTTTTGCTTTTCCTAAATAAAAGCATGTATGCAGAGCAGGCACATGTGGGTAGCTTGTTTTTACTAATCTTTATTTAACACTAAATATCTGATCTGACGTTCTCATATACTATCAAATGTGGTAACCATATCATTCAGCCAACATAGTGTCCCTTTTCCCCAGGAACTGCCACAGAATAGTATTCTTCTTTACATAATTTTTTAACCATTTAAAATTGTAAAACCCATTCTTTGTTTGCAGACTGTACAAAAACAGGCAGGTAATGGGCCAGATTTGGCCTACGAGGCAAAGTTTGCCAATCCCTAATCTAGATCAGCTCCCAGACTTCTCTGCACGTAGAATCACCTAGGGAACATTGTAAATTTTCAGTGCTCAGGCCATACCCCAGACCAATTAAGTCACAATTTCCTGAGGATACTAGCAGCAGTAATTTTGGAAGCTCCTCAGTGGAATCCAAGGTGCAGACAAACTTGAGACTCACTGATCTCTAAACTAAGATTTTCTTTTCAAGTGCTGATAATACATATCATTTGCTTTGACTTTGGCTTCCTTTGTCATTCCTAATATCCCTAGCAAACCATCTCGGGTTAGTAGAAGAGTAGATTTCAAAATAAAAAATCTTGGTTATACAGGCAACCTACAGAATGGGAGAAAATTTTTGCAATCTACCCATCTGACAGAGGTCTAATATCCAGAATCTACAAGGAACTTAAACAAATTTACAAGAAAAAAACAAACAACCCCATCAAAAAGGGGGTGAAAGATATGAACAGACACTTCTCAAAAGAAGACATTTATGCGGCCAACAAACATATGGAAAAAAAGCTCATCATCACTGGTCATTAGAGAAATGCAAATCAAAATCAGAATGAGATACCATCTCACACCAGTTAGAATGGCGATCATTAAAAAGTCAGGAAACAACAGATGCTGGAGAGGATGTGGAGGAATACGAACGCTTTTACACTGCTGGTGGGAGTGTAAATTAGTTCAACCATTGTGGAAGACAGTGTGGCAATTCCTCAAGGATCTAGAACCAGAAATACCACTTGACCCAGCAATCCCATTACTGGGTATATACCCAGAGGATTATAAATCATTCTACTGTAAAGACACACACACACACGTATGTTTACAGCACTATTTACAATACCAAAGACTTGGAACCAACCCAAATGTCCATCAGTGATAGACTGGATTAAGAAAATTTGGCACATATACACCATGGAATACTATGCAGCCATAAAAAAGGATGACTTCATGTCCTTTGAAGGGACATGGATGAAGCTGGAAACCGTCATCTTCAGCAAACTAACACAGGAACAGAAAACCAAACACCGCATGTTCTCACTCATAAGTGGGAGTTGAACAATGAGAACACATGGACGTAGGGAGGGGAACATCACACACTGGGGACTGTCAGGGGATGGGGGGCAAGGGGAGGGAGAGCATGAGGACAAATACCTAATGCATGCAGGGCTGAAAACCTAGATGACAGGCTGATAGGTGCAGCAAACCACCATGCCATGGCACATGTATACCTATGTAACAAACCTGCACGTTCTGCACAGGTATCCCAGAACTTAAAGTAAAATAAAAAAACAAACAGACAAACAAAAATGCTAATGATCATCTGAAAAAAAAATACAAGTTTCTTTCAGAGTGGACAGTCAAAAAAAAATCTTGGTTATAAAGTAAATTAGTCATGCTTGAAATATGGTAGGTGGGGATGATAGCCTATTTGTCTTAGCCTGGGCATCTCCCTAAGAAGCCCTCCAGAAAGCAATCTGAGACAAGTAGTTCATTTGGGGACGTGCTCCCAGGCAGCAGGAAAGGGAGATGTAGAAGAGCAAAATAAGAAATGAATAAGAGCCCATACAAGCGTGTATTATCAAGCTGGTCACCATAGTAGGCAACTGAGTCTTAATCCCACTGGGATCCACTGAGGACCTATCTAGAACACACTTCAGAATAGCCTGCCTGGGAAATAGAAGAGAGGAGCATTTACTCACTGGCTCCCATCCCCTACTTGTTAAAGTCTACCCCAGAGATTATTTCCCTCATACTTCCCAGTTGTACATATTTGAGCAATGCAGCCAACCAAGTGGCAAGCTCCAGGTAGCCAGGGCCACATGCTGTTAGGTGACATGTGCCAAAAAATGGTTGCCACAGCAATGGCTGAAGAAAAGGTAGGCTAAGAGGAGAGAGGAGGTTCACAAGAGATATCCAAAATGCCATCCAAAAGTCATTAGAATCCAGTGTTTTAGAAACTCACATGGGCAGTTCAATAGGCGACTCAATATGGGCTTAGTACAATGCCACCTTAGATAATGCTATGGACTGAATTTTGTTCCCCCAAAAGTTATATGTCCCCAATGTGATGGTATTTGGAGATGGGGCCCTTGAGAAGTAAGTAGGTTTAGGTGAGGTTATGAGTGTGGGACCCTCATGAGAGGATTAGTGCCTTTTTAAGAAGAGACAGCAGAGAGATAGCTTTCATTCTCTCTTTCCATGTAAGAACACAGCAAGAAGGTGGCTGTCTACAAGCCAGGAAGAGAGCCCTCACCAGAACCCAACCATGCTGGCAACCTGATCTCAGACTTCCAACCTCTAGAACTATAAGGAAATAAATTTCAGCCTTTGGTACTTTGTTATGGCAGTCCAAGCAGACTAATACAGATAACTCCTCTTTCTTCAAAACACAGTGTCAACAATGATATACCACTCATTTTAACAGTAAAAAAAGTAAAAGTCACACACTTTATCAAAGTTGAATTTAAACTCCTCTCTAAATGTTCCTATTAGCACTATTCTACTTAATTGTATCAAGCTGAAGTTCAATCAGAAAGTAAGAACAATATATAAAAAATACACTCAAAATCCTTCCACATAAAAAATAACTTATGTTAATATTGTGGCCCATTTTCTCCCAGCCATTGTCTAAGCATTTTATTGCGGTTGAGGTAACTGCATGTTTCTACACATTTCTGGATTTGATTGGAATTTCAAGACCTAATTAAAGTTCGCTTTTGCCCATAGCAGACACACTGCCTCCCTTTGCCCTTCCTAAATGTACTCTCTTTTACTAACTGCCCCTTCACATATTTCCCGGTGTCTTGAACATTCTCTCCCCCACACCAATCCCTTCTAAAGCCTAGATAAACAACAACTTCCTAATTATCTTTTCTTCCTGATCCCTCTTATGTGGCTATTTCACTCTCCTTTTAAATCCCATTATCCTTTAAACTTTCTTTCTGAATTTTATCATTTTATTCTAATCATAGGACATATACAAGCACTGTATTATAATGTCTGTGGACTGTTTCCTCTTCCCATTCCTAATTGTCCACCTTTATATTAATGGATTATTGTTTCTGCAAGGGCAGTATTTGTCTTACTCATCTCTGTCTTTCCCACCATGCCTAGTGCACTGTCTTGCCCATAGAAAGACCTTCATAAATCTGTGTTGAATTAATGAATAAATGTTAAGATTGTCTCAGCTGTAAGCCATGCACCACCAGTCTTGACACTTGTTAACTATATCCAGGCAAATATTAAAACCCTGAGAGATAGAATATATGTGCCATTGTAGATAGGAAAAGCCACAGGGTTTCTAAATGCATTTCACTTAAGAGTGTTACTGTGTTAATATCACAGTGTGTCATGGATGCCATTAGGAAAACGCATTCAGAGCAATGCTGCCTTCACGTCTCTTAACAAATGAACTATTTCACTAAGTATAAGGCCTAGCCTACAAGCGCACTCTCCACAGATTTCAAATAAGCAAGTGAGGCAGGCCAAATTACTTTCTTCTGCCACCCTCCAACCTCCTATGGGGGCAGTCTTTGGTAGAAGCCAGACAGCAAGAGAGGCTGGGAGGTACCGTTCAAAGAGGTCAGCCTCTCTGAGGCACAGAGTAGGGCAGAGAAATGCAGAGATTGCTTTTGGACAGAGGGAATGCAAAGAGAATAAAGCATAGTTGATAATGGACTTCACAGCTTCTACAGTTGCATATGAGCTAGATTTTTCCACCTGTACGAGATGCCTACTGTGGTTAGACCCTATTGGTAACCATATAGACCTGGAATTATTTACGTATCCCTCAATTCAATAGATGGTCATACTGATGCTTTACATTGGGTCACGACTGTAGACCTGTAGGACACCTTCCAATCATGCACCTATTTATTTTTCAATATTACAACCATGTGATCCTGAAGCCAAAGCAACATCGTGACACATCCTCTTTATCCTGATTGTTCATAACCTGTCAGGCAAGAAAGAATACATGAGCATCTGTGAACCAAAGGGTTGGCCTTAGTTTGGAGTGCAGTAACTTGCTGTATTATAAATTCAGCATGCTAGTTAGCTGTTTATGGCTTTGCCATAGCTCTTGCCCAAAGAGGAGTTTCTCCTATTTCATTCCTGAGTTTTACAGGTTCTAGCCATTCTATCAAACCCACTGTGAAAGCCCAAACACCTACATATCATGGTGTTTGATTTTCCTCTTAACTAGCTTCTCCACAGAACCAATGTATAATACTTATTTCTGTCCACTGAGCTGATTTCCTTGTCTTCCCATATGTGAGAGGGCATCAATTATGCGGCGAGTGTCCACTGCCTTCCAATAGCATGCACTATGAAGACACTTGGCTTCCCCATAAGTAAACTATGCCTGCTCTTCCTCTTCTACAGCCAAGGTTATTTTGAGGGGTATGAGATTTGGAAGACTTCAGTGCACTTCCATTTACATACAATCTGGCACTTTTCTGGAGGACAGAAACTTCTGTGGTGACTGATTTAGCCAATTCTTGTGAGTGCCATTTCTTCTTGGCCGTGGAAGTCACTGGGGCCTGGTCAACCTTGTGTGAAGGCAAGTCCTGCATTGCCTAACAGGCAATATTGCCTTCAGACTAGAAATATACAACTAAAAGGTTATGGCACACCTTTAGTATTCCTTCTCATAGACACCCGTGGCCAGTACCATGCTAACAGCTGTTTCTCAAAATCTGAGCTTCCAGGATACATTCAATTCAGAACTCTGGAGTTACTGGTTTGGTCTCCCTACTGGTTTTTCCACAAGCTCAAGTAGACTCGATTGTTAACCTCTTAGAACTCAAAAGTCATGGTGTATGCATATGTGTATCCTACTCTAATTTTTCTAGAGTAGCACACTGTGTTTCACTACCTGTGCAAAGTTATTTACTTTCAACAAAGCTCAGTGACAGCAGCCAGGAGTGGCCCAAGTGGGGTTGCTATGCTCTCCAGGACCAGAATCCCAAATGTTTTATGATGAATAGTGTTAAGGCCATCAATTTATTCCAATTGGCAATATTTGTGTTCTTCCTAGCCACTGAATCTCAAAGAATGTAACAGAGCTCGTCAGCCCTCGAATCTTTTTCACTGCATTTTCCATTCTCTGCACTGTATGTGGTCCACCACTGTGATTACGGTATATGGCACCATTATCTCCATCTCTCCACTAATTAGGAATTGATGGATATGGTAGCGGTCTTACCTAATAGAGAGTAATGTGCCCACTAAGTCTCAAAGAATGCTTTGCCCTTAGGAGGCAAATTTTCATAACCCTGTGGCAATATCATTAAAGTATATTGCAAACTTTCCCAATTAAAGGTCAGGTGAGGCTAGCTGTCCTCAATCTTTGAGATAGAGAAAATGACATTTGCCATGTACACAGGCCTAAGTGACCTGGTTGTTGACTATGATCATGATGTTCCTGCAACTAACAACATTTCATAGTAGAAGGTAAGAATTGCAATACGTCCTTTATTCCCCAATTTGTGGATCTATTTGCTAAAATCAGCCCATTTAGCTTTCTTAAATTGGGGCTAATGAATTTTAAGCCAGTAACTCCTAGGTAGAGAGAGGAATGCATATTTTAAAAGTTTTCTTTGAATATTGGTGTCTTTGCCACAAGAACTACAGCAAATTGCTGGTTTTATAAATTTTAAAAAGTGTTTGAACATTGACAATTACATGTGGTTCAACTATGCTCCACCACAGGAAACTGACTACCCTACTTGCAGAGAAGTATTACAAGAATGGATTTGTTCCTGAGAAAAAGTAAGAATTAATGTGATGGGTCTTGTTCCTGGCCCCAGGTTTTAAATGCTTTATGCATTTCCTTCAAAAAAGTTAAATGTTGGAAAAGGGAGTTACTATTAATAGAATTTTAAAGAAGTAAATACAGATGATCACCACAAGCTACATACAGGCATACTTCAGAGATATTGCAGGTTTGGTTGTAGACCACCACGATAAAATGAATAACACAACCAAGCAAGTCACATGGATTTTTCGGTTTCCCAGTACATATAAAAGTTTTGTTTACACTATTCTGTAGTCTATTACGTGTGAAATAGCCTTCTGTCTAAAAAAAAAAAACTACATACCTGAATTTAAAAATACTTTGCTAAAAATGCTAACGATTATCTGAGCCTTCAGCAATTCATACTCTTTGCTGGTGGAGGGTCTTGTCTCGATGTTGATGGCTACTTACTGATCAGGATGGTGGTTGCTGAATGTTGAGGTGGCTGTGGCAATTCCTTGAAATAAGGCAACAGTGAAGTTTGCCACATCGATTGACCTTTCCCTTCGTGAGGGATTTCTCTGTAGTACGTGATGCTGTTGAACAGCAATTTACACACAGTAAAACTTCTTTCAAAATTGTACTCAATCCTCTCAAATTCTGCTGATGCCTTACCAACTAACTTTATATAATCTTACAAATCCTTTGTTATCATTTCAACAAAGTTCACAGCATCTTTACCAGGTGTATAACCCATGTCAAGAAACCACTTTCTTTCCTCATCCATAAGAAGGAATTCCTCATCAGTTCAAGTTTGATCATGAGATTGCAGCAATTCAGCCACATCTTCAGGCTCCAGGTCTAATTCCAGTTCTCTTGCTATTTCCATCACATCTGCAGTGACTTCCTCCACTGAAGTCTTGAACCCCTCAAAGTCATCCATGAGGGCTGGAATCAACTTCTTCCAAACTCCTGTTAGTATTGATATTTTTACCTCCTCCCGTGTGTCACAAATGTTCTTAAGAACATCTAGAATGGTGAATCCTTTCCAGAAGGTTTTCAATTTACTTTGCCCAAATCCATTGGAAGAATAATTATCTATGGCAGCCATAGCCCTGCAAGATGTATCTCTTAAATAATAAGGCTTGAAAGTCAAAATGACTCTTTGATCCGTAGGCTGCAGAAAGGATGCTATATTAGCAGGCACAAAAACAGCATTAATCTCCTCATATATCTCCATCAGAGCTCTTGGGTGACTTGGTACATTGTCAATAAGCAGTAATATTTTGAATGGAATCTTTTTTTTTTCTGAGCAGTAGGTCTCAACAGTGAGCTTAAGATATTCATTAAACCATGTTGTAAATAGATGTGCTGTCACTCAGGCTTTGTTGTTCAATGTATAGAGCACAGGAAGAGCAGATTTAGCATAATTCTTAAGGGCCCCAGGACTCTCAGAATGATCAATGACCACTGGCTTCAACTAAAAAGGCATTAACTGCATTAGCCCTTAATAAGACAGTCAGGCTGTCCTTTGGACCTTTGAGGCCAGACATTGACTTCTCTTCTCTAATTATGAAAGTCCTAGATGGCATCTTCTAATAGAAGGCTGTTTTGTCTACATTGATAATGTGTCGTTTAGTGTAGCCACCTTCATCAATGAGCTAGATCTTCTGCAGCAGCTTCTACATCTTGTACTTTCATGTTATGGGGATGACCTCTTTCCTTAAACCTCAGAAACCAACCTCTGCTAGCCTCAAACTTTTCTTCTGCAGTTTCCTCACCTCTCTTAGCCTTCATAATTGAAGACACATAGGGACCTTGCTCTGGATTAGGCTTTAGCTTAAGGGAATGTAATGGCTGGTTTGATCTTCTATCCAGAGCACTCAAACTTTCTTCGTATTAGCAGTAATGCTGTTTCACTTTTTTATTATGTGTGTGTTCACAGAAGTAAGTCTGTTAATTTCTTTCAATAATTTTTCCTTGCATTTATAACCTGGCTAACTGGTGCAAGAGGCCTAGTTTTTGGCCTGTCTCAGCTTTCAACATGCCTTCTTCACTAAGCTTAATCATTTCTAACTTTTTATTTCAAGTGAGAGAGGTGCGACTCTTTCTTTCACTTGAACATTTAAAGGCCATTGTAAGGTTATTAATAGGCCCAATTTCAATATTGTTGTCTCTCAGGGAGACATGAGGAAAGGAAGAAAGACAGGAGAATGGCTTGTTGGTAGATCAGTCAGAGCAAACACAACATTTATTGATTAAGTTTGCTGTCTTATATGGGCACTGCTCATGGTGCCCTAAAACAATTAACGACAGTAACATAAAAGGTCATGGATAACAGATCACCCTAAAAGAGATAATAATTATGAAAAAATCTGAAATATTCTGAGAATTACCAAAATATGACACAGGCACACAAAGTGAGCACAAGCTGTTGGAAAAATGGTGCCAACAGAGTTGTTTGATGGAGGGTTGCCACAAACCTTCAATTTGTAAAAAATAAAAACAAATGTAGTATCTTCAAAGTGCAATAAAGTGGAGTACAATAAAATGGGATATGCCTGTATTAGTTAAAAAAGGATATTAAACTCATGGCCAGGCGTGGTGGCTCACAGCTGTAATCCCAGCACTTTGGGAGGCCAAGGCGGGTGGATCACCTGAGGTCGGGAGTTCGAGACCAGCCTGACCAACATGGAGAAACTCCATCTCTACTAAAAATACAAAATTAGCCGGGTGTGGTGGCGCATGTCTGTAATCCCAGCTACTCGGGAGGCTGAGGCAGGAGAATTGCTTGAATCCGGGAGGCGGAGGTTACAGTGAACCGAGATCACGCCAATGCACTCCAGCCTGGGCAACAAAAGTGAAACTCTGTCTCAAAAAAAAAAAAAAAAAGGATATTAAACTCATAACTAAATTTTGTAGCATTAATTTGGTCATTCTATAATAGATTAAGATGTCTTATAAAATATGTATTTTGGCTTTAGAAAATAGTTGAAAATAACATCATGCTACATTACATTCAAGTGTATCCGTTCAATTCAGCCTATATGTTCCTCACTATACAAGTAATTTTAATAATTTTGATTTTGTATGCCTTTAAATCGGTCATGTACTTTTCAGTTACCCATAGTCCCTACCACTCCCTATTGCTTTATACGTAGCCACTTCGCATATTTGGTACCTGCATGACATATGAAGGCATTTGAATGTTAAATTTCTGCTATTCATAATGACACACAAATTATGTAGGAACTATTCACTTGTCAGCCAAGGAAAATATGAAGAGGTGTTTTTCTTTAAACAGTGAGCTCCTCCACTGCATTAAAAATGAATCCAACTTGAAAATAATTTGTTTTGTGCTGAATTTTTTAGAAACACGACGTGTATGAAGTTAAATACTTGAAAAGATTATCAAGAAAATAAAGAAATTTGAAAGTGAGAACTGATGTGATGTCAAAAAAACACTCAAAGACAAAAGCATTTAGAAAGTAAGTTTCCTTGCAACAAAATACAGGCGAGTCAGACTTCAAAAGGAATGGTTTGAAAAATGTGTGCGTGTTTAATGGGAAAAAAAGTAAGACTGCCATCAGTCTGCTCATGGTAGAAAAACAGCAACTTTCTAATGTGATTATCAAATCCACAAAGGTTGTACCATTTTTTCAGACATCAGCATTGCCAAAGTCACAGCTAAAGGTGCTTTAGCCAGATGAGTCCAGGCATACAGGAAATGTGCAAGGTGCCATCCAATGTAAGATCAGAACTAGAGAACTAGATGGGGTGGCCTTATTATTTTTTACTAATTGTGGAGTACAGAGTGGTTTTTCCCCCTAACGGCAAAACATGATCTATACCTGTATTAGCCCATTTTCACACTGCTATAAAGAACTTCCTGAGACTGAGTAATTTATAAAGGAAAGAGGTTTAATTGACTCAGTTCCCCATGGCTGGGGAGGCCTCAGGAAACTTACAATCATGTCAAAAGGGGAAGCAGACACGACTTACATGGCAGCAGGCAAGAAGAAACTAGCATTTATAAAACCACCAGATCTCATGAGAATTCACTCACTATCACGAGAACAGCATGGGGCCCAGCTCTGTTGCTAACAAGCTGCTGGTGCTCAACAGTCTTCTTATTCTCCGCTTGTTCCGGAGCACCACCTCTGGACTACATTCCTCAGCCTCCATTGTAGGACCACATTCCTGTGACTGAGGTCTGGAATGGAAGTGATGTGTGCCATTTCTAGGCCTGGCCCATCAAAATCTGCCATTTGTAGTTCTTCATGTTTTTTCCCCATCCGCTACCTATGAGTAAAGGAATCTGAGGACTCAGAGGAGGGTGAAGGCACAAGAGGGAAAGGAGAAGCAACCTTGAATAACTGCATGGAACAAAACTCTATTTCCCATTCTCCCCATCCCTGCTAACCTACACAGGATTGAATGTGTTCAAGGTAGAAATTCTAAAACCACAGATATATTGCAGTTGTTTATTACAGCTATTGGTCTACATGAATAAATATACCGTGTGACAGTGTTAGTTACTAGAACTTCTCTAAACTCAGTATCTTCATCAGTAAACTGAGAATAACAATGCACCTAATTGAGGGGATTGGTGTGACATTTAATAAGAAAATGTACAACACTGAGCACAATGCTTGGCACACAGTGAACAATCAATAAATACCATCTACTAAAATGGTTCAGTGTGTGTTAGCTATTACAATATTAGATGAGTTGGAAAAAAAGAAAACGGAATCATTTCTTTTGCTTGGTAATATATCTCTATACTTGGACACATAGAGAACCCAGTCCTTCTAGTTAACCAGTGCTAATACCATGTATACTGATTAAGTACTCCTTTGAAGATCTGGAGTCCTACAGAGCTGGGATTAATGTTAAGCTGGATAAGTCACTATTACAACAGCTGCTTGAACCACTGGAGTGTACCCAATCGCTCTCCAAATTGAAAACTCTGAGGAATCACTATTAGGCATTATATCCCCAAGCATAACAACTCCCATAAGTTTCAGAACACCATGGAGTCAATAGAAGAACAGCCTACTCAGAGACTGCACCAACTGAAGAAGATCCTGCCTCTGCTGTCAACATCAATTACAGTGTATTAAGGTCCCACAGGGTGCAGTGCTTAATAAATGGCCTTACTTAATAGATGTTAACTAATTACACCTAGAAAATTCCCATCCACCCAAGGAAAGTATTGTAATATGCCAGATGAGAAAGACCAGATTTCTCAGTTAGATCCTTCAAATGCCTCCATGTCTCCTCAAGGTAGAATATGAAAGCAAAAGAAGCTTTTTCCTTCCCTAAAGTCTGCCCTATTCTAATACCTAAGTCAGGCACCTGTACACCTTGACTCTGGACATAATCACTTTATCACCAGGATCTAAAAATGATTTTCAGAGAATGGAAATCAGGTCAAATTCCTAAAATGGAAGAGTAGAAGGTCAGCCCCCAACCTGAGCCAGTTCTCTTCATCTAGCCTCTCAGGTAATGATGGCTGGTCACTGCAGCTAAAATGCAAAACACAAAAGAAGACCTTTTACTTTAACCCAGGTGTCTGCTTATCATAGTGTAGAATACAGGAGAACATTTTTAAATTGGCAGGCAGTTGGCAGGGTCAGGTATTTTTGTTTGTTTTTGTTTTTGTTTTGAGATGGAGTCTTGCTCTGTCAACCAGGCTGGAGTGCAGTGGCACGATCTCGGCTAACTGCAACCTCTGCCTCCAGGGTTCAAGCCATTCTCCTACCTCAGCCTCCCCAGTAGCTGGGATTACAGGTGCACACCACCACGCACAGCTAATTCTTGTATTTTTAGTAGAGACGGGGTTTCACCATGTTGGCTAGGCTGGTCTCGAACTCCTGACTCCTGATCCACCCACCTTGGCCTCCCAAAGTGCTGGGATTACAGGCGTGAGTCACTGTGCCTAGCCTTTTTTTTTTTTTTTGAGAACTTGATGAAAGTTAGGAATCCTATCTCAAAACACACACACACACACACACACACACACACACACACACATACAAAAACTGCATTTCAAATTTATAGACCCTCCCATTGTAACTCTGGAACAGTAGCTTTCATGCTTCAGAGTGCATGAAAACCCCCCTGGAGGGCTTCTTAAAGCACAGGCCCCCAGAGTTTCTGATTCCATTAGTCTGGGTGACTTGGGCCTGAGAACTTGCACTTCTAACAGGTTCTGATGATGCTGATGCTGCTGTGTCTGGGAACCACTCCCTGAGAGCTGCCACTCTAGGACTCTATGGACCAGGTTGAAAGTATCTGCTCCAAGGAGTCCACTTCGGAGCATTTCAAATGCTGGGAACAGGGGCCCATCAATATGTCATAGGGCAGAAGACAAAGATCCTAACTCTCAGCAACACTGAGCTCTGATCTGTGACCTTCAGCAAATTCTCACCTATAGCTTGTGAAATCCTCCTGGTCTTTTCCTCTGATTCCTGCTTCTCTCCCCACCCCTCAGCCTCCGCCTTTCTTTATTCCTTTCTGTCTCAGGACCTCCATGTTTATGCATCGCTCTCCTTCCCCATCTGTTTCTGTGTGCATATGTATGGGTAACTAGATGCCTGAGCTCACCTCTGTCCCTCTCTTATTGTCCCCAATCTCTTTCCCTCTGTACACTATAATAGGAAACTGTATTTGCATTTACAATTTGTTGTAGCTATTCAATTAAGTTTTATGACTCATATTCTTAATTTTGAAGCAGGTAAATGGGATATTTTATATTTGTCTCTAAGGATATAAAATACTAAAGCCTCTTAATATTTTTCCTAGGATAACTCACATCTTGGTTAACAGAGGAAAATATTCCCATGTTTTTTTTTTTTAATACAAGCACTATGTAATAGAACTTTCTATAACGACAAACATGTTTTGATTCTGCACTGTTCAACTCAGCAGTAGCTACTGGCCACGTGTGGCTACTGAGCACTTAAAATACAGCTATAATGACTGAGGAAGTGAGTTTTTTATCTTAAGTAGTTTTAAATTTAAATAGCCACATGTGCCTAGTGGCTACAGTAGTGAACAGTGCAGCTCTATATTGTCTACCTTGAACATTTATATACTGTATACATACAGGATGCAGAAACCTTTCAAAATCTCTCAAGCTATGCTTGGTCACCTCAACATCAAAACAGAAATGCATCCATCCCCTAAACCTCTCATGAATCCCATGTTACATAAACAAGGAGTTATGTTTTTAACTTAAAATAATAATAATAATAATAATAATAATAATAATGTAATTGTAAAGAAAGCCATGTCAAACACTGAAGAGATTTTTCTCCCAGTCACCTAGGAGCTGAAAACCTCCTCTCCAGGGAGGAACATAACCATCTGTGTGCATCAGTTGGACCAGCACTGTTTGCTCCACTTGAACAGGGACTGGAAAGCAACAGCATGAACATCCAAATCATTCATTAGCAGACACCCAGAATCCCACCGGTAAATAACCCAGCATCAAGTCTTGCTGCAGTCTCCAAAGTATCTCAACTCCTGTTTTGGTGATTACTTTGGCTCTCAAGAAATCTCAAAAATTCTACAAATCTCTCCAATCAAAATTACTTTAAACTTACTTTAATTTACAGACACATGCCATGTAGCCCCTTTTCAAAGCTACTATGGGAAAGTAAGTGAACTGATAGGGCGTAATAATTTCAAAGGGATCATGGAATCACTGTTCAGCCTCCATTTTAAAACTTCTCTCATGTTACAGACTCAGATTCTTCATCAAACATCTTCAAATCTTCCTATCCCTAGGGTTTTGAGCTAAGAAAATATAAAAATTAAGAATTAAGTTTTCTTTTCTTTTTCTTTTTTTTTTTTTGAGATGGAGTCTTGCTCTGTAGCCCAGGCTGGAGTGCAAGGGCACGAACTCAGCTCACTGCAACCTCCACCTCCCTGGTTCAAGTGATTCTCCTGTCTCAGCCTCCTGAGTAGCTGGGATTACAGGCGCCCGCCACCACGCCTGGCTAATTTTTGTATTTTTGGTAGAGATGGGGTTTCTCCATGTTGGTCAGGCTGGTCTCGAACTCCTGACCTCGTGATCCACCCGCCTCGGCCTCCCAAAGTGCTGGGATTACAGGCGTGAGCCATCACACCCGGCCCTAAAAATTAAGTCTTGTTAGAGACTACATCTGCCCGTGAAGACCTTGAAATCTGTGCTATGGAAATGGAAAACAAATCAGATTTCACTATCTTTAATTGTTGTCCATTAATTCGGTCCTCACCAAGGATTCACACCATTGACCAAAGTTCCTTAGGAGAAATCTGAGTTTTCCTAGGGCCTAACATAACATCTGTATTGGTTATAAGGCATTATATCTGTATGGCACTTAAGAACTTATTAATTGCCTTCGTTTACACTGACCTCCAATCCTCACCACATTGGGAAGTGGATGTTACAGCCTCACTTTTACAGATGAGGATATTTAGGAGCAGAGGGTCTAATTGATAAGGAAATGATCAATTGAAACAGACATGCAGGTAGAAAAGAAATCTAAATTGCAGAGAAGTAGGTTTGGGTCACAAGGCTAGAAAATAATATCGAACTCTCCACTATCTTAAATTTAGTACATAATACGTTTTGAGAAGCAAAATTGCCATTTCACATTGAATTAACCACGTGGAACTTAGCCCAGGCTGTCCCAAGGCAGATTAATAAAAACTGAATTTGTGAGAGTGCCTTTGAACCTTCTTGAAGTACATGTAATCGTATGTGAGGCTTTTACAGATGCATTTTGTTTCTGAATCAAGGATTGGCACATTGTAAGAGCTTGATATAATGACAGGAGTCTTTCCGCTGAAACCAGTCAGAAGCCAAAAACCTCATAAATGTTTACCATAATAAATCACCTTAATATATCTCACTTTGCTAAGTTGTTACCCAATTAGTGTAATGTAAGCCAAGTCTGTGGTAGGAGCTATCTGAACTCAGTGTAAACCTATTAAAGAAATTTACTTACCCCTGAATTGACCTGTTTTGAACACTGAGCCATATTTTCAGGGACAGATTAAGAAACAGATTCTAGCCTGAATATAGAAGACTTTTTTCCTTTAAATAAAATCTATATGTGGAGCATAGAACTTTTACAGCCTTTATTTGAAGTTCCAACATGAAGTGATATTCTGTTGAACACTTTTCGGGTAGCTATGGCAACAATGATTATCACCACATACTACCAACCAAAATACCACCTGCATCCACGTCTATTCTAGACCGTTAATTAACAAGAAAAGCCCAGTTCAAATTCCCAGTTGGTAAATTTGGCAGAAAACTTTTTTCAAAATGTTGGGAAATCTATTTAGCTTTGGCTTCTGTGTTTGCTTCACAGAGTTTTGTTGTTGTTGTTGTTATCTTTCAGAACAACTTAAGTCTGACTCTCTCTCTTCCTGCTCACACCAGAACCACCCACACACACTGTTAAGTTTCGGGAGAAATAGAGGTTTCGGCATTTCCTTTTCTAAGGAGTTAATCAGTAATAAGATCTCCAGGGGCCCCCCAGAGTACTCCTTTCAAACAATTATCCATGTACATGAGAATTTCAGGCTTGTTTTTAGTTTCTCTGTAGGAAGGAGGGGAGATAGAAGGGGAACAGAAACAGGAGGTAAAGACTGAAGAGAAAGGAAGCTAGAAAAAGAAAACATAGAAGGAAAACGAGCGAAGAAACGTAGAAAAGAAAGAAAATGAGCCCAGGATCAAAAAAGAAGAGAACAATTTATTTCAATCTGTGAGGAAGAAGGCAAAGGGGAAAACATGCAGAATCCATGGAAAGCAGAAACAGGCTTCACACAGGCTTACAATGGAAGATTCTGCAATTGACTAATTGCAGGAACTGCTCCAGTTCGTCACTGCTCCCTATTTCAATGCCCTCTATCTTGTAACTTTGAAGTGCCCACCCACTCCAACTTTGGACTCAGCCACGAACTTGCTTTGGCCAATGGGATATTAGCAAATGTGATGCAACCAGATGCTTGACAAGTGCTTGTGAGAGTAGACTTGCTTGCTCTCGCCCTTTACCACTGCTATGAGAACATGCTTGGAGAATGAAAGACACATTCTGAGCTGAGCTGAGGTGCTCCTATCTTCCCAGCCAACGCCATCTCAGATCAGCTGACAGCTAGCATACCCAGAGATGTGTGAGCCCAGCCAGTATCAGGAAAGTTGCCTGTGTCAACTAGCAGCTGAGTGCAGACACAGGCGTGAGCCCTGCCCAGATCAGCTAAATAAATGCACATTGTTGTAAGCCACCTAGGAGGTTTGCGATGCAGCATTACTGTGGCAATACATAACCAATATAAGTATATACCCTGATAATCAAGGAGCTCATTCTATCCCCATTATATTAATGATTTCTACCACGTAATCTTGTAACTAAGTATCAAAACTCCATAGGAAAATACAATGTAGAATAATCTTAAAATAAATACAGTCAATGCAAATTTTTGGACATGATAGGTGTTATTAACCAACAAAGTAAAAAAACCCAGGATATTCCCCAAGGTAAGGTCATTGAGATTCTAAAACCACAGAAAACTTGGAAAAAAGCCAGCCAATCCTACTTTAGGATAAATTCAATTTAGGTAATTACAAGGACACAGCAAACTTTGTCCACAGTCACTAACACTGCAGCAAGTAACGGACTAAAAAGTTTGCAAATTCTCAGGTGCCCTATCAATTGCAGCTGAAGAGCTATAACAATAAAAGCGTTTTCTCCAGCTGTGGGCCTGAGGGTAAACAGGGTAGGTGATCCCTGATGAATCTGTGCTGCCAACTGCAAGAACAGAGGGTAACAGCTGCTATCAACACCACACTCCCTAGCTTACCATAAAAGTAACAAATGAATTGTCATTTAAACAACAACAAAAAAATACCTTGAACACATATGGGCAAGAGCACTGCATTCACCTTCTGTAAACTGAACTACACAAAGAAAAACATGACTGGAAAGTGGACGATACAAGCAATTAGAATAGAAAGGTTTCTTTGCCTGTAAAGCTGAGTTACATTTTCTTTCCAATGAGAAGTGCTCGGGGGGAATTCTTAGAGGGTCACTGGTAAAGGGATACCTGTGTACTAAGTGAATGAGACAATATTCTCTGAATCTCAAATCATATGTTTAATCAAAGACCCTGTTAGGTATGCGGCTGAGTAAATAGAGTAGTAACATATTGACAAAAAATGGATTTTTAATTGACTTCAGTAATCAGGGAACAGTGGCGTGAACAATCTCTGAATTATTTTATTATGATCTTGGAAGGCGTTTTTTCATTGACAATAACTAGAAAGGGAAAAAGAAACACCTTGGCAGAATCTGAAGGATTTCTAGTTTTGTATTCTGATCATTATCCAACTCACGTGTGGTACCCACGGCATGGCAAAAATTGCCAGTCTCTCTCCTCAGCAACTGGAACCCCACTCTGTCTCACACCTTCCTTGGGTGGATGGCAGAGTAAGGATAAGGTAACTATTGTGTTTACAATACCTTTTCTAATGTGTGAGGGGTAAGAAGACAGCTGACTCTGGTTCCTTGAATCTTTTCCTTCTTTCCTGTTTTTAATGGTTTCCAGATGCCAGGAAGATAGTTCAGAGATGAGGGAATCAGAGGAATCCAGTGAAAAGCAGTGATACTTCAAGCCCCTTGAGATTTGTTCATCCATCCATCCATCCATCCATCCACCCATCCATCCATCCAACAAACTCAATGCAAATATTGGATGCCTACTATGTGCCTGCTATGTGTTAAGCGCTGTGGAAACACTGATGCACAAAGAAAAACAGTGAGAGAGATACATGAGAGATATAAGAGAGATACATATACGTCCTTACAATACAACACTAGGGTGCCACAGTGGAGAGTGTAGGAGTGCCGTGGTAGCCGTGGGGAAGGACTGACCAAATATACCTGAGGAGTGGAGCTGGGGAGGCATCATGGTGGAAAAGAAGCTGGGCTCCTTCTTAGACAGTCCCCAACAAAATCAGCCAGACAATGGAAAGTTTACTTCACAATGATATTTTAAGGGGGTCTTGTCTCAGAAGTGCAACCAACAAACCCTTATCATCCTCGAGCCTCCATTAATAGGCTCTAAAATCTCAAACTCTAAAGTTTAGGAATATAGATGTATGTGAATTAATACAAAAGTCTGAACGCCTTAGCATGAAAAATTCCTACAACTACGTGGGCCTGGAATATTTGTGGAACACCTTATTAGATTCCAGAAACTGCACTAGGCATGCTGTCTTATTTGTTTAAAAGAGGGGCAAAGGCTTGGTTATAGTTCTTTAATGCATGTGAAATCTCTGAGATATACACCGATAGATTTGGCAGACTTTCCATATCTACTTACACAATGAAATGTACTTTGGATTTAGGTTTTTCTCTCTAAAAATAAGATACTGTTTTAATTTGAAAAGTATATGTTAGTAAAGACAACAAAATATGTTTTTTTCCACTAAAATTGTCACTTTAAGGATGTTATGTTATACTGAGAGATCTAATCAGAAAGCCTTTTAACACAAGTATATTTTTTCCCCCACATGAATAAATTTTACTTTTTGTCCTTGAGAAGAAAGGCCAAGAAAACTTACCACTGATTAAGGAGAGGGGACTCAAATACATTGCATTTTCTTAAATAAGTCCCTTGGATTTATGGGCTGGTTCCATTACGGAGCCAAGGTAGTGCATTGTGTCATTATCACCTGACTTCTGCTTCTTCACTTTATAGAGAGTTAATTCAAAGACGACTACTGAAAAGAAGCCAATGAAACAATTTCAAAAGCATTTCCAAAACTTACTCTGGATTGTAAACAAATATAAGCCAACAAAAAATTAAAAGGCCATGCTTTGCAGTCTGGAGACCATAATTTACAGTGTTTATAAGATTTTTCTGCTTCAAAGTTCAAAATGAAGAGTAGTCAATTTATGAACCTCATTTAATCCTTTGAATAACCCCATGAAGTAGGAATTATCACTATTTTACAAGTGAGGAGAATGAGGCTCAGAAAGGTTTAAGAGAAGGTTGTAAGTGAAGCAGCCAAGACTGAACTGTAGGACTGATGGACTTCAAAAGCCATTGTTTTACCATTAAAACACATTACCTGTTGATATAATTTCATTGTCTGTCCGCTCCAAATCTCATGTTGAAATCTAATCCCCAATGTTGGAGGTGAGGCCCGCTGGGAAGCGATTGGATCATGGGGATTGATATGGTTTGGCCGTTCCCCATCCAAATCTCATCTTTAACTGTAGCTCCTATAATCCCTATGTGTTGTGGGAGGGACCTGCTGGGAGGTAATTGAATCATTCAGGGTGGGTTTTGCTGTGCTGTTCTCGTGATAGTGAGTAAGTCTCACGAGATCTGATGGTTTTATTAAGGAGAGTTGCCCTGCACACACTCTCCTGCCTGCGCCATTGAAGACATGCCTTTGTTGCTCCTTCGCCTTCCGCCATGATTGTGAGGCCTCCCCAGGCATGTGGAACGGTGAATCCATCAAACCTCGTTCGTTTATAAATGACCCAGGCTTGGGTATGTCCTTTTAGCAGCATGAAAACGGACGAATACAGGGCTGCATCCCTCATAGATGGCTTACCACCATCCCCATGGTAATGAGTACATTCTCACTGTAAGTTCACACAAGATCTGGTTGTTTTAAAAGAGTATGGCACTTCCTCTTGTCTCTCTCTTGCCCCCACTCTTGCCATGTGACATGCTGGCTCGTCCTTGCCTTCTGCCATGATTGTAAGCTCCCTGAAACCCTCACCAGGAGCAGATGCTGGCACCATGCTTCTTGTAATGTCTGCAGAACTATGAACCAATTAAACGTCTTTTCTTTATAGATTACCCAGCCTCAGGTATTTCCTTATAGCAACGCAAGAACGGCCTAACACGTCTGTGATTAAACCCTTTTCTGTTTGATTTGACTATTAAAATACTACATTCTGTTGATGCTATGGAACTAGCTAAAAGACTGCTGAATCTGGAGTTTGGTAAAACTAAAAAATGACAGATTTATTAATTAACTTCACTACTGTTTGAGGAGTTAACAATACCAATCATAAGAGAAAAAAATGGAGCAAGCTCATCCTCTCGTTGGGCTCCATTCAAGTGTCAAGACAGGGAAGGATAAAATATTAAACCAAAATGAGAAGAAAAAAACAAAAAAATAGATTTCGTATGATTGGAGAAAACTTAATTACAGATACATATGGCCCTTTAAGAGAAGGCAACAGTTAAATCTTCTGTTTCATTTTGTTTCCTCTTTCTCCCAGAAAGGATGTTTGGGCCAGAAATATAATACTTTTATAATTTTAAAGCACTTTACAGCATGTTTTCACATAGATTATTGCATTTGATCTTCACACCTACTCTATGAAGTGAGATTTATCAGTGTTCCCATTTGATGTATGGGGACACTGAGTTCAGAGCAGCTACACAACTTACTGAAGCATGTAAACTGTGCTTGACACAGCACTCAATGCCAAGTTTTCTGATCTGAAGTCCTTCTTTCCGACAAAACACTGCTTCTCCTTCCTGCTTTGAGCCAAAGAGAAACAACATAAAAAAGAGATGAGAAACAAAGAAAATCATATAAATTATAAGACAAATCACATATAAGCTGAGTTCAGCTCACGTCCAAAAGCATTTGGCATTAAATTAGCATTCAAGCTAATTTCTAAAATATAAGTCTCCTATCAGAGTCTATGTATACAATCATAATTTAAAAAAATAAGGCATTTGGGGGTTAAAAATCAAGTGGGAAAAATATTTCATTTCATCTTATAATACACCTTATACTTTAAACTCCATTTTCTGCTTCTACATTGTTTGGTATTTGATTTAATAAACTATTAGGCCTGTAGCAGATTCTCAGTAAGTGTGTCCACTGAGAATTTTTAGCATGAAAAGGCCCGCATATGAATTTTATCATTATATTTAAGCAAACATGGATCTATACTATCAAATTTTGCTGATTTGTTTTAAAATGGTGGAATAAAATGCTGGAATCTTGGCTCAGCTTTTACAGAGTGAACCAATATTCATCTTGCATATGTTGATTGATGTCTCATGTTTCCCTAGAATGTATAAAAACAAACTGTGCTCTGATCACCTTGGGCACAGGTCGCCAGGACCTCCTGAGGTTGTGTCACAGGCAAGCGTCCTCAACCTTGGCAAAATAAACGTTCTAAATTAACTGAGACCTGTCTCAGATTTTCTGGTTTCACATTTCGGTAACCATGGAGGGATTCTGAGTGGAGATGCCCCTGACCTTTGACCTATCAGTGCTGGGTACCGGCATGAGCTAACTTTATGGCTCAAACCAATAGGACAATTTGCTGAGGTCTGAGAGCACCCCCTCCAGAGAATCCCTGATCTCCAAACATTTGGATGAGATATAAAGTTTATTTTGCTGTACAACTCCACTTTTTTTGGAGTTGTACTTGCTTCCAACAAGGAAGGCAAGACTTCCTGTTTCCATGTCGATGGAAGACAGGTAATTCCTTTATGGAGTTTGAGCTCACTTCCAACACGGAAGATGAGATTTTTTTTTTTTTTTCATGCTGCTGGGTTGGTAGAGAGCAGTCTACAGCCTGAGACCCATCCCTAGGTAAGTAACTGAATTGAGGTTTGTCTTGGCTAAAGTTAAGACTAACAACCAGCTGGTCTTAATTTCTCATTACCATCAGAGTGCTCAGTAATCATATAAGTTGTGCGATTGTTTGTTTTGCTTAACTGGTTTTTTTGTTGTTGTTTATTTCTGTTTCTGTCGTTGTTTTGGTCTTTTTCCCATTAGGTTTGACCGACTCTATTCGACGTGATCAAATCCGAAGGAAAGTTCCAAGTTATGGGGAACAAGGCCTTTAAAGGGGCTAAATTCACACACACACACACACAAAAGTGATGTGGCGGGGGGGAGAAAAACAACCAGCAAAAGGAAAAAAACATGGATTTTTTATTTGGACTACTTAAAGGGCTTTATTTACATAACAAGGCCACCGTTTTGCTAGCGAGGCCAAACTGAAAGAGCAATGGCTGTCACCCCATGCTGCAATTTGACAGCTAAGCTCCTTGCTTTTTTTTTTTTTTTTAACCACGACAGCCTGGATTTGGTTCATAAATCAAGGCCTTCCTGGTTTGATACTTGGTACTTCTGAAATGGCAGAAATTTCTCCTAGCTAAAATATGGCAATGAAATTTAAAAGGATTTTTTTTAAAGGAGATCAATGGTTAAAAGTCAGCTTAATTAAAAGGCTAACATCCAAGATGTGTGTGTGTATGTGTGCATGTCTGCATGTTTGCATTTAAAAGGCTTTCATGTTTTTCTTTGTTGTTTTTCTCTCCTAGGACCTTGTCTTTTTTTTTTTTTTTTTGAGCAAAAGTTTTTTTTCTTCTCAGTTGACTGAATTCTCTTTTCGCCTGATTTTTATTTATTTATTTATTTATTTATTTATTTATTTATTTATTTATTTTTGAGACAGAGTCTCGCTCTGTCACCCAGGCTGGAGTGCACTGGCGTGATCTCGGCTCACTGAAAGCTCCGCCTCCCGGGTTCACGCCATTCTCCTGCCTCAGCTTCCTGAGTAGCTGGGACTACAGGCGCCCGCCACCACGCCTGGCTAATTTTTTGTATTTTTTAGTAGAGCCGGGGTTTCACCGTGTTAGCCAGGATGGTCTCGATCTCCTGACCTCGTGATCCGCCCACCTCGGCCTCCCAAAGTGCTGGGATTACAGGTGTGAGCCACGGTGTCCGGCCTGATTTTTTAATTAAAATAGTTATTGCAACAGAAGCTACTGTTTGTAAGGAAGAGTGTAGTTTGGAAACTTAAAAATATCTGTTTAAAAAAATTTTGAAGTGCACTGTAAAAGCATCACATGGTCTAGTCTTATAATTCTCTCTTTTTGGAGACCCAGGATTCAGTGTGAGCTCTGCCCAGAGCTTAGAGATGCAGTTAAAAAAAAAAAAAAAAATAGGTAGTCCCTATCTAAATAAAATTGGTCTCCTTATACAATCCTATAATAAATTTCTGTAATTTTATGCTTGATTTGGCATCCATCTTTAATCTCCCTCTAGCATCACCAAACTTTTTCTCTCTGTACCCTGAGATGTAAATTTTGCTATCTGATTTTTCATCTAAGAGTTATTTCTTTTAATATGCAAATTTAAGGCTATTTAGCTGACAACTGCCTTGGGTAAGATAGGGAAAAAAAAGGAAAAAAAGGAGGCCTTTATGAATCTATAAGATGTACTTCTATCGGCATGCCTAACACGTCTATGTATTTATGTGTTGTGTACACAGTGTTTCACTACTAAAAATATATAAGAGCTCTAATTAATTGGCTTTAAAAAAATAAAAGTGCTTAAGCCAGATACTAAAAAAAAGACTAGTCAAATGCTTTTCAAGTTCACGTGACTTAAGTAAACTCTTTAATAAATAAGCTGGCTTTTAAAATATTTAGTAAAATAACATTAGAAATGTCTTAAGAATTTGCCAACAGACATTTTTGTTTGCATTTATTAATCAAGCAATTTCATACTTATCCCTGACAAGTACTACAAGGTGTCAAAATTTGGCATGGGGGGTTACAAAACTATAAACCCGAGGCGGGCGGATCACCTGAGGTTGGGAGTTCGAGACCAGCCTGACCAACATGGAGAAACCCCGTCTCTACTAAAAATACAAAATTAGCCGAGCATGGTGGCACATGCCTGTAATCCCAGCTACTCAGGAGGCTGAGGCAGGAGAATTGCTTGAACCTGGGAGGCAGAGGTTGCAGTGAGCCGAGATCACACCATTGTACTCCAGCCTGGGCAGCAAGAGCAAAACTCTGTCTCAAAAACCAAACCAAACAAAACAAAAAACAAAACTATGAACCCAGCCCAAAACAGAATGATCTTTGCTTGTGTAATCTTTAATAAGTAAGACATTGATATTGGTTTAATAAAAATAGCTACACCTTAAATTTAGTAAGATTACCATAACTTTAATCTTGTGGCTTTAGGTGGTCTAGTCCACAGGCAGTAAGGCTTGTTATTGCCTTTGTTTCAAAGCTAAACTATAAACGAAGTTCCTCCCAAAGTTAGTTCAGCCTATGCCCAGGAATGAACAAGGACATCTGGGAGGTTAAAAGCAAGATGGAGTCAGTCACATCAAATCTTTTTCACTGTCTCAGTTATAATTTTGCAATGGCAGTTTCATAATGTTAAATCATGACTATTGCAGTTTTCGTAAATAATCTAGGTAAACAATTAAAATAAAATAATTCGGTAAATGTAATGTGATAAATACTTGTGGACTACCTTGTCATAATTTAGAATATAAAGTTATATTAAATTAGATAATAGATATTTCATTATTTGGGTATTTTCAAATAAAAATATATTGTAGAAAAACATTCTTTCTTAAAAAAGTGTCCTTTTTAAAAGGGTGAAAAATTTTTGTCTAATTCAAAGGTTATTTAAACGTTATGTATAAAACAAGGTAAAAGGAACCAGGAAATAAGAGAAATGTAAAGAAAGTTACAGAAATAAAGAGGTTTTTTTGGTAAGAAAGCTTAAAGGGAAATAATTTTATATGAGAAAGAATCTTATATGGTAAATTTAGACCTAGAATAAAATGACTGGTTGTTTAAGAAAGAGGGACGTTCAGGAAAAACCAGAAAGTTCAAGCATGTCATGAATGGTCTAAGTCAGTCACAATAAATGGATTGATATATTTTTAAAAACTTATATAGTTAAGTTGACTATAATTAAAGAGAAATGATAATGGTCTTTCTAGAGATTGTGTTTGATGTTTAAAAACACTTATACACTAAATAATTGGTTAGAACAATGAAATTTTCTTAAGGGATTGATTGACTCTTAATATATTATAAAAGATTTTAATTTTTTTTAACCCAAAGTTCAACTTTTATTGCATCTCTACGTTTTTGGTTTTCTCTCCCCTTTTAAAGGGCACAAAATAGTAATGCTCTCCTTAAACTTATCTTCAGCTTATATAAGTTTTTTTTCCTGGAGTTCTGTTGCAGTGGCCCAATGCTAGCAATGTTTTCTTAAAGGTCTAAAGGAAATGTTTTCTTCCAACATAATATTCTGTGCAGTGCAGCAGGTCTTTTCTCTTGCCTTTTGGTAACTGGCCTAACAGATTTTACATTTTATCAAAACAATTCATATATCATTATTATTAAGTTTTTGTTTGCTTAGAAATAACTGATATTAAAAAATTTAACTAAGGTTATTACATCCATGTATCTTTCTGTATGTGCTTTTAAAGTCCTTGTGACGAGGGAGGAGCCAAGATGGCCGAATAGGAACAGCTCCGGTCTACAGCTCCCAGCGTGAGCGACGCAGAAGACGGGTGATTTCTGCATTTCCATCTGAGGTACCGGGCTCATCTCACTAGGGAGAGCCAGACAGTGGGCACAGGCCAGTGTGTGCGCGCACCGTGCGCGAGCCGAAGCAGGGCGAGGCATTGCCTCACCTGGGAAGCGCAAGGGTCAGGGAGTTCCCTTTCCGAGTCAAAGAAAGGGGTGACAGACGCACCTGGAAAATCGGGTCACTCCCACCCGAATATTGCGCTTTTCAGACCGGCTTAAAAAACGGCGCACCAGGAGACTATATCCCACACCTGGCTCAGAGGGTCCTACGCCCACGGAATCTCGCTGATTGCTGGCACAGCAGTCTGAGATCAAACTGCAAGGCGGCAACGAGGCTGGGGGAGGGGCGCCCGCCATTGCCCAGGCTTGCTTAGGTAAACAAAGCAGCCGGGAAGCTCGAACTGGGTGGAGCCCACCACAGCTCAAGGAGGCCTGCCTGCCTCTGTAGGCTCCACCTCTGGGGGCAGGGCACAGACAAACAAAAAGACAGCAGTAACCTCTGCAGACTTAAGTGTCCCTGTCTGACAGCTTTGAAGAGAGCAGTGGTTCTCCCAGCACGCAGCTGGAGATCTGAGAACGGGCAGACTGCCTCCTCTATTGGGTCCTTGACCCCTGACCCCCGAGCAGCCTAACTGGGAGACACCCCCCAGCAGGGGCACACTGACACCTCACACGGCAGGGTATTCCAACAGACCTGCAGCTGAGGGTCCTGTCTCTTAGAAGGAAAACTAACAACCAGAAAGGACATCTAACAGAAAACCCACCTGTACATCACCATCATCAAAGACCAAAAGTAGATAAAACCACAAAGATGGGGAAAAAACAGAACAGAAAAACTGGAAACTCTAAAACGCAGAGCGCCTCTCCTCCTCCAAAGGAACGCAGTTCCTCACCAGCAACGGAACAAAGCTGGATGGAGAATGATTTTGACGAGCTGAGAGAAGAAGGCTTCAGACGATCAAATTACTCTGAGCTACGGGAGGACATTCAAACCAAAGGCAAAGAAGTTGAAAACTTTGAAAAAAATTTAGAAGAATGTATAACTAGAATAACCAATACAGAGAAGTGCTTAAAGGAGCTGATGGAGCTGAAAACCAAGGCTCGAGAACTACGTGAAGAATGCAGAAGCCTCAGGAGCCGATGGGATCAACTGGAAGAAAGGGTATCAGCAATGGAAGATGAAATGAATGAAATGAAGCGAGAAGGGAAGTTTAGAGAAAAAAGAATAAAAAGAAATGAGCAAAGCCTCCAAGAAATATGGGACTATGTGAAAAGACCAAATCTACGTCTGACTGGTGTACCTGAAAGTGATGTGGAGAATGGAACCACGTTGGAAAACACTCTGCAGGATATTATCCAGGAGAACTTCCCCAATCTAGCAAGGCAGGCCAACGTTCAGATTCAGGAAATACAGAGAACGCCACAAAGATACTCCTCGAGAAGAGCAACTCCAAGACACATAATTGTCAGATTCACCAAAGTTGAAATGAAGGAAAAAATGTTAAGGGCAGCCAGAGACAAAGGTCGGGTTACCCTCAAAGGAAAGCCCATCAGACTAACAGCGGATCTCTCGGCAGAAACCCTACAAGCCAGAAGAGAGTGGGGGCCAATATTCAACATTCTTAAAGAAAAGAATTTTCAACCCAGAATTTCATATCCAGCCAAACTAAGCTTCATAAGTGAAGGAGAAATAAAATACTTTATAGACAAGCAAATGCTGAGAGATTTTGTCAACACCAGGCCTGCCCTAAAAGAGCTCCTGAAGGAAGCGCTAAACATGGAAAGGAACAACCGGTACCAGCCGCTGCAAAATCATGCCAAAATGTAAAGACCATTGAGACTAGGAAGAAACTGCATCAACTAACGAGCAAAATCACCAGCTAACATCATAATGACAGGATCAAATTCACACATAACAATATTAACCTTAAATATAAATGGACTAAATTCTGCAATTAAAAGACACAGACTGGCAAGTTGGATAAAGAGTCAAGACCCATCAGTGTGCTGTATTCAGGAAACCCATCTCACGTGCAGAGACACACATAGGCTCAAAATAAAAGGATGGAGAAAGATCTACCAAGCCAATGGAAAACAAAAAAAGGCAGGGGTTGCAATCCTAGTCTCTGATAAAACAGACTTTAAACCAACAAAGATCAAAAGAGACAAAGAAGGCCATTACATAATGGTAAAGGGATCAATTCAACAAGAGGAGCTAACTATCCTAAATATTTATGCACCCAACACAGGAGCACCCAGATTCATAAAGCAAGTCCTCAGTGACCTACAAAGAGACTTACACTCCCACACATTAATAATGGGAGACTTTAACACCCCACTGTCAACATTAGACAGATCAACGAGACAGAAAGTCAACAAGGATACCCAGGAATTGAACTCAGCTCTGCACCAAGCGGACCTAATAGACATCTACAGAACTCTCCACCCCAAATCAACAGAATATACATTTTTTTCAGCACCACACCACACCTATTCCAAAATTGACCACATAGTTGGAAGTAAAGCTCTCCTCAGCAAATGTAAAAGAACAGAAATTATAACAAACTATCTCTCAGACCACAGTGCAATCAAACTAGAACTCAGGATTAAGAATCTCACTCAAAGCCGCTCAACTACATGGAAACTGAACAACCTGCTCCTGAATGACTACTGGGTACATAACGAAATGAAGGCAGAAATAAAGATGTTCTTTGAAACCAACGAGAACAAAGACACCACATACCAGAATCTCTGGGACGCATGCAAAGCAGTGTGTAGAGGGAAATTTATAGCACTAAATGCCTACAAGAGAAAGCAGGAAAGATCCAAAATTGACACCCTAACATCACAATTAAAAGAACTAGAAAAGCAAGAGCAAACACATTCAAAAGCTAGCAGAAGGCAAGAAATAACTAAAATCAGAGCAGAACTGAAGGAAATAGAGACACAAAAAACCCTTCAAAAAATCAATGAATCCAGGAGCTGGTTTCTTGAAAGGATCAACAAAATTGATAGACCGCTAGCAAGACTAATAAAGAAAAAAAGAGAGAAGAATCAAATAGACTCAATAAAAAATGATAAAGGGGATATCACCACCGATCCCACAGAAATACAAACTACCATCAGAGAATACTACAAACACCTCTACGCAAATAAACTAGAAAATCTAGAAGAAATGGATACATTCCTCGACACATACACCCTCCCAAGACTAAACCAGGAAGAAGTTGAATCTCTGAATAGACCAATAACAGGCTCTGAAATTGTGGCAATAATCAATAGCTTACCAACCAAAAAGAGTCCAGGACCAGATGGATTCACAGCCGAATTCTACCAGAGGTACAAGGAGGAACTGGTACCATTCCTTCTGAAACTATTCCAATCAATAGAAAAAGAGGGAATCCTCCCTAACTCATTTTATGAGGCCAGCATCATTCTGATACCAAAGCCGGGCAGAGACACAACCAAAAAAGAGAATTTTAGACCAATATCCTTGATGAACATTGATGCAAAAATCCTCAATAAAATACTGGCAAACCGAATCCAGCAGCACATCAAAAAGCTTATCCACCATGATCAAGTGGGCTTCATCCCTGGGATGCAAGGCTGGTTCAATATACGCAAATCAATAAATGTAATCCAGCATATAAACAGAGCCAAAGACAAAAACCACATGATTATCTCAATAGATGCAGAAAAAGCCTTTGACAAAATTCAACAACCCTTCATGCTAAAAACTCTCAATAAATTAGGTATTGATGGGACGTATTTCAAAATAATAAGAGCTATCTATGACAAACCCACAGCCAATATCATACTGAATGGGCAAAAACTGGAAGCATTCCCTTTGAAAACTGGCACAAGACAGGGATGCCCTCTCTCACCGCTCCTATTCAACATAGTGTTGGAAGTTCTGGCCAGGGCAATCAGGCAGGAGAAGGAAATAAAGGGTATTCAATTAGGAAAAGAGGAAGTCAAATTGTCCCTGTTTGCAGACGACATGATTGTATATCTAGAAAACCCCATCGTCTCAGCCCAAAATCTCCTTAAGCTGATAAGCAACTTCAGCAAAGTCTCAGGATACAAAATCAATGTACAAAAATCACAAGCATTCTTATACACCAACAACAGACAAACAGAGAGCCAAATCATGACTGAACTCCCATTCACAATTGCTTCAAAGAGAATAAAATACCTAGGAATCCAACTTACAAGGGATGTGAAGGACCTCTTCAAGGAGAACTACAAACCACTGCTCAAGGAAATAAAAGAGGACACAAACAAATGGAAGAACATTCCATGCTCATGGGTAGGAAGAATCAATATCGTGAAAATGGCCATACTGCCCAAGGTAATTTACAGATTCAATGCCATCCCCATCAAGCTACCAATGACTTTCTTCACAGAATTGGAAAAAACTACTTTAAAGTTCATATGGAACCAGAAAAGAGCCCGCATCGCCAAGTCAATCCTAAGCCAAAAGAACAAAGCTGGAGGCATCACACTACCTGACTTCAAACTATACTACAAGGCTACAGTAACCAAAACAGCATGGTACTGGTACCAAAACAGAGATATAGATCAATGGAACAGAACAGAGCCCTCAGAAATAATGCCGCGTATCTACAACTATCTGATCTTTGACAAACTTGAGAAAAACAAGCAATGGGGAAAGGATTCCCTATTTAATAAATGGTGCTGGGAAAACTGGCTAGCCATATGTAGAAAGCTGAAACTGGATCCCTTCCTTACACCTTATACAAAAATCAATTCAAGATGGATTAAAGATTTAAACGTTAGACCTAAAACCATAAAAACCCTAGAAGAAAACCTAGGCATTACCATTCAGGACATAGGCGTGGGCAAGGACTTCATGTCCAAAACACCAAAAGCAATGGCAACAAAAGCCAAAATTGACAAATGGGATCTAATTAAACTAAAGAGCTTCTGCACAGCAAAAGAAACTACCATCAGAGTGAACAGGCAACCTACAACATGGGAGAAAATTTTCGCAACCTACTCATCTGACAAAGGGCTAATATCCAGAATCTACAATGAACTCAAACAAATTTACAAGAAAAAAACAAACAACCCCATCAAAAAGTGGGCGAAGGACATGAACAGACACTTCTCAAAAGAAGACATTTATGCAGCCAAAAAACACATGAAAAAATGCTCATCATCACTGGCCATCAGAGAAATGCAAATCAAAACCACTATGAGATATCATCTCACACCAGTTAGAATGGCAATCATTAAAAAGTCAGGAAACAACAGGTGCTGGAGAGGATGTGGAGAAATAGGAACACTTTTACACTGTTGGTGGGACTGTAAACTAGTTCAACCATTGTGGAAGTCAGTGTGGCGATTCCTCAGGGATCTAGAACTAGAAATACCATTTGACCCAGCCATCCCATTACTGGGTATATACCCAAAGGACTATAAATCATGCTGCTATAAAGACACATGCACACGTATGTTTATTGCGGCACTATTCACAATAGCAAAGACTTGGAACCAACCCAAATGTCCAACAATGATAGACTGGATTAAGAAAATGTGGCACATATACACCATGGAATACTATGCAGCCATAAAAAATGATGAGTTCATGTCCTTTGTAGGGACATGGATGAAATTGGAAACCATCATTCTCAGTAAACTATCGCAAGAACAAAAAACCAAACACCGCATATTCTCACTCATAGGTGGGAATTGAACAATGAGATCACAAGGACACAGGAAGGGGAATATCACACTCTGGGGACGGTGGTGGGGTCGGGGGAGGGGGGAGGGATAGCAGTGGGAGATATACCTAATGATAGATGACACGTTGGTGGGTGCAGCGCACCAGCATGGCACATGTATACATATGTAACTAACCTGCACAATGTGCACATGTACCCTAAAACTTAAAGTATAATAAAAAATAAAAAATAAAAAAAAAAAAATAAAAAAAAAAAAAATAAAGTCCTTGTGACATTGAGTTACAGGGCTTTCATTCCTGAGTTCTAAAAAAGGACATCAAGTCCTGCCAAATCTTAAACACTGACAGCAATTAAAGCTGCATCTTCAGGCCCCATAAAAGATACCAGTCAGAATAAACTACATTCCTAAGACACAGGGCCAGAAATTAAAGCTACTCAACTCCTCAAGGCCCAAGAACTATCGCAGAAGAGGTAGGTGCATGAGATTGTGAGGGCCAGTTTTTTAAAGATAAAATAGGTTCGGTTTCTCTATAAGTTAATCGTGAATGTCAAAGGCACACTGATGTAAGACCAGCATATAAGCCCCTGTGTCAGATTAACAAGATTTTTCTTGAAGCATTAACTGACTGCTTAATAAAGGCTATAAAGTTTATAAAATCCTTATGGAAGTTATATCTTATGGTCAAGATTAAAATTTTATAGGTTGTTTATAAAATTTTCAAAAACAAATTTAAATGGTTTCATGCTGTTTTTATTAGGGCTTATTGTTTGGAAAATTAAATCTCTTCTCTCAAAAAATGAAGGTTTTCACCTTTTCTGAAATCCTTGAGTTATCACTTTGGTTAAATGAATGACTTATTTTACAATGAATGACCTGTGATCCTATTTTGTGATATCAAGTGTTTTAAACCTTTGATATTTGACAAACTTTCCAAAAATCAAATTATGAATTATGTCTTTTTCTGACCTAATTAATCCTTTAAGATGTTAGGTTCCCAAAAGTCTAAAAATGCAATAATTTGGCTTATTTGGTATAAAAATTATACAGGAAGCATTGTCAAATGTGAAATGGTGTTTGTTTTTCTTTAGGCTGTATTTGTATAAATAAGTTATTGGTATGTGTTCCAAAATCATGGGAAACTCCTATAATTCTGATATGACTTAATGTACATTATCAGTAATAATTATAATTATTATGTTAAATTATTGTGTGCCACAAAGGTAACAAATTTCCTTGTCAATTGTGTCATCTTTAACTATGGCTATCCTAAAACCTTTTGTCATCCACAGACAATTGTTGTCTTGTTTTGGTCTTCCTTAGAAGGTGGTTTTATAATCAGGTATAGAACTCTAACAGGTGTTCTTAAATACAGGTTTCTGATCACTTTGGAGATTGTAACATTAGAATAGAGGAAAAAGCTTTCAGGACTCTCATGGAGAGCTGAAATGTTCATGAATATCAAGCAGAACAGGAAGTAACTGCGTAAACCAAACTGATAGAAGACTAAAGTAATCTTTTTTAACTTTTTGCTTAAAACGTTGCTGATCCTTTGTTTTGTTTTTCAGAGTCAAGAAAACTTTTCTTTTAACCTATTTATAACTTCAGCAATTGAGTAAAATACACTCCTATGAACAAAATTTGGAGCATATTTGTTTCTCTCTACCTGATTTCTCCAGAATTTGGAAACTATTATTTGTGGGTATTCTTAACTTACAACAATACAGTTATTTGCATAAGTGCAATAAGAATTTCATTTGTAACAGAACACAGTTGGAGAAACTGGTTATTTTGCCAAGACTTTAATAAATCAAACTTGACTTATGCAGCCAATAAAAGCCCTGTGGTTAAAACTGGCCTCATCCTTTGTTTACACAGTCCCTGTACAGGGTTCCTGACCTGTGGTAAGTAAAGAATGTCACTTTCTAACAGGCCCAGGAGCCCCAAGTTTATGTTGGAACCTCAAGAGCAGAGGATCACTCAACTCGTAGGTATTTGATGGCACAAACTTATGGCTGGGCTCGACTTTAAAAAAGTCTTATCTGAGATTCCTCCTATGAAACACAATTCCATTGAAGCCAATTGAAAAGCCTATGTAAAAAAATAGTTATTCTTGCTGCACTTTATACAAATTATTAGGCCAAGTATAATAAAGCAAACCAGTCCAGCCGTGATTTGTCTTTGGTAAAAATGGAAAACGGGAGAGAAAAATTGTATTTCAAAACTATAGCACACCTGTTGTTAGATTTTAGTCTTGCCTAATGTTTTTCAATTTTTATTATTGTCTACAGTTTGGGCTGAATTCTAATTTTTCCTAGCTATAAGTCTTAAAAATAATATTTTCCTTTTTTTCTTATTTATTTTCCTTTTTCCCATTTTTTCCTAATGTGAAATCACTGAAAAATAAGCTGTACTTGTGTAAAGCCCTGCGAACTGAAGCTAGACAACCTAAACTTCAGAAGCAGATAACAGCAACCTATTTACAAACATAAGCCACTGTCTTTCTTTTCTTTTTTTTTTTGAGAGGGAATCTCACTCTGTTGCCCAGGCTGGAGTGCAGTGGCGCGATCTTGGCTCACTGCAACCTCCGACTTCCGGTTCCAAGCGATTCTCCTGCCTCAGCCTCTCTACAGGTGCATGCCACCACGCCCAGCTAATTTTTGTATTTTCAGTAGAGCCAAGGTTTTACCATATTGTCCAGGCTGGTCTCGATCTCCTGACCTTGTGATCCACCCGCCTCAGCCTCCCAAAGTGCTGGGATTACAGGCGTGAGCCACGGGGTCTGGCCATAAGCCACTTTCATACCTGCTAACTGATGTATGGACTCCAGAGTAATGTGGCCTATACCAATTTTCCAGGATTGTTCTTTTGTTTGTTGTTGTTTTTCTCCCTTCCTCCCCCTACTTTCTCTTCATAGGACATGAGACTTTACAACCTGCTAAAAATGAGCTTTCCTAATAACTTGGGACCTGCCAATCTAGGAATAAACCATCCCAATCATGAAAGATCAAACGAAACCTGATACCAGAGACTCATTTTCTTCTAAAATGCTTCTCAAAAAAGTTTTTGAAAAGAGAAGGGAGTAAATGTGAAAGGAGAAGAAGTCATGGAGCCCCCAAATCACTAAGCTAAAGGGAAAAGTCAAGCTGGGAACTGCATAGGGCCCACCTGCCTCCCATTCTATTCAAAGCCACCCCTCTGCTCACTGAGATAAATGCACATCCAATTGCCTCCTTTGGAGAGGTTAATCAGAAACTCAGATGAATGCAACCATTTGTCTCTCATCTACCTATGACCTGGAAGACCCCTCCCTGCTTTGCTTCGAGTTTTCTTGCCTTTACAGACTGAACCAATATTCATCTCGTATATGTTGTCTAATGTCTCATGTCTCCCTAGAATGCATAAAACCAAACTGTGCCCTGACCACCTTGGACACATGTTGTCAGGACACATAACCTCCTGAAGTTGTGTCAAGGGCACACATCTTAAACCTTGGCAAAATAAACTTTCTAAATTAACTGAGCCCTGTTTCAGATTTTCAGTGTTCACATCATCCATCAAATGGGGACATTAATAAATTCCACTTCATGGAGTAGTTGTAAAGATTAAATGCAGTAATCTATGTGAAAATACGCTGTAAAGTGCTTTAAAATTATAAAAGTATTATATTTCTGCCCCAAAAATTATTTCCGGGAGAAAGAGGAAATAAACAAAACAAAACTTAGGCAAAAATTTCCATAGTTTAGAATTCTATAACACCATGACCAAATGGCCATGCAAATAACTAGGGTGTGTTAGACAACTCTTGCAGTAGTAATACTGGGAAAAAATCCTCAATTTCAATAGCTTACAATAACAAACTTTATTTTTCTTGCCCACGGGTTTGTGGGTAGACTGCATTTCAGCTCATCTTGACTGGGTTTCGCTGTGACAGGTTGGGCTCCAGGCTTCACGTTCACACGTGTAATGCATAACTTCAACATTCTGAGATCAGAAGCTACTTGAGCAACGTTCTTCTCATAGTGGATGGTAGAATTGCAAGGAATGAAGCCAAAGCATCTGAGCACATTTAAACCTGCTGCTCAACCGTAACTAATATTCCATTGTCCAAAGCAAGACGCATGGCCAAACCTTGTATCAATGGAGCAGGGAAATAAACCCTATCTCCTCTAGTGGGACAAAGCACACAGTAAGTGCATAGATGTATAATTCTATTGCAAGGAGGGAGTGAAGAGTTGAAAAAATTAATTCTATCTACAATATGGGAAATTTTCTTTTTTTTAAAGACAAAAGGAACTTCATATCATCCCTGCCTCCAAGATATGACATACAATATATGTAGCAATAGCATGGGAAGTTTTCTTACATCAAATTTGCATTAGCCAAAGTCATAAAATAACTTGGTTTCCAACTACCCCCAATATTTAAATGATTGTTGTTAAAATATTTGTGTGCTGTGTACGAGAAGTGCCCAGAAATTATGTTATAAGAAATAGGATCAGACTTTGAAAGGCCTTGAGAACCATGCCAAGAAGTTTAGCCTTGATCCAAGAATAACAGGAAGCTATTGAGGCCCCTGTAACTTTGTATTCAGAGACCCCAAAATGACCTTCTTCCTATATCTCACTACAGTGTTAGCCCAGGTGTACATACCAACAAAATTGGTTTTATCCTCCTTGCCCATACCTAGTGGGGCTTTCAGTACACTAGGCAGATAGTTACACATCAAATTTTGCTGATTTATTTTAAAATGATGGAAATAAAAATTATGTTTCTCATGGTGTCTGCCCTCTTTCTACTGAGGCTCCACTTAAGAGAAGAGTACTATTTCTTTGTTTGTTTATAACTTCCTTTTTTCTGCCCCAACTTTGTCTTCATTGCCTCTATTGTCCTACTATTGTCTGTTATATAAGCAGGCCCATGTACGTGATTCAGAAGACCTTCAGGGCCCAACTACGAAAAATTCCACTGTTCCTGTCTCCCTGGATGCTATAGTAACATGTACAAGGATAGAACACCAAGTACATATGGCACTCTCTCTATGCTTATTAGCATTGAGTCTCATTAGTCTTACTAGACTTCCTCTGTATCCTCTTTTAATATTCTGACTAATGTAACCTCTTTGCTTCCCCAAAACTGTGATAAGGGCATGTGTCTTACTCTGTTTGTGTTGCTATAAAAGAATACCTGAGGCTGCGTAATTTATTACAAAAAAGAGGTTTATTTCACTTAGAGTTCTGCAGGCTAAATAAGAAGCATGGCACCAGAGTCTGGTTCTGTGGAGGGCTTCAGGCTGCTTCCACTCATAGCAGAAGGTGAAGGGGAGCCCGTGTATGCAGGAATCACATGGCAAGAGAGGAAGCAAGACAAAGGGGAGGGAGCTGCCAAACTGAATTAAACAACCAGCTCTTGTGGGAACTAATAGATAATGAACTCATTCATTACCATGAGGATGGCGTTAAGCCATTCATGAGGGATCCACACCCATGACTCAAACACCTCCCATTAGGCCCCACCTCCAACATTAGGGAACAAATTTCAACATGAGGCTTGTGGGACAAGTATATCCAAACTATAGCAGCATAGATGGGAACCAGCTAACTGAGATTTCTTCCTGAGGAAATGGATTTTGATTTGCAGAGTGAAACTGGGAAGGATACAACAAATGGAAGTGCTTACTCATTTTATACCTGAAAAAATTAGGAAAGCTTCTACCCTCTAACTACAAATAGATTTCTTGAGTACTTATTCATTCATTCATTAATCCATTCAATATGTTAATTAAATGCCTACAATATTCCAGGTACAGTGCCAGGACCTGAAAATACGTTATGAGCTGAAACGGACACTTTTGTAGCCCTGTTACCAGAGTAATTGGTATAGTGGAAAAAATAATGGACTTCAAGCCAAAAAGAGCGGTGGTCTCCCAAATACTGGCCAAATAATTTTTTCTAGTCTCTGAAATGTAGACAAAGATATGTATTCTACTTTCCTCCCAGGAAAAACTATATCAATTGCTGCCATTTATATGCAACCACAGTACAAATGCCTTACATTAGTATTATTTTGAGTTTTTAATAACAACAATGCTTTAGTGTAATTACTTTACTGTAAGTACGCTTGTATCCCTCATTACTGCTGTGTAACAAGAGGCCACAAAATCTCAGTAGAACAAAACAATAACCATTTAACTTCATTCTTGTGAGCCTACAGATCAGCTAGGGTTGTTCTGCTTCATGTTGCAGGTCTGTGGGTCAGCTAGGGTGACTCTGATCCACATACCTCTTATTCTGGGATCAGTGAGCTACCGGGGAGGCACGTTGTTTTCAAGACAGTGGCAAAAGCACAATAAAGAGAAGCAGAAACGTGAGAGGGTTCTTAAGGCCTACGTTCAGAATTGCACTGTCATTTCTATCCATGTTCCATTGCTCCAAGAAAATCACGTGACCAAGCCCAACATCAATGAGGTGGAGAAATACATGTCAACAGTGGCAGAGAGAAGGAAGTGAAGATTTGCTAAATAATCATCTATGTCATCCCAACTCTCCTTTTCTCTAGTTAAGATAAAAAATAATAATTTGGGGTAGGACATATGCTTTCAACATGCCATATTCCTGCTCAAAAGCCACACTGCAATGGCTCTGTAGTACATGTTTATTAAACAAGCCAACAGTGATCACTAACCCCTTTCTCCCTTGACACCTCAATTAGAGAGGCTGGAAAGCCCAATACTTCCTTTCCCATCCTCCTTTGCCTAAAAGGATAAGCATATGGCCCAGTCCTGTCCAGTGAAACAAAGTCAGAAGTCTGACAGAGGCTTTTGGAAAAACTTTTGTTCCCTTTAGAAAGGGTCAGGTATGAGAACAGAGCTGGCTGGCAACACCACTTCCCCTTCTTTCCAATATGAATGTAGAAGTGATACCATTTTAAGACTAATATGACAAGCCAACATCCTCAGGACTGGTTCACTGGTGGCATTACCAGACATCTCATGTGAGTAAAATAAAGCTTTATTTGTTAAAGTCACTTTTGGGTTACTTGAAGATAAAATGCATCCTATACAGACTCTCAATTGTCTATTAGATAAAAACGAAACTCTTCTGCATGGCTTTCCATGGCCTTATTATCTTGGATCCCATCTGCCTACCCACCCTTTAAAAACATGCACCCTCAACTCAGGCCATACTACTCTCTTCATGTCTTTGCTCTTGGAATGCCCTCTCTCTTCCCATTTGCTAATCCAACTACAATCCATTCTTCAACACCAAGCTCATAACCAACTTTCTTCATGTAATTCAACTCAAAGTGAACTCTTTCCTTTTCTGAAACCCAGTTGAGAGTCAATCCAACAAGAACCTAGCTTAGCTTTTGTGTTCTCCACATTGATTGGGTAACTGTCTCATAGCCCTTAACAAGAATGAACATTTCTTACGGATGGCTCCCCATGGCTCTGAGTGGTACCAGTCTTAGAATATAGCACAATACAATAAAAATGTATTGATTATTATAAATAGGACATAGTTTCTACTTTATAAATAGGCTGGAATCCAAGTAATTTTCAAGTAGTCAGTTGTCTGGAAGTTAGAATATATTTTCTATAGAAAATCCAACCAATCTACTTCCCTAGAGATGTAAAGAGAAAAGCATCTCCTCATCTTTCCTTTGCCCTAGATAAGCCCTAATGCAATACTCATCCATTTGTTCATTCATATAACAAATATTTATCTGGTACCTATAATATTGGTCATGTAGCATTACTTTGATAAGCTATCTTTAACACGTCTCCATCTTCCTCTCTATTACTTTCTAGAATACCAGCATTTTTTTTCTATGCTAAGCTCCAACTCAGACTTCCTCTCTGCCCCAAATGCTCCATGTTGCCAAAGTTATCTATACTCCTACCCTTATCACAGGGCCTTGTTTTTTCAGGCAGTGGTTTAGGAGAAAACCCATCTGACCATGCTAATTCACACAAGCTATGAATCACTAAGAGCCATTTACAAGTCCCGCATTGCTGCTTTTTTTGTTCATATAAACTAATCTTTCGACTCTGTAGAAGTTCATTCCAAATACAAGTTAGAAAAGCTCACAATGTTGAAGAAGTCATCAGGTAGTAGGTAAGCTAACTCTCCTCTGAACCCAGGGGCATGTCATGTCAAGCATCTTTTCCTCCAGTTCTGAACTTAAGGAATCAGTTTTAAAACCCAACTTGATTGAGGTATGCTTGATATACAATAGCCTGCACACATTTAAAGAGTATGATTTTAAAATTTGGACATGTGTATACACTTATGAAAGCATCAACACAATAAAGGGAAAGAACATTTCCATCACCTCTAAAAATTGCCCCCGTCCCTTTGTAATCCACTGATCTGCTTTCCATCGTTATAGACTAGTTTCCTAGTTTTTTTATATAAATGGAATCATATGGTAGATAGACGAAGTATGGATGGAAAGATAAAGTATTTTTGGCTCCTTTCTGGCAGCTTAGTCGCGAACATATCAATAGTTCATTCCTTTTTATTGCTGAATAATATTCCATTGTATGGATATACCATAATTTTTCTTATTCATTCACCTATTGATGGATGTGTTGGTAAAAACCCACACATCTTTCAACTATTGGGGCTATTACAAATAACGTTGCTATGTGATGAAAAAAACTGAAGATGACACAAATAAATGGAAAGATGTCTGTTCATGGATTGAAAGAACTAATATTGTTAAAATGTCTGTATTATACAAAGCACTGTATAGATTCAATGCAATTCCTACCAAAATTTCAATGTCATTCTTCACAGAAATAGAAAAAAATTCAAAATTCACATGAAACCACAAAAGACCCCAAATAGCCAAACCATCTTGAGCAAAAAGAACAAAGTTTGAGGCATCACACTACTGGATGGCAAAATATATTACAAAGACATAATAATCAGAAGAGCATAATACTGGCATAAAAATAGACATATTGACCAGTGGAATAAGATAAAAAAGCCCAGACATAAACCTACGCATTTATGGTCAACTGATTTTCAACAAAGCTTCCAAGAACACACAATGGGGAAAGGAGAGTCTCTTCAATAAATGGTGTTAGGGAAACTACATATGAGGAAGAACGAAACTGGAGTTTTATCTCACCCCTTCAATGAGAATCAACTCTAAATGAATTAAAGACTTAAATATAAGACCTGAAACTATAAAACTACTAGAAGAAAACATAGAGGAAAAGCTCCATAACAATAGTCTGGGCAATGATTTCCTGGATATGACCCCAAAGGCACAGGCAACTAAAGCAAAAATAGATAAATGGGATTATATCAAACTGAAAAGCTTCTGCACATAAATGAAACAATTGAAGCAAAGGGACAACGTACAGATTCGGAGAAAATATTTGCAAATCATACCTCAAATAAAGGGGTTTAATATCCAAAATATACAAGAAACTCAAACTACTCAATAACAAGAAAACAAAATAGCTCTATTAAAAAAATGGGCAAAGGATCTGAATAGACATTTCTCAAAGGAAGGCATACAAACAACCAAGAGATATATGAAAAAATGCTCAACATATTTAATCATCAGAGAAATGTAAAATAAAATCACAATGTGAAATCACCTCACAATTGTTAGATGTGCTATTATTAAAAAGATGAAAGATAACAAGTTTTGGCAAGAATGTGGAGAAAAGGGAACCCTTGGAGACCGTTGGTAATATTGTACATTAGTACATTTTGGGAAACAGTATGGCAGGTCCTCAAAAAACTAAAAATAAAATTATCATACAATCCAGCAATCCCGCTTCTGGATATATATCCAAAGGAATTGAAATTAGTATGTTAAAGAGTTGTCTGCTCTCTTATATTCATTGCAGTATTATTCACAATAGTGAAGATACAGAAACAGAAGTGCTCATCAATGAACAATGGCTTTTTAAAAGGTAGTATATATATATATATACACACACATATATATATACACACATATATATACACACACACACATACACACACACACACACACACACACACACACACACACATATATATATATACAATGGAAAACTAACTTTCCAGCCTTATAAAAGCAGGAAATTCTGTCATTTGCAACAACATGAATGAACCTACAGGACATTACACTAAGTGAAATAAGACAGGCACAAAGAGACAAATACCATATGATCTTACTTATATGTGGAATCTAAAAAAATCAAACTTCACAGAAGTAAAGATTAGAGGGTAACAGTTACCAGGGACTAGAAATGAGGGGGTACACAGAAAAAGGGGAGACCCTGGTCAAAGGGTACAAATTTCAGTTAGACGGAGGCACGATTCACAATACTCAATATATGGAATCAACCTAAGTGTCCATAGTTGGATAAATGGATTAAAAAAGATGTATATACAAACAATGGAATACTATTCAGCTATAAAAGAAGAAGGAAATTCTGCCATTTGTGACAAAATGGATGAACTTGAAGGACATTATTATAGGTGAAGTAAGCTAAGCACAGAAAAACAAACACTACATGATCTCCCTCATATATGGAATCTCAGAAAGTTGATCTCATAGAAGTAGACAGCAGAATAGTGGCTACCAGAGGCTGAGCAAGGGAGGTGGTAGAGAGGGAATGGGGAAGAGATTGATCAATCGGTACAAAGTTAAAGTTCAATAAGAGATATAAGTTCTGGAGTTCTATTGTACCGTAGGGTTACTATATTCAACAATCATGTACCGTATACTTCAAAATAGCTAGAAGAGAGGATTTTGAATGTTCTCACCACAAAGAAATGACAAATGTTTGAGGTAATGGAAATGCTAATTATAGTGATTTGATCATTACTCAATGTATATATTTGTCAAAACATCACACTGTACCCCATAAATATGTACAGTTATTATGTGTCAATTAAAACCAAAATATTTAAAAAACTAAAATGTCATGCACATTCACATACATGTCTTTATAGGGACATATCCTTTCACTAATCTTGGATAAATATCTAGGAGTGAAATGGCTGGGTCATATGGAAACCTGAAATATATTTGGAAACTCTAAGGATTTTCTGTCATTCCCAAAGTATTAGCATCAGAGGCCTTGTTCATAGGTGCAGAGGTAAGAGGCATTTAAACATCATGTGTTTATAACCAGAGGTTTGCCAATGGTTGGGAAACAATTCTTCATGAGTATTTCATTCTGCGCAAAGGCATCAACAGCTTTAGTACTAAACTTTTTTCCAAGGATGTCTGTGTAATACAGAGCCAGGACTAGAGTGAAGCAAGCGTGGCACCTAGGATTCAAAGCTTAAAGAGTCGTGGTGGCACAGATAATGAAGAAAAGCAGGTGGGGCGACAGCCCACCCAGGAGTGGCACAGAGACCAAGGAACCCCCACCCCCAGCCAAGGGAAGCAGTGAGTGATTGTGCAATCCCACCCAGGAAACCACACTTCTCCCATGGATCTTTGCAACCAGCGGATCAGAAGATCCCCTCATACGCCCACTCCACCAGGGCTTTGGGTCCAATACAAGAGCTGTGTGGTATCCTGGCAGAGCAGCTGCTCAGGCACACACAGAGGCCCAGGAGTTTTGCATAATCCTGCCCCAGGATTCCTGACAAGGCAGAAGATTCATCCCTACATATCCCTTGGAGTGGGGGCTGAATCCAGGGAGCCAAGAAGTGTCTGTGGGCCCCATTTCCATGGCACCTCATAACTTAAGACCCACTGGCTTCGAATTCCAGCCAGCCAGCGGTGACAGGCTGGAGCCAGCCTAGTAAAAGGACTGAGTTCCCAGGGGGAGGAGCGGCTGCCAACTCTGCAGTTTGGTCAACTCAGGTGTTCCAGCCTGCTGGCTCCAGAGAGTCCAGATGGTCCAGATGAGGAAGGTTTCCCCACAACACAGCACAGCTGTGCTACCAAAAAGCAGCCAGACTGCTTCTTTAAGCAGGCCCTGATCTTGTTCCTCCTGACTGGGTGAGACCTCCCAACAGGGGTCTCCAGGCACCGCCTACAGGCACAGTTCAGGCTGGCAACAGGTCAGTACCCCGCTGGGACAGAGCTTCCAGAGGAAGAAGCAAGCTGCCATCTTTGCTATTTCACAGCCTTCACTGGTGATACCTCCAGGTATGGGAAAAACAAAGGCAACTAGGGTCTGGAGCAAACCTCCAGCAAACTGCAGCAGTCCTGTGGAAGAGTGGCCTGGCTCTTAAAAGACAAACAGAAAACAACAACATCAACAAAAGAGAGCCCACAAAAACCCCATTCAAAGGTCAGAAACCTCAAAGGTCAAAGGTAGATAAGCCCACAAAGATGAGAAAGAATCAATGCAAAAACGCTGAAAACTCAAAAAGCCAGTGTGCCTCATCTCCAAATGACTGCAACACCTCTCCAGCAAGGGCACAGAACTGGGCTGAGGCTGAGATGACTGAATTGACAGAAGTAGGCTTCTGAAGGTGAGTAACAACAAACTTCACTGAGCTAACAGAGTATGTTGTAACCCAATGCCAAGAAGCTAGCAATCAGGATAAAACAATAGAGGAACTGATAGCCAGTTTAGAGAGGAACATAACTGACCCGATGAGCTGAAAACCATGAGAACTTCACAATGCAATCACAAGTATCAATAGCAGAATATACCAAGTGGAGGAAAAATCTCAGCATTTGAAGACTATCTTTATGAAATAAGACAAGCAGACAAGAATAGAGAAAAAAGAATGAAAATAAACAAAACCTCTGAGAAATATGGGATTATGCAAAGAGATTGAAACTACAGCTGATTGGGGTACCTGAAGGAGACGGGGAGAATGGAACCAGGTTGTAAAACATACCTCAGGATATCATCGAGGAGAACTTTCCCAATCTAGCAAGACAGGCCAACATTCAAATTCAGGAACTGCAGAGAACCCCAATAAGATACTCCATGAGACAGTCAACTCCAAGACACTTTATCATCAGATTTTCCAAGGCTGAAATGAATGAAAAAATATTAAGGGCAGCCAGAGAGAAAGCCCAGGTCACCTACAAAGGAAACACATTGGACTAACAGTGGGCCTCTCAGCAGAAACCCTACAATCCAGAAGAGATTGGGGGTCAATACTCAATATTCCTAAGGAAAATAATTTCCAACTCAGAATTTCATATCTGGCCAAACTAAGCTTCATAAGTGAAGGAGAAATAAGATCCTTTTCAGACAAGCAAATGGAAGGAATTTGTCACTACCAGGCCTGCTTTGCAAGAGCTCCTGAAAGAAGCACTAAATATGGAAAGGAAAAACTGTTACAAGCCACTAAAAAAGCACACCAAAGTACACAGACCAGTGACACTATGAAGCAACCAGAGAAACAAGTCTGCAAAATAACTAGCTAGCATCATGATGACAGGATCAAATTCACACATAACAATACGAACCTTAAATGTAAATGGGCTAAACACCCCAATTAAAGGACACAGAATGGCAAGCTGGATAATGAGCCAAGACCCATTGACATGCTGTCTTCAAAAGACCCATTTCACGTGCAAAGACACAAATAGGCTCAAAATAAAGGGATGGATGAAAATTTACCAAGCAAATAGAAAACAGAAAAAAGCAGGAGTTGCAATCTTAGTTTCTGACAAAACAGACTTAAAACCAACAAGGATCAAAAAAGACAAAGAAGGGCACTACATAATAGTAAAGGGTTCAATTCAATAAGAAGAGCTAACTATCCTAAATATATATACACTCAATACAGGAGCAGTCAGATTCATAAAGCAAGTTCTTTGAAACCTACGGAGACAGGCCGGGCATGGTGGCTCATGCCTGTAATCGCAGCACTTTGGGAGGCCGAGGTGGGCGAATCAGAAGTTCAGGAGATTGAGACCATCCCAGCCAACATGGTGAAATCCTGTCTCTACTAAAAATACAAAAATTAGCTGGGCGTGGTGGCGGGTGCCTGTAGTCCCAGCTACTCGGGAGGCTGAGGCAGAAGAATCACTTGAACCCAGGAAGCAGTGGTTGTAGTGAGCCAAGATCATGCCACTGCACTCCAGCCTGGGTGACAAGAGCAAAAACTCTGTATCAAAAAAAAAAAAAAAAAAAGAAAAAAGAAAGAAAAAAGAAAAAAAAAGAAACCTGCAGAGACTTAGACTCCTACATGATAATAGTGGGACACTTTAACACCCCACTGACAATATTAGACAGATCATCAAGACAGCAAATTAACAGACATTCAGGACCTGAACTCAGCTCTGGATCAAGTGGACCTGATAGATATCTACAGAATTCTCCACCCCAAAACAATAGAATATGCATTCTTCTCATCGCCACATAGCACTTACTCTAAAATTGATCACATAATTGAAAGTAAAACACTCCTTAACAAATACAAAAGAACTGAAATCATAACAAACAGTCTCTCAGACCACAGTGCAATCAAATTAGAATTCAAGATTAAGAAATTCACTCAAAACCACACAACTACATGGAAATTGAACAAGCTGCTTTTGAATGACTCTTGGGTAAATAATTAAATTAAGGTGGACATCAAGAAGTTCTTTGAAACTAATGAGAACAAAGAGACAATGTACCAGAATCTCTGGGATGCAGCTAAAGCAGTGTTAAGAGAGAAATTTATAACACTAAATGCCCACATCAAAAAGCTAAAAAGATCTCATATTGACACCCTAGCATCACAACTGAAAGAACTAGAGAACTAAGAGCAAACAAACCCCCAAACTAGCAGAAGACAAGAAATAACCAAGATCGGAGTGGAACTGAAGGCAAGAGAGACACGAAAAACTCTTAAAAAAAAAAATAAACGAATCCAGGAGCTGGTTTTTTGAAAAATTTAATTAAAAAGATAGACTGCAAGCTAGAGTAATAAAGAAGAAAAGAGAGAAGAATCAAATAAACACAATCAGAAATGATAAGGGGGATATCACCACTGACCCCACAGGAATACAAACAACCATCAGACAATACCACAAACACTTATATACACATAAACTAGAAAATCTAGAACAAATGGATAAATTCCTGGACACATACACCCTCCCAAGACTGAACCAGGAAGAAATTGAATCCCTGAACAGACCAATAATGAGCTCTGAAATTGAGGCAGTAATAAATAGCCTATAACCAAGAAAAGCCCAGGACCAGACGAATTCACAACTGAGTTCTACCAGAGGTACAAAGAAGAGCTGGTACCATTTCTACTGAAACTATTACAAAAAATTGAAAAGAAGAGACTCCTCCCTAACTCATTCTATGAGGTCAGCATCATCCTGATACCAAAACCTGGCAGAGATACAACAAAAAAAGAAAGCTTCAGGACAATATCCTTGATTAATATTGATGCAAAAATCCTCAAAAATACTGGCAGACCAAATCCAGCAGCACATCAAAAAGCTTACCCACAATGACCAAATTGGCTTCATCTCTGGGATGCAAGGTTGGTTCAACATATACTAACCAATAAACGTAATTCATCACATAAACAGAACCAAAGACAAAAATCACATGATTATCTCAATAGATGCAGAAAAGGCCATCAATAAAATTCAGTATCCCTTCAAGTTAAAAACCCTCAATAAACTAGGTATTGAAGGAGCACACATCAAAATAATAAGAGCCATATATGACAAACTCACAGCCAATATCATACCGAATGGGCAAAAGCTGGAAGCATTTCCCTTGAAAAGCAGCACAAGACAAGGATACCCTCTCTCACAACTCCTATTCAACATAGTATTGGAAGTTCTGGCCAGGGCAATCAGGCAAGATAAAGAAATAAAGGTATTCAAATAGGAAGAGAGGAAGTCAAATTATCTTTGTTTGCAGAAGACATGATACTATATCTAGAAAACCCCATCATCTCAGCGCAAAAGCTTCTTAAGCTGATAAGTAACTTTAGCAAAGTCTCAGAGTACAAAATCAATGTGCAAAAATCACTAGCATTCCTATATATCAACACCAGACAAGCAGGGAGCCAAATCATGAATGAACTGCCATTCACAATTGCTACAAAGAGAATAAAGTACCTAGCAATACAGCTAACAAGGGAAGTGAAGGACTTCATGTAGAACTACAAACCACTGCTCAAAGAAATCAGAGAGGACATAAACAAATGGAGAACCATTCCATGCTCATGGAGAGGAAGAATCAATATCATGAAAATTGCCATACTGCCCAAAGTAATTTATAGATTCAATACTATTCCCGTTAAACTACCATTAACATTCTTCACATAATTAGAAAAAAGAATTCAAAATTCATATGGAGCCAAAAAGAGCCTGAATAGCCAAGACAATCCTAAGCAAAAAGAACAAAGCTGCAGGCACCATGCTACCCAACTTCAAACTATATTACAAGGCTACAGTAACCAAAACAGCATGGTACTGGTATGAGAACAGACACATAGACCAATGGTACAGAATAGAAAACTCGGAAATAAGACCGCACACCTACAACCATCTGATCTTTGACAAACCGGACGAAAACAAGCAGTGAGGAAAGGACTCCCTATTTAATAAATGGTGCTGTGAGAACTGGCTAGCCATATGCAGAAAATTGAAACTGGACCCCTTCCTTACACAATATAGAAAAAATAACTCAAGATGAATTAAAGACTGAAATGTAAAACCCAAAACTGTAAAAACCCTAGAAGAAAATCTAGACACTATCATTCCGGACACAGACACGGGCAAAGATTTCATGATGAAAACACCAAAAGCAACTGCAACAAAAGCAAAAGTTGACAGATAGGATCTAATTAAACTAAACAGCTTCTGCACAGCATCAGAGTGAAGAGACAACCTACAGAATCAGAGAAAATCTTTGCAATCTATCCATCTGACAAAGGTCTAATATCCAGAGTCTACAAGAAACTTAAATTTACAAGGAAAAAACAAACAACCCCATTAAAAAGTGGGCAAAGGACAGGAACAGACACTTCTCAAAAGAAAACATACATGCAGCCAACAAACATGAAAAAAAAGCTCAACATCACTAATCATTAGAGAAATGCACATCTAAACCACATTGAGCTACCATCTCATGCCAGTCAGAATGGCTATTATTAAAAGTTAAGAAATAACAGACGCTGGCAAGGTTGCAGAGAAAAAGGAAAGCTTTTACACTCTTGGTGGGAGTGTAGAGTAGTTCAATCATTGTGGAAGACAGTGTGGCAATTCCTCAAAGACCCAGAGGCAGAAATACCATCTGACCCAGCGATTCCATTACTGCGTATATACCCAAAGTAATATAAATCATTCTATTGTAAAGATACATGCACGCATATGTTCATTGCAGCACTATTCACAATAGCAAAGACATGGAATCAACCTAAATGCCCATCAATGATAGACTGGATAAATAAAATGTGGTACATATAAACCATTTAATACTATGCAGCCGTAAAAAGGAACCAAATCATGTCCTTTGCAAGGACATGGATGGAGTTGGAAGCCATTATCCTCAGCAAACTAACGCAGGAACAGAAAACCAAACACCATATGTTCTCACTTATAAGTGGGAGCTGAATGATGAAAACACATGGACCCATGGTGGGGAACAACACACACTGTGGCCTGTCAGAAGGGAGTGTGGGAGGAGGGAGAGCATCAGGAATAATAGTTAATGGACACTGGGCTTAATACCTAGGTGATGGGATGATCTGTGCAACAAACCACCATGGCACACACTTACCTGTGTAACAAACCTGCAAATCCTGTACATGCACCCCTGAACTTAAAATAAAAGTTGAAAAAAATGTAAAAAACAAAAAAGAGTCACGGTGGTGCACACCTATAGTCCTAGCCACTTGGGAGTCTAAGGCAGTAAGATCGCTTGAGCCCAGGAATTCGAGGCTGCAGTGAGCTATGATCACACCATTGAACTCCAGTCTAGGGGACAGAGTGAGACCCTGTCTCCAAAAAAATAAATAAATAAAAGAGGCACATGCTTCCAGGTTGTGCTAGTTCAACTGGCCCAGAATCGTCAGCACCTCAGAGCAAACACTTTTAAAATGGTGAGTCTTGGGCACTTCACTTGCCTCATCCTAGTCCTGGAGCTATACAGCAAATAGCCTTGGCAGATACAGTGTTTCCCTCCAGAGCAAAGGGAGGAGCCATGGGAGAGAGGGTGGGGTGTTGGAGAAGAACCTCAGAAGAGAGAGATTTATGAGAAGGGTCTGGAAAGCCAATCTAAGGAAAGTAGGACTTTTTAAGTACAATGGATGCTTCAAAGTTGACTTTTGCTTATTTTGCTTTTAAATGGGGAAGCCATAGGATATGTATTTATCACAATGAATTATGATCGCTTGTATCTATAAAAAATTTTCCCTGCTAGGTTTTCAGCTCCTCACGGGACTCTATCTTGTTCACTTATGCCCTCCAGCTTCACCCCAGGAACAGAATTGCTACTCAAAACAAAAGTTAATTGAATTAATTAATGTATCTTAACAAATGAGTTAGCAAAAACTAACTTCCCCTCTCAGATACTTCACATGCATTATGTACTTCAATATCCCTTGTTTGTGAATAATTTTAAACAACTAAATGAAAAATTTGAATGTTCTTGAGGTTGTTGAACAAATTATTATACCAGGTTATGTCTTACAATTTTTCTCTCACTTTTCATTACTGTATTCATGAGATGGCATATTTTTAATCACTTTGTGTGGGATACTAATACAGTAGTTATCTGCACTGTAAAATAAATTTTTATATTCTTTTTATTAAATATAACTTTTTAAATTCATAAGGTGCCATGTATTATTCATTGACAAGTCTTGGCTCATGATACAGATTATATATCATTTTTTCCATGTGTCATAAGTGGTCACTTAGATTGAAATAAAATTATATTTAATAAAACTCAGAGCTGGCAAATTTTTCTTTCATTTCAAAGTGAATTTCTGGCCACTTCCCCTTGCCAAACGTTACGGATGAAAAATCTTTCATTAAGACACTTATAAGAAGCTCATATACCAATATTTATTTTTTCTCTAAAATGCTTTCTTGGGTCTAATAATTTTTATAGGTTAATAGTGCAAACCCCTTGAGAGAAAATATATGCCTTATTCACAAAGAAGGGAGAATATAACATATGTATATATATATGTAGAGAGAGAGAGAGAGAGTCCATTGAAATTTTACCAGACTCTAAATCCACTAGATTCTGCCCTTTTTCTTTCAATTCAAAAAAGTTCAAAGTTCTTCTTTAAAACAATGTATAATTATAGAAAACGTATTAGTCAAAATTATTTTTATTTTAAATGCACTATAAAATTTCTTAAAATTCTTTCATAGCTATAATTTTGCCTACAATACTATACACTTTGATAAGTGCAGAATCTTTCCAGAACTATTTCCTTTATTGATAGAAACTTACACTTCCTACTGAGGAAAATCAGGCTCAAAGGTGAGAAATGTATAACTTAAAGAGTTGCTCATGGTAACCAGAAACTCTAGCTTCTCTTTTCCTAAGCTTCTTTTACCATCTACAAATATAAGCTTCAGCTTCTCTCCTTTCCCTGCTCTTTCCTCTAAGCACTTGCACTTGCTTCTTAAAAATAATACTACCAGTATGCTCTGCCAGCTCTCACCAATGTTAGTTATTATTACCACATTTATACTGAAATTTGTGAAGTCTGACAAAATAAGGTGTAAAGGGAAACCAGGCATGTTTCTTTTATCAACCACTGTTTGTCACCAATTGTTCTGTAACCGGGTGGATGAGAAAGGGGTGTTGGAAGTCTGGTCCTTACATGGGCCTCTCAACTTGATTCCCATCTGTAAGCACAGCCCTACCCACATACCCAATGGTCACCATGGAAAACAGCTGAGAGTACAAAGGAAACCCAACTCCACTACCGGCAACAATTGACTCAACTTCAGGAAAATAAGCACTAGAGGGAAAAAAGAGAAAGCCTGGAATCTTCTCTTAACGACAAACCCCTAGCCATGTCATGTGCACCCTGAGCTTCCATGTTATCATTTGGAACAGAAAAACAACTAGTGCCTATTTCTCAAGGCAGTGTAGAGCTCAAATGACACAAAGCAAGTAAAAGCAGTTTCTAAATTCAATCTAGTTTTCAATTTGCATTCTCTTTTTTCCTAAGCATATGTATTTTCACTGCGCCAAAATTATATGCATTATATCCTCTTTAAAAAAAAAAAACACACATTTAGATTAAAAAACAATCCCCTTGGGTCTCCAACCCCAGTTATATCCATCATCTTCCCTTCCACAGAGCAAGCATTACCAGGAGCTAGTATGCATCTGTCCACATTGATTGCACAAAGATATCTACTTCTTTTCCCTTTAACTGCAGTTTGTTATGCCATTTTGTAAACAGACCACATTTTATTTATTTATTCTTCTTTTTTTTTTTTTTTTTTTTTTTTTTTTGAGACGGAGTCTCTCTCTGTCACCCAGGCTGGAATGCAGTGGCGTGATCTCGGCTCACTGCAACCTCCGCCTCCCAGATTCAAGCGATGTTCCTGCCTCAGCCTCCCGAGTAGCTGGGATTACCTGGCTAATTTTTATATTTTTAGTAGGGGGGTGGGTTTCACCATGTTGGCCAGGCTGGTCTCGAACTCCTGGCCTCAAGTGAGCCGCCTGCCTCGGCCTCCCAAAGTGCTGGGATTACAGGCAGGAGCCACCATGCCCGGCCTGTTCTTCTTTAAACAGACATTTGTTTCCAATATTTTATTAGCACAAATAGGCCTGAAAGGAGCATCTTTATTCCATCCTTGTACACCAGTGTGAGCATATAAGGCATGTAGCTCAAGGTGGAATTTCTAGGTCATTAAGGTTCACGTATTCCACTTGTAACTTTTGCCACCCAAAGCCTTTTCAATTCTTTTACATGCTCACCAGCAGTGTACATCAGAGGACCTGTTTCCTCATATTCTGAGTATTTTCAGACTTTAAAAGTTTGGTCATTCCAATGAATGAAGAAATGACATTTTGCTGGTTAATAGTCAGGATGAACTTCTTTTCACAGAATGTATTAAATATTTGGATTTCTTTTCTGAATTGCCTGGGCAACCTTTGCCCATTTTTCTGTTCCATATTTTTTCTCTTCTTATTGAGGTATAGGGGTTCTTTATGCATTTTTGGATACTAATTATTTGTCACATATGGTAAAAGTGTTTCTCCCCATCTGTTGTTTTTCCTTAAATTTTGTATACAGTAGTGTCCTTTGACTTGCAAAAGTCTCTACATTGACGTAGTCAAATATATTGTTTTCTTTTTACATATTGTGCTTTTTGTGATTTGTATTTTTAAAGTCTCCCATTCATCATGGTCATAAAGATACTATACTACAGCCAGGTGTGGTGGCTCACGCCTGTAATTCCAGCACTTTGGGAGGCTGAGGCAGGCGGATCACTTGAGGCCAGGAGTTCGAGACCAGCCTGGGCAACATGGTGAAACCTCATCTCTACTAAAAATACAATTAGCCAGGCGTGGTGGTGCACAACTGCCATTCCAGCTACTTGGGAGGCTGAGGCACAAGAATCACTTGAACCCAGGAGGTGGAGGCTGCAGTAAGCCGAGATCGCACCACTGCACTGCAGCCTGGACAACACAGTGAGGCTCTACCTCAATTTAAAAAAAAAAGATATACTACAATTTCTTATATTTTAAAGGTTCTTTAAAAAAAAAAAACTAAACATGTAATTTATCTGGAAATTTTTGTGAACGGTGTGAGAAAGCAGTCTATTTTTAATGTCAAAGTCATTTTCCTAACATGATTTATTGAATGGCTCATCATTTCTTCATTGATTTTTAATGTCATTTTCTTCCTGGAACAATTTTCCATTTGTTTCCATGTTCTCCATTCTGATTCTGATCTACCTGTCTCTTCCTGCACCAACAGCATGCTATGCTCATTACTATAGCCACTTAACAATGTGTCTTAACGTTTGGTAAGTTCCTTTTACAAACACGTCTTTTCTGCCCATTTACTATTCTATAAGGATTGTAGAATCTGGCCAGTTCCATTAAAAATCTCAGTGGGAGTTTTGGTATTACAATAAATTCATAGATTCATTTGGAAAAAGTGTTCCAGCTGAATAATGTAGCTTGTATCTGCATTTACTTAGATATTTCTTGTCTTTTAACAAAGTTTTATATTTTTTCCTTAAAGATATTATATATATTTGATTGGCTGTGTAGTTTTACTAGGTTTGTATTGTTGTTGCTATACTGAATAGGATCTTACTTCTTACCTATTTAATTGGTTGCTACTGGTGTATGGGCACAATAGTAATTTTTTATGCTAATCCTATCTCAAGAAATCTGACTGAACTCTCTTACTAGTTTTACAGCATAGGTTTATCCTCTTGAATTTTCTGTAAATGGTTTGAAAATAATGAAATTGTGCCTTCTTTCCTGTTACAGTCTTTATACTTCTTATTTCTTTTCCCTGTTGTATCATATTATGAGGACCTCCCGTACAATATTAAATAGTAGGAGAAGCAGAGACATCTTCATCATGTCTCAGATCCAGCCTCAATGGCAATACTTCTTGTCAGCATGAATTACCATCTTTGCTGAATCTTTATTTCTGTTCACTATGAGATTGTATCACTAATGGGTTTTGAAATTGTATCTCTCCTTTTGCCATTGATTAGAGTAAATGTATATATCTGTTTTCTTTTCATTTGCTAACATAGTGAATTCCACTGATAGCCTTAATAGTATTTAAACATCTTGTATTGCTGGTATAAGCTGTCACTTATTTTTACAGCTTTGCTATTTTTCCAATTTTTTATTTGAGTTTTCTTATCGATGTCCTTAAGTGAGACTGACCTCTAATTTTCAATTGACCTTACTGGCATTAGTTATACCCATATAAAATAAGTTTTATAAATTCTACTCTAGATGTATTCTATGGCAAATTTTGTAGAAGGGTATGTCTGTTCCTTTACATTTTGGTAAAATTTAGACATAAAATTCTTTGGTGTTCAAGTTATTTTGAGGAGAGAGGGTTGTATTTTAAATCAGTGTTTTGATGTTTTATTGACTTTTTAACTCAAGCTTCCTACTTTTGGGCTAAGATTAGTTATTATATATTTGTTACATTGTAGATGTTCTCTTGTAAACTGTCTATATGGTCATGCGTCATTTATCAATGAGATATGTTCTGAGACATGAGTGGTTAGGCAATTTTGTTCTTGTACAAACATCATAAATGTAGATATATTTACACACACCTAGGCTATATGGTAGAGCCTATTTCTCCTAGGCTACAAACCCGTACAGCATGTTACTGTACTAAATACTATAGGCAATTGGAATACAATGGTATTTGTGTATCTAAACATAGAAAAGTAAAGTAAAAAATGGTATTATAATCTCATTTGTCCAACAATGTATATTTGGTCGGTCATTAACTGAAATGTCATTATGCAGTGCCTAACTGTAATTGGATTTTATATTCCAGTCTGAGACTCTTAACTGAAGATCGTAGTCCACTTGCATGTTTGTAATTACTACATTTGAACTTAATTCTGCCACTTCATTTCTTTTCTGTTTAACAGGTTTGCCTTTTATTTCCATTTTCCTGCCTCCAGTTGGATTGATAGTATTTTTTTCTTCATGTTTTTCTCCCCATTACCAATTAAAAGCCATAGTCTATTTCTTTACTTTTAGGGATTACCTTTAAATTGTTAACATACATACTTAAATTTATGTTTTGTTACCAAAGATTAAGTTAACCATTACCTATTCCTTCCTCCACCACAAACAAGAAACTTTAACCATCCTTGATTTTTATATAATTCCACTGGGATTCAAAGATTTGTTGTTATTTATTGTCAATTGCTTCTTCCTTTGTAGATAATATCTCCCCCTCCACTCCCACCCCTGTAGCTTCTATGCTTCTCTTTTCACCTATGATGTCCTAAAACGTTATTCAAATAAGTCTAGATATATTTTTTGGATCCTGCTCAAATTTGGACGTCTTCTATCTGAGAATGTCCTTCAGTCTCATCTTCAACTATTGCTCCCTCTATGTACCTCTTTCTGGTTTTGAAAAATCTATTAGATAAAGGTTGGAATTTCTTCTAGAACATATCTACTTTGTTTTCCATCTTTTAATATCTATGCTACATTTTGTCCATGGTTATCTCCAACCAGTTATGCAAGTTATACAAGATGCATACTTCCCAAAATGACCTCCTCTGAGTGGATGAGTTTGGGGCTTACATTTGGCACAACTCCAGGTTTTGTGGCCCATATGTAAAATTAGTTCCCGAATTTTTAAAACTCATGTTTTAAAAAGCACTTGGGATACTCTCATGGTAAGAGAAGGCACGATTCAATCAACTAGAAAATAGTCTTAAGTGTGGGAGTCTAAAAGGTTCTCTGGAAGTGCCCAACTGGTTGTTGAGTAAAATGCTAAATTTTACTACGCTTCATCTTTTTAATCAAAAAGTAAATTATATAATCTCTCCACCTCTGTCTGTCAATCAAAGAAAATTAATCTATAAATGCCTCAAAATATAAAAGTCAGTCATTATATGAATACAAATTATTTCTATGAATGCCATATTGCGCAAATCCTCATCCCTTGCTTTGCACCGAATGTCCTTCAAATTTGTCATCATTTATAGCCTTGTCTTTAAGGCAATTTCCTTCAACATGGAAATTAAGATTTGCCAGACGTCAGTGTAGTCATGTTCTGAAAACGTCCATCTCAGAAAACAAATAGTTTTAAGTGCTTTATTGTGCGCACATGTTTGATTTTCTTTGGCTTACATTTCCTTTAAGAAAGCAGCAAGACTTAACACAACCAACAGGCATTTGAATATGGCCAAACCTTTAAAGCAAGTCACTAAACTTTCCTGAGCAAAACAAAAAGGAATCTTAGGAATCTTAGAGGGATGTTTTAAAACACAACAGTTTATCTTTAAAACAGCTCATATTTTTATTCATTTTAGTTCTTTTAAGAAATCAGGAGGTTCTAATTACAGAATTTATGCCATATTAAGATCATTCACTCTTGAATAAGTTTTACAGTTCGTAGTGTGCTTTCATATACATCAATTATTTATTCTTCACAAAAAGCCTACAAGTATTGCTTTACTAAGGAGAAAACTGAGCTTAAGTGCAGTTAAATGACCTATGTAGCAACAAACCCAGTCAGTGGCTGAACCCAGACTCACAGTTACGCTGCCCACGCCAAGGTGTTTACTGCCTTCTCCAAGTCCAGCTCTCTTTGAAATCACTTTAATGAAAATCACCGTAACAAACAAGACTTACAACAGTCACTTAATGACTCCACAGTTTAAAGGTTGCTATCAGATTTTGCTGCCACAAAACAATTAGACGCATTTTATTGTAATCAGATGCAATCTGTATTTAAACAGCCAAGCTTTTGGTCTATGATTTTCTTAGGAGATTCTGCCCCAATGGGTTAACAGAGATATCAACAACCATCACTACAATCCGGTTTTGGAACACTTCCATGCCCTTAGTAAGATCCTTCACACCCATTTACATTTATTCACCCCTCCCACCCCCCAGCCCTAAGCAACTACGAATCTACTTTCTGTCTCTACAGTTACCTTTTTTGGACATTTTAAATAAACAAAATCATGCACTATGTAGCCTCTTGCGCCTGGCTTTTTCACTTCAAATAATGCTTCTGAGGTTTTTCCATGAACAGCATATGTCAGTAGTTTGCTCCCTTTCACTGCTGAATAATATACCATTGTGTGAACATACCACGTTTGTTTATGCACTCACCAATTGGTAGACATCTGGGTAGCTTCCACTTTTCCTGAACCAACTTTTACTGCAATTTGACAGCTAGTTGTCCACGTTCTGTGTTCTCCTCTCCAGGACTCCAACTTCCTAAGTGGCTGTGGGTGCCTGTAGAAGATCAGATCTGATGTCTCAGTTCCCTCTGCGAACTATGATCCTTCTCAGTCCCTAGTCCAATGGATTACAACAAAATTAGCTTTTAAGGACTAGTAAGGCCATTATGTGACTTTTTCCATCTTCCTTTTTTATTACTACACTATGAGCAGGGTCATTTAAGGTATTTTTTTCCAGCCTCTGAGGCTGTGGTTACGGTTGCACAACTCCAATTTTCCTAAAAGTAATTGAATTGTACACTTAAAGTAGGTGAATTTTATGGTATATGAATTATATCTGCATAAAGTTGTTAAAAGGAGAAGGTTAGGGAGGACAGATGACAAAACAAGGGTATAGAAACCTAAATGATAAGGTTCAACTTGTCAACCTGAGCAACAGATACAACCATGAAAAGACCCACAGACAATCCTGAATGAGTCAGTCAGCACTTCATTAGATTCAGCGTAATTCTCGCACGCAACTGGGAAAAATGGGCAGCAGGGCACATGGTTAACAGAACACACTTTTTACGCCATCAAAACTACCTTCAAGCCCTGTATCAGCCACTTCTTAGCAAAATAAGTCACCCAAAGTTTAGAGTAGATTTAACAAATAACGATAAAAGAAACTCAGTTGAATCTGAATTTCAGATAAACAATGAATAATTTGCCAGTATATGTATGCCTCATGCAATATTTGGAGCATACTTATATTTAAAAATTATTTGTTGTGTATCTGAAATGCACAAATAACTAGGGGTCCTATATTTTATCTAGCAACCCTACCAAATTTACATATCCCCTTGGTAATAGGGGGCATGTTAGTAAAACCAGAATATAGAATTGTAAGATTGAATAGGCCATTTAAATACATTAGCAACCGATCCCTAAAAATTAGCTTGTTATATAATTGTTCTTCTGCCTTAACCACCTCTTTAGGTGTTCAATCATCCCCTGCAATGTGGAGCCCCATCCTGAGCCACAGCTGGCTTTGATGGGATGTCAACAAATCACTCAGGTCTTGCTAATAACCCTACCATGAACAACTGACATACAACAGCTAATCATTCACCACAGACTAAGTCCTGGGCATTTCGCAAGAGGTAGTTCCTATGTAGGGACTTAGGAAGGAAGACTAGGGAAGGGAAAGAAGAAACTATGCTTAGATAACGAGCACAGTTCCGGAACTAAAACCTTCCCCCTGGACTCTTTTTTATGCCATCTACCATCACTACTCCCACTGTTCCATGCTGAGGACAATTCATGATGACGACAGGTTAAATCAAACCCATGTACACGAGGTTTTAGCCACCGTAACAGCCAGCTCTCCCACACTCTGGCGTATCAACAATGCCAGGCTATGTTCACGTGACCTGAAGATAAGGGAGCAGATCATTCAAATAACTTTTTCATATTACTTTCTGATTCTGAAAGCAATTCAAAAAGAACAGTAGAAAAGAAAGAAAACAGTGACAACTTATCACCTAATGACAACCTGTGAGGAAAAAAGTTAAATAAATGCTATGTGTAATTTTACACAGATAGCATCATACTTTACTTTTATATCTTCCTTATTTACAATAACATGATTATTTTTCCCAAATATTTTCCAAATACATGATTCTTAATGAGTACCTAATACTCCACAGAATAATTCTATAAGGTAACCATTCTATTTGGTTGGTGTCTATTTCTTATGATTTTCAGTACCAATAAAATCAACAGTCTTGTACAGATACCTTTATTTACATTAACATAATTTCCCTATGACACATTCCTAGAAAGGGAATTACTACATGGACAACTGCCAAATTTCTTTGCATATATAGTACACTAATTCGTACTGCCACTAGTACTGAGAATATATAGATCTACTTTTATAAGCCCCACATCTGCAACCCAAAGACCTGTTCCAGTTCTAAGGACAAAAATAACATGGTTATTTTTGAGAGAATAATACAACTCTGACTTCTCTTTATTCCTGTCCTCAGGATAATCTTGGTATTCACAGAATAGCCGAGAGAAGAGACCACCAGGAGTTCACACGTGTGAGGCAAATGTCCACTCACCATGCTCTAATGGCCTACAGAGTTCTGTAGATGTCAAATATGGCTTTTATGTAATGCTTCTTATTGGACTCACTCTCTGGGGTTGGAAGTAGTTACTAATAGAGTGTGAGAGCAAGATATCAGGAGGCAGAATTGAGGAGAGTGCTGGGTGGCCGTGCTAAGTGCTCACATACTGGAGTTCCAAGAATAAATCACTAGGTGGCTCATTTATATTGGGCTCTGTCCAGTGGAGGATGAGCTACAGGTAAACATGAGCATCATGGATCTCAGACAGGTAAAAGCATAAGGGCATTGATTAAGACTGGCATCAGTGAATGACAGTAGTCAAAACTCATAGTTTGGTCATAGAAGAAACTCCAGTTATTATTTTTTTTTTGAGCAGCAAAGTAGTAGGCATATTTTCGTCTCTATAACTGATCCATTCTATCTGACCAGCTAGCTACAAGGAGACAGATGTCGACTTGTTTGAAGGACAAGATGTGAAACTTTCTAGAATGAGAAAGGACAGATGATTTTAGTGAAAACAGACTTGTTTAAAAGTCCTTGGAACCAAAATAATTTGAAGGCAAAAATCATGGGTCCTGACAATTATAGAGAGTCTTGGCATAGGTTAAAAGTATATCATTTTGGAGAAAGTATTACCAGCTACTTAGATAATGTCTGAGCTTTAGAATAAGGGGAATCTAATACTGAAATGCAGAGATACAGTAGCTCAGAAGTCTAAGGAAGATGGTAAATGTTGCAAAAAGCCTTCTGGTTGTTTCAGGATGCCTATGGGAGGGGTGTAGCTGTCACATGTAGTTACATAGTATTCTAGAACAAGGCAGGCTCAAGGTGACCAAAAGTCTTTCAATATAAGATAGGCAGTACAATAGATCCCCTAAGAGCCAGTTACATGGCATAAAGACAGAGCAAGAATACACAGATCTAGGTTGCTTTAGCCGGGTGGTGGTTCTGCCTGGCTGAGAAGAATTTAAAGAGCTTCTAAACTTAAAGGTTCCTAGCCTCTCCCAGTATGAAGTATTCAGTTCCATTTTTTAGTGGAGACTTTATTTCTTAGAAACTTTTTTAAACTTTTTGGAAATTAAACGTACCAAACCCTCAGAAAAGATGACACAATCCAGACCATAAGAATGGATTTTGATTAAAAACTTTAGACATTTAAAGTTGTCGAAATAGATATTAGTTGGCCCTTGATTTAAGAAAAAATAATATGGTCTGCTTATGCTGACATTTGTTGATTTTAGTGTTAGAATCCTTAAAGCTAATAAGCAAGGAAGTCTTCAAACCTTGAGCTAATAATTATGAAGAATTTTCTTAAGCTTTTACAAGATTTCACTGACTAACTTGGAGTTTTCCATATTATTTAAGTATTTTCACATTTATATGTATCTTCTTGTTTATCTTCTTCCCTCTTCAGGCTATAGGACCCCAGAGCAGCACGGGCCACAGAACGGGGGTAGAGAAGGCATTGTTCACTTTTTAATATTTCTTTCGCTCAGTTGAAGTTTGTCTTCTGCTTCATTCTTACACTTTTCTTTTGTTGAGTTTTGGAAGAATGAGTCAACATTATCACTGGAGAAAAATAGCAGTGTCTAAAATTTAGAATCACAGTAGTTCACTAGATTTACTCATTATTGTTCAACTGGTGGTGTTTACTCTGTTTTCCTATGCTCAAATTAGAAATACCACAAATCTGTATGAATACTATGTGTCATTAATATCGTCGGGTTAAATTCTTTAATTTTAAAGTAATTGTTGCAGGAAAAAACATAAGAGCGAAGGACAGAATCCAATATAGTATATACACATCTAGATCCATTTCTGCACCATTCTTGGAACAAAACCCTGAGTTCTATTTTAGGGAACATTAAAATATCTGTTGTTGAATCGTTATGTGCTACTTAAGACATAAGTAAACCCAAGTTAGAGAGTTGGATCAAAAGCCTCTGAACAAGACAAATCCCTATCAATAAATGGTTATCAACAGCCAATAAGCTCAATGTTTAGTTCCTTACTCAATTTGCTATAGTCGAGGAGTCAAAATTGGGACTTTCAGGCCAAATTCAACCTAAAGAAAAATTCAAAACATTTCACAACTTTTCAAATAATTTGTTATCTCACATGGGTTGAGGGAGGGAGAGAAATTCCCTAGAACTCTGGCTTCTCTTGAACTCAGAAGTTCAGATCGTGCAGCTATATGTTACCTTCTTACATGGCACCAATCTGCTGGTTCTCCTTAGCTGCTGTCTTCTTTAGACAAGGCATATGCTGTCCCATTCACCACAGTCCTCACTCTTCTCTATCACCACTCCTGGGCCACTTCCTTTATTTATATAACTTGCTTGGCCACTGTAGGTATTTTAATTAGCCAGCAAATATGGCAGGCAGACAGGGCTTCAGCTTTTCTGCTTCTCCCACACAAGTAGGCCTTTAGCCTCTGCTTTATTTCTGACCATGACAATGAGGCTATAGATTTACAATACAGACAGGAAGCAGATCACCCTGAACTTCACCTGTTACCTATCTCGTTGGGACAAGAAGTCTAATTCCTAGGCTTAGGATTCAACTCCAAATGTGCAGAGAAAAGGAAAAAAAAAAACCACACACACACACACACACACACACACACACACACACACACACACAAGTGAAGAAATCAATCAAGGTCACAAAGCCATTCCAAGCTGTTCTGTGTCTACGACCCATATTTTTTGATTTTCCACTCCTCAGAAGATCAAGAGGTAATGAGGAATTTCTCATAATAAATTATTACGAGTCTCTAGGGTGGGTGCTCTGAGGGCTCATGGCTTAGACTTATAGACAGCATCTGCCTCACCATGGAGTATTCAGTAGCCTTCAGTCTTACCCTGCCAGTGAGCTCTCACTGGGGTGGAACAGGCTGTCCAGCATGGTAAAGAAGCAAGCTGAAACAAAGAGTTTGTCACTTTGTTTTTATTTTCTACTTTGGGTTCTAACAAAAGGATTCAAGAAGAGAGCAGTAAATCAAGCAAGCACCTGCTCATCGGGTTGTCTATTGATGTTTTCACTTACCGTCCAGGATATTCAAAGAGAGGCTCAGAAGTTTTGGCATAAAGAAATCTTTTTATTTTCCATGATCAAAATTGCCTAGCCAGAAAGGGCATCAAAGCCACGGTATCTTCAGAGGAAGAGATAAATTCACTCCAGGTTGACAGGAGGGTCACCTTGGCCATTTCTTCCCTTGCCTTAGAAGGAGGGCAGGAAAGGGAAGACCAATTTTGACTGGCAAATAGAGAATGCCTCAAGAAGGTGAAGATATGCCATGGATCACTTCTTTCCAATGTGCATATAAGTCACTTGGAAATCTTGTGAAAATGAATGTGGGTTCTAATTCAGCAAGTCCAGGGTGGAGCCTGAGGTTCTTCATAAAGCTCTCCCAACATGCTGATGCTGCTGAACCTCTGACTACATTTTGAGTAGCAAACCCATAGACATCATTGACAGAGGTTTTAAAAAAGACAGAATATAATTTGTGATTTACTTTGATACAAGATATGCATGTAGATGGCAACTAGAACCTTATAGTCGACTTGCGTGATCTTGCCAGGAAAGTCATCATTCACATAAGAAGGAACAAGCCAACATTGAGTCTCACGGTGTGAGGGTAATGGAGGCTGGGTTCAATGGGCCCAGAAACATATATAGAAATCAAGAAGGGAAAAGAGCCAGCAGCAGTCATAGAAACAGCAACGAAGCTGATCAACTGAATAAAGAAGTCAATGTTTGAATAGAATAGCAGAGAACAAGGTAGCCTGAGGTACTTGCTAAAGTCAAGCTCAGCTAGCATTGAAGAATGCGAGATAAGAATTAATGAGGTCTTGGAGACCAGACAGACTCACTGGCACAGAGCAGGCAAACCTCAAAGTCTTAACAACGGGCAACCGGAAGAAATCAGCACAGGCAAACAAAGAATGCCAGTGTGAGCGTTGGGCCACAGATGGAGAACTAGGCAAGCAGGGAGATGCCTAGGTGTGAGATGTGAACATACCTGCTGATCTTCAGCTTCCAGAAAGAACTGGGCAAGGGAAATAAAAGCATCCTACTCCCAGAGGAAATCGTATGTGCGGCAAGAAATCCAAGAAGGTCTAAAATGTGAGGACTGGAACTCTGAGCAAAGGCCCAGGTCTGTGACCCATATGGAATCAGTAGCAAAGTTATATGTTACTGAGCCAACTAAAGGCCTTATATTCCTTCCCAGCACAGACTGGTCCCAGAGCCCGTGTGCGGCGGAATCAACAGGTGTTCAGTTAAGAGGCTACAGCTGTGAAAATTAGCAAACGGCGCTAGGCAGGTTAGTAGAGCAGTGAGTCTCAAAGTACGCTCTCAAATCAGCAGTATCAACATCACCTGGGTACCTGCTCGGACATGTGAATTCTCAACCCCACCCCAAACTTAATGAATCAGAAATTCTGGGGCTGGAGCCCAGCCAGGCATGTTTTCACAAGCCCTCCAGAGAATTCTGACGCACCATGCTCAAGTTTGGGAAGTAATGCCGTAGTTTATTCAAAGTATAAATGGAGACAAGGCCAGATGTGGCAAAGGCGTGGCCTTAATCATGATGCTTTCAAAGAGCTGGTGAAGACTGAAATCAGTTACAGGGGAAGAAAATCCAGTAGAGAGAATGTGAAAGAATGATTAATAAAACGTTCAGGGGTTAACTGAGTCAGGCAATGATATTAAAAGGCAGAGTTATATCAATGTCGAAGGATCATCCAACCATGTGTATTCATATTTTGATTCTGATAACGAGAGAAATCATGAGTGTCAAAAGGGGTCAACTCCTGTGTTCGAAAATGTTCTCATGCTGTATTTTTAAGACAGTCACCTCAAAGAAATGTTATTTGGAGCTCATGCTTATGAAGATTTCCTCTCAGTGGGGGAAAAACAAATATGGTAGTATAATGTGATCCATTCGACAGAAATATTGAGAAGAAATTTGTTTTAAATATGTGTTTGTTTAAACACAGGTGAAGGATGAAAACATATGTGTAGGTTTTTAATTATACTTATTGATTCAGCAAATATCTCTATTCAGACACTAAGGATGCAAAACCACATAAACCACAATCTCTTTCAAAATATTTGCAGTGTAGTCCTAGGAGAGGACAATAAATTCGCAGTTGGCACAGCTATACTAGAGGTTTGCCCTCCATAAGGCAGAGAACTTTTCTCAAAAGAGAGAAATGCTCAGTTTGACTCTGAAGAACAATTGAAAGAACACTGTAGTAGAAGGAATGATATGTAGGGAAGGCATGGAGGCAGGAAAGGCCTTTTGGGAAGTGCTAGAGGCTTAGAATGGCTGGGGGGAGAGGACATGAGGCTAGAGAACTAGTAAGCAGAGACCAGCCCATCATGGCCCTAGCTGCCATCCTGGTAACACTGGTGAGCCAGGGAGGACCAGGAACAGATGTACCCTTCAGAAAGACCACTCTGTCTCAGTCATAGGGTAAATGAATTGACAAGAGGGCCAGGAAGGAGGTGCGCAAGATCAGTAAGAAAAAGATGATCGTAACTAAGTTGATGGACTAGGGCATCAGAGCTCAGGAATGCAGAAATTATGCAGTTCTAAGAGATGGCAAGGCTTATGATGTGACAAAACTGAGATATACTGATACACCTGAATCAATCGTAGAATGAGCCCTATGTTTTTTTTTTCTTACCAATACTAGCAACAAGTTGGAGATCAATTTGGTTATTTTTATGAACTAGAGGCAATTTAAGGCCATCCCTGTAATGATGTCAGTTTTATATTTCAATCTGCTTTTTGGAGTGGGAGAAGAAGGGCTTGCTGAGGCCACAGTCATTGCTGCACATCTCTGAGAATACAGCAGTGACAAGATGGGAATGCACCCCCTCTCTCCTGGACCTTTCCAGAGGCTGGCAAGGGGGGTAGGTTATATACCTCACAGGCCAGGAATGGAGTTCACATCACCTGCAGGTCATCCTACCCGTCTTCAGGAAAGGTGGCTACAACCCTCTTCTCCTCCCTCTAACCTCAAGTGGGAGAGCTCTGGCAGGCATTGAGGGAAGTCATCTTGAGGCCCCAATAGGCCAGAGCTCTGGTGATAGCGGCTTCCAAGAATGGAACCACAAGAGGTACCTTTCTCTCTCTCTCCTGCTGCTGCTGCAGCTGCTAGATCCCTTCCCTTTGGTGGGATTAGTGTGGAGAGACAAAAACTATGGGTGCCTTCTGTTTGTAAGGGGGATATCCAGCCTGACCTTGGCAGGCCAAGCAAGACCAGGAGGCAGTTCTCAGGAAAAGATGTTGGCTCAGGTCTGGCCCTGCCCAGAGTCTCAGAGAGGAGTAGGGGTAGGAGGAGGATATAAAATGAGTTATAGAGGTTTCTGCAAAGTCTAGACCAATTCACTGGTTAGGTCATAAGTTGGGCATTTGCTGGACACAGACGCCTAAGCCATAAAAGCAAAGCGGGCATATGCCTCAGGTTCCCTTGGTCATACCTCAGTCCCTCAAGCACAGGGTGCAGACACTCCGATTCTGCTCCCAGAGATATGACTAACACCAAGTAAGATCTACAGGATAGTTTAATATTGAGGAATAGAGATTTTAAATGTTCTAAAGGTCCTGAAGGATTTACAATAAAATAATAAATAGCAGTCTTTCCTGAGTGGTAGGATTTCAGGTAATTTAAAAATTTTTCTTCTCTTTAATCACCGGAAACTTCTATAATAAATATGGTTTCCACTGGTGATAATAGAAATTAAAATTATTTAAAACATCATTACCATGTTGAAAAAAGAATCCAATGTTAAAAAGTTTGATATTTTCCCACACATCTAGGAGATATAAATATGTATACATATATAAGAGTACCTAAAGAAAAAAAGAAAATTAAAGTGATGAAGCTATGATAGAAGGTAAATATGTTAGAATAACTGATGAAAATACTGTCCATTGTATGATTCAAAGATGTACAAAACCTACCCAAGTGCTACTAAAATATTACTATTCACAGACGAGAAAATATACAAGACTGTAAATTCCCTTATGTAAGCCTAGTATACTAGAGTCCCATTTCAACGCACTGAATTATAATTAGCTTCCTTAGGCGTAGGAGCTATAATAGACAGTAGGCACCTCAAAGATTAACAAAGATATATTCAAAATTGGGAGACTAAAATAATTCATAATGATGAGAAAGAAAAGGAAGTAAGCCAAAAGAAAAGATTGCAGTATCAACAAGCCAATGTTGTCAATTTAAAAATCAGTGTGCATGGATTTTAGGTGACTTAAGAGTTTTCAGCATTTTCTGATTTTTTCCATAATTAACCCCATTAAAAAGGGGGCAAAGGACATGAACAGACTCTTTTAAAAAGAAGACATACATGCTGCCAACAAGCATATGAAAAAGGCTCAATATCACTGATCATTAGAGAAATGCAAATTGAAACCACAGTGAGATACCACCTCATACCAGTCAGAATGGCTATTACTAAAAAGTCAAAAAATAATAGAAGCTGGCGAGGTTGTGGAGAAAAGGGAACACTTATACACTGTTGGTGAGAGTGTAAATTAGTTCAACCACTGTGGAAAGCAGTATGATGATTCCTAAAAGAGCTAAAAGCAGAACTACCATTTGACCCAGCAATCCCATTACTGAGTATATACCCAGAGAAATATAAATCATTCTACCGTAAAAACACACGTGTGCCAATGTTCATTGCAGCACCATTCACAATAGCAAAGAAATAGAATCAAACTAAATGCTCATCAGTGACAGACTGGATAAAGAAAAGGTGGTATTAAATATGCATACACCATGGAATACTATGTGGCCATAGAAAAGAGGGAGATTATATCTTTTGCAGGAACATGGATGGAGCTGGAAGCTATTATCCTCAGCAAACTAATGCAGGAACAGAAAACGAAAATACCACGTTCTCACTTGTAAGTGGGAGCTAAATGATGAGAACTCATGAACACAGAGAAGGCAACAACAGACACTGAGGCCTACTTGAGGGTGGAGGGCGGGAGGAGGGAGAGGAGCAGGAAAAATAACTATTGGGTACTAGGCTTAGTACCTGAGTGATGAAATAATCTCTACAACAAACCCCCGTGATACAAATTTAGCAATAAAACAAATCCTCACATATACCCCCAAACCGAAAAGAAAAGTTAATTTTTTTTAATTTAAAATCTATATATTGGGGAGAAAATACTCGTAAAACATAAATCCAACAAAGGCCTTGTATCTCGAATATATTAAGAACTCTCAAAACTCAACAATACAAGGTACATACAGGATTCTGATTTCTCTCCATCCTTGTCAACTCTTATTTTCCTTTTTATATAAAAATTATAGCAATCCCAGTAGGTGTAAAGTGGCACCTCACTGTGGTTTTGATTTGCATTTCAGTAATGACTAATGCTGTTGAGCAGCTTTTCATTGCTTACTGGCCATTTGTATGTCTTTGGAGAAGCATCTATTCAAATCCTTAGCCCATTTCTAAGTTGGGTTGTTTTTTCTTGTTATTGTTGAGATATAGGAACTCTTTATGTATTCTGGATATTAAACTCATCAAATATATGACTTGCAAATATTTTCTCTCATTCTGTGAGTTGTCTTTTCACTCTCTTAATAGTGTCTTTGGATGCACAAACTTTCTAATTTTAATCATCCAATTTATCTATTTTTTCTTTGGTTTCCTATGTTTTTAGTGTCATACTTAAGAAATCATTGCCTCAAAACGATAAATATAGAATATGACCCAGCAATTCCATTCCTAGGTGTATACCCCCAAAGAATTGAAAACAGGGACTGAAACAGGTACTTGTACACAAATATGCACAGCAGCGTTATTTAAGATAACCAAAAGGAGAAAACACCCACAAGTCTATGAACAGATGAATGGATAAACAAAATGTGTTATATCCATATAATAGAATATTATTCAGCCACAAAAAGGAATCAAGTTGTGATAAATGCTACAATATAAATGGACCCTGAAAAGATTATGCTAAATGAAATAAGCCAGACACAAAAGAACAAACGTTGTATGACTCTACTTGTATGAAATATCTAGAAGAGGCAAATTTATAGAGCCAGAAAGTAGATTAAAGTTTAACAAGAGGTAGGGGGAATGAGGAATGGGGACTTAATGCTTATGGACACAAAGTTTCTGTTTGGGGTAATGAAAATATTTTGGAAATAATGATGATGGTCGCACAACACTGTGAATGTTATAAATGTCACAGAATTATACGCTTAAAAGTGGTTAAAATGATAAATGTATATTGTATGTATATTTTATCACAATAAAAAACTCAACGGTTAAATAATGCAATTATGAAAAGGACAAAGGACACAGACATTTCACTCACAAGGATGGCAAATAAGCACACATGCTCTACTTCGTCAGCCATTAGAAAAATGTAAATTTTAACCACAACGAGATATCACTACATCTATATCAGAATGATTAAAATAAAAAATAGTGGAAGACCAAATTCTGGCAGGGAGGGGGAAAGGGGGAACAACTAGATCTCTAGTATATTATGGGTAGTCATATAAAATGGTATGGTCACTCTGGAAAACAGTTTGACAGCTTCTCATAAAATTAAACATGCGATTAACATGACCACACAATCATACTTTTGGGCCTTTATCCCAGGGAAATGAAAACTTATGCTTACATAAAATCCTACACATGAATTTTCACAGCCGCTGTGTTCATAGTAGCAAAAACTGGCAACAATCCAAAAGTCCTTCATCGGGTTAATGGTTAAATAAACTCTGGTCCATCCATACAATGGAATATTACTCAACAGCAAAAAGATATAAACTATCAACGCAGGCAATACCATAGATGAATCTAAAGAGCATTATGCTTAACAAAAAGTCACTCTCAAAAGGCTACATATCATATGATTTTATTTACATAATATTCTTTTTTCAGAGGGGGCATGAGGTCTTGCCATGTTGCCCAGGCTCGTCTTGAATTCCTAGGTTCAACTGATCCTCCCACCTCGACCTCCCAAGAGAGATGCAAAGCACATTTGTAGTTGCCATGGTATGCAAATATAAAGTGGTAGCAGGAGGTAGTTACTTTGTGGTGATGGAACTATCCTATATCTTGATTGTCATGGTGGTTACACGAATCTACACGTGGAATAAAATTGCATAAAAATACAAATACACACACAAATTAATACAAGTCAAAATGTCGAAAACCAAACAAGATCTACAATCTAGATAACGGTGTTGTGCCAATGTCAATTTCTTAGTTTGATATTAGACTACAGCTGTATAAAATATCACCATTGGGAGAAACCGGAGGAAGAATACACAAGACTCTATGTACTATTTTTGTAACTTTCTGTGAGTCTATAATTATTTCAAGATAAAAACTTTTTTAAAAACACATCTAAATTGGTACATGAATACCATGGACACATTTTATTTTGCTTCTTTAGCAAATGGGAAATTTCTCATAAAAAAAAAATGTAATGTTAAACTAACACAGTATAAGGGTGACCACACTACTAAATTTGGTATTGTAGCATAAGAAAGGCCCCTTTAAAAATTGGTACATGAGAATGAAAATGAAAATACGGAAACCTGAAACAAAATGCATCCACTGTAGAAATGGCCAAACACAAATGACACTAAATAAACCATATTTTTTAAATGTATCTAGTGCACCAATTCTTCCCATTTCCCAAATTGTCCATGCACAAAATCCTTATTTATACTTGTGGTTTTATTTCTGTGTACAAAAGCAAAGTATATATGTCACTCTTCCTAGAAGAGGGTGGGTAGTGATGAATATACATTTTTTAAAGAAGAGGAAACTTGAAGTTGTAAAGCAAACAAGGAATTAACGTGGGTGGCAGAGCAAGAGTGGAGGGCTTTGCAGTGAAGCTGGGGAGAGATAAGGAAAGCTGAGGGAAGAGAGACCTGCGGTTCAAATCAACTTTTGTGATGGGAAAAATAAAATAATGAAGAGTACTCTGACAGGAAAAGGAAAAGCTCATCACCTTCTAAGGTCTGACCACAACCTCCCTATACGCCATGAAGGGGTAAAGTGCAGGCTACGCTAGCAAATGTCAGGGTGAGGGTCTCTGCAGCTGAAGAGGATGCAGCTTCCCGACAGAAAAACTAAGGAAGTGTGGACTATGTCCCTGGGGGCACTGGGGTGAAAACCAGGCAAACAGCTCTGTCATCACACCTAAGGGATAAATGTGGAGGCAAAAGAGAAGACAAAGCCAAGAGATTCAGTGGCTTAAAAGTAAAAAAAAAAAAAAAAAAGTAAATGGCGTAAAAACCAAAGGCAGGAGTTTTGGTTTTGAAATACCGTTTTATTCATGATAAGTTGAGGTCACTTTTGGCACTCTGAAGATGATCACCAATTGTTATAGCAAAGATTAAAACCAACAAAATAACAAATACAGCAGTTAGAAAGCTAAAGATCGTTTCGTTTCGGTTACTGCTACTGTTTTATAACTTGGTTATGTAGGTTGTAGGAATCAGTGCAGGGGTTAGGGTCTGCAGCTTTCGTCCTGAAAGACTGAACAATCGAAAGATTTTTTGCATCATCTAATATAAATCCTGGAGAAATAAGCTTGACAAATTGCATATGACAAAAAAAAAAAATTCATGTTCCACAGTGGAAGCAGTCCCCTACCTACTCTGACTCTACACACAGTCTGCATGTGGTTCTGACCTTGGCCCCTCTGCTATGTTCTGGGAAGGGGAAGAGAGTTGGATGTGGACTGTGGTAGAAAGAACAAAGAGATTGCAAAGCTCCTCTGTGGAAGCTCTGGGGTGGGGCTCTGAAATCTGACTTTTAAAGAAGAGCTCCAGGGGAACTGATACAGCTGGTCTTTGATTCACCCTTTCAGAAGCACAGTTCCACACAGCCATTGGCTGGCAACAAGTTCTGCTCCTAAACTTTAATCCCCAGTTTCCAAACATTATGTTTATAAGAAGTATTGGTAGTAACCATGAGGCTAGTTTAATTTTCTTTTAGTCCTTTATGAGGCCCCAGTTCTTTTTAAATTAACCGTGGCAGAACCCATTGGTCTTCAGTGTCAACATAATTCAGAAAGGAAACAAGAGGTGCACAAGGAGGAATGAGATGTTTAAAAATATAATTAAAAAATAATAGCAGGAACATTTACTTAGTACGTACTAGGTGTCAGATTCTAAGCGTTTCCATGTGTGAACACAACCACTTATAACAACGCTGGGAGTACATACTATTATTATAACCAGCCCCATGATACCGATGAGAAGACAAGCACAGAAAGGTTAAGCAACTTCCCTGAAGTTACGCAGTAGCAAGTGGAAAGCTTGTCTCAAAACAATGAAAATGGAAAAGGAACAAATGAAATGGGAAACGGGAATTCTCCCCCAAAGGTATGCTGTCTTCAGTCAATGTCATGTTGTCTCTGTTTCGGTGCTGGTATTTCTTATTTAATGTCACATTTCAAATTCATAAGAGCACTTTTAAATAAAATGTTTTCTGCTCAGAAACAACTTCAAAGAAAATGAGTGCAATAAAACAAAGACATAGGTCAGGGGCAAGGTACCCAACATGAAAAGAAATAGAAAATTGCACCTCCCCACTTTAAGTAATTTAGCTTCAAATGAGCCAAAGTCTCTTGAAATCAGATATCGTGTAGGAGATCCCATTCCACACTCCAGGAAAAAACCATAGCAAACAGTTTAACTGCCACACATCAGACTACATCCAGTGCAATGGTGTGGTGTTAGTCCACAGCAGTTGTTCCCAAAATGAGGAGTGAGGCAGAGTCAGGACTGCCTGGAGAGCTGATGGACAGAGAGGTCCAGTTTGGGTAAAGTGGAGCAGGGCCTGGGCCTCAGTATCTTACAAGTTCCTCTTTAGTGATTCATATGCTCACCAAAGTGAGAACCACTAGTCTGGAGGGTTCTGGGTCCATGTTCCTCCATTTCTTGAGGAATCCTGAAGAGAGGAAACTGGTAACTGATAGGGAAGACTCCAGGACAGCTGGAACACTTTTAGCAGACACAAGCTTCAGGTACCAGAGCTACCTCCCACCTCTTCGGTGTGTCTGTCCACAGCTCTCGTCAGCCCCACATAGGTGCAATTTACTTGTCTGCATTCCAAATGTAAGCTCTGTCTTGCCCAGTGCTGTGTCTCCAGAATGGAACCCAATGTCTACACACAATAATTATAAAATAAATATTGGTTGGATAAATGAATTGATGGAAATCTACCAGCATTAAAACTATAGAATGGGAGTGTTGAGAGTAGTATTGAATTGCCCACAAATCTAACTCCAAAGAGCCTATAGTTCAAGTATTGAAATGGTTTTGTAATATAGGCAGCTAGAGATTACTTCTTTTCCATACCACGGAACTGCCGGGATGACTCATTAGTGATCCTGAATTCTAAGCCTGCATCCTCTCTTTCAGTGAAGAACTTGGATACATATTTACCCCCTAGGGTCTCCTGAACTTCTTCCTAAAACATAGATTATTCTAGTACTCGCCTACCGTATAAGGAGTATTTGAACTAAGCAATTAATGACTTGGGCACCTTAAAAAATGCCAAGCGCTTTTCAAACATCTATTATATGGTCCTGGGCCTAATAATGCTGCTACAGAATTTCTTTCATTGAATTACACGTTGTTTAAATGTAAAAGAATGACCTTTTAATCATAAAACAAATGACTTGCTATCAATTGACCAAGAGTAATATTTTCGCAACTTGAAATAATCTGGTCTAAATCACCAAATACAAAGAATGTATACAAAAATGTTACCACATTCCCTCTGAACATGGTTTCTACTAAACAACAGCACAGTTCCCAACTTGAGTGCCGTATCGGCATTGTGGTCCACCAATGGTGAGGCTGCATAGGGGGTGATGAAAGGTGTGAGCTTAAAAACAACAAGATCTAAGCTTACTTCCAGCTTGGTAAGTCACTGAACTAAATGATATTTTGGTTTCCTCAACTCTAACATGGGGAAGATAATCATATCTTTTTTAATGGGTTATCAGAAAAAAATCATGCATGAGAAGTATTGAGCTCAATTCCTTAACAAAATAAGTGCTCAGTAAATGTCACACTACTGTTAGCATCATCCTTGGCATGTCAGTTGGCATCTAAGGCTTAGATAGAATAACCAGTCTGTCCCTCTGCTTGTTAGCCATTTCCCATCATATCACAATCCCAGCTAAGTCAGTTCCATCCTAATGGCTTAAACAGTTAGGGAAAGCATTCTGTAAATAATGACAGTTAAACTAGATCTTAGAAGATGAGCAAGATAGATTAAAGGGCCCCAGCTTTCACAGTCATTCACCGTCCAGTCAGCTGTGGCCAAGGAGGACTGGAATTACCCGGAGCAGAACACGAATACCTAAGTGACTTTCCTTTGACTGGGGACAGTATCCTTCAAGGGAAACTCATAATTTTAACACTCATGTATCTAGAAGGCCCTGCTGAGCTACTCTGACATTCTTACCAGTCATCAAGAATAGTTAACTTTCCATACGCTCTTGGTATGTATGTGTGCCTGTGTGTGCAAGTGTGTGCAATGAACTAATAGAAAATTCTGGTAGCCCATCCCTTTATATTTTACATAGACTCGAAGACCTTCTTTGGATTTGTAGCAGCAGGAAACATTTCCGTTTTCAATATGGGCCTGCCATCTGTCGGAAGGCTAGCTTCTAGAGTACCACGTTTTCTCCACTGCTATTTTCTACCACATGGTTATATTCTCAGTTTTGCTCACAGCACCACATGCAATAATAATTGCTATTTATTGGGTGCCTCTCATGAGCCAGGCACTTTAAATGCAGTCTCTTGAGGTACATATGATTATCCCATTTTATAGATGAAGAACTCAAAGGCTCTGAGAGGTTAGGTAACTTGCCCAAGTTCTTACAGCCGGGAAAGCTGACCTGGAGTTTGAACTGCAATCTGGTTGATACTATACAACAAGGTCCTTTTCTCTCCCCAGTGCTTGTGGTAGTATCATTAAAGGACATTTTGCTTTGAGGTATGTTTAATGCATTTTTTCAGTCCAGCATGTTGTGTTCACGTCACTTCATTTCGCCACAGCCATATAAGCAGAAATTGCTTAGGAACCTGCTGTCCCTGGGCTGGGCTTACATCCAGCTCCACGCTGTACAGGGGGAAGCAGTGCTTCTATTAAATTAATGTGCTCCAACACGAGTGCATCATTCCAGTCACCTGAGAATAGGAAAAGCCTTATCAAGAACTTGCTATTCATTTTAAGCTGCTTTAATCCCCTCTGGTCTGATGCAAATTCATTTCATTAATAATTAACAGTGCTTGGCAGTGCTTTCCCTCAGTCCCAGTTCTTGGTTGGCATTCCACTTTGCTGAACCTGAGAGAAATCAGGGTCAAACCAAGGGAGAAAAGAAAATGAGAGAGCCAGGATCTGGCATTAACCCACCCACCTCGACCCCTATGGAGAAGGCAAGGTAACTATTGAAGCAACAGATATTGGCATTATCTGTGAGTTAGTGTGGATGATCCTTGTAGTTCGTCTTCTTAAATATTACATCTTTAATGAGCTCATCCAAGCTTTGATAGTGTGGCCTTAAACCTTGCTTTTGGGCAGATATTATAGATCAGTGGTTCTCAGCTTTGGCTAGGAATCGGAATCACCTCTAAGACTTGAAAAAATACACATAAAATCTACTAAAGTTGAACACTTACATATCTTATGACCCAGCAATTCCACTCTTAGACTTATGCCCAACAGAAATACACACATATGTGCACCAAATGATACATCAGAACGTTCAAGGAAGCACACAGTAGCCCCAAACTGGAAGCCACCCAAATGCCCATCAACAATGGAATGGAAAAATACATTTGCACACAATGGAATAACATATAGCATAGGATTGAATAGCATACAACTACACACAACAATATAGAATACTCTCACATATATTGTACTGAGAATAAAAGCCATACACAAAGGAGTATATGCTACATGATTCTATCCAAATGAAGAATACAGATATGCAAAACTAACCTACAGGGTTAGATGTCAGGATACTAATTAGTGTTAGGGGGATTAGTGATTGGAAGGGGCTTCTGGGCTGTTGGTTATATTCTGTTTTTCTTGATCTGGGCATTAGTTCTGTGGGTGTGTTCACGTGTAAAAATTCAATCTGTACACTTATCATACATATACACCTTTCTACATGGTTGTTATCCTCTAATTAAAAGCTTAAAATATGTACACATAAACCTATTGCCTCCAGTCCAGTAACCTCCGCACCGCCCCCTCAACACACACGTATATACACACCCACTCACTTCTCCTGGGGAGCCCAATTCAGCAGCCTTGAGGCCCCTATACCCTCTTTTAAGCTGCTCAAATTATTTGATGCTATCAGTGTCATCTCAGTATCCCTAGTTTTCCCTAGCCTTCCAGCATTTGCAATAAACTTCGGTGGTAAAACAATCTAATTCCATTACCATCTGAATGATACTAAAACGTGGGAACTGAAAAAAATCAAATCAGTGTATTGAACAAAAACATAAACAGAATAATGTAAACTGCTCATTTTCAACTTATAAAAAAGAAGCTGAGGAAGAACTTGAACATTTTTGCTACACAGGCTTAATGAGTATGACATCACCTGTCCTTTTTAATAATAATAACTACGAAGTAATAATAGCTAACACATATGCAAGGCACTGCTCTAAGTGATTTACATAAATTAACTCACTTAATCCTCATAACAATTACTTGAAATAGGTATTATTATTATCCCCATTTGGCAAATGAGGAAACTGAGGTATAGAGCGGAGCTAGAAAACCATGATTTCAGATTCTAACAGTATGGCTTCAGAGTTTGTACTCTTAACCACTTCACTATATTCCTGTATATTTTATGCTGCTTAACATACTTTTCCCATTTTAAATGGACTATATTTAATATATTTCAAGTGGTAAGCTAAGTCCACTTGAATATTGGCATCTCAGCTGAAAATTACATGTGAGATGACTGAAATCAATAATACAAGTTTTATGTCAGTTCTTCAAGTGTTGGAAGAAATAGGTCAAACATTTAAAAAAAAAAAAGCCACGACCTAAAGAACATTTCTGTAAGTGTCATCCATTCATTGGCAAACATTGAGTGAGCAGGTGCTATGCTTGTGCAGTGGGTCCAATAGTGACCTCAGTCAAGGGCAAGGTTCAGGCCCCCAAAGACCTCCTCATTCAGCAGACAGACACGGGCCAAACAGCAGAAGAGTGAGTGGAAGTTACACATGTGACCACAGGTCATGAAAGCGTATAAGAAAGGGAAGCTTCCTACTCAAAAAGGTCAGGAAAGGCCTCCCGGAAGAAGTGATGATGGTGTGAAATATGAAGAATGAGTAGGAGGTAAAGGCAAAGGTGAGTGGGGGTGTAGAAAGAGCTGCATATGCATGCGCAAATAACTGTAATGTAAGTCAGAATGAATAAGGACTATAATAAACACACATACAAAAAAGCACAATGGAACTTCAGGACCTTTTTTCCTATTTCATTATTCAAATCACCTGAAATCGTTATACTTTCAGCATGAACCCAGAAACTCTTATATCAGATTCATAGTTGGTCTCACAAGCCTGGAACACAGTAAGATAAAAACCTTGTGGAAAAGGAATTTGAAACAGTACTTTTAACTCAGCATATATTGAAGGATTCAAGACATCAAAGTGAAAAAAGGAAATAATAGTGTTTACCTTTTCTGGAAAAAACGAGCAACAAAGAGGAAAAAAGGAAAAACCCTCAGATGGTGAAATCACCAGTCACAGAAGATATTCTTACAACACTATATAGGTCAGAACTTCCCCACTCCCCACCACCTACCATTGCTGAGGTTAGGCCTACTAGAAAAATAAGAGCACCCTAATAGACCAAAAGACATCATGCAATAGATGAGGAATGTGGTTAAGTACAACTTCTGAGGCTGCCTGATAGGCTCAAAATAAATCCAGGTGCAAAGAATGAATGGTCTTTGCAAATCTAAGCCTGCTCCTCACCACCTCCTGGTATAACTATGATCCAAACTGTTCTCTACTCTCCAATATAAACCAATGGGATCTTTTGAAAATGTACATCTTTCATGGGCTACACCCTCCACCTCCACCCAATAACCCTTCAATGGAACCCATTGCTTGTAAGGTAAAAACATAGCTCCTTAAAGTAGCCTGAGGGTGTTGCCTGGTCTGCTTTCCGCCAACCTCTCCAATCCTATCTTGTACCTTGCTCACTTTTCCTCTATATGTTTCCCCAAAAACAGCCTTCTGGCCGGGCGCAGTGGCTCACGCCTGTAATCCCAGCACTTTGGGGGGCCAAGGCAGGCGGATCACCTAAGGTCAGGAGTTTGAGACCAGCCTGGCCAACATGGCGAAACCTTGTCTGTACTAAAAATACAAAAATTAGCCGGGCGTGGTGGCAGGCACCTGTAATCCCAGCTACTCAGGAGGCTGAGGCATGAGAATCGCTTGAACCCACGAGGCGGAGGTTGCAGTGAGCCGAGATTGCGCCACTGCACTCCAGCATGGGTGACAGAGCGAGACTCCGTCTCAAAAACAAACAAACAAACAAACAAAAACAGCATTCTTTCAGTCCCTCATGTTCACCGTGCTCCATGTTACCTCAGGGTTTTGCACATGCTGCTTCTTCTACCTAGAACTCTCTGCTCAACCTGCCCTCTACCTAGTTGATTCCTACTCAGCCTTTAGCTCTTGGCCCCAATTTCAGACAGGTTATCCCTGGTTCCCTGACTGTGTCAACTCTCCCCATTACAAGCTCAGGTACCTTCCCACCACGGCACCTGCTATAGGTGAAATTTTACATATATTGTCTTGATTATTTGATCAATGTCTCTTAGCTTCTTAAACGCAAGGGTTGGAATTTTGTCTGGTTTTACCGACTTTGTATCCACAGTCCCAGGCACACTTGTTGACTCAAAGTAGGGGCTTCATAAATGTCCATTGTACAAATCAAAGCATTTCATAGAGCTCCTCAATTCCTAGGACTGTCTGGTTAGCATATTACCATATGCTTCCTGGTCACTCTCATAAGCACCATGTATAAAGAAGCATTTTTTAAAAAAAGTACATGTATTATATCCTTGAAAGAGGCATGAAAGAGGGCAAAAAAAGTTGAGGATGATTTGCTACTCTAGACAAGCAGCACATTTCTAATTATCTTGGTTACCTAGGAGTAAAGTATAGTCTCAAGTCTTACAGTAGAAATGAGAAGGAAAGAAATATTTAGCTGCTTAAACCTAATGTTAAGCAAACCATATTCCATCTATAACTAGATGCAGTAGGTTTTTCATTTATTCCCAACATGTTTGATGAATGGTTCACCCTGATAGGAGAAAACGCTAAGTTCCTACTATAAAGGACAATGAAAGGCCAACGAGGTAACATTGGGATTCCAGAAGGCCCTTTACTGCGAATAATTTACATTTTGAGGCTACTGTTTGTTTTTCTCTTTTATAAAATTAAACATAATTATCTGTACTCCATACCTGTCCCATTGGGAGTTTGGAGGAATTAATGAGATGATGTTTGCGGAGTGCTCAGGGCCCCTGGAAACACTATTATTAGAACAGTTAAGTAAAATGTTGCTTATGGTAACCTATGGGGTGACTTCCAGACAAGCAAGGCTGACATCAGAATAAAAAATAGCAAAGTGAAACAAGAAGGACAAAATTACTATTTGGTGATTTTACAGTAATGAAAATCATCCACTTTCTGAATTTCTAACTGCACTCTCCAATCCAGTAGCCACTAGCCCCATATGGCTATTTAATTTAAACCGATGAACTAAATTTTAAATTAAATTAAATTTCTTAAAATTAAAATATAAATAGCCTCATGAGGCCAGTGCTTTCTCCATTGGATAGTTCAGATATAGACTATTTCCATCATCACAGAAAATTCTACTGGACGGCAGTATGAATCTGAGGGGGTCTTTTGACTCTTTGTATCTGAATCCTGTTATTTGACACTTTCAAAGCCTCACCCAGAGTAGGGATTTGGAACTTTATCAGCTAGAAGAGAGATTACTCATCGAGCTGAAGAGAAATTATTCTTCAAAGACAAATGGTTTCCTTTCAAACGCGTTTTGCCTTTTCTATGCTGCCTCCGCCTGGTTAGCACTAAGAATATGTGCAGTGTGGAATGGGTTAAATGTTTCTCTTTTTTCCCTATCTCATATTTCTCAGTGCCCCATCTATATATAAGTGCTGAAGTCTGGGCAGAGAGTAAACCATCTGAGTGACCATGAACACAGATTCATAACTAAAAACCTGCTATATCTGGTTGCCCACAAAATAAGAGACAGGTCATTAATACATTCTCGTTGGGAACAAATCCCCTCTTGTGTGAAATGCTGCTGCATCTCATTTTTCTCTTTATACTATTTTAATCTTGTGGGATTAGGGGGTGGGGTGGGGAACAGAAACGAGCCCAGCGCATTCTAACTTTGTGTGGGTGTCTCCCTGGCTTGGTTACCAAAGAAACCATTATGTTCCATACTATTCAAATAATGGCTCTACTAGCGCCCTAAATACTTTCTTCTTTTCTAACCTGACTGCACTGCAGATTTAGAGCCACCATCTGTTGGCCAGCAAAAGAGAAGGGTTTCTGGAAATGTCACGGCCCTTCCCACACTGTTTGAAGCCTCAGTCTCAAGACTGCAACCTAAGAAGTCTGCTTCTGAAGCCAATTATTTCCTTACCAGGCCCAAGACGCTGTCTCCATGCACCACTGCACTGCCAAACTGCATAAGTGAAAGGTATTTGCAGGCATCCTGTGAGGCTGCCAAGCCTCCTGCCACCCATGCTGCCAGCCTCTTCTCTCGCTGCAGTTGTGAGGGCCTTGCTGCTTCACCCCTGAAGCATGCTGGGGGATCTGGCTGGGATGAGTGCTTCCCTGCCACCCTGGGCCCTGGAGTGAGTCACATCACCATCCCATGGATGCCTATTGCTGATTTACAGAGCAACAAATCCAGCAGCTGGGACCACCTGTTTTCATGGCTGCCAGGATGGGTTGTGCCCTTCAGAGGCTCCCGCGGCAAAGCAGAAGCCGCCAGCCCAGGATGTGATTGCCCCGGGAGAGAGGTGCTGGAAAAGGACCTGGTTTTCACGCTCCACTGCCATTTGCCCTTCCCTACCCAGTCTTTAGATATACAGAGGTACAATGTACTTGGCAAATTCCCTATGAATTCCAGGCAGCCAGGAACTAAGGAATGAGGTGTTCTTGTAAACCTCCAGGTCTCTGCCACAGACGATTCTGAGTTACTCTCCCAAGCAGTGTGGTCACTCTTTCTGAGGTTTTACACAGGAAGTTGAAGGGCTTCCAAATGTCTCCTGTCTGGGCATCTAAGTATAAATCTGGTGAAATTTTGCAGTCTGTTCAACCAAAAGAGTGTTAGTGATTGCAACTTAAGAACCACGGGCTGGGCGTGGTGGCTCACGCCTGTAATCCCAGCACTTTGGGAGGCCAAGGTGGACGGATCATTTGAGGTCAGGAGTTCGAGACCAGCCTGGCCAACATGGTGAAACCCTGTCTCTGCTAAAAATACAAAAAATTAGCTGGGCTTGGTGGCACGTGCCTGTAATCCCAGCTACTCGGGAGGCTGAGGCAGGAGAATCACTTGAACCCTGGAGGCGGAGATTGCAGTGAGCCGAGATTCTGCCACTGCATTTTAGCCTGGGCTACAGAGCAAAACTCTGTCTCAAAAGAAAAAAAAAAGAACAAGGAATTATTCTTAAGATCAGTAGTTGCTTCCATTAAGACCAACATGCATACCACATCTTTTCTAACGCAGTACTTTAAGCCAGGAGTCTCCAAACTTTCGGGGTCAAGCATCCTATTCACATACAACATCTTTGCACGCCTCCAAATACACATATCTCTATTTACAATGTGCATATATATATATAGATATACCTTCTAATATACTACTGTATTATCACATTACAAAACATGCTCCCAAAATTGAAATCTTAAAAGCGTTCAAATGAAAATGCAATATTTTTAAAATTAGGTTTAATTTTGTTTCATTTATTAAAGGCACAAAAGTCACTTTTACTCTCACTGGAAAAATCTGACATTTTTAAGGAGAGAAATATTATCAAACTAGCGCTTTTATTTTTTGATTTAGTTTAATTTAGAGGTATTGTGCTAAATTCAGTTTCTTTTGATACTTGGTTTTTAAAGCTGTGACAGCCCCCACAAAAAGAAAGAGAGAGAGCGAGAGAGATCCCACAAAGACGCATAGATCCAAATGGAACAAGTGAGGTTATTTTACAACCTCATAATACCTGTCATAAAAAACTAATATCTGTATAACTATCTGTGATAACAACATGTGTAAAAAACATATATCTGTATGCTATATGAGATACACACAAATATAAGACATATCTGTATCTACGTATATGTATATCTATGTTTCTGTATAAGTGAATATGTCCCCATTGGGACATACACTAAAAAATTGTTTACGTAAAAATTCAAATTTAACTAGGCCTCCTATACTTTATCTGGCAACCCTAAACTCGTGAAGTTTATTTTTTTCTTATTTTTTTAACCATAAGTAAATATAAATAGGAGTTCTAATATTTTCTTTCTGCATACTTAGCAATGGAGATCATTTCTAAGAAGCTGCCACCAGAGTCCCTGGCCAAACCAGTGTCCTCCTCGAAGAGCTAATACAGCCAAATGCTAATAAGAAACCCCTCTTCACTTAAGTTCCTTAAACCGTCCCCTCCTCAAACCCTCCTTACCCTGTAGTAGCATCGTGCATCAATGCTATGACTGACTGATATAGAACCTTCTTCATTTTTCTGGCCAATACATTTATTCAAGGAAAGGGAAAATTACAGGTAAAGCAGAAAGAGGCTTGAGCCACATGTGTAGGTACATGTGTCAACTCGTCCATCTAGATTCCGCCTCTGGTTTACAGAGGTGGCAGCAGGAGTACTTTACCCTTTTCACCTCTACCACTGGCACCCAAGATCTGCTCAACATTGAAAGAGATCACATGCTAGGAATACAGTGATTATGGCCTAAAGAGTTCTAGAGATGACATGGTTGGAAAACGTGTCTTTGTGCATGTACACTATAAAATTCTGAATGGTAAATTTAACATGACCAGAAAAATGATTTATCACTCATATTTTCCTGCATACTCTGGATAAGACTGTCCAGCATCAACAAAACATGGTAAAAAAAAAAAAACCTCTGAGAGAGTCATTGGAAGACAATACCTGTGGCAGCACGATAGATGATGCCGTATCATGAGTAATGAAGTAGCCAGCATTAAATAAAGGGTTCTAGGGAACCGTAGGGCAAGAAGATCTACGTGATTTCAATACGAACAGTTCCAATAACCCATAGCATTGTGAGTACTATCACCTCTTGCTACCTCTTTCTCATGAAGGGTAGGGGGCAAGGTAATATTATCCAGTGCATTTAACAGTAAAAACAAAACAAAACAAAATAAAACACTAATAGATGGTACCTAGACCTGAACAAGAAGACATGATGGCTGGACGTGACAAAGAATCCTCATGTGCATCGATGTGGCAATAAACACATATGCAAATACTGCATCTCTACCTATTATTCTAAATCTTCATCAATAAAATGTTAAACCTCTCATTGGTACATGAATTTTTGTGATACATTTTTAATTGAACTGCTTACATAAATAGAGGCCCCACACCAAATATTTGCCAGCGGCCTTGCACACCATAGGGGCAGCCCTAGTGCTAAGCTGTGCAACAGTTCTCCTGTGCTGCTCCAATATGCAATTTCACAATAACACATGGTCTCAGGACATTCTCCTGGGCAAGGTCATTTTCATGGTAAGGCCTAACAATTATCGAGTGCCAACTCTGTGTTTGGCACTCTACTCGGGGCTTTACATACATTATCTTGTCTTGTACTTGTATTAAACCAAGAGAAATAATAAATTGCTTTATTTTAAGCCACTAAGTCTCAGAATAGTTTGTTAAGCAGCAATATATTATTGAAAAACAATAAGCTGAGATTTTTTTCGTTGCTCGATTCATTTCCTCTAAACTACTGTGGAGCAGGCAGATCTCAGACTTTTCTATCTCCCTTTCACAACTGCAGAAATTGAGTAGCAGCAAGGAAGGGGAGGAAGATGGACAAGAGCAGGCCAATAGCTTTCCCCTGAGGAGGTGTGAAGGCTGCAGAACCAGAATAAAAGGCCTGTCCTCCCAGATTAGATCCAGGGCCTGACCTCCCAAGCATCTTGCCTCACTAACAACTGGGGGCATTTCTGAAGTAAATGGACAGCCCAGGGATGTGTGACCCTGAAAGCACAACATGTCCAGACCAGGAAAAAAAAAAATGCCTTCCTTTTCCTGGAAGTGGAGATGTCACACCCTATCTGGGGTCATCTGCTCAAGATCTCAGCATCGCTTGCTGCCAGCTCCCTTCAGATAGAGAATGCTGGACACAGCTTTTCTCCCCTTCATCATTTGACCTCTACCAAGACAATCTAGGAAACTCATCATTAGTGCCAGAAGCAGGAAAATGGGAGCCATCTCCTGACAAGTTCACACCAGACAAAATGTTCCAGCTTGACAAGAGACGGGGGAGAATCAGGAACTTTGTCCTCTCTCCTCCTTGTTAATTAGTCCTTGGTTTTGAATTTCAGGGAGAGGTACAAGAGACAGGTAATAAAGAACATACATAAAGCATATGGTATGTTAGATCATGATAAGGAACACGGGAAAATATGAAGCAGGAAGAGGGTAAAAGGAGCGCACTTTGGGTAGTGTTTAAATAAGGTGATCAAAGAAGGCCTAGCACACAGCATTTACCAAACTTATCTAATCAAAGAAACTGTCACAGAGCGTGTCACAGAAGTTAGGAAATGCTGTTTCAAAAAGTAGTTTCAGCTAGGGAGGAGAAGCAGATTAATTAGCAATTGTATTAATATTTGGCTACTAGTAAGAAAAATGTAAGTGGTTTACACAAGATAGAAGTTTCTTTTTCATTTGCATAAAAAAAGTGTGGACCAGGCAATCCAGGGATGCAGGACACCTCCATGTTGTCATCAGGGACTTGAGTTCCTTTTACCTTTCTCCCCACCCTGCTGAGTTCTTGGCTTCCATCCTCAAGCTTGCCGCAGCCCAGGATTTATCTTTATCTCCAGCCATCACATGTATGTTCCAAGCAGAACTGTGCCTCTTACAGAGTCTGCTCATAAGTCCCACCCAACATGTTTTGCCTATATCTCATTGGCCACTCTCCAGCTGGAAGGGAGGCTAGGAAGGCACTTTAGCCAGAATATGACCTCTCATAATAAGATTAAGTTAATTAGTCTTAGTCTTGCTAAGTAATTGCTGATGGCAATTAGCAATTTGCCTCGGGAAAGAAGGAGGGTGTAGTGGAAGGGACATCCCTGCGTACCAGAGTGCAGCTTTCTATTTTGACACAGCAGATTGCAAAGCTGCTCACACATCAGTCCTGCAGCTGCACCGTCCATGTTTCTTATGAGAACCTAGGGTTAAAACGTCGTAGAACACAGACCCCAGCAGCAAAATCACTATACTCCCGTCTTCTGGGGCAATGTGCCACCCAGCTCCTGTTTTGTCCATTCACCACATGGCAGCCAGAATGCCATTTTAATAATGTAAAGCCAGTTATGTCACTTTCCTACCTAAAACTCTCATCACACTTGGAATGAAATCCAAACACCACGAGATGGACGCAGCCCATCTTTGACTGCTTCTTCACCACTCCTCCCCTTTGCTCAGGACTCCAGCCACGCTGGCCTTTTTGTTACATGAACACAGCAAGGTCATTCCCACCTTAGAGCTTTTATCTGGAATGTTCTTTCCCACATGGCTGGATCCTTCTTATCATCCAGCTCGCCACTAAAATATCTCACTTCCTCAGCAAGACTTTCTTGACTTACTCCAGCTAATGAAGTTCCGCCCCTACCAGATAGCCCCTAGCACCTCATTTTATTTTCTTCATGAATTTATAACTAGTTCAATTTAACATGCTCACGCATTTTTTCCCTTGTTCATTATCACCATTATTAAGTTCCATGAAGGCAGAAACACTGCTGCTTTTGTTCTCCCCATACCTCCAGCCCACAGTGAATAAAACGTGGAAGGCTTTCAATGCTGTGGAATGAATGATATGGTTTGAAGTGTCCCCATTCTCTTAGTCACTCCTCCCCAAACACCCTTCAGTTTGGTAGACGACATCATAAACAGACTCCAAGAAACACTACCCAATTCCTAGAAGTGCATCATTAACAAAGAGCAGTATTGTGCTCTTGGACATTATGTAATGTCCCCTGTCCTGGCTCAGTGGCTGATTTCGATGTGTTTTTGCATGTGGATTCATGGATCCATTTTGAGAATTTTCAGGAATGGGAGCCCTCAGGTCAGAAATCACTGCCCCATAGAATTCCATGTGATGATGTGGGACCATGAATCAAGGCCCCTACAGCTCAGCAACCCTCAGTCTCCCCAAAACCAATTTGAAATGCCCAAGTATGTACTGGGGACACCTCAAAGCCAAAATGTTTACTACATAACCATTCTTCTAATTTTAATGGTGAGTTTCTGTTTTAAGAAACAATCTAGAAGAGTTCAGACTTTTTATTGCATATTATTCCAATTTAAGGGAGGTAATACAGAGACTACTATGCATTCACAAAGCACCATTTTTTTTTCCTCCTGAGCATACAGCTGGATTACAGTTAGGAGTGGTTATGTCATTGAGTCTAGCCAATGAAATCTGGGCGAAAGCGATCTATACCACATGATGGACAGGGACTGGATCCCTGAAGGACTGAGTGGAATAGAATCACCCACATTCCCTATCTGAGTTAAAATCTGACATGAACAATAAATAAACTCTCATTGTATTAAGCCACTGAGATTTTTGGAATTGTTTGTTATGACACCGATCCTACCTTGACTCATACAGAGGAATAAAATAAAGACCCTGTCATAATAATAATGTTAAATTTTCAAAGAAAAGACAATTCAGCTTCCTGCAATCTCAGCCATTTTGTGCTGTTACAAATTATGTGGTTTTAACATCAGTGGAAGACTAGCAAAAAGCTTGCGGCTTCTTAGATGACATAAACATACTGTATTTGCTTTTCAAGTGCTGGAAATGTTTCTAACTAAAACATGAAAGCAATATTTTAACAGGCTGACTTGGGGAAAATGCTCAACATGAAAAGACCAAAATGTTTTTCAAAAAGGGAAACAACTCAATATGCTCCCAAAACCCTGCCCAGGCTTTAATCAAGGGACATCCAAAGGGAAGCAAAATGGCTGGACTTAGTCTGAAAGTTATGAGAAATTTTCTGGTAAGGGTAGGATACTATTTAGTTATCATTTAATTTAATATTTACTTCTAAAGGTATTTTTTAAATTAAGGAAGCTATCCAAAATCTTTATCCTGGGAACATGCTTTTATCCTTAAAAAAATAAATAAATAAATAAAAATAGCCTCCTTGGGATTCACAGGATCAAACGCAATCACTCTTTTACGTGGCCACACTTTACCTATTTCTTGCTAACATGGCATATTCAGCCCATTATATCTTCGTAAAGAATTGGAAGACATTTCTGTAGAATTTCAGTTTTTCTTAAATTGACTTCGTTTCCATATATTTAGTAGTAATAATAATAATAAATAATAGTCATAATAGTATCTTTAGTGCACACCAGAATTGGAAAAAAAGGTTTCATATCCATTATCAAGAGTTCTAGTGCTTGATAATACTCTAAACCATTTATTTCTGTATTCCATGTGTGACATTTGTAAAATTGTAAGTTCACAACTTCCTAATGTTTCCTGGACTACCACAGCCCTATACACTAATCATATACAGTAGTTAGTATGTATTAGAATGTCTTTTATTCATAAAATATGGATGTATTTTCCCAGAACAAAAGTATTAATTATTGTTAACAACAATTTAACTTGCAATATCTTTTAAAAATACATTCACCACATTTCTGCAGCTTCAAAAATCCTTTGCTGTACTTCTCACTTTTTTTTTTTTTCTCTTGTCCAGCAGTATCAAGTTTCCAGGTTTCAGGGCTCTGGTTTGAAATCCACAGCCTGCAAATGTTTTAAATAAAGCAGAACCATATAAAAAGATTAAATGGATACAGACAAGAAAGTTACCTTCGGGTGGTGTCATTGCTTTTCTGATTAGTGTTCATTTGGCTTTTCCAAATTTTTGCATTGAGTTTATAATTTGTTTTATGTGTAAAGTAAAAAATAAATAATTAAACAGAAAGCACTTCTTTTAGTCACCTAGCTTTGGGTACACAGTTACATCTTAATTCATTTTGCTTCATTTGGTTTTAGTAATCCCTTATCCTCTACTCCTGCTGAAAACAAGTGATACAGTAAACTGCACTGTGTCAAGCAGAATTCTTCTTCCTCTTTCAAAGAAGACTGTCTAGAAATGAACAATTTTTTCAAGGCACCTGTTTCCTTTCAACGGGAATGACAGATAAAGTTTGATTGAGAGAAATGCCAATCATGTCATGAGGCAGATGGATTAACTTTCTAACGTTTCTTTCCCGACAGTAAATCTCAACTTTTACTCCTATGCTTAGCAAAATATTTTTAGAAATATTGTTTATTCAATACAGATGATGCATTTTACTACTTCTTAGAGCAAACCATTGATCCCTATCACCATGGCATTAGGTAGGCCCCACAAATCATCCAGGCATCTGCCCTCAGTCTCAAATAAATCACGACAGAGCAGTAAAGAAAAGGGAAATGTCAATCGGAACTAGGCAGTCAATAGGAAAAGATTTTTCAGTGTCTCTATTTATGACATTTCCTTTCACTTAAAGACATTGGTTATTCTAATTTTTGGTTTTTTTTGCAATTTCCTCTTGAGAACTTCTCCCATAAACTATATTTTAGCACAGTACGAATTTTCCCAGCTGGTATTTTTGAGTTCTTAAAAAATCCTATAGAGATTCATACTAAATATCATCTACAGTAAATTTTAAAATGATAGGTTATGGGTTGGGCAAGATGGCTCACGCCTGTAATCCCAGCAATTTGGGAGGCTGAGGCGGGTGGATCACAAGGTCAGGAGTTGGAGGCCAGCCTGGCCAACATGGTGAAACCCCATCTCTACTAAAAATACAAAAAATTAGCAGGGCTTGGTGGCGGGCGCCTGTAATCCCAGCTACTTGGGAGGCTGAGGCAGGAGAATTGTTTGAACCCAGGAGGTAGAGGTTGCAGTAAGCTGAGATCGCGCCATTGCACTCTAGCCTGGGTGACAGAGCAAGACTCCATCTCAAAAAAAAATAATAAAATGATAGGTTAAGCAATTATAAAATGTATAAACTTTACATAAAAGTGCAAACACACATATCGGTATTTATTGATTTAATTTTGAAGTTCCTATCTTTAAAAAGTATCAGTTCCCCAACTTAAAAATTCTCATCTACTTTGTTTACATTCATTTTATTATCAGGGAGGCCTGAATGAAATTCTTTCTGGGATATTTCATTATCTTGTTTATATTTTATATGTTACGTGCTGTTGTGTTATATTACTATATAATTTTATATATTTAACTTAATATTTAATTAATATTAATTTAATGGTAAGATAGTCTTTCCTATTTCAAAATTCCAATCTCATATTTGATTCAAAGTCTTCATCCAAGCCAGGTGTAATAGTGGTACCAGAGGCCTGGAGCAGAGGTGAGACCAAAGTGAGGGGAGCTTCTATCTCACACACTTACCTTCTTTTCTTCTCAGACTCCTCTGAATTGAAGGTGGTGGGGAGGGATAAGAGAAATAATTTTTTTTCATGTCTTCCCTCTGCTTTATTGGTTATAATTCCAATCATCTTATGCAATAGTGGCAATGGTAGTAAGGTCACCATCCCTTTTCTATTGGCGTCACTGTTGTCCTGTCTAACTCTGACTGCCCTGGGTTCCCTCTGAGAGGCAAGAATTAAAATGCTGGCTCTCTGAGGGGAAAGAGCATATTAATTCTTCAAAGGTTCGCATGGGAGGCCTCCCCTGAATAGCACCCTGGAATGGAAGATCCAGCTGAAGTTGGCTTCGTTCTTGCCCCTCCTCAGCACCCTCCCCATGGTGACTTGCTGATGGGACTCCCTCAACAAACTAGCAGCCCTCTTAGGGGTATAATCAAGAGAATTTCATCTCTAGCCACCTTCTGTAGTAACCACTTAGGCACAAGAGACTGCCATACTCTGGCCATGCCAAAGAGTGGTAATGCTCACACATCTAACGCTCTACCTCTTAGTTCTTAACGCCTCACCCTAGACTGTCAGACAGGAGATAATCTTACTCCCTGATTTAGGGCAGAGGGGTTGCGACACTTCTCCAGCCTCAATCTTGTACAAAGAAGGAGGTAGACGAGTTAGATAAATCTCTTTGTCAACCGAAACTTTGACATCTTGGAACATTGAACTTGATTTCTGGCTGCCTAATCTGTGGGGTATCTCTAAGGGAATGAGAGCAATCCCTTATTTGAAAAAAAAAAAAAAAACCAACACAACTACTGTATTCTGTACAGATAATTCCGGCCATCCCATCCAGAAAAATATTGCTGACCTTTTGGACATCAGCACCGCAAAAAACAGAACCCAGAGCATTTTTTGCTCACAACGTTTTATCTAAGACAAACACAGAAACAGCTATGTGTAATTCAGGTAGCACACGCTTAGAGAATATAAACAAATTGAGCCAAATTATCTGCAAAATAAGAAGCTTTTAATTATTCTATATAACTTGATTCTGAACCCCACTCCATAGCCCCTTGGGAAGACACTTGGTAAAATATGTGTTAATACTTTGCTCCAGAAGCAGGTCTGGGAAACCCCAAAAGTGGTCCAACATTTGAGATTCTAATCACAAATGCTGTGGAAAATACCCATTTAAAGAGTAACTTGAAGTGGGCTAAGCAAATACGCCCTCCCCAAAACACACATACTATCTATAGATAGATATATACACTCTGTCTATATTAAAATATATATTGACAACACACACTATATATATAGTGTGTATGTGATATGTTTATTTACAACAGTTAATAATTTTCTGTTTATTAACAACAATTCTCTAATGGGATTCTGTGTTTTTACTTTTTTATACCATTGTATATTTTCAAATTTCTACAATGAATATATTGATAATAAGATGAACGATGGCATTGATTAAAGTATTACATTTGCCAAGCTCAATGATAAACTTCTATACATATAGCTAGTTTAAACCTCAAAACAGGACAATGAGATAGAAACTATGACTAACTTCATTTTAAAGATGGAAAAACTAGTACCTAGAGGTTCTTCATTGCACAGCGAGGAAGACAGAACAATTAACAGGTGGCATAGCCACCATGTAAGTTCATGTCAATCTGACTCTACATTTGTGTTCTTTCCACTATACCATGTGACATAACTGAAGTGCAAGATCCTTAGTGGGACCACAGATCAGAAGTGGCTCAATCATAATCAGCACACCCAGGAGGTTTATTCTCATGACATGGGATGTAAAATAGCACTCTCCACTAGAAGTCAAACAGGAAATAAGCAGAGGAGACGAAGATTAGGTGTCTGAAAAGTCAGCTTTGTTTCTCCTACAAAGCACATAAAGCAATGTACAGTGAAGGGAGGGGAGCAATTTGGGTATAGACTCGAGACTATACTAAAGCATGGCTGTGGAGAAAAGATCAATTCAGGAAAGCCTCGCCAATCAGAGGTCCAACCTGCAGCTGCCTCAGCCAGTTGTAACACAGGGAACCCCAAAATTTGTTTAAAGGACTTCCAGCAGCATATATGCCCCAAAAAGCTGGGAACTTAATCATATTAGAAATATGTAGTGACACCACTGGCCTCCTCCAAATGACTAAGTTTGCAGAGAATGGCAGAAGATTACAAATAGCAACACACTGACAGCCAGTGAAAGTCCACCAGGGGCAAAGGAACATGAGATCAACAGAACAGGTGGAAGAATTGTTCAAGTGGAGCAGTTGGGCAACGGGTGGACATCAGTGAAAGGGTCACCTGAGTTCTCCATATTTCAATAGTTCCCAAAGACATCACTGCAAGGCAGCACAATAGACAAACAACATTAGAACAAGAAAGAATAGAAGTCACTGGAGGTACCCTAGATCCTACCTTGTTTTACAGCTAACTTGATGAAAGGAGAAAACTGTTGCCACTCAGAATTACAACCCTGAGTCATTAAGAAGCAGTGATTTTCTCAAAGTATTATGTTTAAAATGGTTACACAAAAAGCAAAAATAAGCCTAATGGCATTTACACACACCAATTTCTATTTTGTGAAAAAACATTATTTTGTAAAATATCTTGTGCTCTGATGAGGTCAGACATATGAGTCTACGGTGAAGCCTGGTAATAATATTAGTAGAGGACATTTAGCTTTTTCAAAGTCTACCATCTCTTTTTATCGTCACACTTTTCATATGAGATTGCCAGGGCACGGATTTGATATAATTATCTTCACTTTATAGATTTGTCTCAGTGAAGCCACTTAAGATTGGCAGAGCCACTGTTAAAACCTAGGTCTCCTAATGCACAACTCTGGGCATTTTCTTCTGTGTTTCACTGCCCAATAACTCCTTTGGGTGGGGACAGGGAAATGCTAGGAAATTAAATGAGTATCTGAGGACAGCTGGCTATGCAATACTATGTGTGCATTCATTCATTCAACAAGTATGCATTAAGCATCTGAATCAGTTAGCTATTGCCACAAAAATACCACCCTGCCAAAAAAGACACCCCCAAACGACGTAGCTTTAAACAAGTCATTATACTGTCACAGATTTGTGTGTTTGATGAAAGTTAACTAATTTAGGATGGACTCAGCTGAGTAACTCTGCTGATCTCAGCTGGGAGTGAGCTGATCTGGCCTGGCTTGGCCGTGGTGGTTCAGCTCCGTTCCACATGTCTGTCATCCTCCTCCTGGGACTAGAAGGTGAGCCCAGTCCTGCACCTCTCATGGCAACAGCAGAGGCACAAGAAGGAAAGCGTCATTTTCAGGTGCTTTCTAAACTTTGGTTCTGCCTTTTAAGCCTCTGGCCTGCTAACATTCCATTGGCCAAAGCAAGTCACATAGCCAAACTCAAAACCAAGAGGCAAGAACACAGAATCTGTCTCTTTAATGGGACAAACTGCAGAGTCAGATAGCAAAGGATGTGGATAGGAGGGAGTGAAGAATTGGGACCATTAATGCTGCCAACATCTACCATGGTCCAGGCACTGTGCAAAGCACTGAGGAAGCAGTCCCAACCATAACAGAAGCTGGCCTCCTGAAGCTTACAGTCAAAAACAATGATTAAACATCCATGCTTATGAATTCCACTGCAGCCTGCTATAACTGTAACAACATTTAATAATGAAAGTAAATCTGCTACCCCCATTATATTTTGCATTTCTGGAAGGAATATGTGCTTTGAGGGGTTATCCATTATTTTGAACTCTCTTCACACTGCTTCCCTTCTATTGTCACACATTATCAAGATGATCTCATATGACGTATTTGTTCAAGTGAATAATGGTATTTATTTAGAGGACCAATGAAATAGCACTTCTCTGCTGTTTTGGCTGCATGTTAGTGTGAGATCCAGCAGGTAGGATGGAAAAATTCTCACCTTAAGAAGCTAAAGATCCACATTCCAGGTCTCCACCCCATATAAGCATCCTGACAATAAACCTGTTTACATCACAGGAGTTGTTACTTAACTCAAAAACATTTACTGAGAGCCATCTATGTACCAGGCTCAGTGATCAGGGTTTTTCCATCTAATGACTCATCTAATAGGATAACCTTGTGAGTAAAACTACTGCAAGACTTATCCCATATTCAACAAATGGTTATTAAAGCACAATTATATGCCAGCCACTCGGTCTGCCAGATGAGAAATATATATTTCTGGCCCTCCAGAAGTACACATCCTATTAAGAGACAGACCTGTAAACAATATAATTAAAATATAATGAGGTAAGTGCCTTTATAGGAGACAATGCACTTTCAAACATTAGGCAAATATAAGGCATTATAATTAAGCATAGCTGTAGGTCTCAAAGACCTCATCCTGTTTTCAGAAGGGCGTAATTTACCTGCAAGGAAGTCTGTGGTACTGAGACAATTTGAACTGGATGGAGGAATACCCTGATTCCAAAACCATATGCCATCACCGTTTCCACTTTCTGAGAAAATATGATTAAAAGGAAAAGTAAAAGCATGATGCTTGCCAGCCAAGCAGATAAATGACAGTCTTGAGGATTCAGGTGCAGACTCAAGAAACTTACGTGCCCAGGACAGGGAATAAGAAAAGAGCAGTGAAAATTCCAAAAAGCTCAGAGATTGAGAGAACTCAGGTCATAAACCTAAAATAAAAGAAAGTGGAACATGGGGTGACCTTTTCTGGGCGTCGGTTCTAACTTCCTTGATAGGAAATCAATGTCCATTCCAGACACAAAATAAGAGTTTATCACCTCCAGCACTTTACAAATACTTGCTTAAACAACCAACCAACCTATATATTTATCCCCCCTATAAATTTTTCCCTCCTCTACTTCTTTCTTTCCTTCCCCAAATATTTCCTAAAGGAAGCATGCTAATTGCTGGAAGGTACATGATAACATCAGCCACTGAATCAGCTTATCTTATCAAAAACTTTTACTGACAAATGTTCAATGTTTTTAATAAAGCACATACCCTCGGACATAAAAGGAGTTAATTATCACAAACTTCAAACCCCTATAAAGCCCAATCACTGATGATTAGAAATGTTACTTAGTATATCAGTGCCACAATCTCAGTACTGCTTTCATTAAATGACTTTGCCAAAGTTATGAAACCTTCATAATTCCATGAAAAATGGGTGTTTCTAACAATACTATGTATAATTAAGCATACACTGCTGTGCAGTTGGAAAATTCCATTGTCACCTGCATCAGCCTCAAAGATCAATTTGCATACATGGATCAAAGAGAATCTTACAGCTTGCTGGTTCATTTCAAAGACAACTGGGAGGATTTTAAGACCTTAGTACATCCTCAAATTAATCAGAATAAGAATGTTTTTACTTGTAAACAGCCAAGTATTTCATAAGGGATTATATGGGAAATGCATTTATCTATTGCTTGAGTTTAACTTTTCTGATAAGTGTGCTTTCATTACTTCTCTCTCTCAAGCCTCAAGATTCTTAAATCTTCTTCAAATTAATGATATATTTTAAAGTCAAATCAAAATTATATTATTCCGGCCAGGTGCGGTGGCTCACGCCTGTAATCCCAGCACTTTGGGAGGCCGAGCTGGATGGATCACCTGAGGTCACGAGTTCGAGACCAGTCTGGCCAACAGGGTGAAACCCCGTCTCTACTAAAAATACAAAAATTAGCCAGGCGTGATGGCGGGCGCCTGTAATCCCAGCTACTCGGGAGGCTGAGGCAGGAGAATCACTTGAACCCGGGAGGCAGAGGTTGCAGTGAGCGGAGATCACGCCACTGCACTCCAGCCTGGGCAACAGAGAGAGACTCTATCTCAAAACAAAAAGAAATTATACTATTCCATTCCATTTAACATGCAGGGTTTCAGTGGGTCCTCCGGAAGTGCAAGACTGGAGAAAATACTGCTGACATGAAGTAGCAACTAAAGTCCTCTCACCTGCATTTTGTGCAACGTCTTTGCCCGTTTGGAAGCCAAGGCTTCCAATAGGCCAGGTTGTATAGGCCAGGCAGAATAGGCCAGGCTGAATAGTAATGGAAAGTAGAAACTAAGGCAAAGGACAAAGAAAGACCCACTCCCATTGGTGACCGGGCATCACTGCGATGTTCCATTACCTATTGTCTCTCAGCTCCAAGCCCACCATCCTATACTCTCCCCTGTGATCCTAGAGCTGAGACTCTGCAAGCCATGTTTCTCTGAGTCCCTTGCTAGCTGGCTTCCTGTCCAGTTCCACCATCAGGAGATTGAATGAATGTGGAGGATCTCCCAGAGGAGTGTGGCTGGATGGGGAAAGGGACTTCCCACTTCTTTCCCAGTTTCTGTCAGCATGTCTCTAATAGCAGCCTCACTTTACACCCTCAGAGGTGCCAGCGGCAGCTGGAGGACCAGCCATCTGTGCTCCCTAACTCACTGGGCCATGCCATCTGGGCTACTGGAGCACCCACTAGATCACCCACTCGTTGGCCTACGTACCAGAGGCAGGGCACCTACTCCACAAAGGTGCAGTCACCAGCCCCAGAAGGGCCCTTCCCCAAACTCCTGGATTCTAAAACAGCACATTTTCCCTCTTGTTCTCCCAGCCCAGGGGCATTGCTTCCTGCAATTATTATCTCCGGCTCCCTCAGCTTCCCTTTTGCTCTTTAGCCTTCCAATGCTGGTGTAGCCAATTCCTGTGTTAAATCCCTTCTGTTTAAATTCCCAGTGTATCTTCTTTTTTTTCTTAACTAGATCCTGACTGATATATTCATCCAGGCAGTGATGCTCAATGAAGAAAAAGTGGATTTTTCCATTGCTGGTGAGAGATTGGGGAAAGGATCAATATGCTGTTTTTAGAAGCTGTAGAGGTGATTTTGATAATACCTCAGTTCCCTGCCATTGTTCTTTCTTATCCTTCGCCCGCAACATGGTTTTCCAGCCATCTTACAAGGTCATACTGGGTACAACTAAAGGTGGCACCAGTGGAGGAAATACACACAGTTTGACTTCTGATGGTTCAACTTATGATTTTTCAACTCTAGAATGGTGTGAAGGTGATATGAATTCAATAGAATCCATAATTTGAGTATCCATATGACCATTCTGTTTTTCACTTTCAGTACAAATATTCAATAAATTACATGAGATATTCAATACTTTATTATAAAATAGGCTTTGTGTTACATGATTTTGCTCAGCTATAGGCTAATGGAAGTATTCTGAGGACATTTAAGGTAGGCTAGGCTAAGCTATGCTGTTTGGTAGGTTAGGTAAATTAAATGTATTTTCCCCTAAACCATATTTTCCACTTAGGATGGGTTTATCAGGATGTAACTCCATTGTAAGTTGAGGAGCACCTGGATATGAGAGTCTACAAGGAGTCCCTTTATCCATTAACCCCCCGGGTAATCCACCTATTGCATGTGTCAATAATGGTGATTTGAAATGATGCTAGGCCAGGTACAACCACACCTCACTCACCATGCCTTTTGAAGGCTGCCCCCACCTGCCAGTTAAGGGAGGTGGCACATAAGGTACCAACCGTCGTAGGAATTAAAGGCCACCCATATAATCGTGCTTATACTCTGACATGAGGACATAGTCAATACTACAAAGGGGAAAAATAAGCAGAACTTTAGCCCACAGCTTAGGAAAAGGTTCCCAGCCCTTGATATTTAACAACCTCATCGGTAATTGCACTCCAGAAAATAGCACTACACGCTTTCACTGCAGCACAGACCACAGCCCAGAAATAAATTCAAGCTAAAAGAGTCATTTAGAAAACTGGATATTCTTTCAGGGTATTCACACAAGAATATCATAATTATGTGTTATATCTGTAGAGTATCTTTATTTCTCTAGTGTGTTCGCTGTGTTGTATTTCAATTAAATATTAACCAATGAATCTTTCAGGAAATATAAAAAGATGATTCCCTAGGTAAATAACTTTAGTTTTTAAAAAAGAACACTTCTAAAAATTATTAATGCAATGCATCAAAGTGAGCATTTGAAAACTAAACTCAGGCAGATGTCGACTGCAGCATTTAGCCCCCTTTCTGAGCATCACTAGGCCCCTCATGCCCAGAGCTAATACGACCTCAAGAAAATGAAGCCAGTCTTTGACTCAGTGATTTAGAGGTGGTAGGGGAAGTTGGGAATAAATGCTAATGGTTTTCAGTCAAACCCAAAGCAAAACACAAGCCAGTCAAAGTAAATATTTTGTCTTACGCTTCCAGTTGACATTTGTACGTCAGGATAAGGCCTTACCCTGAAAAATAATTTTTTCAGTTAACAGCCCTTGCTTTAGTTTACCTTTTTGCGGGGAAAAAAACACATATATGCATACAAAGGAAATGAAGCATAAGACAAATGTTTCACAATAGTTCTATTTGATTTACCAGTTCCTTAGGCTAGTTGCTGGTTCATCTTAAATTCTAGTCCTCAGCACCCCACCCAGCCTCCACCACACACAACAGGCATCCTCCTCACACATCTGAAGCTTTTCACATCAGTATTTCCTCCAGTATTTACCGCTATTCATCTCAACTCTTCTGTACAATTCACCTTTCAAGTAGGGCCAGTACCATAAACCCTAATTTATAGAGCAATTTGCATTCAGTGTAACCGCTCTTCAGTTACAGCAAACAGGCAGAAAAAAGGTTTTTTGATCAATTTGTCAGTTGAAATCTGTTTATATCTTCCCTGTCAACTGTGGGAAAGCTGTATGTAAAGTACACAAATGTAATCATGTATATTTTCTGATGATTGTTTTGTGATATCTTTGACATTTGTTAAATCTTCCCCCCAAAATCCTGTTAGTTTATCTATAGAACAAGAAAGGGGCTAGTGTTGGGTGACATATCTGTTTCCATACAGGCCACGTTCTTTCTTAATTTCTCTACTGGTTTGTACTTGTTGAAGATAAGCATGTGTCCTGAACATTTATTATATGTTATACGTCCTGTAGATCTGCCTGAATTGTCACTGCTTGGAACTGTAAGCCTCAAAGGAACAAATTTTTTGGCCATTCCTGGCATGGTGGCAGATACACAGAGATCCTCAGTATGGCAGATTCTGTTGGTGCCCTATCTACACCCTCTTGCTGCTATTTGTTCTCTTAAACACTTATGGCTTTTGAGAAAAACCTTTGTGACTCCCTGCCTGAAGGTTCTGTCTAGCCACAGGAACATGCTCTGTGTGCACGTGGGGCAGGCTGAAAGGGCCAAGAATCAACATCCCTCCTCCAGCGGCTGTCAACCAATGAAGGATGGAAGTGTTTGGATACATACCCCAGCTTCCTCACCTCTTAGGTGGGGCAACTCTGAAGCATGTTGTATACAATATCCCAGAGGTCCACATAATAGGACTGAGAGTCAGTCACCCACAAAGGTAACCCTATCGGTAACGTGCCTGTATTGGCTTCCTTCTCTTACCTATCTCACTTCCCACCTCTTTTCTCAGTGCATCCTGGAATCACCTCCCAAATAAAATATTTATATTCATGTTTCACCTCAAAGTCAGCTTATGAGGGACCCCATCCCACAACTAGTCAACAAATATTTTCAGTGATGTGCATAGGTTTTTCTGCCCTACAAACTTGATTTTTTTTTTTTTTTTTTTTTGAGACAGGGTCTCACTCTGTCACCCAGGCTGGAGTGCAGTGGCTCGATCTCAGCTCGCTGCAACTTCTGCCTCCCGGGTTCAAGCAATCCTCCCACCTTAGTCTCCCCAGTAGCTGGGACTACAGGGGTGCACCACTATGCCCGGCTAATTTTTATATTTTTTGGTAGAGACGGGGTTTCACCATGTTGGCCAGGCTTGTCTCAAACTCCTGACAGCTGATCCACCCGCCTCGGCCTCCCAAAGTGTTCGGATTACAGGCGTGAGTCACTGCACCCAGCCTGCCCTACAAACTTGAAATACGAAAGGTCTCATATTTGGCAATGTGGCAACAAAAAAAATGACCTTGGAGCTTTGTCTTCAAAACACACCACCAGTTCCCTTATAGAAAGTGTAGGCAGGCACCAAAATTTACTACATATTATTACTAATCAAAACACACTTTTGACCCACAGGCCAGTGAAGCAATTGATAATGAAAAACCTTGATGAAATTGGGGCCTGAGCCAGTGGAATTTAGTCAACTGCCCCATTCGACTCCCCGCCCTCACCACATCCCAGCACCCAACACAGACATTGGTAATGCTGCCTAGACAAATGGTCCCAACTCCTCAAACCATGTATCAATTAATAGTCAGGAATTAACACAGAAGCAGAGGAGGCTCACATAAACAACAATCCAAGATTCCAACCATTTCTGTGTGGGCATTTTGATGTTATTGAAACCACTGCATAGTCCTAAGGCCACATAACAGGAAAGCACACTGAGGCCATGAGGTGGCAGAGAGTGACCGCTTGACTGGATTCAGCACCAAGAACCCAGCTTGGAAGGGGACAGTCACTCAGAGTCCTCTGGGAAGCTGCCATTGGAATTTGTCCCCAGCTACCGACCGCTCATGATGAAAAAAGAAGTGTCCTCCCTTGGGCTCATTCAACAAATATTACCAAGCCAGTTACGCACTGAGGATTCAATGGTGAACAAAACAGACCCTATCCCACCTTTGCGGAGCTTACAGCTTAGTGTAGAAGACAGATATTAAGTAAGGAAATGCCCACAAAACAGTAAATGCCTACAAAGATGAAGGGTAAAGGGAAATCTAAACAATATGAGGAATAAGAAGTTCTCAGTGCAAAGGGAAAATATAAGGGGCAGGCCAGAAGAAATAGCACGTGTGAAGGCAGGGAATGTGAGATTTTAAAGGAACAAGAAAATTGGCTAAAAACCGTAACCAATATGGCTAAGGTCGGGAGAGAGAGAGAAAAGGCAGGGGGAGGACTTAGAACACTGTCTGACACATAGCTAGTGTACAATACACATTAGCTATTGAGGGACTCTTGAGAAAAGCCTGCCCTTCCTTAAATGAAACTCCAACTTGGGGTAAATCTTCACAACTCCAATATTATGCTAGAAATGCTACTGCCTACTTGATGGTCATTAAGTAAATTAAAATTGTCCACTGATTTAACAGTGGATCTCAAACCTAGCTTCTCATTAGAAATACATGGGGAGCTTTTTAAAAATACTGTTTCTTGTAAAGATTAGCCTCAACCATCCAGACTGAATGCAGGAGCAGATATGAGAATCCAGCTGTCTTCTATTAAGCCAAACATTAAAGAAATTTGGAGAAATATAAAATGATACCACTCTTTTCACGATTTATTTTTTATTTTGGAAAACATATTTTAAAATAAATATTTATGTTAATATGTTAAAAAATACTGCTTCTTTGACATCCCCTCTCCACCCAACCAACTAAATCAGAAACCTTAGGAGATGGAGCCTGAGTATTTAAATTTCCCCAGCTGCTCTTACATGCGGCCAGCTTTGAGAACCAGGACAACATTTCAACATGAACTAGTTTATTAGTGAACAGCTAGCCAGCCTGTCACTAAGCCAGGCCCCAGCTGGGATACAAGAAAGGTAAATTAAAATTTAAGTCTGGGCTGGGCACGGTGGATCAAACCTGTAATCCCAACACTTTGGGAGGCCAAGGTGGGAGGATCACTTGAGGTCAGGAGTTCGAGACCAGCCTGACCAACATGGTGGAACCCCCGTCTCTACTAAAAATACAAAAAATTAGCCAGGTGTGGTGACACACGCCTGTTAATTCCAGCTACTCATGAGGCTGAGGCAGGAGAATCACTTGAACCCGGGAGGCAGAGGTTGCAGTGGGTCGAGATTGCACCACTGCACTCCAGCCTGGGCAACAGAGCAAGACTCCGTCTCAAAAAAAAAAAAAATAATAATAATAATAATAAATAGTAATAATAAAATAAAAAATAAAATTTAAGTCTGGATGAGTTTACTGAGAGCCTGCTCTAGGGTAGACACTTTTCATTCACTGTGTTATTTGGTCTCCAAAAATTCTATAACGCAATTTCATCCCATTTCATAGACAGCAAACAATTGGTATCCAGAGAAGCAGGTTTTCTAGATCATACAACAAACAAACGGGGGAAGCAGGATTTAAGAGCTAGTCGTTTTGCATTCCAAACCCTACCCTCTATCTGCTACCTCATAGAGCTTTCTAAGAAAGTGGTGAATGGTTGCAGCCCTTGGGAACTTAAAAAAAAAAAAAGGAAATTAGAGACTGAAAAAGTGGTGGGATTGAGAAGGCTCCAAGGGAGAAGTATCAGAGGACATAAGACAGACTTCACATAACCTGACATTTTCCCCACAGACAGAGCTGCTAGGTATGGCAGACCTCTGGGTACCCATCGCTCACCCAGAAACTTCTCCCCACGTTGCTGGGGAGTCATCCTTGATACCTTGCTTTCTTTTATGTCCCACATCTAATTCATCAGTAAGTGCTATTCTATGCCTCTAAACCATCTCCAGAATCTGACCACTTCTCAATATACGCACAGCTACAACCCTCGTCTTACAGACTAAATGTTTGTCCCCACCCCCAAATTCACGTGTTGAAGCCCTTTCCCCCCAATGTGATGGTATTAGGAGGTGGGGCCTCTGGGAGGTGACTAGGTTTTGATGAGGTTTTGAAGGTGGGAACCTCATGATGGGATGAGTGTCCTTATAAGGAGAGGAAGAGACCTCAGAGCCCTCTCTCTCTCTCCATCAGGTGAGGAGTCAATGAGAAGGTGGCCATCTGCAAACCAGGAACTGAATCTGCCAGCACCTTGATTTTAGACCTCTCAGCCTCTAGAACTGTGAGAAATGAATGTCTATCGTTAACGCCACCAAAAATATGGTATTTTGTTATAGCAGTCCGAGTTGACTAGGACACCCAGTCCAAGTCACCGCAAGTCCTCATTGGGCTGACTATCTTCGCCTCCCTTGTACTCTTGCTCCCAGACAGTCTCTCCTCACACAGCGGCAAGAGTTATCAAGGGAAAAAGAAATCAGAGCATGCTGATCAAGCAGGCTGCTTCTCTTCAAACCTTCTAACAACTTCCCATTTCAACCAGACCAAAATCCCTACTCCTCCGTGGCCCTCTGAGCTCTGGGACTGCCTATTTCTCCAGCTCCGTCACCTGCCGTGTTCCCTCTCATGCACACTGGCCTTCTCCCATCCCTCACCATTTGCTGCTATGTCGGGGCATTCCTACACTCCATTCTCTCTAACTGGAGTGCTTTCACCCAGATCTTTGCATGGCAGCCTGCTTTTCATTTTGCTCTCAACTCCAACTTCACCTCCCCAGAGAGGCCTTGCCTGACCATCATAGCTAAAAGAGACCCCCTTCCTCTCCTTGCTAGTCATGTGCTAGACACTCAATAATCACTTGCTTACTGGTAGGCATGCTTTTTCAAAAGTGTAACTAACTGCATCCATGGCCAGAAGGATTGTGATTCTTTAGTTGGAAATTCTATTCATCACACCCTGACATGCTCTTCAGCCTTGAACCCATGGCTAGTTCTCTTTTCTGTTCGCAAAATGAGAATAATGATTAACATGAGTCTTGAGGCGACCTTCTGACCGAGGGCTCGATGTGGGTTAGTAATTAGACTCCCAGTGCCATATCCAGAAAGAGGGAGAACCCAGAGCCAAATCCTTTTCTTGCGCCTTTTCCTTTGCATTTGATGTTGGCTTTTCATTTAGAACATTCAGGGAGGAGGCAAATAAATATTACATTGGCTGACACTGTGTGAATGCTCATCACATCCAGTCAGGGCAGAAAGGCTGGAAGCAAACCATTACGAGAAACCCTCATAGGCTTGGACCAGACTCTAAGTCCATTAATCTCCTGCAAGATAACCAAGTCCACTGTCAATAAAAAATTAACGACACCATTTCCTGAGCTTGGCACTATCTAAGAGTCCAAACAGACCCAGGAAATGGAGTGTAGCTTCTACTCCAGATCCTTCATGAAAAAAAGGGATATTGCCCAGGACAAATGACAGAGCTGCCTCCATGGTGAGTGTCCAGTCTTCTGCCTGCCCTCCCTAATTGCAACACTGATCTGCTGTTATATAGTCCCCTCTTTTCTCCTCTCTGTAGCCAGAAGCTCTAAACTTGTAGACCCTCATGAGGCCTGTGCGTAGAATTCAGGAGTCTCTAACTTGGATGGGAAACTTTTACTTTTGTTCCCTCTAATCTCTAACTGAAATGTGGCATTTCCTTTAAATCAACGTAGGTAACAAACTGCAGCACCACTAGCAGTGCCTGTGACTTTGTCGCCAATAAAATTCAGTTATTTTCATATCACATTTCAGTTGTTGCAGATATCTCAAAATCCTGTTAACACTCACACTACTTCAAAAGTACTGAAGTTATTACAACTGTTGTTACATCTTGTTATTAACATGTTAATAAAGAAGCACCTGTATTACTGTTTCACAAACCTGTTTTTAAAATATATTTTGGTAGCTGTATTTTGATATGATTGATTTCCTTTGTTATCCAGTATATTTTATATTATGCTTTTAAAAACACTTCCTGAGAGGGAATTCATAGGCTTCACCAACCTTCCAAAGCTGTGCCTGGCACCAGAAAGACTAAGAATACCTGCCCTAGTTCCCACCTTTGGTCACATGGCAAAGTGGCCAAGTCTTCTCACTGATGTACAAGAGAAGTTTCCATCTGAGGCAACTTGCAATTCAGACAAGGTTTGTCGTCTAACCTGTCTCCACGCGACGCCCCACTCTGCCCTGCCTCACTGTCCCTAGCAGTGTTTCTTAGCTTTTGTAGGCCATGCTGCCCTTTAATAAACATTTATGCCCACCTTTAATGCTCTCTGAAATGCAAAATCAACACTGTGATTAAAAACCACTCAATAGTCAGAAAGAATGAATAAGACCTACTATTTGATAACACAACACGGTGACTATACTCAATACTAACTGTACATTTTAAAATAACTTAAAGAGTGTAATTGGATTGTTGGCAACTCAATGGATAAATGCTTGAGGGGATGGATACCCCATTTTTCATGATGTGCTTATTTCACATAGCGTGCCTGTATCAAAACATCTCCTGTACTCCATAAATATATATACCTACTATGTACCCACAAATTTTTCTTTTAATTATTAAAAAACCACTAAGTAGGGCAAAGTATTTCTTTATGTTAAATCCCCACATGTCAACTTCACCAGAAATTTCGATTCCCCAATCTCACTAGCAACTGTGGCTGAGAATCACTTCTGAATGAATCACTTCTTTTTTTTTTTTTGAGATGGAGTTTCACTCTTGTTACCAGGCTGGAGTGCAATGGCGCGATCTCAGCTCACCGCAACCTCCGCCTCCTGGGTTCAAGTGATTCTCCTGCTTCAGCCTCCCGAGTAGCTGGGATTACAGACATGCGCCACCACGCCCAGCTAATTTTGTATTCTTAGTAGAGACGGGGTTTCTCCATGTTGATCAGGCTGGTCTCGAACTCCCGACCTCAGGTGATCCCACCCGTCTCAGCCTCCGAAAGTGCTGGGATTACAGGCATGAGCCACCGCGCCCGGCCTGAATGAATCACTTCTAAATGAATTCTACTGAGAGGACAGTAGAAACCACTCGTGTTCTTGGTTACCTCCTAGGTATTTACCTGACTAACTGTCCCATTCCTACCAGTATCCCAGGCTAGGATGGGTTGACTTCTATTCCTAGACTGAGATGTAAGGATGAGGGTCTAGATTGGCATGGGGTGGGCAATTTCCCTTTCTCTTTTAGTTCTGAGATAACAAGCATGGCGTTTCTGGAAAACAAGTTTACCAAGACACTAAAGGGAAAGGCAGAAACCATGTAGAAAATACAGAAGTCTGAAATCAAGCTTGTCTTCAGAGAACAGATTTCTTATCCCAGGGTGACTCCAGTCTGGCTTAACACTGGCCTGGCACTCATCACTGGGCACTCAAGCCCCTGTTATTTTCTTCCTCTCTAACTGGGATGTGAGACTTGGCAACTCTAAACCCTATCCAGAGGGAGTTCACGGTTGGCACAGCTGCTAGGCCTGGCAGGAATCTCAGGCCCTTCCAATGTCAGCTTCCTGAATTCTCTCCAGGTGTGGGCAGGGTGAGAAGAAAAGAGGCCAATGGTAAAATCCGAGAAAAAGCTAACATATGAGAGGCAGGGAGAGGATATGGATCCACGGAAGGGATAGAGAAAGAACGATAGTGGAGAAGAGCTACCCCAAAGAATCATGAAATGAGCACCGTGTGTGGGCCCAGCTGAGTGGCCTTCTCTTTGGCTCCCCCTTGAGGGCACCTCCTGGTACTGCACCTAGCCCCGGACCCCCAGCCTAGGCCACAAGTAACCCTGGCACCCCTACGAGACAAACATACACAAACACACATACACGCACACACATTCCTGCCTGGTCCTCCAAACACTCATTTCCAACCTCCTTCTCCCTTCTCTGAGAAGCTGAAAAAGCTAATCTTCTCCCAATGTCTCTTGAGTGTAGGAGTGGCCATGTGCTACCAGTCTGACCACTCAGATATAAAAGGAAATTTACTGGAGTGGTACTGGAGAAAATATTACGTTTCCTTATTAAAGGAACAGACACAACTTTCCCCTTCCCTCATGTCTTAAATACAGACCTGATGTGTCTAGAACTGTAACAGTTATATTTTGAACAGAGGCAATGACCGTGGTGGGAAGGCCACAGGGATGGCAGGGATGCCAGCCCTGACATTTTTGAGCCATTGAACCAATACCACCAGACATTGGGCTATGCAGGGAAAGGCAATCCTTTTTTGTTAAAGCAATTCTTAGTTAGGTTTCATTACTTGCAGACAAAAGCATTCCTAACTCATATACCAGAATAGTCCTTTCATACCAATATCTCTTCATCAACTCAAAGTAGCCAACTACCCGCTTCCCATACCCATCTTCTATGAGATACCTCTCCATAGCAACCCCTTAACACACACACATACTGCTGACTCAGGTGACACCATTTAGACAGCAATACTAACTATCAGATTCAATGTCAAGCCCTTCTCTTCTGGCTAATTATATCTTGCTCTGACCATACTAGACCCCAAGCTTGTCTCATAACCAGAACTCCCTACAGAGAGTATCCACAATGCACAGGCACCACGCAGCAAGGTCTGTGAAGTTTCTGGCATCAACTTTCACAGTGTATCTCAAGTCCCACTCCTCCATGAAGTCCCCCTTCATCACCCCGACATGAGGTGACCTCCCCCATCTTTGAATGCCACTTATGCCTGCACCCCTCTGTCAGAGATGAACACTTATGGCACTGGCATACATTGGTCTTAGTTATCTTCCACCTCCAGGCAGCCTCCATGTTCCCTCTCAGTCTGAGTTAGATACCCCTAATACCAACTCTTATAATGCCCTGTGCTTCCCTCTACTAAAGTCTTTACCAAACTTCTGCCACCTTCTGTCAACTTCTCTACATCCTCCAGTAAACTATAACCTTCTTGAGATAAGGATGGATGGTGGCTTACTTAGCATGTATATCAGTCCTTAAGTTGGGCCTGGAACGTATTAGTTGCTTTAAAAATATATTTGTGAAATGAATGAAGAATATTAACTCCCCACCAAGATATCAAGCTCCTTGAGAACAGGAATCTGGACTTGTGCCTCCTTGCATCCCCTAAGTGATGCACACAGTGGGCTTATAATAAATATTTAGTCAGTGATTTGTATAAAGAGGAAACCATGTTTTACTTCAATAACTTTCACTCGACACCTAAGGAACATGATTTTGTTTGTATATACCATATAAAAACATCCAATCATTAAATATGTATTTATAAACATATACAACACGTAGTCAAGAGTGTCAAATGGAAGCTTGGCCTGACAATTTTCTCCCACCAAATTGCTCGATGGTTTGACTTGACCCTACAATTGGTCCTGCATCACACAGACATAGCCTCTATGATTTTCTTATTAGATCGTTGCAAGAAAAATCAGCAGTAATTAAAAGGAGTCACTTCTGAAGAAGCTATTAAATGAAGGAGAGCAAGATGGGGGTGGTCATTACCACAGGTAAGAGCAAGGTGCCTTCTGAGGATAGCGTAATACTGATACATATATCCTGTGACATTACTCGCAAAAAGTCTACAGTCTACCAGGACACTGCTGGTGATTTTCTCAAGAAAGAGAGAGCCTTGCAAAGTGCAATCCATCACTTACAGCAAAGGCTGATCACTCAGACATGATGATGCTAACTAACCTAGGTGTTTAGGATACTTAAAAGGATGACTTGGGTCTCCTTTTTTCCAGGTGGGAAACAATAGCCAAGTGATTCTCCCAAATCCAAATACAAAGTCACGTTAGGGTAAGGATGGGATGGAGATGGCCATAGTGCTGGTGGGGCAAAAGGATGTGGCAGTTAAGCTGGGAAACTAGGGCACATGTTTTCAAATAAAGGAGAAGGGAAGATTCTGAGAGGGCATCTGTTAAGTTAAGAAAATGAAAATTCTTGCGAGGTGGGGAAAATACCTCCTGTAGCAGAGAGCAGTTTTATACAAAGTAAAAGAAAATACCTGTGGGTCTTCTGACACAAAACTTCAAGTTGGACTGGAAAATATGTGAACACCCAAAGTATGAATATTATCATATTATAATCTTCAAGCCTAGAAGAGACCTAAAGCACCCTCAAAAAACTGTGACAGTTTTGCCAAAGTTTGAGTTTCTCTCAGACCCCAAATATTAAAGCAACTTTTAGTCCCATTCCTCTGAAATGTGGAGAAGAGGTATCAGAGGGCATTAAGTAAAAAAATAGAATTATATGTTCCTGGCATACACTTGACAGCAGATTTATACAAAACTGATTAGTCTTTCTACTTTGCCCTTACCTCCACCCCAAAACATCCAATCAAAAGTGACTTTTGCCAGAGATCACGGAGACTGCTGGGCCTCTGTGAAGGTGTTATTGATCTCTTACCAGATGTTATGGGTTGAATTACATTAAAAATTTATATTTATAAATCTATGTCCCCCCAAAAATTTCTATATTGAACTCCTTACCCCCAGTACCTCAGAATATGACTTTATTTGGAAATATGACCTTATTTGGTTCATCACAGATGTAATTCGTTAAGATGAGGTCATACTGGAGTAGGGTGGGCCCCTAATCCAATATGACTGGTGTCCTCAAAAAAAAGGGTAAATTTGGACATAGACAGGCACACAGGGAGAACCTCATGTGAACATCTAGGCAGAGATCAGGATAATGAATCTACAAGCCAGGGAAAGCCAAAGCTCGCCAACAAACCACAAGAAGATAAGCAAGTAGCATGGAACAGATTCTTCCTCTCAGTCCTCAGAAAGAACCAACCCTACCCACACCTTGATCTCGGACTTCCAGCCTCCAGTACTGTGAGATGATCAATTTCCTTTTTTTTTTTTTTTTTTTTTTTTAAGCCACCTAGTTTTTGGTATTTTGTTATGGCAGTCCTAGGAAACTAGCACAACAGATTAACAACCAAGATCTTCAATGTTTGTATTGCCACGGGCTCTCTTCCACAGATAATTTTACCACCGCTGAAGAATTACCACTGCCCTGGTTTCCAGAGTTATCTTCTTTAAGTTACCTTCTCATAACATCATGTTGGAAACTTCAAGTATGTATAATCAAATTTATTTTAACAAAAGCTGCTTTTTGCTTATAGCCCCTTCTTATGTATGTACTTCTGTTCCATGGTTGGGAAAATCTGTGTTTACTAATTTCTAAGATGAGATTGATACGAAGCCATCTGTTAAATGGGAAATATTCCTGTATATATGAGATAGTCAACAAATATGGTTCCAATTAATGATTTTCAATTAGTATTTAAATATTTACTTGGACTGTGCCCATATGATGTCAAAATAACTGATTTGCATGTGAATATTCCATTCAAATAGCTGTTTGTCTACGTAACACTAAATAATGTGGCTGATTGTTGTTCTATTAAAAGACTGACTGGATTGACCAGTGGTTTTTGGCATCATAAAGCATAGCCTAGATTCCATTATGAATACCAGGAGACCAAGCCAGAGAAATAAAAAGGTTTTTCTTTTCTTGAAACTCCCAAGGACTATTAATAATGAAATATTACAGTGGAGGGGATGTTTCACTTAGGAAGTATCACTTAATAATATTAGTTAATAGTCCTTCCTGTGGGATTTTGTCACTACCTTATTTCATCTTTATTGTTCCATAGGGAAGTTCATTTCCGTGGCTTAGGTGATACTAACTGCTTTATAGAGACGAAAGTGTTATCTCTCCAGATGAGGCAAACTAAACAGTATGCCTACCAGACTGATAATAAATAGGGAGGCAAAGAGGTAGGGAAAGGGTCATGAACACGTTTGTTCTCATTTTCCTCTTTTTCCCACTCCCTACTTTTTCTCATCATGCACTGCCCACAGTGATGGGGACTGGATGGATAGATGTAGGGTGAAACCAAAAGAAGTAAATTGGGAAGAGTAGTTTGAACTGCAGAAAGAGGATGACATGAATTGGACAAGCTTCCAAGGGGGTCCAAACCAGACCCATGATTGTAACTCAGACATTGGCCTTCTGCCTACATCAAAGCCATAACAGTGGGCGTGTTATATAAATCTTTGTGGTCTTCTCACAACTTTCTCTGAGTCTTCCACTTCCTTTTTGCCTCCACCTCCTTTCTTTCCCCTTCTGACTATGAGTGGTCCCTAGAATCCAACTTTACTCCTTCATTAGAGATTCTATAGATGTGAGGTGCCACAGCAAGATGTGGACATGTGAATCTGAAATTCAGGATCCCTAAACAAATAGCTTCTCATATCTATCTAAGTAATACACTGGTCTAATCCAATACACTTTCTAGACAATCTCACTAATTCTTATTAGGATAGTATGGGGATTTTCAAGTAACATTTTAAGATATTTTTTAAATGATTTTTACAAGAAAGAGAATTTAAAGATATATCAAGAATGAGATTGCAAAGGTTTGTGAAATTAACATCTAGTAATAAGTAGAGAAAAATTTAGAATATATAATGATATAACAGCAAAAACATAGCTAGTGGGAATGTATGATGGTTCAGGTACTTTTGAAAACAGTTTGGCAGTTTCTTAAGATGTTAAGCATGGAGTTATGAAATGACCCAGCAATTCCACTCCTAGGTATATATCCAAAAGAAATGTGGACTTATGTCCACATAAAATGTTATTCACAAATGTTCATACCAGCATCATTTATAATAGGACTAAAAATACGTCATTAAAATGGTCTCATATTTATAGTGCCCTGGCAACGGGGCAATGAAAGAATGAGTGTCTAATACTATAAAATGTTGGTCCTATTTTCTTCAATGTGATTGCTAACTGTGTAAATTAAAGCAAGCAAGCTTGTGTGTGTGTGTGTGTGTGTGTGTGTGTGTGTGTGTGTTTCCTAACAGAAGTATAAGATGCCATCAGGTAATAATAGGGGCCTTGTGTATGGAGTGCATGGTGTTTGGTCACCTTCAGGGATGGATTCTAGCAGGTCATCAGAATGAAAATCCCCAATCCCCAGCTCTGCATTATAAAGATAAAAAGAATTGAGATGAACCAAAGACAGGAGGTTTTCCAGAGACTCTCACCCACGAAAGCCAATCATTTCCTCCCCCTCCTCCTTCTTCTTCTTCCAGATTTACCTCCTTTCCTTCTTCAGATGAAGTTGTCTCACGCAAGCAACTGGTCCTAAAATCTAACTCAATTATTTGAGAAGGAAGGACATTTATTAACCCACATGAATCTCTACACTGTGGATTTCATCTAATGGATCGTAGCCTCTACCTTGTGGACTCTCCAGACCATTTTCCAGGATGCTGGTCCCCATTGTCCAGCTCTCATTCCCAAAATATCATAATCACCCTCTATTTGTCATAGTCTAGAGCTTAACACAGTCCACCTTTTTTCCTTCCTCACTCTGATAAGAAATTCTGTTCTTCAGTGGAATTTGGTAAAAATAAAAAATAAACTAATACTTCTGGGGTTGGATATGGTTTGGCATGGCTATTTGGAATGACATTATGTCATCAGAAATCACGATGCAGTATCTTAGCTCCATTCTTCAATAATCCAAGTCCTGCCAATTCTATCTCCCTAAAAACATATCAACTCTTCCCTTTGTCTCCATCCCACTGGCCTCTACCTTGCTTCAGGCCCTAATCCTTTCTTGTCATAGCTATTATCATGACCTCCTAATTGGTCTCTTAGCCTCTAGTCTTGTTTTCCCTTATCCACCTCCTATGTGGCCACCAGATTTGTAAAACATAAACAAACATAAACCCGGCCATAAACACTCTTTAAAGCCCTGAAATGGCTCCCTGTCATCTCCAGAATAAAAACCCAGCTCTTTATTTGAACTTATAAGTTCCTTTTTAACCTAGTTCCTGTATACTTTTCCAAACTATTGCCTATCCATCCTGAGCTATTCATATTTCCGAAAACAAGCTAAGCCCTTTATCCCATCCTTATAATTTCGAATGTTATTCCCGCTGCCTGGAATATTCTTTCTCTCCATAGGTGGGTTAGCTAACTCTTTTACTTAACAGCTTTACTGAAATATAGTTTACATACCAGCACATTTATTAGGCTTAACTAACTGCTAACCTTTGAGACTCCATTTGGATGTCATCTCCTGTGTTTGGTTGGGTTCCACTAAAGACAGATCCTGAAATAAATATGTGGAAGCAAGAGGTTTATTTCAGAGAAGATTCCCAGAAAGCAGAGTAACGGAATGGAGAAAGGAGACAGAGAAGAGAGAAAAGTTTATAAAGGGTGTGTTAATGAGCATGAGTGTGTTATTGCTGTGGACAATGAGGGCTCCACTCCATTGGAATTCTTGGAGAGCCTGTGAGAAACACATCTCTGAGTTGTCCCACTGCAAGGCAAAGAAGCCTGGGTATTTATCCTATCCCTCATTAATTTAAGGTCATTTCTAGAGGTGTTAGCTCTCTGGCATTTCTAGTGTGTCTCATGGGCAGGAAACAGCTCAGACAGAGAGAGGCAGGAAGACTTCGGTGTAAATGGAAACTACCTAGAATGAACTTCTGGGGGTGGGGGGAGGGGATAAGGATGGAGCACCAGATGGCATCTGTGCACATCTTCTTTAAAACTTTTCCAACCCCGCCGCCCCACCCTGCCCGACTCTGCTTTTCAGGCTAGGTTAGAGGAACCTTCTCACTGATCGCATAGCACGACAAAGTCCTTGCCACACTACACAACTTTCTTGTTTCACTTGTTGGCCACACTCCACTGCACTGTGGACACCTTGAAGGCAAGGTCTTTACATCTCTTCATGCTCCGCATTTAGCAAAGCGTCCTGGACCTAGAAGGCCCAATAATGTATGTGTTTGTTTCAAAGCATTTTACATTTATCATCAACTTTTGCATCTGAAACCCTGCTTAGGAGGGAGATAGCATAATCATCATCTTCATTATTCTCATTTTAAGGATAGAAATCTTAACTGCAGTGATGTAACAGAGCAGATGAAGGACCTTATCTGTTGATGACTAGGCCAGTACCCAAACTACTTTAGTTCCTGTTGCTTAGCACACTGCAGGAGGTAATGGCATTCACCTGAGGCTAAACCTTTCAACCCATGGCAGAACAGAGCTTTCCATGTCCAGAATAATCCCCTTTACAATATTCAGAAGATGCCTGAAGGTGGAAGCAGGGCAGCCCTAGAAATGCCAAGTTCTGTGCTTTGTCTAAAAAAGGAAGCTTTGATTTTTTTTTTGGTCTTCCCTCACTTAGCCTCTCCTTGGAGCTGCCTCCTGATTTAACTTTTCTACAATTCTAATATTTGTGAATATGTAAATCAGATTTTACTATTAATTAATTCACCAACATAATGCCATTTATGAGAAGGAAGTGATCAGCCACGGGGAACAGAATGCCTTGTAGCTCTGTCATTTTTAAAAGTCAAAGCAAGAAGTACACAGTTCTAATAACAGAAGGGATGAAGTGCTTTGTTCTTAGGTTATGCTCTGGAGTACGAGTTTTAAAAGGATTAAATATATAAACATCAAAGAAAGACTGCCCCGAAGCTAAGAGTTGTATCAGGAAACCCCCTGCTTTCCTATGTCCCCTATGTTCAAACGTAAGACAATGGATCTGGTGATTAGAATGGTCTCTGTTCACTTTACACAGTAAAGGAAGAGAATTAAAGAAGCTTTCCCTTAGCAATATCACGACTACTGGTGAACAACTAAAAAATGGAAACATTTTAACATGCATAAGGTCAGAGTCTATTCAGTTCCTTTTTCTGTTATGTATTTTGGAACCACTTGACAGTTTTCCGTTTTAACATTTTGAGGGATTTTTCTTGGTAGAATTCAGACAAGGACTGCAGAAGTTTTGCCATCTGCAAAAAGAGTGGGTTGGATTAGATTAGCAAACACTTTGGGTTCCATACAATATTTTTGTTGGTCCACAAAACTCCTCTGAAGAATACCAACATTAGAAATGAATCCAAACACTGAAAACCCGATTAATGGATAGGCCACAATATTGCCATTTTACAGTACCATTAAATGAATAGCAAATACAGAAATAACATTAAATTGTTTATAATATTCATGGCATATTATGTTTTCTGATTAGAACGTTTTTAAATCTAGTCAAGGCATTTTAGAAATGGAATCAAGTAATTTTTTGCTTAACAGCAGAATGAGTGAATGGAAAAACATGGATTTTGATATCAGATAGTCCTGCACTCTATTTATACTTCCATTACGGTGTAACCCTGCACAAGACATTTAATCTCCTTAATCCTCAATTTCCTCTCTTTAAAATGGGTTTGACAATGCTTAATAGCCCACAGAGTGATTTTGCAAATTATATAGGCTAGACACTTGAAAGTGCCTAGGGCTAACCTTGGCACATGAAATGCATAAAAATATTCTTTTCCCATTTTCTATCATTCCTGTAAATTTTCAGCACGATTACTCCTTAACTGCAAGAGATTATATTTTAGAGTCATTTCTAACATTTCTCTTTAAATGTCTCCCTCCTCATACAAACATCACAAGGGTATAAAAGTAATGGACACAATTTGAAATATGATCATATTGGATTAGTGGCCCACCAATTTAAATTTATTTTCATCTTAATTGGCCTGGCTTAGAAAAAGATGATCAACTCCTGTATTATATTACTTTATAGAACCTCTTTAGCTCTAAAATGTTTCTAAAACCAACTTACAAGTGATGGAAGTTGGAAAGGGTAGGGGTAGCTAGGTTATATCAGATCTGTCCCTGGTGCTGAAAGTGAGCAATGTACCTAAACTCTCCTCATATAGATGCAGTAGAGGGGAAACTAGCGCGACTTAATGAAAATCCTGAATTGTGCCTTGTTTGCTATTAAGAAAGTGACATTACTCAGGCATCTCCAGAATACAGTGCTCATCCTCTTTGACCAAGTTAAAACTTTAGGACCACCCCAAGGGAAGAAAGAGAAAGTAGACACCAGCCCAGCCCACTGATGGATGCAGGCTGATGCATGCTGAAACACAATTACGTGCCCATCCACTTGAGTTATAGATTAGTCTTTAAATGCATATACACTTTGCTGCTTTCAATGTCCCAAGCGCCTCTAAGTGTTCCTTGTAAAATGTGTCTGAACCAGTATCCCATTCAGCACAGTTTAGCAAAAAGATACTCATTTATAGTTAGCAACATTCCTTTGCATATTAAAATATGCACATCCAATTTAAAGGGTTTCTCTTAAATAAGCACTCCCCATCCATCTTATTTACAGCTCGAATTTCTCATGTGGACTAACAAATATTTGACTATGTGAAATCAGAATTGTGAACTACTTTTTAAAAAATAACTGATCATTGGTTCTAACAAAATGATTTTAAAAATAATTTGTCTGAATGTGGCAGCATCCTTATCTTCCTTGAGTGATTTGTGTATTTTACTCTAATAAGCCACTAACATGCATTTACTCAAGCCTGCTCTGTGCTCAATCCTAGCACCAAAGTTCTGAAGGTGAAATCAAAAGGTAAGGTTCTTGGCCTGTAGGAAATTAAAACATTGCTAAGAGAATAGGAAAAATATATAATATATATAGATATATATATGAAACATCAGACAACAAAGAAGCTCAAAACAGCAAGCAAGATGCTAACTCTAGGGCTAAAGGTATTCTAAGACCAGGGACCAGCCAGATATCATTTATGATTTCTATGAATCCCACACACTGATGGAACAGGACTTCTCTGAAATTTACCTTATATAAGTTCATATTTTAATCCTCTGTATTTTCATTCAACCATATTAGACTACAGATTTCTTGAGAGCAGGGAATTCTTTGCTCAATTTCTCCTAGTTGCCAAGCACAGTAGGAACTTGCTCACTGAAATAATTCAAATAAAATCGCTCAGAGTTAATAGAGTTAAATTAATCAATGTTTGTTGTGGCAATCAGAGGTTTATTGGATGCGTGAGCTGGGATTTTGAGAGAACCTTGAAGGAAGGGAGGATTTTGAAAGGTAGAGAGAAGGTATGGCCATGCTTTCTGTTAGGAGAAAAAAGCAAAGCAAAGGTTTAGAGCTGGCCATCTCAACTCACCAGTGGCACTGTGAGCACAGACATCCAGAGAGTGTGTGCCAAAGTGTTTTCCCCTAAATCAGAACACGAAATACCTCTCTTTTGGCCCTGAGTCCTGTGTTTATTCAGGAAGATAATTTTGCATGACTTTTTTCCTTACATCATCACGGATCATTCTTCTAAAAGACTCATGATGCTTTTGAGAGCCTGCTGAGTTGGCAGAACATCCTGGAAGACCCAGACATAACAATTAGCCCACTTTTCAGCAGGGATCATCTACACACAGCAGTGTGTCTCTTTATCTTAAGCAAACAATTAAGGCTTGCCACACGTTTTCTCTTTTCGATTTCAAGTTTAAACTATCTTTAGAAATCTCTTTGGGTACCATTTCAAGGAGTACAGTGTTGCTGTGTGTAAAACAGCTTCTTGGTCAAAACATGGCTGAGACCCAGTAGATACTTGATGGAGACATCCCTACTCAAGGGAGCTCTGATGTTTGCCAGAGGAGCTTCCCTGCTTTGAAAGGACAATTCTTGTTATACTTTTACCTTCTCTGCATGCGATTCCATTCTCCAAGAAATCTTACGTAGATCTTTTAGGATAGCAGAAACACCCACCACTTGGCAATATGTCAGAACTATTGAGATTGGGATGGTATAAAATAATAAGCACACTACACTAAGTGCCACCTTCAATTGCAGCCTCCCAAATATCCTTTGTATTATATCACTTGCTATGCATAGTGATTTCATGGTTGACATAGAACTGTTTAGATTTAAGATATATGCATGAAAATATTTTGTTGTTTCTCAGGCAGAAAATGGTGATGTGATTAAAAGCTAATGCTTGAAACATTTGCTAGACAAGAGCAGGCCTTTTTTTTTTATAACCTTATCAAACCAAATAATCTTTTCTTTGGAATCCCTACTCCCCATTATGATCAATCTCTCTGGCATATCTGAGCAGGACTGAGCCAAGAAACTGATTCCAAATGTAGCAAAGGATAGAAATCCCTGTAAAGTAGGACTAAGTCAGTATTTCATCAAAGAATTTAATCCCTGTGAAGGAATGCCCTTGTCCCTTCCAATTTAAAAATTATTAGAAAGGCATTTGTTAGGAGCTGTCTACTTAACATGTAGTGGCAGATATTTGATCCTAAGAAAATAGAGATACAGCCAGAGATTTATGTACAGGATGTTCATCTCAGTGTTACTTATAGTAGTAAAATTTCTAAAAACTAAATGACCAACAACTTGGCATAAGTTAAATTAAGGTTCAGCCGTATGATGGAATTCTATGCAGCCATAAAATCTTTTATAGCAATAATAATTGAAATGAGAAACTGTTCATGGGAAATATTTCATGGGAAAAAATGGTTATCAAACAGAATTTTTACTATGATCCTCAATTTTAGAAAATAAAGTAAACATTGTATATACATTGTCAGTGTCCTCTTGCCAAAGACCACCAGGACCACACCAAGTAGTTGGCCAAACTGGGTTTCCTTCGTGTTGCAGTGAGGAACACACACCATGGAGAACTAAGAGGTGTCTCAAGAAGGGGGTGTTAGAAAGCACTTATAGGATTTGGGCTTGTGTTAAGTAATTTGGGGGAAGGTTGTGGGTTGTGTATATGGGGGGCTTACACCAGATTGGGTGCCATTAGGAAGCAGGGGTAGTTTTATGTCTGAGTGTCTTAATCTTTTTTCTAGAGGGAGAAAAGACTAGAATGAGGCTAAAGGCTAAAGCTGTAATTTTTTTTTTTTTTTTTTTTTTGAGACAGAATTTTGCTGTTGTTGCCCAGGCTGGAGTGCGGTGGCGCAATCTCGGCTCACTGCAACATCTGCCTTCTGGTTTCAAGCGATTCTCCTGCCTCAGCCTCGCGAGTAGCTGGGATTATAGGCACTGGCCACCATGCCTGGCTAATTTTTGTATTTTTAGTAGAAACGGGGTTTCACCATGTTGGCCAGGTTGTTCTCGAACTCCTGACCTCATGACCCGCCTGCCTCAGCCTCCCAAAGTGCTGGGATTACAGGCATGAGCCACCGCGCCCAGCCGTAATTCGTTTTTAAAAGACCACAACTGTCCTCATATTAGCCAGGATAACATGCTTCGTCATTTTTTGTGGTTTGGACAGGGTTCATGTTTTGTCTGTTTTCACATATGATTATGGAGTGGTCCTAATTTTATCTTAAACCATCACAGTTACAGAATGCTCTTATCTGACATTAGTGTTTCAGAAAATGGTTTATGTTCGGTGGGAGAACACCAAACTTAGTTGTGAGTGCCAGGCTAGCTTCTGAATACCAGGGAATGCTTTTCTTTTCACACTTATGTATAGAATAAGATTATAACAAATATCATTTATTATATGTCTGTGATATTTCAGGCACTGTTTTAAGTGTGTTAATCTATTTAATCCTCATAGCAATTCTATGGGGTTGGTACTATTGTTATTCCCATTTTTCAGAAGAGAAAAATTGTGCCATAAAAAAGTAAAGTTACCCACTGCATTTTAGCTAATAAATAGTGGAGCAAGGATTCAACTCAGTGGCTACAGAACCAAAAGCCTCAACTTCTACATTATATTGCCTATGTGTACAATAAATGATCGACAAAGGTTGAAAGGTAGTGTGAGTACACCGATACAGGTGTTTTTGTTTCCTTCTTTTTCTTGTTCTTACTTTCCAAATTGTCTAAAATTAATATGTATTAATTTTAAATCAGAAAAGGTAACAATTTATTAACGTACTGGTGAAAGCTCTGATCACAAAGTCATTGGCCCAAATGCAAACCCAAGTCGTTGGTGGAGGCAATGCTCCCCAGAACTTCTACAAAAAGAGAAGAAAAATCGGGGGGAGGCAACACCCTTCCTGCACTCTTACGTGTGGGCTCTCTTTCTCTCTCGCCCCTCTCTCTCGCCCCTCTCTCTCTCCCCTCTCTTTCGCCTCTCTCTTCCCCCTCTCTCTCCTCTCTCTTTCCTCTCTCCTCACTCTCACTCTCTCTGCTGCTCCAATTCAATTTAGACAACACTAACGGGATTGCCTGCAGTAAAAGGTGGCCCAAGGTCCACACTTAGTTGGTTCTGTCTCCAAATTGAAACATACAGGTTAGAAGCTCCTCCAAATATACATAAGGACAGTTAGGAATAGAGTTGGGAGGACTAGAAACAAATGCCTTGGTCCCAAAGGAAAGGCCTTTTCTGTGTGGGAGGACAACACTCTCGCCCTGGCCAGCTGAGCAATGCAGTTTCTCCCGCTCTAAGATTCAGCCCAGGCACTGAGGGAGGGCACTCTGTTCTTCAGCCCTTGTGAGGGCTGACATTAAAAGGCCGGAAATTCTAGGGACGAGGGCGAACCGAGGTTGGAAGGGAGCCAATCGGAGGGTCAAAGACTTCAGAATGAAAACAGCTTCGCCAAAATGTTAAAGGCACCTAAGCAGACCTGTCGGCTGGTTTTCCTTCTCTTACTTTTATCCCTGCGCTGGCATCGGGGCACATGAAACAGCTCTGTTCATTCCCTGTGCAGCGACCGATTTTAGGCCTCCTGAGAAGTGCCCACCCACTAGCTGCCGCTGGCTCAGTCGCAAAGAGCTGGGTTCGCAGTATTTCCCACCGCCACCCCTCCTCCCCGCCCTTCCATCTTTCCGTCTGCCCGGGCTGAGAGCCACGCAGGGCATCCACCCTGTCATTTAGCACCTCGGCTACGCAATGGTGGGTGGTTTCCCAAAGCGCGTGCCCTCGCAGCCACTCGCGCTCGCCTCGCCGCTTGCAGGGGCACAAGTCAATGAGGCTTTTCCCTCCGCGATCATGGTGAATCAGCAAAGCGCTGCAGAGCAGCGGCACCTCCACGAGCAGAAATTAAGATGCTGGGGGAACGGCACGAGTGGAGTGTGGCAGGGGAATTTCTAGCCCCTTCCAATGTGTCCCTCCCAGGGACGGCGATACTGGGGGAGGGGAGTCAGCTGGAAGCTGCTGGACTTAGGCGTCGCGGGGAGCCTCTGGAAACAGAGCAGTGTAGGGAATAACGAAGATGAGCACAGAAAGTGGACGAGAAATGGGTGGAAGGATCTAGGGAGCACAAGCAGAGCAGGGCAGGTGCGCCCCCGGGGTGGGCAGCGCAGCAGGAGCAGGTGTTGCTGAGGAAAGGTAGGAAGGAAGTCCGGTATGGGGGAAGGGAGGAGATCATCAAATAAGGAGGATTTCCCAAACCGCGACTTGCTGTTTCCAACGTGCAAGTTCCCAAGTTCAGTTTGAGAAGTGAAGGGCCGCTAGGTGTAGGGGAGTCTGGAATGGGAACGTTAGGGAAATGCCTCCCCGAGGCGCATTCTCCTACCCATTCTCCTCTTTCTTCCCCCCCCCCCACTCCCCTTCCTCTTCCTGTCCCTATTCGTCTTCCTTCAGCTTTGATTAATATGCATGTCTATGCTCCGTAGTGCGGGCCACCGCCTCCCGTTCGACCCCTGGCACTGGGAGACTGAGCTGTAGCGACCAAAGGCTTGGGATGGGGAGGCTGAGCGCTCAGAGCGCGGAGTCTGAGGACCCCTCGCCGCGCCCTGTATCCCACCCCCCTGGCTGGAGAGAGCGCCTCAGTGACCCAGACTCCGAGATCCCGCTCGGTCTGCGTTGCAGTGGACAGACCCAGGAGCTTGGAGCGCGAAATGAAACGCGCTAAATTGTACCTGTGCGTGGCCGTTCCCGCCGCCGCCGCAGGTCTATCCCGGGGCCGAAGCCGGCGCCCGCCTTCTCGGGGAATTCTCCGGAGGGGGAGTGCGAGGGGAACCACGGTGACTGCCTGCTAGCTCACGGCTGGCGCGCACACGCACACGCCCAACTTTGCCAAGCCGTCGGCGCCCCGCGGGCTCCCCCGCGCCCCCTGCGGCTCAACACGCTCGGAGACCTGTATCTCTCCTGCTCTGAGATAAGGTTCCCTCCACTCTCACACCTTCGCATGTAGGGGAGGAGAGGGCGGAGTGAGGCAGAGAAGGGGGTTAATGCTACTGACTCCCTGGCCAGCCTTTCTCAAACACTCTACGCCCGCAGGGGCGCCCGCGCCAGCCACGCCGCACCAGGTCCCCCAGACCTGCTGGTGACGACAGAGAGAGGAGGAGGAAGAGAAGGCAGGGCGAAGAACCGGGAGCCGGGGAGCCCCGGAGCTCGGGAGCCCGGGAGCCCAGGCGACGGACAGTTCCATCGACTGACCGTCATTATCAGCACTTTTATTACTAAAGGACTGGGTGGGAGGTTGGGGGGTGTGCAACAGAGCTGGCCAGCCCCAATCCACTCTGGAGCGACCCTAAATTAGAGCCACAGAGAAAGATTCTCCACGGATACCTTTTGAGTGGACGTGCTCCAGACACACACCCGGACCCCGTGGTCCCGCCGAAGCTGCAGTGTTGGGGGTATTTTAAACGGTTCTTATTTGGAAGGAGGCGTGATTTCCACGTTCGAGCGTCTTCGCTCCCCACCCCCTCTCGGCACCAGCCAGTGCGCGCCACCACCTGAGCCTGGCGAGAGCCGGGACGCACGCAGTCTTCAGCCTGCTCCTTTAAGCCTCTGGAGAGACTCGGCTCTGAGCGGGTCCGCCCGACACCCGCCCCCTCCCCCCACTCCTGAGAACTCTTTACTTTTTGTTTGGAAAATCGGGGCCATTTCTTTATTTATCTCTGGGTCTTCCCGGAGGAGGGCAGAGAAGGGGAGAGCGAGCTTGGCGGGCCGGACCGGGGGAGGGGAGCGAAGGGAGGGGAGGGGACTGGGTGTAGCCTGGAATTCTCCGTCCTCGTGTTCCTGGGCGGGCGCGCAGAGTCTCCTGGCGATAGCGCCGTCGCCGCTCCCCGCGCCACCCCGTCGTTGGCCTTGGGGGTCGGGTGAGTGGGGTCATGACGAGCCGCGGGGGCTGCCCCGGGCCCCGCCCGCGCTGAGAGGGGACGCGGCCGCGCGGCGCGGAGCCCCCCTGGCGGGGAGGCCGCGGGGGGTGGGGAGGGCGCACGCGGTAGGGCGGAGTGGGGGCGGCGCAGAGGCCGCCAAGCTGGGGGGCTCTCCGGGAGGGCGCGGCCGCGGGCAGGAGGGCGTGTCTCCGGCTCGAGGGGACCCTCCCGAGGCGCGGCGCGGGACTCCCCGATGGTGGTGCCGCGGCTCCGGGAGAGCTCAGGGTCTCGCCGCCGCCGCCGTCGCCGCCGCCGCGGGCGCCGCTGCCGCCGCCGCCGCCGCCGCCGCCGCCGCCGCCCGAACCCGCGCCGAGCGTGCGCCTCGCCCTCCTCCCGCGCCCGCTCTGCTCTAGGATGCTGCGGCAGGTTCTGCACAGGGGCTTGAGGACGTGTTTCTCCCGGCTCGGCCACTTCATTGCCAGTCACCCTGTCTTCTTCGCCTCGGCGCCGGTGCTCATCTCCATCCTGCTCGGCGCCAGCTTCAGCCGCTACCAGGTCGAGGAGAGCGTGGAGCACCTGCTGGCGCCCCAGCACAGCCTGGCCAAGATCGAGCGCAACCTCGTTAACAGCCTCTTCCCGGTCAACCGCTCCAAGCACCGTCTCTACTCGGACCTGCAGACCCCCGGGCGCTACGGCCGGGTCATCGTCACCTCCTTCCAGAAAGCCAACATGCTGGACCAGCATCACACCGACCTGATCTTAAAGGTGAGAGGGGACGGGTGCGGGCAGACTCCGCCAGCGCCGCGGCCGCGGTCGGGCTGGCTCTGCGCTGGGGTCCCGGCTGAGAGCGCCACCTCTCCTAGCCCAGGCAGCTGCCGCAGGGACTCTCCTGCACCGCGCGCCCCAGGGCGGCCGACTGGAGCCTCCCAGCCTCCTGGACAAGGAGCGTCGGGGTCCGGGTCCGGCCCTGCCCGCGTCGCCTCTACCGCCACCCCGCAGCTGCTGCAACAGTTGGGGCGGCGGCGGCCACAGTGCTGTGGTCGGTGCGCTTGTTTTGGTCGCAGTGGGCTTGGGGGTGGGGAGGCTTTGGGGTAACTGGGCCAGCAAGGAGCAGAACGAGAGAAGACATTCTGGAAAGTCCTACTACTTGAGAACAAAATACTATGCTTGGAGGGGATTCCGAGATACCCCTCCCTGTCCTCAGTTTTGTTTCTCCCTTTTTCTGGCCCCCCGGAGTGTTTGGGGAACGGTTGTTGGTGTGGGATGTTGGGAAAGGACAAAAGAATGTGAGGCGGGATGGTGATGAAGATGCCTCCCACCCACCCAGAAAGAAGTGTGGTCTCTGGCGAGGACAGGGGGCTGCCCTGCTGCTCTCTTCTCCGGAGCGAGGTAGCCATCTCTATCTTCTAGGGTATGAAATTATGTTTGTAATTCGCAGTTCCTTCGTCTTTCACAGTAGCTCCTCAAGAAATGCCAAAACTTTGGGAAAAGAGGGAACCGATCAATCCACTTTTATTTGGGTGCATCTGAGCATGGGGGTGAGGGGCAGAGCCCGAAGGGTGAGAACAGAAGCCAGGCTGTGTGACCCCGAGAAGAGCACAGGAAACCGAGCAGCTGGTTAGAGGGTGACACTCGCAGAAACCGGTTGTGCCATCAGCTTGAGGTGGGAATTTGATGTGGAAAGTGAGGTTAATGGTGGTAACTTTCAGGAACTTCCTAAGAAAAGCAGAGGAGTGAGGACTAGAGATGGAAAAGTGGAGACCTCGGGAGAGAAAAGTAAAAATAGGTGAGAATGTTCCATCTGAATCCCTGATGGGGACTGTGGGGCTTGTTTACTTAAGGTTCTCCTTTGGGGAGGGCAGACAAGAACCAGTCCCAGCTGGGACTCTGGTGCAGAGGGATGGAAGGTGATCGTTTTGTGTGAGTCTCTAGTCCAGATCTGGTACTAGAGGCTGGTTAGATTTCTAGTCTACTTATCCCAAGGGGAGTCTGCCGGGAAACCTGGGGAACTCTTTCCTCTTCTTTTCCTCTACAGGTAATAGTTTATCCCTAGAGACAAGCTAATTTTCATTATTTTCCTATGTCCGTTTGTTGACATGTTATCAATTAGCAATTAGTAATGAGGGGAATCTGACTAGGGGCTCAATGGAATTAGGATCTTCCCACATGGAGTGGCTCATGATATTTTTAATGGCACACATCACACATTTACTCATCACAGAACCTTAATAACATTAATCCCGAGATGTTTGTTTTTCTCATGATTAGACTTCCAGCATCAAAGTGGTTTTCTTTTTTCTCTCAATACTTTAGTGACTATATTTTGGGACACAGATAAATACTGCTCCAAAAGCTTTCCCACGAAAACACATAGTAGATTCATCATGGGCATAAGGAAACTGTAATTTAACCAGTTCTGACAGTTGGAAATGCCCCGTCTTTTGATTGATGATCTACTAAATGATATTTCTCTTTTTGTGTTTTTTCAAGGTGACGTTTCCATTGCCTTTCCCCCCCCACCCACAAACCATCACACCACTGTGACAGGCAGTCACCAGTTACAGTCACTCTCAAGGTTAATGAGACATCAACAAGCATTATCAGATCTCTTTTCAACTGGATTACTTCTTCCCTATTTGATTTTGATCAGTTCAGGACAGAAAACAGTGCTATAGGAGAAGGTTGAGACTGGAGAGACGGAGGCTTGGTTTGCCTCCATATCTAAAGGGCAACTTTAAAGGACAATGGTCAAAAATCAGTGGATTGTTTTAAGAACTGGGATGGTTTTTCATCTTCTAGGTGTCTGAGTAAAATCAAAACCAAGCCTAGCAGTGGTCCGAACTTATTTCTAGCTGATGACTCTCTGGTCAAATGAGTTCATACAGCTTATAAAAATCCAGACTTACGGAACCAAGGAAATAACTGTCTTCAATTTTAAATTATATGTTTAATTTTTTCTTTCTGCATCCAGCCCCTACTTTTGGTAGATATGGAGCCAGGGGACAGGAAGATGGACCTTCATTAGTCATGGTAATGTAAAGTGTGGGAGTGAGCACTTTTTTTTTTTTAATTTTTTTCATTTAGAGACATGATGACTTGTCCTTTAGGAAAGGTGTCAGGAGTGAAAGAATCACTGTTATTGTTGTTACTAGTGTTATTCTGATGCTTCGTTACTGGCATCAAGGATAGCATTGACAGTTAACACTACACAACACCCAACAGTCCCTGCCCCCTGCCGGTTTTATGGCGTCACATTTGAAATGAAGTGAAGTGGACAGAGCATGAGCAGGTCTGAGGCTTTTTCATACCCCAGTACAGAACTGAGGAGGTGACTTGTAGGGCTGTGTAGGGTGTTGCTTCAAGCATGAAGAGTAGACCCATTCTCTCCTCTTAATGTTTTGGGATTGTACCTGTGCAGTGAAGGAGATCCTTCTTGGGATATTGGTCCCACTATTTGCTGACAAAAAAAAAATAGACTGGGAGGGAGTGATGACAGAAAACGAAAAGCCAGGTTGACGTTTTTAAATGTAATTGAGAGTATTACAGAAAAATATCTGTATTTCAAAAATCCAGCTGATCTGGTTTGGAGGAGCTTTCTCGAATATGCGCAAGTGATATGATTACCATACTCTGACCACTGTAGCTTAGAAGTTGACCCCACACTGTGAGGCATGACTCCCCCCAGCGTTGGTTTCCCCTGAAGGCTACAGGGCAACGATGCATTATTAGGCAAAAGTGGGTAGGACCTGGTGGTGCTGATAAGGGCTCATGCAGTAATTTCTGAACCTCTTTACATACATGCTGCTCTTCAAACATCTTCCTTTTCCTAGAAAATTAAATTTAGCTGATTATATCTTTTAACAGAAGATCCATGATGTTCATCTCAAAGCAAATTTCAAAGGAGGGCCTCACAAGCTTTTATAGATACGTTTCGTTGCGATCACCTAAAATGAAGTGTAAGTAGGTCCCTTTGATAATTGATCCAGGCTGTTAACAAAACAATTCTTGATTTATTCCGGAATCATCTATTTAAAGTGAAGAATCAGTACAGCCCAGTACTTATGATAATGACATCATCTTTATAGGACTTTATAGGTTAGAAATATACAGTATGTTTAAATACAGTAAATTGGGAAAAATGCTATATCCCATTTTACATATGAGAAAACTACTTCTTAGAAGTTAACTGACTTGTCCATGGGAAAAAATACAAGGCTAGAACCAGGACTGGACTGGACCCAGGGTTTTGGACTCCAAGCCCAGTGTGCTTTTCATTGTAATTTACTTTCATATGATACACTACTGGAATGATTTAAAATGTACATTTTTGTTATCCAAATGAAGTACAGTTGACCAAAGTTTTATATCCCATCCCATCCAGTTGTTCTAATAGTGGTAATTGGATCATAAGAATATTTTTCTTGACTGATTCTGTCTAGTGTCAATTAAAATCCACATACAGAAACTCCAAATACCCAAAGTAAAGCATAAGATATTTATAATTAACAATATACAAGGATAGAAAGAAGATTTTTTTGGAAAAAAAATCTCTGGATGATTGAATGTAGCTGCTTCCTGATTGAGTGCTGCTCATTGGCAGGGTCCAGGTTGACTGAACTTTAGTGCCTTACACACTCCCTGGCACATAATAGCTACTCAATAAATACTTGTTGAATAGACCCTCCCTAGTTTACTCAGACATTTATGTGATGAGTTAAAGAAAATTCCATAAAAACGAATTTGAAATGTATTTACATAGTGAAATTTTTATTTTTACAACTTTACAGACAGTTACTAGGATTCTTTGTTTGCAAGATATCATTCTTCCCTCCTTGATAACCCCCGTAGTCATATCAAAGCGTATTTCAGTTTCAAAATTGGGTAGGGGAATTGCCTTTGTACAAAGTCCTCTTCTTCAGGGGAAACTCAGAATGTTTTATTCCAAACCACGGGAAGGACGCATCCTCACATAGCAAACATTCTTCCATTTACTAGGAGATCTCATTTCGCTCAAATATCAAGTTTCTGTTTTACTTAAAGCTTTTATGTTTAAATACATTAAATAGAATTAAGTTGCAAACAAGGTTAATAAAATCTAACCTTAAGTTATTTACTTCAGGCTTTCCAAGAAGGGCAGCATAACTGCTAGCTCGGGGTCACAAAGACTGGGTAGCTAGATCAAGATCATAGTTTTTCCAAATGCTGTCTCAACACTTGCAATCACTATGGGAATCACCATCATTTCTTCCTCCACAATCTAAGGATCAGCAAATTTCAGCCTAGTTTTTAACGTAGACTGAGTTTTTACAGTTTTAAAAGATTATAAACACAACAAAACAAAAACCAAGAAAGCTATATAGCAGAAATTGTGGCTCGCGAAGCCCGAGAGATTTGCTATCTGTACATTCAAAGTTCCTATGTTGTATTCTAAAATGTCATTACTAGAGCACTTTCAAGAAGTTAATACTGTGAATCTGTAAGGCAGTAGTTCTCAACCGGGGCTGACTGTGCACCCACCCAGGGGACATCTGGCAATGGCTGGAGACATTTTTGGTTGTCACAACTTGGGGAAGAGGCATGTGCTACTGGCATCTAGTGGGTAGAGGCACAGCGTAGCCCCCACAACAACAAAATTACCCAGCCCCAAATGTTAATAGTGCCAAGGTGGAGAAACTCTCTGCTTTGCATGTTTCTTTTGTTTTATAAAGATTCTTTTTTTGCTACTTTGATTATGTAAAATGAAAAAATGCCAAAGAGAAGTTCATAGAACTCTGGGGACAACTATTATGACCTCTGAGGTGATGCTCTCTTGGGCAGTTGAGCAGAGACCAGATTTTCCAGTGTAATCGTCCCCAAAATGCAGTTATCTTGCTCTCTTCGATGGCTCTGTCCCTTCAGGTCTAAATCCCACCTGCTGTAGAGGAGCCCAAGAAACTGAATGCAGTATAACTGCTTGAATGACGAAGGGGCTAAGTTGACACTGGCCTTTGAGACTTGTCCATTACTAGAGTGCCCATTATTGGCATGCCTTAAGCATCAGTCAGCAGCAGTCGCCCACTTAGGTCGGGCTTCTTCTGACAGTGTGTAAGACCCCACTGTGAGCAGCGACCTGAGGAGGCAGGAGGCAGTGCTTTGTTGCCTATTCCAGTCTCTCTGCTTTTCCAAGTATAAAATGACAAGAGAAGAGCTTGTATCAAAGAAACACGGAATCAAAGAACCTTCGGTTTAGAAGGCACCTTAAAGGTCATCTCCACAGAGGCTGATGCTAGAATCTTCTCTTAGCATCTCAGGGTGCTTTGTTTGGTGACAGGTGCTATGAAGCCTTGGGCAGTCCAGTCTCTTCTGGTGAGTTATCCAAGTGGCAGATACTCTTAGAAAAGATTGAGCCTGGGCCTGAAAGGGCAGCATTTGTGTATTTGCTGGGTCAGTCAATTGACTTTTACTCTTTATTTTTGTACTAGGGGAAAATTAAGGAGAGACTGAGATCGGTTTTCATTCTCCTTTCATTTCGTAGGTAGTGTATCCGAATAATCTAAGCACAGTCTCATCCTAGGGTTGTCTGACTTTTAAGTACATTTGATTTTTGCGATTAGTATGTAAAATGCCCACTTGTCTCATTTAGATTTGGGGAGCAGTCTTTTAATTCTCCATTTAGGTACACATTTGAGACAAACTTTGATTAAACTGAAATTTAGATATAAAGCCTTAGTGGGAGAGGAAGCCCACCTTTGTAATGACTCATGGCATCTTGATAGATGCCATATTAGAGTTAGGAAAGGATGATTCTATTTTAAATGACCACAAAAACTGAGCCTCTCAGGATTCACCAGACCTATAAAGCTCACAGGACAGTCAAGCATTGAACTGATGACTCCTTAAAAATACGAGAAGGAGAAGTAAGCTAACAGAAGTTATTTGTTTTCTACCTGAGTGTTTCCAGTCCCTTGGCACAAAAGCCAGGGAAATGTGAGATGCTGGTGAGCTGATCAACTTTGACTTTGTGGGATGTGCCATCTGGTACCTGATTTCGGGGCTCAGTGTGAGCCCCAAGTGATACTTGAGATAGGCTTAAAGCAGACCTTTGAAGTCACCTGCTTGATAGCACATCACAGCAAGCAGGCCTGTCTGCAGCACTGCCTGTGTCTCCGCCACATACCCGGAAGGCCACAGAACTACCGAGGAATCCTGCCAGACTGATTTAATGACCAGCAGGGGAGGTGAGTAATCGCTAACCTTTAAAAGACAAGAAAAGGAAAAAAAGAAAATCAACACCAGTTGTTATTTCTTACGGGAAGCCCTGAATAATATGTTGTGCTTGCAACTTCTGAATTCATATTTTGAACAAAAGGAGGCAGTGAGGAACTAGAAAAAGCTATTTTTATCTTCTTGCTCTCTAAGAAATCCTCTTGAGAATATTGTTTCTGCTATTTTGAAAGATCCCCATTGTTAGGTCTTCCACTTTAGGTTTAATTCATAGGCTTCAAGTACAGTTAAGATGATTTATGTAAGTGCAGTCGGTTATCTTGGGAGGTGATATCAGAAAAGGCTGATAGGGGAGTGGGGAAGTAAAACAGTGAGTAGCAGGAAGCCAATCAAGAGAGTATTATTAAGCAAGTGTCTACTGTGGGCAACTGGGGCTCAGTCTCACTAGGGAACTCTGGGAGACACTGTAGAATGTGTTGGAGAAATCTCAGTTGTGGATAAAGAAGCTGAATATTTTCTCCCCAACTCCAGCCATCATCGGCTGATTCAACTACATTTAGAAGCATTAAATTTCTGGCATTTTCATATGCTGTGTTTCTCCCTATATATATATATATATATATATATATATATATATATATATATATTTTTTTTTTTTTTTTTTTTTTAAAAGAATTGGGTACAGAGCTACAGGTGTTTGTGGCAAGCAACCTTAGCATGGAGAGGTGAGTGTGAGCTGAGACTATATGGGTGGGACCCTGAGAGCATCTGCCCTAAGGGTCTTATATTCATCTAGAGTTATACATCGAGAGATTTAGTGCCCCGTTTCTAGGGAATGGATATTCATCCCTTTACTCAACAAGATGGCTATGACCCTGTCTCCATGAAGCTTACAGTTAAGAATCATCCAGCATAGCTATTTAGTTATTCCCAAGTTTGACAAGTGCCAGTGGATGCTGGTAAAGATGACTCCAAACAGGGCCTAGACACCAACAGGATGTGTGGTTTTAGATGCCAGACCTCTACATTTGAGAGGCACATATTCATTCTCACCTTTATGAATACAGAAGTCTGCAGGCCCCCATCTTCACACATCTACTTTTGTTGTTCTCCCTAAAAGTGCCCTCCCTCCTCTCTTTAAGGACCAGTTCACATGCCTTCTACTTTATGAGGCTTTCTCAGATTCATGGCTTCTTCTCTCCCTTAAATCTATTGGGCTTTCATTCTTATACACATTCTTTAATGCAGAGCTGTAGACTCTTATGTAATTTGCTATATTGTCATGTGATCGTTTCTCTTAAGAGAGGTAATGAACTCTTCAGGGGCAGGAACAATGTCTGACACTGCCAGATCTCTCCTAGAGCCTAGCATAATGTGGAGTTTGCAGCAGGTGCTTAATAAATTGTTACTGGTTTATAGCTTGTAAGATGGAAAATGTGCTCTGCCTCCCTATTGATTTATTTTGGTCAAATATAATTTTGCCTGGTAGCATGACCATGTGATTTCTTGTGCTCTATATTCATTTTTCATCTTTGACAAATCTTGGTTTCAAACTTGTTGATAAGCAATAAGCATCCATTCTGTTTCCAGATCTGCTGCCATTTATATGAGGAGAAATTCTTGGAAAACCAAATATCTGACAACCTTCTCTGGTCCAAGTACAGTTTGGGAGGGTATGAACTTGACCTCAGTCCCCAATCAGTGGTGCATTTCCATGTGGGAGGGTGGATCCCTGTGCAGTTCCCAGTGAGCACCCTGGAACCCAAGTCCCCACACTACACATTCCCTTATTTACTTAAAGAAAAGTCTCAAAACATTGGCCACACCCATATTCAAATGTAAATAGGAAACACACTTAAAAGAAAACATCAAGGACAAGTGGTTTTCCTGACCATAGCACCAGTGTTCAGGAGATCACCATTCTGATGTTGCTTAGTCCCACTCTTCTTAAAAGTTAGCCCAGAGGAACAGAAAGTATTGTTCTAAGAGGCAAACTTAAAAGAAAATGATACTGGTACAAAATCAGCATATTTCTGTGAGTTTAATGGAAACACTAAAACTGCTAATTTTTCAGCGTGGAAGATAAAGATTCCTTTACCCATTCCTCCATGAGGCTCTCCTGCTGTCACTAATACCATGGCTTTGTCAATTCTTTCTAATTGTCTCAAGAAAAAATAATGCATCTCTGCTATAGAGCTGTCATTATAAATGCTCAAGAACATTTTGTGATATTTATACCTTAATTGTATGAGGTTTGAGTTGTTGGATTTTGTTTTTGGTCTTGTGGTATAGGCAAGTAGTCCTACTGAGTAAAGATTGTTTGATTGCTCTCAGACTTTCTAACATGCACACACGTCACCTAGGCATCTTGCTAAAATACAGACTGATTCAAAGGGTCTGGGGTGGGAACTGCAAGTCTGCATTTCTAACAAGATCTGAGGTGATGCTGATGCTACAGATCAGCAGAACACACTTGGAGTAGCAAGGCTCAAATTTAACTGTTGTAAACAGAAAACTGGATTTAGAATCAGGAAAGCCAAGTTCAAGTTCCAGTTCTCCTAAGTATGTATCTTTGGGCAAGTCACCTAACCTCCCTGAGAAACACGCTCCTTATTTGCACTGGGTGTAATAGCATCTCTTTCACCCACTTAAGGTAAAGATAGAATGAGATAAAGTATGTGAAGGCACTGTGTAACCATAGCCTTCTGTAAAGTGTGTTATCATTATTACTATTTACTTTGAAAATGACTGCTATTTCCTCACATGTGCCAGCTCTTTCAAAGCCATTATTGCCTGTTGAGTAATACACATGTAGCCACTTTTTTCTTTGATCCAACAGGCAATAATGGGTGCTCAAGCTACATTCAATACTCATATTGCCAATTTGTTGGTCTTTAATGACTCCATCTGAGTCATTACAGACAATTGGATTCAACCTACTGCTGAGCATGCAGCTCCTCTACCTGCAGAAAGTTCTTAGGCAGGCAGAGCTGCGGATGGGGATGGGTGCATTGCATTCCAGCACACCAACGTGGTTCCTCTGGGCTCAGAACCTACTCTTCATGCCTGATGGGGCTTTGCACACAAAAAAAGCCTTCACTTCCTGCCCAGGGAAGTGCCTTTTGAATTAAAGGTTCTGAGAGGCTGCGGGCTCTGGTTTCAGGGCTCTCCTCACCACATCTCACAGCACAGCATGCCAAAGAGGGATTCTCCAGTGATTTAGGTGAGAACGTTGATCATTCTCCTCTCTTACTGAATTTACATGACTACAGTGTTTCCCTGGGAAATCTCGTCCACATAAGTAGATCTGCAAGCACTTCACAGGGAAGAGTGTCATCAGAATTGCCAGAGATCAGGAGCACCAGGCAAAGTGATAATTGTAAAGTCCTTTGAAACTGGAATGTTGCGAAATTTTGCAGACTGTGAATTTTGATCATTTAGTTCAGTGTGCTTCCCCACCTACCCCTTTAGAAAATTGCTTTTTATAGGATCCCAAAAGAAATCCACAATTATTCAGGCTCCACATCAAATCCACCAAAGAAGATTCCTCTGCCTAGCTGGTTCTCTATCCCTAATCTCTTCAAACAAAATTAACCTCTGTGTAAGTGAGGGTTAGCAGTACTTCTCAAACTTTGTACTTCTGAATTCCCTGGGAATTTCAGCATGCAGATTCTGATTCAGTAGGTCTGAGGCAGTAGCCCTGACATTCTGCACTTCCAGCAAGCCCCCAGGGATATTGATGCTACTGGTCTGCAGACCACATTTTGAGTAGAGCAGTAGATTAGTGGATCTAAGGAACCTTGCTGAACCTTTGTATATCCTGACTACTCAGTTCTATTTAATTGCCTCTGTAAGCTAAAGTAGTGGCTCTCCAACTTGAGCAGATAGGCATTGGAGAACTTGTTCGAAACAGATTGTGGTCTCCACCCCAGAGAGTTTCTGAGTCAGTAGGTCTGGGGTGGAGCCTGAGAATTTGCATTTCTGACAGGTTCGCAAGGTGATGCTGTTCTTGCTGGTCTAGGGACCACACTTTCAGAGCCACTGCTATAAAGTATCCTAGAAATTAGCTACCAGGACTACTTCCAAAAATGCAGTCTCTCTCTGTGGAATCTGGCCAATAAGATACAAGCAGGATGAAAAAGTTGTTTGCTCAGCACTTAATTCTGAATGATGCTATAATAGCTCTTCTACAAAGGGTATTAAATAAATCTGAATATCTGAAGTTTGCACTGTAAGGCAAGCATGTTGAACAGAGGGCCGTACTCTACTGCCTGTCTCCTGGTGTTGGAATTCAGGAGAAAAGGGCTGAGTAGAAGAAAGGACACCCTGAGATGGAGGAAGAGAGATACACCTCCCCCACAATACACACACACCATGGATGTCGTTGCTACCATCACATATGGGATTGCCAAAGCTTTCGTTCTTCCAAAGCCTTCCCATACAGGGTCATCTGCCATTTGCCTTTTCCAGAACTTCCTTTAAAGCAAATCAGATGGTACAGCAGGCACAAATAGGAGCTACATGCTGCATTTCTGAGACAGGGTCCCAGTACTGTGGTTCTGTTAAAGAACAAGTTACTCAAAACCCTTGTTAAAGAATGGTAAGGCAGAGTTTATTCAGCAGGAGCCACTGAGATGGTATAGGGACTACTGCAGTGGGGTTTTGCAGTAGGGGAGAGATCCGACCCACTCGGAATATGACAGGGAAGAGTGGGAATTTATAGCCAAGGAGCAGGATGGGGTCAGTGGATACAACATTATTAAGAGGAAACATCAGGGGGAAGGGGCAGATTCTAGCTAAACCAATCCGACAGGATTCTTGCTGAAAGCTGGCCAGGATGATCAGATATCATCTGAGAGATGGTCAGAGATGAATAATTTAGTCAGATATCTAGAATGATCAGATACAAAGGGTGGGGGATTATGGTTAAATGGATTTAGAAGAAGTCTTCCTAAAATTGGATGATGTAAAGACAGAAAAGGAAATCTGAATGCCAAGGGTTAGTTGGTGAGAAGGTTCAGAGGAGCCTGACTAGAGTTTGGTAAAGGAGAGTCGTCAGTTGTCAGAGGTGAGGTGTCCACAGGGAGGACCCTGGCAACTAATGTTCAGTGTCAATTACTGTTTGATGTCAAGTGCTGTCAGAGAGAGGTGACAGTTGCAACCAAAATTCAGTGGGTACCAGTTTAGGCAGAGTGGAAAAAGCATTGCTTTAGAACCCAAAGTTTTGTGTTTGAGGCTGTGAACTATTAATGTGTCCTTGATCAAGTCAGTCACTTAACCTCTCTGGGAGGTCTCAATTTCTTCATCTATAAAATGGGATCAACAATATTATCATTGTGAAATCCACCCAGTGTTCTCTATTAACAAATGCTTACTCTCCAGGAGAATGGACTTGCCAGAGCACGATTCTGAAACTTTATCCTAGGTTCTTTCCCATTTCAGCCCCCTTCAGCCTTTCTGCCTTACCTAAGAGTTGGTGGGGGGAGAGTCAACAGGGGTCAGGGATTCAAAGAAATCAATTTGAAGCACTACAGCCAGGGAAGGGAATAGAAGACAGGAAAAAACTATACCACTAGAGAAATACTTGTGAAGGTCACAGGTCTACTAAAAGACTGAGATTTCATTGGAAGATTATATAGCAATTTCCCCTTACCACACTTTACTACCACATCAGCAGAGCTCCAGTTTAATAATAGTGGATTACAGCTGAAAGAGCAAAAAGACACAGACCCTCTCTGAGGAGAAGTATGTGGGAAAATCCAACGTCAACAAGAGAGACAAAAACAAGGACAGTAGAGGAAATTAAAGCTTCTGGTACCTATAGCTACAACAAACATTAAATACATTCTGACCCCTAGATTAACATAAATCTTCCCTGTAAAGTCCTGTTATCTTAGTTCCTATTAACTGATATAACATGTCTAGCCTTGAAGAAAAAATTACAAGGCAAGCCAAAATAAAATATATATAGTCTGAAGAGACAAAGGAAACATCAAAATCAGACTCGGATATGGGAATTTAAATTCAATACCAGACAGGGAATTGAAAGTAACTATGAAGGCCAGGCGAGGTGGCTCATGCCTATAATCCTGGCACTCTGGGAAGCCGAGGTGGAAGGATAGCTTGAGGCCAGGAGTTCATAACCACCCTGGGCAACATAGCAAGACCCCGTCTCTACAAAAAAATTTAAAAAATATTAACAGGGCATGGTGGTACATGCCTGTAGTCCTAGATTCTTGGGAAGCTGAGACAGGAGGGTCATTTGACCCCAGGAGTTTGAGGCTGCAGTGAGCTTTGATCACACCACTACATTCCAGCCTGGGTAACAGAGTGAGATCCTGTCTCAAAAAAAATAAAGTAACAATGATTAATATGTTAAGGGCTTTAGTGGAAAAAGTAGACATCAAGACCACATGGGTAATGTAAGCAGAGAAGTGGAAACTTAGGATGAATCAAAAGGAAATGCTAGAGATAAACACTGGAACAGAAATGAAGAAAGGCTTTGATGAACTCATCAGTAGACTTAACTGCCAAGGAAAGAATCAGTGAGCTTGAATATAGGGCAATATAAACATCACAAACTGAAACACAAAGAGTTAAAAGAGAAAAAAAAAAAAACCCAAACGGAACATCTAAAAATTGTGAGACAGGGTTATCAAAATATATGACATACACATAATTGGAATACCAGAAGGAGAAGAATGAAGCAGAAGACGTTTGAAGTAACAATGGCCAAAAACTTTCTAAAATTAAAGACACCAAACCACAGATCCAGGTAGCTCAAAGAACACCAAGACAGATAAGTACTCATAAAACCACACTTAGGTGTATCATAATCAAACTACAGAAAACCAAAGACAAAGAGGAAATCTTGAAAGAAGCCAGGGTCGGGGGGACACCTTATATATAGAGGAACAAGGAAAAGAATTACATTAGAGTTGTCAGAGAAAAAACTGCAAGAAGAGAATGAAGATAAATAGTTAAAGGGTTAAAATGAAAAAAAAATCAACCTAAAATGCAATAGCCAGCAAAATTATGCTTCAAAGTGAAGGAGATATAAAGACTTTCTCAGACAGAAACTGAATGAGTTCATCGCCAGCAGTGTTGTCCCGCAAAAAGTGTTATAAGAAGTTGTTTAAGAAAAAGGAAAATTATATAGGTCAGAAACTCAGATCTATATAAAGAAGAGTATTAGAGAAGGAATAAATGAAGCTGAACTAAAATATTTTTATTTTTCTTACTCTTAATTGATCTGAGACATAACTTCATTTAAATCAATAATAGTAACAATATATTGGATGATTATAACATGGATAAGTGAAATGAATGGCAGCCATGTCACAAGGCATGTGAGGGAGGAATTGTGAATACCCTGTTATAACTGCACCACATATAAAGCAGTATTGTTTAAAGGTGAACTTAAATTAGGTATAAATGTGTATTGTAAGTGCTAGGGAAACCACTAAAAATTTTTTTAAAGAAGTAAAATTGATACACTAACAGAGGAGATAAAATGCTCAATTAAAACCAGAGAAGGCAGAAAAAGAGGAGGTAAAAAAAACAGGAACAAATGCAAAAACAACAACAACAACAAAAACAAAAAACAGAACAGTTACCACCATGGTAGATATTAATCTAATTATATCAATAATCACTTTAAGTGTGAATGGTATAAATATACAAAGTAAAAGATGATGACTGTCAAAGTGGATTATGGAAACAAAAAAGACCTAACTCTATATTGTCTATAAGAAACCCACTTTAAATATAAAGAGTCATACAGTTAAAAGTAAAGGGATGGGGAAAGATATGCCCTGCTAATTCTGCTAACCAAGAGAAAGCTAGAGTAGCTATGTTCATTTCAGACGAAGCTAACATCAAAACAGGAACAATTATCAGGAATAAAGAGGTGTATTACCTAATTATAAAGGGATCAATTCTCCAAGAAGATACAACAATCCTAAATATGTATGTACTTAACAACAGAGCATCAAAATACATAAGGCAAGAACTGATAGAACTGAAAGGAGAAATAGACAAATCCACTATTATAGTTGGAGACTTCAACATTCCTCTGTCAGTAATGGATTAAACAAAAACAGGCAGAAAATAATTAAGGATATAGATAATCAGGACAGAGTAAGGGACAGCATGTCTACTACTCTGGGAAAATACATAATCCGACTCTAATAAGGGTACCTCTTACAGAAGTGTAGGGGTTAAATAGGAGAAGCAAAACACTGGAGATAGGGAGATGCCTTCTGTGCACCCAAGGAGCTGTTAAAGTCTGCAGGCAGAAGGCTTGGAATACAATAGCTGCAGAAAGAGAAGAAAGGACATAGATCAGACCACCATTTTCCAAAATGTGTTCTAGGAAAGCTCCCTTTAGTGCTGTTAAAAAAAAAAAAAAAAAAAAAAAAAAAAAGACCTGTGTGGCCAAATAACTTTGGCAAACAATAGATGTGGTACCACCATCTCAGATCCTCATACTGCATGCACGTTATCATAGTAAAAGCTCTAAAAAGTTCCTCTGTAAAGAAACCTATTTAACTCTGTCCAGTTTGGCATTTCTCAAATCTATTTGAGATGAATATTTTTTACTTTTTTGGTGGCCCCTATCAACATCCCAAGAATCTAATGTGCCTCAGAACATACACTGAAAATGCCAGCCCAAAGATTGGGAGATAGAATTAATAAGACTTCAAGATAATTGGATCTGGGAGTCATCAAAGGGAAAAGGGTGACGTTGGCTTAGAAGTTTCCCAGCTGGGTGAGTAGAAAGAGGATGATGCTGTGTTAACCATTACAGGAAACAGGTGGAAGAACAAATTTGGAGAAAAGGATTCAGCTGTTGTATATATGCCAGTTGCAATACTCCCAAACCATTTATTTGCAAATCTTCAGGAGGCAGATGGAAATTAAGATCCGGAGTTTGAAGAAGAGGTAAAGTGTGAATGTGAACTGGAGATTGGTCAGTGTAAAGGTCACAAGTCAAACCATGGAGGTGGAATTCATTGCCCGTGAAGAATATATTCTGTTATGACAAGATCAGAAGTGCCAAAGACAGTCTTGAGTAACATCAAATTTACAAAATAGGCAAAGGTAGAGAAGTCAGAAGAACACTGAGAAAAGCTAGGTCGAAAGATAGGAGGAGAGGAAAGAGTTGAGTCATGTAATTCATTATGGGAGAAAGAAAGGGTTTCAGTCAAACTACAAATATTTACTGAGTAACTTTGTTTGCCAGGCATATAGTAGAGGATGCAGCAGTGAAGAAACCATGCTCAGGCCTTACCAGAGCCTACTGGATTCCCATGAAAATGGAATCCATATTTTCATGGGAATCCAGTAGGCTCTGTCTACTTTTCCTATCCTGATTCAAATGGGATGCCAGTATGACAACTCCTATGATTTGTCATGAATGGGAAACCAAGTGCCATCTTCAAAATTTCAGGTCTTAAATCTGGAGGAGGAAGCCAACATCCTTTTGGAGCCATGAATACTGTCCAAACTCCATCTGTTGCTCAGATTGGAATTTCGGTGGAATCACTGGACAGTATGGCTCAGCAGACTCCTGTAGGTAATGCTGCTCTATCCTCAGTTGACTCATTCACTCTGTTCACACAAAAGATGTTGGACAACTTACACAATTTTGCTTCATCATTTGCTGTCTCTCAGGCCCAGATGACACCAAGCCTATATGAAATGTTCATTCTGCAAAATATGTTTCTGAAATGGTACGAAAACTTTCAAAGATGACTAGCACAGAACCCTCTCTTTTGGAAAACATAATTTGAATAAAATAGTTTTTAATGGATTCTGAAATTTGTCATGTTTTGAAGATAACTGACTCCATTTAAAAGTATGAAGTCAAAGAATCATGAAACCTAGGTTTAAAAACTTCTTAGTGACTGAAGCTTAATTAAAATCTTTATTAAAAATTAAAAACATTGAAAATGGAAAAAAAATGCTAAACCATCTCAGGATATTTTTAGGTACTCCCTTGACTTTTTATTGTTGACTTAACTGGGTGCCGCTGCTCAGAGTTGAAGGAAATGAAGATTTAAAAAGTAGCCATTGAATTTATCTTCTTAGAACTCATTGTTGAGTTTTGGTTCAGCGCTAGGATAGAATCTAGACTGTAGTGGTTTGAGAAGTGAGTGGGAGGTGAGGAAATAAAGTTAGCAAGCACAAATCACTCTTTGAGGTATAGTTGGAGACATCAAATGCAAAGGGTTTATTAAAGAAGGGGAGATGTGGCAGAAGGTGGAAAGGACATGGGGTTAATGAAGCCTTTTTTAAAATATGGAAGAGACATGAAAATATTTTAAAACCCATGGGAAAGAATTAGTAGAGTTTGAGGACGTGGGAGAAGAAGGAATGAACTGTACTAGAAAGAAGGAAAGGAAAGATAAAACCCAGTGAAAGCAATTGACCTTAAAAAGAGAGAGAGCCATGGGCCTTGATTTTCACAGGAGGGCGAGAAGGGGAGTAGGTTTAGGTATTTATATGGTGGCAGCAAGTTGGTAATTCCCATCTGGCTGGGGTTTGCTCTGGAAGATAGAAAACAAGGTCAGCAGCTGAAAATGAGTCTTGTCAAGTGCTAAAGAAAGAACATTCTAATATCTGTGAGCTTGGTGACCAACTGACAAGGGAATGAGAAGAGGCTAGGTCCTAATGTGGAAGCAATCTCTTTTACAGAATTTGAGTATGAAAGCAAAGGGACAGTCTCTCCTTCCCTTTTATCTCAAGATGAGCAAAAGTATAGAGAAGAAATTTAAGTGGAAGTTTGTTGAGAGAGTTCACATAGGGTATATTTAAATTTCAGAAGAAGAATATGGATTATAAAGTAAGAAAGAATTATTAACTCCGAGAATTATTTGGCATTTGAATAGCTCATCAGAGGGGACTGGAATGACCTAGAATGGCTTAAATAGAGGTTGGGATGGTGTGACCTCCGAGGATCACATAGCCTTTAAATTTCATCACATATCTCAGTGGTTCTCAACCCTGGCTACATATTAGAATCACCGTAGTAACTCAAATATACTGTACCCAAGCCTTAAACCCATGGATTCTCATTTCAATGGTCTAAAAACAGTGGCCTACTCCAAATACAGTCCACAGATTGGCAGCGTCAGTAGCACTGGCAATCGCCTGGGACCCTATTAGAACTGCAGACTCTCAGGCTTCACCCAGACCTAGTAAATCAGAATCTGCATTTTAACAAGATCCTTAGCTGATTTCTACACATCTTAAAAGTCTGGGAAGCGCTAGACTAAAGCATGGTCTAAAGTGGGGCCCAAACTTAGGTACTTATTTGAAGCTCCCCTAGGAAACTCTAATGCACGGTTAGAGTTAGGAACTGCTGCTAGATAGAAAAAGAGATCATTTTACAACTGTATTAAGCGCATGTGATAAAATCTCATTGTATTCTATATACACACAAAAAAGAATGCATGTAAAAACTGGTGAAATCCAAATAAGGCCTGTCACACTGACCAAAGTCAGTTTTGTGGTTTTGCTAATTTACTATGGTAATGAAACATATTAGGGGAAGCTGAGTAAGGGATACATGGGAACTCTAAACTAATTTGCGACTTCTCATGAGTCTTAAAGGTTTTTTTGAAAAAATTTAAGCTAGGCCGGGCACAGTGGCTCATGCCTGTAATCCCAGCGCTTTGGGCGGCCGAGACAGGCGTATCACCTGAGGTTGGGAGTTCGAGACCAGCCTGACCAACATGGAGAAACCCCGTCTCTACTAAAGAAAATGCAAAATTAGCCGGGTGTGGTGGTGCATGCCTATAATCCCAGCTACGCGGGAGGCTGAGGCAGGAGAATCGCTTGAACTCAGGAGGCGGAGGTTGCGGTGAGCGGAGATCGCGCCACTGCACTCCAGCCTGGGCAACAACAGCAAAACTCTGTCTCAAAACAAAACAAAACAAAACAAAAAAAAAAAACGTAAGCTAAGAGATCCTACCTAAGATGAAGAGCAGCTGCTTTCCATCATCATCTGAGATGAACACGGGCTCCATCATTTATTCGTAGCGGAGCCATTCAAGGATTTAAAGCAGAGGAAAGACAGATTTGGATTTGTGTTTTAGAAAAATAAGTCTGGTGGCATATGAAGGGTAGATGGAAAGCAAAAAAAGCTAAGTTAGGAAGCTGTTTCTGCCATCCACATAGATTATAAGGGCTAGAAACCAAATCAGGAGCAATGGAAATGGAGTAGCAGAGGATGGATTTGAGAGATTTGGGAGGCAAAATCAACAAGATTTTATGAATGATGGAAGGGTTCTCAATCTTGACTGTGTGTTATAGTCTTCTGGGACGCTTTTTAAAATACAGATATCTAAACCCTCACCAAGAGATTCTGATTTAATGGTATGAGGGTGGGCCCAGGTATCTGAGTTTGTAAAGTTCCTCAGGTGGTTCAAATGGTCAGGGCTTACAGGGGCTAGATCAGAGATTCAGGCCGAGGAAGCGGGAAGTACAGAGCAAGCCTCATAGGTTTTTAATCAAGTATTCCAGGAACCAGCATGGATGAGGAGGAGGTAGCAAAGATACAGCCTGGAAAAATTAGAGCGGTAGCCCTTCCTTTTCCATTTGTTTTATGTTGAGAAAAATCACAAAACTTTGAGTTAACGTGTGTAAAGCCATAATCCTTGCACCTTATCTATCTTCCCATGGCCTGTCTAGACAAACAGATTAAAAAAAAAAAAGTTCAGTTGTTTGTGCCATCTAAACATAACCTCAGCTTATTTTACACAGAGAGAGAGAGAGAGAGAGAGAAACACACAACTTTCTTGTCAATCCCAAAATTTGAAGTACACAAATATATATATATATATATATATATAAAGAAATCCTCCAGAAGCTAGGCTAGAATGGCTTGGGAACAAGGTGAAATTCTTTTTTTTTTTTTTTTTGAGACGGAGTCTCGCTCTGTCTCCCAGGCTGGAGTGCAGTGGCGCCATCTCAGCTCACTGCAACCTCCGCCTCCCAGGTTCAAACTATTCTCCTGCCTCAGCCTCCCGAGTAGCTGCGACTACAGGCGCCTGCCACCACGCCCAGCTGATTTTTGTATTTTTAGTAGAGATGGGGTTTCACCATCTTGGCCAGGATGGTCTCGATCTCTTGACCTCGTGATCACCCCGCCTCGGCCTCCCAAAGTGCTGGGATTATAGGGGTGAGCCACCACACCCGGCCAAAATTCTTATTTTTTTTTAACTGCTGCTAGCCATTCTGTGTATTTCGGAAAGCCCCTCCCAAGTTGTCTCCTAAAGTCCACCCAGACATTGTTCCCATCTTTCTCCAGAGAAATCGTTCATTTTGTGTAGGTTTGCTTTTATTCATGTAAGGCTTTTTTGGGGGGAGGGGGGAGGGAGAAGCCAGCCAATTGCTGCGACAGGTATGGAGTGTGGTTGCTCCTACTCCCCGCCTACTGGGGCAGCAGGGCAGCAGGCACAGCAAAGCTTCCTCAGCACTCAGTGCTAATAGACCCCGAGATTCCACGGAAGGTGTCCTGTGAGTGCGCACCCTACCCTCAGATTCACACGTTGAAAGCAGCCAATGACTGACAGACTGTCTTTTACAGGGTGATCTGCCAAAGCCACCAGTCTCTGCCTGATAAAAACAATCAGAGGTTTCCCTACTGAGAGTTGCTTGCCGCCTATTGGGGTCTCTCTTTATAAAATTGTGTGCAAAGCACCATGAAAATGTTTCCACCTCAAAATGGTCTGCTCTTTGGCATTTCACTTTTCCCTTTTAGGACATTTTTGCTCCTTTTCAACTGAAAAAAGTTACAAAGCTCTCATAGCCATTATAATAATGCATAAGCACCTCATAATATAAGCACATCACAGATTTTAACAATTATTTTAAGTGGTTAGTGTGAGATAGAAAACATTAAGGTGGCATGTCAGGGCTACTGCTATGTTCCAGGTTCTTCTATTACATTATGTCTCAGCTTTCTATGAGCTATGTTATTTACAAGGTAAAAGAATAACACCTAAGTTCATCCATTGCTTAAGTGAACCCAAACGTAGTTTGAGATCTGTAGGCCGGTTTAAATTGAGTCTGGTAAAGCTACTTCAGCCTGGAAAAGGAGAGAAGAAATGATAGACTGAGAATTTTTAAATATTTAAATATTCTCATTCCAATGTGCTAGCCATTTTACAAATGCATATATTAATATCTGCCTGTGTATTCCCTTGAGAGCTGGGCTGGAAAAGCGTTGCTATACTTTCTGGTTTGGTTTTGTTTTTAAACTGCCACAGTATCTTTACTTTTACAAACATAAAAGTATATATACTTATTTTAACAATGATCCTTTCCCACATGTTCTGTTTCCTCTTGTTTGTTTGCTTTTTTGTTTGCTTGTTTTGCTTTTTTTCTCGAGTCAGAATTAGCTAGTACTTTTGCTTAATCACTTCTCAGTATTTAACAAGGTTTCAGGACATGCAAGGGGAAGCTGTTTAATGCACGCTGGTGATGCCAAGGAGATTGTACAAGAGTATGTTGGCTTGTCCAGAATGTTTCTATCTTGAGTATTGCGTGCCTACTCTCCACATGCACTGTGCTGGGAGCGGGGATATAACAAATAACAAGATTGAGTTCCTTTCTTCAAAGAGCTGAAAGAAGATGCCATTATAATATTTCAAGTGATAAAACAGATGTGTAAACACCCTGGGGACCAGGGAGGATCTAAAATGCGTGTCTAGAGCAGGCTTCCTGGAGGAGGTTACGCCTAAGCTAAGCCCATCACTTCTCACAAGTCCAAACTCCTGCAAGGGAGGGCAGGGGACTACAACTTGGCTGCTCACTCTGCAGCCCTTTCAGAAACAGCCCCAGTTTCTTATTAGTGCTGATTCGCACCAGCTTTTTCCCCAGAATAGAGGACAGGGCTCTAAAGAGTGCCCGGTAAATCCCTTCCAGCCTCAAATCAAATAAGTCACTGCAGAATATCACATCCAGTAAACCTTGCCATTGTACCTCCAACAAAAAGAGAAGGGCTGCTTCTCAAAAAGAATACCACCCTCACAGCATGAGAGAGGCAGTTGCTCTATGACAACGCCACTAGACAGCAAGGACAAATATGGGATTTCCAGGCATTAAATTAAAACCATCACGCACTTCACAAATAGCAACTTTTGGGTGAAGGTGCCAGCTACATTTTCTGATTGAGATGGGGAAATGATTCTCAATGCACACAGGAGCTGAAGAGTGCTGAACACCTGTGATAGGCTTTTCTGCCAGGCATTTCATCTATGTTGTCTCATTCGGGAGCCAACAACACTACAAGATAGTAATCCCATTTTGATGCTGGGGAAGCTAATGCTCCAGAAGGGTGACTTCCTCAAGGTCATCAGGAAGTGACTAACTTAGTTTGATATGAATACAAGTCTGTATGACTGAAGTGTCAGACTCTTTCTACCATACCAGGCTGCCTCTGGGGCTCTTCTTTCTTGCAGTGTTTACAGTTTAGCTTACTGGTCTTGAAGTTAGATATTCTCCCACAGAACAGTAAGGAAAAGACAAAACAGCCTAATATCCAAGGGGCAAAAGGCTTGATCAGATACTTTGGAAAAGAAGATAGCCACAGGGCTAATGAGCATGTGGAAAGGTGCCTAGTTTCAGACATCATGGAAATGTGAATTAAAATCAAAATGAGATACCAGTACACACCCATCAGAATGGTAAAAAATTAAAAAGACCGGCAGTACTGAGTGTTGCTGAGGATATGGGGTAACTGGAACTCTTATACATTGCTGGTGAGACTGTAAAATGTTATGATCACTTTGGGAAACAAACTAAATATATGCCTACTCTGTGATCCCAAAATTCCACCCATGAGTCTATATACCCAGTGATGTGCTGGGGCTGGCTCCTACTGACTCCTGAAATCTGACTGGCCACATCTTTTCCAAACTCCCACTCCATTGGTAGAAGAAAAATGGCCATGGTGGGGTATTTACCAACACAAACCACAGCTTTTTTATTATTATTATTGTTATACTGTAAGTTCTAGGGTACATATGCACAACGTGCAGGCTAGTTACATAGGTATACACGTGACATGCTGACTTCACAACACCCATCAACCCGTCATTTACATTAGGTATTTCTCCCAGTGCCATCCCTCCCCTAGCCTCCCACCCCACGACAGGCCCTGGTGTGTGATGTTCCCACCCTGTGTCCAAGTGTTCTCATTATTTAATTCCCACCTATGAGTGAGAACATGCACTGTTTGGTTTTCTCTCCTTGTGATAGTTTGCTGAGAGTAATGGTTTCCAGCTTCATCCATGTCCCTACAAAGGACATGAACTCATCTTTTTTGTGGCTCCATAGTATTCCATGGTGTATATGTGCCACATTTTCTTAATCCAGTCTATCATTGATGGACATTTGGGTTGGTTCCAAGTCTTTGCTGTTGTGAATAGTGCCGCAATAAACATACGGGTGCATGTGTCTTTATAGTAGCATGATTTATAATCCTTTGGGTATATACCCAGGAATGAGATCGCTGGATCAAAAGGTATTTCTACCTCTAGATCCCTGAGGAATCACCACACTGACTTCCACAATGATTGAACTAGTTTACACTCCCACCAACAGTGTAAAAGTGTTCCTATTTCTCCACATCCTCTCCAGCACCTGTTGTTTTCTGACTTTTTAATGATTGCCATTCTAACTGGTGTGAGATGGTATCTCATTGTGGTTTTGATTTGCATTTGTCTGATGACCAGTGATGATGAGCATTTTTCCATGTGTCTGTTGGCTTCTTTTGAGAGGTGTCTGTTCAAATACTTTGCCCACTTTTTGATGGGGTTGTTTGTTTTTTTCTTGTAAATTTGTTTGAGTTCATTGTAGATTCTGGATATTAGCCCTTTGTCAGATGGGTAAATTGCAAAAATTTTCTCCCATTCTATAGGTTGCCTGTTCATTCTGATGGTAGTTTCTTTTGCTGTGCAGAAGCTCTTTAGTTTAATTAGACCCCATTTGTCTATGTTGGCTTTTGTTGCCATTGCTTTTGGTGTTTAAGTCATGAAGTCCTTGCCCATGCCTATGTCCTGCATGGTATTACCTAAGTTTTCTTCAAGGGTTTTTATGGTTTTAGGTCTAACATTTAAGTCTTTAATCCAACTTGAATTAATTTTTGTATAAGGTGTAAGGAAGGGATCCAGTTTCAGCTTTCTACATATGACTAGCCAGTTTTCCCCGCACCATTTATAAAATAGGGAATCCTTCCCACATTTCTTGTTCTTGTCCGGCTTGTCAAAGATCAGATGGTTGTAGATGCGTGGTGTTATTTCTGAGGCATCTGTTCTGTTCCATTGGTCCATATCTCTGTTTTGGTACCAGTACCATGCTGTTTTGGCTACTGTAGCCTTGTAATATAGTTTGAAGTCAGTTAGCGTGATGCCTCCAGCTTTGTTCTTTTGGCTTAGGATTGACTTGGCAATGCAGGCTCCTTTTTGGTTCCATATGAACTTTAAAGTAGTTTTTTCCAATTCTGTGAAGAAAGTCATTGGTAGCTTGATGGGGATGGCATTGAATCTATAAATTACCTTGGGCAGTATGGCCATTTTCACAATATTGATTCTTCCTATCCATGAGGATGAAATGTTCTTCCATTTGTTTGTGTCCTCTTTTATTTCATTGAGCAGTGGTTTGTAGTTCTCCTTGAGGAGGTCCTTCACATCCCTTGTAAGTTGGATTCCTAGGTGTTTTATTCTCTTTGTAGCGATTGTGAATGGGAGTTCACTCATGATTTGGCTCTCTCTTTGTCTGTTATTAGTGTATGGGAATGCTTGTGATTTTTGTACATTGATTTTGTATCCTGAGACTTTGCTGAAGTTGCTTATCAGCTTAAGGAGATTTTGGGCTGAGACGATGGGATTTTATAAATATACAACCATGTCATCTGCAAGCAGGGACAATTTGACTTTCTCTTTTCCTAATTGAATACCCTTTATTTCTTTCTCTTGCCTGATTGCCCTGGCCAGAACTTCCAACACTATGTTGAATAGGAGTGGTGAGAGAGGGCATCCCTGTCTTGTGCCAGTTTTCAAAGGGAATACTTCTAGTTTTTGCCCATTCAGTATGATATTGGCTGTGGGTTTATCATAAATAGCTCTTATTATTTTGAGGTACTTTCCATCAATACCTACTTTATTGAGAGTTTTTAGCAAGAAGGGCTGTTGACTTTTGTTGAAGGCCTTTTCTGCATCTATTGAGATAATCATGTGATTTTTGTCGATGGTTCTGTTTATGTGATGGATTACGTTTATTGATTTGCATATGTTGAACCAGCCTTGCATCTCAGGGATGAAGCCAACTTGATTGTGGTGGATAACCTTTTTGATGTGCTGCTAGATTCAGTTTACTAGTATTTTATTGAGGATTTTTGCATCGATGTTCATCAGGGATATTTACCTAAATTCTCTTTTTTTGTTGTGTCTCTGCCAGGATTTGGTATCAGGATGATGCTGGCCTCATAAAATGAGTTAGGGAGGATTCCCTCTTTTTCATTGACTGGAATAGTTTCAGAAGGAATGGTACCAGCTCTTCTATATACCTCTAGTAGAAGTTGGCTGTGAACCCCTCTGTTCCTGGACTTTTTTTTGCTTGGTAGGCTATTAATTATTGCCTCAGTTTCAGAGCCTGTTGTTGGTCTATTCAGGGATTCAACTTCTTCCTGGTTTAGTCTTGGGAGGTTGTATGTGTCCAAGAATTTATCCATTTCTTCTAGATTTTCTAGTTTATTTGTGTAGAGATGTTTATAGTATTCTCTGATGGTAGTTTGTATTTTTGTGGGATCGGTGGTGATATCCCCTTTATCATTTTTTAATGTGTCTATTTGATTCTTCCCTCTTTTCTTCTTTATTAGTGTTGCTAGTGGTCTATCTATTTTGTTGATCTTTTCAAAAAACCAGCTCCTGGATTCACTGATTTTTTGAAGGGTTTTTTGTGTCTCTATCTCCCTCAGTTCTGCTCTGATCTTAGTTATTTCTTGCCTTCTGCTAGCTTTTGAATGTCTTTGCTCTTGCTACTCCAGTTCTTTTAATTGTGATGTTAGGGTGTCAACTTTACATCTTTCCTGCTTTCTCTTGTGGGCATTTAGTGCTATAAATTGCCCTCTACACCCTACTTTAAATGTGTCCCAGACATTCTGGTTTGTTGTGTCTTTGTTCTCATTGGTTTCAAAGAACATCTTTATTTCTGCCTTCATTTCGTTATTTACCCAGTAGTCGTTCAAGAGCAAGTTGTTCAGTTTCCCTGTAGTTGCGTGGTTTTGAGTGAGTTTCTTAATCCTGAGTTTTAATTTGATTGCACTGTGGTCTGAGAGACAGTTGGTTGTGATTTCTGTTCTTTTACATTTGCTGAGGAGTGCTTTACTTCCAACTATGTGGTCAGTTTTGGAATAAATGTGGTGTGGTGCTGAGAAGAATGTATATTCTGTTGATTTGGGGTGGAGAGTTCTGTAGGTGTCTGTTAGGTCTGCTTGGTGCAGAGCTGAGTTCAATTCCTGGATTTCCATGTTAACCTTCTTTCTCATTGATCTGTCTAATATTGACAGTGGGGTGTTAAAGTCTCCCATTATTACTGTGTGGGAGTCTAAGTCTCTTTGTAGGTCTCTAAGCACTTGCCTTATGAATCTGCGTGCTCCTGTATTGGGTGCATATATATTTAGGATAGTTAGTTCTTCTTGTTGAATTGATCCTTTTACTATTATGTAATGGCCTTCTTTGTCTCTTTTGATCTTTGTTGGTTTAAAGTCTGTTTTATCAGAGACTAGGATTGCAACCCCTGCCTTTTTTTGTTTTCCATTTGCTTGGTAGATCTTCCTCCATCCCTTTATTTTGAGCCTATGTGTGTCTCTGCATGTGAGATGGGTCTCCTGAATACAGCACACTGATGCGCCTTGAGTCTTTATCCGATTTGCCAGTCTGTGTCTTTTAATTGGGGCATTTAGCCCATTTACATTTAAGGTTAATATTGTTATGTGTGAATTTGATCCTGTCATTATGATGTTAGCTGGTTATTTTGCCCATTAGTTGATGCATTTTCTTCCTAGCATTGATGGTCTTTACAATTTGGCATGTTTTTGCAGTGGCTGGTACCGTTTGTTCCTTTCCATGTTTAGTGCTTCCTTCAGGAGCTCTTGTAAGGCAGGCCTGGGGGTAACAAAATCTCTCGGCATTTGTTTGTCTGTAAAGGATTTTATTTCTCCTTCACTTATGAAGCTTAGTTTGGCTGGAGATGAAATTCTGGGTTGGAAATTCTCTTGTTTCAGAATGTTGAATATTGGCCCCCACTCTCTTCTGGCTTGTAGAGTTTCTGCGGAGAGATCCGCTGATAGTCTGATAGGCTTCCCTTTGTGGGTAACCCGACCTTTCTCTCTGGCTGCCCTTAACATTTTTTCCTTCATTTCAACCTTGGAGAATCTGACAATTATGTGTCTTGGGGTTGCTCTTCTTGAGGAGTATCTTTGTGGTGTTCTCTGTATTTCCTGAGTTTGAATGTTGTCCTGCCTTTCTAGGTTAGGGAAGTTCTCCTGGATAATATCCTGAAGAGTGTTTTCCAACTTGGTTCCATTCTCCCCGTCACTTTCAGGTACACCAATCAAACGTAGATTTGGTCTTTTCACAGTCCCATATTTCTTGAAGGCTTTGTTCGTTTCTTTTTACTCTTTTTTCTCTAAACATCTCTTCTTGCTTTATTTCATTAATTTGATCTTCAATCACTGATACCCTTTCTTCCATTTGATCAAATTGGCTATTGAAGCTTGGACATGGTTTTCAGCTCCATCAGGTCATTTAAGGTCTTCTCTACACTGTTTATTCTAGTTAACCATTCATCTAATCTTTTTTCAATGTTTTTAGCTTCCTTGCAATGGGTTCGAACATCCTCCTTTAGCTCGGAGAAGTTTGTAATTACCGACCTTCTGAAGTCTACGTCTGTCAGCTTGTCAAAGTTGTTCTCCGTCCAGCTTTGTTCCGTTGCGGGTGAGGAGCTGTGATCCTTTGGAGGAGAAGAGGCACTCTGGTTTTTAGAATTTTCAGCTTTTCTGCTCTGGTTTCTCCCCATCTTTGTGGTTTTATCTACCTTTGGTCTTTGATGTTGGTGACCTACAGATGGGGTTTTGGTGTGGATATCCTTTCTGTTGATTTTGATGTTATTCCTTTCTGTTTGTTAGTTTTCCTTCTAACAGTCAGGTCCCTCAGCTGCAGGTCTGTTGGAGTTTGCTGGAGGTCCACTCCAGACCCTGTTTGACTGGGTATCACCAGTGGAGGCTGCAGAACAGCAAATATTGCAGAAGAGCAAATATTGCTGCCTGATCCTTCCTCTGGAAGCTTCATCCCAGAGGAGCACCCACCTGTATGAGGTGTCAGTCAGCCCCCACTAGGTGGTGTCTCCCAGTTAGGCTACACGGGTGTCAGGGACCCACTTGAGGAGGCAGTCTGTCCATTCTCAGAGCTCAAACACTGTGCTGGGAGAACCACTGCTCTCTTCAGAGCTGTCAGTCAGGTACGTTTAAGTCTGCAGAAGCTGTCTGCTGCCTTTTGTTCAGCTATGCCCTGCCCCCAGAGGTGGAATCTACAGAGGCAACAGGCCTTGCTGAGCTGCGGTGGGTTCCGCCCAGTTTGAGCTTCCAGGGCAGCTTTGTTTACCTGCTCAAGCCTCAGCAGTGGCGGACGCCCATCCCCCTGCCAGGCTGCTACCTCGCAGGTCGATCTCAGACTGCTGTGCTAGCAGTGAGCAAGGCTCCATGGGCATGGGACCTGCCGAACCAGGCGTGAGATATAATCTCCTGGTGTGCCATTTGCTACGACTGTTGGAAAAGCGCAGTATTTGGACGGAAGTGTCCCAATTTTCCAGGTACAGTCTTTCATGGCTTCCCTTGGGTAGGAAAGGGAAATCCCCTGACCCCTTGCGCTTCCTGGGTGAGGCGATGCCCCGCCCTGCTTCGGCTCACCCTCTGTGGGCTGCACCCACTGTCCAACCAGTCCCAGTGAGATGAACCAGCTACCTCAGTTGGAAATGCAGAAATCATCTGTCTTCTACGTCGATCACGCTGTGTGCTGCAGACCAGAGCTGTTCCTATTCGGCCATCTTGGAATGGAAGTCAAGCTATTTTTATTATAGAACTGACTGTTCAATATTTACCAACATACCACTATGTACACCTGAGAGAAGTGAGTGCATATGTCTACCAAAGGCTATGTAAAACAAAGTTTATAGCAGTTTTAATTAAAGAACAACCAAACTGGAAACAACCCAAAGGTCCACCAACAGGAGAATGGAAAAGTAAATTGTGGTATTTTCACACAATGGACTACTACACAGCAAAAATAAATAAAAATAACAGTATTGATAAGCACAACAAGATGGATAAATCTCACAGGTCAGTTAAGTAGAAGATGGCAGACACAGAAGAGTGTATTCTACGTGATTCCATTTTTAGGAAGCTGAAGAATAAGCAAGACTAGCTGAAGTTGATAGAGTCAGAATAGCTTTCCTCTGGGGATAGTGGGGTTATTGACTGGGAAAGGACATGAGAGGGCCCTCTGGGTACTGTAAATATGCTATGTCTTGATCTGAGCAATGTTTATGTGTATCTATATATAAAAATTCATTAAATATGCACTTAACATTTACACATTGTACTGTATATAAATCATACCTTAATTATGAAGAGTGTAGACACACACACACACACACACACACACACACACACACACACACACCGTATTCAGTGACCCTGTCAGTAAGGTGGAAGAGTTAGACTACCATCCCAGCAGTACAGAACATCCAACAATGGTGAGTACCAAGAAGAAGAAAGGCAGCCTGAATCTTGGCAGACAAATCAGCCCAGTTTTAGTGACATCCAACTCACTGCCATCGTGGGGACTTTCAGCACCTGTACTGGCAGCAATGCCGATGCATGGAGAATTTGTCTCCATCAGCACATACTCCCCAGGCACATCACTGCCTGGGAAGGAATCCAGTGAACACATCAGCTGTCTCTCCCACACACCTACTGCCATAACAGCAGAAATCCAGAAATGTAAAGATAGGGACTTTCATCCAACTTGGGCAATATTCCAGCATTTGCTGTCAACAGAGAACACTGAAGCCTGAGACCTTACCTGTTGAGATGATCCGGAAGGTTGCAAAGAGGCTTCTAACTATGTCTCTAAGCTTTTATTCCAAATAAAGTAAAAGCCAAACAAATGCCTGCTTCCTTTATCATCAGCCAGAAGAAAAATAAGAGATCATGCCATCTCACAGCTCTCCATTCCTGGCAGGATGCAGGTCTAAGTACTTCTTGAAGAGTTACGGTACATTCTCATCAGCAGTGTACCCTAGACCCAACAAGTGATTAGCCTTAAGCCTTAATGAAAAGACTGGACTGTGTCCCAAATGAGGGTGAAGTGCAGTTGACAGCATCAGGCCATCTACACTCGTGAACTTGTTTGGGCCACTTGGAGAAATATTTATTGCATACCTACTGTGTTCATCGTCATAAAAATGTGCCTACCATCAAAAGATTGAGTATGAAGAGAAGCTCACAAGATCCTAGCTTTATTCCCTAACGGTTGAGTGTTGTGTGTTCAAATATGGCTGTGTGAAAATAATACAAGACATTGGGGAGTTGGTTTTAGAATGGCTTAGTGTTTTGAGGACACTAGGAAACTCGAATTCCAGAGGCTATGAGAATTATTGGACATTTTCTTAGTTTGTGTTTCAGAAGCCAATCCTGAAACAAGAAATCAAGTAAAGGCAGCTTACTTGGGAGGTGTAGGGCAAACAGAACGGAGCAGAGGGGAGAGAAAGAAAGAGGAAGGAGCCTAAAAGGGCATATAATTAAGCAGGCCACTTCTGTGGGCAACTAGAGCACAGTCACACTGGGGGAAGCTCTGGGAACCAGCTTACAACACACTCACCCCAAAGTGATCCCACCCATGGGGAGGGAGCTGGGTATTTATAGGCCAAGTCCCATCTGTCATTGGTTGAGGGATGCTCCTAAGGAGTGTTAATTCCCCAGCACTTCTGGCCTGCCAAGCAGATGGTGAAGTGGGCTCTGTGACAAAGAAGTGTGGGTGCTGGCATTTGAAGTCGGGCAGGTGTGCTCTCAAGAGATAAGGGCTAGAGGATATGAGCAGGGTGCCAACTGCATCTGCTGCAGAGGAACTTAAAGCAATTGGCCAGGAACTTCTCTGCTTGTATAGTCTATGACTGCACTTTAGAAGTGTACATACAGAAAATTGAAAAGCCACACATCAGCTAAATCTACATATCTATAAATCTACAGTTGATAGATGGCACATTAAGACCCAAACCTGGGAAATGCAGCCCAAATGTTTAATCAGTACCATGGAGCTGAAAGTTGTCATCCTGTTCTATTACCTGGCTTATTGCCTTGGCTAAGCTGTCCAGATCTATAAAAAAGTAAAGGCATAAACCTTCTGTCTCCTTCAAGCTAGTATGACCCCCACGGTTCAGACCTTCATTTCGTCAGTGAACTAGTTGTTACATTGGTGTCTTATTTTGTCTCCCTGGTTACACTCTTCATCCTTTCCAATGTAGCTACCACACTGCAGGCAGACTGAACTTCCCAAGACACACTTCTGATCATTTCATCCGCTGATAAAATCTTTGACTGGCTCGCAGTTGCCCACAGGACAAAGTCTGTCTTCCAAGTTCAACTAACAAGGCCTTGTGTGATTGGGACTTTGCCTGCCCCTCTGGCTTTCCTCTCCGTTTTCCTACCAGCCTGAATTACTTCCATTTCCCCTGACATCCTTTTTGTGCCTCTGAAACTTTGCCCATGCCTTAGCTTCCACCTGAAATACTCTCTCAACCAGTTCCACGCCCTGAGCCAAACCTCTGCCCTTAATTAACTCTTCCTCATTCTTGGGTCCTAATTTAGAAGTCAGTTCATCTAGAAATCGTCCTTGATGACTGCAAGGCCAGTGTGGGTGCCCTTCCCTTAATACTCTGCACTTCTTTTGTCTTAGAACTCCACAAAGATTTTGTAGTTGTCTTGTTGCTTGTCTTTATCTCCCACAGTTTGAATTTTCTGTGAGGGCAGAACCATGTTTGTCTTGCTCACATGGCTTCAGGTAAGATTTACTAATAGTAACTAATAAATTTCAATGAATGAATAAGATCCTCCGTCGTCTGACCCCTGTCTCCTTTCCAGCTCTTATTCTATTGCACACTCACCACTGCTACACACATGCTCCTGGTACACACACACACACACACACACACACACACACCCCTGCATCCCCCTCACATATGCATATATCCTGGACACCAACATACTAGACTCCCTATACCCCTTTAGCTATTCCTATCATAGCACTGTAACACTCACTGGACTTTGTGGTTCGCTTGCGCTAATCAATTCTGAGAATCTGCCTGAAGTCCCTCCACTAAACTCTACGTTACTTGAAGATAAAGTTATGTCTTAATGTTCTTTATCTCTCCAGGGCTTACGTAATGCCCAGTATGGTGTAGTCCCTTAATATATGTTGAGTAAATGCATCATTGCTATAATTGGTGATGAAGTGCAGAAGACTTTATCAGCATGACTTCTGATTCTCAACAAAGCAAAAAACCTCTGGCCTCCCACCTGCCCAGTGTCTGAGACCCATCACAGACTTCACATCTGCAAGCCTTGAAAATTTTCATTAGCCAAATTAGCAAACCATTGTCACCATTAAAGCAAGATAGAATCACCAGAGTGACACCTTTGGACATGAAAGCAATCTTTGCTCCGGGCTGGGCATATCACTTCCAAAAGCCACATGCCAGTGAGACAGCTTAGTAGAAGCTATCTGTCAATTTCAGTAGGGCTGGCGTGCTCAGGGAAGGTAGATGAAATGTTCTGAGGGTCCTATGGATGCACTCCACCTCTAAAGTAGCAAGCAAAACCAGGCTGCAGGATAACTGAATCTTGCAAAAACATCCGAGTCTTGACGTGGAAGGAAGTTGCAATAGTGGGAGCATAGGTGTGGTTGGAAGTGATTACAGACAAGAGGAGTTTTTCCAAATTATTTTCCTGGAGACCTTTATGATGACAGGATAGTATCACGTGCAATATTCTAGGTTCCATCAGCAGCAGTGGGCTACAAACCAAAGGACTGTCACCTCAGGTCGGCTGTGAGGCATAAGCAGATGAAGTTACATCAGTGCTTGCATCGTCTGAGACATCCAGAGATAGGAAGGGTATACAACCTAGTTTGCCTGTGATAGTCCCATTTTATGCCTATTGTTCCTGTGAAATTAACACTGCCCTCTTGCACTCCCAAAAGTGTTCCAGTTTGGATGATAAATTATATGGTCACACTACCCATCAACAGCATTAACAGGAGGAGCAGAATCTTCAGATAGACATGGATGGTAGGTACATAGAAATTCTTACAATAGTCTCCAGACTTCTGTATTTAAAAAAAAAAAAAAAACTTTTCAAAATAAAAGGAAATATGAAAAACAAATACACTTGAAAAATTCAAACTACCCTATGATTAAGCATAGCACATAATTATTTCAGACCTCAGTTGCCTACCTAAATTGTTTCTCTGCTCTTATTTTTTTAGATTATAGTTTAACCATATCCATTTGTCTAATGAGATCAGCCATTTGTCTGCAGCATGTAAGCAACAGGAGCAAATTCAATGTCATCTGTTTATTTAAGATGTAAATGATATGCATGTAGCACAGTAGCCTTTGGGTACAAATGAAGTATCATTCAATGTCACCGGAGAAATATAAATCAGCAAGAAGGAACAAACACTAAAGGTTTCATCAGCACATCTTTGTTGTGCTCCTTTTATGTGCCAGGCACTACTCTAGGTACTTGGGATAGGATTGAGCGAAACAAAATCCCTGCCGTCGTGAAGCATATATATTCTAGTGTAAAACTCCCCGTGGGGAGAGATGATACCCAAGTCCTATAAGACCCCCAACTTCAATCTGATATTTTCAGTAAATCCACACACCGCAAGCCCCTTTATACAAATATGTTCTGTAAAGTTTTGTTTTGTTTTTTTCTTTTTCGTCGTGTGTTTCTGAGGTCAAGGGGTTATATAAGAAACATACATGGCCGGGTGCGGTGGCTCACGCCTGTAATCCCAGCACTTTGGGAGACCAGGACGGGTGAATCACCTGATGTCAGGAGTTCGAGACCATCCTGGCCAACATGGTGAAACCCCATCTCTACTAAAAATACAAAGAATTACCCAGACGTGGTGGTGAGCAACTGTAATTCCAGCTACTCGGGAGGCTGAAGCAGGAGAATCGCTTGAACCCAGGAGGCAGAGGTTGCAGTGAGTCGAGATCATGCCATTGCACCGCAGCCTGGGCAACAAAAGCAAAAATACTCCGTCTCAAAAAAGAAAAAAAAGACACATACATGATGCAAAAGATGCTATTTTGACTGATGAAAGTCTTCTCCCTTTTCACATCTGTTTTCTTCATCTCCAGCTGTTTGCGCATGCTTGTCATTGGTGATGGGCTTGTGGCTTCTTTCTGAGGTTTCTGTTGTAAATATCTGGCATTCACTGGGTTTTACTGTTTAGTACTGGTCGGAGTTTTGTTGCTTTTCTAGACTGCTTTGTCATGTTTGACCCCCGACTTTGCTACCTCATCACCATCTCCTGCTGTGAGTTGACCACGTTTAAGCCTAATACCAGAAAGCAAATTTATCAATATCCAAATGTCCAAAGCACAGAGATTAGGGGATAAAGTCTTTACTTTTCCAGAAGAACTCTCATTAGGGGACAATTTTCTGAGCCCAGGATTTAAATCTGGGCTGATCCACTTACTAAATTTGTGGCCATGGACAAGTTATTTAAGCTCCTAGAGGCTCAGCTTCCTCACGCGCAGATGGAGGGGTAATATCTACCTCCCTGATTTGCTGTGAGGGTTAAATAAGATGATAGATTGTAGCATTCTTTGCACAATGTCCGGCACTTAGCAAGCACTTAGTACCTTTTAGTTTCCTTCTTTTACCCCTACCATCTTTTCCTGCCTAGACTGGATTCCTTTAATTGATGTGCACAGTTATCTAACTAGAGAGCTAACCTGCAGATGATGGGACAATTTTCAAACTTGGAGCTTATACTGGGATTAAGGAGGGCCAACTTTAAACACATACTACCCAGCTGTTCCCTTCAAATATTTGTACTGATCCATGCTTCTAACCCCATTTACCCCTTAGTCTTTCAGCAAAGATGAGAGCAAAAATCGGTCACCTTTACATTTCATTGAATATACTTTTCAAGAAAAATGGAGGAAGTTTCACTATTTAAAGGAAAAGAAAGTTGAAGTAGACAAGACACAACAGAAGATAGAAATGGGGTTTTCTGTTTGTTCATTTTGTCTTTGCTATCAGACATTTACTGGGTACCACCTGTGTTTCAGAGACTGTACAGAGCAATTTACATTCAATTTCTGATTTATCCTTCAACAATCCTAATGAGATGGGTACTATTATTGGCCCCATTTTACAGATGAATAAGCTGAGGCAAGGGATAGCCATTACATAATAGCTTAGTGTCCAGGATCACACATCTCCTTAGTGCCAAAGCTGGGATTTGAGCCTAGGCAGTCTGATTCCATCATGCCAAACCATGCCACCAACATCAGCACCTCCCAGAAGGGTCGAGGCCTTTGCAAGCCGAGTCATAGAAACTATCATAGTTTGACCTTTTGCCCTGTGAGACCTCTTTTCAGATCAGGAAAGGGAGGGCAGTGGCTGAAATGCTCCTGTGATTTTTAAGGGCAGTAGCTTTGTATGAGAACCTTGAGAACAGAGAAGAATTATTGTCAGGAAGAAATGCACTGTCCTATAATACGTTATTTTATGAATTACAGGTACTCATCCTTGGTAAGGCTTATGGTCCATCATTAAGGAGAGCTGTTACCATATCATTAGGTGGAACTTTCTTCTTATTTTTTCTTTCATCAGCCATAATTTCCATTGTTCTCAAGTTCAGTGCCCATTAGAAACATAGCAAATCCTTTCAAAGAAAAAATGTTACCAAAGAGCTCATCTGATGAAGACATTTGTATATTTTTTGATTTAACAGTATTATTATTCAGTTTCAAATATCTTGGGGATGTGGGTTATATGGCATTTTGATTTTTTTCATAAGTTAAAACGACGGGAATGAGAAGATTTCTGAGATCCTTCCTAGCCCAAAACTGTTGTCTTTTTTCTAAAATCCTGCCCTGATACCACCAAACTGTCTCTTGGAAACCAAACAAAATTGTCTGATAGCCCCCTCAGGAAGCTCAGGTTCTGACAGGACTCTTGGGGAGGAGGAGAGGCAGGAGGGGAAAGAACAAACACTGACGAAAGCTCAGGTAGGTGACTCACATAAAATTGCCGCTATTCAACTACTTTTTAACCTATAGAAATGGCAATTTCATATGGTTTAACCTAATACTAAATGCCAGGCCAGACACCTTTTATAGGTAATCATAATGACTTTATGAGGTAAGGATTATTCCCATAATTCAGATAACAAAACTGAATTAAAAATCTAAATTCACTGTCTTAGTTGGACCTCCCCCAGAAGCTAACCTGGAGTCAAGCACTTCATGAGAGTACAATATTTGGAAGATAATCCCAGGAAGCACTGAGAAGAGAACAGCATCATGAGGCAGGGAAGAAAAGCCGTCGGCTATGGAGGCATTGTCAAGCCAGCTACTCTGTGGGCAACTGGAGTTTAATCCTGCTGGGGAACTCTGGGAAACAGTGAGGAACACATGTTGTAGGGTTATCCCATTTAGGAGGACATGTGAGCTGGGCTGTTCATACACAGACTGTCTTTAGTCATAGGTCCAGCCTGCTTAGAATTGAGATAGTATGTTAGTGCCCCAGTATTTCCACATCAGGCTGGAAATAGATATGATATGTGCACTGAAGTGGTAAGGATGAGGGGATATGCGCAGGGCCCAGCTGTGTTATGAACAGAGGCAGGATTTGAACTTGTGGCATTCTAACCTCATAACCCATGTCCCTCCCACAAAAGCACAAGATATTGTCAAGTCGGGAAGGATTAGGGGCTCCAGGACTCAATTGTAGATTATGTTTGGAAGCTGTAAGACCACTCACCAGAGGAGCTAGCATCCATGCTTCCTGCTGTATAATAATACAATTGTATTTGTGTAGCTCTCAAAAGTTGACAAAATGCATGCACACTCATCATCTCATTTGGCTTTCATCATGCCCATGATGAGACAAACTAAAGTCCCTTTACTCATGAGATTATTATATTCATGTGTTTACTTCACAATTGTTATGTGTTCCAGGCACTGTTCTAGTTAATGGAAATGTAGAGGTGGACCAAACAGAAACACATTCTGGCATGACAGAACTCATATTTGAATGGGGGCAGCAGAATAAAAACAGAGATGATGATAATGTCATGTCATGATGGTACCATGAAAAAATTAAAACAAGAAAAGATGATGGTGATGGGCAAACATACTAGTGTTTTTTTTTTTTTAAATTAGGGGTGAGCTCAGGAAAGATGATTGCATTTAAGCAGGGAAGTAAAGGCAGTGAGAACAGAAGTTTTTTAAGTGTCTGGAAGAAGAATGTCCCAGGCAGAATCAAGAGCAAGACGAGCACTGCAATGTGAGAATAGCGAGATGGGAGTCCAGAGAAGAGAGGTCAGCAAGGAGAATGTTTCATGTCAGGCGCCAAAGTCAATGCTCTGAGCATGATGAGGAACTCTAGGGGAATTTAAAGCAGGGAAGTGACGTGTTTTCATAGGTTCATTGTTTTGTTTATCTCTAAGTCATGTGGTCAGCAAAACCCAGAACCAGGACTAAAATTGAAGCCTTCTGACTCCTGATACAGTGCTCCTCCCATTCAGGTCCATGGTTGGTCATTCTCTAGACCTGAATGTCCTTGGCATGCTGTTTTTCCTGTTCCTGGCATGGTTATTTGTGGTCTGCTAATCAAATCTTGTAACAGCTGTTGCCTGTTCCCAAGCCCAAACATTTGGTTCCTTGGGACTTTCCTTTGCCATTTGTCCAGCCAATCAGCTTTAACATTCTCCTGTTTCTGTGAGCATCGGGTCCTCTTAGAGCTATCCAACAAAACTCTTCACCCACAAGCTAGCTCAACTACAGCTTAAGCTTGACCATGAAACTCAAGTGAGGATTTAGGGAATTTAAAAATAGCCACTCTATCAGCCACTCTAAACATTCTAATCAGAAAGTTCAACTTTACAGACTGCCAAGTATCTTCATAATATGAAGGATTTTTTCACAAATCAAGACCAAGTGAAATTTTCTCCCAGACTACGGGAATAAAGAGATTGTTGAACCTGTGGTTCACTGTACTGACTGTCTTATCCATACCAGTGTGGAGTCAGGCAGAAGTTGCAATGAGATACTGCAATTGCATTTTCCTTCACCATCACTATTTTTTGTTTCTAAAATCTCAGATTTCTCTGCTTCAAATCTAAAGCTGCCTTGTTTTTTCAGCCAAGCCTGCAAAGACAAACTCAGCTTGTTTGGAGAGTTACAATAAGGGCTGTCTTGGCTGCTTTTCAGTGTCAGTACCCGCAATAAGAGTGTTTACCACCTTGTAGAGTAAGGAGCAAAACAGAACTATTCAACTCTCCCAGACCTGCACTAGCATTGCATTACTGACAGAGGTAACCATTTGTCTTTTGTCACTGGAGCAGGTGAGCATGGCACCAGGCACACATGTGCAGAGGAAGTGTGTGGATAGATAGTCACTTGTTTGGCTATATCCACAGCTTAAATTTGGTGTCCTCTGGAAATGTAATATTTCAAAGGCAGGATGATATTTCTGTTCACTTATTAAGGGATGACTAACTTGCTTTTGGCTGCACTACAAATGAATCACGGTAACAATCCCTAACTTGCGACTTCTGGTGTTCTGATGTAATGCATTTCTATTAAAAGAAGAGGAAAGAGAGTGGGTGAGAGTGAGATCATGCAAAGACAGAACATAACACCAAGGGAGCTAGCGTAATTTATGAACTGCTGCAGCCAGATCCATCCACTTCAAGGTGTTTTCTTGCGTCCTGAGTGAGGATACCTTGCCAGTTAGCACCTGCCCATTTACAGTTGCAGAATATAGACCCAGATCAAGACATGTAGTTTGGAGGGATTCAGTGAAGGGAACATTTTATTTAGGGGTGAAAACCAGATATTCCTTGAAAGCATTTTTAAGCAGTTTTGATTGTGTCACTTGGAAGGTAATATTTGGGGACGGATGATATAGGTTAAGAAGTCAAATCATAATCTTCCTTTTTACATTTTTTTAATGTATGCAGCTTATTTGGGAGTAGAAGAAGTGGGAAGGGGGTGGAAACGTGAGACAAGGAAGGGAAGACAGCCTATAAAGGGGGTGTCATCAGGCTAACTCCCACTGGAGGTGACTGGAGCTCCATCCTGCTGCGACATGGGGAACCCATACGAACTCCGAGTCTTCCCTCACAGATGAGATTGCTTGGGGACTGTTTGAGGCTGACCCCAGAGCATGTTAATTGCCCTGCATGGGCAGAGTGGCCTTCCTCCTTCCCTCCTCCCTTTTCAACAAGAAACAAATACAAAAAAAAAAAAAAAAAAAAAAAAAAAAACCCAAAACCCTGCAAGGTATTGTATAAGATCCTCTAAACCCACAGGTATTTTTCCTGTGTTAATCACCACTCAGGAGCAGATACATCCTTCCTCCCTTCTGTACTGTCCTCTGCAAAGTGTCCCTGCTGTCTTCTGAGGAAGATCTGAGTGTGCCAAGGAGAGGCAGAGAGGAAATTAGACTCTGGCCTGTCGTGACCAAGCAGCCCACACTGGCTTTGTCCCAGGATCTGGCAGAAGGGGATTATAAGAGCCAACGCCTCCCCAGAATGGGAAATCACTCAGAGAGGGAAATCTTTTTTTTTTTTTTTTCCAGTAAACCTATATTCTTTACCGTTTTCCTTCTGGGTTTCATCTATCAGATCGGATTGCCCTGAAAAAGAACTTCAGTGTGTCAGAAAAGCATACCTCAAGTAGCCGTAATAATGTTCAATTTGATATTTATTAAGTTAACTTTCTCTCACCTGGTGTCTGATTATGTAGTTTGTGGATATCACTCATCTTAGAATTATGTAGTGTTAAAACTGGAAGGGTCTGTCCTTAAATATTAGCTAGACCAACACCCTTTTTAACTGATAAATATGAGAACTGAAGTTTCAGACTTAAAGAAGCAGAGTGGGATTCCTGAAGTTTCTGACACTCTTAAGGTAGGTAGTGGAAGCGACACTGGAAGCCAAAACTTTTTCTTACTGGATTCCATTGTGCCCCAGGACCTTTTTTCTTAGGAAGCCTGTCTTTGAAAAGCTTTATTTAGCAACACCAGAGGCTGGATGGAGATTAAGAAAAATCGTTAAACTCTAAACCCATCCCCTTCGTTACCTGTTAATACTGCCATGTAATGTTGCTGCTGTCTGAACATGAGTTTAGCTGTTTGGATTATTTCTGGTCTCTCTTATTGGACCCCAGATCTCCAATTGTGGCCATCCCATAGCTCAATCATATCCACTGCCAGTCACTTGAAGCAGGTGGGCTGACAATTCTTTTTTTTTTTTTTTTTTTTGAGACGGAGTCTCGTTCTGTCGCCCAGGCGGGAGTGCTGTGGCGCGATCTCCGCTCACTGCAAGCTCCGCCTTCCGGGTTCACGCCATTCTCCTGCCTCAGCCTCCCATGTAGCTGGGATAACAGGCGCACACACCACCACGCCCGGCTAATTTTTTGTATTTTTAGTAGAGACGGGGTTTCACCGTGGTCTCGATCTCCTGACCTCGTGATCCGCCCGCCTCGGCCTCCCAAAGTGCTGGGATTACAGGCGTGAGCCACCGCGCCGCCCGGCCGGGCTGACAATTCTTTATCCACCCCCAAGTTGTCTTCATGCTCACTGCTGAATTTGTTGGTGTATGCTAAGTGTCCTGCTGTGGAGTAAGACTTGAGAATCAGGTCTGCCCTTATTTACTGGCTCATCTCAGGTAAGTGATTGAAAGTCTCTAGGCCTCAGTTGCAACAGCTATAAAATGAGGATAATAGTATCACCATTGCCACAGAGTCTGTTTTAAATACATTTTTCAACTGTATAGAAAGCACTTAGAAAACTAATTACTATTATCATTATCATTCTTAACCTGAAGAATGATGAGAGCAAAGAAGCTAATAATTTACGTGATGTGTTCAGAGCCTTAAAACTAATCTCAATCTAACATTCAGTTTTGGCCTCTTTGGCAGCAAATACAATAACAATAAAAAATATTGTTATTGAAATTGACACTGGTTCGGGCTTTACTAGTACAAAGCACTTGGCGTTGTTTACTGTTAGGAGTTTCCCTTTGTTTTGGACACTGCATCTCATGAGATTTTTTCCACGCGCGAGTGCAAGCACGCTAAATTCAGGAAAATTATCCTATTATTGACAGCATAGTAGATTTGATGAGTACCTGTTGAATGTGTGTTGAATGAATAATCTAGAATCTATACATAGTTATAGAAACATGGATTATATGTTATTTCACACCACAGACTTAGACCACATTAAGGGTCAGGACAATTAGTTTGTGTCGTTTTTTCCTTCGTTTTCTTTTCTGAGAAGAGCGTCTCTTACCTAGTTCAATAACAAGCTTATATGGATCGCAGTTGTCCATTTTGTGGATTATCTGAAGCATAGCTTCAAACCCTGGCTTTCTTTTCCCTCTGTGAATATATCTGGTACTACAGTTTAGAACATCCACTAATGTTTCTACTGCCTTGAGTGGGGTTCTTTTAGGAAAGTAAATCAGGGCACTCTAAAACTCGGTATAGGTAGATGTTCAGGTAGCATGCGCAGTATATCTGCCCACGGCTATGTGGATTTCCAAGAGTGGATTGTGTCTGTGCTTATGTGTATTCATAAGCACCAAAGATCAGAACTGAGCCACTGCAGAAGTCACAGAAGGGAGTCTCAACTCCTTATTATAACTCTTGTTATCCTCTCACCTCTTATTCCACAGTAGAATCCTACAGATTCCCCCTGCTAGGTGGGTGGCCTCAGCCAACACCCTCTCTCTGGCTGCTTTGTCACTCTGCAGAACTCTGCCACTCAGAAGCAAGAGTGACATGTTCTACCCACCACTCTGTCGGAAAGTCAAGGCAGTTGCATCTTACAGCAGCTCTGGAAGTGAGTTAAGAAACCTTCCCTCTCAAACTTCATTAAGGTTCTCATTTTCCAAGATTCCCTCCTATGGTCTTGTAGTACGCGGGTTAACATGGTGTCTGTTTTCTTCGATGTATGGTCCTGGGGTCATAGCAGTAGATCTGCACAGTTGGAAGATCCCTAAAGAGTTTACAACTCCCCACCCAGAAGGGCATGGCCGTCATAGAGAATGGATGGAAAATATCCCCTTGCTATAATTGGGTTCAGCCCTGTGGCTTAACACCATCTTATTTGGCAATCTTTTTCTCTTGACATATTTAGTAATCACTTTAAGGGAGATTTATTACACTGCTCATGGGAACAAACAATGCACTAAATATTACACTTAGGCATGCTTTCAATACCACTCCTTTTCTAGCCTATTCTGAATCTTTTCCCAAAGTCTTTCTTCAGTGCTTATCAAAACTCTCTCTTGTCTTTAAATTCCTCTAAGTTCTTCTTTCTTCCAAAATAACCTTTTATAATTTGAAATATTTTGTAACTAGGAGTTCTTTTAATCAAAATTCACTGGGCCATGCTTAGAGAAGAATTGATAAAAACACACTTTCACAGCTTAAAATCATGGAAGACATTTTGCTCACCATTAATCCCAAAGCATCAAAACAAACATTTAGCATATGATTAGGCTGTGAAAATAGCCTCCTAGGGGTGTGTGTGTGTGTGTGTGTGTGTGTGTGTGTGTGTGTGTGTGTTTACATATTTATATAAAGGAATTCAAATTATTTCAGCCAAACATAATACAATGAAATGTTTTCTGATCCTGTGGGTTGGTACCCATGAAGAGATGGGGGGCAAGGGGCCACTGAGAATTAGGATTCTCCACTCATGCTCTGTGCTAATGAAAGCACTTTGACAGCTAGTGCCCCTCAGACATTGTTTTAAAAGCATAATATCCCACTCATCCAGGCACATGCGCAGCAAAATGTCTTAACAGATAGTCTATTTAGCACAGATTTGAGAGAAAATATATCAGGATCATGGAGAAGGTAATGAGTTGTAGTGGCACAGCTACAGTATAACAACTCTGTGCATGTTAAATTCTAGCTTCTTTACAGATGAAATGTCCTTCATTCATCAGATATGTCATAATGGCTATCTATACTCTTGAGAGAGTCCACTCAGTGCTAAGCACAGTCGTAGATGTACTAGTTTACTTAACACTCAACTACATGTCTGTCACTGGCCTCATTTTGCACACGGGCCACATTTTATACAGAGAAAGCAAAGCCACCATGAGGATAAGCTACTGGTGAGTCAAAACAGTTAAACTAAGGACCTGTGTAGCTACCACTGAAACAGTAACATGATATGCCATTTTCAAAAAGACAGTGATGAGCCCCGCCATTCCTCCTACCTACATGGCCTCCCTGAGCCCCAGTTTTCTTATCTGTAAAGTGACTTGTTGAGAGAATTTAAGGTGTGAAGCCCTGACACGTGGTAGTAGCTCATTTAACTCCCTTACTCCCACCACACCCCTCGACTACCTTGTTTTCTTATCTTAGACAGTAGATTACACATACTCGTACATATCTGAAATAGAGCATTTGTGACTTTTAGGAGTGGGGCAGTAAAAGCATAAATTCAGAAATTAGTTGCTAACAAGAACCTTAGGTATTCAGATGGCTAGAGGTGTATGGTGAGGGGCCAAGAGCACAGGTTCTGGAGCCAGACTGCCTGGTATAGCCCAGCTCTGCCTCTTACTATGTGTGTGACATTGGGCAAGTGACTTGGCTTCTCTGTATTGCCTCATCTGTAAAATGAAGCTAGTACTTGAACCTACTTTGTAATTTGCTGCAAGGATTAAATGAGTTTATCTGTATAAGGAGCCTAGAATTGTGCCTGGCATGTAGTAGGGGCAGTTAAATTAGTGCGTGTATTCTCCTGCATATTTTGATGACAAGCATTCAGTACCTGGGCACAGCAAATTCGGTATAGAGCAAGGTGTGTAGAATAAATCCCATTGTTCTCCTTTAGCATGATTCCCATATATCCCAGCCAGGCTCTTACAGTTATAGCTCCCTTCCCATACATGTAGGCAAGGAAAGCCAGAGACAACAAGGACCCTCAAGGTAAACCTCTTGTCTTATATGGTAGAGAGAGACTTAATTGGATGAAGAGATCATTTAGTTGCCCTGCAAATCGGCATTAAAGGACGAGCCAGCAGAGGATCTCTGCATTTGGAATTGCACCTTAGTTCACTTTCTATGTTACATTTTCAACAGGGACACTGAACAGGGGACCTATATAAGACTTCCCAACAGTATAGACCAATTGGGTCACAAATAAAGAACACGTGGAAAGAATACTGGTACTTTAATGCAGCATTTCTCAAATGTCAGCTGCATCAGAATTCTTAAGAGGGCTTGCGAAAACCCAGATTCCTGGGCTACACCCCAGAAATTCTGATTTACCAGGTCTGGGATGGTGCCTAAGAATTTTCATTTCTGACAAGCTCCCAGGTTATGCTGCTGCTGCTGTTCTAGGGGCCACATTGCGAGAACCACTGGTCAAATGTGTGTTTCACATTCCTACTACCTATTTCTGATCTAGGTTTATAACATTTGATTTGAACTGTTTAGCTTAGAGACGGAATGTCCACCCTCTCCAAAAAATAAAAATAGAAATATTTGATTAATAAATGCTGTCATTTTTTTCCCCCACAGTTGCATGCTGCTGTCACCAAGATCCAGGTTCCAAGGCCTGGTTTTAATTACACGTTTGCCCATATATGTATCCTGAATAATGATAAGACTTGCATCGTGGATGACATAGTGCACGTCCTGGAAGAGCTAAAGAATGCTCGGGCCACCAATCGGACCAATTTTGCTATCACATACCCAATCACTCACTTAAAGGACGGGAGGGCTGTGTACAATGGGCACCAGCTTGGGGGCGTCACTGTGCACAGCAAAGACCGGGTGAAATCTGCAGAGGCCATCCAGCTCACCTACTACCTGCAGTCAATCAACAGTCTCAATGACATGGTGGCTGAGAGGTGGGAGTCCAGCTTCTGCGACACTGTCAGACTGTTTCAGAAATCCAACAGCAAAGTCAAAATGTACCCTTACACGTCCTCCTCACTGAGGGAAGATTTCCAGAAGACCAGCCGCGTATCAGAACGTTACCTGGTCACCAGCCTGATTCTGGTGGTTACCATGGCCATCCTGTGTTGCTCTATGCAGGACTGCGTCCGCAGCAAACCCTGGCTAGGCCTGCTCGGATTGGTGACCATAAGCCTGGCCACTCTCACTGCAGCCGGGATCATCAATCTTACTGGTGGGAAATATAATTCCACCTTCCTGGGAGTCCCTTTCGTCATGCTAGGTAATTACTACTCTTCTTTCTTCTGTTTCCGCCTGCTGGTGGTGTTGACTAGGTTCCTAAAAGGCCAGGAGTAGCCTTCTAACAACTTTGTTTCATTTAACAGTATCTTCATTTTGCCCAAAAGTCCTGGGACCCACTCTATAAAGTGCTGGTAATCAGCAAAAAACAACCTAATCTGGTAAATGTGCCAGAAGTTCAAAGTCCTGGGTTCTAGCGCTGACTCTCCATTGAGCAGCCATGTGGTGTCTAGCAGGTATTAATCTTCTCCTTGTCCCAGTGTCTTAGGTTGGGCTTCCCCATAAGCAGGGCCCTGAGAAAAAGATTTGGATACAAGTAGTGTATTTGGGAGGTGAGCCCAGGAAGCACCAGTATGGGAGTGAGGAAGTGGAAGTTGAAGGCACTTCAGTTGAAGGCAGGCAGTTGAAGGTATGTTAATGAGCCCAAGATATATCACATTCTGCCGGTTGCTGTGGGCACCTGTGGTTCAGCCCCACAGGGGACCTTTGGGAGACCTTGTGAAACACACCTCAGAGAGGTCCTCCCCCGGGGTGAGGAATTTGGGCTATTTTCCCACAGACCCTTTGTGATTCATTGAGGGCTGCTCCCCAGGCCAGTTAACTGCCAGCACTTCCCAGGGAGGTGCTCCTGCAGCACACTCCTGCAGCCAGAGAAATCCTTCAGGTGACTTTGTAGTTATAAGCCTTCAGCAAGCTCAAGAATGGGGAATGGGAGGGCATGTTGGGTTGGCACTGAGAGCGCCTGCTACTCTCAGTTTCCCCACCTTATGAATAGAGTGGATGTGAGCATCACACAAAAGGACATGATAAATGTATAAGAACTTTGAAAGTGACATGTGAGATACCAGTAGGAAGTAACTTTTTTTCCTATTCTTACTATGAACTCAGGAGAATATTTTAAAGCGATGCTGATGGTGACAGCGTGCTTCCAGTGTGTCCACTCAGGGGGCTGCTGGAACTCCCTGATAGAGATTAATGGTCAAAACAAAGCCATAGTGGCCATAACATCGGTTGCCCTGTCCATCTGTTATCGAAAATGGCATGCCCAGCAAGCCTGATGGCAGGGTTCTTGCGGGCCAAGGATTCAAGAGGTTCACTTTCCCCCTTTTCTATGGTAGCTTCTCATCAATTCCTTTAACAAAATTAAAATGTCATTTGGAATCAGATACTCACATGACAAATGAAGTGGCATTTTTTGGTTAACTAAGAAATAACCACTGTTGAGGTCATTAGCGTGCCTTATGCCCTGTTTTAGAGTAGTGGAAGAGAATTTCCTCAGGAAATCTCCGCTGTGTTGTGAGCACACGATAAGCGGGGCTGGTGGGGCTGCAAAGCCACAGAATTACATTCTGCCCTCGATTCTCTGTGGCCCGAGGAATTGAAACCTAGTCAATAAACATATACTAGTAGCTTTTGTGAAGAGCTGGGCACTGTAAGGAGACCGAGCAGCCTGATAATTTGATAATGTACTTGTCACTGCTGAAAACAACAGAGAAGAAGGCTGCCGTACCTCCTCCTGAATTCGGTCTATTAAGAAAGCAGCATAACCTGCCGCTTTAAAATCACCCCAAGACCGTGTGGGTTGACTGTGGAATACAGAGTGGTTCCTTGAAGAGTGAGTAGGACTGAGTATTAGTAGCTTCCACAGAGGCTTGTATCAAGGTTGAAATTAAGATGTTTTGCTCATGATTAGTCACAATCTTGAATGTTTTGGGGGTTACGGGAAGGGTTTTCGTTTCGTTTCATTTTTTAGCTTTTCATTTTCTTGCTGCTTTTGTGGGAGGAAGAGAAATAGGAATAAGAAAAGAGTGGGGAACTGAAGGGAGATCGTAAGGTTCTCAAGGTGAGGCAAAAGGACGCCGGAGCTAGAAAAAGGACAATCAGTGCTGATTTTATGACATTCCAGGTTGTTACCAGTGAGCTCAAAGCATGTTAGAATATTTAAAACTTGTGAAAAGTTAATTTACTAAGTAAAATAAAATTATAATATTTAAAGTTTCTTCAAATTAATTTTAAGTAAACTAAAATAGCAGTATTCAAAACTTCGTTTCACTAAAAAATGAAATTGTAATATTCAAAACTTCTTAAAGTTAGTTTTATAAAGTAAACTGCAATATTTTAAATTTCTTAAAACTTACTTTTTTGTACTTTTTAAAGAGGTTTTAAATATTGTAAGGCAAAGTCAACACAAAACAGACCATGGCAGATAGTATTGGTGCAGGGAAGGATGTAAGAGATGGTAGGATGGAAAGATGCTGTTAGCAGGGAAATGTCTTTAAAAAACAAATCCAGAAATAGTAATGCCACAGATCCACAAAGACTGAGTATCACTGAACTTTACATCACAGTTCAATTCAGAAAAAATCTAGCATTTGCAGCGAAAGAGACCACGCACCACAGGTGCCCAATAAGCCCTTGTTTGCAATTTCTGAGGAATGTTACGTGCATTGATTTGATGGCAGTTTTCCCTGCTGACAATCAGTGTGCAACCTTTCTGTACATTCTCAGCCCAAAGAGTTCTCAAATTACTTAGTCATAACATGAAAGGAAGCTACATGTTTTAATAGCTAAGGCCCATTTACAATAAACACTTTGCACGATGTAATGGGTGCTTAATATGCTCATAAAGCTAACAGTGCCTGGATTTAGGATGGTCGCCCTCCTGTATTTCTCAGATAAACTCTTCATTTTTAAGAGTTTATAAAATGAAATATAAGCAAGAACAGCTTCATAAATGTTGCATTCAAGGCCATCGTTTAATTCTGGGGTTTTTGGATGACCAGTCCTAAAATGCCAGTAAATATTTCAAATGACCAAGAAGAAATGCAGTGCTAAGAGTTTTGGCACTACAGTAAACTGTCCAGTGTTTAAATTTTCCTGTGTATAACTTAAAATGGCTATGCTTAACCTAAGCAGATTTAAGCAAAACTTGATTTAGTATGTTATATAAATACAATATCAAATCAAAAAGTATATAGCCTCATTTAAAAGGTAAAGTATCTTAGAAAAAGTCTCAAACATGGACATTTCCTTGGCTATCAATAGGTCTATACTGTGATAAACATTATAGATTTAAAATTCAACAAACTGAACATTGTCAGTGTGATTCTGGTCACATAGGCCAAATCCAGCCAAATGCCAAAATGACACTAGATTTAGAATGGAAAATTTTAAGATCACATGTGTCAAGCAGTATTAACCTGACAAAATTCCAGAAGAGGAAAGAATTTGGATAAACTCTTAAGAGTTCACCATAATGGGATGTGACTGTGTGTTTCTAGCCAAGATGATATGTGACAGTTCTGGCAATAAGAATATATCCTACACAGATGAATCATTTTGGCAATGATGTAAGCATAGATACATCATGATTTAGAATGTTTTTAATCAGTGTTGTGCATACTAGACAATCCCACTTCTGCCAAAACCTCTGTCCAGATGAGTCATATCAGTTTATTTAGAGCTGAAATCCTAAAAGGTCTACAGCGTTATAAATGTTCATCGACATTTTTTAGTTACTCTAATTTGGAGAAGAGTTTATTTGGTCTATACCCTTATCGTGCATAAAATAATAACCCTTTCCAAATATATTGATATCAAGTAGTGAGTTACTTGAATTGCTACTTGTGAATATATGATGCTAATTATTTTAATCTGTGATGGAATTTCCTTTAAAGGATGAAGATTTACACCATTATTCTCCAGTTGGGTATGATTTTTAAAATTAGCATAGGTTTTCTGTGTGCAAGCTCTCCTTACAGGCTTAATGTTTCAACAGCTTTGCTGATCAGATACAAATCAGGAAAGGGATAGAATGTTAGATGATGTAGAAGGGAACCAAAAGAAAGTTTTCTCCCTTCTGCATCTGGAAGGTTTGTTGCTTCATGTACATCCTGTACAGCTAAAAAGGAGAATTGAAGTCGTAGTGAAAGAGTTCGGATATTAGTTTCTACATGCAATCTAGTTTATAAAGGTTGCTTTGCATTTATCAAGATACAAGAGCCCCAGAGATTTATGAGATAAAAAATACTCTTTAAGCCCTTTTTCAAATGTTTGGGATTTTGAGGTCAGATGTCAGATCCAGGGTGTTCTCTTCCTTTTGAATTATCCAACCAGGCCACTCAGATTCAAGGACGTGAAAGGAAGAAAGAATTAGTGGATTATTTCTAATTTGCGGATTAGTGCTAGGAAAAGAATAATAGCAGGGAAGTTTGGCTTCTTTTAGCTGTGCATTTTAACATTATTCATATGTAGCAGAAACCAGAAGATTGGGTTCCATTCTCCAAGAATTTGCTCTCATATGATGCCACTTGAAATATAATGCAGTATATGGAGCTCATAAAAAGGGAAGGAAAAAAAATTCTCATGCAAAACATTTAGTTCCAACTGAAACATTGAAATTCTTATTTTTTCTCTAAACTTAAGCAAACCTGAAAGAATTTGCTTTCCTGATGAGTATTCTGATACATTTCAAAAGTCATGAGAAAATGAGGGAAAAATCAGTCAGATAATAATAAAATTTAAACCATATGAAATTGCAAATATCCAACCATTTTTGGCCTACAAACTTGGTACCATTATCTGGTCATTTTTGAGCTACAAAAATGGTAATTTTGTGTGGTTCAGCCTAACACATTATTGTAGAAATCCATTATTTGCAACAATATGACAATTTTGCCTGATGGAGTAGAAGTATATTAGAATGCTATGGAAAGACTTTGCTTAGATATAAATCAGTAATAGGTTCAGCATGTTCTAGAGAAAACAACTGATTTATGAGGGTTTTGTTGTTCACATTTTTGTGTACATCTATTTTTTTAAAAGAGATCATTTATTTTACAGTATTTCCAAAGTTTGTCTCTCGAATATCGTTTTTTGTAATGGTCCATGGTCATTATGGGACTAATTTACAAGGAGATTATGTAATTTAGGCTTGTAATTCGTTCTTGCCCTTTTATTCTTATGCTCCACCAATCATATTAGGGTGAGAGTAGGTGGAAATAAATAGGTTTAGGGGAATGGAACAAAACAAGTTTTATTGTTCTATTTTTAACCATAAAGTAAGACAGGAACAGGACTTGGGGGCACAAGTCCAGGAAAGCAGAACTCAGTCAGAGGAATACAAAGGGGCTTTGTCTTTGACCCAGGATTCCCAGATATCCCCTGGGTGGTCTGTCTACCCGGTCGTGCCCAGGGAATGAGGGAGTGACAGACCCTGTAAAGGTTGGGCAGCAAGAGGCAACATCAGGACACTGAACTAAACATAGACCCTGGGGAGAAATACCTAGTATCTACATTTGGACTAAACTCTCAGAAAGTCACAGCTGGGCAGTCTTGACCAGATGGATATACAGAAGCTCACAACCGAAACAGGTTCACAGTTATTGTCAAGGAAACCCTGCATTTCACCAAGGCTACTTTATTACTCAAGAACCAAAATATAGACAGATGGAGCCCAACAGAGGGATTCTATAGCCCCTTCTCTACACTGATTGGTGTAGCAACACTAACATTATTTTGCCTCATCAGTAAAATAAATTTCACATCAGCCTACTATTCATCTTGTGTGTATGTGTGTCTTTATAGCCTATGTGCATAATATATATTATATATCACATTAGCTGTATTATATATCATATGCAATATGATATGTAGTAAGCTCATGTTATGTATTTATATGTATACAATGTGTTTATAACATATATTATGTAATATATATTGCTTGAATATTTAAATAGAAGCTATTCTCTGTGTATACTATCTGGTATATAGGAGTCCAACATTTTGTATGTAAATATATAAAATATATTTGAATAGGATATGCCATATATACATATGTTTATATATCACATTTGTATTCTATACGAAAAGAAATTAAGCAATGACCATAGCATATATTATGGGCCACATTTATACTTATACACACTGGTCTTATATAATGTACATACACACAATATCTAAATACTTTAAACAAGGAAGAGCTATAAGCAAATTCATTTCTAGGGCTCTCTTTTACAGCTATCTAGTGAAGAAAAATCATTCCTAAGACTAAAACCCAATGCTCTGGTTAGAATTTTCAAAATGTGACAAGTCTCTAGTACAAAGAATAAGATGTGTGTGTTCCCCCTGATGTGAGCATCTGTCTTTACTTAAACAGAGTACACCTTTATTCTTACTCTTAACTCTGAGACAAAACAGGCTGCAATAAACCAAACAATTCAGCTTGTAAAGTAAATGTTTATAACTGGCAAAGTGTAAATGTAACCCAATTAATAAACTTCTCCCTGAAAATAGATGTTACTCAACCCAGACATATATACACTTTAAATTTCTTCTCAAAAACACAAAAATCATGAATTTATGTGGATGACATTGAAAAACAGGCATCTTATAAACATGAGCTACTTAGTGAAGCTTTTCTAAGAATAAAATAGGCTTTAAGCAGATTTTGCTTATGGATTATAGTCTCTGAATTTTTGAGACGAATGTAGTAATTTTATTTCCATATATGAAATTTGGCACTGCCCAGGCATGCTATAAACAGCTTCATTGACTCATGATATTAAATGTTTTCACACTGAAACTGAAAGATCATCCATCAATCAGCAAGCCATCCCATTTCCTCCTTCTTAGCCATTCCTTACTTTGAGGAACTCAGGATGAGGAAATCCTGCTAGTGTGGAGAGGTTTAAAATGTGAGTAGCACCCAGCGGCATCTCTCAGCTGCTGTGTTGTGGCTATGTATACTGGGACAGGCGCGAAAATCTGGGACTGAAGAAAAATCTGACTTACAAAATCCAGAAGTATTATACAAAGTAGATCAATTTGCCTACGATTATTCATTGAAAACCAAACAACAACAAAAAAATCACCCAGACTGTCTCCAATAGCAAAACCACTAAATACATTTAAAATATTATTCACTTTATGAGCAACTTTCCAGAAGTATATCTACTGGGTAAAGAAAGGTTAACTCTCAACTATTTGTTAGTAGATTCTGTCTTACCGGATTATAAACAACCCTGAAGGCTTTGGTCAGGCCCCAGAAAGTTCTGGGTGACAGAATTAATCTCTGAGGGTGCTTGATAGTCACCCTCAGTGATGGGAGGATTAGCCAGTTGAATTTTTTTTTCCGCCATTAGTGTTATTTATCATGTGTGCTTCTTTTTCCCTTCATTTGCTCCAAAGTCTGAGAGTTAACAACACATTCAGATATAAAA